>NC_000010.11:115370368-116620368 GCF_000001405.40 Homo sapiens | reverse complement strand
CTTTGGGAGGCTGAGGCGGGCAGATGATGAGGTCAGGAGATCGAGACCAACCTGGTTAACACGGTGAAACCCCATCTCTACTAAAAATACAAAAAATTAGCCGGGTGTGGTGGTGGGCCCCTGTAGTCCCAGCTTCTTGGGAGGCTGAGGCAGGAGAATGGCGTGAACTGGGGAGGTAGAGTTTGCAGTGAGCTGAGATTGCGTCACTGCACTCCAGCCTAGGTGACAAAGCGAGATTCTGTCTCAAAAAAAAAAAGAATAAAATGAACATGAACACTGTTCAAATACAACTTTGTTTAGAAATAATATAGCTTGTTTTAAAAGTGTTTCTGAGCTGCACAGACTGTACCTTGACCTGGAGATAAGAAGGGGAGGTATTTTCTTTTCTTCACTGCTACAGAAGAACCTAGGTGAATAACCAGGTGCCATCCTGCCATGTTTTAAATGGGTGTGTAATTTAGATACACCAAACTGCATACATCTTAAGTTGAAAATGTAAGTACAGGCCAGGCGCGGTGGCTCACGCCTGTAATCCCAGCACTTTGGGAGGCCTGGGTGCGTGGATCACAAGGTCAGGAGATCGAGACCATCCTGGCTAACATGGTGAAACCCCGTCTCTACTAAAAATGCAAAAAAAAAATTAGCCGGGTGTGGTGGTGGGTACCTATAGTCCCAGCTACTCGGGAGGCTGAGGCAGGAGAATGGCATGAACCTGGGAGGCGGAGCTTGCAGTCAACCGAGATCCCGCCACTGCACTCCAGCCTGGGCAACAGAGCAAGACTCCATCTCAAAAAAAAAAAAAAAAGAAAACCTAAGTATAGTTTTATCTCACGCCTGTGATCCCAGCACTTTGGGAGGCTGAGGCGGGTGGATCACAAGGTCAGGAGATCAAGACCAGCCTGGCTAACACGGTGAAACCCCGTCTCTACTAAAGACACAAAAAAATTAGCCGGGTGCGGTGACAAGCACCTGTATTCCCAGTTACTCAGGAGGCTGAGGCAGGAGAGTGGCGTGAACCCAGGAAGCGGAGCTTGTAGTAAGCTGTGATCGCGCCACTGCACTCCAGCCTGGGTGACAGAGACACTCCATCTCAAAAAAAAAAAAAAAACCATTTCCAGCAGCCAGATCTTTCTACCACCATCACCACCCTTGTAACAATACTCTGATTTCCATCATCATAGGTTCGTTTTGTCTGCTCTAGAATGTCATATAAATGTAATAATACAGTATGTACTCTTTAGCGTCTTGCTTTTCTCCCCCTCAAGACATTTTTGAGATTCGTTCACATTGTTACGTGTATCAGTAATTATTTTTTATTGCTGTATGGTATTGATATAGTTCTGTAAGAATACAGCACAATTTGTTTATCCATTCTGCTGTTGGTGGACATCTGAATTCTCCAGTTTGGGGCTATTATGAACACTACTGCTAAGGACATTCTAGTCTAGTGCAGGTCTTTTGGTAGACATATGCACTCATTTCTCCTGGGTTTATGCCCAGGAGTATTGTGAGGGTCCTGGAGTGTGTTCAGCTTGAGGAGATGCTGCCAGACGGCTTCCCAAAGTGGTCGCACCAGCGTAATTCCCACCAGCAGCTGGATGGGAGCTCTAGCTGCTTCCCATTCCACCCCTGGCCTTTGATCAATCCCAGAAGCACGAGGTTGCCAGCAATTTCCTGAGGGTTTCATGTGTAGAAAAATAGCTTTTTTTTTTTTTTTTTTTGAAACTCTCTTCTGAGAATTCTGAGGCTGGAAGAGTGTGGAGCTGAGGGAAGCCAAGAATGAACTTTCTTATCTCAATGGGCTTAAGAAAAGTCAAGGTTTCTGGCTGGGTGTGGTGGCTCACGCCTGTAATCCCAGCAAGGTGGGCAGATCACATGAGGCCAGGAGTTCGAGACCTGCCTGGCCAACATGGTGAAACCCCGTGTCTACTAAAAATATAAAAATTAGCCGGGCATGGTGGCGCATGCCTGTAGTCCCAGCTACTAGGGAGGCTGAGGCATGAGAGTCGCTTGAACCCGGGAGGCAGACATTGCAATAAGCTGAGATCATGCCACTGCACTCCAGCATGGGCAACAGAGTGAGACTCTGTCTCCAAAATAAATGAAATAAATTTAAAAAGAAGAAAAAAAAGTCTTCTGGAATCTGTAGTGATGATGAAGCCTGAATGGGGTCACCTATGTCTCAGCAAATCCAAAGCCTGACGTCACCACCCACTGCCCCTGGAGGTGTTCGGCAGCTGAGAGAGGAGGTTAGGTCTAAGGCTCAACACTGATGTGCATAAGTGACCCCACTGAGGAGCCTGGAATGACAACATGAGGCTGAATGAAGCCCAAGGCCCATGACATGGGACCAGTGGGTGCCGGTAGCTTTTGGGAAAACATCCAAACTCCTTACCGTGGCCTTTAGAGTGTGGTGTTCTCTGGACCTTCTCTCCATCCCTGGCCTCACCTGTGTCTCTCCCTTGCTCACTAAACTCCAGGTGGTCTCTTGAAAGTGCTTGTCTCAGGGTCTTTTCACATTCTATTTCCTCTTCCTGACACTCTCCCCTTTCCCTGCCTAAATCAAAGTCATACCTCAGGGTTCAGCCTACAAAGAAGCCTTTTTCAATCCTCAAATTGAAACCAGACCTTCCTTAACATCTCTTGTCATGTTCCTTATCTTTGCTTTCATAGAAAGTATCCCAATTGATAACGACATTTCCATGACAATTTGTTTAGGTCTTGTCTTGACAAAAGGGTCAAGTTCTGTGTAGTCACTGCTATGTTGTGACAGCCTAGCACAGCACCTGCCAGATAGTAAGTAATCAGTAAATACTTGCCAGATGTGAACATGGGGAATTAAGAGTTAATGACTCATTTTACCCAGATGTGGTGCCTGTAGTCCCAGCTACTCAGGAGGCTAAGGAGGCAGGAGGATCACTTGAACCCAAGAGTTAAGTCCAACCTGGGCAACATAGGGAGACCCTGTCTCTAAAACAACAACAACAACAACAACAACAAAACAAACCACAACAACAACAAAAAAAGTTAATGATTCATTAGGTTGGTGATGAGCTGATCCTATTTGTGTCCCCAGATGTAGTCCCCCTTCTTCTTACTCTCTGCTCGGTGCCCTGAGGCTGCCTCTATGGGCTTCCTCCCTGGGCTACTTGACCCTTGGCCCTCTGATTGGGTTTAGCCAATGGGAGGTATCAGCAGGTGGGATGGTGGAAGGAAGAGGTTGGAGTATTTCTTTTCCAGGCTCTGACAGGTGCAACTGGGCACTGGACTCCCCCGGAGAGAGAATGACTGCAGTTGTACAGAGGCCTGTGGTCCATTTTAAGGGATTAGCTAGGCACCTTCCTTTCCTGACTCTATATTCCTAACGAGGATTTCTGTCTTTCTTAGGAAAGACAGAGGGTTTTGGATTGTGTAGTTCTTTGATTTTTGGTTTAGCCACCCATGCAGTAGCCAACCCATTCTGTGGCTTGCTCATAACCTTTGGTGTGGTTTAGCTAAGGCACTTTCAGATAACCTGTGGGTCCCATCATCATCCTCACCTGGCTCTAGCCATGAATAGTCAAAGAAAACTTCTCACTGAGTGGCCAGTGGCATATCATCTGGTCAACATCCACCCCAGAAAGCGGAGCTAGAAAAAAAAAGAGGAGGTTGCAGTTCCTTTAGGCAAGAAGCAATTATTGTTATTTCCTGGTCTGCTTTATTCAGACTCTGTTCTGAGTGCCAAGTCAGATCACAGTCACCCCTGCTCTGGAAGGACTCACTGAGGCAGATTTGCACAGTGTAAAGAAAAACTTTCCAGAGCTTAGACTCGTTGGAAAATAGAATGGAGTTTTGTCGGTGGGGGAATGAGCTCTCTGCCCCACTTGAATGACATTACGACATGAGCAGAGGTTGGCAGAAGTCAAGCAGCATGTAAGGGTTGACTTAGGTGATCTTCTTCCAAGGTTGTTTTCAAATCTGGGACCCCACCAGAAATTTTGGAAACTGCAACCTAGAGAAAGGATGTTGCTTTTCTATTCAAGCAACAGTCACCCTGAAGGAGCACATCACTTAAACCCTTTCTAAAGGGGATAAGAAATCACCCAAGAGGTAACAATGTCCAAGGTAATGAGGAGTAAACTGAGCAAACACATCTGGGGCATATAGTCCCAAGGGCAGATGTTAAGGGCCATGGGAGAGAGCTAAGAACGGGAAAGGAATCAGGTGGTGGTGGTTTAGAAGCTGACCTCAGATAAATGGCAGTGATCAAATCCAAGCTCTTAGAGTTGTAAAACATTCAAGAAATAGAGAGTCTTATTTAATTCCCATTTTACAGCTGAGACAACAGAGGCCCAGAAAGGTTAAAGGGCTTAGTGTGAGGGTGAATGGAAGAGGAGGGACTTGACCTCTGGGCTTCTTCTCCTACTATGGTGCTATTGTCTCTCCTCCTGCAGGTCAGTTTGTTAATCTGTGAAATAGATGGAATCTAGGCTTATCAAGGAACATTGTCTTTGCACCAAGCTGCTCTCCAAAGAGGGCTGGGTACCCCTGCCACAGTCACCAGTAGTTGAGAAGAGACACACTGGGTGCTCCTAAGCAGTCCCAAGCCTGCCTGGTCTCTTCTGCAGGGTGGCCCAAGGCAGGCAGCTGGGCCCCCTAGGCTGCCACCCAGTAGCACTCATTTACTCCCACTTGCCTGCCCATGGCACCAAGAAGGCCCAAGGTGCCAGCTGTCTACTGTGGGAAGGAAGCGAAGGTCAGCACCTGTGGGAAAACTCATTTGCTGACCACATGGTTGGCAGGTAGGAGGGTCAGGGCCTGAGTGAGCCCTGCCAGCTGGCACAGCTGCTGCCCAGGGGATGGGGGTGGTTTGGGTCCTCCTTTGCTTGTCCTTGAGGCCTGTTGAAACCTATTTGTCCCTCCCCTTAACACTTTCTCTTTTTTCCAGACAAGGTCTCACTCCAACACCCAGGCTGGAGTGCAGTAGTGCAATCTCGGCTCTCTGCATCCTCCATCTCCCAGGATCAAGAGATCTCCCCAGCTCATCCTCCTGAGTAGCTAAGACTACAGTTATGCACCACCACTCCCAACTAATTTTTGTATTTTTTGTAGAGAAGGAGTTTCACCATGCTGCCCAGGCTGGTCTTGAACTCCTGAGCTCAAGTGATCCTCCTGCCTCGGCCTCTGAAAGTGCTGGTATTATAGGCATGAGCCACCATGCCTGGTCCCCTCCCTTCATTCCCCCCTGCCCTTCCCCTCCTGGGGCTAGCATCACCTCTCTCTAGGCCACTGCATCTCCCTCCAGGTCAGCCTCCCCCATTTCCTAAAGTCCTTCTCAGCTTGAATCCTGTGGGTGGTTCCTCATTCCCTTCAGATGCATTATTCACATGTCGGTTCACTCATTCACATTCATTTTCACGTGGCTACAATGTGCTAGAGCTCTTCCAGCCTTGAAGGCACAACAGTGAGCAAAACATCATCCTTCCCTGCCTTCATGGACTGATGGTCCCATGGGGCACAGGCAATGGTTACCTATAAATACATACATAATTACAAATGATCAAAAGCACTAAGAAGAAAAGGCAGGTGAGGAGAGCTATCATGTAATTTGGGCTTTATTTAAAGAGAATAACTCTGTGGAGAGGGGTAAGAATTTAGGTGGCGTCCAAGCACCAAAGCTAGGTATGCAAGGGTGATATTTTAGTCCGTTTGTGCTGCTATAATAAAAAACCCAAGACTAGGGTATTTTATAAAGAACAGAAATTTATTTCTCACAGTTCTGGAGGCTGGGAAGTCCAAGATCAAGGCACCAGCAGATTCAGTGTCAGATGTGGGATGCTCTCAGCTTCCAAAATGCTGCCTTCTTGCTGTATCCTCATATGGTAAAAGGGGACAACAAAGGATGAACTCATGGCAGATGAGATGGAAGGACCAGGCAGCTCTCTGGAGCCTCTTTTATAAGGACATTCACAAAGGTGGAGCCTTCATGATTTAATCATTTCCCAAAAGGCCCTACCTCTTAATACTGTCACAATGGGGATTAAGTTTTGACGTGAATTTTGGAGGGACACAAACTTTTAAACCATAGCAGATGGACATTGATATGGGTTGAATACAGGCCCCACAAAAAGATATGTTAGAATCCTAACCCCCAGTACTTCAGAACATGACCTTATTAGGAGATAGGATCTTTACAGTGCTAATAAAGTTAAAATGGGGTCATTAGGGTAAGCCCTAAGTCAATATGATTGACATTCTTATATAAAGGGGAAATTTGAACACAGAGACACATACATCCTGTGAACATGAAGGCAGAGATTGCCAACGAGTGGCCAGCAAACCATCAGAAGCTGTGGAAGAAGCCTGGAACAGATTCTCCCTCATAGCCCTCAGAAGGAACTAACTCTGCCTACACCTTCATCTTGGACTTCCAGCCTCCAGAACTGGGGGGAGACAATGCATTTCTATTATTTAAGCCCCTCAGCTTGTGGTTCTTTGTTATGGCAGCCCCAGCAAACTAACAGCTCCCATATGACCTCTGCCCAGCCTAATTTCTGCCAACACCCTTGATGCCTTCCCAGCTGATAACTGCCTACATAGAAGGACACAAACAGTCAACACTCACAGTTCTGAACCTGCTTTTCCCCTCTTCTGAGCTTTTGCCCCTGGGGTTCCCCATGCCAGGAATGTTTCCACATCTCCACCCCAACTCCCAGGTCTCCCAGCTTCATTTCTCCTCCATTGCCTGGGGCTCCTTGCCAGCACGTTTCCACCTTCATTTCAGGTCCCAGGTCAAACTCTCTCTGCTCGCAAAGCCTGTGACATTGGACATCTGTTCCACATTTTCAGTTCCAGATCATACTCTCCAAGATTTTTCAGATGCCAGTAAATATGTGAACTCTATTCTTTCTAAAAAAAACTCTCACGGGCTGGGTGCAGTAGCTTACGCCTGTAATCCCAACACTTTGGGAGGCTGAGGTGGGTGGATCACCTGAGGTCAGGAGTTCGTGACCAGCCTGACCAACATGGTGAACCCCCATCTCTACTAAAAATACAAAAATTAGCTGGGCATGGTGGTGCGTGCCTGTAATCCCAGCTCCTCGGGAGGCTGAGGCACAAGAATCGCTTGAACCTGGGAGGCGGAGGTTGCAGTCAGCTGAGATCGTGCCACTGCACTCTAGCCTGGGCAACAAGAGCAAAACTCTATCTCGAAAAAAAAAAAAAAAGCCGGGCGTGGTGGCTCATGCCTGTAATCCCAGCACTTTGGGAGGCCGAGGCAGGTGGATCACGAGGTCAGGAGATTGAGGCCATCCTGGCTAACATGGTGAAACCCCGTCCCTACTAAAAATACAAAAAATTAACCAGGCGTGGTGGCGGGCGCCTGTAGTCCCAGCTACTCAGGAGGCTGAGGCAGGAGAATGGTATGAACCCAGGAGGCAGAGCTTGCAGTGAGCCGAGATTGCGCTGCTGCACTCCAGCCCGGGTGACAGAGCAAGACTCCATCTCAAAAAAAAAAAAAAAAAAAAACTTTCACGACCCCCTGGAATATTCCTATTGACTTCATTCTATTAAGCCTCAGCTCAGGAAACAAAAGTTCTGCTACAAATTATCACAACAAAAAGGAAGATTTATTTTTATAACTGGTAAAAATAGATTATCATCAAAATGGAAACACATAGTAATTTCTCAGAGACAGCCTGCCCAGGAGTCCTGGGAGTTAAATACTCCTATATCAGGGCGGACTCTCACCTAGCTGCACATGGGAATCACCTGTGGGCTTTTTAAAGCAGCCTGTGGCTTATGATTACCCTTTAATTGGTTGGAGTGGGGCCTGGGATTTCTCTGTTCCTTTCTTTTTTTTTTTTTTTTTTTAACTCCCAGGTGACTCTGGTTTGCAGCCAGGATGGAGAACAAGTGGCATGTCTTGATTGTGTTTTGGCTTCGTGCACCTTGGAGTTGTATGCAGGGTGTGGATTGGGGGGCTTGGAGCCAACCTTAACAAGCATTGCTACCTAGCAGGGACCCCAAAGCTCTGCATGCCTACAGCCTTCGGGTAACTTTGGGGTGTGCAGCCAGACTGTGACCACACTCCTTAGATGGCCTTGCTCGCCTTATAGCACACTGACTTAAGGCTAGAGCCTTACGTTCCCATGGTGATGCTGATCCAAGCTTGTACAACCCACGGCCCACGGGCTGCATGCAGCCCATATTGGCTTTGAATGCAGCCCAACACAAATTCGTAAACTTTCTTAAAACATTATGAGATTTTTTGCAAGTTTTTAAACTTTTATTTTTATTTATTTATTTATTTTTAGCTCATCAGCTGTCGTTAGTGTATTTTATGTGTGGCCCAAGACAGTCCTTCCAATGTGGCCCAGGGAAGCCAAACGGTTGGACATCCCTGTAAGTTAGACCCTTAAGACAACATGAGAAAGACAGGGCTCAAATGTTGCATTCATTTTACCCATGAGAAAGCTATGGTCCAGAGAGGTGGAAACCCCTTGTCCAGGGTCACCTGGCTTGACTAGAATCCTAAATGCTAGCTCAGTGCCCTTTTTCATTGCTTCCAACAAGACTGGATGTCCATCTGAGCTTTATGTTAATAAAGTCAATGTTAGTATGGCATATTTTCATTGCCCCAAAGACTCTATCCATGTGCATTCTGAACAATGTGCCACTTTTGTTACTTAAAACACAAATAGAAAAGTCCAATCAAGCTGGCCTCATACAACCCCTTAAATCTAGAAACCTGATCAGATTTGGTCAGGGCCATAAAGACAGGGCAGGCCTACCCCAGAGAGTCCTGGACTCCACATCTCCTCAAGTCAGGGTGTAAGGGCTACGGATCTGTGGGGCTGAGCTTGGACTCCCCAGTGGCATCAGAAAGTGGACCGTAGATACCCACACTGATCAGTAGTCAAAGTTCACACTGGTGATCTTGGAACCTGCTGTTCTTTACCTTCCTGGGGATTTTTCCAGCTGCATAACTGATAAAAGGACATAGGTTCCAGGAAGGGAATGTGGGAGGAGTGAGTAGGGGCCTGGCCCCGTTCCAGCTCAGGTCTCCATCTGCTGCCTCCCCTGCCCCTGGAGATCCAACCATCTCTGCCTCTGCAACTGGGACCCAGGTCACCACAGGTCACTCCAAGGTTCAGAGCAGTGCTTTGGCCGAGTGCTTATGGATGTGGCCAACAGCCCTGGGGAGCTTCCCCAGCTGGCTTCCTCTCTCCAGTTTCTCTCTTCTCAGTTTCCTTCCTATTTTAAAATTGTTTTTCCCAAGTCATCACACCCATAGCTGTCAGTCTGGGAAGCATGGTGAGACAGACTGTCCTTGACCAGGGAGTAGGGCTCTCACCCATGGCCAACCAGCCACACCCCCTCCCTTATACCTTGGTTCCAGTCACTACCCTCAGATGGTCCTTATCAATTCTGGGTATTGGCAGATGCCGCCTCCTCCTAGCTGGCCTCCCAGGCTGCGGTCTTGGTAGGACATCTTCCTTCAAGCCTGGTCCTGTAACCACCATCTCTGTGGAGCCTTCTTGTCTTGCTCCTTCCTTCTGAAATTCCCTGGCCTGGGACCTACCTTGCTTTTTGTACCTAGTAGGCAGCATCACAGTGCTTTTTCAGGGGCAGCCTCCCTAACACCAAGCACTGCCTGAGGGCAGCATGTCTTCTGATTTCCTCTCCTGCCAATGCCTGGCACAGGGGTGGGTACAGAGCTGGTATTTGATAAATGTTTGGCGAATCTACGTTCCATTGATTGAGTTCTTTGCCTGGGGTGTGGGCTCACTGCGGATGCTGCTGAAACTGACAGAGAACCAGAGGGTTTGGCTGTCTCCCACTTGGTGCCACCACCCAAGGGGTGGGTGTCCCTGGCCGCCGCCGTCTTTATCACCCTCGTCATCACCGCGGTTTACCGAGCACTCGCCTTGCACCCTGTCCTGTAAGGCCCCTCCTAAGGTCGCTCCTTTGATCCTCGCCACGACCCTGCTTTGGAGGGATAATCGAAGCCCACTCGCATTCAAGTCTTAAGTTCAATGATAGCTTGACGTGGCCACGCAGGTTAGAAACAGAAGTCGGTGGCCGGGCGCGGTGGCTCACGCCTGTAATCCCAGCACTTTGGGAGGCCGAGGCATGCGGATCACGAAGTCAAGAGATCGAGACCATCCTAGCTAACGCGGTGAAACCCCGTCTCTACTAAAAATACAAAAAAACTTAGCCGGGAGTGGTGGCGGGCGCCTGTAGTCCCAGCTACTCGGGAGGCTGAGGCAGGAGAATGGCGTGGACCCGGGAGGCGGAGCTTGGAGGGAGCCGAGAATCGCGCCACTGCACTCCAGCCTGGGCGACAGAGCGAAACTCCGTCTCAAAAAAAAAAGAAAAAAGAGAAAAAGAAGTTGGCACCAGGACTGCCGGGGTAGGATGCGGGGCTTGGTGAACC
Source organism: Homo sapiens (assembly GCF_000001405.40). Lineage (NCBI taxonomy): Eukaryota > Metazoa > Chordata > Mammalia > Primates > Hominidae > Homo > Homo sapiens. The sequence goes on along the minus strand of NC_000010.11, from coordinate 116,609,951 downwards.
ACAGAGAGACTCCCTGGGGGGAGTGGTGACTTGGGACACCGCGGGGCAGAAACGCCTCCTGAAAGAACGCCCGCTCCTCCCAGGTCTCTATGGGTTGGGCCCATGGGGACGCCAGACTGGCGGGTGGGGGGGGAGGAGGCTCCTCGGGGCCCCAGCCGATTGGCTGACGGAAAAGCCCGTTTCAGCAGGGCCCGCCTGGGCCCCGCCTCCGCGCCGCTCTGTGCTTAGGTGGCCGCGAGGCCGCCTCGACCCAGGGGAGCAGGAAGGAAGCCCGGGAGCGCCCTGCACCTGTGCCTGCCTCTGCGCACCTCCCCAAGAGCCAGGGCCAACGAGGGGTCCCCTCACCCTCAAATCTACCTCCTCAGAGAGGCTGGTCCTCCCGGGCCTGCCGCGATCCCTCGGGGTGGTCTCGGTGAGTCAGGGAGGGTCCTTGAAATAGGGGTCCGGGGCCCGGCCCTCCGACCTGACGGGGACAGCGAGTCACTCAGTGAGTTTGAACAGCTACCTGCTCCTCTGGGCCTCAGTTTCCTCCCTGTGAAGTGAGGGACGGGGCTAAAGGCTGGTATCCCTGAGCTGAGGCTCCGGAGTTCAGTCCATCGCCACCAGCTCAGGCACGGAGAAGACAGTCGACCTACGCACAGGAGCCAGGGAAACCGTGTGACCCAAAGTTAACGGGGAGAAACCCAGGTATGGGGACGTGCTCGGGACATTTGCAAACGTTCCATTCCCAAATGTATCCCCGGGAGGCGGCCGCGGCAGGAGATAGACCCAGAGCATACAGATGCACCAGTGGATTTTATTAGTGTGAACGCAGCAGCCTCGTCGCCCCGGGAGCTTAGCAGGGCGTGAGGGTGAGCAGCGTGTCTTCCCGCACTGTGTCTTCGCTACAGAAGTTGTACCTGGGGAGAAAAGGAAGCTTTGTAAGAGTTTGGGTCACCTTAGCAAAAGCCAGGTGTTTTGTTTTGTTTTGGTTTGGTTTGGTTTGGTTTGGTTTTTCTTAAGGGGTTAAGCCCAGGTCACAGTTGATGAGTGATTCAGGAGGCACGAGGGGGCACTAGGGCTGGAGCTGCAACCAGCGCCTACAGCGCTTGCTGCCTGGAGGCTCTAGGACAAGGTCTGCTATGGTTCTGGAGTGTCACACAGGACGGTGGCCTCCGAAGGCAGGGACTCTCACCTCCTTGTCCCCACAGGCGCCTGGCGGCCTCCATAGGCCCAGCAGCCTGGCTTACAGAGGGATGCTGTCTTCCAGTCACTCTCGGAAGGGGACAGCGGCCAACACGCCCTGAGCCCTTCTCATCTGCAGCCAATTATGCTGCTTAATTCACTTATGCAAACTGCATCCTCACCACACATGTGTGAGGGGGTCTGATGATTAGTTCTACATTACAGGAGAGGAAACTGAGGCACAAAGGGCGCTCCATTAATCAGCAGAATAACAAAGATGCAAAAACAGGTCCATCTGATGCCAGAGGCTGTATTTTCCATGGTAGGATCACACATCAAGCCTTCCTTGACCTTGTCTTCCAGCTCTGGAGTCGGGGGACCTGGCGTTCCTCCCTGGAGTTCCTCATGACCTTTCCCTCCCACATTTGAGTGCTTCGGGGCTAGTTATCTGAGGACTCTGAGGAAGGATGTAGTTAGTAACTGGGAAGCTAAAGAAAATCAAGATTTTGGTCCAAGCTTTTCTCAGAATCCCCTCATATTTTTTAATAACCTTATTGGGGTATTAATTCCTACTAAACAACCTGCCCACTAGGATTCCCTCCAATGACACAGTATCAAAAGAGCAAGGCAAGGCCTGGTGTGGTGGCTCATGCCTGTAATCCCCACACTTTTGGGAGGTCGAGGCAGGTGGATCACTTGAGGCCGGGAGTTTGAGACCAGCCTGGCCAACATGGTGAGACCCTGTCTCTACTAAAAATACAAAAATTAGCCGGGCGTGGTGGTGCATGCCTGTAATCCCAGCTACTTGGGAGGCTGAGGCACAAGAATCTCTTGAACCCAGGAGGTGGAGGTTGCAGTGGAGCTGAGATCATGCCACTGTACTCTAGCCTGGGCAACAGAGCGAGATTCCATCTCAGTCATTCTCCCACGACTGTTGAGAATTCCATGATAAGAACGTAACATCCCATGATGGTAAATGTAAAAAGTCTTACAATTAACAAAAAACAATGCAGATGTAAGCAGTTATTTTTGTGGTTGTTCAAGAACCACGGACTTCTCTCAGGCCTCACCACCTGTGAGCTCGGAAGCTTTGCCCCATTTCCTCACTGGTGTTCCTTGGCCCCTTCCCACTTTCTCTTCTGTGTTTCATTTTTTCTGCCAAGAAGCCCTAACTTGGCATCGGAGGCCTCCGATCATATTCCCTGCACTTGGGCCCTGTCGCCCCTCATGCACTTGGACCTGTTGCCCTGCCCCTGTGCCCTTCCTCCCTCCTACTCCCTGCCTCATCCTGAGAGCTGCCCTTCCTTCCATCACAGCCTCCCCGCGGCCCTCTGCTTTCCTCCTTGGCCACTGTCTTTCTGAGCCTCTCCTGGGAGTTCTTTATTTGGTCTTTTGACCTTCCCTGTGAACCATAAGTCTGATTTTTCTCAACAGCTGAACTGTAAGCTCCTTGAGTGTAGGCTCAGTGTTTGCATCCCTTACTGTTTGCCAGGCCATACAATAGGTACTGAATAAAGTCATTTGCAAGGGTACATTTACCAAAGGTACTTAATAAAGAGAGGGGGACGGAGAAATAAAGAGGGGGAGGGCTGCCTTTCTCTTTGGATACTGTGTCATTGGAGGGAATCCTAGTCGGCAGATTCCTTAGTAGGAATTGAAACCCCAATGAGGTTACTAAAAAATATGAGGGGATTCTGAGAAGAGCTTGGACCAAAATCTTGATTTTCTTTAGCTTCTTCATTATTATTATTATTATTATTATTATTAAATGTTACTGGCCATTTTCATAACAGGAAAATGTTTGAGTAATTCAACTAATTCAGTGTTTTTACTTCCCAAACTAGTTTGAGAGATTTGAAGCTGTTTTGACTTTCCTCTGTTTAGAAAACCTGATGTCTTATATCCAGCTGCTCTTAAGAAAGAGTCTTTCTGGAGCAGACAGCGAGGGGAGCTGCACTCAGCCACTGGAATGCAGGTGACAGCTGATGGGCACAGGACCTCAGGTGCAGCCTTAAGTATGTTCTGTTCCATTTGCAGAAAGTTCAGAAAGCCTCAGCCTTTCCTCAGAAAACCTGGAAGATGCAATGCCCTGGCTGATTTGGACTTGTATGCCTTACCTGTGAGCAAGTCATCTCCTGGGAACACCTCTAATTTTTAAGATTCCAATGATGCCACCACCTGACATGTTTTTAACCACACAGTCCCAGGATCCAGGCCATGGGATGCTTGCTAATGGGGCCTTGGGGAGCTGAATTTAGAGGCTGAGTATCCTCTGATGGGGTCAGGGAGGAAAGGATTTGGTTGCACCTCCAGCTTGCACAGGGCTCCCGACCAGCCCGGCCCAGCCTCCTCTGTACTATGCTCTAGCTTATGAGGCCTCCTGGTTCCACCCACCACCTGGCAGGGCCAACCTCTTTGTTCTCCTTGCCTCGTGGGGATAAGGAGAACCTCACTAAGTCATCCAGTTCGAGGAGACCCAGATGTGGAGTCAGCCCCCATTCTACTCTGCCACCCCACCCTCCCCACCTGGGGGAGTGACAATCTCTGGGACCTGAACTCGGTGACTCCACCTAACCCCAAACTTCAAGAACATCGGTGGCTGAGAGCCCAGGATCTCCTTCCCACAAAGCCACATGTTCTACTAGCCAGACTTGGGGTCTGAGGTTTGAGAGACAGTCGCTCTGCCCTCTCAGGTCACCACTCCAACTTTCCTCCAGCCGTCCCTTTTTCCTACCCACGGCCCTGTGCTTATTCAGGCCCAAAGCCAGGGAGACCACAGGTCAGGATCTCACAAGTATTGCAATCCTAGTGCATTCTTGTCCTATGTAAAATTTTCGATCTTTTCCTAAAACCGATTTATTTTCCGTTTTATTATCCTGAAATGTAATTGGTCTTCTCCTCTTTCAAGTATAGCTATTCACTAGCCCATACTTATAAACTTGTACCCTTCAGAAAGGATTTCTTGTTCTCTTTCTTGTATTTTCTCATTTTACCTTGAAAGTGCAGCCTTATCTTCTGTATTCCCACAGGCAGTGCTGAGAACACCCAATAAGGTGCACCCAACAGAAACATTTTATGCTGTTTGTCAGTTGCTTGTTTGGGGAGAAGGGGCCACAGATGGGTAAATTTTCTTGGCTTTTCTTGCTTAACTACACGTAACTTTCTAGGGTGGGTTTTCATTATAACATGAATCTCTGCAAACATTTTTAGGCACCAGCCAGCAAAGATACATACACTGTCTTCTCTTCTCCCTTTTGCACAGTGATCTTGGTGGCACCCACTTTGGGGAGGGTTGGATTTATCACATTGTTATTCCAAAGAAACTTGACTTTCTCAATTGTTCCAACATCCAGCTTTGCATCAAACTCATAGGAATGGGTTGAGCCTGGTTTGAGAATCCCCCTTGAAATAGAGAAACATAAACATCCCTGTTCACGGAAATGAGTTCTAATTACCATACAATGCCAGGCTGCTGTTTTCTCTTCTAGATTAACAGGATTATTTTTCCGAATTAATTTCCAAATAAAGGATGGAGAAATGGAAAAGCCAGCTATATGCTAGCACCTCAAACTATGGTTTTTAAAACTCAAGTTAATTTTTCCTTAAAGCTTTCTAATAGAAAATAAAATAGAATTCCTGCATATCATTTTATATGTTTTGGAAGAATTATTTGTACAGTAACAAATTGGCCACATAGTATGGCACAATAAGCATGTGTTATTGCACTAATCAGAAAACAGCATATCTGAAGTAATATTAGATTTATGTTTAAAAAAACATCTATTAAGAGAAAGAGGCCGGGCATGGTGGCTCACGTCTGTAATCCCAGCACTTTGAGAGGCCGAGATGGGTGGATCACTTGAGGTCAGAAGTTCGAGACCAGCCTGGCCAACATGGCAAAACGCCCCCCATCTCTACTAAAAATACAAAAATCAGCCAGGTGTGGTGGCACATGCCTGTAATCTCAGCTACTTGGGAGGCTGAGGCACGAGAATTTCTTGAACCCGGGAGGCGGAGGTTGCAATGAGCCAAGATCGTGCCACTGCACTCCAGCCTGGGTGACAGAGCAAAGACTCTTTCTCAAAAAAAAAAAAAAAAAAAAAAAAGAGAGAGAAAGGACGAAATGCCTAGGTTTATAACAGAAAAGAAAAATTATTAGCAGAAGTCTGCAATTAACATCAGTACATAAAGTTATATAGTCCTGCGTTGCTTAACAATGGAGATATGTTCTGAGAAATGTGTCCTTAGGTAATTTAATCATTGTGTGGACATCATAGCATGTACTCACACAAACGTAGATGGCACAGCCTACTACATACCTAGGCTGTATGGTACAGCCTATTGCTCCTAGGTTACAAACCTGTACTACATGTTACTGTATTGAGTTCTGTAGACAACTGGAACACAATGGTAAGTATTTGTGTATCTAAACACCCAAACATAGAAAAAGTACAGTAAAAATATGGTATTACAAGCTTATAAAGCAACTGTTGTGTATGTGGTCCATCAACTAAAATGTTGTTACATGTTGCATGACTATAATTAAAAACCAGTGACATATAAAGAGATGATAAGTGTTCAAATTAAGTGTGTGGTTTGAAGGCTGTGTATATCATCAAATGAGACGTAGTGTTAAAATAGGAAATTACCTGAAGATACTGTACTGGTGAGTGTTTCCCTTATTTCCAAACAAAGCAACTTTGATCTGACCAGTGGCTGTTCTTCCAGACAGTGTGATGGAAACCCCATATCTCCAGCCTGCACAGGAGATGGAAGAGTTCAATTTATTCACACACAAAATAAGTAGCCTACATCCCAGACTTGTCTCCTTCTCTTACTCTGAGGCAACAAAGCATAAGAAATTCTTTTCTAAAAAATTATTATTATTATTTTTTGAGATGGGGTCTCACTCTGTCACCCAGGCTGGAGTGTAGTGGTGCAATCTTGGCTCACTGCCACCTCTGCCTCCCAGGTTCAAGTAATTCTTCTGCCTCAACCTCCCTAGTAGCTGGGACTACAGGCACACACCATCACGCCTGGCTAATTTTTGTATTTTTAGTAGAGACAGAGTTTCGCCATGTTGGTCAAGCTGGTCTCCAACTCCTGACCTCAAGTGATCCGCCCGTGTCCGCCTCCCAAAGTGATGGGAATACAGGCGTGAGCCACCACACCCAGCCAAAGTATAAGAAATTCTATTTGTTAATCTACAAATCAAACAAGGCCTTATGGAGAAGTATGTATTTAGCAGTATCCCCCTCTAGAACTGCATTGCCCAGGGAGGAGGTCACCAGCCACATGTGGCTGCTTACATTTAAATCCAAATTAAATACAATTAAAAATTTAGTTTCTCAAACTCATTCGCTGTGTTGCAAATGTTAAGTTGCCACATGAGGCTAATGGCTACACAGAATATGCCCCTCATTGCAGAAAGTTCTGTTAGCCAGCTCTGCCCCAGAATGGCAGTACAGTAAGGTAAGGTGAAGAGAGAGGGAATAGGGGCTTGTCTCCACATTTGGGAAGGTAGCTCGGGAGTGCAGCCTGGCAAGCACCTCGAGGGCGGGGACTGTGTTTCCTCTCTGCTCCCCAGGGCCCTGGGCAGTCTCTAGCACAGAGCAGGTGCACGAGCAGCTGTCACTTAGGCTTCTACCTGAAATGCTGTCCCAGGGCCTGCATGCACACGCACACAAATACAAATACATATACACAAACATATGCATGTGCGTGCACACACACAAATACATATACACAAACATATGCATGTGCACACACAATACATATACACAAACATGCATGTGCGTGCACATACACAAATACATATACACAACATGTGCATGTGCACACACACATACATCTACACAAACATGCATGTGTATGTGCACACACACACAAACCTACACACATTTAACCACGCACATACATAGACACCCACATACAAATATACATACACATGCACATACATATACATAAACATACAGACTCATATACATACGTATATAAACACATGCATACACACAAAGGTACATACACAAACACACTCACACATGCATTCATACACCCACACATGTGCACAGATGTACATTAATATACACAGACATGATTCTTGCCTAACTCCTATTCATCTTTCGTGTCTTCAGAGACCTTGACCCTGACCCTCCTTCTGGTCAGGGCCAGGTTCTCTGTCCCATAATGTCATGGCAACAGCCACCAAGCCCAACACGCTTGTAGTTGCTTGCCCAGTTTCTGTCTTTGGCTGGATTATTAATTTCATGAGAGGAGTCTCTTGTTCGTCCCTGCATCCTCAGTGTCTAGCATAGTCTGTGGCCCATAAATAAATGTTGATTGAGGAATGAATACCTGGTTTTTGAGTGTTTAATTTGTTGTTGAAATATTGGCAAGTATTTCATGCATCACAACATCAGTGGAAGGATTGATTAATCAATGTCTTCTTACAAAAAAAATACACAGAGTGGGCCGGGTGCGGTGGCTCACGCCTGTAATCCCGGCACTTTGGGAGGCCGAGGCAGGCGGATCACAAGGTCAGGAGATCGAGACCATCCTGGCTAACATGGTGAAACCCCGTCTCTACTAAAAATGTAAAAAAAAAATTAGCCTGGCATGGTGGCGGGCGCCTGTAGTCCCAGCTACTCGGGAGGCTGAGGCAGGAGAATGGCGTGAACCCGGGAGGGGGAGGTTGTAGTGAGCCAAGATTGCGCCTCTGCACTCCAGCCTGGGCGACACAGCGAGACTCCGTCTCAAAAAAAAAAAAAAAAATTACAGAGTGATATATATGGTGATAGAAGTGTTCTGTATCTTGATTTGGAGGTGTTTACACAACTATTCATTTGTCCAAACTCATACAAGTGTATGCTAAACAGCGTGCATTTTGCCAAATATAAATTATACCTCAATAAATCTGACTTTAAAAACTATGTAAGATGTGTTATACATTTATATGAATATGTAACCTCTGTCTTTACTGGGTCACCTCCTATGGAAGTGTCATGGGGCAGGTTGGTACAAAGTGGCCCAAACATGCCCAGTCTCTACCCTGTGTCTTAGTCCATTCAGCAGGTTTTGGAGAGAAATCATCCTTCCCCCTGATTCCTGCCTGCACTCCACCAGCGAGGCAGCCCCTGGGCATCAGGGATGCACAGACAGAGGGGAAAGCAGAGAATGGAGTTGGGCTTCTTAAGGGACATAGCCCAGCAAAGAGCTGGTACCAATTACGTCTTTGCTGAATGAAGAGAACAGGTGTGTCTGATGCGGCCTTAAAAAGGAAAGAAACAATGAACTGTGGAGTGGTAAAAATTCAGGGTAGCTGGTCACAAGGATGTGCAAACTGGCCTCATCCCATTAATTATACTAGTTGCTTGCTCTCATTTCATGCCGCAGAAATAGAACGGAAGAAATGCACACTCTGTCTAAATCCTCAGTTTACTTGTAACTGCAATAGTTTCGGTAAATGTGTCCATTTCTAAGATAATTAAAATGTACCCACAAATATTTCAGGTTGAAAGCAAGCCCCTCATTTGTAACAGAAACTATATACTTTCTTTACATGGGCAGGTAGTCAAAGTGCAACTTACGAGCGAAATTGCTAGCCTCTCCTGTGTTCAAGAAGAATTTCTGCTGCTCTTCACTTGTCCTGCCAGCAAATTTATCAGCATAGTGACCCATCTGTGGGCATCCTTGATCTGGACACGGGAAGCACTTGTCCTAATGAGAAGAGATAGATGGGACTGTAAGGAGAATTTGTGTTTGTATGATCGATACATCTGAGAGGGCAGACACTCAATTTTCCTACAGCCTAAGCGTTCTCCTTTGTGACAACAAAGGGGTTGGAGCAGATGATCTCTAAATTACCTTCATCTGGATCAGGGTTCCCAACTTTTAGGCACAACACATTAGAATTATTTGAGGAGCTTTAAAAAATACTGATGCCCAGGACCCAGGTTAGATCAATTATACCTTCTGTTGAGTGGAGCTGGTGAATGATAAGCAGCAAAAGCTCTGGGACAAAAACCCTGGATTGCAGTGCTTACCATTTTCAGTGGTGTAAATACTCTGACTGTGGCCAGTTTCAGGCTACCAACATGATGTCTCTGAATTTGGAGTTGGGAAGGGATACTCATGCTGGCTTTCGTGAGCCAGAATAGGCAGGCTCTAACCTGTCATTCTTCATCTCTCCCCTTGTTGCCAGCCTGGCATATAGGACTCCAGCATCCACCTTGCTTTCTCTCTGGTGTGAATTATTCTCTATACATTCTTCTACTCTCGCTCTGCCCTTGCCAGAAATGTGCATTCCTGTGTTTTCTAAACTGTATCATTTTTAAGCTAGATTCAGAGGTTGCCTCCTGCAGGAAGCCTCTATATCATTGAATTGACTGCTCTTTCTCTCTGATTTCCCAGTTTTCCTCTGCCACATAACTCATGTCATCTAAAATTTTAGCCATCTCCTGCCAAAAGTTGTTTACTTTTTTTTCTCTTCCACTCCACAGGACCATGAACTCTGAGGGTCAATGCAAAACGTGTAGTGAGAAGGCATTGCAAATCCCAAACGCAGCAGGACAGCAGTCCCTCAGAGGGGTGATGCTTGTTGCTCGAGGCAGGACAATAGCTTACAGACTCAAAGGACTTGTAGGAAGTGCAGGGATATGCAGCAAACCCATCGGGATTGAGGATGCTTTCCAAGTAATACTTGTAGCTTCTTAGGTGATTGCAAGCCACAAAGTCCCGGGTTCCTGGGAAAACAAATAAGGAGACCTGAACAGGTGGTTGGGGGCCTGTAACAGCTTCTCTGCCTCTCTCTCCAAATGGGATGGTTCCAAAGTAGGACCGTATTTTCAGAAACTTAAGATAAATCCAAAATTCAGCCACCATAATGACAATTAACATATAGAGGGTGCTTTCTGTGTACAAGGCAACATTCTGATCACTTTACCTGCCTTGTCCATGTAATCCTCAGTCTTCCTAGGAGGTGGGTACCATATCATCCTTATTTATGCATTATCATCTCATTCCTATGTTACAGAAAGGACTACAGAGTGTAGCCTCAGATTTACAGCTTAGCTAATAGGTGGGAAAGCTGGTAATTAAACCCATGCCCATCTTGTCTTCGGCCCATCCCTCTAACCTTAGTGCCATCTCATGTCCCAGGCACCATGCTGGAGGTCCTCAAAGACATGACCAGATGTGACATGACCAAGCCAATGCGAGGACATTTCCATGCGGCAGTTATACAAATAAAAACAAGGGCTGGATAACTTTAGGTGGTTTTGTATGAGCTTCACTCTCATAGTGTCTTGATTTTACTTGCAACCTTTCTGGGCTCCCTGCAACTCCTGCCAAGTGACAAATGTTACATTATACCTTCTAGACCTGGCCTGAGCTTGCTGGGCCATTACTGATGAAGAGTTTTGACTGCCCTATGCACGCAAACCCTCATGAGGCTGTGAAAGACAAACTGCATATGTCCTCATTCTTTATTTTTTATTTTATTTTATTTTATTTTATTTTATTTTATTTTATTTTCGAGATGGAGTTTCGCTCTTGTTGCCCAGGCTGTGGTGCAATGGCATGGTCTCGGCTCACTGCAACCTTTGCCTCCTGGGTTCAAGCGATTCTCCTGACTCAGCCTCTCGAGCAGCTGGAATTGCAGCCACGCACCACCACGACTGGCTACTTTTTGTATTTTTAGTAGAGACGGGGTTTTACCATGTTGGCCAAGCTGGTCTCAAACTCCTGACCTCAAGTGATTTGCCCGCCTCGGCCTCCCAAAGTGCTGGGATTATAGGCGTGAGCCACCACAGCTGGCCTGTCCTCATTCTTAATATTTGCTTTGATGGCATCCATATATGCCAAGCCATTTTGATGAAATTCAGTAAAAATCTTTACTCATTACATTTGGTCAGACTACTAAGGGTTTTCTCCGTGTGGTGCCACATGACAAGTCTGGATGAAAACTTCACCTGTCCATTGTCCTTTTGGCCTCATTAGATACAGAGTCAGAGCTGTGTCTGCAGGATGCCCTTTCTTCCCAAGTGTGCTAGATCAACAATAAAGAATAACCACATCCAATAGCAGTCTCCCATCTCACCTTCCTTAACTGTGATTGCTCCTCATTCCTACTCAACATGGGTGAGCAATGGCTCTCATTGTGCAAATAGGCTTGCTGTGGAAACCACTGGGAATATTCTCATTCTAGCTACTGAAAGGGAGCTGATTACATCATTTTGAACCTTATCACTGACTCCCAAGAGAGAATTTGTAGCAAAAGTCTCTTAGTTACAGTCAGGATGTTTGCTCTTATGGTATTTCCTTTCTGTATTAGGTAACTACCAACTGATTGCTGGAGTCACAGCTTTAAGTGACAGTTTTATAATTCTTTGTTGCTTGTACATGCCAGGACATCCACAGCAATGTTTTAAGGAAGCACAAAAGCAGTAAAGCTGAGATATAACAAATACTATGTAGCTACATTTTTTCTGAAATAATCCCCAGAAGAGGGAATTGTATATTTTTAAAGACAGTTTCATTTTTATTCTTAAGATTTGCTGCAGAAAGGTATTGGTCACTCCAGGAAAGTACCCGCCCTGCTCCCCTCACCCCACCATGACTTTACCCGCCCAGATGCCATCTAGATCCACGATCTGAGACAGGGCATTCTTCTTGCATCCCGGCATGCTCTCTCCTCCATTGGGGAAGAAGTCAAGATGACCCATCTGTTGGTTCGTTCCAAAACCTGAAATGCTTAGAAAAACAATGAGCTTTTTGTCATGCAGGACTTTCATGGTTAAAACACAGTTGTGCGTGCTCACAGCTGGAGCATCATAGGTCTCACCCAAGAATGGGATCAGGGGAGCTGCATCCGTGTGAATCACATCAACAAAGTCAGCATCAGAGGGATCAAGTCGCACCTCTTCAGGAGTACTCTCGAAACTTGCTTCTACAGGATCCAACCCTAAAAGAGATGATCAGCACTGCAGAACAATAGACCTGACTGTAGATGTCAGCAGCACCAAGGTGTACAGCTGCCCGGGCTATGCACTGCCCAACTCAATGGGTACCATGCACCAGAGTGATGCAGTGCCATGGCCTTGGGTGCTAAATATGAGGACATAGAGTCTGAATGTGGCTCATTGCAAAAGGGTTCCCAGTGGCGTGGATGGAGGAGGACAAATGAGCAAAGAAATTTAGATTTTGTTTAAGCAAGGATTTTTTCCACACCAGAGTCTCCCATTTACTTGTGTATCTTTCTTCTTCATCATCCTTTCTCTCCCCAAGCTTGTAGAAAGAAAGGGGTGAAGCAATGTGGTATCATAGTTAAGAACACAGGTTCTGGGTCTAGGTTGCCTGGCTCCAAATTCCTACTCAGCTGCTTTTGGGGCAAGATGCATGACCTTGAGCATGTCACTCTACCTTTTTGTGCTTCAGGTTCTTCATTTTACAAAATGGGGTGATAATGGCATCTATTTGATATGGTTGTTATAGATTAAATGAGTTAATAGGTAGCACTTAGCACAATGCCTGGTGTATAGTCATGGGTGTATAAGTAAGATATTAATAATTATTGTTTTTGACAAATTTCCTTCTTAGTAGGGATCTTGGATTTGTTAATAGTTTTTGAAGGCTTCATTACAGCAGCTGATAAAATAGGAACGTGAATGTAGTTGCCAGCTGAAAATAAAAGAGAGATTTCTTATAAAGAGTTGCTTAAGCCAAACATCGGCAAAACCAGGTCTGGATCTCAGTTCTCCCACTGATGAGTTGTGTGGCTTTGGGCAAGTTATTTGCATCCCTGAGCCTTTTTCTTCAGTTCTGAGAATTATATAAGAAAATATAAAGCATTTTGTGCAGTATTTGGGATAAGCAGGCACTTAATCTATGCTTATCATAATAATTATAATAGCATTATTATTATTATTATCACCATCATATTATGTAGATATATCTTGCTGTTGCTGTTATAATTCAAATGCTTTGATTGGGTTAAAAGAATGCTTTTGGCCATAATGGCGACTGGGTTTCTTCTACTAGTAGAAGCAGTGGGAAACAATTTTTAGGTTCTATTCTGCCCTTGATTTCAAAGAGAAGGGAGAAAGAATTGGCAATATAGACCCTCCTTGATTATGTTTTGCTCATGTTCATACTAGTCTCACTCTGCATTTTCCTGGGTGCCCAGTCCTGTTGAGAGGCGAACACCACCAGAAAACCAGGACTTAGAAAGGAGGGGCTAGGACAGAGGTGGAAGAAGCAAAGAGGAACAAAATCACCCTTCCCTTGCCGTGAAGGTGGCGCATGAGCTTCTTGGGGGCTCCCTAAAATGTTCTGTGCAGGCTCCAAGCAGCTCTATCACAGCCAAGGGGGACAGTCTCCTTCAGGGGAGCTCTGAACTGGGCTGCATTCTTGAGACCTCATTCTGGGGTTTCTGGGGACAAAACTGGGGCCCTGCCTCTGGGGCCTTACCTGTAATCCTGCTCAGGCCTGGAGTCTTGCTTCCTGCCTCTCCAGCCACGTGGGCTCCCAGGCTGTGGCCAATGAGGTGAACTTTGGAAGGGGGGTAGCTATACTCTGTCTGGAGAGGGAAGATTGTATTTTCAGGACATTTTTTGCTGTGGTTTTTCTAAAATGCCAGCCTAATGGATATTACTCCTCTGCTGAAAACCTTCCATGCCTCTCATTGCCTTCAGGATCAAGCCCAAACTCATTCTGAAGGCCTCCGAGCTTTCCTAACTCATCATCTATTTTTCTAGACTCTTCAGCCAAACCCTTTGTTGAACTTTCAGACCCTCGAATACATCATAGCCTCTCACCTCTGGGCCTGGTTTGTTCTTCTCTTCTTGTTGTTGTCTATCCCCCAAGCACTTGCCAGCTAACATCAACAGACTAGCCTTCAGCTGTCAATTTAGACGTCTCTTCCTTGGGAGACCTCCTTAAGCCCTTTCCCCACCCCATCAGTGTGGATTAGCTGCCTTCTATGTGTTCCTGTAAAGCTCCTACTCTCCCCATCAGAACCCACTAATAGATCGCACTCTACTGGCATTGCAAGTTTTCACTGCAAGCTCCTTGATGGTCTGGGATCTCATGTGTCTTCTTTACTTCCTCACATACTCCTGACATTCTGCTCCAAAAGTACTGGTGAACAAGCAAATCAAATAGAGCTATGAGGTATTTGCACATGTTGATCTCAGAGACGTTCACCCAAAGGCACTTCATTTATTGGTCTATCATACTTCTTGCACAAATACCATGGGTTTTGATTTCTGCAGGAGTGCAGAAGTTGATTCTTTTGTAGACCCTTTAACTATAAGACAGAAATGGCTGTAGTCATTACCTGGTATAGAAAATAGTCACAAAGGATTAGCAACTTAAAGAATTAAAGACTGAAGGAGTTAGCTATAATGAAACAGTATAGGAAGAAATAAGTGAAATGATTGTGGCAGAAGGAATTCCCCAACATCAATAGGACCCATACCACCAGGCCAGTAGAGCTGGTACATGCCAATTGCACGTACTGTCCGTTGGCTCTCTGTGGCTCTCTCTGGCCATGCTGTGTTTCACGCGAAACAGAGCCCACCTGGTGTTGTGGGTGAATTCTGAAGCTAGATGGTCTGGATCAAAAGGCAGGTCTTCTATTCATTTGCTTTATGACTTTGGGAGCAAACTAGTTAAACTTTCTGGGCCTCAGTTTCTTTATCTGTAAATTGAAGATGATTTTTAAAAAACCACTTTCTAAGTGTTAGCGATTCTTATTTTTGCTTCCACTGGCGTGTCATTATGAAGGCAAATTTCAGAGTTTTAGAAGTAAGGTCTGGATATCAATTCTTTGTCCTTCTTTAATCCATAACTCTCAGCTGCATCTCTACCAAACAGAGACCAGCAGGCACTGCTTCCCTCCTCACATAGGCCAGCCAGCTGACTCACCAAGAGGATGTCGAGCATCTGGGCCACCTGGGCGCCCACCACTCGCACGTTGTTGGCAGCCTGTGTGTAGGTGGCTTGGGAGCCCTTCTTCCAGTCCACGCAGATGCAGTTCACCTCCTCCACCTCGAACAGTTTCTGGTGTTGGGGAGATAGTGGGGTTGGGGAGATAATGGGAGCAGGGGAAACCTTATCCAGCCAGGGCTCAGAAATGGCCACTTCTCTCTTCTCCTAGCTAGGGCATGAGATAAACTAGACTCTGTTAGGGAATCCTGTTGGTAATTAGGAGTTATCCTTCAGGGTGAATGCTATGAGAAAGGCAAACTGATTCCCCCTCCAGCTTGCAGATTAATTGGAAGCTGGCTACTCTCTGGTTTCCTTCAACCAAATTCAGTAAGGTTGGTTAGTAAGGGAAAAACAATTGCATCATGAAAAGAGTCCTGTTTTGAAAAGGAAAAGTCTTAGGTGCAATCTCCGGTGGCCAGTGTCTAAATGACCTTGTGGATTTGACTGTAAGGGGTCCTTTCAGGCTCTTGGCGATGCCCCAGGCTGCTGGAAAGTGAGAGAGAAGTTTCACTATTTTTATAGTCACGATGACACAGTACTTCATGGAGTAGACACATGTAGATATTTGAAAAATAGAACTGTACTGATTTAAAAGAGATTGAAGAATTCTGGAAGGAAAATGTCTTCCTGGATGTCAAAGGAGCTGATATATCTTTAGGAGTTCTGCCAGGCAGTACATATTACCAGCTTGAATTTAAAATGGTACTATAAATTTAAAATGCACTTGGAATCATTCCACATATAGTATACTAATATGTGTGATCACATGCACAGAGATAGTGGGAGTTTTCTCCTCAGGACTTTTCTTTTCTTTTCTTTTTTTCTTTCTTTTTTTTTTTTTTTTTTTGAGACAGCCTCATTCTGTCGCCCAGGCTGGAGTGCAGTGGCGCGATCTCAGCTCACTGCAACCTCTGCCTCCGAATTTAAGCAATTCTCCTGCCTCAGCCTCCTGAGTAGCTAGGACTACAGGCGCCTGCGACCACACCTGGCTAATTTTTGTACTTTTAGTAGAGACAGGGTTTCACCATGTTGGCTACGCTGGTCTTGAACTCCTGACCTCGGGTGATCCACCCGCCTCGGCCTCTCAAAGTGCTGGGATTACAGGCATGAGCCACTGCGCACCTGGCCAGGACTTTCATTTTCAAGCAATCCTGAGGAAACTTTCACAAGCCTGGAGAATTTGGAGTATAAACTGTATCAATAAGATGCTTATTAATGATAGGACAGGAAAGGTGCCAAGAGTGAAATGCCTGTTAAACCAAGGGCAAGTGCAGAATGACTTTAATTTTCTGGGTTTGTAATTTTTCCTTTTGACATTACTGGTTGGTGTTATTAATGTATGTGTGGAAGGCAGGCTCCTGGGGTAGGTAAATTCTTAGGTGACAGAAAAATCGATTGAACTAGTCTCCACATAAATAGAAAGGATGATGGTATATTGTGGTATATTGCACGCACATGTGTGTGTGTTTGTGTGTGTATGCACAAGTTGCACACATGTCCATGTATGTATGTGTGTGTGTGCACATGTGTGTATTCTTCTGTTGCTCTCCTTCTGACCTATATTACATGTAGGTGACACTTTCTATTCTGTCATTGTAGTAACTTAATCTTAGTTTTCTTTTTTTTTTTTTTTTGAGATGGAGTCTCACTCTGTTGCCCAGGCTGGAGTGTAGTGGCACAATATTGGCTCATTGCAACCTTTGCCTCCTGGGTTCAAGCAATTTTCCTGCCTCAGCCTCCCAAGTAGCTGGGACTACAAGAGCCTGCCACCACAACAGGCTGATTTTTGTATCATTAGTAGAGATAGGGTTTCACCATGTTCGCCAGGCTGGTCTCGAACTCCTGACCTCAGGTGATCCATCCACCTTGGCCTCCCAAAGTGCTGGGATCAATTAAGTGGTCACAGCAACACATGTCAGCCTCTCAGGGATGTGGGAAAAATTTGAACAAAGAAACCCCTATAGTCCCTCGCTTATAGGATACAAAGTACCCTCACTACAAATGGAAGCAGAAAACATCAGGCCTTGGTTTAACCAGAAATTAGGTAGTAGGAGTACTTTTCTAACAGCAAATGTGGTTGCTTCAGTGTGCAGATGTAGTGCGGAAACATGGAAAGGCATTTTAATTTTTGTGAAGAGAAGCATTTTAATTGCATAAAGTTACCTAATATGTAAAGATTTCTTGAGTGCATAAAGTGATGCAGAGATGTTAGCAGAAGTGTTGGCCTCAGCTGGCCACAGGGATCAGAGCTGGCTCCTACCTTGCACATGTCTGTCACCCAGCTCTCATCTCCTTTGTCTATGAAGCCATGGATGATGAACCGGGTCTTTCTGTCCATTTGAAAATTTGATGCCTCAATTGTTGATGGATCAGAGAGGAGGAGAATCTGTGACAGACGCAGAAGTGCTTCATGTTTTCGCAGCCCAGCCTCACAGGCCTTTTTCCTTCCTCATCTCCGCCTGCGCCAATGCCTCTACTTTTCAAAGCTTAGCAAAAAGCCACTTCTTCCATGAAGCCCACCCTGATCTCCCTTTTCTTGCCCCATCTCTCCAGGTGAGTAATCACTGCTTCCACTAGGCCTGGATTGTGGTTTGAGGTTTTACCTTCCCTGTGGTTTTTGTTAGACAGTAAGCTGTTTGCCCCAGACCAGAATCACACAGTAGCTAGAGGTTCTGGCAAATGTGAACCATTCATTCATTCAAGCCAACATTACTAAAGACCTGCTCTGTCTAGGTCTAGCTAGGTCTGGGGGGCAGCTTGAGGGATGGGGTGGGGCATGGTGGAGGAAGAGGGCACAGAGATAAGGTATTCATGGTCTGCAGGGTGGGCATAGCCCCGTGCCAGTTACAGTGACATTTAAATGACAGAGGTCTCACTTGAAAGTTGTTTGGGTTTTCATTGGTGTACAGCAGGAAGCGGGTGCCGATCTTCTCAGGGCTCCAGGGGAGAATTTTCAGGGGCCTGATTGCTGTCCCGCCCCAGGGCTCAGTGTCAGAAAAGCACCCGAGGTCCTCATAGCAAACTTCTTTTCCTACAGAGAAAGGTTGAATCTGCTCAAGGATTTGCTCTCAAGGTGTGCTCTGGGGTGTCACTGCTGTTCGGGCCTGGTCACTCTTCTATTCAGGGACAGTCTGAAGACAATGGATGAACCTACTGCAACCCCTCCCACTCTCTTCTTGACCCCAGTGCCCACCTACTACTGGCCGGTAGTAGTATCAGTCCCATTGAATCCCACAGGGACACCACTGGAGCCTTTGTTTAGAACTACCCTCAAAACTGGAAAGTTCTAAGTCCCATTCCTAGCTCTTCTGATACATTTATTTGACCAATGTGATCATGGGCATTGATAAGTCAATATGTTAACTCAGGCAGATGTTTCATGCTTTACCTAGAAATGTCTGGCCTTGGGCACCCCGAGCATGAAGGTAGGCCACTGGGGGGATCCCCAGAAACAGGTCTCCCTTAAACTGCCCAGCCTACTCTCCCAGGCAGAGTGTCAGCCCACATCTTCTCTCTGGTACCCTGGAGCTGCTGGGAGCCCTGCCACAGTTAAAGCTTTCTCTGGCCAGGGCTGAGAGCTTAAGTTTAAGCCCTTCCTACGGGGCAGGAGTGGTGTTTCTTACCTTTGGCTGCTCCCAGCAGGAAAAGTGTGATTGTCCAGAAGATCAGCATCTACAATAAATTTAAACATAATTCAGTCTCACCGGGCATTGCCAGAGCAGTGAGCACCGACGCCCTGGACTTCAGTACTGTTTACCTCACCTGTACGTCACAGCAGGGGGAAAGGAGTTGCAAAGGTGGCTTACCCTGTCTAATGTTCCAGATGTTCCCTCCCACCGGATCGAGTGTCCAGCCCTTTCTAAAAATATATATTCCAGCCTTATCATTTGGACACTACTTCAAGAAAACAGCAGGTGATTATAGCCCATGCTGTGCGCACTTAATACTTTAATCTGCCCAAATACACAAAACAAGATTAATAATAGCTGTCAAGTCTTCCCACAAGTCTGGAAATATGACAGAATGCTTGGTTAAAGCAGGGAGTGAAGTCACCAACCTTGTACCTATGTAACTATGCATGTACTTGTGAGCTGAATGGGCCCTCACTTTTCAGTTTTCTATTTCATCACCAAATAGTTTACAAGTCTCAATAGGGACACAGCAGCAAACCCTAATGATAGAGGATAGTATTTCTCATTTAGAATAGATGAAAATACCTGCAATTAGTTGAAAGTAAAGAGAAATCTCTGATTAAGAAAACTTCTTCTCTCTCTCTCTCTCTCTCTCTCTCTCTCAATCTTCCTCTCTCTCTTTCGAAGACTAGGAATACTGGGCATCTGAGCTTTGGAGAAAAATTCAACAGCCCTCACAGTAGCTTCTGACCACAATCCTCCCATTAACTGCCTATTCCAGTTATATATTGCTATGCAATGAACCAATCCAAAAGACAACACTTTAAAACAATAGCAATGATTGCATTATGCCACTGTAATCTCAATAGTTGGGTTCAGGAGCCCCCAGAGGCCCATGTCATGTCTGTTGAGTTTCCCCAGGTCCTCTGAAGGTTGCACACCTGCAGATAATTCTTGGACCCTGTAAAGCCATCATGATATAACCAGAGACCTCTGCATCTGTGAACAGCCCAGCCAGTTCACACAGCAAGGCAGATAAGCCTTCACAAAGCAAACACCATGAGTGCCTCCCCTTGCCAAGTTAAATATGCCTCGGTGTCAAAGTTCTCAATCTTAAATAACCAAAACACAAGGGTGCAGGCCTAAGGGCCTTCCTCTTAAGAAAATGGAAAGGACTCCTGGAATCATAAAGAATAGCTGCCAACTGTTACGAAGCCTTACCAAGTACAGTCAGAATTCCAAGCACCTTACGTGTATTACCTAATAAGTTTTAAAACAATCCCATAAGCCTCTCTTTATAAATGTGGGAACTGAGGCACAGAGAGATAAGTAAATTGCCTAAAAAGTCACACGACTAACGAGTGATGAGGTAAGATTTGAATTCAGGCTGTACAGAGTTGTTGAATATTCAGTTGTGTTGAGCTAGTAATCAGCAAGCTTCACTGGATGTCAACCATGTAGAACAAGAGGGATACACAGAATGAGTCAAAAGAGAAAATGTGAAAACCCTCTTGGCCCTTGACCTGTTTCCTCCCTACTTCCAGGCATCCCCAGGATGGAGAAACAGGCTAGACTTGGTGATGGACTGGGAAGGTGGTCAGAGTTCTTCATCCCTTCCTCCTGTACACACACCCTTTGCAATGTGATCTTGCAGCTCCTTCCATCAAGAAGTGGAGTTTATTTCTCCACCTCTTGAATCTGAGCTAGACATGGTATGACTTGATTTGGTCATTAAGTGTGGTAACAGCAACATCTTTGAACAACTCAAAGCCAGCTGTCCCCCAAGTATGTAAAGGACCCAGCCAAGATTAGTGGCACTGCCTACTCAACCCACTGTAACCACAGAGGCATGAGTAAATCCAGCCAAGACCAGAAGAACCACCCAGCAAACTCAGATTTTTGAGCATGGATAAATGCTTTAATTCAGTGCTTTAAGCCACTGAATTGGTGATTGTTTGTTATGCAGCAGTAGCTAACCAATACAGGAACCCAAGCCAGGCCTGGAATTCAGAGACAGCAGCACCTGTTGCACTCACTGTTACTATTCTTTAGCACACAGCACCAGGTTCGAGCATACCCTTTCCTAAGACAATGAGGAAACTCCGTGCATCAGTCAATATACACTGTGCTCCAATGCACTGGCTCCTGTTTAAATGCTCTAGGGGATTTAATTAGACTAAGCCTCTAGCAAGGCTGAGGTTCAAGCTGCTTCTCCTTCACAGGCTGTCAGACAATTTATTCATTCCACACCAGATGGAAAGATTTCTGGGTGAGTCTTTCAAACAACAATAACAACTGGAATTTCTTTTTTTCTTTTCTTTTCTTTTTTTTTTTTTTTTTTTTTTTGAGATGGAGTCTTGCTCTGTCACCCAGGCTGGAGTGCAGTGGCGCGATCTCGGCTCACTGCAAGCTCCACCTCCTGGGTTTATGCCATTCTCCTGTCTCAGCCTCCCAGGTAGCTGGGACTACAGGTGCCCGCCACCACGCCCAGCTATTTTTTTGTATTTTTAGTAGAGACGGGGTTTCACCGTGTTAGCCAGGATGGTCTCGATCTCCTGACCTAGTGATCCGCCCGCCTCGGCCTCCTAAAGTGCTGGGATTACAGGCGTGAGCCACTGCGTCTGGCCAACAACTGGAATATTTTGATTGAACTTACATCCAGTTTCAGGGTCACAAGTAAGGATTCATAGGCATACAAATCTGTGGATCTCTTTTTGAAACCATGACTTCATTTCCACCAGACAGCTCTCAGGTCTTCAAGACGTATGACTCATTGAAGGTCACAAAAGTAAAGAATGAAGTCACCAGCCATTATCTGTTATACATACATGTGTAGATGAAGCCCAAATATCTGCTTTCCTTCAGGCAATCAGCTCTGTCCTTGTTTGCTCCTTCAATTTTAATTCTGGGGGAATGATAGAGTTGGGTTCAAGGTGGGTTTTCGGAGTCCCTTAATTTTAGAGAAATGTTTGTTTTGAGAAAGCTGGTTTTTAAATCTCTTCCAGAGCCTAGAATCAGACTGTATTACATTGAACTATGTTTCTAAATATCCCATGAACTGGCAGACTCTCCCTCTGTGTGTTGTAATGGAAGTAGGGTACAAGAACTTGCCTCATCATTAGTCAGCTATTGATTTCTTTTTCTTTTATTAGAGATACCTGTCTGTGGGAAGTGAACTCAGCTTCTGAGTTTCACCTAGAGTTCTCAAAGTCCTTGATGACCGCTGGTAGATCTCACCGAGGCCAGACAAACCCTGGTGCCAGTTGGAGTGCATTAGGTCCAAAAGTCTGCGCTCCTCTGTAGGGGTCCTTGGCATTTCCAGAACAACTCCCAGCCTTCAGAATCTGGGTGCTGTGAAGTTCTGCAAACTTGAATGACGATTAGATAGGGAAATAATCAGAACTTGCTCTCCATACAAGTATCAAAACGGTTGATTTACACCCAAAACTTGGCTGAAGCCACTTTTGGGGGCCTCTGCTTGTCCATGAGGAAGTCCTCATCATCCAGCTGCCATGGACTTCGGAGACCAGGAACTGGGTCTTTTTTTTGCTCACTTCTGTGTCTCCAATGCCTAGCGGAGTGCCTCACATATGGTAGGTGCTCAGCACATGTTTGTGGAAGACATGAATGCTTACTCAAGGACCATCCTAGTCTTGTCTCCTACAATTCTCTTCTCTGAATACTGCCCAGAAGCCATAACAAACTGTCTTCTTAATATTAAAAGAGCTAAGCTTTTAAAAACTGTGTAACTTTTCTGTACTTACCTTTAGTTGTTTCATAATGACCAAGATCCTATTTAAGAAAATGTTTTAGGTCTTTTGACATTTCTTACAAACTTCTGAAATTCTAATTTAAGTCTTTTGATCTCAGAATGACTTTGGGACATACTAGAGGGTCCCTGGAGCTTCTCAAAGGAAGAGACATATTAAACCAATTAGGCTTATTAAATACATTAAATTATATGGGAAACATTGTAAATAAGAAATTATATTTAACCTTCTTTTAGTTATACTTGTATAAATATGTTGTTTCATGTTCCACAAACTAATAAATTCTTAGAAATCTAATGTGTTAGCAGCTGTAATTTTGGTTATTATGTTAAACTGTTATATGCTACAAAACAACCACATTTCCTTGTGAATTGTGTCACTATTATAATGAATTCTCATCTTTTAACGATGGTCATTTTAAGTCCTGTTATTCACGCACAGATCATTAAATAGTTAATTGTTTCCTTTTTTTCTTTTCTTTTTCTTTTTTCTTTCTTTTTTTTTTTTTTTTGAGACTTGCTCTGTCGCCCAGGCTGGAGGGCAGTGGCACGACCTCAGTTCACTGCAGCCTCCGCCTTTCGGGTTCAAGCGGTTCCCCTGCCTCAGCCTCCTGAGTAGCTGAGACTACAAGTGCATGCCACCATGCCCAGCTAGTTTTTGTATTTTTAGTAGAGACAGGGTTTCATCACGTTGGCCAGGGTGGTCTTGAACTCCTGGCCTCAAGTGATCCGCCTGCCTTGGCCTCCCAAAGTGAGCCACTGCGCCTGGCCAGTGAATTGTTTTCTGAAAGCTTTTTGCAAGCAACTGTAACCTTACCGAGCTTCAGCTTTATGGAGATTCATGGAAAGTACTCTGACAAGTATAGGCTGATAACTCTAGGATTATCCCAATGGATTGGGTAAGAATTCGCAGAGCTCTAACAAACTGGTGTCTTGATTACAGGCATGAGCCACCACGCCTGGCCCTCTCTATCCACTTTTTAAGACCTAACACAAATATACTTTTCTTTCTTAGGGTGTTATTGTTTGGACATGGCCTAATTTTAAATACTTGACCCTAGTGGATCCATTCATTGTTTCCATTACTGGGAAAGTCATTCAAAAAATATTTATGTGCTCTTCTACTACATGCCAGGCATGTAGGCAATAGGTAAACCCCTTAAGGAGTTTAGAAATGGGATATACATAGAAATGAACCAGCAATTATGATATGGAGAGTCAAGGGTTGAGGTGGGAACATTTCTGGGTGCAGTAGGATTATTGCCGGGAAGCCCCTTATCAAGTCTTAGGGGGTATGGGTAATGGAGGTGAGGAAAGATTTCCTGGAAGAAGTGCTGTCTACTCAGATATTTAAGAATCAGTAGGAGTTGAACAGACAGGAAGATAAGGAAAAGAACATCCCGGGAAGAGGAACCATTCATGGCAACATCCAGCCGCATCAGAGATCAAGGCCCTTTTGGGGAACAAGGCCAAAATGTAGAGTTCCAGAAGGAGCATGGTGAGAGATGAGGCCTGGAGTCCAAGGTGACAACTAGAACATAAAGGACCTCACAAAGCTCATTAAGGAATATGGATTTTTCCTGGGGACCATTGGGAGGATGATCAATTTGTGCTTTAAAAAAGATCAAAGAGGCTGCAGAGAGATGAGAGGTCTGGTTTAATTTTGAGGTTGACATTGTCATGCCATCTTGGTTATAACTGGTAACATTAAAACAAACACTCATGGAATTTATTAGAAATAACCTACGTTAGTTGCTTTCACAGGGATAGGGGGATGAGTTAGGAATTATCAATTCCGTCCAGTTCTCATCTCCTCGTGTGGCCTCTCTCCTGAGATGTCTGATGTGGAACAAACACAGAACTAAAGATGATGGGAAAAGTGGCAATGGTTGGTACTTTCCTCATGGACCTACCCAGAAGGGGTCATTTTGGACCTGGAAGTCTGCTTACCTGATCAGAATGACATCACTAATATTAATAATGAAAATGATGACAGTCTCATGTAAACAGTATTCCAAAGTTCAAAAGGCAGCAAAATTCAACAGTCATGTATGGTTCTTGAGACCATATTGAAAAGTTTCATTGAGAGGAAATTTATAACAAAAGACAAGAATGTGTTGCTCCACCATTAAATTTTGTTAGCAGTAAGATTTAGTGATCACATGTCAGCAGCCTCCTAACACAATGTGAGGGTGAACAGAACTTCCTTTCACAAGGTTTCTAGACTACAGAAGTTGAAAAATATAAAAATAGAGTTAAACCAAAGAAAGGTGAGAGGTAGTTTCCATACTTACTGTATTTGCAAGCTATAGTGGAAATAAAATGTGCACCCTCATAGCATTTATGCACCCTCATAGCATTTGTTGAATGCTAATTATTATACTTTTGGCTTTAACCTAAGCATTCAATATATATCATCTCTTTAAGGCCTCCCACCAAGAATGTTGAGTGTATCATTAATATTTACATTTACAAATGAAAAACCTGCCTTAGAGAATTGAAGTATTTTACCCAAAGTCATTCAGCTATTTAATGGTAAAACCAAACCAGGATTCAAATCCTCTCTTGTAGTCACTAAAATATATATCCTTGGTAATTTTTACTTCACTGGGCATCTTCATTACCTGAAATGTTACTTCTAAGTGGTATACATTAAAATTTTTATTTCAATAAATTTATAGTGAAAAGAATAGTCTTTTATAAAAATCCAAGCAATAGATATATAATTTTCAAGATTAGATATAAGAATCCAACCTAGATATCTAGAAAATACTAAACAAGATGAAAAAAAAATCTTGGTAACTATAAGATTGCACAGAAATATCCACATGTCCATAATTATATGGTTTAAAGGTCACCATTCAAGAAAAATTTCCCATGTTCATTAGCATCCTATAGACATAGTTTAGATTTACATAGACTAAATTTTTTGGTTCAGAATTATTTCCAGAGCAAGTTTGAACATTTACCTGATACATATATATGTGATGGTGACTAAGGTAGACTTTAGACATTTTCATCTACAAACCCATATTTCTTAAGTCCTTAAATGCTTTATCTCTATTAAAATACTTATCTATGATCAAAAGTATAGGTATGCAAGTATAAATATTCATTCAATAAGTATTTTACCTTTTTACATTTTCTGAATTGGGTCACATGATCAGAAATCAGAACCCTTAGAGTCCTTGTATTTTTTTAATGATATTCATCTTTTGTCTATAGCACTCTCTTTAATACTATGTGTGACTCAAACGTGCATTAAGGACATCCAGAGATTTTATTCATTTATGTCTACTTCCCATTGACAGGGATATACAAAGAACAAGTGTCATACCATAAAGAATATTAGGTCGGTGCAAAAGTAATTGCAGTTTTGGCCTTAAAAGTAATGATGAAAACTGCAATTATTTTTGCACCAACCTAATGGAACAAATAGAATTAAACCCAAAGGCTCAAAATTTGTATAATTAATTATATTCTGCATCAATAGCATTGCTAATGAGCCTAACCCTCATTGGCCAGGTGTTGTGGCCCCCTTCGGTAATTCCTATGCAAAGTAAATGATTTTCATGTTTCTCTTTCACAGTTATAATGAGAAAGGGAAATTAATTGAATTTCAGAACTGGTGGAAGGAGCTCTACTTTGAGATTTTACTATGTAGAGTGAACCCCTGATGGACATGGGGAGTTGTTACCCAGAGATGATGAAGCAAGTATTTGGATTTGAAACTAATAATGAAGGCAATTACTTAAGCACATTCAAATATAACATTTTCTGTATTTTTGGTTATCAGTTTATTATCATTGTGCTTCTCTTCAAGACACAAAAACAAAAAGCTAGTTTAATTTTGAGGTTGACATTGTCATGTCAACTTGGTTATAACTGGTAAAATTAAAACAAACACTCATGGAATTTATTAGAAATAACCTACCTAGTTGCTTGAATCAAAACAAACAAACAAGCAGCACTAGTTTATTGACCCAACAAAGCTTATTGATGATGCCCAAAGCTAGATTTTTTTTGCTGTTTTCTTTTTTTTTTTTCTCAGACGGAGTCTCTCATGACGGGATCTCGGCTCACTGCAAGCTCTGCCTCCAGGGTTCACACCATTCTCCTGCCTCAGCCTCCTGAGTAGCTGGGACTACAGGCGTCCGCCACGGCGCCGGCTAATTTTTTGTGTATTTAGTAGAGACGGGGTTTCACTGTGTTAGCCAGGACGGTCTTGATCTCCTGACCTCGTGATCCTCCCGTCTTGGCGTCCCAAAGTGCTGGGATTACAGGTGTGAGCCACCGCGCCCAGCCTGCAGTTTTCTTTCAAATAAGGGGAAAGAGAAATTGCTGAAAATGGCTTTGTCATTAATCATACCTATGGATTTTTTTTTGAAAGAAAATTCAGAGAGCAATGTGTATGGGTTTTTGTACAACCTGAGGATACTTACTTGAAGAACATCAACAAAATATGCCACTTCTGCTTCCACAATCTGGATGTTCTGCGAGGCTTGTGTGTATGCAGCTTGGGAGCCACTCTTCCAGTCCGCACAGACACAGTTCACACTTCCCACCTGGAACAGATTCTGGTAAAAAAGACAATAAATAGATATATAACTTAGGATCTTTATTAATTACTAGTTAACACATTTGCAGACTAGGATAAATTCTCTTCTTGGCCTACACAATATCATTTTAACCCCAATGCAATTGACAAGACTTCTAGTCTTTTACGGCTATGGAATCCCTCTTAAAGTTTAACATTGGCTCTAAGCTAGAGGTTTGACCACAATGGGAACCGGAATCTTTGGATTTCTACTGTAATAGATACATAGACATTTACTTCAAAAAATGTACAAAATGTGGTATGATGGGTTGTTCCTTAGGTCATTTTAAATGTCACAAGACATTGTCCCTTACTAGGATGCAACTAAGGACATTGCTTGCCTTGTTCACTGCTATATCCAATTCTTATAACAGATTCTTGCACACAGTAGGTGCTCAGTAAATACTTACTGAATGAATAAAATATTACTTTAGGTTCTCTTATATAAACATATTGAAGGTAAGGAAATAAGCTTTTCCATGATTGAAAGACTAAGCAAAGCTTTTGGATGAATGTATTTTATTGTACATCACTGAAGAGTTATTTCAATAGAAAATATAACCTACTAGATATCTACTGGAAGACTTGTTTAATGAGGGTCAGTTATGGTTTCATGAATGTTTGTTTGGGCAGGAGCTTTGTTTATTTGGCTATGTGTTTATACATATCCTCATTTTTTTCTAAAAATAATTTGGAAATGATAAAGCAATCTTGGAAATGATCTCCAACTTTTTCATTTTACAGCAGGAAATATCCAAAGCAAGGAAATGATTGTCTTGAATCCAGTTTGGCTACTCTTGAATGGCAACATAAAAGTGTGCTTAGGGCACAGCACTTCTGATATCCTGAACTGAGTTTGATTTTACTAATATCATGGTTGGCTGAGGAGAGAATCAGGACGGGGATCTAGGACCTTTATTCTTCTAGTTTAATCTCCTTGTTTCTTCATCTAAATACAACAGTGTTGTCAAAGCTAAACCAAATACAAGAAAAACACAACTGCTTTTGGGATCTCAGAAATAAATTGTATTCACTAAGAAAACTATATTCCTTTTGAGCTAAGAATCACATTTCATTTTTCGCTATTGTATAAATATCTATTACTACCTCCAGTAATCATCAGCTTTAAATTATTTTGGAAGACAAATTGTGGTTTTACTGCTTGTGTTTAAACTTGCAAAATGTATGGACTCTAAGGTGCTCATCTGTCTTCAGGATCAATGGATATGCTCTGGAGTTGACTCATTCTGCCCTTGGTTTGAGCCATAGGCAGACCTGAAATTGTATGGGCTTAGGAGGACCTTTGTGTCTTTCTTCTCGACACCTGAAGAAAGGACTTCTCCCTTTGTGCCACAGTAGGTCAAAGAAATGTGATGAATACATGAATAAACACTTGAATAAATGAATCAATAACAATGTTCCTCAAGCACTAGCAGTTACTAAGAAAATTTATTCTATTTGATTGTCTTTCTTTTCATTCTTTATAACAGGCACATAGCCAAAGGCAAATTAAAGAAAATGGGATCACTGCTGTTGAAACAACAGACGCCAAAAATGAAAACCTACACAGTTTCCCAAGTTATCACTATCAGAGGAGATCGAAGAGTAGCAAGTGAAAATCAAGAAAAAGATTTTGTTCAGCCAAGATGAGATCTCTTAGAGCATCACATGAAAATTGAAAAGTAATGAAAGAGAGCCTGGTGCAATGGCTCCGGCCTGTAATCCTAGCTATGGGAGAATAACCCTTCAGACCAGGAGTTCAAGACAAGCTGGGGCAACATAGGAAAGCCTGTCTTAAAAAAAGAATTTTTTTTTTTTAATTAAGCAGTCATGGTGGTGTGCACCTGTAGTCCCAACTACTTGGGAGGCTGAGGTTGGAGGATCCCTTGAGCTCAGGAGTTTGAGGCTTCAGTGAGCTTTGATTGTGGCACTGCACTCCAGCCTGTGCATGAGAGCGAGACTCTGTGTCTTTATTTTATTTTTATTATTTATTTATTTTTTGAGACGGAGTCCAGCTCTGTTGCCCAGGCTGGAGGGCAGTGGCACAATCTCAGCTTGCAACCTCCGCTTCCCAGGTTCAAGCGATTCTCCTGCCTCAGCCTCCCGCATAGCTGGGATCACAGGCATGCACCACGACGCCTAGCTAATTTTTATATTTTTAGTAGAGACGGGGTTTCACCGTGTTGGTCAGGCTGGTCTCGAACTCCTGACCTTGTGATCCACCCACCTTGGCCTCCCAATGCGTTGGGATTACAGGCATGAGCCACTGCGTTTGGCCAATTTTTTTTTTTATTTTTTTATTTTTTGAGACTGAGTTTCGCTCTTGTTGCCCAGGCTGGAGTGCAATGGCGCTATCTCAGCTCATTTCAACCTCCGCCGCCTGGGTTCAAACGATTCTCCTGCCTCACCCTCCCCAGTAGCTGGGATTACAGGCATGCGCCACTAAGCTCAGCTAATTTTTTTTTTTTTTTTTGAGGCAGAGTCTCGCTCTGTCGCCCAGGCTGGAGTGCAATGGCGCTATCTCGGCTCACTGCAAGCTCTGCCTCCTGGGTTCATGCCATTCTCCTGCCTCAGCCTCCCGAGTAGCTGGGACTACAGGCGCCCACCACCACTCCTGGCTAATTTTTTTTTTGTATTTTTAGTAGAGACGGGGTTTCACCGTGCTAGCCAGGCTGGTCTTGATCTCCTGACCTCGTGATCCACCCGCCTTGGCCTCCCAAAGTGTTGGGATTACAGGCATGAGCCACCGCGCCTGGCCAATTTTTGTATTTTTTAAGTAGAGATGGGGTTTCTCCATATTGGTCAGGCTGGTCTCGAACTCCCAACCTCAGGTGATCCGCCCACCTTGGCCTCCCAAAGTGCTGGGATTACAGGCATGAACCACTGTGCCTGGCCGACCCTGTGTCAAAAAAAAAAAAAAAAAAAAAAAAAGCAGTGAAAAACGGGCCTGGGACATGCCGTAATGCTTCAATATGGTAGGAACTTTTGCTGAAATTTTGAAACATCTCTGTATTAGTTATTAAACAACCACTGCCTGGACCCAGGAAATGCCTGATAGTTGATGGATCTGCAATGAGTTCCTGTTTAGGCAGAAAAGCGTTTCATGTCAGTTTCTTATAGTAGCCAGTAGAGCCATTCGTACATGGAGGGAGGCGGTAAGTAGAAGACTACTAGGATTCAGGATCCTTCTGAATAATGATTCTCCCATTACAACCACGCTATTCTCAATCATCACTATGTTGCTATTTCCTGGTCATCACAACATGTTTGCAATTGTTCAACTTGGGATAATGTATCTGTTATAATCTTGGTGGTAAGGATCTTCTCTTCACACAATGGAAGGCTTGGTGCGTTTGTGTGTATGTGTGCGTGTATCTATATATATCTGTACTCTACCCATCTAATATAGAGATATATATATAATTGGGAGATTATATGAACATATGATGTTGGGAATTTTTACTATGTAT
This sequence comes from Homo sapiens, assembly GCF_000001405.40. NCBI lineage: Eukaryota > Metazoa > Chordata > Mammalia > Primates > Hominidae > Homo > Homo sapiens. The sequence goes on along the minus strand of NC_000010.11, from coordinate 116,579,333 downwards.
AGAGTAAAAATATATATAAATCTCCTCATATTTAGAATACTTGTTAAATGGTACCATGAAGGTAGAACAAAAATAATATGAAGTTGAAGAACTTTTAATAAAAAGTTACATAAAATAACAGTTCAGATCACTGCCCTAAAAGTGTCTATGGATGCAATTCCGTTGTCTGATTTGTTCTCTTTAGAATATGTGTATATTCAACATTCTTTTTTTTAAATTTTATTATTATTATACTTTAAGTTTTAGGGTACATGTGCACAATGTGCAGGTTTGTTACATGTGTATACATGTGCCATGTTGGTGTGCTGCACCCATTAACTCGTCATTTAGCATTAGGTATACCTCCTAATGCTATCCCTCCCCCTTCCCCTCACCCCACAACAGTCCCCGGAGTGTGATGTTCCCCTTCCTGTGTCCAAGTGTTCTCATTGTTCAATTCCCACCTATGAGTGAGAACATGCGGTGTTTGGTTTTTTGTCCTTGCGATAGTTTGCTGAGAACGATGGTTTCCAGTTTCATCCATGTCCCTACAAAGGACATGAACTCATCATTTTTTATGGCTGCATAGTATTCTATGGTGTATATGTGCCACATTTTCTTAATCTAGTCTATTGTTGTTGGACATTTGGGTTGTTTCCAAGTCTTTGCTATTGTGAATAGTGCCACAATATACATAAATCAGATGGAACTTTGTCCTGAAAACAATAAGCATTCATACCTGGAAGTCATTTAGGTTCCCATTGGTGTACAAAAGGAAACAGGTATTGACACCTTATGGAGCCGAGGGCAATATTTTGAGAGGTCTTTCCATAATTCCTGATCACGGGGCATCATTGCTGAAGCAGCCGAGTCTTGGGTAACAGACTTCTGTTCCTGCAATCTCCTAGATGTGTTTCAAGGATATTAGTTTAACCAGAACACTCTTTTTAATAGCCTCTCTGCCAAAATGTGAGTTAATTTACATTTTGTGGCAGATTTTCCTCCTCTGTTTCCCCAAACACCCTCTTAGCCAAACGCTCACAGAAAATGCCACTGTTACATACAGGCTACTGTTCCTAAAATCTACCACATAAGACCACCTCACTTCCCTTGTGTCTCTGTCCAGTCCCATTCTGAGACTCCTTTTAGCCTCTAAACTCAAATGTTTTCTTTGGGCCTTTGGTACTTTGGGCTTTGGGCCAATATAACTCTGGGCTTTGAACGGAGAGCTTAAGTTTCATGGAAAGGCCACAAAACCCATGTATCTCCATCCTTGCTGTACTGAAGGTCATCTTCATTCCTGTGATGAAGAAGCTGTTCACAAACAACCAAACCGAAAGTCCATGGTTGAACACAACTCTAGGCTTGAATGTCACTCCATAAAGAAACAATCCAAAGAAGTGTTGTTCTCTTTCCTGAGTAGGATAAATCTAGATTAATGGTAGGAGTAAGAGTAGTTGCTGTTGTGGGGGCTGCTTTTCTCAAAATCTTACCATGTGCCAGGTGCTAGGCAAGATGGTTTGCTAATCTGACCTAATTCTCATAACACAGGAGAGGGGGGATCCTATTCTTTACATTTTACAGACAAAGATTCTGAAGCACAGAGGGGTTAATGATTTTGCTCAGGATAATAAAATTGTAGGTGGCAGAACCAGGGTTCAAACCCCTCACTTGACCCCAAGCTAAAGTGGCTAGATTTAACAACAACAATAAATAAATTAAAATTTAACTTGTATATATGTATTTGAATTTCAAATAAGCAATAACATGTTCAATATAAATATATCACATGTTTGTGGGAAACAGTTGCCATTTATCTGAAATGCAAATTTAACTAGGCATCTTAGATTTTATCTGACAACCCTACTCCAAGCACCTGTGCTGTTAGCCATGCATCTCCCTCTCTTGTCATCCACGTCATGCCTTGAATTCGGCTGCCATAGCCCTCTTGACTATTGAACAGTGAATCTTTTCCAACTCCATATTCATATTTTTTCTTACCTGTTACTGCTCCCAGCAGCACTGAAAGAGTCCAGAGTAGCAGCATCTACACAAAGTTAAAAACATGATTGAATCTAAGATTTTTTTTCTTTACAAGATTGGCATAATTCACGTTCATTTAGCCCTCTCTGGGAAAATGGGTAAATTCTGTTAAGTTAGGCCTGGAAAACATGTTCCTGACTCACTGTGGCAGTTCTGTCAGGTTCCACACACAACCAGACAGCAACGAAAGGTCCTTTTATAGGTAAAGCTTATCTTTTTGAGGAGTACCATGGAAAAGTGGCGTGCAAAGAGAGAAAGTTCCATGGATGTATTTCTAATTTTAATTGTGGGTAAGCCAAGGTTGATAGAGTAGGTAATGTTTTCCACAGTAGTTGTGGGAAGATGAGAAAGGCGGTAGATGTGTAATTATGTAATGCTAAGAATCACTATAATTTCATTGTAGTGAAGGTTCTAGTGTCCCTGCCCCTTTTTAGTTTACAATTCTCTGTGCAGGTCTGTGGGCATTGTTTTTACAGATGCAATGACAATAGTCTTATGAACAAATACCAAGAGCCTACCAGGTCATGCAGTTTCTGTATAACCTCGCTTTTTCCTCAAAAACAGCGAAATAAAAGCAATCCTTCAAGAGTTTATTCCTTCTAGAAAAGTAGTTGATATGTTATTTTGATAGTTTGTAGAACTAATTTATTTCTCAGCAGTATCATGGAGGAAAGAATAAACCAGCTGACAAAAGGAATTGGGGGAGTCCAGCCAAGAGCACAGAGGAGGAATCAGCGACCCCACCGTCTGATGGAGTTATCAATAAGAAAGGAAAATATGATTCAACTTGGAAAAAATGGTCTAGAAAAGATAATCTGAAAGGGAAACGTTTGATAGAAGGAACTAGGATGATTTTGTGATATATTGCTTCCAATAAATTTTTAAAAGACAACAAAATGATATTACAATTTACAAGACCAGAACCATTTAGCCTGACAATGTCATAGATACAGGTCGAATCACTGAAACTGCCATGTTTGTAGGTCAAAAGTGGTCAAAAATAATTTAGTTCCCTGCTCAGATACAGAGAAAAACAATAAAATTATTTGTGTACAAGGAAAGTTCAAGAAAGTTTGGCAAGGGAATTGTTAAAATAAAGAAAGAATGCATAAGAGACAAGGGAGGAATTCCAGTGAATAGGAACCATGGCAAATTCCTACACAATCCTTCATGTCTCAGCCCTGATTAGATTGGTAACTCTATTCCCTCAAAGACAGCCTTCTCTTTGAGCTTCCCTCCTTTGAGACCATCACCATCATTTGTGGGTCATAAACTCAGAGAAATTTGGAATTTTCTGGGCCTCATTGTGACATGTTAGCATCTTCCCCAGTGGTTGGTACATTGGCCCTCATCACATTCCTGTTGAATGGATAAACAAACAACTGAAGGAATGAATATGAAAAGCATAACTAAGAAGTTGGACAATCTAAATCAGGATAAATCCAATGAAAATCACACAAAGGCAAAAATAAGTTCAATGATAAAGAAAAAAAGTTATCAAAGTTTGACAGAGAGACCAAAAGATACATTACCTACAGGATAAAGAAGATAAGAATGACCTCAGACTTCTCAGTGGAGACAGAAGAAAATGGAATAGCTTATTTAAAGTGCTGAAAGTCATAGGTCTAAATGTAAAAAGTAAACCAAAACCTTCTAATAGAAAACATAAGAGAAAATCTTTGTTACCTTAGAGTAGACAAAGATTTCTTAAGCAGGACATAAAATTTACTCTATAAAAGTATGATAAACTGGGTTTTATGAACATTAAAACTCTAGTCTTCAAAACACATTGTTAAGGAAATAAAAGGCAAGATACAGACTGGGAAAAAGTGTCTGCAATAAACACATTAACAAAGGACTTGTATTCAGGCTATGGAAAGTACTCTCACAAGTTAATGAAACAAACAACCTAATAAAAGTAAGGCAAACATTTTAATCAATCACTTCACCCAAAAAATTTATGAATGGCCAATAAGCATGCAAACAGATGCTCAACATCTTTCGTCATCAGAGAAATGTACAATAAAATCACAAGGAAATACCATTATAGCCAAGTAAAATGGCAAAAACTGACAATACTAAAGATGTGGAACAATTGGAACTTTTTTCATAAACTGCTAGTGGGAGTATCAAATTTACAATCACTTTGGAAAACAATTTGGTAGTTTCCTATAAAATTAAAGAATCACTTACATATTCACCAGCAATTTCATACTTAGGTATTTGCCCGAGAGATATAAGCATGTGTCAACACAAAGACTTTTATGTGAATATTTGTAGCAGTTGCTATGGTTTGCATGTGTCCCCGAAAGTTTATGTGATGGAAATATAAATCCCCAATGCAACAGATGGAATCTTAGATAGGTGATTAGGTCATGAGAGCTCTGCCCTCATGAATAGATTAATGTCTTTATTGTGGGAGTAGGATTGTTATTTTGAGATTAGGTCTGTTATGAAAGCAAGTTCACCCATCTCTTTTGTCTTGCATGCTCTCTTGCCATGTGACGCACTCCACTGTGTTAAAATACAGCAAGAATGCCCTCATGAGATGCAGCCATTTGATCTTGAACTTTCCAGCCTACAGAACCATGGGCCAGATACATTTCTATTGTTTGTATATTACCCAGTTTGAGGTATTCTGTTATAGCAACACAAAATGGACTAAGATAGCAGCTTTATTCATAGTAGCCCCAAGATGGAAAAAATGCAAATGTGAACTGACTGATGAAGGGATAAAAAGCTATGCTATATTAATACAATAGACTACCACTCATATATAAAGAAAAGAACTATGAATAAATGCAGCCATATGGACGTATCTCAAGCATCTTAAACTAAATAAAAGAAACACAATAACAAAGTATGCATACCACATTATTATCCTTACATGATATTCTAGAACAGGCAAAACTAATCTATAATGACAGGGAGCAGGTCAGTGTCTGCCTGGGTTGGGGGTGAATTAGGGGAATGTTTTCAGGAAATAATGGAAATGTTTCATTGTACACATGGACATATACATTTTTCAAGAGTTTGATTGTATACATGGATATATACATTTTTCAAAACTCATTGAACCATACTCTTAAATTGGGTGCATTTTCTTGTGTGTAAAATGTACTTCAATAAAATTGAAAAAATTTTACATGCCAGGCCCATGCTAAGTGCTCAGAAACTATTCATTTAATTGAATTCTGTTAAGGGTGGCTGACAACTGGATGGTTCTGTCAATTCACTTCTCTTGATATTTTGATCCTGGTAATTCATTCATTCACTCATGCCTTGTTTCATTGTCAGTTGTATATCTTCTGCATGACTCCTAGTTGCTGTCAGAGGTCCTGTGAATAATTAAGACCCAGAACTCTTTCATGCTAGCAGCAGAAATGATGAGAATTGCCCAAATTCCAGATATATTTTGAAGACAGGACTGACAGGATTTGGATGGGAGTTGGGGAAATGGAGATGAGTTAAGGATGACTCCCAAATTTTGGCTTGAGCAACTGGAAAGGTGAAATTGCATTAACTAAGATGGGGAGGGCTGCATGTCAGTGGAGCAGGTTTGAGGGGGAGACCCAGAGTTCAGTTTTGGGCATGGTTAAAATGAAATGTCTTCTTAGAGTCTAAGTGGAGATGGAGAGTAGGCAGTTATTCTGTAGTTCAGAAGAGAGGTCCAGGTAATAAACATCAACTTGGGGTTCATCCATTTCACATAAAGCCATTAGTCTAGATGAGATGAGGTTCAAGTGCTAAACCCTAAGGCCCTACAATGTTACAAGCACAGGGAAATGAGGAAGACTTGAAAAGAAACAGCCAGTGAAGATGGAGGAGAACCAAGGGAAAGTGGTGTCCTGGAGACAAAGAGAAGAAAATGTTTCAAGGAGATGAGATGATCAATAGGCTCAGAGGTAAGAATGGAGTTGACTGTAACAATGGAGAAAATGAGTGAAAACAATGATTTGGCTAGGTGGAGGCTAAGAGAGATTTCTATTGAAGTTACAATTTTCACTCTGTCTTTCAACTTTCTCTTTCTTTCCCTTCCTTCCTTCCTTCCTTCCTTCCTTCCTTCCTTCCTTCCTTCCTTCCTTCCTTCCTTCCTTCCTTTCTTTCTTTCTTTCTTTCTTTCTTTCTTTCTTTCTTTCTTTCTTTCTTTCTTTCTTTCTTTCTTTCTTTCTTTCTTTCTTTCTTTCTTTCTTTTTTTTGAGACGGAGTCTCCTTCTGTCGCCCAGGCTGGAGTGCAGTGGTGCGATCTTGGCTCACTGCAAGCTCCGCCTCCTGCATACAACTCCAAGGTGCACGAAGCCAAAACACAATCAAGACATGCCAGTTTGTCTCCATCCTGGCTGCAAACCAGAGTCACCTGGGAGAAAAAAAAAAGAACAGACAAATCCCAGGCCCCACCCCAACCAATTAAAGGGTAATCATAAGCCACAGGCCCCTTTAAAAAGCCCACAGGTGATTCCCATGTGCAGCTAGGTGAGAGTCCGCCCTGATATAGGAGTATTTAACTCCCAGGGCTCCTGGGCAGACTCTCTCTGAGAAATTACTATGTGTTTCCATTTTGATGATAATCTATTTTTACCAGTTATAGAAATAAATCTTCCTTTTTGTTGTGATAATTTGTAGCAGAACTTTTGTTTCCTGAGCTGAGGCTTAATAGAATGAAGTCAGTAGGAATATTCCAGGGGGTCGTGAGAGGTTTCTTTTTTGAGATGGAGTTTTGCTCTTGTCGCCCAGGCTGGAGCGCAGTGGCGCGATCTTGGCTCACTGCAAGCTCCACCTCACAGGTTCACGCCATTCTCCTGTCTCAGCCTCCCAAGTAGCTGGGACTATAGGCACCTGCCAACACACCCGGCTAATTTTTTTTTGTATTTTTAGTGGAGACGGGGTTTCACCGTGTTAGCCAGGATGGTCTCTATCTCCTGACCTCGTGATCCGCCCGCCTCGGCCTCCCAAAGTGCTAGGATTACAGGTGTGAGCCACCGTGCCCGGCCTCTTTCAACATTTTATTAGGAACATGACGCATTTAGCTGACCACCCAGCCGTTATTCTCTGAGATTTAGAATTTTTTGCCACCTTTTATATCTTAACAGCCACACTTTTCCCTGATGCAAACACAGTTGGGGTTCTATCCGTGTAGATCCCAGCGCCTTGTTTTCTGTCTGTGTTATGGCTCACAAAACAACGTTCAATGAAAATTAAATGATCAAGTAGACAAAAAAATGAAATATATGAAGCACTCTTCCTTGTGCCTTGTGTGCCAGAAACCAATTCCAAGTCTGCACATGAATGGGGCCGTCCAATTGTAATGTGAGACATCTCTCCAGCACACTCCAGATAGTAAACAATATGCCAATGATGCTATGTAACATCTAAGGTAGTCATGTGATAAGGGAATTTGGCTGATAGCATACTTTTCGTTTTCTCCCCCAGTATAACAGGTATCATTATTATTTTGGCTTGTTTTTTAGGCTTCTGTGTGATAGTGTGATTTGCAACAGTTTTTACTACAAGAAATGTAATTTTGAATAATGACTGTAGCTGTGGGTTTATTTCTACCTTTAACTACAAAATTAATTGATTTCATCCTGGAAAGCATTATTTGTTGCTTGTTTTAGAAAAAGATCAATTATTTATCTGAGCATACAAAGATATTATTTGAAAATATTATGAAAACGTCAACATCATCAACTCTACTTAGGGCAAATATTCGTGACTAAAAGCAATGCAGAACAGGGAGTTGGGTACAGGATACTGTATAGGACAAATGATCTCAGATCTAGTATCAGCCAAGTTTAGTTGATCATTGTTGTGTATCCCATTAGCAACACCACATTTTCCACTTGTTTCAAGATATAAAGATTGATAGGGGGGAGTTTCATATGAGTCTTATCCACTGTTTCAGTTACAATCTTATTCTGAGATATTGTATTTGTGTTAGTATTTTCATTGCTGCTTTTTCACTTCAATGAACCACTTGAAGCCATTGATTTTTTTTCACAGCCCAAAATGAGAATATAACTTAACAGAATGAGAATAATATAAAATGCACATTTAACACATGAGAGTAAGCTACTACTTGCAAATGATGTGAAAATACATTCACCCACAAAAAATGTTTTCTTAGTGAAGGAAATGATGCTGAGGCAAAATGTCAGAGGGCCTCTGCATCACATATGACCACAATTCTTAAGAAAGGAAGGGAATTTCTGTGGAAATATTAATAGATTTTATAACCCAAATTTGTCAAAAGTGAGAGAAATATTTCTATTACATTCCTTACTAAAACTGAGAAACCACCTAGATTGATTACAAAAATGGTCCCAGTTCCCTGCTACTCTCCCTAGCAATGCCTTTTGCAATATGACTTTTAAGCTCCTCCCATTAAGAAATAGAGTCTATGTATTCATCTTTGAATTTGTGCTTACCTTGTGACTTGCTTTGTTCAATAGAATGTGGGGAAAATGATATTTTGCTACTTCTGAGCCTAGGCCTCAAGCAGTCTTCCTTGCTTATGCTCATTTTCTTGGTCCCTTGGGAGTTCAAGTTCAATAGCACAGGCTAGCATGCTGAAGGATGAGAGATCATGTGGAGGAAAGCCAATGCACACAGGCCCTACTAAACCATCCAGCCCTCTGCCAACCTACAAGCTGACCACCAATAAATACATGAGTGAGACCAAGCAAAATCAGCCAACCCTGCCCCAGATCAGGAGATCTGTCTGTTGGCCCACAGGACCATAATACATGATTATTGTTATTAAGTCACTGAGCTTTGGGGTGATGTGCTATGCAGTGCTAGCCAACTAATTCATCAGCTGTCTTCTATTAGGTGGATCACACTTCGAGAAACATCAAATAAGACAGAAAACTCCATGAGGGTAGGGATGATACCTATATTTTCAACTTTAGTTCTCTGATATTAGACTAGGGCTTGGCACATTGTCAACATTCTCTAAGCACTTCTTGAATTAACAAATTCATCAATTCTCTGCCATTGTCTCTACCACTATCTTACATCATGCATTCTGAACATTATCAGCATCCTTTCACAAATGTTCATCTCTTAGGGGAAGAAAAATTTGATTTAGGGTTCTAAAAGTAGTATTTCCAAAAAATTTATTGAGTTTAGAAATATAGAAATAATTTGAGTAAACCATTCATTTGAAATGATTAAACTAACTTGGAAACAGCTTCGTTATGATGAAAATGGATATCTTTCTTTACAAAAGATTTTTAACTGATTTTTAAAAATTAAACTCCTTTGTTCAATCTTATTAAATGAGTAAATTTGCACATAATCCTATTTCTTCATTGATTTTTATTATTCATTATTCATCATTATCATTAATGTTTAGGAAAGTTTCATGAGGTCCTCATGGTAATTACAATTATAAACATTCATTAAGCACTCACGTGATAAACATTGCATTATTCTCTTTACAGGGAAGTGCAGTGCTTAAAAATGACATCTATAGACTAAAGATGCCAAAGTTTATGTGTCTAACCTAGATTTCTGTCCTCACTTCTGTGCTTATATATCCAAATGCCAGCATGCCATGCCCAGTTGCATGCCTGATGAGCCTCTCAAATTTGACATGACTAAAACTGACCTTCTGACCTGCCTCTTCAAAATCGTGCCTCTCAAAGCATGTCCATTTCAGGCAATGGCAACTCCATCCTTCCAGTTGTAATGATGACCCATGAGTCATTCTTAACTCCCTTTTTCATTTAGATATCAATTCCTTCTCTATATAGTTCATGTACATTGAGGATGCTGGCCTTGTTCTTTGCCCAGGAGTGTTCACTGATTGACTTAAGACAATCAGCACATTCTACTCCCATGGTCAGGGGCCAATAAGAGTGAATCTCACAAGTTTTGTGAGAAAAAAATAGGAAAGAAGATGCACTTTCTCTCCTTGTTGAATGTGAAATAAATGTTTATAGCCTCAATTGTGGGAGATGGCCATTCTTCAACTGAGAAGGGAGCCAGACTTGGTATAGAACTAGCACCATAGATATCAGAAGATAGAAAAAGAAAGTGGCTTTTGAAGAGGTTATTGAGTGACTGGGTCATCAAAACCTGAAGCTTCCTCGACCTCTGAACTTTCCAATCATGTGAGCCAAACACTTCCTTGTTGTTAAAGCAACTTTGAATTGGAGCTTTTGATTCATGCAAGTGAAACATCCTAATTAATATAAACGGGTGGCCCTTTAACAAGTCTTTGTGTGTTGATTAACTTCATATATTTTGGTGAAATACAGAATAAATGGCATTTTCAATTTTTCATAGCCCTGTGCCTTTGGCTATGCTGTTCCTTGTCTCTGGAGTGCCCTTTCCACCATGTCCTCTTAGCAAATCCCTACTCAACTTTTAAGACCTAACACAAATATCCCTTTCTTTCTTAGGATGTATTGTTTAGACATGGCCTAATTTTAAGTACCTGACCCTAGTGGACTCATTCGTTGGTCCCATTAGTGGGAAAGTCATACAAAAAATACATATTTTCTCTTCTACTATATGCCAGGCATGTGCCAGGCACATACAATGGGAAAACTCCTTAAGGAGTTTAGAAATGGGCTATACAGAGAAGTGAGCCAGCAAGCAATTACAATATGGGAAGTCCAGTGTTGAGACGGCAAAATGTCTGGGTGTGGTGGGAGTATAATAGTGGTAAGCCCCTCATCAAGTCTTAGTGGGTATGGATAATGGAGGTGAGTCCTGGAGGAAGTGATGTCTACAAAAAGATTTAAGAACCAGTAGGAGCTTAACAGACAGGAAGACAGAGAAAAGAACATCCCAGGAAGAAGAAGAGTTCCTGACAACATCCAGCAGCATCAGAGATCAAGACAACCCTCTTGGGGGACAGGGTCAGAATGTAGAGTTCCAGAAGGAACATAGTGAAAGATGAAGCTAGAGTCCAAGGAGACAACCAGACCAAGAGGGACCTCACAAGGCTTACTAAAGAATATGGATTCTGTCCTGGGGACCACTGGGAAGATGATTTATTTGCGCTTTAGAAAAATCAAAGAGGCTGCAGAAGTGAGGGGTTTGGGGGAGCCCCACATAGACCAGGTAGACCTGTTAGGGAGCATTGGATCTGTCTAGTCCTTATCTCCTTGTGTGTCATTTCCCCTGAGATATCTGATTAGGAGCAGACACAGAACTTAAAGATTATGGAAAAAGTGGCAATTGTGAGTCTTTCCATGTGAGCCCACCAAGAGGGGGTCATTTTGGACATGGAAGACTGCCTTAAGTGACCAGAATGGCATAAGTAATATTGATAATGAACATGATGACAGTACCATGTAAACAACATTCTTAAGGTCAAATATGCAGCAAAATTTAACAGCCATTGGTGGTTCTTTTGACCAACTCCAAATTTTGGATTTTAGTCACTTCATCCAACAGATTCACTTGAAACAATCGAGGTTTTGGACAAAAGAAACAGGCATGTAATGCATCACCACTAGATTTTATTAGAAGTCAATTCATTGGTCAAATAACAGTAGTCTCCTAACACGGTGTGAGGGTGAGCAGAACTTCCTCCCTGACGGTTTCTGGACTACAGAAGTTGAACCTGTGGAGAAAAAACAACACAAAGTCACCTCCTCTTCCTGGCACATATCTGGAGTGTGACAGTGAGGACAATCTATGCCCCCAACCTCCTAGTCTGAGGGAAGGGCGCACCCTGTGCTGGAGACCAGACAATGGCTGAGGGAAGACCTCTTCTACATAAAGGACTGAATTCTCCTTTCCAGTGTTATTTTCTGGTTGTGCAATAGCTGAGAGAGAAGCTGTCAGTAGACGCCCCAAAGAAAAAGAAAGACTCATTTGTCATGAGCAGTCACTGAACACTTAGCCCATGTCAACCAATGCAACTCAGGAACAGCAGAGTCACCATCATAAGAAATCAGCCCAGTGTATAAAGTCTAATTTCTGGTGTTACGTTGGCTAACCATTATTTTAATTCAATATTTGAACTGAAATGACAAACTTTTCTCATTGTGACTGAACAATATGCCTTCTTTCCCTGTGTGGATCAAATAAAGGAAAGGAAGGAAGGAAGGAAGGAATAAAGAAAGAAGAAAGAAAGAGAGAAAGAGAAAAAAAGAAAGAAGGAAAGAAAGAAAAGAAAGAAAGAGAAAGAAAGAAAAGAAAGAAAGAGAAGAAAAGAAAGAAAGAAAGAAAGAGAAAGAAAGGAGGGAGGAAGGATGGAAGGAATGAAAAGAAAGAAGGGAGGGAGGGAAGGAAAGAAGAAAGGAAGGAAGGAAAGGACAGAGGGAGGGAGGAAGGGAAGAAGGAAGGAAGGAAGAAAGGAAGGGAGGGAGGGAAAAAAGGAAAGAAAGAAAGAACAGGCTGAACAATACTTAGGATGCTTTGGAATATTTTTCTTTAATAAAATACCTTACCATATGTAAACTACCAGGAACAGAAAAAAAGTGCTCAGAAAATGTTTTTTTCCCTTCACGCTCACTTCCTCAATGACTGGCAGCCTCACAAATAGGAAATTAAAGGTTAAAACTGTTATCAATCAGGGACACAAGAAAAGAAAGGCACCAATATTTATACATGATTAAAGGTGAACTGAATTTTTTTGTAGTAGTTAAGAATTTTGTAGAGTCAAACTTCCTGCATAGAAATTCAGAAACAGTACCTTAATTAATTATCCATAAAATAAGGATAATAAAACCATCTACCTCATAGGATATATATTTTTGTTTTAACAGCTTTATTGAGCTTTAATTTACCTGGAATAAACTGTACATATTTAAATTGATACGTTTTCACACACACACAACACACACACACCTCTGAAGCCATCACCAACATCAAAGTTATTAACATATCTATCATCCCCCAATTTTCTTTCTTCCTCTTTGTAATTGCTTCTTCCCATTCCCTCCAATATTCACTCCTCCCAGGCAACCACGGCTCTGCTGTCACTATAGAGTAGTTTGAATTGTCTGGAATTTTATATAAATGGAATCTAAGGTGTGTGCACTCTTGTCTAGCTTTTCATTCAGTATAATTATCTCGAGATTCATCCATATTGTTGAGTGTACCATTAGTTCATTCCTTGTTACTGCTGAGTAATATTCCATTGTATGGACAGACCATAGACCATAGTTTGTTTATCCATTCCTCTATTGGTAGACATTTGGATTATTTCTACTTCTTGGCTGTTACAATAAAAGCTGCTACAGGCCAGGCACGGTGGCCCACACATGTAATCCCAGCACTTTGGGAGGCCAAGGCAGGTGGATCACCTGTGGTCAGGGGTTCGAGACCAGCCTGGCCAACATGACGAAAACCAGTCTCAACTAAAAATACAAAAATTAGCTGGGCAGGGTGGCGTATGCCTGTAATCCCAGCTACTGGGGAGGCCGAGGCAGGAGAATCGCTTGAACCCAGGAGATGGAGGTTCAGTGAGCCAAGATCGTGCCACTGCACTCTAGCCTGGGTGACAGAGCAAGACTCTGTCTCAAAAAAAAATTGCTATAAATATTCATGTACAAATCTTTTGTATAATCATATGTGTTCTTGCCTCATGGGTAAATATCGAACACCAAAATCGCTGACTCAGCGAGATGTATTGGAAGGTCGAGGTGGGTGAATCACTTGAGGTCAGTTTGAGACTAGCCTGACCAACATGGTGAAATCCCACTTATACTAAAAATACAAAAATTAGCTGGGAGTGGTGCTGCTGCCTGTAATCTCAGCTACACAGGCGGCTGAGGCAGGAGAATCACTTGAACCCAGGAGGCAGAGGTTGCAGTGAACTGAGATCGTGCCACTGCACTCCAGCCTGGGTGACAGAGCAAGACTCCATCTCAAAAAAAAAAAAAAAAAGTGCATTTTATATAGCCAGAATACAATTGGATATTGAGTTTTAAAAAATACAGTGGGGTAAGTTTTGTCTTCTAATTGTAGTATTTAGACCATTTTTACTTTATATGATTATTTACATGGCTAGATATGAGTCTATTGTCTTCTATTTGTTTTCCATTTGTCTCCTATATTCTTTGTTCTCTTTTAGCTCTTTTTTTTTTTTTTTTTTTTTTGAGACATTGTCTCGCTCTGTCACCCAGGCTGGAGTGCAGTGGTGCGATCTTGGCTCACTGCAAGCTCCGCCTCCCGGGTTCACGCCATTCTCCTGCCTCAGCCTCCTGAGTAGCTGGGACTACAGGAGCCCACCACCACGCCTGCGTCGTGTATTTAGTAGAGACGGGGTTTCACCGTGTTAGCCATGATGGTCTCGATCTGACCTCATGATCCACCCGCCTCGGCCTCCCAAAGTGCTGGGATTACAGGTGTGAGCCACCACACCCGGCCCCTTTTAGCTCTTTTTATACTCTATTTTGGATTATATTTTATTCCATTTTATCTCCTTGTTTGGTTTACTTGCTATTATCCTTTGTTTCATTACTTTAGTGGTTGTTTCATTATTTGTTTCATTATTTTAGAATTTATAGCGCATATTTTTAACTTATCACACCTTCAAGGGAAAGTATACCAATTCATAAATGGTATAAGAACCTTCCAATAGTATATTTTCAGGTCTCCCCTCCTGCCTTTTATGTCATTGTTATATTTTACTTATACATATATTATTTACTCCCCAAAATACTGTCATTATTTTTTAAATAGTCAATTTTTTCAAAGAGAATTTAGTAATAAGAATTAAAAATATTATGTATTTATCATGTATTTCCTATTTCCTGTGTTCTTAATTTCTTTTAGTGAATTCTTTTCTACCTGGTATCATTTTCCTCTGCCTGAAGGCCTTCCTTTGACATTTCTTTTAGTGTTAACCTGCTGGTGAGGAATTATTTCAGTTTTAAAAGTCTTTATTTCATCTTTGTCTTTGAAAGATATTTATGGGTATAAATTCCAGGTTAACAGTTTTTCCTTTCCATACTCTAAGATGTTGTTTCACTGCCTTCTGGCTTGCATTGTTCCTGATTAGAAATTTGCTGTTATTTTTTTCTTTACTCTTCTAATGTGTGGTTTTTCTCTGACTGCTTTCAATATTTTGTCTTTATAATTGGGTTTCAACATTTTTTTATTTGTGTAAGTTTAAGGGAACAAGTGAAGTTTTATTAGATGGATATATTGTATAGTGGTAAAATCTAGGTTTTTAGTGTAATCACCTGAATAATGTACATTCTACCTGGTTTGAGCATTTTGATTTTTATGTGTATTGGTGCTGTGCTGTTTTCTTCATGTTTCTTGTGATTTTCTTTGATCTGTTGGTTTATAGTTTTCACCATGTTTGAAAATTTTCAAGGTATTATTTCTTCACATATATTTTTCTGTCCCTTCTTTGTTAGGGTCTTCAAAGACCTAAAAAAGGGTCTTATTTCAAATAAATAAGCCTTATTATTATTGTCCCACAGATCACTGATGTTCTTTTAAAGTTATTTTTAAGATTTTTTTCTCTGTGTATTTCATTTCAGAAAGTTTCTATTATGTATTCAAGGTCATTAACCTTGTCTTCTATAATGTCTAATCTACTGTTAATTACATTCTGTGCATTTTTTGTTTGTGACATTGTATTTTTCATCTCTAGAAACTCAGTGTGGGTCTTTTTCTATATAGGTTGAGCATCCTAAATCCAAAAATAAAAAAATCCATTCCTGAGTTACTTGACTCAGAAATGGAAAACCAAACATCGTATGTTCTCACTGTTATGTGGGAGCTAAGCTATGATGACGCAAAGGCATAAGAATGATACAAAGGACTTTGGGGACTTGGGGAGAAGAGTGGGAGGGGCGAGGGATAAAAGACAACATATATGGTGCAGTGTATACTGCTCAGGTGATGGGTGCACCAGGATCTCACAAATCATCACTAAAGAACTTACTCATGTAACCAAATACCACCTGTACCCCAATAACTTATGGAAAAATAAAATATATTAAAAATAAATAAAAAATCCAAAATGCTCTGAAATTTGAAACTTTTGATTGCCAACATGATGCTCAAAGGAAATGCTTATTGGAACATTTCAGATTTTGGATTTTTTTTTAATTTTTGATGCTCAACTGGTACATATAATGGAACTATTCCTAAAGTCTAAAGAAATTCAAAATCTGAATCACTTCGGATCTCAAGCATTTTGGATGAGAAACACTTAACCTGTATATGCCATGCCTTTACTGACCTTTTAAGCAAATGGATACAGGTTTAAGAACTGTTTTAATTTTCTCCTCTGCTAATGTAACATCTATGTCAGTTTTGTTTTGGTGTCGATTGATTATTCTCCTCATTATAGGCTGTATTTTTCTGCTTCTTTATATACCTGGGAATCTTTGAGTCAAAGTCAGATACTGTGGATTTTAGAGTTTTAGGTACTTGATAATTCTGGATCTTTATAAATATTCTTGACCTTTTTGTTCTGCAATGCAGTTATTTGGAAACAGTTTCTTTACAGATCTTGGTCAATATAGGTAAATTATTTTCCACTATAAAGCAAGACCTTCTAAAATACTCTACCCTGTGTCCTTTGAATTATAAACTTTTCCAGACTGCTTGGTGGAAACAAGCACCATTCTCAGTCCTGCAAAAGTAGGGGAACTATTTTCTCTAATCCATCAAATGGATATTTCAATGACCTCCAGCTGGTTTGTTCTCATACATGGGTCAATCAGTACCTTGATGAATATTCAGGGAGACTTTTCATAATCTCTGGGATTCTCCCTCAGCAACTCTCTCCTCTCTGGTATGCTGTCCTGTGAAATCTACTTCCCTGGATCTTCTCATTCTTAGCTCTGATTCTTTAACTTAAGGAGTCCACTGAACTCTGCCTGGGTTTCTCCTCCCTGTGACACATCCTGGAAATCTCTCGGAGCAGTAAGCTGGGGCAACTGCCAGGCTCCATCTTGTCCGTTTTTGTCTCTCAGCAATCACTATCCCTTATTCCTCAATGTTCAGTGTCTGGAAAACTGTGTTTTCATGTACTTTGTTTGAATTTTGGTTATTTCAGTCAGGCCAGTAAATCTGGGCTCTGTTACTCCATCTTTGCCAGAAGCAAAGTCTTCTCATTTGGTTTTTATGAGGATGGAAGGATAGAATGACAGAAGCACAGTGCTTGCCTCAGAATTTGGCCTAATACTCAGAAATACTTGGTCTAGTATTGGTATTGTTATGATTATCACCAGATCACCTTTCCTGGTAGTTCACCATCCTTTGGCTCCCACACACTCCAGTCCTGGTTGAAACCAAGAATTATCTCCTGGACCTTCGTCTTCACTAAGAAGACCAGTGATTTGGAAAAGCCTATTTCTATTCCTTGAAACATTCACTGTGTTTCCAGCAACTTAAACAGCAATTAGGTGAGCCTGGGAAGTTTGGAAGATGCACACAAGAAGCACTCACATAGCACGAAGCACAGCTGCCAAAGGAAACATTCCTCTCACCTTAGAATCATGAAGCCGGTTTCTCATTCTAACATTTAATTTGTATCAGCTAACACACATCTATCATGAATTGATCAAAGCTGTTTCCTAAAGTTCTACCCTTTTCCCTAAAGAAACAGAAGGCATTAGGAAGCAACTGCAACTAGGATGTAGGCGATCCCCTGTAGGAGGTTTCACTTAAATTAGACTTTTAGTGGGAATAGAACTATAAACACAGACTCGATATTTCACATCTCCTGGGATTTTCATTACTTACTGTTTTCCAACATTTGTCTCCACTATAATCTTGGATGCTCCCACTCTAGGTAAAGTTGGGTTGATCACATTGTTATACCAAATAAATTTAACCATCTGCAAGTCCCCAACATCCACATCTGAGTCAAATTCATTGGAATGAGTACTATCTGGTTTGAGAGTGCCCCTAAGGATTTAAGAAGTTAACAAAAACATACATGAGCATACATGTAAATATATACATATATATTTGTGTGTATGTAAGTGTGTACATATATACATACACATTTATGTTTCTAAGACCAGCTTACAATGCATTTCTGGCTAAGGTGATTGGCAGTACATTTGCATTCTAACATATTAAACAAATTCAGACATGCATGCTAACTCAGTGGTAGTCCATTTGCCATGAACATCTCATATTAGTCACCTTTACTTTAGTAAAACTTCAAACATGTATTAGTCACCATTCCCCCACAATTTAATAAATGATGAGAGTATGCCATCATCTTTTCACATGTGTTTTGTGGGCAGACTAATTAATTACTGATCATAAATCAGATGCCAGTTATCAAAGCAAACATGAATGGTTTTATCAGGAAATAGCATGAAAATATTTAGAAACTGAATTCTGAATGGTACTAAGGCGTAAGGATGACATAATTGCTTCCTTTTCCCTTATACATGTCAGTACTCTACTTCCATTTAGTAATGAATAGACAAACTCTTATGTCGATGACATACATTATACATGTGCAGTATTCCAACATTAAGAAGCATTGGCTGGCCACCATGGCTCATGCCTGTAATCCCAGCACTTTGGGAGGCCTAGGTGGGTAGGTCACCTGAGGTCAGGAGTTTGAGACCAGCCTGGCCAACATGGTGAAACCCCATCTCAATTAAAAATACAAAAATTAGCCAGGCGTGGTGGTGGGCGCCTGTAATCCCAGCTACTCGGGAGGCTAAGGCAGGAGAATTGCTTGAACCCTAGAGGCAGAGGTTGTAGTGAGCCAAGATTGCACCACTACACTCCAGCCTGGGTGACAGAGCAAGACTCCAGCCCCGGCGACACAGCGAGACTCCGACTCAAAAAAAAAAAAAAAAAAAAGCATAGAGCAATATTATTTTACTCACTTGAAAATTTCATACTGCTTAGAGTTTCCTTTATTTCCGAACAAAGAAACTAGTATGTGTCCTGTAACCTTTTTTCCAGACAGTGTGACAGATACCTTATACCTCCAACCTGCAAGGGAGAAAAATTGCAAAATGTCAGTTTGGAGATAAAAGACACTAAAAACAAGTTAATTTGCATCCCACTACTGCCACGTTTTGAATAATTTATTTATAATTGTGTGTGTGTGTGTGTGTGTGTGTGTGTGTGTAATTTTCTAATGAAATAGTGATAGATATTCCTTTATATGTGTTTAGGGGACAGGCATTAGGTAATAGGGGCTTTGCAGAATTTTTTCAAAGTTAAGACAGATTTTTTTTCAAGCCAAGGGACTAAGGAATACATTTAGTTTTCAATTTCCAACCTGACAATTTATCCTTGAAAGTTATAAGAACTTTATGTTAAAAGGTAGTTGTAAAATTGTGAACTGTGACATTTTTTCAGTTTAATTTATTTTCATAGATCACCAAATTTTAGGGTACTGCTATCTTTTTGTCTAAATATCTACATTTATTTTCAAAATTCTATAATTCAACTTTTCATTGCCTTTGGGAATATATTAATTTATGAAAACCAAAAGAACGTTTTCTTGGTGCTAGCCAATAGTTTGCCATTTAGAGATAGGCAGAGCAAATTGGGGAGGAGATAAAATTTGTCATTAGTATTTAAAAATGTCGGTAACCCCATTAACTCTCATCCAAATAATTTTATTCCTCTGTTATTTGGAAAAGAAACCCAGAACCTGTTCCCATTCCTACCACTCCTCCAGCCTCTAATTCCCATCACCCATGGAGCCTACAATCCTAAACGTCTCTTAAATCTGTCAATGTCTTTCCATTCTCACAACCTCTGCCATCTCTCTCTCCTAGATTACTTTTCTGCTTTTACAAAAATCTCAGAATTTTGTTCAGTGAAACTTTTGACTGAATATAAAGAGGCTGGAGCAGAGAAAGCCTTCTGAATTCAGCACCAGAATCAAATATGAAGAAACTTATTTTTGCAGCATTAAGAGTCCAGGACCCAAACTCCGTTCTGCCACCCTAATTAGCTATAATTACCTTGAACATAGCATTGAGCATTTTTCCACCTTGCAGAGGGGGTGTTTAAAGCTTTTGTATAGAAAAGCAAGTATGCACATTTTCAGTGGACATAATAATAAAATATATAGCAATAAGAATATAAGATACAGAAAACAGAAACTTACGTGCAAAATTACTGGCATCACCAGTGTCTAGATAAAATTTCTGGCCCACATCATTTGTTTTCCCAGGATATCTATCAGCATAGTGACCCATCTGTGGGCAGCCTCCACTTGGACAAGGGAAACACTTGTTCTAGTGAAAACAAACAAATGATGAATGAGGATGCCCTATCTTTTAGTTGTGTACCATATTTCCTACATGTTGTCGCCATTCAAATATTCTAAAGCCAGTTCTGTTCTGATGATAAATGGGGACTTTAATAGTGTCTCAGCAGCAAAGATTAACAATGCATTTCATTATTCACAACAGTAAGTCACCAACTTCACTGTCAAACAACACAATACTATAAAAATCTACAACGAGCCGGGCGTGGTGGCTCACGCTTGTAATCCCAGCACTTTGGGAGGCTGAGGCAGGTGGATCACCAGAGGTCAGGAGTTCGAGACCAGCCTGACCAACATGGTGAAACCCCGTCTCTACTAAAAATGCAAAAATTAGTTGAGCATGGTGGCAGGCGCCTGTAATCCTAGCTACTCTGGAGGCTGAGGCAGGAGAATCGCTTGAATCCAGGAGGCAGAGGTTGCAGTGAGCCGAGGCTGCACTATTGCACTTAAGCCTTGGGCAAGAGAGCAAGACTCCATCTCAAAAAAAAAACAAATCATACAATGAGAGAATATGTGTGTGTGTGTGTGTGTGTGTATCTATCTTCTATTTTTTCTCTTTTGCCTAATTTGCTCCCAAGACATTCATCTACTTACAGCTAGAATTTATTTTAGAAAGATTGCATAAGTTGGCTGTGCATGGTGGCTCACACCTGTAATCCCAGCACTTTGGGAGGCCAAGGCTGGAGGATCACGAGGTCAGGAGATCAAGACCATCCTGGCTAACATGGTGAAACCCCGTCTCTACTAAAAATACAAAAAATTAGCCGGGCATGGTGGCGGGCGCCTGTAGTCCCAGCTACTTGGGAGGCTGAGGCAGGATGGTGTGAACCCAAGAGGTGGAGCTTGCAGTGAGCCAAGACAGCGCCACTGCACTCCAGCCTGGGTGACAGAGCGAGACTCCGTCTCAAAAAAAAAAAAAAAAGAAAGAAAGATTGCATAAGTAGAACAGAGATTATAATCAGCTTCTGATAAACAAAATAGAATTTATTAGGAGGACAATAGGCTCAAAAGTCAGGCTTTTTTCAATTCTTTTTTTTTTTTAAAGGTTTAAAAATGTTAGCCAGGATGGTCTCGATCTTGACTTCCTGATCCACCTGCCTCGGCCTCCCAAAGTGCTGGGATTACAGGCATGAGCCACCGCGCCCGGCTTTTTTCAATTGTTTTAGCTCATGTTTAGCATATCAAGCCCTGAAGGATTCAGATCCCGGAATTTTCTCTATGTGAAGAGAAAATGCCCCAGCTAGCCTAAGGCTTACTGTGAGGCTGATACCTGGAGAAGACATATTCGTATAGGAAAATACCCCTTATTTCTGGACCAAGGACTTCTGGGAAAAAGAGATGGAGAGGGAGGAACCAAGTTGGCAGGACAAGTGTCCCAATTCCCACTGTGAGGGGCAGGGCTACTCTACAGTGAAGGCAAGTGGTGGACTCCTGGCTCAATGGACCATATTATGGGCTTATCACAGTCCCAGGGTTGGCATTCAACAAAATCCAGGTGTTGCCTAAGCCAGCCGGGAAGAAATGGCCAAAGCTCTCTGAGGGCATTGCTAGAGCCAGAAGAATAGACAAGCCCAAGACGTCATCTCTAAATACAGCAGTGTGCCCATCAATAAAACAGGCAAGGCTATTACCCAGAGTCGAAAGGAGCCCAAAAACTTTACACCCATGGACTCCCAATTCATTTCCTCTGCTGAACACACATCGACCACCACCACCAGATCACCTGGCCCCAGCACTCACTTGGAGAGAAGCTTAGAAGGGAGTGCAAAGGTGAAGAAATCTGCAAGACTGAGACATTTTTTCTTATACAAGTGATGAGTATCACTTGAAAGAACTGTTTATATTGTTGAATTAGACTAAGTTTTAACTGAATGAAACCTGAGGCTTTTGTGTTTGCTTCTTTATTTTTTTCCCCCATTACTTATTGTTGGGTATTGGGGAAGAAAATAAAAATAAAGTTAAAATAAATAAAGAAGGGATCTTCTGTCTCACTGCATATGGAAGCTGTAGTGTGAATAATATATGTACTCCCTCTCCCATAATAGCTAACATTAATTGAATGCTATTATATTTTTTTGCTCTGGGCTAAGCAATTAACGTATGTATTCTCATTAAGTCCTCTCACCAAATATGTTAAGTTTGCCATCAGTATTTACATTTATACATGAAGAAACTTCTTGGAGAACTGTTTTGCCCAAAGATATTCAGCTATTTAATGGTGAAACCAAGATTTGCATCCTCTCTCTTAATCACTAAGGTATATATCCTGGGTAATTGTGACTTCAGCTGGCACATTTGTTACTGGAAATTTTCTTATTAAATCCATAGGTTTTAAATTTTTATTTCAAAAATTTATGGTACAAAGCAAAGTCAATTTTATAAAAAAAAAAACCCAGACAATAGATATGTCATATTTGAGATCACATATAAAGAATTCAACCAAGAGGAAGCCACTACAGCACACATTTACCTATGTAACAAACCTGCACGTTCTGCACTAGTATCCTGGAACTTAAAGTAAAATTAAATAAATAATTCAACCAAGATATCAAGAGAATACCAAATAAGATGAAAATTCAAAAAAAAATTTTGGCCATTATGAAATTGCACAGAAATGTCCACATGTCTATAATTATATATTAATAGTTAGAAAGGTCAGCATTTAAGAAAATTTTTCCATGTTCATCAGCATCCTACAGATATTGCTCAGATTTCCATAGACTAATTATTTTTTGTCTGTTTAGGGTTATTTCTAAAACAAGTTTGGACATTTACCCAATGCATACAAAAGTAACACAAATGAAAGTAAACAGGACATTTCCATGTACAAGCTCATTTCTCTAAAGTGCTCTAATTTATCACTATTTAAATACATATAATTAAAGGCATGTATAAGTTCAAAAGTATAAACATTCATTGAATGATGTCATGTATAGGAAAGCACACCAGTCATGAGAAGTGACAGTCACAAAATTCTTTATGCGGAAGGTGGAGTCTACTTACTGCAGTGAAGACGTTGTAAGAGGCACAGGGGAATCCAGCAAAGCCATCAGGGTTGACGATGCTATCAGTGTAATATTTGTAGCTTCTTAAGTGATTACAGGCCGCAAAGTCTCGAGTCCCTTTGAATCAGACACAATTACACATCAAGGACAGATTTTATTTTTCCAAGTTAACGTCATATTCAGAATATAGTGGTTGAATAGATTTCTCTAATTAGTGTGAGCTCATGCAGGTCACAGAACAAAGTCATTTGTAAAGTATATTTATGATTTGTGATGTAATCACAAGTTGAGTACTGTTTAAGATTATAATAGGTAATACTGTAATTAAATGAAAGGTTTAAAATACTGTAGAAGAAAAAGATTGGTTTAAATAAATAAAAGCTCATTCCCTGAATTAGGTACTCTGAAGTTGACTGAAAATACGCTTTCTTTCCCAGTCTCCTCATGCCCACTTATCCCAGTGAAAACCTACATCTCATGGATACAATTAAAAGTCTTTTGTTATGTAAAATGTGAGACCTGTACAATTCCAAAGAATTTAGCAAGTTTAGCAAAACAAAACACAAGCTTTCTCCCAAGAAGATCTCTTTCTACACATAATAGTTCTACCTTCCCAGATTCCGTCTATGTCCACAATCTGAGAGAGAATGTTCTTTTTACATCCAGGCATTTCCACTCCTCCATTTGGAAAGAAATCTAGGTGGCCCACGACTTGGCTCATTCCAAACCCTGAAATCATAAAAATACATGAGGGTTTATGCTAATGTATATAGACTCAGACACTATAACACCCTTTGGGGGACGGGTTGAGGAACTCACCCAAATTGGGGACTATGGGGGCACCATCCGTGTGAATTACATCCACAAATTTGGCATCGCTGGGGTCCAATCGGACTAATTCAGGTGTGCCCTGAAAGCAAGGTTCTGCTGGGTCCAACCCTAAAGTAAAGAGTATGTTTCATGAATTATGACAAGTCCTGAGTACAAGTATTAAGAGTAAAATATGAGTTATGCATGGAAAGGGATGAACGGGTTCTTCCTTACCTGACCATTTGCTGAAGAGGAATCTACTTCTAGCTATTTGCTTTAAAGTGAATTTTCCCCAAACCAAACAATATGCCTTTCCTCATGGCTCCATAGTCACTGGGAGAGTCTTAGTCACTAGCAGCAGTTACAACAAAAGAGGTAGACTCTGGGACACACTGGACTAAAAACCACGCAGGGTTAAAATAGTCCCCATTAGACTGTGAACTCCCACAAGGGCAAGGACCTTGGCTTTCACAAACGTCACTGAGACCACAGGCATTCACTGCACAGCACCTGGCCGAGCAGGCTGTGGGAAAGAAACATTTACAGACTGTGGAAAAGAAAATCTTGTGCAGATCTCCCCTTCAGCAAATGAACGGATAGGCAGTCCAGATTATCCCAAGTCCAAATACAGCCGACTTATCCCAAGGGTTAAAAAGAAAATCACCAAGTCAGAGACAAAAAGGTTGAACACAGATGGAAGAGGAAAGTGGTCCTTCCTTAAAATAATCACCTCTCAGATCCAGGATGGTAGCATCTTTCTTATAACCTTACAGAGGTTTTAGAACCTGGGTATCCAATATGTGAGCTCACTGGCTGAATGCAGCCAGCCTCAGGTTTGTAAAATACTATTCGTTATCTCATTAGCAGCACACAGAACTGGCAGCCCAGAGCACCCTGACCACCTTTTCCCTGACAACTCTGGGGTTATGTTTGAGGCTTAAGCACATTAGCAATTGCTAATGAAACAGAATATAATTAGTTATACAAATTTCAGCTCCTTAGGTTTAATTATATTTATTCTACTATTTATGAAATTTATTCTATTCATGAAACTTGTCCTTTGTGAATGTCGGTCAATGGGGAAATAGACATGAATAAAATCTCTCGATGTCCTTAATTCATATTCTAGTCACGTGCAATATAAATATGTTAAACAGAGTGCTGTAGACCAAAGATTGGTATCAATGAAGACTTTACAAAGCCTCAGAACAGCGATTTCTGATCATGGGGCCCAATTCAGAAAATGTGAAAAGGTAAAACGTAGGGTTGCACCAAATTTCCATCTTGTATTTCCTTTTAAATCACATACAGGCTGCATTTAGTCTAAGTTTGTAGCGTCCTTTTTTTCTTTTTTTTTTTTTTAAGGAGATAGGAGTCTCGCTATGTTGCCCAGATTGGCCTCAAACTGCTGGCCTCAAGAGATCATCTTGCCTCAACCCCCCTGGTATCTTTCACTGTTTTCACCAACCTGTGATGCGTCCAATGGTCCCATTGGTTCTCCTTCCAGCCTCCCCAGCAGCGTGGGCACCCAGGCTGTGGCCAATGACATGCACATTGGAAGGTGAGTAACCGAACGCCGACTGTCGGAAAGAAAACCTTTTCAGAATGTTTTCAAGTGCAGTCATGAGTTGCTCAACAACAGGGATACGTTACAAGAAATGCATCATCAAGCGATTTCATTGTTGTGGGAACATCATAAAGTATATTTACATAAACCTAGATGGCATAGCCTACTACCTACCTGGGCTGTGTGGTACAGCCTGTTGCTCCTAGGCTACAAATCTGTACAGCATGTTACTGTTCTGTGTACTCTAGGCAACTGGAACACAACGTAACTAGTTGTGTATCCAAATATATCTAAACCTAAAAACATACAGCAAAAATACGGTATAAATGATTTTAGGCTGGCCTTGGTGGCGCACACCTGTAATCCCAGCACTTTGGGGGGCCAAGGTGGGCTAACCACCTGAGGTCAGGAGTTCAAGACCAGCCTGGCCAATATGGTGAAACCCCGTCTCTACAAAAGTAAAAAAATTACCTGGGCGTGGTGGTGGGTGCCTATAATCCTGACTACTTGGGAGGCTAAGGTGGGAGAATCACTTGAACCCGGGAGACGGAAGTTGCAGTGAGCCGAGATCGCGCCATTGCGCTCTAGCCTGGGCGACAGAGCAAGACTCTGTCTGAAAAAAAATAAAAAAATTCTGAAGTGGTAGATCTGTAGAGGGCATTTACCATGAATGGAGCTTGCAGGACTGGAAGTTGCTCTGGGCAAGTCATGGAGTAAGTGGTAAGCAATGTAAAGGCCTAGGACATTACTGCACACCGCTGAAGACTTTATATACTGTACATTACTCTACACTCAGTTCATTTAAAATATTTTTCTTTCTTTATGCAATTTTTATTTTATTTTATTTTATTTTTGAGATGGAGTCTCACTCTGTTGCCCAGGCTGGAGTGCAGTGGCACGATCTCAGCTCACTGCAAGCTCCACCTCCCGGGTTCACGCCATTCTCCTGCCTCAGCCTCCCGAGTAGCTGGGACTACAGGCGCCCACCACCACGCCCAGCTAATTTTCTGTATTTTTAGTAGAGACAGGGTTTCACTGTGTTAGCCAGGATGGTCTCCATCTCCTGACCTCATGATCCGCCCGCCTCGGCCTCCCAAAGTGCTGGGATTACAGGCGTGAGCCACCGTGCCAGGCCACAATTTTTATTTTTTTTAAACTTTTAACTTTTTGTAATAACCTTTAGCTTAAAACACTCTGTATCCCTGTATCAAATTATTTTACTTCTTTATATCTTGATTCTATAACCATTTTTATGATAATTTTTTTAACTTGTCAAAATTTTTTGTTAAAAACTAAGACACAAACACCTGCATTAGCCTAGGCCTACACAGGGTCAGGATCATCAATATCACTGTCTTCCACTTCCACATCTTGTTCCCTGGAAGGTTTTCAGGGGCAATAACATGCATGAAGCTGTCATCTCCTATGATAACATGTCTTCTTCTGGAATACTTCCTGAAGGATCTGCCTGAGGCTGTTTTATTTTTCTTTAATAAGTTGAAGGAGTATACTTTAAAATAATGATAAAAAGTGTAGTAAATATGTAAACCAGTAATGTCATCATTTATTATCATTATCATGTATTACATACTGTACATAATTATATGTGGTAGACTTTTATATAACTGGGAGTGCAGTAGGTTTGTTTATACCAGCATGACCACAAATCCATGAGTAATATGTTGTGCTGTGGTATCATGATAGCTATAGGTCACAAGGCAATAGGAATTTTTTAGCTCCATTGTCATCTTATGGGACCTCCATCATATCTGAAGTCCATCATTGACCTACACGTCCTTGTGTGGTGCATGACTGTATTGCAGAATTCAATGAGGCGCGCAGAGGGAGAACCTTCAAAAACCTCAGTGTCAAGAAGATACACTGCCTTTCCAAAGCACTTGACTTCCATGTTTTTTAAAATAGTTATAATGAAAAATGGAAATGGGTTTAACTTTTAATCTGGTGGAAGTAGGGCTGTATTTTGTTGTTTTACTATGGAGAGAGAACTCTTAATGAACATGAAGAGTTGTTATCCAGAGATGATGAAGCAAGTATTTGGATTAGAAAGTAAAAATAAAAACAATTATTTAAACACATTCAAGTATAACATTTTCTGTGGTTTTTGTTACCAAATGAGGTTAGCTTGTTATCACCGTGCTTCTCTTAAGAAAGCAAAACTAAAATCAAATAAAACTAGATTAATCTTAAGGTTGACATTGGTAATAACTAGTAAAATTAAAACAAATACTCGTGGAATTTATTAAAAACAACCTACCAATTGCTTGAATAAGTTAACTTAAAAAAACTAGTTTATTAACATAATGGGTTATTGATGAAACCCAAAGCTAGATTTTTTTTAATTTTTCTTTGTAGCCAAGAGAAACATCATATCTGAGTAGAGAAGTGTCTTTATCTATGATTAAATCTACAGGCTTTTTTTTTTTTTTTTGGAAAGATAATCTGGAAAACCATGTGTACAGGCTTTTATGCAATCCGGGAGTAATTACCTGAAGAAATTCAACAAAATATGCCACTTCTGCTCCCACGATCCTGATGTTCTGCGAGGCTTGTGTGTATCCAGTTCGGGAGCCACCTTTCCAGTCCACACAGATACAGTTCACACTTTCCACCTTGAACAGATTCTGGTGGAAGGGGCACAATAAACAGATAAATAATTCAGGATCTTTATTAATTACTAGTTAACATACTGGAGGACTAGGATAAATTCCCTCCTTGACCCACACAATGTCATTTTAACCCTAATGCAATTGACAAAACTTTTAGTCTGTTATAGATATATAATCTCTGCTAAAGTTTAAAATCATCTCCAAACTGGAATTTGACCATAGTGGGAACTGGATTCTTGGGATTTCTACTGTAGCAGATACAGAGACATTTAGTTCAAGAAAAAAGTGTATAAACTGTATAAAATGTGGTACAATGTGTTGTTCATTAGGTCATCCTAAATGCCATAAGACTACGTTGTCCCTTAATAGAATGCACCCAAGGACATTGTTTACCTTGTCCACTGGTATAGCCTCAGTGTCCAGAACAGATTCTGGTACACAGTAGATGCTCAGTAAATATTTAATGAATGAATGAAAGACAATGTTAGGACCCCTTATATAAATACATTGAAGGTAAATAAGTTTTTCCACAATAGAAAGACTAATCAAATTTTTTGGATGAACGTGTTTTATTGTACATCACTAAAGAGTTATTAATATTTCACATGAAAACATTGCCTACCAGATATCTATGGAAAGCCTTGTTTGATGGCATTTAATTAGGGCTTCATGGAGGTTAGTTCTGGAAGGAATTCTGTTGTCTGAGTGTGTTTATGTATAGCTTCTTTTTTTTTTTTCAAAAAGAATTTGAGAATAGGCCAGGTGCGGTGGTCACGCCTGTAATCCCAGCACTTTGGGAGGCCGAGGCAGGTGGATCACAAGGTCATGAGATCGAGACCATCCTGGCTAACATGGTGAAACCTCATCTCTACTAAAAGTACAAAAAATTAGCCGGGCCTGGTGGTGGGAGCCTGTAGTCCCAGCTACTCGGGAGGCTGAGGCAGGAGAATGGCGTGAACCCGGGAGGCGGAGCTTGCAGTGAGCCAAGATCGCGCCACTGCACTCTAGCCGGGGGGACAGAGCAAGACTCCATCTCAAAAAAAAAAAAAAAAAAAAAAAGAATTTGAGAATAATGGAACAATCTTAGAAATCATCTGCAACTTTTCCATTTTTCAAAAGGAAAAATCCAAAGCAGGGAAAAGATTTGCTAATCGTAGTTAGCTAAGGAGAGAGTCAGGACTGGACTGTAGAACCTTTATCCTTCTAGTTTAAACCACTTGTTTCTGCGTCTCAAAGCAATAGTTCTGTCAAAGCCAAATCAATGCAGAACAAAACAAAACAAAAACAAACCACAATTGCCTTTGGGATCTTAGAAATAAATTGCATAGCCATATCAAAGGTAACTATATTCCTTTTGAACTGAGAATCACATTTTTTTCTTTGCTGTTCTATAAATATCTATTATTACCCTCCCTCCAGTAATCATCAGCTTTAAATTATTTTGGAGGACAAGTTGTGGTTTTACTGCTTGTGTTTAAACTTGCGGAGTGTACAGATTCTACAGTGCTCATCTGTCTTCAGGATCAATGGATAGGTTCTGGAGTTGACTCATTCTGCCCTTGCTTTGAGCCAGAGGCAGACCTGAAACTGTATGGGCTTAGGAGGACCTTTGTGTCTTTTTTTGTTTTTTTTTTGAGACGGAATCTTGCTCTGTTGTCCAGGCTGGAGTGCAGTGGCACGATCTTGGCTCACTGCAACCTCTGCCTCCCGGGTTCAAGCGATTCTCCTGCCTCAGCCTCCTGAGTAGCTGGGATTACAGGTGCGTGCCACCATACCTGGCTAATTTTTTTTATAGTTTTAGTAGAGACGGGGTTTCACCGTGTTAGCCAGTATGGTCTCGAACTCCTGACCTCGTGATCCGCCCGCCTCAGCCTCCCAAAGTGCTCGGATTACAGGTATGAGCCACCACACCCAGCCTGTGTCTTTCTTCTTGACACCTCTGAAGAAAGGACTACTCCCTTTGTGCGACAGCAGGTCAAAGAAATTTGATGAATACATGAATAAATACTTGAATAAATGAATCAACAGTAATGTTCCTCAAGCACTAGCAGTTACTAGGAAAATTTATTCTATTTGATTTTCTGTCTTTTCATTCTTCTTTATGACAGGGCATATAGCCAAAGGCAAATTAAAGAAAATAGGATCACCGCTGTTGAAACAACAGAAGCCAAAAATGAAAACCTACACAGTTTTCAAAGTTATTGCTACCAGAGGAGATCCGAGAGTAGCAAGTGAAAATCAAAGGAAAAGAATTCATTCAGGCAAAATGAGACCTCTTAGCACTTCACATAAAATTAAAAACTAATGAAAAAACAGGGGCCTATAACCAGCTGGTGTGCATCAGCATGACAGCATCTGTTGCTATAATGTTGAAACACCTCCATATCAGTTATTAAATAACCACTGCCTAGATCCACCAAGTGCTTGCCAGCCTCACTGCTCTGACCATCCTAAACCCCCTCTTCCCACCACCACCTCCTTGACCTCCCCTAGGAACTCCAGGCCCAGCAGGGGTCTGAATATCCTCCAAGACCTCCAAGCACTGTCCTCATTGGTCGGGGCCAGTGCCTTACCGTTTGTTAATTACCACTTTGGAAACGATCTTTCCTTGAGAGATGACCACATCTCACCTTGCACACATTGGCCAGCCAGTTTTCTTCTCCCTTGTCTATGAATCCATGAATAATAAAGCGAGTTTTTCTATTTGTTTTGAAATTGGAGCCACTGATGCTTGATGAATCTGCGGCAACTTCCTGTTTAGACAGAAAAGTGTTTCATGTCAGTTTCCTATAGTAGCCAATAGAACCATTTGTACATGGAGAGGGGCAGTAAGTAGAAGACTGCTAGGATTCAGGATCCTTGTGAATAATGATTCCTCCATAGCAACCACAGTATTCACTATCATCATCATGTTGCCATTTCCCAGTCATCACAACATGTTTGCCATTGTTCAACTTGGGATAATATGTCTGTTATAATCTTGGTGGTAATGATCTTTTCTTCATACAATGGAAGGCTTTGTGTGTGTGTGTGTGCGTGTGTGTATTTTTATATGTCTTTATCTATGTAGAGATACATATATATAATAGGAGATTACATAAATATATAATATTGGGAATGTTTATATACTTTATATGTATAAATATAGCCCTACATTTACAATATTTATTAAATGTTATAGAGGAAGGACAAGAATAATATGAAGTTAATGAATCTTTTATAAACAATTTACATTAAGTAATACCTAAGCTCAGTGCCCTGAATATCTACAAAGATGCAAATTTCACGGCTGATTTTTTTCTCTTAAGAACTTGAATATTCAGTATCCTTATTACAGAAAACAGGTGGAACTTGGTTCTTCTTCTTTTTTTTTTTTTTTTTTTTTTTGAGATGGAGTCTCACTGTGTCGCCCAG
Organism: Homo sapiens; assembly: GCF_000001405.40. Classification (NCBI taxonomy): domain Eukaryota; kingdom Metazoa; phylum Chordata; class Mammalia; order Primates; family Hominidae; genus Homo; species Homo sapiens. Next base: position 116,547,698 of record NC_000010.11, on the reverse strand, counting down.
GCTGGAGTGCAGTGGCGCGATCTCGGCTTACTGCAAGCTCTGCCTCCCGGGTTCACGCCATCCTCCTGCTTCAGTTTCCCGAGTAGCTGGGACTACAGGCGCCTGCCACCACGCCTGGCTAATTGTTTGTATTTTTAGTAGAGATGGGGTTTCACCATGTTAGCCAGCATGGTCTCGATCTCCTGACCTCGTGAACCGCCCGCCTCGGCCTCCCAAAGAACTTAGTTCTAAACACAGTGATAGTTCTTACTTGAAAGTTGTTTGGGTTCTCATTAGTATATAGGAGGAAGCGGGTGTTGACATCTTTTGGAGACCAAGGCAATATATGGAGGGGTCTTTCCGTAATTCCTGACCATGGGGAGTCATCACTGAAGCAGCCGAGTCTTTCGTAGCAAACTTCTTTTCCTGCAATCCCCCAGAAGGATATTAGTTTTACAAACATGCTCTTTTTAATGATCTGTCTGCCAATATATGAGTTCAATTACACTGTGTGGTAGACTTTCCTCCTCTGCTACTCTCAACACCCTCCTAGCCACACACTCACAAAACAGCTTCAAAAGACAACACAACTATTCCAGACAGGCTGTTGTTCTTGTTCCTCAATTCTACCACATGGATCACTTCACTCCCCTTGTGTCTCTGCCCAATCCCAACGTGGGACTCCTTTTAGCCTCTAAACTCAGATATCTTCCTTGGGCTATAGGTGCTCAAGAAAGGGACAGCCCTGTGTCCCTAAGCCTTAACTTCTTGTAGCCACTGTTTAGCTGTGGGCTTTGAAAGGAGAGCTAAAATTTTATGGAAAGGCCAAAACCGTATATCCCCATCCTTGCTGTACTGCAGGACATCTTCATTCCTGTGATGAAGAAGCTGTTCACAAACAACCAAACCAAAAATCCATGGTTTAACACAACTCTAGGCTTGAATGTCACTCCATAAAAAAATAACCCAAAGAAGGGTTCTCTTCTCTAAGGAGGATAAATCTAGATTAATGGTAGGAGTAAGAGTAGCAGCTGTTGTGGGGGCTGCGTTTCTCAACATCTTACCATGTGTCAGGTGCTGGGTTGGATGGTTTACTAATCTGACCTAATTCTCACAATAATCCTAGGAGATGGGGAATCCGACTCTCCCCATTTTGCAGACAAAGATTCTGAAGCACAGAAGAGTTAAGAATTTTGCTCAGGGTAATACAGTTGTAGGTGGTGGTGGAGCCAAGGTTCAAACTCTTAACTTGACTTGATGTCAGGGTTGCTAGATTTAGCAAATCAAAATACAAGTAAATTTGAATTTCAGATAAATGATAATGTTTTAGTATAGATATGTCACATATTTGTTGTTTGTGGGAAATATTTGCTGTTTATCTGAAATTCAAATTTAACTGGGCATCTTAGATGTTTTCTGACAACCCTACTCCATGTACCTGTGCTCTTATGCGTCTCCTGTGCTTTACTCCTTGAAGTAAATCTTCATGTTATTACTGCGGCCTGAATTCAGCTGCCCTAGCCCTCCTGACCGTGTTGAAAAGTGAATCTCTCCCAGCTCAACATTTATTTGTTTTCTTACCTGCTACTGCTCCCAGCAGCAGTGAAAGAGTCCAAAGTGGCAGCATCTACACGAAATTAAAAACATGATTGAGTCTGGCTAAGTTTTTAAAAGATCGGCAAGTTTTAGTTCATTTAGACCTCTGGGGGAAAATGGATACATTCTGATCAATTAGGCCTGGAAAACATGTTCCCGACTCACCGTGGCAGTTCCGTCAGGTTCCACACGCAACCAGATAGCAACAAAAACTCCTTTTATAGGCGAAGCTTATCTTTTTGAAACCGTGGAAAAATGGCATGCAAAGAAAGGCCCAAGGATGTGTTTCTAATTTTAATCATAGATAAACTAAGGTTGACAGAGTAAAGTTTTCCATAGTAGTTGTGGGATGATGAGAAAGGGGGTAGATATGTGATTATGTAAAGCTCAAAACCACTTTAATTTCATTATAGTAAAGGTTCTATATAGTAAAGGTTCTAGTCTTTCTGTCTCTTTTTAAGTTCACAATTCTCTGTGCCTGTCTGTGGGCATGTGTGAAATTAAATTGTTTTCACAGATTTGATAACAGCAGTCTTAAAAACAAATACCAGCAGCCTACCAGCTCTTGCCATTTTTGTATAACCTTGCCTTACCCTCAAAAACAGTGAAATAGAAGCAATCCTTCAAGAGAGCTCATACCTTCTGGAAAAGCATTTGATTAATTTTGATAGTCCATAGAACTGATTTATTTCTCAACAATGTCATGGAGGAAAGAATAAACAAGCTAAGAAAAGGAATTGGAGGTACAGCCGAAAGCATAGAGGCAGAATCACTGACCCCACTATCAGATGAAATGATGAATAAGCAGAAAAAATATGACTCAACTTGGAAGAAAATGGTTTAGAAAAAATAATCTGAAAGAGAATTGTTTGATGGAAAATAACTGGGATGTTTTCAGTTAATGATGGATTGCTTACAATAAATGTTAAAAAGAGTACAATGTGATACCATAATTTTAAGAGACCAGAACCTTTTAGCCTGAAAGTGTCACAGCTATACACTGAGTTGTTGAAATTGTCACATTCGTAGGTCAAAAGTGGTCAAAAATAATTCAATCCCCTGGAAAAGTTTATAGGTATAGAGAAAAGCAACAGAATTATCGTGTACAAGGGAAGTTCAAGGAAGTTTGGCAAGGGAATTGTTAAGATAAAGACAGAAGGCACAAGGAAGGATCCATGGATGGACACCATGGCAAATTCCTACCTAATCTTTCAAATATCAGCCTTTCATCCCCTCCTCAGGCAATCTTCCCCAGCCATGGTTAAGCTGGTTCCCTTGTTCCCTCTAAGGAAGGTTCTTTTTAGAACTTCTCTCACTTAAGACTGATCATTTGTATATTATAAACTCAGAGAAGGCTGGAATGCTCAGGGCCTTGTTGTCACATCCTAGCACCTAGCCCAGTGCTTGATACACAGCAGGCCTTCAAAACATCTCTGATGGATGATTGAACAAATGGAATGAATATGAAAAGCAAAGCAATTTATTTTGCATAATGGCTGCAATAATAATTGTCTCCACAGTCTCATAAGTAAAAAGCTGTTGAAATTTCTTTTATTCAAAACATGTGGAAAAAAAAATCCAGAAGCCTCTAAAAACAGAAGTCTTGCATCTCTCTAGTATTTAGTGATGGTAATGCTACATTGATCTCAGAGTCATATCCTATGACAGTCATTGTTTCCTCTGGTTTTACCATGAAGTTATTTACATTTTGTGTGAGTTACCAAGTAATTCACACAAAGTTTCTAAGTTGTCATTTTAGATGGCACAAAATGTAATCCATAATTAGGGGGACATTTGTTTAATATAGTATAAAGAATTAGGATCAATAGTCACCAAATTCTGAAATAGTGAAATCTGTGGGGATATTTTGTAAACTAAAATAAGTTCAAATTTTATAATATCTCAAGAAGATTCAACTTCTCAAATTTATAAAAGCTAAGAACGGAATGGTACATAATCAGCCGTCTATTACATCTGCTCTGGATGAATAACTTCCTCTATACATAATCCTGTTGAACTCTTAAGCTGGGTTGTGAAATGTTATAAACTACATTGTTTCATTCAGACAACAATGTACTATCTAGAAGCGTCTATTTTCATAGTATGTGTGGCAAAGTTGCTAGCATCTTTTTTTTTTTTTTTTTTTGAGATGGATTCTCCATCTGTCCCCCAGGCTGGAGTGCAGTGGCGCGATCTCAGCTCACTGCAAGCTCCGCCTCCCGGGTTCATGCCATTCTCCTGCCTCAGCCTCCTGAGTAGTTGGGACTACAGGTGCCCACCACCACGCTTGGCTAATTTTTTGTATTTTTAATAGAGATGGGGTTTCACCGTGTTAGCCGGGGTGGTCTTGATCTCCTGACCTCGTGATCCATCTGCCTTGGCCTCCCAGAGTGCTGGGATTACAGGCGTGAGGCACCGCACCTGGCCTTGCTAGCGTCTTTCTACAGGGAATAGAACTAGACTCTATTCTCTGTCCTCCCTTGCAGGGAGATGGGGTCATGTAACCAGTTCTCTGGCTACAGAGATGTGAGTGCGTGGATGTGCACCCCCGTCAGTCCTGTTCCTAAAAACCCACACAGTGGCTGGTCGTGGTGGCTCAGCTCTGTAATCCCAGCACTTTGGGAGGCCGAGGCGGGTGGATCACAAGGTCAGATCCAGACCATCCTGGCCAACATGGTGAAACCCCATCTCTACTAAAAATCCAAGCAAATTAGCCGGGCGTGTTGGCGCACGCCTGTAGTCCCAGCTACTCGGGAGGCTGAGGCAGGAGAATCGCTTGAACCTGGGAGGCGGAGGTTGCAGTGAGCTGAGATCAAGCCATTGCACTCCAGCCTGGCAACAGAGCAAGACTCCGTCTCAAAAAACAAAAAACAAAAAAACCCACACATGGTCCTCCATGTGCCATGCCTTCTGTGGCTTGATGCAGACAAATACAAATCCTTAAAGGCCATGTGTTGAAGCTGGTAGAAACACAAGATGGAAGGAACCTGGGATCCCTGCTTAATGGAACACTACCCACAATCACAAACATCCATTTTAAATTGTACGTGAGCAATAAATGAATTATTATCTTAAGCCTTGAGATTTAAGGGTTATAACAATTAACATTATCTTAACCAATAGATTATTTATTATAGAATGTTTCTTCTACTTCCATGAACAGTCCATGTATCAAACATTAAATGCCGGGCTAAAAATTTCAACATGAGATTTGGATGGTACTTACGGATAACACTAATGCTTGGACAGATTTTTTTCTAATACTTGATTTTTTGAAAATCCCTTTCCTGCCACTTCCCATATCACAGAATATAAGTGCTCAAGTATTCACTTTATTGTGGTAAATTTTAAATTCTAATGGGCATTTTTCAGTTCAGTCCCTAGTGGTGACTATTGTTCTACCTTCAGTCTGAGCCCGTATGATACCCACAATTTAGAGAAAATTCACCCAGTGTTGCCTGGGTCCCTAGACACAACTGATCTGAACTTGGAGCAGCTCAATGTTCTTGATACATAGGAGACCCTGCAACACCAGAGGCAGATTGGAGCTCCCATCAAAACCCTACTTTCTACCAGCCTCTGTCACTCCTCACATCTCAGGATTGCAGGCTTGACAAGAAGCTGTTCAAATGGTAATGAAGCATTGAGAGTCCTCACCCTACTACCTCATGGCATTGACAGCCAAGATGGGATCTCACTGAGAATTAATTCCATGTGTCCTATTTACCAATGCATTATATAACATCAGTTCAACTTTGCCCCAGAAACCTTGCACATTTGAAAATAAAAATGCCAAACTTGGATGCTTCTAATCAAATTGCAGCAGAGTTAAATATTGGTTTAAGTTTAGGCTCTGCTTCTGACAACCTTGTGATACTAAACTCCTGGTGAGGGAAAGAAAGGTTTCAGAACACCTGTGTGGCCAGATAACCAGCATGTTAGCCAAAGGAGGTCTCATTTACTTAACCTTCAGAGAGCCTGTCCTGCTTCCCTTTATCTAGCTCAGCCTCTTTCCAAGATCATTGAAGGTGAGGAAGACATGCTCTCTGGAGTATCCCAAACTTCCCTGAGCAGAAAAATACTGTGAAGTTCTGGGGGTGGTTAATTGCTTCACACCTTCTAGAGAGCAACCATCCTGCCAAATGTGAGTGGGTCACACTTTCACTATCCAGGCCCAAGGCGTGAACGTATAGTCAACCCTCTTCTGTTATGCATAAAGATGGTTTTCTTTGTGGCCTAGAATAACAAGCATACCTAAAATTTTATAGCATTAATTATTTAGGTTTCCACACTTTTTAAGTTTTTGCCTTTAATCTCCCACCAAACTTAAAGGATTAGCTGTTTTCCTTATGAAGTCGGTGAGACATGAGTTTAATCAACCTGCCCAGGAACACACAGTTGGTAAGTAGCAGAGCTGTCAGGAGGGACAATTTCTTCTCACCATTTCCAAATGACTTGTTTGTGTCAATCCACGGAAGGCCATCTTTTCCCAGGCTGTGTTAGTCTAGCCTTGGACTAAAATATAGTCAGGAATGAATACCAGGGGGCATTAGTATGTATATACAGGTGTGTAAGACTGGGTATTTGCTTTCCAAAACAAATTCATGCAAATACGCTTTGTATAGCCTATTTTTTTGTTTTATTTATAGTCTGCTTTCCAATACTAATGTAGTAAATGGTAATTTTATCAAACAGAAATACAACTTTTGTGATACTGAATATGACAAATCATGTCTTTCCTGAGCCATCACAGTAGTCTAACTGCCTTCCTTGCCCTCAGACTGTTCCTTTTCTGTCTGTTCTCTATACACTGTTAGAAAGTCAGTTCTAAAATGCAGACTGGTCATTGTACTGTCTTTCTTAAAACCTCACTTCCCTTCCCCTCTCTTGTGCTTTCTAGATTAGCACTGCCCAATAGGAATATAAGCAAGCCACATTTAAAATGCAAAAAGAAACCAGTGAAAATAATGTTAACGATTTTTATAATTCAATACATACAAAATATTATCATATCAATATTAACATGTGGTACTAGTCACATGTCAACTGATCAATGGTCATATGTGGCTAGTGGCTGCTGTAATGTATTGCACAATTCTAGATTAACTTTACTCTCTTTACATCACAAATACAGCTTTACAGATCTGCTTAGCTTCTCTGTGGTTTCCGGTCAACCCTGTTGTATACCCACTTAGCCCATCTTCCACCCCTTATGAGCTTCTTTCAAAATATGCACTCTCAATGGGTTTGGAATGGGAGACAACTGAAAGTACTAAAGAATGGAATAACAAACTTTTCCAGGTGCCAATGAACAAGAAGAGAGAGTAAATAGGAAGAGTTGCAAAATTCAACAGACCCAAAGATCACAGCATGACTATTGAGAGGTGTAATGAAAGTGAAAAAAGAGAAAGCACAAAAGAGAAAAGTCAAAAAGAAAAAAAAATCGACTAACAATAATTTGTACCAAATATATATATTTGTTCCATACCTAAGATGTTTGAGGCACCAAACAATTATGAATTATACAAGGAGGCTCACAAAGGGGCAGGCTAAGCCAGAGGTTGTTATTCATGCGCATTCCACAACTACCCTTGTAAGGCATGAAGCAAAGTCTCTTTCAAAAATTATAAGCTGAGGGATTTACACTTCTAGCCATGATGGGGCAACTGGCTTCAGACTTGCTCTTTTACCATAAATAATTAAAAGTCTGGAAAATATATATGAAGTTTCCCAAGATTGGACAATAAGCAATGCAAGACTAAAATAAGTGAAAAAGGAAAACAAATGAGGTGAGATCACCAATTACTTCAGCTATATGTCTGGAGACATTTCCAGGACCCTAGCAGAGAGAGGGAGAATCTGAGAAGAGAAAGGTAGACTCAACAGGCTGAGGAGATGAAGATCAGATTTCAGTGAGGCCAAAGTATTTGGAATGAGCAGAGCAGAGTACTGAAGAGGAGAAGCTACAAATATGAAAAGCTCCAGAAACTGGCACAGGAGTCCACTTGAGTCCTTGAATAATACTAACATGCTTACAAAGCATAAGATTCCATGAGACTGGTCAGATAACAACCATATGAGAAAGAACAATTTGCTGGTGGACTTTGTAATCCAAACAACTCCTGGAGCTCACACATGATGGAAGACATTCGGTCCAACAGAGTAAGAGATTTTATTGTATAATCAGAGCATTTAGTAGACACCCCCAAAAGGCCATGCTTTAGGAGGACTAAAATATCCCTAGAATAAAGGTTAATCTCAATCTGCCATAAGAAAGCATAAAAACAAATCTTCAAGCATCAATCTGATCTGCAAAAATGTAAAATTATTGGTATTCAGTATCCATTATCAAATTATTTGGCATACAAAGAAGCAGAAAAATATGACTCACTAGTCAATAGAAGGAGACCTAGAATTGATAGGGATTATAATATTAACAGATGAGTACTTTAAAACAGCTATTATAAATAAGATTAAGAGCTAAAGGAAAACATAGGCATAATGAGAAGACAAATAGTAACTATTAGGCAAGATTAGCATATTAAGAAATACAGAAGAGAATATCAGAAAACTGAGACATGGCAATAGAAAAACCATTCACACTGCCAAGTTCAGAGAGGGGAAAAAAGGGCTGAAAAATCTGCAGAGTCTTCATGATCTTTGGGGTAATAATAAGCAGTTTCACATGCATCTAATTGCAGTCCTGGGTCAAGTGTTAAATAAAATTGGAGAAATCATGGCTGAAAATATCCAATATTGATTTGTAAAAATGAATCTATGTATCCAAGAAGTTGAACAATATCAAGTAGGATAAATCCAATGAAAACCAAAAAAAAACACAAAAAATGGTAAAACTGTGAAACCCAATAATAGAGAAAAAAAAAACTTAAAAGCAGACAGGGGGAGAAAGATACAGGGAAAACAAAGAAGGAATGACTGCAGACTTTTCAATGGAAACAGCAAGCCAAAGACAATGGAATGGCTTACAGTAGTTCCCCTTTATTCATGGGGAGTATATTCTAAGACCCCAGTGGATTCCTAGAACTGTGAATAATACTGAACCTATATATACTATGTTTTTTCTATACATACATAACTATAACAAAGTTTAATTTATAAATTAGGCACAGTAAGAGAGTAACAACAATAACTAATAATAAAATAGAACAGTGTACGGCCATAAAATTGATGTACATGTGGTCTCTCTCACTTTCTTTCCATCCCTCTCTCTCTGTCTGTCTTAATAACTTATTATACTCTACTCACCCTTCTTGTGATGATATGAGATGATATAATGCCTATGTGTGGTGATAAAGTGAGGTGACTGACATAGGTATCACTATTCTTGTGATTGAGGGCCATTATTAAGTAAAATGAGGCTTAACTGAACAACAGCACTGGATACCACAACAGCTGATCTGATAACCAAGACAACTGATTACCAAGTGACTAATGCCTAGGTAGCATGTCCAGCCTGGAAATGCTGGACAAAGGGATGATTCATGTCCCAGGCAGGAGGGAGTAGGGCACTGTGAAATTTGATCATGCTACACAGAACAGCATGCAATTTAAAATGCATGAATTGTTTATTTCTGGAATTTTCCAGTTAACATTTTTGGACTATGGTTGACCATATGTAACTGAACCTGCAAAAAGAGAAACATGGATAAGAAGGGACTACTGTATTTAGTGTGCTGAAAGTCACAGACCTAAATGTAAAAGCCAAAACCAAAATCTTCTAGTAGAAAATAGAGGAGAAAAATATTTGCTACCTTAGAATAAGCAAAGATTTCTTAGACAAAACATAAAAATCACTCTATAAAAAAACAGATAAACTGGACTTTATGAAAATTTAAAACCTACTCTTCATCCTTGTGCAGGGTCATGCTAATCTTCTCTGTATCATTCCAATTTTAGTATATGTGCTGTCTAAACAAGAACTAAAACCCTATTCTTCAAAAGATATTGTTAAGAAAATTTTCATTGCCTTTTCAGGCAAGACACAGACTTGGAAAAAGTGTCTACAATACACTCCTAACAAAGAACTTGTATCCAGAATATAAAAATAATTCTTACAAACATGATAGTAAAACAAACAACCTACAAAGATAGAAAAATATTTAATCAGGCCGGGTGCAGTGGCTCACTCCTGTAATCCCAGCACTTTGGGAGGTCCAGGTGGGCAGATCACACGGTCAGGAGATTGAGACCATCTTGGCCAACATGGTGAAACCACATCTCTACTAAAAATGCAAAAATTAGCTGGGCATGGCGGCACGTGCCTGTAATCCCAGCTACTTGGGAGGCTGTGGCAGTACAATTGCTTGAACCTGGGAGGTGAAGGTTGCAGTGAGTCAAGATCATGCCACTGCACTCCAGCCTGGTGACAGAGCTAGACTCCATCTAAAAAAAAGAAAGAAAAAGAAAGAGAAAGAAAGAAAGAGAGAGAGAGAGAGAAAGAAAGAAAGAAGAAAAATATTTAATCAATAACTTCACAAAAAAGATGCATAGGTGGCTAACAAGCATGCAAAAATACGCTCAACACCTTTAGTCATTGGAAAAATGCACAACAGAATCACAAGGAAATATTACAGCCCAGTAAGATGGCAAATATCTGACAATTCCAAAGGTGTAGAACAATTGGAAATTTCATAAAGTGCATAAAGTGCTAGTGGGAGTATCAAATTGACAAACAGTTTGGAAAAGTTTGACAGTTTCCTATAAAGGTAAACGACACTTACATAAAAAACAGCAATTCCACAACTAGGTATAAGCATATATCCACAAAAAGACTTTTCCATGAACAGTCATAGCAGCTTTATTCATAATAGCCCAAGATGAAAGTAACCCAAGTGTTCATTAACTAAACTATGACAACATTAAATACAGCAGTCTGTTTTTATTAATGGTTTCTCTTTCTGCAGTTTCAGTTACCTGTGGCCAAACACAGTTTGAAAATATTAATTGGAAAATTCTAGAAATAAAATAAACACTTCATATGCTTTAGATTGCATGCTCTTCTGCGTAGCATTATCAAATTTTGCACTGTCCTACTCCCTCCTGGCTGGGACATGAATCATCGCTTTGTTCAGCATTTCCAGGCTGGACATGCTACCTATGTGTTAGTCACTTGGTAATCAGTTGTCTGGGTCATCAGATCAACTGTTGGGGTATCCAGTGGTTTTGTTCAGGGAAGCTTTGTATTACTTAACAATGGTCCTAAGTCACAAGAGTAGTGTCATAGTTGTTTGTGTCCATGTGAAAACCACATAATCATCCTGATAGATGCAGAAAATATTTTGATAAAATTAAACATCCATTCATGTTAAAAACCCTCAATAAAATAAGTATTGAAGAAACATATCTCAAAATAATAAGAGCTATCTTTGACAAACCCATGGTCAACATCATACTGAATGGACAAAAGCTGGAACATTTCCCTTGAAAAGTGGAACAAGACAAGGATGCTCATTCTCACCACTCCTATTCAACATAGTTCTGGAAGTCCTAACCAGAGCAATTAGGCAAGAGAAAGAAATAAAAGGTATTCAAATAATGAGAGGAAGTCAAACTATGCTTGTTTGCAGAGGATATTATTCAATACCTGGCAAACCCCATGGTGTCTGCCCAAAGGCTCCTTGATCTGATAAACAACTTCAGCAAAGTTTCAGGATACAAAATCAATGTACAAAAATCAGTAGCATTCCTAACACCAATCACATTCAAGCTGAGAGCCAAATCAAGAGTGCATTCCCATTCACAATAGCTGCAAAAAGAATAAAATACCTAGGAATATAGCTAACCAAAGACGTGAAAGACCTCTCCAACGAGAATTAGGAAGAATCAATATTGTTAAAATGGCCATATTACTCAAAGCAATTTACAGATTCAATGCTACTCCTATCAACATTATTCATGTAATTAGAAAATTCATATGGAATCAAAAAAGAATCTGAATAACCAAGTAAGTCCTAAGCAAAAAGAACAAAGCTGGAGGCATAACATTACTTGACTTCAAAATATACTACAAGGCTACAGTAACCAAAACAGCACGGTACTGGTATGAAAACAGACACATAGATCAATGGAATGGAATAGAGAACCCAGAAATAATGCTACACGCCTACAACCATCTGATCTTAGACAAAATTGACAAAAACAAGCAGTGGGGAAAGGATTCCCTATTCAATAAATGATACTGGGATAACTGGCTAGCCATATGCAAAAGATTGAAACTTGATCCCTTCCTTATACCGTATACCAAAATTAACTCGAGATGGATTAAAGACTTAAATGTAAAACTACAAAAACCCTGGAAGACAGCTGAGAAAATGTCATTATGGACATAGGACATGGCAAAGACTTCATGATCAAGATGCCAAAAGTAATTGCAATGGAAACAAAAATTTATAAATGGGACCTAATTAAGCTAAGAGCTTCTGCACAGCAAAAGAAACTATCAACAGAATAAACAGTCACCCTACAGAATGGAAGAAAATATTTGCAAACTATGCATCCCACAAAGGTCTAATATCCAGAATCTATAAGGAACTTAAACAAATTTACAAGCAAAAACCAAACAACACTATAAAAAGTGGGCAAAGATTATGAACTGACACTTTTCAAAAGAAGACATTCATGTGGCCAACAAGCATAGGAAAAAATGCTCAACATCACTAATCATTAGAGAAATGCAAATCAAAACCACAATGAGATACCATCTCACAACAGCCGTAATGGCTATTATCAAAAAGTCAAAAATATCAGACAGATATTGGCGAGATTGTGGAGAAAAGGAAATGCTTACACACTGCTGGTGAAATGTAAATTATTCCAGCCATTGTGGAAAGAAGTTTGGTAATTTCTCAAAGAACTTAAAACAGAATTACCATTCGACCCAACAATCCCATTCTTGGGTATATACCCGAATGAATATAAATCATTCCACCATAGAGACACATGCATATATATGTTCATCGCAGCACTATTCACAATAGCAAAGACATGGAATCAACGTAAATGCCCATCAATGGTAGACTGGATTAAAAAAAATGGTACATATACACAATGTAATACTATGCAGCCATAAAAAAGAATGAGATCATGTCCTTTGCAGCAACATGGATGCAGCTGGAGGCCATTATCCTAAGCAAACTCACAAAGAAACAGAAAACCAAATACTACTTATAAGTGGGAGCTAAATTTTGAGTACATATGGACACACAGAAGGGAACAACAGACACTGGTGCCTATTTGAGGGTGGAGGGTAGAAGGAGGGTGAGGATGGAAAAACTGTATCTGTTAACTATGCTTACTTCCTGGGTGACGAAATAATCTGCACACCAAACCCTTGCAACCCAGTTTACCTGTATATTAATAACAAACCTGCACATGTACCCCTGAACCTAAAATAAAAGTTTAAAAGTAAACAAATAAGAAGTAAAAAATAGCAACCATAAAAAGGAATGAAAGCATGTCCTTTGCAGCAACATGGATCAGCTGGAGGCCATTATCCTAAGTGAATTAACACAGAAACAGAAAACTGAATACCACATGTTCTCATTTATAAGTGGGAGCTAAACCTCAGTGACTCGTAGACATAAAGATGGCAAAAATAGACACTGGGGACTATTAGACAGGGGAATGGTGGGGGGCAAGGGTTGGAAAACTGACTGTTGGGTACCATGCTTAGTACCTGGGTGTCGGCATCACTCATACTCAAACCTCAGCATCATGCAATATAACCAGGAAATAAACCTGCACATGTATCCCTGAATCTAAAATAAAAGTTGAAAAAAATTATGCAATATTCATACAGTGGAATACTACTCAGTTATATAAAGAAATGAACTATGAGTACATGTAGCATCATAGACAAATCTCAGAGATATTAAACTAAATGAAAGAAACCCAACAAAAAGAGCATATAACTATATTATTAGGCTTCCATGAAGTTCTAAAACAGGCAAAACTAATGTTAACTACAAAGAACAGATCAGTGTCTGTCTAGGGTTGAGGGTGAATTAGGGGATTATTTATAGGGCGCCTGTAATCCCAGCTATTCGGGAGGCTGAGGCAGGAGAATCTCTTGCACCTGGGAGGCGGAGGCTGCAGTGAGCTGAGACCCTGCCACTGCACTCCAGCCCGGGCGACAGAGTGAGACTCCGCCTCAAAAAAAGAAAAAAAAAGAAAAAAAAAGAAAAGTGCCGGGCGCGGTGGCTCACGTCTGTAATCCCAGCACATTGGGAGGCCGAGGAGGGTGGATCACGAGGTCAGGATATCGAGACCATCCTGGCTAACACAGTGAAACCCCGTCTCTACTAAAAATACAAAAAAAAAAAAAAAAAAAAATTAGCCGGGCGTGATGGTGGGCGCCCGTAGTCCCAGCTACTTGGGAGGCTGAGGAAGGAGAATGGCGTGAACCCGGGAGGCGGAGCTTGCAGTGAGCCGAGATCGCGCCACTGCACTCCAGCCTGGGCGACAGAGCGAGACTGTGTCTCAAAAAAAAACAAAAACAAAAACAAAAAAAATGACTGATAGGATTTGGATGGGAGTTGGGTAAATGCAGATGAGTTAAGGATGACCCCCAAATTTTGACTTGAACAATGGGAAAGCTGGAATTGCATTAACTAAGATGGGGAAGGCTGCACGTCAGTGGAGTAGGCTTGGGGTGGAGATCCGAAGTTCAGTTTTGGGCATGGTTAAAATTAAATGTCTTCTTAGAGTCTAAGTGGAGATGGAGAGGTGGCAGTTATCTGTAGCTCAGAAGAGAGGTCCATGTAAGAAATACCAACTTGGGTTTTACATAAAGCCATTAGTGTAGATGAGATCTCTTAGAAAGATGTTTCTAAGTACTAAATACTGAGGCTCTGCAATGTTACAAGCACAGGGAAATTAAGGATTTGAAAAACAGCATCCAGTGAGGACAGAGGAGAACCAAGAGAAAGTGGTGTCCTGGAGACAGAGAGAAGAAAATGTTTCAAGGAGGTGAGACAATCAAAAGACTCAGAGGTAAGAAAGGAGTTGACCGTAAGAATGGGGAACATGAGTGAAAACAGTGATTTGGGTAGGCAGAGGTTAAGAGAGATTTCTATTGAATTTACCATTTTCACTATGTCTTTCAACATTCAATCAGGAACATGAAGCATTTACTTGATCATCAGTTGGTCTCTGAGATTTAGAATTCTTTGCCACCTTTTATATCTTAACAGCCACATTCTTCCCTGATGCAAACACAGTTGGGGTTCTAAACCTGCAGATCCCAGGGCCTTGTTTTCAGTCTGTGTTATGGCTCACAAAACAATGTTTAATTGTGAAAATTCAATGATCAAGTAGACAAAATCAAGTAGACAAAAAAGAGTGTAAAGCACTCTTCCTTGTGCCTTGTGTGCCAGGAACCAATTCCAAATCTGCACGAATGGGGCCATCCGATTGCAATGTGAGACATCTCTCCAGCACACTCTGGGGAGTAATTTTAAACAATATGCCAATGATACCATGTAACGTTTAAGGTGGTCATCTGATAAGGGAATTTGGCTGATAACTCATTCTTCCTTTTCTCTCGCAATATCGTATCATTATCATTTTGGCTGGTTTTATAGCTTCCGTGTGACAGCATGATTTGCAAGTTTCCACTACAAGAAATGTTAAGTTTGAATAATGTCTGTGTACTCTTGGGTTGATTTTCACTGTTAGCCACAAAATTAATCAATTTTACTGAGCTTGGGACCCTTCCAAACCTTGCCCTGTGTGTCTCTTCATTTAACTGTTTCATTTGTATCCTTTAAATTATTCCTTGTAATCAGTGGCTAAACTAGAAAAAAAATTAATTCATTTCTTCTTGCAAAGCATTATTTGTTGTTTGTTCTGGAAAAAAAAGTGACTAAATTTATTTATCTGAACAGTCTCTAGTATTATTCAAAATATTATGAAAACAGCAACATCATCAACTCCACTTAGGATAAATATTCATGACAAAAGCAAGGCAGACTGGGAGTAGTGGGCAGGACACTACAGGACAAATGAATATGGATCTACTGTCAGCCAAGTTTAGCTCATCATTGCTGTGTACCCTGTTAGCACCATCCCATTTTCCGCTTGTTTCAAGACAGAGATTCATATGGGGGATTCTCCTTTGAGTCTTGTCCACTATTTAGGTTATGAACTTATTGTTCACTATTTAGGTTTCTGAGCTAGGCTATTTTTTTACTGTTTTTATCACTGTTTTTTCACTTTAATGAACCACTTGAAGCCATTGATTCTTTTTTTTTTTTTTTTTTTTCTTGAGATGGAGTCTTGCTCTGTCGCCCAGGCTGGAGTGCAATGGTGCGATCTCAGCTCGCTGTAAGCTCCGCCTCCCAGGTTCAAGCAATTCTCCTGCCTCAGCCTCCCAAGTAGCTGGGACTACAGGCACCCACCACCACGCCTGGCTAATTTTTTGTATTTTTAGTAGAGAAAGAGTTTCACTTTGTTAGCCAGGATGGTCTCAATTTCCTGACCTCGTGATCCATCTGCCTCGGCCTCCCAAAGGGCTGGGATTACAGGCGTGAGCCACTGCACCCAGCCTATCCTTTTTTTAAATACCCCAAAATGAGAATCTAACTCAGAATAGGTATAATATAAAATAGAAATTTGACAAATGATAATGAGCCAGTACACAAGGGTTGTGAAAATACATTGGCCCATGAGAACTCTTCTCAGGTGAGGAAATGGTGCTGAGGCAAACTGTCAAAGGCCTCTGCACCATGGATGGCCACAATTATTAAGAAGTGAAAAGGATTTCTGTGAAAAGCATAAGAATTTTCACAACTCAGATCTGTCAAACGTAGGTCAACAAAATGGTTTCATCACATTCTCTACTAAAACTAACAAGCCACCTAGATTGATTCCAAAAATGCTCTAACTGCCTACCTCTCTCTGTATCCATGTCTTTTGCAATATGGCTTTTTAGCTACCTTCATCAATAAGTAGAATTTATCCTTGAATTTGAATTTGCCAGGTGACCTCCTTCTCCAGTAGAATGTCGTGAAAATGACACTTTGCTTCTGAGCCTGGGCCTCAAGAGGTCATTCTTACTTATATTCATTTTCTTGGACCCCTGGGAGTCCAGGTTCAAAAGCACAGGCTAGCATGCTGAAGCATGAGAGATCATGTGGAGGAAAGCTGATGCACACAAGGCTGCCCTAAACCATTCAGGCCTCTGCCAACCAGCCACAAACATACGAGTGAGACCGAGCAAGATCAGCCAACCCTGGCCCAGATCAGCCAAACAGTCTAGTTGACTCATAGAACAATAATAAATGATTATTTTTCAAGTCACTGAGTTTTTGGGGTGGCTTGTTATGCAGTGCTAGCCAACTGATTCATCATCTGTCTTCTGTTTGATTGACCACACTTTAAGAAACATCAAAGAATCAGAAAACTTCATGAGTGTAGGGATCATGTCTGTATTTTCAACTTCTAGCTCTCCAATATCTAAATTAGGGTTTGGCACATTGTCAACACTCTCTAAGCACTTACTGAATTAATGAATCTATCAACTCCTTACCATCATCTCTACCACCATTTTACATCATGTATTCTAACATTATCAGCATCCTTTCAAACTGACATAAAGCTCATCTCTTAAGGGAGGAAAAAAATTTGAGTTAGGACTCTAAAAGCAGTATTTTCAAAAAAAGTACCAAGTTCAGAAATACTTAAATTATTTGAGTAAACCATTCATTTGAAACAATTAAACCAATTTGTAAATGACTTCATTATGATAAAAGTGGATATCTTTCTTAACAAAAGGATTTTTAACTGATATATAAAAAAATTTACACTCCTTTGTCTTCTTATTAAATGAGAAAATTTGCACATAACCCTATTTCTTCATTGTTTTTTATTATTCATTTTTCATCATTATCATGAATGTTTAGAAAATTTCATGAAGTCCTCATAGTAATTATAATTGTAAACATTTACTAAGCATTCACATGTGGTATTGTGCTATTCTCTGCAGAGAAATGCAGTGCTTTAAAAAAAAGCCACCTGCAATCTTGATTCCCTTTTTCCATGTAGCATGACATATTCACAGATTCTTCAGATTAGGATGCAGACATCTGGGCAGAGGGGACTGTTATTCTGCTGATCACAGCCTTTAAGTACTGAAGGGGGAATCAGGCCTCTCTGAGTAGGTGTTGGGAAGTTTCTTTTTGAGACTATTAGGATTTTATTAGCTATGATGACTTTTTGAGTCCATTATGACTGATTTCTCTGAAAAGGTAGGGTTTGTCTTGCTCACACATAGCTTTACATAGAGTATCCAATAAGGCATTTGCAAAAACAAGAGGCACATCAATCAATAGCTCCAAATCCGGGGAACTTCTGTAAAGTTTGGATTCCTGGGATGCACTCTTATCTACTAAATCAGACTCTTCGGGGGTGGTACTGAGGAATTGTATTTTTCAGAACCTCCCCTGGTGACTCACGGCACACACGCTTGGGGGGAACACTGATACAACGTATTGGGTTTGGGGTGTTGACTGAAATGTTATTTCCCCGGGGCAGGCTGCCCATGGAGCTGCAGAGTTGCTGCCCAGGGATTCCACAGAGCAATGCTGCACTGCATTTTCTCCAGCGGACACTTCACCTTGCCCACACAGACATCTCAATGTGTTCAGTGAAACTGCTGTGTATTTCAAAATCTGTTCCAAAAAGAAAAGCCTAGAACCTCACCAAACCAAACTTGAATATAAAGACGTTCATTTTTGTATCATCTAGTGTTGTGGTCTTTCTGCTTCTTAGCTCAGCTAGGTCCAAGTTTTTGTCTTGCAGCCAGGAGGAATTAGGCATGCAGACACCAGAGAGTGAGTGGAATAGAATTTATTAAGCAAAAGGAAAGCTCCTAGCCAAGAAGGGACGCAGGTTGAGGGGTTGCCCTACCCAACGGCAGGAAAGTCCCCGGTGTGACTGGGTCTGGGGCCTTTTATGGACTCAGAATTGGGAGTGAATGCTGGTAGGTTTGTGAGTATGCAAAAAAGGTTAAGGTGAAGACACCCTCAAAGGTTGGCATGACAGTGTAGAAAACCAATTAGGAAAAGGTAGGTATATGTAAAATAGATGAAGGGTGGGGACCAATCAGAGGAGAACGCACCAAACAGGAAGACAAGTTCTCAATCCAGTCCGAGGATTTAGTTTGTATCTTGGCTTTCAGGCTTTAAACTGTGTTCAGCTTGGAGGTGGGATTTCACCGGGGACCCGCCCCTATCTGCCTAGGCATTTGGCTGCCTCCTGCCATTCTCACTAGTAGTTTAAGAACCCAAATCCCGGCCGGGCGTGGTGGCTCAAGCCTGTAATCCCAGCACTTTGGGAGGCCGAGGCGGGCGTATCACAAGGTCAGCACATCGAGACCATCCTGGCTAACACGGTGAAACCCCATCTCTACTAAAAATGCAAAAAGTTAGCCGGGCGTAGTGGCGGGCACCTATAGTCCCAGCTACTTGAGAGGCTGAGGCAGGTGAATGGCGTGAACCCGGGAGGCGGAGCTTGCAGGGAGCCGAGATGGCACCACTGCACTCCAGCCTGGGTGACAGAGCGAGACTCCATCTCAAAAAAAAAAAAAAAAAAAAAATCCTGCTGTGCTATCCAAGCCAATGATACCAACAGACGTATTTTTATCCATAAACATGATACTACAGAGGACATCTTTCATCATAGCACAGAACTTAATCATTTGAGAAAGTATACAGGAACTTAGGAAGAAAATGACAGGTATCTCCAGCGTTTGATAGCTGACCTGACTCACTTCACAGGCCTCAGCCACAGGCCCATCTGGGCAACCATGCCTGGTGTGGGAAGTTCTTGTTCTAATGAAAATAAATAAATCTTGGGGTCTTACCTTTTCAGGAATTGGAATGGTCTCAAGTCATCACTATTTGGGAGGTAAAAAGTGATCTTAATAACGTTTTAAAAACATCATCTCCTGAAAGACCATTTTCTTGGCAAAACACATATAGAATGAATAGCTTTCCAGCAAATATTGCCCTTTATAACAGGGGCACATGAGTTTAGTGCCTAATTAGAGACACAGGAATGTTCCCTGCCTTCCTTCCCCCATGACCAGGTAGTCTGCACCCAAGCCCATGTACACCCCATCCCACCCCTAACCCAGCCCTAACCTGGAAATACTCTGCAGGTCTCCAGTCCAAAATCCCTTCGGGCAGTGATGACAACAGGTAGAAAAAATTAGACTTTGTCTTTCCTTGATTTACTGTCTCTGATTTTTACCAAGTCAATATAGGAAATGGCAGGTGTGTTCTGTATCCAAAAGCTTGGGACATAATTCTGCCCCTCTTGATCTTATCATTTTGCCCAGACGCCTCCCAAATTCCTTCCTACACCTATGCCCCAGTAAAAAGCAGGCTAGACAGCCACTTTTTCTGCCTCTAATTGCTACTTACTCGATTGTATGTAGTTTTTCTCATTACACTATCATTTTCATAACATGAGGTCCCATGGCCAGGTAACCTTGCACGACACAGAGGCCATTTTGGATGGACCCTCTGTTGCATTTGCTCAAATTCCAACTATGTTCTTAGTTCCCTTCACCCCTGTGGTCTATGGCAGAGATTGGTAAATTTTTTTCTCTAATGGGCCAGAGAGTCTCTGTAGCTACTACCCTCCCTGGCTGCTGTGACATGAAAATAGCCATGGACAATATATAAACAAAAAAATGTACTGTGTTTCAATAAAACTTATTTATGGGCACTGGAGTTCTAATTTCAGATAATTTTCATATTTCACAAAGATATTTTTTCAATGTTTGAAAAATGTAAAAACCATTCTTAGCTTGCAGGCTTAAGGTGGCAGGCTTAAGGTGCAGACCCCTGGCCTAAGGAATGCAAAACCTTCTACAGTTTTGTGGTGATGTATGTGGGATTAGAAATCAGATTTCCTTGGTGTGAATCCCAGCTCCACTACATGCTAATGTGTTCTTAAACTTGTTGCTTAAGCTCCTTGTATCTTAGTTTCTCCATCTATAAAAGACGAATGTTATAGAAGCTACCTCACTGGGTTCCCGTAAAGAATAAATGAGACAGGAAAAGCATACAGAATAAGGCATGGCACATTGCAGGTAAATAATAAATATTATCATTATTGTTATCATGATTAATTTTTCCTGTTTTGTATTCCTATAAGGTCTTGCAGAATTTACTAACTTAATCTATTTTATTTCTTTGAGTCAATCTCAATACTCCCCTCTTCTAAGTGAATAGAGCTCACCTCTGATTAATACCACACACTTAACGTATAACTTGATATTTTCATTGTGAAATGATGTATATCACCAAGTCTGAGTTTAATAAATATATATTTTAAAAATATGATTATAAGAAATAACTGATAATTAACATTGCATAATGAAAATTACAACACGTGAAAATGAAACCAGTTACATTTTTTTGTTCATTTGGTGACTATAACTTTGTCTAGAGTATCAAACATGTAGATGAAAAGTAAATATTTCAGATGAGTCAGTAACTTGAATAACTGAGGTTAAATTAAATTTAAAGTTAAATTAAATTTTCTCTAAAATATCCTTTCCTGGATAAGCAGTATGTAAAATAGTTCTTACATGCATAACGTGCAGAAAATTGTATGAGTCATAAAAATTACTGAAAATAATATCCTGTTTCTTTATGGGTGATACTATTCCCTAGTCACTGCCATGTCAAGACACTTTCCCTTATGAAACTTTACAGGAAGGGCAAGGATATCCTGCAAAGATATCTGTGTTGAGAATATTACTGGAAAAATCATTTAGCTGTTGACACACTATAAATTCTCTTATAAAATCGGACTTGATTACACATTAATGACCTTTTTTTTTCTAGTTAGTATCCTGTTCAGGATATAACGAGATAGGCATTATTGCAACTGGATCAGAATCACACTGTGACATTACAGCCTTAGGACTCATTTTGTAGTTCCCAAGAGCTGTTTCAAATAGGTCATAGATAAAAGTGTGAAACAAACTTAGAGAAAAAGATTGATTCATTTAGATGAGTCTTACTCATTAATGGATAGTCTAGATTAGCTCAATGAAATGTTTATAATAAACATTCTTTCTCCAACAGTTTTCTTCATTCACCCTGGCAGAATACTCACAGAACACTGGCAGTCTTTGGAACAATGTTTGAAGTCCTTATACATTAAATAAAATAAGAACTAGATAATATTTAGCAAGTTTGGCAAAACAATATTTTCCTGGAAAAAATCTTTCTACACACAAAATGGTTTTATGGTCCCAGACTCATTCTCTATTTACAGAATAGAAGAGAGAATTCTTTTTGCATATGATATTTCTTTTCCTTTACTTGGAAGAAATATAGATTCTTGCTATTCAAAGTGAGGTCTGCAGACCAGCAACCTTGGCAGAACCTGAGAGCTAGCTAGTTACAAATGCAAAAGCTACTTGTTCCTGCTGAATGGGAATCTGTATTTTAACAGGATCTCCATAGGACTTTGTGAGCACATTGAAGTTTGAGAGATGCTGATCTGGATGGCCCCAATTTGACTTATCCCCAAACCTAATATACTTGAAAAGGGGCCGGGCGCAGTGGCTCACGCCTGTAATCCCAGCACTTTGGGAGGCTGAGGCAGGCAGATCACCTGAGGTCAGGAGTTCAACACCAGCGTAGCCAACATGGCGAAACCTCGTCTCTACTGAAAAATACAAAAATTAGCTGGGCGTGGTGGCAGGCTTCTGTAATCCCAGCTACTGAGGAAGCTGAGGAAGGGAGAATTGCTTGGACCTCGGAGGTAGAGGTTGCAGTGAACCAACGCAGTGCCACTGCGATCCAGCCAGCCTGGGCGACAGAGCAAGACTCCATCTCAAAAAAAAAAAAAGAAGGAGAAGGGGAAGTTAATAAAATTGCCATCTGAGCAATAATAGCTGATCATCCTTGGAAACTGGGGTCCAGGAGCTCCTCTATTTGGGGGTTATGGTACCACCCTCTACATAGTTTGCATCTACAGATAGAGCATCAGCGGCATCTTCAGGCTTCTTCAAGCTGGGAAGATCCAATTCTAAAGAAATATTTACACTGCTGGGAAAGCAACCATCATGAGAACTGCCTGCCCCTCTCTGGGATTGCTCCATCAGAGCCCTGGGCGTGGAACATTCCTCTATATGGAAGCTAAGTGCTGAGCTGTTGCTTGTTCTCTGATGCTTTTTCCTAATTAGGAGAAAACTCGCCCCTGTTCTGGGTACAGAGTGAGCTTCCTTGTATTGCTCAAGTGTGTGCTACATGGCCAGCCTCACCAGTATATCTTCTACCACCACACCACCCAAGGGAATGTGGGTGTTCTCCAGCAGCCCAAGAGATCTGTGTTCAGCCCTTCACCCTGCGTTGGCTATTGGGAAGGACTTCTGGCCATGGGAGGTGGGTGCACACCACAGGGTACCCTTGATGCTGGTCTCTTCTTCCTGTGAGTAAAGCATTGATCCAACCAGTGCCTTGTGTGTTGAGTCCTCCTTGGCCTCTCCAAACCTATAGAAGATGCAGTAGGCTCTGATTTCTGGTGGTTGGCATTGCTATGGTCTTTGGTGTCCTTACTTGGATTGGGTAGCTGGGTCTTCGAGCCAGACACACTCGTCATGTTAATAGCATAGATGTGAATGCCTAGGGGCATTGCCTCTGTGGGCGGGAATGTGCACAAAAATCCAGCTTTATAATTTGGTCTATGTATGGGATGAGACTCCCCTGCCATTTTTGTTGTTGTTGTTGTTGTTGTTGTTGTTGTTGTTGTTGTTGAGACGGAGTCTCGCTCTGTCACCCAGGCTGGAGTGCAGTGGCGCGATCTCGGCTCACTGCAAGCTCCGCCTGCCGGGTTCACGCCATTCTCCTGCCTCAGCCTCCCGAGTAGCTGGGACTACAGGTGCCTGCCACCGCGCTTGGCTAATTTTTTGTATTTTTAGTAGAGACACGGTTTCACCACGGTCTCGATTTCCTGACCTCGAGATCCGCCCGCCTCGGCCTCCCAAAGTGCTGGGATTACAGGCGGGAGCCCCCGCGCCCGGCCCTCCCCTGCCATTTTCTGAAGTGAAATCACCTAGATTGCCATTTACGTTACTGAAGAAATCCACAAAATTATCTCCTATCTCTCTAAACCTCAGTTTTTCTCTGTAGAGTAAGAACAATAATGGTAACTTCATCACGGAGTTATTGTGGGGAATATATAAAATAATGCATGTAAGGGCTTAGCACAGCCCCTGCTAAGTGGCCAAGAAGGGGCAGCTGCTGCAAATATCTAAGGCTGCTTAACTCTGAGGATTATCTCCTCCTTGGGCAATTACTAAGATTCTGCCAAAGGTGGGAGATGCTGGTTCCATAAAAGCAGCTCAGCTGTGATGGAGAACGCCTCTTCAGCTAATAACCTGCTAGAAATTCTAAATATCAAATATCTCTTCTAGGATATGTGAAGACAACCAAATTTCCTGAAGAACTGATGAGTTTTAGGAAAGCCACAGAGAGATAAGAGACTCACATAAGCACAGAGAGGAAGTAACAGGAAGAGGGTTACTGGTTCCCGAAGTGCCCCTCATCCACTGGGGGATTATGGGAGTTGCATCCATGTGATTTGTATCTACGAAGTTGACATTGTTAGCCAGAGTAGCAGATAACAGGTAGCCCTCGGTTGCCTACAGATGGCCCAGGGATTCTGCAGCCCACACCATTTTAATGTCATTATTCAGGGAATAAGAACCAGAAGGGTCTGACCTCCTTTCCTTCCTTCTTGAGTAATTGACACTACCTGGAGTTCAGCTGGTAGCTCTGCATCTATGAGTGATTGCAGTGGAAGCTGGCTGTGAAGAACTATACAATTTCTAGCTCTACAAGTTTAATTCCACTTAAATTACATCATGGAACTGGGACACTGGGAATGGCCAGCTGAGTGGGCGTGGATGCAGATGAGGTCCCCAAATCACTTTTGAGTCTCAGATAGTATTTATGTGTGAAACATGTTCTGCCAACCCCGCTATCGGTATCAATAAAACACAATCATGCTCACTCTCAACCCTTCAAAACTGGATCCTGTGTTCCTGTACTGAAAACACTTGGGAACCACTCTCCCAGGCGAATATGTAACTATTTGAAGTTAAATGTGCTGCCTGTTCTGCCCTGGGCTGCCAGATGAACAGGCTGTGAGTCGCCCGATGGCCTCATCTGCTCTCCTTCCAGCCTCCCCAGGAGAGTGGGAGCCCAGTGGTCTCCAACGATGTGAATCTCAGAAGACCAGTGTCCACTTTTGGAGAGTAAACGGTTTCAGAATGTGCCAGAATGAGCCAGTAATAAAATAGTGTATGTAATGGGAGCCTCTGGCTCCTTGATTTGCCAAGATAACCTGACAATAACATCTACAGAGAAATAATGGGATTTGGGTCCAATTAAGGGAAGATATAAAAGCACTCCAAATATTCATTAGCTATTTTTCTTCATAGTCATATGAGAAAATAACAGTACATCTAACTCTTAAGGTAGTTGTCATGGGTCATTATCTTGTCCCTCTGCTATGAAGAAGGAGTTAATTTAATAAGAATCATTGCAGGAAATTGTTATTAGAAAGAATTTCTTCAAGAAAACAATAATGAGAATAATGACTTAACCCCATGAAATTCAAGCATATCTGTTTCTTATAGGAAGTTTAGCTTTTCATTTACTCCATGAGTTTCCTATAACACAACCTATTTAATATTTTGGATGAATTATACCAATTTATTAGAATTGACACTGATAACACATGAAATTCAGTTTAAAGATGAGATTAATTCCTTAATTAAATTGCCTTAGCTATATTTACAATTCTAAAAACAGAAAAGACTAGTAAATGAGGTCAAATTGGCTTCTGACTGAAGCTAAAAATAGTTGTCATTCACAGTATTTTCCTGTTGAATAATGGGTAAAGCCAGTGCTCCTGGGGGAGTGACTGTGTCATTGATCACACCTAGAGCATTGCTTTAGGAAACACCCCAGAGAGCAGAGCCTGTGGGTTCCCATGTGACTGCGATATAGTTACCTGGCAAACACTCACAAGAAATGCCTCATTGCCTCCCACCACTCTTTGCTCCAGCCCACACACGTGTTCATCTTTTTCACCTGAAAAACGCAGGAACCATCTACAAAACTGGAAAATCATTCAGGACCCAGGTGTTTTCTCCTTTAATACATTTTTGAGGATAAGATAAAATTTCATCGATTTTTTACATTCTTGCCCACAAAGCTAATCTAACAGTAACAACCAATAGTCGGGATAAAAAATTAAATGTCATATTCCTATATATGTAGTCTCTGATACATTTTAATACGGAATCCAAACTAGAAGTTCAACCTGAGTGAAAACTTGAGTATTGAGAATTTTACTGTAATATAGGCACGGGATTTTTTTAAATGAATAAAACGTATCACTGGCTATTAAATGTGTAAGCAGCCACTGTTGTCATGCTATGTCCACCTTCTTCCACTAGAGGGCCCCTCAACTAAATACATTGAAGGGATGTGAAATTTTTTTTAAGATGAAAAGATCAATATTCTCTTTAATCAAAAAGGCTTTTGAATCTATACCATTATGGTACATTGGCGGAAAGTTATTTCACAGAAAAGCATGCAGATATTCGATTAGAGCTTTATAAGGCAGAGAACTATGACTAGAAGACAATGTCAACAAAATAAAAAATAGAAATGTACAGTGTTAATGATGAATGGAAACTTTTAAAAGAATAATAACATAACTTACAAACACTCTTACCTGTTTAAATATTATTATATTTTTAAGGGCAAGAGTCTTGGAAATAATCCTAAACATTCTCAGTTTTATAGATGGAGAAACTGAGGCTCAAGGAGGGGAAATAATTTGCCCGGGACAAGATCACCAGTTACTCTGTGGGGGCAGAGCCAGGTGCCCTAAGCATCCACTATTCTCTAATGTAATAGCATCCTCTATCTCTACCTATCCACCTATCTACCATCTACAATAAATAATTTTACCTCTGATTCTCAAGTCCTAGGAAAAGTCCCATACCACCTGACTTTTGGGTAATACTGCAGGTAGGATGGCCATTTTCTTCACTGTTATGTGGAACTGTGTTCCTACAGCCACACACTTCTGTTCTCCCATGATGTCCCTGGCTTCTCCAAATGTCCATCAACAGGTTAGCAGAAGAACAAATGTGGCATATCCATACAATGGAATAACACTCCACAATATAAAGGCGTGGCCCATTGTGAAATGCAACAACATGGACAAATCTTGAAAGCATGATGCTGGGTGAAAGGAGCCAGACACATAAGAATACACACCGCAATTCGATTTATCTACAATCCTAGACAATGGAAACGAATCTTTTTGCACAAAAAGAAAATTTGTGGTTGCCTGGAACCAGGTGGAGGAAAAAATGGACTGCAAAGGGGCAAGAGGAGACTCCCGGGAGTCTACCTTGATCATGGTAATGGTTTCACGGGCTAACACACTGTGCGAACTCATCAGATTGGCCATTTTAAATGGGTGCCATTTATTTTAAATAAAGTTTATAGCAAAGTTGGTTTTTAAAAATAACCCCATGAGGCAGGTGCTATTTAAATCCCTATTTGATAGAAAAAAAGCAAATAATAATGGGATATATTTATTAAATGGGAGAACAAGAATGATATCAACTTAAAAATAATATCAACATAATAAATCAATTACAATTAAATTATATAACATAAACACTCAAGTTTACTGATTCTAAAGATTTCTAAATATAAAATCTCATTATCTAAAGCCATCTAGATTTTTAAAAAATTAACATATTTTAAAATTAAGGGCTAAGTACAGTAAAGTACCCAAATATTAAATGCATCCTTTGATTAATTTCTATACATGTAAACACCCATGTAACTATCACTCAGATAAAGATATAGAAGATTCTAACAATGAGAAGACTTCCTTAGGACCCCTCCCATTCAGTAACCACTCCCAGGAGTCACTATTCTGACCTACATCACCTTTGACTATTACTTTTATCGTTTTTGAACTTCTTCAGATTGGACACTTTGAATAGGTGCCATTTATTTTAAATAATAAAGTTTATAACAAAGTTGATTTTAAAAAACAACCCAATGAGGCAGGTGCTATTAAAATCCCTATTTCATAGGAAAAAAAGCAACTAATAATGGAATATATTTGTTAAATGGGAGAACAAGAATAATATCAACTAAAAAATAATAATATCAACACAATAAATCAATTAAAATTAAATTATAGAACACAATACTTGAGTTTACTGATTCTAAAGATCATATGATTTGTACTCTTGGGTCTGACAGTTTTCACTCGATATCATGTCTATGAAAATCATTCCTGCTGTTGTGCATATTAATTAGATACTTCTTTTCAATGCTATGTAGTATTTCATTGCATGAATATACCGCAATTTATTTAGCCACCTATTACTAATAGGTATGGGTTGTTTCTGACTTTGGGCTATTAAAATAAAGCCACTATAACATTTTTGAACACATCTTTTGGTGAGAATGGGGCCATAATTTCTGGTGCGCATATATCAAGATAAGATTGCAGTGTCATAAATGTTTTAAAGTTGCATGTTTAGCTTGTTTTGATTAGATACAATATACAGGCATAAAATATAAGACTAATTAGTAGTTTTCCTGGAAAGTTGTTTTTGTTATCATTAGGTAAGCAGGTGTTAATATCTTTCCCACTCGGGGGTCTTTGGAAAACCTCCGAAAATGAATTTCAAGGATAACAGTTTTCTAGAATGTGACTTTGTCAAATGATCCATGATGAGTTAAAATGAAGTTCATAGCAGGTATTTCTTCCCCTCTGGCTTTTCTCCCAGGACCCCACAAACAATCATTCAAACCAGTGCTTCAACAATTTCACTTCTGTATGGGTGGCAGGAATGCTCTTTTCTAAGGAAGTAAGCTGTCTTTTTCCTGCCACTTTTCAGATCAGCCATACTTTCAGACTCATTTTTACCATTCAAGATAGATGGCCATTGCCATTAATTCAGTCAATTCATTAATGGTTTAGGCTTTACCTTGAGCACTTAAGGTTCCCGTCGTGACCAGAAGTTTTTCCTTTTCATGCATGTCTGAGCTTTTCCATCTCTGGCTTGAGTTTGAGGGTCCCCTGGATGCAAGTGCTACTTATGAGCAAAACAATATGAGTTCTTTCGAGTTTCTAAAACTACTCTATGAAAATAGATATCAAAGGAAAATACTCAGTATATTCAGTTTTATCCGTTACATAATTTGAAATCATATTTTCTTGGCACTTTACAAAAGCTTTTAAAAGTTTTTATTTATTTATAATTTTAGAGACAGGGTCTCACTTTGTCACCCAGGCTGGAGTACAGTGGCATGATCATAGCTCACCGCAACCTCAAACTCTTGGGCTCAGGCAGTCCTCCCACCTCAGCCTCCCAAGTAGCAGGCACACACCACCATGCCTGGCTAATAATTTTTTTTTTTTTTTTTTTTTAGAGATAGGGTCTTGCTATGTTGCCCAAGCTGGTCTCAAACTCCTGGCCTCAAACTCCTCCCGCCTCAGTGCTGAGATTACAGGCATGAACCACTTAGTCTGGCCACAAAGATTTTTATATAACATCTCTTTCAACACAGACATAAGTACAGGCATACCTCGGAGACACTGGGACCACAGCAATAAAAGGAGTCCAAAGTATTTTTTTGCCTCCCAGTGTGTATAAAAGTTATGTGTGTGCTACACTGTAAGGGTGCAACAGTATTATGTCTAAAAAACCAATGTGCATACTGTAATTTAAAAATACCTTGTTGCTAAAAAGTGCTAATGATCATCTGAGCCTTCAGTGAGTCATAATCTTTTTGCTGCTGGAGGTCTTGCCCCAGTGTTGGTCGCCAACTGATCAGGGTAGTGGTTGGCAAAGGTGGGAGGCTGTGGCTAATATCTTAAAATAAGACAACAGGGAAGTTTGCTGCATCAATTGACTCTTCCTTTCACAAAGTGTTTCTCTAGAGCATACAATGATGTTTGATAGCATTTTACTCACAGTAGAACTTTTTCCAAATTGTAGCAAGACCTCTCAAACTCTGCTGCTGCATTATCAACTGAGTTTCTGCAATATTCTAAATTCTTTGTTATCATTTCTTTTTTTTTTTTTTTTTTTTTTTTTTTTGAGACGGAGTCTTGCTCTGTCGCCCAGGCTGGAGTGCAGCGGCGCGATCGCAGCTCACTGCAATCTCCGCCGCGCGGGTTCACACCATTCTCCTGCCTCAGCCTCCCGAGTAGCTGGGACTACAGGCACCCGCCATCACGCCCGGCTAATTTTTTGTATATTTAGTAGAGATGGGGTTTCACCGTGTTAGCCAGGAAGGTCTCGATCTCCTGACCTCGTGATCCATCCGCCTCGGCCTCCCAAAGTGTTGGGATTACAGGCATGAGCCACCGCGCCAGGCCTAACGGTGATATTTTTAAGTAGCTTTAACTCAGAAAATTCAGTGCCATGGTAATACAGTCGGCCCTTCATGTTGGTCAGTGCCACATCCGTAGATTCAACCAACTGCAGATCGAAAATATTTGCAGAAAAAAAAAATAAAAGTGACAATACAACAATAAAAATAATATACCTAAAAGCAATAAAACATAGCAACTACTTACATAGCATTGACCTTATGTTAAGTATTTTGAGTAATCTTGAGATGATTTAAAGTATGCTGGAGCATATATGTAGGTTGTATGCAAATACCACAACATTTTATATAAGGGACTTGAGTATCTGAGGATTTTGATATCCTGGGTGGGGGGAGCCTGGAACCAATCCCTGAGGCTATCAAGGGACAACTACAGTTTAATTTGAATATAGATAAATAGATATGAAATAAATTTTATATGTAAAAAACATTTGCCATTACCTAATTAAGTACGGCACATTTTTCACCTCACCAAGTAGCTCCAGGAGGTTTCAGATATCATGCCAGAGTATAAATGCCCTTTTATAGGTAAATGTTTGCTTTTTCCTATAATTCCATAGAAAAAGATCAAGAAAAGAGAGGTTTCCAGGATATATTTCCAATTTAAACCACTGAAAAGCTTACATCAATAACAATTGAGGAAAGGTCATAAATGCACACATAAAATTTATTTTTAAAACTGGGTAATCAGTGCTTAAATGAGTCACTTTTTCAGTGTAGTTGTTTTTTTATTCCACAATTTCCAGCATATACATCCTTGTGGCTGAAAGGGTTTTGTGACCACAAAGCCCATTAGGGTTGCCTGGAAAATAAATATGAAGAAATTACCTGCCCATACTTTTTCTATGAACAGCTTGTCTAACTCATAGCAAGGTCAAAAACAGAAAATTAGCAATAGTTCTTCACTCACTGCTAACCCAGCAAGATCATTCAGTCATTCTAGAAAAACGGGTGTTATTTTAGCTTAGAATAACATATAACCAGCGCATTTACCTCTCAGCACTAATGTAGGGAAAAAAGTGAGCTAACAGAAGGAGCCGTGGTCAAATAATAAAGGAAAAATAAGTTACAGGCTGCCCAATGAAATGATGAGAAGGAAAGTAAACTGAGATTCAACTTGGAAAATTCCATCTAGGAAAAAAGGAGTCAGAAAAGATCTTCTGGAGAAGAGAATTGGAGACTGTGTGTACAGCGTCTGCCTTGTCCATCAGCTCCTAAGTTCTTGAGGCCAGAAGCAGGGCCTTGTGGTATGTTAAGAAGAAATAGTTAGAGCCATTGTGGCTTGCCTGTGTGTCCCTAAAAAGAGATATTCAGTGCCCAAGTAAAATGGCAGGTACAGAAAATAGAAAGCAGGACCAATAAGGAGGCAGAGACCTTTGTGTGTAATGACTGACCAAGAGGCTCGAGTGATGTTCTTGTAATGACACAACACAAAGAAAAGGACCAGTTCTTGTAAAAATTAGATTAGTTATGGATATAGAAGAATACATTATTTTGTCTAGTAGGCCTGGTCACATCAGCTGTTCGTAAAATCTTACACTAGGACTTTAATGAGCTCTCATTATCTCAAAACTGGGCTAAAACATTGGAGAACAGAAACTTCTGAGAACCAGAGTCCTAATTCTTCAAGGCATGTGTTCATACCAGTGTCAAGTTAACCCTATGGTCACAGCCAGAGACTAGATCTGCACAGCAGCTCCTGGCTGCTATTTAGGAAATACAACATTGAATGCCTAATTACTGCAGGCTTAGCTGTTTATACTTGAGTTCTAAGCTTATTTACTAATTGAAACACTTGAATTGTAAGCTCGCCTGCTTCCTCTTCTATTAACCCATGGGAATAAAGTGGGCAGATAGAGGTGGGAGAAAAACCCACTTTTGTCTTTGAATACCTTTATAACAAATTAATATTGAATTTTCAGAAAAGAATACTTAGTCCAATCAGGCTGCTATAACAAAATATCATAAACTGGGTGGATTTCAAACAACAGAAATTGATTTCTCACAGTTCTGGAGGCTGGGAAGTCCAAGATCAAGGTGCCAGCAGATTCCGAGTCTGGTGAGGGCCCCTTTTTTGGTTCATAGATGACGTCTTCTTGCTGCATCCTTAAAGAGCAGAAGAGTGAGGGGTCTCTCCCAGGCCTCATTTATAAGGGCACTAATCCCATTGATGAGGCCTCTGCCCCCATGACCTAATGACCTCCCAAAGGCCTTCAGTCCTAATACCATTGCCTTGGGTGTTAGGATTTTAATATAGGAATTTTGCTGGGACACGAACATTCAGACCATAGGAAATCCTGATAAGATATGTCTAGGGTAGAAAGAATCATGTTGCAGTGGCTGTTGCTCTTTTGCTGAAAACCTCCTTATAGTGTCACATATTCCTTAGAAGAAAAGCCAAAGTCTTCATCATGATCTACTCTCCAACCCACCACCTCAGACCTGGCCTCTCTTTACCCTTCTCCAGCTGGGCTCCAGTCACCTGCCTCCATCCTGTCCTTACAGCAGAGCTGACCGCTGCCCCCTCCCCTGGCCCTCACACTCAAGGCCTTTGCTCTGGCCCTTCCTCAGCCCGCAGCTCTCTTCCCCACACAGCCACAGGGCTGAGCCTCACTTCCTCCAGGGATTCTCCCAAATGCCTGCTACCTCTGCAGTGAGCCCTTCCCCTGCCACCAAATATAAAATTTCAGCACCCATCCCAGCCAATACTTCCTCTCCTTCTTCATTCTTCATTTAAAAAAATCCTTAGCATTTATCACTATAGAATATATATTATTTATTAATCAATTATCTCTCAGCATCAGAAATCAGCTCTGGTGGGCAGAACAGCTGCTCTCTCTCCTGATACAGGGGGGAGGCTCTGAACAAACATTTGTTGAATGCATGTGTGAACAAACACTCACAAATCTACCACCCAGTTGAAGGATCAGGACAAACCTCCTGAGTGACCCTCCTCTATTCTACCCACTTCCCTCCCCCATCACAGGTGGTCACAAATCTAAATACGTTTATCTCTCCCCTGCTGTCTTCATACTTTGTGTGTTTTACAATATGTTTGTATCTCTAAAAACATACTGTTTGGTTTTGCATATTTCTGACTTTCTATAAATGGAGCAAACTACATGCATTCTTCTGTGACTCAGCTTTTTCATTCAACAGTTTCCAAAACTCATCCATGTTGTGTGTAGCTTGGATCCAGTGTTCACCACTGTATAGTATTCTGTTGTATGATTACATCACAATTAATTATCTGGGCATATGTGGACATTTGTAGTGTTCCTAGTTTTGGCACAAAACTCGTTGCTGTGAACATTCTTATACATGACCCTGTGCAATTGTATATGATTTTTTCAGGTTACATATCTAGGAGCGAACTTGATATGTAGGGTCTTCATAGGTTGGCCTTAGTCTTTACTGGATAGTGTCAAATTATTTCCAAAGAGGTTGTTCCAATTTACATTCCCATGAGAGCTGTAAAACTGTTTCAGTTGTTCTACATCCTCACAATAACTTGATATTATCAGGCTTTTAAAAGTTTTGGTAATCTGTTGCCAGTAAAACAGTCTGGTCATTTCAATTAGTTTCCCTGATTGCCAATGAGCTAGAACTTCTTTTTGGGTTATTTGGATTTATTCCTCAATAAAGTGCCTTTTGACTATTTTTTATTGGGTTGGTTTTCTCCTTTTTATTAATTTGTAAGCATCACTTATATATTCTGGATATAAATAATTTTCCAGTTATATGTTTTGAAATATATTCTCCCAGTTAAAGGATTGGATTTTCACTTTCTTTATGTTTTCTTTTCATGAACAGAAGTTCTTAATACTACTGTAATTGAATATATTATGTTTCCCTTTATGGCAGGGGTCCCCAACCCCCAGGGCCACAGATTGGTACTGGTCCATAGTCTGTAAGGAATCAGGCCTCACAGCAGGAGGTGAGTGGTGGGCAAATGGGTGAAGCTTCATCTGTATTTATAGCCATTCCTCATTGCTCACAGTACTGCCTGAGCTCTGCCTCCGTCTGATCAGTGGCAGCATTAATCTCATAGGAGCACAAACCCTACTGTGAACTGTGCATGAGAGGGATCTAGGTTGCATGCTCCTTATGAGAATCTAATGACTGATGATCTGTCTCCCATCATCCCCAGATGGAACCATCTAGTTGTAGGAAAACAAGGTCAGGGCTCCCACTGATTCTACATTATGGTGAGTTGTGTAATTATTTCATCACATATTACAATATAATAATAATAGAAATAAAGTGCACAATAAATGTGCTGCGCTTGTATCATCCAGAAACCATCCTCCCGCCCTGGTCCATGGAAAAATTATCTTCCACAAAACCGGTCCCTGGTGCCAGAAAGGTTGGGGACCACTGCTTTATGGTCTATATTTTTTAATACCTTAAAACAATCCTTCTCAATTCAGAAAACATAAAGATATTTGATACTGTCTTCCAATTGTTTTATAGTTCTTCCTTTTATATTTGAGTCTCGAATCCACCTACAGTTAATTTCTTTAGGTATCGTATGGTGTAAGGGGTCAAACTTCATATGTCTAATCAGCTGTCCATGCACTATTTGTTGAACTGCCCAATCTGTCCCCACTCATCTGCATCTGCCAGTTCAATAATGCATCATTCCTATATTTGTGTGGGTCTGTGTCTATTTTGTTTCATTGGTTTCCTTGTCTATTACTTTTTTTAATTATTGTATTGTGTCAAGAACACTTAACATGAGATCTTCCTCTTCACAGATGTTTAAGTGTGTGATACAGTATCATTATCCACAGGCACGGTGTTGTACAGCAGCT
Organism: Homo sapiens; assembly: GCF_000001405.40. Taxonomy (NCBI): domain Eukaryota; kingdom Metazoa; phylum Chordata; class Mammalia; order Primates; family Hominidae; genus Homo; species Homo sapiens. Next base: position 116,512,813 of record NC_000010.11, on the reverse strand, counting down.
CTCTAGCATTACTCTCTCTTGCGTAACTGAAACTTCATGCCCACTGATGAGCAACTCCACATTTGCCATAGTAGAATGGCAACCACTATTCTACTCTGTCAATATTTATTCTTGATTAAAAAAATGAACGAACAAAAATTTTGAAAGGAAGAATACAAAACTACTTCAACAGAATGATAATACTTCTCAGGAACCAATGTTTAATGATGACAGGCTAGAAGCATTTTCATTTACACCAGATGAAGCAAGGATGCTTGTCATTTATTATAATTTAAATTGTTCTGAAAGTGCTAAATAACGCATCAATTCAATAACAAGCAGTTAAAACCAGGTGGAAAAAAGGAGGCAATATTCCCTTATTTCCAGATGCTATCACTATATTGAAAAAAAAAACCATTGAAAACCATAAGAGAGTTCAGTAAGGTGGTGAGTTGTAAAATTTATATGCAAGAGTCAACAAACTTCATGCTACAGAAACAATTCGCATCATGAAAGAAGAAGTTCTACTCACAAAAACAAGACACAAAATATCTAGGAATCGCAATGGTAGCTAATAACAAGCACCTGTTGAAATGGGGTTTTTTTTTTTTACATTTATCACTTAATCCTTAAAACAAACTATGGGGTTGGCATTAACATTATTACAATCATTTTGTAACTGAGAAAACTGAGCTTCAAAAAGCATCACCAGCTCGCCAAAATCATTTCCAGAACACAAGAGAGTTAGGATTTGCACCAAAGGTTGTGGTCTTAATGGCTACAGACTGCCGCTCTACCTTTACAAAAAAAAAGCCATAGAACTCCACTAAAGTATTATACAAGCACCTGACACAGTGGTGATATGTCTTGAAGAGGATGGCTGCGTATCATAAAAGGTGTCAGTTCCTACCAAATTATATTTGAATTAAATGCAAACTCAATAAAATGTTGACAGGATTTTAAAAATATAACAACCTTATTGATACATAATTTACATCAGGATTTTTTTTCTTAATTCACTGGGTGATTCTAAATTTTGGAATTCTGAATGTGGAAATTCTGATAAAAGGGGGTAACTTGCCCTACCTAATACCAGAGTATGCTGGAAGCCACAGTTATTATTAAAATAATGAGGTAGAGGGATAGACATAGACCAGGGTTCACAACTGCGGACAATTTTGCTCCTCAAAGACGTTTGGCAATGGCTGGAGGTATTTTTTTGTTACAGTTGAGGGATGCTCAGTTGTGTGTTACTGACATCTAGAGGATGGAGGCCAGGGATGCTGCTAAGCATCCTACAATAATGTGCAGGACAGCCGCCCACTCCCACCTGCCAATGAATAACTAGCCCAAAACTGTCAATAGTGCCAAGGCTGAGAAACTAAAATAGACAAATGAACAGCACAAAGTAGTGAATCTAGTATTAGACCTAAGCATCTATAGCAATATAAACTAGTATAAAGATATCATTAAATCAATTAAATGGAAATTGATGGATTTTGGATAATTAGTGAATGGTATTTTTTAAAAATAAAGCTAATCTTAACCTCAGTTGAATGATGAGTGCATAAAAATAAAAAACATCTCCACAAGATAAAAACAAAGACAAAATGCAAACCACAACCTAGGAAAAATATTTGCAATATATATGTCAATCGAAACAATATCCATGATATACAAGGAGTTTTTACAAATCAATCAGGAAAAGACAAACCATCCAGATACAATAAATAAGAAAAGAGATAAAATACACAAACAAGAAATTCAGAACTGAAATATATATACATATGAAAAATTACACATAAAATAGAATTAAATATAGTAATGACAATGCAAATTAAAGTGAGATATGATTTTGGCAAGAGATAAAACTGAAAGTCTGCAATGACTGAAAGCACAGGATTTTCAGTCCAATATCCTAGGAACGAATCTTACAGTGTCCTCTCTCACTAGCAGTCATATCTATTTCCAGCAACGTAAGCCTTCTCTTCTCCAATCTCACGGGAAAGCTACAAAGGGCATCTACCAAAGGTGTGGTTACATAATGAATAGTCTGAATTTATGTTGCCCACATGCTGGATAAACAGCTTTCCTTTCCTAGACTGACCTTGTTTGACTGTATAAATCTGTACAAATTCAATCTTCCTGGTGAAAATTCACTAGAGGCAATATCAGGAAATTTTATTAGCTGTAATGATTTATTTAGGCCTCTAGAGTGCCATTTATTTCCCAGTAGAAAAATAGTTTAGAGTATTTCAGTATTTCATTATTCACTGATTTCCTTCTAAAGTCCATTAAAAGTTTAAGTAAAAAAAAAATCTACTGGGCTGCCAACATCCTTAATGGCTTGGGCAGTATTTATGAATATTTCTGAAGATATAGTATTTGTGCATAGCCATAATATCCTAAAAGAGCTTTTCTATATTAGAAAAAAATCCTTCTCCATTTGCTATCCCTAAATTATCTAAAATTCATGATTTGGTAGGGTACTTGAATATATCCATTGTTAGTTATCATACCTACGGGAATTGTGATTTCTAGGCAGCTTGAGGTCAATTGAAACCCAAAATCTCAGTGCAGATTTACCCAGTGCTCCCTGGGTCCCCAGATATCATTTATATGAGGCCGAAGTTGCCCAAGGGGCTACTACACAGAGGGCACTCACATACCATGGGGAGCTGCTTGAACTTGCCCCCCAAACCTATTCTTCTCCAGTCTCCACAGCACATCACATCTTGAGATAGCTCAACTATGGTCACCCTTGACTTGCTTAGGTCCCCATCAGTCACAGGTGCCCACAGGAAGGAAGGCAGGTCTCCAGGGTCTGTTCTTTCTGACTCCACGGATCTTGTTAATGCCTGTGTGCTGTGTGGAAGCATGACTTAGGAACAAAATCACTTAGGAAAGAAAAGACTCCTTGCAAAGAAGTGTCAAGGAAGTAATTCTTTAGAAAACTGGTCCATTAAGTAAAACACCCAACAGGTATTTATTTATTTATATAAATGTATAGGGTATGAGTGTAATTTTGTCACATGCATAGATTGAACAGTAGTGAAGTCAAGGCTTTTAGAGTATCTATCATCTGAATAACAACCATTGCGAGCATTCAGTCATTTCTCATTGTCCACCTCCTCCTGCTCCCTTGCTCTTTCAAGTTCCCATTTTCTATCATTCCATGCTCTATGTCCATGTGTACACATTATTTAGCTCTCACTTCTAAGTAAATCCGGTATTTGTCTTTCTGTGTCTGACTTGTTTCACTTAAGATAATGGCCTCCAGTTACGTACATGTTGCTGCAAAAGACATAATTTCATTCTTTTTTTTTTTTTTTTTGAGACGGATTCTCGTTGTGTCACCCAGGCTGGAGTGCAGTGGTGGGATCTCCGCTCACTGCAAACTCCACCTCCCGGGTTCACGCCATTCTCCTGTCTCAGCCTCCTGAGTAGTTGGGACTACAGGCACCTGACACCACACCTGGCTAATTGTGTGTGTGTGTGTGTGTGTGTGTGTGTGTGTGTGTGTGTTTAGTAGAGATGGCGTTTCACTGTGTTAGCCAGGATGGTCTCGATCTCCTGACCTCGTGATCCGCCCGCCGCGACTTCCCAAAGTGCTGGGATTATAGGCCTGAGCCACCGCACCCGGCCAATTTCATTCTTTTTAATGGCTGAATAGTATTTCATTGTGTATATACACCATATTTTCTTTATCCAATCATCCCCAACAGATATTTAAACACCAGATTGCCACCAGGTTTACATTAGTCTTTTAACGTCAATCACAGTCACAAAAATGAGGCTATGTCTTTAGTGAAGAGCTCTGCAAAAGTTAAGGGTAAAGGTGTTCCTCTTAGGGAGCTAACTTAGAGGATGTGCTCAAGATCTTCCACGCGTCTCCCAGCTTCCTTGGGACGTGTTCCAAGTTCCTTACCATGGCTTGCAAGGTTGGTTGTTTTGCTCCCTCACGTCGTTTCTTCTCACTTTCTGCCTTGCACTCTGGCTCTGGCCACGCTGCTGTTTTTCAGATAAGCCAAAGAGGCTCCTACCTCAGGCAAACTTTTGCTGAATGGACAAATGAGCATGAGTTTGAAAGCCTCAGAAACAAGGACTTGCAGAGAAACAGTTGTTCCTGTGTCTTCCCATCTGGACCCCAGAGAGGATAACAAAAGAGATTCCAAGAATGATTGGTTAGTGGAAATCCCCAAGGGCCCTGGGGACTCACGGCAGAGTTGCTCAGCTCTCCTCTCACTTTTCTTTTGCTCAGTCAGGAACATTATTTCCTCCCACTACACTCCCTACCCTCATATTCCCCCATCACCCACACACCTGGCAACACTCACCAATGGCCTACCCAGCGACCCTGGTATTCAATCGGTATCTATCTATCTGTATCATAATTCCCTCCTGAGCATGAAATCTTCCCCTTTGGTGCTGTCCTCCAGTCCCACCCTCACTGTGCTAATTTTTTCCCCGACTTTCTTTTTTTTGAAAATAATTTTTTACAGCATGGTCTTGCTATATTGCCTGAGCTGGTCTTGAGCACCTGGGCTCAAGTAATCCTCCGCATCAGCCTCCCGAGCACCTGGAACTACCCTGTGCCTAGCTTCAAGCATCTTTTGAGTAGTCTCTATTTGCTTAGTGAGCTATGAAGATGTCTGAATATGCCCACACATTCAGGACTTCATCAGGATGGGAGGTGCCACAGGGCCTTTTTTTCACAATATCTCAAAAAGAAAAAAATCAGCTGCAGTTATATAAAGGTAGGCTACATCCTAGACCCCTAAAATGGCAACGTCTTCTCAAATGCCACTACTTAGTAAAAGGAGTCAAAAAAGGAAAGAGATAAAATTCCTGAGAATCTATGGAGGTAGCTTGGTCATTGTGAGCTATGCTAAAAAAAGGAAGGAAAAAAGTCTAAACTAATAATTTGTGCCAACTGTTTCTTTTGTTCCATACCTAAGATAGCTGGGTGATCAATCTCTGTTTCTCAGCTTTGGCTGTATATTGGAATGACCTGAAGATCTCTAAAGAAAACACCGATGCCTGGGACCCATTCCCAGGGATGCTGGTGAAATTGGGCTGGAGGATGGGCTGGGATTTTTAAAGCTTCCCAAGAGAGTCTGGTGTATATCTTTATATCATTGGCTGGTGTAATGTTTGATTAAATTATACACCTATGTTAACAGTGTAAGTGGTAAATACGTTTGAGAACACACAGACATACTGAATCACAGTGGAATCACCGTGCTGCAGATACCTGTTGATGTTTTACAAAGAGAGTGACGAATATCTGAGAATCCAGCCATTCTTAACATCCTCAATTGAGGATATTGAGGTTTCTTCTTTATTCTTAAAAATATGCCTATTTGGCAGCAGGGCATAGGGCTGGAGGGGGCAAATGGGGAAAATTATTGAGTAATTAGAAAGAATCCAATCTTGGGCATCAAGCAGTTTCTCACCATATTTTTCTCTTCTTAAAAATTATATTTTTTCCCCTCAGCATTAAAAACTGTGGTATTTTATCCAAGAAGTGAGAGGTTCAGTCTATTCAAGAAAATAAATCTATTGCTAAGATCATTCATTGGAAATAACGGAACAGACATCATCAGGGATATTGAACACACTTTTTTCTTCTTCAACATGAACACACTTCCCTTCAGAACTGGAGTTCTTTTCTTCATACAGCATGCTAAACACATATTCCGTGGCCACAATATTGTCATATCGAAAATTTCACAATCTTTCTCAACACCATTTCAGGATCAGAAGGCATTTTGTAGACCAACTGTTCTTTGCACATTCAGCCATGCATAACTGGCATTCTGGTGCCATATTTTTCAGTTGTGTCCTCCAGCCTCTTTGCTGCAAACACAGCTGGTGTTGTCTGTATTGATCCCAGTATACCTCTTCCAGTTTATCTTATGGCTCACACACCAACCATTGAGCTAGGTGGAAATCTTTGCTCCTTTTGGCATGGGCTTTCCACAATACAGAGGACAAAAGGTCATCACACTTCTCCCTCGTGCTACTTTACGTATCGATGGTTTTGTACAACTGTATAAGCCTGTTGGCATGCACAAGTGATAGTAATTCCACATGGTATACTAGTGATATGATGCAACATCCAACAGCTTCATCTGAAAAGGCATTTAACCGATAGCTTATTCTGTTTTCTCAAAAATATTTGTCACTGACTTTGAGACTGGTTTTACAAGCTCCTCTGCGATACTGCGACTTGCACCTGTTTTTGCCATAAGGGCTGCAACATTGAATGATGCCTGTGTACTCTTGAACTCATATCCTATTTATAAACCTAATTCTGGAAGGTATTGTTTTCTGCTTGTTTAAAAAATAATACACTTAGGCCGGGTGTGGTGGCTCACACCTGTAATCCCAGCACTTTGGGAGGCCGAGGCAGGTGGATCATGAGGTCAGGAGATTGAGACCATCCTGGCTAACATGGTGGAGCCCCGTCTCTACTAAAAACACAAAAATTAGCTCGGTGTGGTAGGGGGCGCCTATAGTCCCAGCTACTCGGGAGGCTAAGGCAGGAGAATGGCGTGAATCTGGGAGGCAGAGCTTGCAGTGAGCCAAGATCGGGCCACTGCACTCCAGCCTGGGCAGCAGAGCAAGACTCTGTCTCAAAAATTAATTAAATAAATAAATAAATACACTTAATCAAGAGGCCACCACATTTTGCTTAAAAATGTCATGAGAGGCCGGGCGCGGTGGCTCACGCCTGTAATCCCAGCACTTTGGGAGGCCGAGGCGGGCGGATCACGAGGTCAAGAGATCGAGACCATCCCGGCTAAAACGGTGAAACCCCGTCTCTACTAAAAATACAAAAAAATTAGCCGGGCGTAGTGGCGGGCGCCTGTAGTCCCAGCTACTTGGGAGGCTGAGGCAGGAGAATGGCGTGAACCCGGGAGGCGGAGCTTGCAGTGAGCCGAGATCCCGCCACTGCACTCCAGCCTGGGCGACAGAGCGAGACTCCGTCTCAAAAAAAAAAAAAAAAAAAAAAAAAAAAAAATGTCATGAGAATGTCAAAAACTTGACGCTACTGCTGGAGAAATGTTTACACACTATAGACCTGAAGGAAGATGGAAAAAGTTTTGCTGTTCAGTTGGCTTCTCTCATGCTTTCAGATTCATTTGAGCCAAGGCTGGGTTTTGGTTTATTACACGCTTCTGTGCCTGGTACTTACGCTGCTATTGTCATCTCTGATTTCCCCTCTCACTGAACAACTTTGGAGCCACTGATTCTTTCTAGTGAATTGGGGATGTAACAAACACAGGAAACAAACACAGGAGTAACAAGAAATTGTGCAAATTAACGAGCTCAATTGAAGAATAAACCCACAAATGGTGCGAGAAGACATCAGCTGAGAAGGCTTGCTACTAAGTAAAATGCTTGCTGAGGCCAAAGGATAGATTCCATCCTCAGAGCACATTGTTAAGAAGGAAGCAGGGGTTCCAAGGAAATGATAGTAAATGTTACATTTCCTATTTGTCAAGTGCTTGCAAACAACATTGTTTCATTCCTTCATTCCTCTGAAACTTCCAAGCTAAATGCTCACCTCTTGATGGAACCCTCTCTGTGAAGTGTGGGACAGTGAACCTCACGAGCTGAGGGCCATGTTTATTTTCTTCTTTTGAACCCTGCTGCCAAACATGGGGCCTGGACAAGAGCAACTCTATAAATACCTGTTGAAGTAATGAACACACGCGCCATTATCAGCCTGAGATACAGGAAGTGTTCGTGATTTCTCACTTTATCATCACTTGCCACTCTCAGGCCCTTAGTGCATGTTAAGGAGATGCAAACAAATCACCTTTTTCCGCCTACTCAAAGTGCACAGGGGATAATAGTAACACCCGAGCGGAGGATGACAAATCATTTTTGTGTGTCAATAATAATTAACTGGTTGTAACTGCCCAGATCATTGGAGTGAGAAGGAATCTGAGGTCACATTTGATTTCAGTGGGAAGAGGACGTTGATCAATTAGTCGCAGGGCCATTGGTTGGGAGTAAAAAATGGTATTACATTGGCTATGCATTTTCCATTCCCGTCTTTAGTGGGTTATTTTGACAGTAAAAAGCTAAACAGTTTAAATGCTGATGGTGGAATTGAAGGTGCCAGCAATAAGGTGGAGGAGTGATTGAAGATACCAGCCTTTTGATGGATTCTCCAAAAATCCCAAGGCTTTACCTGCCTATAGTCTGCTCCATACAGGGTATTAGATGAGGCTTTGGGGACAATAAAAGACAGGCCAATGGTTCTCTTACCTGGATGAACATCAGAAATACCTGTGAAATTTTATAAAATCAATTCCTCAACTGAGATCTATTAGATCACATGATCAGGGGCAGTATTTTGGGTTCATTTTTTTTTTAATTCTTTGATTACTCAGATGCACATACAAATTTGGGAAACAATGATAGACATCTACTGGGGGGAACTGAAATCTGAATCATTCCCAGTAAGATAACTAGGAAGCTGTTTGTCAAAGCTCCTCCTTAGGATTCTATGCAGCAATGGTAGGTAGTGTATTTCACGACTCTGATATCCAGATATCTGGTTGTCTCTCTTTTTGTGATGTTAGTAGCCAATGATAATCATTGCTTAGATACTATAATTCTTTAAGGTTTGAAAATAATGGAATCCTAATTATGTAATTTCTATTTCATGTATTAGCTAGAATATTTCTATAAAGAGGAATTTGCCTCTCTATTTACTATTACTTGCCTCTTTAATAACTAATTACTGTGAGTTACAATTCATATAGGAAAAACAGGATCAATGATTTACCATTTATTTGCCAATTTTCAAAGTAATGAGTTTATCATCCTCCAAAGGTGATGAATAAACTTTTTGTTTTGATTTCTAGTATCGTTTTGAACTTATGAGTAAACAAATTTTTAAATGTTTCCATCTGTGGCCATTGCCATATAACTACTGTTTATTGATGATTTATTGATGCTCATAGCGTCCCATCTGCAATAAGTATGAGCCTCTTTAAGTCAGCTCCTTAGTCTCTTTAACATGACCCTGTAATCCTTGACAGTTTGCTTTCAGGTCAGACAAGATGTGCTGGCCTCATCTTCAATCTGAAGTCAGCCATTTCTCTAAGAAGCTTTGGTTATTTTTATTGGGAAATGGCAAGTGGAGGTCACAATTTGGGTGTTAGGGTGTTCATCAGTACTGGACTGGTTATTGTTTCTAGACTGTACAAAAGCTTTTTATTTTAGAAAAAGAAAAAATGGATTATGAGTTCCCACTGGAATTCCACTTCAGTACTAAAGGATTTTATGTAATCTCATTAACCTTGCATCTGTATATCCCTTTTTTTCCATGCCAGAAGTACTGGTTCTCAATGACATCAACTTAATTTTCATTTGTTTTATCCTACAATCGTCTCAAAATAACAACACAGGCATCAGTCTCAAAATGGCAATATCAACACCAGCAACAACAATATAAATACTGGAAAGAGTTTATGTGGTTTTTCCTCGCAGATCTTTTTATCCTTCAGGTTATCCCACTGGGGATATAAATCAAATGACTGCCATAAAATCACTTGCAGTCGTTTATGTGATTATGCAAATCAGCCAGATACACACTGAAGTTCATTTATTTCATATTGAGTCCAATATTTAGGGATTTTTTTCTATTAGTTTATTTTGTTATATAATCATGTAAAATACCTACATGTTTCCAAAATGAAATCTACAAAACAAAGTAGATTCAGAAAAGTCAGGCTTTCTCTGTCTTTTCCCACCTTATTTCTCTCCATACCATTGGTAATATTTTTTTTTAATTAAAAAATTTTACTTCCATTTTCTAAGTGCAGTTAAACAATTATATATATATATATATTTATTCCATTTTCTTGTTAATATGTTTTGGAAAAATCAAGCCACAAATTGAAAACACAAAAGGCATATTCTTTAGGTAAAATATATAAAAAATTATATATATATATAATATTGAGTTCAATATTTAGTTCAAAAATTATATATATATATAATTTTTTTTGGCCAGGTGTGATGGGCCACGCCTGTAATCCCAGCACTTTAGGAGGCCAAGTCAGGAGGATTTCTTGAGGTCAGGAGTTTGAGACCAACCTGGGCAACTTAGAGAGATCCAGTCTTTACAAAATAGTAAAAAATTAAAAAGTCAGATGCATGGACATGGTGGCATGTTCCAGTAGTCCTAGCTACCTAGGAAGCTGAGATGGGAGGATCATTTGAGCCCAGGTGTTCAAGGTTGCAGTGAGCTATTGAGAGGTGAAGCCAGCTGGGCTTCTGGGTCGGGTGGGGACTTGGAGAACTTTTCTGTCTAGCTAGAAGATTGTAAATGCACCAATCAGCACTCTGTAAAAACACACCAATCAGCACTCTGTGTCTAGCTAAAGGTTTATAAATGCACCAATCAGCACGCTGTAAAGTGGACTAATCAGCGCTCTGTAAAATGGACCAATCAGCAGGATGTGAGCAGGGCCAAATAAGGGAATAAAAGCTGGCCACCTGACCCAGCAGCAGCAATACGCTCGGGTGCTCTTCCACACTGTGGAAGCTTTGTTCTTTCGCTCTTCGCAATGAATCTTGCTGCTGTTCACTCTTTGGGTCCACACTACCTTTATGAGCTGTAACACTCACTGTGAGGGTCTGCGGCTTCATTCCTGAAGTCAGCGAGACCATGAACCAACTGGGAGGAACAAACAACTCTGGACGTGCCACCATTAAGAGCTGTAACACTCACTATGAGGTTCGGCGGCTTCACTCCTGAAGTCAGCGAAACCACGAACCCACCAGAAGGAAGAAACTCCAGACACATCTGAACATCTGAAGGAACAAACTCCGGACACACCATCTTTAACAACTGTAACACTCAGCACGAGCGTCCGTGGCTTCATTCTTGAAGTCAGCGAGACCAAGAACCCATTGGAAGGAACAAATTCCAGACACATTTTGGCGACCCAGATGGGACTATTGCCAAGCAGTGAGCACCACCCCTTTCGCTTGCTATTCTGTCCTATTTTTACTTACAATTCGGGGGCTAAATACCGGGCACCTGTTGGCCAGTTAAAAGTGATTAGCACGGCGGCCGCACTAAAGACAGGTGTCAGACTTTCTGGGAAAGGGCTCTGTAACAACCCCTGACTCTTCGGAGTTGGGAGCGTTGGTTTGCCTGGAACCAGCTTCCGCTTTTCCTGTACTTCTGGGCTGAGCTGAGGGTCGACAGAGAGGAAAGCCATTCAGCTCCGGGGTCCCAACAACAAGTTGGTTGACCCTGCGACCGTAAGCAGAACTCTCAAAGTTACGTTGCCCAAGTGAGACTCGCCCACCTATCTTATCTATCCTGACCCTTGCTTCCTGGGTCCTAATGCCTGTCAGACAAACTTCCTCTCGCCTCTCTTCTCCGCGACAAGTCCCGCTTCCAAAAACCACTCCCTGTCTCTGGTGCTTTTGTAGTTTCTCCTCTAAGTGTGATTTCTAGTATAAACCTCAGGACTCTATTCCCTTCTTTAGGCACTCAGGCTCACCAATCAGAAAGACACAATTTTTGCCCAAAGCCCCATTGGTAGTGGGGATTACTATCTGGAATTTTAGGATCCCTCCTGAGACTAGCAGGCCTAATAAAAGCTATTCCTGAAGCTAGGATATGGGGAGCTTCAGAAATGGTATCTTTCCTATTCATATAAGTGAGGACAAAAGGCATCACTCTTCCAACTCTGGAGATGCCTTCCCTCCCTCAGGGTATGGCCCTCCATTTCATTTTTAGGGCATAACATCTTTATAGGACAGGGGTAATGTCCCAACACTAACAGGAGAATGCTTAGGACTCTAACAGGTTTTCGAGAATGCGGCCATAAGGGCCACTAAATCTGACATTCCTTGGCCCTCCTTGTGGTCTAGGAGGAAAACTAGTGTTTCTGCTGCTGCGTTGGTGAGTGCAACTATTCCAACTAGGGGATTCTCCTTCAATGAAAAGAAAGCTTGGAAATAAACTCCATTTGCCTTCCCTCTTACAGAAAAGGTCAAGCTGCAGGATAGTATTATAATTTATACTTCGCTCAGGTGGCCATTTTTCTCCATCAGAGAGAGAATGTTGGGGCCAAGCCACAGTGCAGAAAAAAATGAGCCACCTCTTTTTCAGGGTGTGCGAGTCAAATTGGTCCTAATGGCTTAGGATGCATTTCAAGGGTAAGCCTGTTGCTGCCTGAGTGTTTCCCATCTAAAAGACAAAACAGCCCACGGTTTTGGTTTGTTTCTCCCCCTGCCCAAGAACCTGCAACAGTCCCTGGATCCTACTGATCGGAATAGTTGCGCTCACTGATGCAGCAGCAGAAACACCTCTTATCCAAGAAGATGCAACGGTCCCTGGACCCTGCTGGTCAGAATAGTTGTGCTTGCAATTTACATCCCACAGGAGGACCTCTCAGCTTACCCCCATAGCTCCCCTTCCTATTAATGATAAGCCTCCTCTAATCTCCCCCTCCCAGAAGGAAACACGCAAAGAAATCTCCAAAGGACCACAAAAATCCCTGGGCTGTCAGTTATGTCCCCTTCAAGCTGTAGGGGAAGGGGAATTTGGCCTAATCTGCATACATGTCCCCTTCTCCCTCTCTGTTTTAAAGCAGATCAAGGTAGATCTGGGGAAGTTTTCAGATGATCCTGATAGGTATATAGTTGTCCTACAGGGTCTAGGGCAAACCTTTGATCTCTCCTGGAGAGATGTCATGCTATTGTTAGATCAAACCCTGGCCTTTAATGAAAAGAATGTGGCTTTAGCTGCAGCCTGAGATTTTGGAGATACCTGGTATCTTAGTCAAGTAAATGATGGAATAACAGCCGAAGAAAGAGACAAATTCCCTACCAGTCAGCAAGCCATCCCCAGTATGGATCCCCACTGGGACCTTGACTCAGATCATGGGGACTGGAGTCGTAAACATCTGTTGACATGTGTTCTAGAAGGACTAAGGAGAATTAGGAAAAAGCTCATGAATTATTCAATGATGTCCGCCATAACTCAGGGAAAGGAAGAAAATCCTTCTGCCTTCCTCAAGTGGCTATAGGAGGCCTTAAGAAAATATACTCCCATCACCTGACTCACTTGAGGGTCAATTGATCCTAAAAGATAAGTTTATTCTGATTGGGTAATCAGCCACAGATATCAGGAGAAAGCTCCAAAAGCGAGCCCTGGGCCCTGAACAAAATCTGGAGGCATTATTAAACCTGGAAACCTCAGTGTTCTATAATAAGGACCAAAAGGAAGAGGCCCAAAAGGAAAAGCGAGATCAGAGAAAGTCCGTAGCCTTAGTCATGGCCCTCAGACAAACAAACAAACCTTGCTGGTTCAGAGAAAATGGAGCAGGCCAATCATGCGGTAGGGCTTGTTACCAGTGTTGTTTGCAAGGACACCTTAAAAAAAGATTGTCCAACAAGAAACAAGCTGTCCCCTTGCCCATGTCCACAATGCTGAGGCAATCACTGGAAGGTGCACTGCCCCAGAGGACAAAGGTTCTCTGGGCCAGAAGCCCCCAACCAGATGATCCAATAACAGGACTGAGGGTGCCCGGGGAAGCACCAGCTCACCTCATCACCCTCACTGAGTGCCAGGTATGTTTAACCACTGAGGGCCAGAAAATTGACTTCCTCCTGGACACTGGTGCGGATTTCTCAGTGTTAAACTCTTGTCCCAGACAGCTGTCCTCAAGGTCCGTTACCATCCGAGGAATCCTGGGACAGCCTGTAACCAGGTATTTCTCCCACCTCCTCAGTTGTAACTGGGAGACTTTCCTACAGATAGTAAGCATGCTTATCTAATCCTACATGCCCATGCTACAATATGGAAAGAAAGGGAGTTCCTAAGCTCTGGGGGAAACTCCATTAAATATCACAAGGCAACCATGGAGTTATTGCACACAGTGCAAAAACCCAAGGACGTGGAAACAGCAGCATAAGCGGCTGGCAGAGACAGAGAGACAGAGACAGAGAGTGAGAAAGAGAGAAAAAGACAGGAAGTCAATGAGAGAAAGAGACAGAGATGAAGAGACAGAGAGACAAAGAGGGAGTCAGAGAGGCAGAAAGAGAAAGACAAAGTCAAAGAAAGAGAAGGAAAGAGAGAGGAAGAGACAGACAAAGAAGGAGTCAGACAGAGAGGAAGAGAGAAAGAGACAGAAAGTCAGAAAGAGAGAGAGAGGAAGAGACAGGGACAAAGAGGGAGTCAGAGAGAGAGAAAGAGAGAGACAGTCAAAGAGAGAGGAAGAGACAGACAAAGAGGGAGTCAGAAAGAGAGAAAGAGACAAAGAAGAAGTCAAAGAGAAAGAAAGAGAGATAGAAGTAGTAAAGAAAAAACAGTGTACCCTATTCCTTTAAAAGCCAGGGTAAATTTAAAACCTATAATTGATAATTGAAGGTCTTCTCCGTGACCGTATTACACTCCAATACCACCTTGTTGTCAGTGTAAATGTAGCCCAAAAGCACTGAGGCCACTGACAACCCGTAACCTTCCTATCAAAAATCCTTAACCCAGCAGGTTTCCTAACAGGGGATCTAAATCTTAATTAATTACCATACAAAGGTCTGACCAGACCTAGGAAGAACTCCCTTCAGGACAGGACAATAGATGGTTCCTCCCAGGTGATTGAGGGAAAAAGACACAATGGGTATTCAGTAAGTGATAAGGAAAATCTTATAGAAGCAGAGTTAGGAAAATTGCCTAATAATTGGTCTGCTCAAATGTGCGAACTGTTTGCACTCAGCCAAACATTAAAGTACTTACAGAATCAGGAAGAAGCCATCTATACCAATTCTAAGTTAATATGGACTGAATGAGGTCTTATTAATAGCAAAGAATAATTGAAATCCCAAGCTTACAAGGTTTTCAACAAAAGTAAAGTTTGCTAACAGTGTAACATGTATTATCCTCCTACCACATGCTCTCAAAGGATTTCTCAGACAGTTTGCAAGAAATAACATAATCTATCCTTACTCTATAATCCCAAATAGACTCTTTGGCAGCAGTGACTCTCCAAAACCGCCGAGGCCTAGACCTCCTCACTGCTGAGAAAGGAGGACTCTGCACCTTCTTAGGGGAAGAGTGTTGTTTTTACACTAACCAGTCAGGGATAGTACAAGACGCTGCCCGGCATTTACAGGAAAAGTCTTCTGAAATCAGACAATGCTCTTCAAACTCTTATACCAACCTCTGAAGTTAGGCAACATGGCTTCTCCCCTTTCTAGGTCCCATGACAGCCATCTTACTATTACTCATCTTCAGGCCCTGTATTTTTAACCTCCTTGTCAAATTTGTTTCCTCTAGGATCAATGCCATCAAGCTACAGATGGTCTTACAAATGGAACCCCAAATGAGCTCAATTAACAACTTCTACCGAGGACCCCTGGACCAACCTGCTGGCCCTTCCACTGGCCTAAAGAGTTCCCCTCTGGAGGACACTACATCTGCAGGGCCCCTTCTTTGCCCCATCCAGCAGGAAGTAGCTAGAGCAGTCACCACCTAATTCCCAACAGCAGTTGGGGTGTCCTGTTTAGAGGGGGGATTGAGAGGTGAAGCCAGCTGGGCTTCTGGGTCGGGTGGGGACTTGGAGAACTTTTCTGTCTAGCTAGAGGATTGTAAATGCACCAATCAGCGCTCAATAAAACACACCAATCAGCACTCTGTAAAAACAGACCAATCAGCACTCTGTAAAATGGACCAATCAGCAGGATGTGGGTGGGGCCAAATAAGGGAATAAAAGCTGGCCACCCAACCCAGCAGCAGCAACACGCTTGGGTCCCCTTCCACGCTGTGGAAGCTTTGTTCTTTTGCTCTTCACAATAAATCTTGCTGCTGCTCACTCTTCAGGTCCACGCTCTCTATGAGCTGTAACACTCACTGCGAGGGTCTGCAGCTTCATTCCTGAAGTCAGCGAGACCACAAACCCACAGGGAGGAACAAACAACTCTGGACGCGCCACCTTTAAGAGCTGTAACATTCACTGCAAAAGTCTGCGGCTTCACTCCTGAAGTCAGCAAGACCATGAACCCACAGGAAGGAAGAAACTCCAGACACATCTGAACATCTGAAGGAACAAACTCTGGACACACCATCTTTAACAACTGTAACACTCACTGCAAGGATCCGTGGCTTCATTCTTGAAGTCAGCGAGACCAAGAACCCACCGGAAGGAACCAATTCTGGACACACTATGATCATGTCACGGCATTCCAGCCTGGGTGACAGAGTGTGGCCCTGTCTCTGAAAAATAAAATTGAAAGCATACATTTTTCTTCAGCAAATATTACCATTTAACCGCACAGGCACCCAGTGCCATGGCAGGGAGAGCCTCCAAAAGCCAGTTTGCATAGGGCACCTGGAGAATGAGTTCTACAGTCATCCTATCAAGATACAAATGATGACAGGTAGAAAAAATCAGACCCTGTGGGTTTTCACTCTTTGATTTATTGACTCTCTGTTGACCAAACCAGTGAGAGAGACAATAGATATACAGATATGTGTTTTGGAGCATCACCATTCATTTAGTTCCATTATTTAGAACGCAAATGCTTCCCTATGATGCTGCTATGACATGTTGGCAGCAGATTCTTTCCCAAATGGATCCACAAACTTCCCCCCAAGTAGAGTTTCACTCCCCTAGTTTCTCTGCCTTACTACTATTACTTCATTTGCACATCATTCCCCCACCCCTCATTTTGCCTGCCTTGTCATTAAAGCGGTTCATTGCCATGGCAACTAGAAATGGTGAACCCTCATTTTAGGTTTAGTAAAACCCTGTGCTCTATTTGGTCAGATTCCAGATTTTTTTTGGTTCTTATCACTCTTGTGGTCCACAATGTGTAAAACATTCACCTTTTTGCAGTACCACTGACACTGGGGCCAGACTGCTTGGGTCTGCCCCCTGTTTCTGCCATTAACCATCTGTCTGATCTTTGGCTAGTTACTTAATCTCTCTGAGTCTCAGGTGCCTCATCTGTATATACCTCATAGGGTTGTCATGAAAACTCAATCAGAAAATGCCCAAAGCTCTTAGAATTGTAGCTGACACGATCCTATATCTAGAAAAGCCCACTGTCTCAGTCCAAAAGCTTCTTAAGCTGATAAGCAACTTCAGCAAAGTCTCAGGATACAAAATCAATGTGCAAAAATCACTAACATGCCTACACAACAACAACAGACAGCAGAGAGCCAAATTCATGAATGAACTTTCATTGACGATTTCAACAAAGAGAATAAAATACCTAGGAATATAGCTAACAAGGGAAGTGAAGACCTCTTCAAGGAGAACTACCAACCACTGCTCAAGGAAATCAGTGAGTGTACAACAAATGGAAAAACATTCCATGCTCATAGATAGGAAGAATCAATATCATGAAAATGGCCATACTGCCCAAAGTAATACATAGATTAAATACTATTCCCATCAAACGACCATTGACATTCTTCACAGAACTAGAAAAAAACTATTTTAAAATTCATATGGGGCTGGGTGTGGTGGCTCACACCTGTAATCCCAGCACTTTGGGAGGCCAAGGTGGGGAGATCAGCTGAGGTCAGGAGTTCAAGACCAGCCTGGCCAACATGGTGAAACACCATCTGTATTAAAAATACAAAAGTTAGCCTGGTATGGTGGTGTGCATCTCTAATCCTAGCTACTTGGGAGGCAGGGTCAGGAGAATCAGTTGAACCTGGGAGGCAGAGGTTGCAGTGAGCCAAGACCGTGCCACTGCACTCCAGCCTGAGTGACAGAGCAAGACTCTGTCTCAAAATAAATAAATAGATAAATAATAAAATAAAACTCACATGAAACCAAAAAAGAGCCTGTATAGCCAAAGCAATTCTAAGCAAAAAGAACAAAGCTGGAGGCATCATGCTACCCAACTTCAAACTATAGTACAGGGTTACAGTAACCAAAACAGCATGGTCATGTTACAAAAACAGACATAGAGACCAATGAAACAGAACAGAGAACTCAGAAATAAGACCACACATCTACAACCACCTGATCTTTGACAAACCTGACACAAACAAGCAATGGGGAAATGATTCTCTATTTTAAAAATGGTGCTGGGAGAAATGGCTAGCCATACACAGAAAATTGAAACTGGATCCCTTCCTTACACCTTATACAAAAATTAACTCAAGATGGATTAAAGACTTAAATGTAAAACCCCAAACTATAAAAACCCTAGAAGAAAATCTAGGCAATACCATTCAGGACAGAGGCAAGGGCAAAGATTTCATGATGAAAATACCAAAAGCAATTGCAACAAAAGCAAAAACTGACAAAGGGGATCGAATTAAACTAAGGAGTTTCTGCACAGCAAAAGAAACTATCATCAGAATGAACAGACAATCTACAAAATAGAAGAAAATTTTTGCAACCTATCCATCTGACAAAGGTCTAACATCCAGAGTCTATAAGGAACTTAAACAAATTTACAAGAAAAAAACACCCCATTAAAAAGTGGGCAAAGGACATGAACACACACTTCTCAAAAGAAGACATTTATGCAGCCAACAAACATTTAAAAAAGCTCAACATCACTGATTATTAGAGAAATGCAAATAAAAACCACACCAGTCAGAATGGCTATTTTTGTTTTATTAAAAGTCAAGAAATACCAGATGCTGGTGAGGCTGCGGGGACACAGGAACAACTTTTACCCTGTTGGTGGAAGTGTAAATTAGCTCAACCATTGTGGAAGACAGTGTGGCAATTCCTCAAAGACCTAGAACCAGAAATACCATTTGACTCAGCAATCCCATTACTGGATATATAACCAAAGGAATATAAATCATTCTATTATAAAGATACATGCACGCAGGGCTGGGCGTAGTGACTCATGCCTGCAATCCCAGCACTTTGGGAGGCCGAGGCAGGCAGATCATGAGGTCAGGAGATGGAGACCATCCTGGCTAACATGGTGAAACCCCGTCTCTACTAAAAATACAAAAAATTAGCCGGGCGTAGTGGCGGGTGCATGCAGCCCCAGCTACCCGGGAGGCTAAGGCAGCAGAATGGCATGAACCCGGGAGGCAGAGCTTGAAGTGAGTTGAGATCGTGCCACTGCACTCCAGCCTGGGGGACAGAGTGAGACTCCATCTCAAAAAACAAACAAAAAAAAGATACATGTATGCTTATGCTCATTACAGCACTATTCACAATAGCAAAGACATGGAATCAACCCAAATGCCCATCAGTGATAGACTGGATAAAGAAAATGTGGTACATATACACCATGGAATACTATGCAGCCATAAAA
The DNA here is from genome assembly GCF_000001405.40 of Homo sapiens. Classification (NCBI taxonomy): domain Eukaryota; kingdom Metazoa; phylum Chordata; class Mammalia; order Primates; family Hominidae; genus Homo; species Homo sapiens. The sequence goes on along the minus strand of NC_000010.11, from coordinate 116,493,547 downwards.
AGGAATGAGATCATGTCCTTTGCAGGGACACGGGTGGAGATGGAAGCCATTATCCTCAGCGAACTAATGCAGAAGCAGAAAACCAAACACAATATGTTCTCACTCATAAGTGGGAGCTGAACAATGAGAACACATGGCACAGGGAGGGGAAGAACACACACTGGGGCCTGTCGGTGATGCGGGGGCAGTTGGAGGAGAGAGAGCATCAGGAAAAATAGCTAATGCATGCTGGGCTTAATACTTAGGTGATTGGTTGAAAGGTGCACCAAGCCACCATGGCACACGTTTACCTATGTAACAAATCTGCACATCCTACACATGTACCCTGGAACTTAAAATAAAATAAGAAGAATAACTAAATGGAGGGATATATCATGATTATGAATTGAAAGGGTCAATATTGTAAGCATGTTAACTTGTCCCAAACAACGTATTTGGAAATAGGAAAGGGAAAGAATAACAACGACCTTGAAAAAATATTTTAAAGTTGGAAGGACTTGTATTGTCAGATCTAGATATTAATTATAAAGATACAGTAATTAAAACTGTATGGTGTTGGCACAATGGTAGACCAAAAGATCCATGAAATAGAAGAGTCCAGAAGCAGACCCATAAAAATGCAAACCATCTTATTTATGTTAAAGTACCAATGCAATTCAGCGACAGAATAAATGATCTTTTCAAAAAGTGGATCCACTAGATATGCAATTGAAATGGGTCTTCACCCTGCCTCATACCATACACAAACATTAATTGCTTGGTTCTAAAAATAAAACACTGGAGCTTTTATAAGATAACATGGGAAAATATCCGCATGAATTTAATTGGTAAAATTATTTCTTAATCAGAACATAAAACTCTAATCATCAAGGGAAAGTCTGATAAATCAAACTTAAAATGGATTAGAATTAAGAATTTTTATCCATCAAAAGATACTATTAAGAGCATGAAAAGGCAAAAGGCAAGATACAGACAGGGAGAAAATATTTGCAATACATATATCCAACAAAGGAGTCATATTAATAATATATAAAGAATTCCTACCAATCAATAAGAAAAAGATGGAAAAGAGAAACCAATAATGGGCATAAAAGGTTAATAATGACTCTACTACGAAGGACATGTAAATGTCCTATAAAGATATAAAAATATGCTGTAGCTCATTTGTCAAAATATGCTGTAGATCATTTGTCATCAAAGAAACAAATTAAAACCAAAATGAGATATCACTACACACTCACCAGAATGGCTAAAATTAAAAGGATTGTCAATATCAAATGTGGTGAGGATGTGGGACAAAAAGAACCCCTCAGCACTGCTGATGGGAGTTTAAATGACTACACCCACCCAGAGAGCTTCTCGACAGTACCTACTAAAGGGGAATATGTACATGCTTCATAAATCTGCAATTCCATCCCTAGGTTTATATTAAAATTTAATGCAACCGCGCGCGTTTGCATTACAGGCTCATTGCATTGCATTACAGGCTCATCCCTGTAATCCTAGCACTTTGGGAGGCCAAGGTGGATGGATCACGAGGTCAGGAGATCCAGACCATCCTAGCTAACATGGTGAAACCCCGTCTCTACTAAAAATACAAAAACTTAGCGGGGCGTGGTGGAGGAAGACTGTAGTCCCAGCTACTCGGGAGGCTGAGGCAGGAGAATGGCGTGAACCCAGGAGGCGGAGCTTGCAGTGAGTGGAGATCACACCACTGCACTCCAGCCTGGGAGACAGAGCGAAACTCCGTCTCAAAAAAAAAAAAAATTAATTGAGCTGTACACTTATGATTTGTGCACTTTGTTGTATGTATATTACACTTCAATAAAAAGAAGTTTAAATTAAAGTAAACTGTGGCAGCCCCTCTCCTAAGGGGCTTCCTTCCTAGAAATTAGCCTGGACTACACTGAGTATATTAGTGTCATACATTTTCCAGTGCTCACTGTTTTTGCTCACCTGTGATTCACCCATTGTTCTCATTTATCCTCCTATCCTCCTCAGTGGGGTAGGAGCCTATCCTGTTGCCAATGATGTAAATAGGGAAAAAGAATATGAAGTGTTAGAATTAAAGATATAGGGAACCTCTGGAAACGTGATTTACTCAGGTGACAAAAGCTAGAGAGATGGCAGGATTTTGCTCTGTTCAATGCAAGAATTTTCAGCACCCCAAAGATTTATTACTCATGGATTTTTTTCCATAGTTACATTAAAAAATGCAAATATATTTTTTAAGCCAGTTGACATAGAACTTTCTATTATCCTTTTGCTATGAGGAGTGATCTAAATTTAACATGAAGAGTTGTTATAGAAACTAATCACATCAGATGTTGTCCTAGAAGGTACTAATTAAGGTAATTATTCAATCCTATGGAATTCAAGTTATCACATCTCTTTTTAGCTTTTTATTTACTCCATAACACTCTCTGTACATACAAACCAATGTTATATTTTGGTATGTTGGTATCTGGTATGTTGATATATTAAAATTGAAATCAGTAACTGGAGAAATTCTGCTTTAAAACATCATCTTTGTTGCTTGACTAAAATGCCTTTGTCACTTTTTAAAAACAAAACTGACCAGTTAATTGTGTGAAATTGGTTTGTAGGCAGAGCTTAAATATTTCCCTCATATGCTTTCAGTTGCTGGTCAATCAAGAGGAAAGTTCAATTTCTGGGGAGAAATGTCTATTGATTACTACACCAACAGCAATTACATTGAAGCCGAGGCCAGTGAGTAAGATGGTAAGTTCCCATGTAACCTGAGGACAGATAGCTGAAGAACTCCCACAGCACATGCCCCGTGTGCTCTCACAACCTAAACAGTCGGTGAGGCTAGAGTTTCTCCATCCTGGTGCTCCTCTTCTGCGTTCCACGGGTACTGTCCCTGTCCCACCTGAAACATGTGACAGAAACATACATGGTAAACCAGCAAAGAGTTCAGGATATCAGAATCTTCTTTCTTTCCTGGTTGTAATTCATGCATTTGGAGAACGCATTGAGGTTTGTCCTTTATGTTTTATATAGCCCAATGTACACTTACTCCAAGAGCATCAGTCAATAATTAGGAGAGGGTTTTTTTAAAAAATGATATTCTACCTTAATACATGTTGTTGTTGCTAAATTTCAAGATTGGTTATAAACCAGAATTTTAATCCAAGTGAGATCTTGAAAACTGAAAATTTCACTGCAAGAAGCATAGAGGTTTGATTCATTAAAAATGTGTGAAATGTAGAGGTTTGTTGATTACTAAGCAGCGGCAGGATGACACAATATGCTCATTCTTCCACTAGAGGGCACTGTAATAAATCTATTAAAGTCAACTAAGGCTTTCCACAATAAAAAGACAAATCAAACTTTTGGAAAATTAGAATTTATTTGGTGCAATCAGTAAACATCACTAAAACATAAAAATATGTAATTATAGCTGCATATGATTGGGGAGAATTATGACCACACATGAAAATCCAAAGCTTCTTTTGTATTGATTGACTGAGTCATTCATTCATTCATCCATCTATCCAGTCATTCCTGTACACATTCTGTAACCTAATTTTCCTCAAGGATTTCACAATAAGAAAGTAACCCCAGAAATCATGAATGTTATCTTCGTTTTACAGATGGATACACTGAAGATTAAAGGGGAGAATAGATTTGCTCAAGTCCACTTCATTAATTGATGCTGGAATCAGAACTAGATCCCAGATCCTCTTAATTCACCATTCTATGCTCTATTCACTATATTAGATTCTAAGATATTGTGGAAGTTCAAACAGAAATAAACTTCTGTTTCTAAGATTTCAGAAAATGTCATCTGCATTGCTGGTACAAAATATCAACATGTTCCATTTGTCTTCCGGCCAAATGTTCCATTTGTCTTTTGCATTTTTCTTTTTTCAAGTTTTTTGTTTTGGGTGCCTTGGGCCTGTTTCTTTCTCTCTGTGATAACCAATGGAATTACAGTTTTTGGCCTCGAAAATTCATGGGCCTTTGTAAGTGCTGGTGAAAGAAACTTCTGTAAATAAGACAGGAAATGTTGCATATTTCCCCTGCAGCTTCAGAGAAAAAGTAAATGGCATCATGCATAATAAAAATGTTGCTGTAAGTGCTATTTCCAAATGCTAAAAAGACTTTGGTAAAACACCTGGACTTTAGATATTGACGTTATAGTCTATGAATGTAGCCCTCATCTTATGAAAGGTCTAATTCTGATTGGTTGACTTAAAAATGTTTTGCTGTAGAAATAAAATTTAAATTCCTTTCTGCTCTCCAGAAGCTATATATATACGCATATATTTTCATTTTTAAGCCAGATGAGAATCACTCTCTTCCCTTTTCCCACACTTGCAATATAGCGACTTGGATTGAGTTTTTTTGTTTTTTGTTTTTTGTTTTTTTTTTTTGAGACGGAGTCTCGCTTTTTCGCCCAGGCCTGAGTGCAGTGGCGCTATCTTGGCTCACTGCAAGCTCCGCCTCCCGGGTTCACTCCATTCTCCTGCCTCAGCCTCCCGAGTAGCTGGGACTATAGGCGCCTGCCACCGCGCCCGGCTAATTTTTTTGTATTTTTAGTAGAGACGGGGTTTCACCGTGTTAGCCAGGATGGTCTCGATCTCCTGACCTCGTGATCCGCCCTCCTCGGCCTCCCAAAGTGCTGGAATTACAGACGTGAGCCACCGCGCCCGGCTGGACCGAGTTCTTAGTTGAATAAAGAGTGTGAGAGTCTTGTCTGACATAAAGGAACCGTCGGGAAGCATTGCCCGCTGCCAATATGCTCTTTTCTTTATCTTTAAGTGACTTTTTTTTCTTCCTTCACACACTCACGTTTCTAGCCTTAAGTTATTTTAAATGTTAGGTTTGCTGTGATTATTCCTAAATGATGGATTAAAGTTTGGTAATTGCATCTGTCTTCATGCTCAATGGACACTGTTCTGCAATTGACCCAGTTAGGGCCACTGGACTGTGTCCGAGAGGAGCCTGAGGTGAGTGGGTTAGTCATGGTCTGGTTGGATTTGTCCTAAATCTATTGGGCATGGCCTGTGCTCCCTTGGTCTAGCACCCTCAAGGAAATTACTGCTTCTCTGGCTTCAGATGACAGTCAATACATCCTTGATGGGTAGATGTATGTGTGTACGGATGAATGAAATGTCAGTTCTATTCTCCAGGACCATAGCTTCCAGAAAAATAAAGTACTCTGAATTCCAAAGTGAGATTGCTTATGACAACATATGTGTGGTAACCACAGAATTCAGAAAAGAAAACCCACTGTTTTCTCTCTCTGTAGTTATTGTTCCCATAGGAGATCAATGTGTGGAGAGCAAAGGTCTTAAGACTAGCTGAGAAAGCTGGTTCTTTTCTGTGCTTCTCTCACCCCTGTGTCTGCTTCTGTTATAATCCTTGTCATGCAGTATTAAAATCAGTGATCTCCTCTCCTGTGCCCTCTTCAATGCTGTGTGTCCCTTGAGAATAGGGACTATATATCTTTTTATTATATAGCCTCATTATTTAGCACAATGCTTGGCACATAAGGATAACTCAATAAATGTTTGTTAAGTAAATGAATGGGAGAAAAGCCTATAAAAGTAAAGAGAAATATATGAGTATGTGAAGGCTAAATGTTTGCAAAACTCAAACATAGAAAATAGGCTGTATAAGGAAGAAAACATCTGCCAAAAATCTTTGGCCCTGACTATATAGACATTTGGCCTCCCTTATTGGAATAAAATCTGGTAGACTCTACTCTCCTGAGTATAACACTCAAATCCCATAGGGCAGAACTCACAGAAAAGCAAGCATAAAAGAAAGAAGCCCATCTAGTGTTATAAGTATGTATTTTTGGGAAAAAGTATAAAACAACACAACACAAGCTACATCTATCATTTTTATTACACAATCTACAGAAAGTGAAGATTTACAAAATCTTCTTGGCCAGAGGGTCTATGAAAGAAAAGATTGCTTTTACCAAGTGGAGAAGACCCCAGGAGGGACATGAGAATTTTTTGTTTATCTAACATGAGCTTAGGTTTTAAAAGACTGAGAAACAATAACTTGGCATGAATTATTATTCTCCTGTTCCTAAGGCCCCCCTGCTTGTTCTGGAGAGTTCCAGAGTCAACAAAATCTGAAGGCTGTATTGAACAGGAGAATTTCTATTATTCACTCCCATCACTGCCATCAATGATGAGCCTGGGGAAATAAATAGCCATGCAACTCAACCCGGTGTCAGAATCTTCCTTTAGCTTCTGCTTTATTTCCCCTAGCCCTAGGCATAGTACAGAGGTCAGTGCTTCTGACGTAACTGGATCTTTACACAACTCTAATATTTGCCCCTTTCTTTCCTCCAGTCCTGGAGCACAAACCCTTGTAAACATTCTCCCAGGTACCTTTCTCCTCTTAGCCTGCCATTGAGCAACCAGATTCCAAGCCATTCGATACTCTATTTTACCTACAATTTGAATTGGTATAGCCTTTTCAAATGTGTAAAATGCTATTACATACATAGTCCTTTAAGAAAAAAAAAAGGGAGTCTGCAGCTAACTTGAGAGCAGTAAGCAAGGTGTGAAAATTACCAGGGCTGTAGGCTACCAGGCATGCGGCCCGTCCCCAGGGCCTAATGAAGACACACCTGAATCTCACCAAGCCTCTCAAACGAACTACTAGTTACAGTACATATACAAGATAGAGAAATACTTTAAATGATACCAAGGGAATTCCATCAGTTTTATGTGAGCATTTTTATAGGATGATTGACCTGGTTTATTTAATAATTAGTGTGGAAGAAGCGAGAGGGGAAGCTGCTACAGAGGAAGAGATTTAGGAACATGTCAATCAAACACAGTGTGTGGACCTTGCTTGGATCCCAATTTAAACAAATTAACTGCCAAAAGCCATTTTTGAGACAATCTGGGAAATTTCAATACAACTTGAATATAAAATGATATTTTTAAATGACTTAATTTTTCAGTTAATCTCAAATTCACTTAAAAATGATTATTGTTAATTTTTATGAAATTCATTTTGTAGTTAACGGTAATTTCATGCACGTGCGTGTAAAGAGACCATCAAACAGGCTTTGTGTGAGCAATAAAGCTTTTAATCACCTGGGTGCAGGCAGGCTGAGTCCAAAAAGAGAGTCAGCGAAGGGAGATAGGGGTAGGGCTGTTTTACAGGATTTGGGTAGGTAAAGGAAAATTACAGTCAAAGGGTGGTTGTTCTCTGACGGGCAGAGTGGGGGTCACAAGGTGCTCAGTAGGGGAGCTTTTGAGTCAGGATGAGCCAGGAGAAGGAATTTCACAAGACAATATCATCAGTTAAAGCAGGAACAGGCCATTTTCACTTCTTTTGTGGTGGAATGTCATCAGTTAAGGCAGGAACCGGCCATCTGGATGTGTACGTGCAGGTCACAGGGGATATGATGGCTTAGCTTGGGCTCAGAGGCCTGACATTCCTGTCTTCTTATATTAATAAGAAAAATAAAATGAAATAGTGGTAAAGTGTTTGGACAGCGAAAATTTTGGGGGATGGTATGGAGAGATAATGGGCGATGTTTCTCAGGGCTGCTTCGAGCGGGATTAGGGGCAGTGTGAGAACCTAGAGTGGGAGAGATTAAGGTGAAGGAAGATTTTGTGGTAAGGGGTGATATTGTGGGGTTGTTAGAAGAAACATTTGTCATTTAGAATTATTGGTGATGGCCTGGATACAGTTTTGTATGAATTGAAAAACTAAATGGAATAAGAGAAGGAGAAAAACAGGTATAAAAGGTCTAAGAATTGGGATGACTCAGGACATCTGATTAGAGAGTGCCTAAGGAGATTCAGCATAGTCCTGCCAGCAAAGATTATTTATTTACTTCAAGAGTTAAGAGTGGCAGTTTGGGGATAGCACCAGGAGCTATCAGCTGTGATGGCTTGGAGAAACAGTGTAAACCGGCAGTTTAAACAAGAGCAGGGCATGTATGAGTAGTTGAGAATGGTGAATAGGAGTATGACTAGACAGAAGATAGTAGGAATGACAAGTTTTTCTGGGGCACAGTCTAAGTTGGTCTGGTGTCTGGAATGAGACTGGGGCCTAATAAAAAGGAGCATCTATACAGGAGCTCAAATGGGCTGTACCTTGTAACATTGAGGACAGGTCTGACTTCTGAGAAGGGAAAGTGGTAAAAGTATTGTCCAGTCCTTTTTAAGTTGGTGGCTGAGCTTGGTGAGGTGTGTTTTTAAAAGACCTTTAGTCCGTTCTACTTTTCCTGAAGACGGAGGACCGTAAGGGATATAAAGGTTTCACTGAATACTAAGAGCCTGAAAAACTGCTTGGCTGATTTGACTAATAAAGGCTGGTCTGTTATCAGACTGTATAGAGGTGGGAAGGCTAAACTGAGGAATTATGTCTGACAGAAGGGAAGAAATGACTGCGGTGGCCTTCTCAGACCCTATAGGAAAGGCCTCTACCTATCCAGTGAAAGTGTCTACCTAGACTAAGAAGTATTTTAGTTATCTGACTCGGGGCATGTTGAGTAAAGCTAATTTGCCAGTCCTGGGTGGGGGCAAATCCTCGAGCTTGATGTGTAGGGAAGGGAGGGGGCCTGAATAATCCCTGAGGAGTAGTAGAATAGCAGATGGAACACTGAGAAGTTATTTCCTTGAGGATAGATTTCCACGATGGAAAGAAAATGAGAGGTTCTAAGAGGCGAGCTAGTGGCTTGTACTATAGCATCGCTTGCCTTTGCTGGTGTGTGGCGATTAGGCCTGGTGGAACTGCCGTCAATAAATCAAGCGTGATCAGGGTGAGGAACAGGAAAGAAGGAAATATGGGGAAATGGGGTGAATGTCAGGTGGATCAGAGAGATACCGTCATGGGGCTCAGGTGTGGTATCAGGAATAATGTGGGAGGCCAGATTGAAGTCCGGGCCAGGAACAATGGTAATTGTGGGACTTAACAAAGAGTGAGTACAGCTGAAGGAGCCGGGGAGCAGAAAGTATATGCGTCAGGTGTGAGGAAGAAAATAGATTTTGGAAGTTATGAGAAATGTAGAGAGTAAGTTGAGCATAGTTTGTGATTTTGAGGGCCTCTAAAACTATTAGGGTGGCAGCAGCCGCTGCACGGAGACATGATGGCTAGGCTAAAACAGTAAGGTCAAGTTGTTTGGACAGAAAGGCTTCAGGGTGTGGTCCTGGCTCTTGTGTAAGAATTCTGACTGCACTAACCATGCCTAGGAAGGAAAGGAGTTGTTGTTTTGTAAGGGATTCAGGTTTGGGAGATTAATTGGACATGATCAGCAGGGAGAGCACGTGAGTTTTTATGAAGAATTATGCCGAGGTAGGTAACAGATGGAGAAGAAATTTGGGATTTGGAGGGGGATACCTGATATTCTTTGGAGAATAAATGCTGAAAGAGCAGAAGTGTCTTGTTGAGAAGATTCAAAGGAAGGGCTGCAAAGAAGAAGGTCATCAATATATTGAATAAGGTAAGAAGCGGAGGGGTGGAAAGAAAGTAAATCATGAGAAAGAGCTTGGCTGTAGTAATGAGGACTGTCCCTGAAACCTTGCAGTAGCACAGCCCAGGTAAGCTGCTGGGACTGATGGGTGTCAGGGTCAGTCCAGGTGAAAGCAAAGAGAGGCTGGGACGAGGGGTGCAGGGGAATAGTGAAAAAAGCATCTTTAAGATCAAGAATGGAATAGTGAGTTGTGGAGGAAGGTATTGAGGACAAAATAGTGTATGGGTTGGGCACCACAGGGTGGATGGGCAAAACAATTTGGTTGATAAGGCGCAGATCCTGAACTAATCTGTAAGTCTTGTCTGGTTTTAGGACAGGTAAAATGGGGGAATTGTAAGGAGAGTTTATAGGCTTTAAAAGGCCATGCTGTAACAGGTGAGTGATAACAGGCTTTAACCCTTTTAAAGCATGCTGTGGGATGGGATATTGGAGTTGAGCGGGGTAAGGGTGATTAGGTTTTAATGGGATGGTAATGGGTGCATGATCGGTCGCCAAGGAGGGAGTAGAGGTATCTTATACTTGTGGGTTAAGGTAAGGGAATACAAGAGGAGGACGCAAAGGAGGCTTTGGATTGGGAAGAAGGGCAGCAATGAGATGTAGCTGTAATCCAGGAATAGTCAGGGAAGCAGATAATTTAGTTAAAGTGTCTCTGCCTAATAAGGGAACTGGGCAGGTGGGGATAACTAAAAAGCAGTGCTTAAAAGAGTATTGTCTAAGTTGGCACCAGAGTTGGGGAGTTTTAAGAGGTTTAGAAGCCTGGCCGTCAATACCCACAACAGTTATGGAGGCAAGGGAAACAGGCCCTTGAAAATAAGGTAATGTGGAGTAAGTAGCCTCGGTATTGATTAAGAAGGGGACAGACTTACCCTCCACTGTGAGAGTTACCCGAAGCTCGGCGTCCGTGGTCTAGGGGGCTTCCAAGGCGATCGGGCAGCATCGGTCTTCAGCCGCTAAGCCAAGAACATCTGGGAAGGAGTCAGAGAGCCTTGGGCCAGAGTTCCAGGGGCTCTGGGAGTGGCTGCCAGGTGAGTTGGACAGTCCAATCTCCAGTGGGGTCCCGCACAGATGGGATGCGGCTTAGGAGGAATCCTGGGCTGCAGGTACTCCTTGGTCTGGTGACCAGATTTCTGGCACTTGCAGCAAGCTCCTGGGGGAGGAGGTTCTGGAGGAATGCCTGGCCACTGCGGTTCAGGTGTTTGGAAGTTCTTGTGTACTGGAGATGTGGCTGGGGTTTGTCTCACAGTGGAGGCAAGGAATTGCAACTTTTTTCTATTATTGTACACCTTGAAGGCAAGGTTAATTAAATCCTGTTTTGGGGTTTGAGGGCCGGAATTTAATTTTTGGAGTTTTATTTAATGTTGGGAGCAGATTGGGTAATAAAATGTATATTGAGAATAAGACGGCCTTTTGACCTTTTAGGGTCTAGGGCTGTAAAGTGTTTCAGGGTTGCTGCCAAACGAGTCATGAACTGGGCTGGGTTTTTCATATTGGATGAAAGAGCCTAAACGCTCACTGATTTGGGAGAGGTCTGATAAAGAAAAAGGAGCATTAACCTTGACTATGCCTTTAGCTTCAGCCACCTTTTTAAGAGTAAATTGCTGGGCAGGTGGGGGAGGGCTAGTCGCAGAACAAAACTGTAAGCCGGACCCGGTGTGAGGAGGGGAGGTGATAAAGGATTATAGGGTGGAGGAGCGGAGGCTGAAGAAGAATTGGGACCTACCTTGGCCTGGCGAGGAGCAGCCTGGGGAGGAGGGGAGAGGTCAGATGGGTCTGTAGAAAAGGAAGATTAGAAAGACTCAGCGATGCTTGGGGTTGGGACTGAGGGGACAGGTGGGAGGGAAAGAAGGAAGATTTGGGATGAGTTGCATTGGGAACAGAGACTAGAGAGGGACTGATGTGTAAAAGAATGCCTGGACGTCAGGCACCTCAGACCATTTGCCCATTTTATGACAAGAATTATTTAGATCTTGTAGGATGGAAAAATTGAAAGTGCCATATTCTGGCTATTTGGAACTACTGTCGAGTTTGCATTGGGATCAAGTGGCATTGCAGAAGAAAATAAGTTGCTTAGATTTTAGGTCAGGTGAGAGTTGAAGAGGTTTTAAGTTCTTAAGAACACAGGCTAAGGGAGAAGAAGGAGGAATGGAGGGTAGAAGGTGGCCCATAGTGAAGGAAGGAAGCCCAGAGAAAAGAGAGAGTAGAGACATGGAGGGAAGGGGTTCGGGGGTTCTTACCCTCCAGAAAAGCGGGAAAGGGGTCGGGGCATAGAGATACAAGGTTGGGGCACAGAAATAAGGGATCGGGGCACAGAGATATAAGGGGTTGGGGCACGGAAATAAGGGATCAGCATGCAGAGATATAAGGGGTTGGGGTACGTGCCCCTCCCCTAGAAAAGTGGGACTTGCCGCTAAGGGTGAAGGAGAAGGGGTTGGGGGTTTCTTGCCCCCCAGAAAGGCGAAGAAGAGGTAGAGACATGGAGATAAGGGGTTGGGGTACTTGCCCCTTCCCCAGAAAAGCGGGACTTGCCGCTAAGGGTGAAGGACCAAGGCAGGCGTCCCTGCGTGGTCTGACACCTCTGAAACCTGGGTGAATAATCAGAGAGGCGTCCCTGCAATGATTAAACACCAAGGGAAGGCTGCCTTCCCTAGTCTGTGACCGGCGCCGGAGTTTTGGGTCCATGGATAAAACGTGTCTCCTTTGTCTCTACCAGAAAATGAAAGGAATCGAAATTAAGAGAAGGGAGAGATTGAAGTATGGCGCCAAGATTGAAAGGAGAAAGAGGTTGAGGGATAATGAGGGAGGTTGGAGAAGAGAGTAAAAAGAGGCCGCTTACCGGATTTGAAATTGGTGAGATGTTTCTTGGGCTGGTGGGTCTGAGGACCTGAGGTCGTAGGTGGATCTTTCTACGGAGCAAACAGCAGGAGGACAGGGGATTGATCTCCTAAGGGAGGTCCCCCGATCCGAGTCACGGCACCAAATTTCATGCGTGTCCGTGTAAAGAGACCATCAAACAGGCTTTGTGTGAGCAATAAAGCTTTTAATCACCTGGGTGCAGGTGGGCTGAGTCCGAAAAGAGAGTCAGTGAGGGGAGATAGGGGTGGGACCGTTTTATAGGATTTGGGTAGGTGAAAGAAAATTACAGTCAAAGGGGGGTTGTTCTCTAGCGGGTAGAGTGGGGGTCACAGGGTTCTCAGTAGGGGAACTTTTGAGCCAGGATGAGCCAGGAGAAGGAATTTCACAAGACAATGTCATCAGTTAAAGCAGGAACAGGGCATTTTCACTTCTTTTGTGGTGGAATGTCATCAGTTAAGGCAGGAACCAGCCATCTGGATGTGTACGTGCAGGTCACAGGGGATATGATGGCTTAGCTTGGGCTCAGAGGCCTGACAGGTAAGCAAGTTTATCATTTACAGATACATACTAAAGTATAAATGGGAGAAACAGCATTATGTCTAGGATTTGGCTTAAAATACTCCAGCAAAAACAAACAAAACAAAAATAGGGAGAGTGTTTGTGTGCACACTCATAAAATAGGATTGGCAATATATGAAAATTGATAAACTGGTTGACAGGCACCTGGGGGTGCTAGTTTACTGCTTTTTTTGCTGTTGTGAATATTTAAAAGTTTCTACAAATATATATTTTTTTTTTAGATGGAGTCTCGCTGTGTCGCCCAGGCTGGAGTGTGGTGGCAGTGGCGCGATCTTGGCTCACTGCAAACTCCGCCTCCCGGGGTTCACGCCATTCCCCTGCCTCAGCCTCCCGAGTAGCTGGGACTACAGGCACCCGCAACCATGCCTAATTTTTTGTATTTTTAGCACAGACGGGGTTTCACTGTGTTAGCCAGGATGGTCTCGATCTCCTGACCTCATGATCCGCCCGCCTCGGCCTCCCAAAGTGCTGGGATTACAGGTGTGAGCCACCGCGCCTGGCCAAAAATAATTTTTTTTTTTTTAATTTTTAAAAAGAGAGAGAGTGGCAGGGAGTTGACAACAGTGTTGAACTCTGCTATGGGACGGAGCAAATGAGTAGAATTTCCCATTTGACTTTGTGACTGGTGGTCATTGGAAATCTGGGTGAGAGCTGTTCTAAAGTCAGATGGGAGCAGAGAGGAATTTAGGATGGGGAAGGATTTATTTTATTTTATTTTGTAATGGCAGGGACTTCAGATTTTAAAAACCGGATGCAATGATAAGTTGAATATACAAAAGAAAGAAAAAGTAACCCGCAGGGCAGTGTTCCCAAGAAAGCAGGAGAGGGTGGAGGCCACTGCACAGAGGCAGGGATTAGCCTGGGAAAGAAGAGGCAGCTTCCTTATTAGAAAGAAAAAGGATAGAATGGATGCAGATGTAGGTAGTTGATGTGTTTGGATCAAAAAGAGTAGAGATTGCTGGCTGGGAGCGGTGGTTCACGCCTGTAATCCCAGCACTTTGGGAGGCCAAGGCGGGCAGATCACGAGGTCCGGAGATCAAGACCATCCTGGCTAACATGGTGAAACCCTGTCTCTACTAAAAATACAAAAAAATTAGCTGGGCTTGGTGGCGGGCACCTGGGGAGGCTGAGGCAGGAGAATGGCGTGAACCCGGGAGGTGGAGCTTGCAGTGAGCAGAGATCGCGCCACTGCACTCCAGCCTGGGCGACAGAGAAAAAAAAAAAAGAGTAGAGATTGCTATCGGATCATGGCATCTGTTTTCTATATAAAGTAGGAGTAGCAGAAGAGTTTGGGGCAGGAGGTGTCAAAAGAAACGCATTTCAGGACAGTGCTGATCACAATATACATCATATCATATACATTCTAATTACATCCGTCTTCTCTGTGGTACCACTGTCCCAACAGCACTTCAGGTGCTGGCCCAGAGAAAAGAAATCTGAAAGTATTCAAGGTTAAGATTTTGCCTAACAGTTAAAAAAAAAAAAAAGTCAGCAAGCCGGAAGGGGAGGCAACTGTGGTCAAAGAGGACATTCCGCGTGGCGAGTTTGGAGGTGCGCATTTTTGAGTGATATGATGACAAGGCATGAGTGTGGGTCAATAGTCACAGAGAGTGGAGGGAGTAATGGGTAATTGGACTGCATTTTCAGCATTCATCTAGGAAGCAGAACAATTCCCTAACAGTCCTTGCCCAAACAGTAGTAGGCCACAATTGCTTGCTACAATAATGCAGGGCACTCAGAGGGAAAGGGAATCATTTTTTTTGGTGCTTCCTTAGGGAAAAGCACACACAGAAAATAATGGCGTCACCTTGAACTTTTGGAATTCCTTTGCCTAGATAGTTCATGCACTATTATTCATCCTCATACATTCTTATAATGCAAAAAAGGGGACAGATATTAAGAACTATAGGACAGTAAGTCTATACTTTATTAAAATAGGGTTCTCAGAAGTTAATTGACTCCCATTAGTCTTTTCAAACCTTGAAGGAGCCAGCCTAGAGATCTCCTGGGTGAGGAGGCAGCTAGTACTCACGTTGCCTAAGGCCACGGCCGGATGCATAACTCTTCCTCTACCTTGGGACCTGTGCAGGCTCGGGACAGCTGCTCTCAGGAAGACTTCTCTCCCCAGGGTCTGTGCTGACTCCACCACCAGCTTGCTAATGAATGCTGGACTGCGACACAATTACTCAGTATGGCTCAGTCCCTTCTACTGAGCTTACTCATAGCCACTGTGCTCCTAGGTTGGCCTAGGTGTGAATATGTGCAGCCCACCAGTGAGAGCAGTACACACCGCTACATCATGCCAATGTCCCTGAACCTGCTTTCCTCCTTCTCCCCAGCAATCTTCCATCCCTTCCTTGCAAAATGGGAGAGTCATCCCACATGCTTCTCTGCTTTCCACCACAGCACAGATTTATTTATGTACACCCACGGGTCTTTCTGAAGGTTCAGCTGGCAGCGAGGCACCAAGGAGAATCGAGAAACCCTCTGCAGAGTATCTGTCATCATTTCCTTCCAACAATATTTATAGCGCAGACCTATAGGCTAAACACTGAGCCTAGTGATAGAAAACAGAGCAAATGAAAGTATGAAATTTCTCCCTTTCGCTGGCTAAGGACAACCGACTTGGAAGAAATTGAAGCAACATAAAGAAAAAAGAAACACAATGGACACATTTAAATATTATAATATTGTTATTGCAAGAACAAAGGGTTACCCAAGTGCTTTACAAATGAAATGCTGCCTTGAGGCTAAATACAAATTCACCATAGAGCATTCAAGACCCAGGGAGAGGAGTAATTCTCCTGTGGCAGGGACTTTGGAGGAAGGGGGCTATACCCTGGGTTGTTGAACTTCAGGTCCCATTGCTAACTGATGAACACATAACAGATAAGCTCCAAAATCTCTCTTGTGCACACCCTGAACACCAAGGAACACCTTGGAAATACTAGTGCCATCTCATTAGTTTTTATTATTACTAGATAGACACATCAACCCACAAGGTTATAATCTACTATATATCATGCACTATAGTCATAATTTGTCTCAGCAAGATTTAACAACATAACAAATAGTTTTATATAATTTTAGAACAATGATTATTATACCTGAAAATATACTTCAAAAACTCAGCAAGCCAGAGGCTTACTTTTGTCCAGTGAGTTTATACACTCAACATACATTTGCATCACCTCCTCTTATTCAGGAAAATTCCAAAACAGCTCTATTTTGTCAATGATATCCAGATTCCTACAGATCATAGTAATTATCTTTTGTCCCAGGGTTCAGTGTGTTTTTAAGGTGCAGTTAGATGAACATTCTACACAGAAAAAAAGCAAACCCGTACTTGACTCTGAGTAAGACCCTTGTAAATGACTAAGTCATTTACAAGGGTCAAATTTGGTCTGGATGCCAGGTGGAAGGAGACACTTTTCTTCATTGCTCCTACTAAAGAAATCCATCAAGACTGTATCTGAGATTAGCATGGTTTCAGGTTCTGGAGAATATTAGGTCCCATAATGTCTTGGCTACAGAAGGTAGATCTGAAAGTTTTTAAGGAAAAAAAAAAGGAATTTTAACCTGATGCCAGGGAAGAAAAAGACACGGTAGATCCCCCGATTTAATGAGTAATTCTTATTTTCTAACACTTCTGCACATATAGCATTGGTTTCTTAACTTTTCCCTTTCTTTAATTGCAAAATTTCAAAGTCTATAAATTTTTATGCTACTTGCACATTTCAAATTATCTGTGGGTTTAAACACCATTTATAAAATGTAAACTACGAAAATGAAAAGGAAAAAGCAATACTTACTTATATCCATATTTCCCAGATGTATTTATCACCATTTCTGCTCCCAACTTATTCTGAGAATCTTCAAACAAATGTTTTTTCCAGATGAACTGAACACTTGTAATGTTTCCAACGTTAACATCTGCATCGATTAATTTTGTGTAAGTCATGCCTGGCTCAAGTTTTCCACTGTAAACAAAAATAAGACTCGTAAGTTTGCACTGGGTATTCACAGCACTGAATGAAAGAAAACACATCTGTGTATGCACTATGGAAGAGAAACTTGTATTTGCTAGCATTTGCTTGTAGGAGATTTATTCTTTCCATGTGTATTGATCAGCATCTCAGAATAGCATGGTTCTGAAGTTTGAAAGAAGGGTGAAGTAAATGGAAAGCTTGGCTAGGTGATTTTTAGAGAATACCTAGAGAGGCATTATTGTGATTTCTCCATAGTGAAAGATCTGGTCTTGGCTTTGTAGTATCAGAAACCAGATTATACTGACACCAGGAAATCAAGAAACTCTCAATAGTGGACTAAATGTACACAAGACTTATCTACAAACCAGGAGCCTGTTCACCAATTCACAGTGTGGAAATACCTCCCTTCGATTAACCAGAGTGCTCCCGTGCCCTTTTTCTGGTACCTTCTTTAACCACATAAAAGGAATTGGGTAACTAAACTAGTGATCAAAAGACATTTTGTTGATCACGGCAATAGAGCAGAGAGAGGTGCCATATCTCAAGGCATAAGGTATGTTCCATCCAAGGCAAAGTGAAACCAATGACTTGTTTTTTCCCCATCATGCAAAAATTCTCCACTGTGACCCAGATTGGTCGTGGCACCCAAACCAACATCTCTTACCCATAAGAGCTTCCTGACTCCCATTTCCTATGGCTATTGCTAATATTCTCCTTCTGATGAAACAGTCCCTTTTTTTGTTGTGTTGGTAAAATAAATTAAACTATAGTTAGTAAATGATTAAGCTACAATCCAATCTAAATTTGTCCCCATGTTGCTCCATACTGTATCACCTTTCCTTATTTCTTCATAACTTATAACTATTCTTCTGTTAATGTATCATTTGTCTACTCAAACTGCAAATATAAGCTCTGTGAAAGACGGACCTGTGTCTGCATCCCCAGCAATTAGAACAGTTCCTGGTACAGCGTAGGCACCTACATATTTGCTGAATGAATTAACGAATGAATATTGCTATTCCTAGGGTCTGTCTTATTATATTACTAGTAGAATTAATTGATTTAATTACCAGAGGAAACTGTTCTTCCAAGTTCTTAAGGGTAATCTTTCTGTTATTCCAAGAACTATCTTCACTCATTGCCCATACATTGCAGCCCTTTATGTCACTAGAAGCCCAATTAGCTAAGATATAACCTATGGTGAAGCTGGACATTTTTTTTAAACAAGGTCAGGGGTACATGTGCAGGTACATAGGTAAACATGTGTCTGTTGTACAGATTACTTCATCACCCAGACATTAAGCCTAGTACCCATTAGTTATTTTTCCTGATCCTCTCCCTCCTCCCACCCTTCACCCTCTGATAGGTCCTGGTGTGTGTTGTTTCCTTCTGTGTGTCCATGTGTTCTCATCATTTAGCTCCCACTTATAAGTGAGAACATTCAGTATTTGGTTTCCTGTTCCTGCATTAGTTTGCTAAGGATAATGGCCTCCAGCTCCATCCATGTTCCTGCAAAGGACATGATCTCATTCTTTTTTATGGCTGCATAGTATTCCATGGTATATAAGTACCACATTTTCTTTATCCAGTCTGTCATTGATGGGCACATGGGTTGATTCCATGTCTTTGCTGTTGTGAATAGTGCTGCATGAACATATGCATGCATGTGTCTTTACAATAGAACAATTTCTATTCCTTTGGGTATATAATCAGTAATGCGATTGCTGGGTCAAATGATATTTCTGTCTTTAGGTCTTTGAGGCCTTCCACAATGGTTGAACAAATTTACATTCCAACCAGCAGTGTATAGGTGTTCCTTTTTCTCCAAAACCTCACCAGCATGTTATTTTTTGACTTTTAATAATAGCCATTCTGACTGGTGTGAGATGGTATCTTATTGTAGTTTTGATTTGCATTTCTCTAATGATCAGTGATGTTGAGCTTTTTTTCATATGCTTGATGGCCATGCATATGTCTTCTTTTGAAAAGTGTCTGTTGATGTCCTTTGCCCGCTTGGTAATGTAGTTGTTTGTTTTTGCCTTGTAAATTTGTTTAAGTTCCTTACAGATGTGGGATATTAGACGTTTATCAGATGGATAGGTTGCCAAAGTTTTCTCCCATTCTGTAGGTTGTCTGTTCACTCTGTTGATAGTTTGTTTTGCTGTGTCGAAGCTCTTTAGTTTAATTAGATCCCATTTGTTAATTTTTGCTTTCGTTGCAATTGCTTTTGGCATCTTCATCATGAAATCTTTGCCTGTGCCTGTGTCCTGAGTGGTATTACCTAAGTTGTTTTCCAGGGTTTTTATAGTTCTGGGTTTTACATTTAAGTCTTTAATCTATCTTGAGTTAATTCTTGTAATATATGGTGTAAGCAAGAGGTCCAGTTTCAGTCTTTGGCATATGGCTAGCCAGGTATCCCAGCACCATTTATTGAGTAGGGGATTCTTTCCCCATTGCTTGTTTTTGACAGGTTTGTCAGAGATCAGATAGCTATAGGTATGCGGCCTTATTTCTGGATTCTCTATTCTCTATTCCGTTGGGTCTATGTGTCTGTTTTTGTAGCAGTACCATGCTGTTTTGGTTACTGTAGCCCTGTAGTGTAGTTTGAAGTTGGGTAGCATGATGCCTCCAGCTTTGTTCTTTTTGTTTAGGATTGCCTTGGCTATTTGGGATCTTTTTTTTTTTTTTTTTTTTGGTTCCATATGAATTTTAAAATAGTTTCATCTATTTCTGTGAAGAAACTCAATGGTAGTTTAATATAGATAGCATTGAATCTATAAATTGCTTTGGGCGTAGATAGCCTATTAGAAATTTAGCAGTTTGGCCAGGTGCGGTGGCTCAGGCCTATAATACCAGTATTTTGGGAGGCCGAAGTGGGTGGATCACTTGAGGCTAGGAGTTCGAGATCAGCCTGGCAAACATGGTGAACCCCGTCTCTACTAAAAATACAAAAATTAGCCAGGCATGGTGGTGGGCACCTGTAATCTCAGTTACCCAGGAGGCTGAGGCAGGATAATCACTTGAACCCGGGAAGGGGAAGTTGCAGTGAGGTGAGATCATGCCACTACACTCCAGCCTGGGTGACAGAGTGAGACTCCAACTCAAAAAAAAGAAAGAAAGAAAGAAAAAGAAATTTAGCAACTTATATAATGGTCTTATTTATTTGTGAGTTGCACAAGTAAAAATATATGCTTACATTTGTATAGTATTAAATGGATGGGATTAAAAATATACCTTATATACCATCATTTTGTTTCCACTTGCTCAATTATCTAGATCTGTCTTTTCATGTTATTGATATTGCCATTTTAATGATATTGATTCTGCCTATCCATGAGCATGGAGAAGCTGGACTTATAAAACTTGTTTGAAGAATAGAACTAAACCAGCATACAAATTTAGCTAGCTGACTTCATTTCAAGATGACACATCTGCTGTGAACCTTCAATGCTTACTTATTCTTAAAAGAGGATTGGGTAACTATGCAACAGCATTACAAACAGCTTCTTCGGCCGTTATCAAAAGAACAGAGATGTGGAAACGCTCTCACAAATCTTAAAAGAGGCAGAAACTGCATATTCATCACCAGCTGCCCCAGGTTAGATGCCTCTGTGCAGGGCACAAATCACACAGCTTTACCCAGCGTCCTGTGAGCCTCAAAACCACAGGCACATGATTATGCTGAACTGCTCTCAGAGGGAGGCTTGATGGAGCCATGAAGAAGAGGTAGAAACAAAATAGCAGACAGGAAAAAGTATCTGCAGCAAAGAAACAGCATGGGTGAAGTCCTGCAGAAAGGTAAGGGTAGGATCTATTCAGTACTGGGTAGTGCAAACAGTGTAGCCTCGCTGAACTGAAGGTGGAATAAAGTCAAATGGTGGGAGACATGGTTAGGAGAAGGGTGGGCTGGAGCCTGTGCACCAATCAGGATCCAGATCATCATTCACTGAGCTTATATTTACAGGCAGTTGGACCAAGGCAAGATGACCTGCAGAAACTCTGCCAGTGATAAAACGGATGCATCTCTCAACTGACAAAATAACCACAAAATCTCTGCTTTTCGTGCCTGTGCCCAGTGTTTGAGGATGATGGAAATCACAGAGATAAAACACCTAATACATTCATCTGTTTGCAGAAAAGGTTGCATCTAATTAGTAGGTATAATGTTAATTCTGACATAAATTACAGAATAAAATAATGGACATGAACATAATACAAAAATGCTAAGGCTGAACAAATAAAAGATTAAGAAAATTTCAAGATAAAAGGAGGGTTTAGCAAAAGATACAAAATGAACATCTGAACTGGATTATTTTTAACCTCTGACTATTCTAACACATGTCCTGTATCTGTGGGTAATGCTTAGACAGCTTATTAGAAATTTAGCAATTTATATAAATGTCTTATTTGTTACTGACACAAATAAAAATATATGCTTATATTTGTATAATATTAAGTGAATGGGATTAAAAATATATCTTGAATACCGTCAGTTTTTTCCACTTGCTCTATTATCTAGATCTGTATTTTCATGTTATCACTTCCTAACATTTTCTGTTTCTAGTTGGAACTGTAGAGAAAATACATATTATGATTTCTACTTTATATTTGGAAAACATGAAGTAAAAAGAAAAATCAAAGATACCATGGTAGCCTGTGGAATTGTAGGAAAAGAGAAGACTAAACAGCTTACTGAGCCAGTCTCACTTAGTGTTACTGAGCCCCCAGCACTGTGCAAAGCGTCAGTTTCTCACTCTGCCTACCTGACAATGGCAAACTCCCCAGTTTTCCTAACTGCCCCGCCTACACGAAGAAAGACAGTTCCTTGAGTGACTTCGCTTCCACTGAGTTTAACAGACAATTTGTGCCTCCAACCTAGATATAAGGAAACAAGAAGGAAAGGGAGAGAAAGGGTTAAAAACACATGGGAAGTATGACTTCCTGGATCCTTTAATGGAAATAAAATTTTCAGGGTTGTATTTGAACAGTGCTGCACATATTCATGCAAAAATACAACTTTAGTTTCAGTGAATTTGGTGAAAAACTACGTTTAAAAATACACATTATGGGTCACATTTTAATTTTCCAGAATAAATAGTTTAATAATATTTTAAAAGAAAATTATTTATTTTTCCAGGCATTTTTATGACTTTTAAAAATGGAAGTCCTGTGTCTTCTTTTGCCTATTTCCTTTGTATTGTGTGGCATATATATAGTATGTATACTTTCTATAGCCAAGTTTTTATTTGCCATAATGTGACAATTAATCCAGAAAAATCTAGGAAACCAATTGGGCAAGAAGATGTATGCTTTTATAATCATTTAGAGGCAAAGTGAGTCATTCTTCTTCTCCTGCAGGGATATGTGCTAAGAATGCCCAGTACACGTAGATACAGATCAATATAGTATCTGTCAGTAGATCATTCCCTTGCAAATGGCCAAATGTGACTTTTTACATCTAGAGCTAAACAGATCTTTTATTCTGAATTCTGAAATTACTGTACGCTTAATAACAAACTGAAAAAATGCAATTCTTCATATGATTATTTGAAAATAATTGAAAGGGGAAAGAAACCTACCAGAGAGGAATTTTAATTCATGAGTTAATCATTGCCAAAGAATTTTCTTTCTCTTCTCCGCCCATTCTACTGGAACCTGGCTCCCCCTGCTGTCTCTCCACTGAAACCACCCCAGCCAAGCTCACTAAGGGTTGAACTGTTTCTTCATCCAATGAGCCTCTATGGGGCCCTGTCTCATTTGACCACAATACAAAGGAAATAGACAAAAGAAGACACAGGACTTCCATTTTTAGAAGTCATAAAAATATTTGGTGTGGGCCGGGCTCGGGGCCTCACGCCTGTAATCCCAGCACTTTGGGAGTCCGAGGCGGTCAGATCACGAGGTCAGGAGATGGAGACCATCCTGGCTAACACGGTGAAACCCCGTCTCTACTAAAAATACAAAAAACTAGCCTAGCGTGGTGGCGGCGCCTGTAATCCCAGCTACTTGGGAGGCTGAGGCAGGAGAATGGCATGAACCTGGGAGGTGGAGCTTGCAGTGAGCCGAGATCGCACCACTGCACTCCAGCCTGGGCGACAGAGCAAGACTCCATCTCAAAAAAAAAAAAATTATATATATATATATATTTGCTGTGGTGTATGTCTCCTCTCTTCCTGCTCAACTTTCTTTCCTTGGCTCTTTTAACGATAAGCTTTGCTGGTCTTCCTTCTCTCTGCCCATTCTTCAGTCTCCTTTGCAGGGGCCTCTTTCTCTGCTATCTTTACTTCTTATCTGGCACATTCTTCTTGGGTAGTGATGTCATCCACTTTCACCACACTGACTACAGTCTGAGTGACTCCCAACTCTCTATCTGTAGAACACATCCATTTCCAGAGGCTGAGATCCGTATCTCTACCTGCCTCATGGTGCACACACACTCTCAAACCCTAAAGGCAGCTCCAACGTAACATGGAGAAACTAGCCTATCATCTTGCTCCAAACTAGCCTTTCTTCCTGTGTCGTCAAGCTCAGAGAATGACAGCTCATCCACAGCCAGAATTGTCCTTGACTCCTTGCTTTTCTGCATTTTTAAATCCATTCACCTAGGTCCATTTTGCTTCCACCTTCTAACTATCTTTGCAACCTCTCTACTTCTATTTTTTTTTTTTTTTTGCCTGAATTGTGGCAATAATTGTGTAACAGGCACCCTGCTTCCATCTTGTGGCCTTCTAATCCATGCAGAAACTAAAGTGATTTTTCTAAAAATAAAAATAATCTGGTAATTCTTAATACCCTTCAATGGCTTTCCATTCACCCACAGACAAAGCCCAACCTCTCCACTTGGGACACAAGGCCCTTGCCTCATGATCTGACCTGATTTGTCTCTCCCACTTCATCTGCTATCACTGTCCTCCCAGTCTCTACAATCCTGGCAGGGCCTTCTTTCAGTTTCTGCTCTCTCTTACTTCCAGGCATTTACAGACGTGGTCACTTCTGCCTGGAATACTTCCCTTCTCCCTCTTACTCATCCTTCAGGAGTCAGCTTAGAAATCTCTTTTCCTCGAAAGGCTCTCTGACCTTTATGCTCTGCACATATCTTGAATGTTTCCTAAGAGAAAGTTTATTACGCAGGATTGGAACTGAGATTTTACTTGCTGTCTTTCCCACTAGCCTAAACTCAATTAAAGACCTCACTGTGTTGTTCTTCACTGAAATCCCAGTCTGGCCTAATGCCCAGTTATTTAGTAGACACTCAATAAAAACTGTTGAATTTTTAAAGATAAGTACCTTAAAGCATTACAATTAAACTTAGCTATGATACTTACGGGCAAATGGGGAAAGGGACCCTGTGTTTAAAAAATAATGTGATCCATTAGTCTTCATATTTTTGAAGTGAAATCTATCAGCAAAATGACCCATTGTTGGGCAACCTTCTTTGGAACAAAAGAAGCAATTTCCCTGATGACAGAAAATGAAAGGTGATTACTTATGTAATTAGAAATGTTGTCCTTCAATAAACTCGCTATATATTATTAAATAATAATAAATCTCCAGGATCTAAATAAAGGATATGCATTTTAAAAGTGCCTAACAGGCCACCATGTCTGTTTTCAAAAATAAAACAAAACCAACTGAGGGAAAAAGAGAAACTCCCTATTAGAAAAATGGGTAGATGATATGAATAGACAATCCACGGAAGAGGAAACTCAAATAGTCAATAACTATGCAAGATGTTCAGTCTTACTAGTTGTCAAGCATATGTTAATTAAAACAAGGTAAAATTTCATATTCAGCAGATTTGCAAACATTAAAGCAATTGGCAACACTGAATACGTGTAATAGGGGAATTCTCATTTGCTTCTGATGGAAAGTTGTATTGTTCTTCACTGCATTCCCAGCCTGGAATATAATTTTTAAAATGTCAAAAATATAATCAGATCAAATTTTTTAATTTTTAAAAATTTGCTCTGCACACAAAAGAACAGTCCTTGAGCTGGGAGACTTCAAACTGAAAATGGTAAGAAGCCCCCGCTTACAGCAGTCACAAGACAGTTTATAAAGGCGGAAGTATTTTGACCTTTTTTGGTGATTGGCTATTATGCATTAACATTCTTCTCTAGGGCAAGTAGAGATATTTATGTTGATTTGTCTACAGCTGATTGGTTTCATTTCCCTGAATCACGCGGACAAGGAGGTAAAGCTTATGTTTTTGTGTTTCATTTATGATTAGAGCTAGTGTTTCTGGAAAATCAGGATGACTTGGTTTTGGCTATGTGGTCATGGGTGGCCTTGGGTTATATCTAAATTGTGGCCTTCATTTTTATTTTTCTTTAGCAATCGATAGACATTTTAAACAGTGATTTGGTAATGTCTAATAAAGAAGGAAATGCATGTATGCTTTGATAATTTCACTTCTGTTGTATGCCATGAAGGAATTCCACTCAAGTACATAAAGAGACATACAAAGATGGCAGAGTTGGTAGACGTTGCTTTTTTTTTTTTTTTTTTTTTTTTTTGCGAGACAGAGTCTGGCTCTGTTGCCCAGGCTGGAGTGCAGTGGCCCGATCTTGGCTCACTGCAAGCTCCGCCTCCCGGGTTGATGCCATTCTCCTGCCTCAGCCTCCCGAGTAGCTAGGACTACAGGCACCCGCCACCACGCCCGGCTAATTTTTTGTATTTTTAGTAGAGACAGGGTTTCACCATGTTAACCAGGATGGTCTCGATCTCCTGACCTAGTGATCCGCCTTCCTCGGCCTCCCAAAGTGCTGGGATTACAAGCGTGAGCCACCGCGCCCGGCCGACATTACTTTTAATAACAAAAACTGGAAACAATAAAAACTCACATTAGTAGGAGAACTAATCAATAAATTATGCCTGATTCCTATAAAATAAATACATTAGATCTATCTACATCAATGTAAATTTCAAATTTTATATTTATAATATTTAATGAAAACAGCAAATCCAGAAACATAATATGAAAGCATTTATTTGATACATATCAAATTCAACTCTGCCTTAGGGGAAGGATTGAAGGGAATATAAGGTCGTTTGCTTCTTTAATTTTATTTGTATGTTTTAAAAATCTAAAGGAAAAGGAATGAAATGTGAACATTTTAAAAACATGGGTAGCAGTGCTTGAGTATTTGCTATTTTAGGCTTTGAACTTTTAATTTAATAAACCATAGACATTTAGGCTAGGGCTACTGTAACATCCTATTTATTTATTTATTTATTTTTTGAGATGGAGTCTCAATTTGTCACCCAGTCTGGAATGCAGTTGTTATTCAGAGGCATGATCATAGCACACTGTAGCCTCAAATTTCTGGGCTTAAGAGATCTCCTGCATCAACCTCCCAAGTAGCTGGGACTACAGGTGCATGCCACAGCTGGCTCTGACACACTTTGATTGTATGACTATTAGGGTACAGTACAATAAAGTACGTCAAGGAAATTGATTCATTCTAATAGTTTGTAACCACAAGTAGCATCCATGTGGCATGAGCTAGCTTCTAAGGGTACTCCAATTTGGCAGATTAACTCTTATCTCCAAATATACAAAGACTCCAAGGGCCTGCTTCTCCTAGAAGTAAATGCCAGGATCCCGTGGGTGCTCAGAGTAGCAGCCGAGGCAGGAAGAAGAGAGAGGTCGGGGACAAGGAGGATATGTGGAAAATGCTACTGTTTGGCTGTCAAGCTTTCCAAGAATGGCAGGAAACTGACAGGATGGCCTAAACCCGTCCATCTGCCAAGCTCTGTAGCAAAAGGGACATGCTTCTTCATGTCACAACACAGCACTTATTCACGAAGTACTATTACTTACCATAAACTTCAGCTGAACAGCCCACATTTTCTACCGTGATAAAACAGGGGATTAGGTCTCTAAAGCACAAGAATGAAGATCTTTTCCACTTCCCACTACAAAATAGATTTTCTTTCTTTTACTCAAGTAAAATCAGATTTGGTAGTTTGTCACATATTGATCTGTGTAGAGCTCCTGTGAGCTATCTATGCTTTAGTTCTGCTCTGTATAAATAATTAAATTTTAATAAAATAATTTTCATGTTCCAAGTAAATAGTAATATGTTTGGTTGTAGCTATTGATTGGTTCAGCCTTCTTAGGGCATCTTTGAAGATGACATTTAAAATATATATGCAGAAATATTTTTGCCCTAGACTTATGCCTGTTACACAGTAACATCTAATTACTGCATAACAAATGGCCAAAAAAGCAAAATTGTATATAATTTTCAAAGGAGCTGAAACAACCAGAATACAAATAGTTGGTTGAGTTATTTCAACCCTCCAGCAATCCCAGCTACTGTTCAGTACTCAGCACAGAAACAATCCATTATTTCCCAAAATGGCAGGTGCATTTTTTTTGCTACCTACACAAAGCCCTAATGTTTAGCTGGATGATTGTGTTTCAAAAAATTACTTTATAATTAAATTCCAAGTAAGATGATTTACTTACTGCTTTAAAAGATGTGTAGGATCTACAAGGATAAGCAATAAATGCATCAGGATTAAGAATGCTTTCAGCATAAAATTGATAACTTCGGGCATGGTTACAGTCAAAGAAGGAAGCCATTTCTGTGAAAACAATTCCCAATTAACTGATAGCAATTAACTGATAACTGGTAGCATAAACCATATCTTAGAAACAGTAACTGTAAGTGGCAGTCTTCTTGAGTTGGGAGGGCCAGACCTTTTGTCTAGGCTTGGATATTGTACATTTATCAAAGTTACATATAATTTTATTTGTACCAAAGAATTATGTGACTCAAAAGGGACATTCAAGAAGTGGAAATAAGCAAAAGCAAATGTGAATGACTTTGTGCTTTGACACAAATATACTGAGTCACTTCCTAGTGACAGTGGCAGGAGGCAGACAATTTCCTAGGCAGATAGGGGTGTGTCCTCAGTGAAACCCAACCTTTAAGCCAAAAACAGTGTGAAGCCTGAAAACGAAGCTGCCAGTTCCAGGTAAAGTCCCTGACCAGAGTGAGAACTTCGATTCCTGTTTGCCTGGTCTTTCCTGAACAACGTTTTTGGTTCTTTCTGAACAAGGTTTTTTGTTTGTTTGTTTGTTTGTTTTGTTTTTTTTTTAGATGGAGTCTGGCTCTGTCACCCAGGCTGGAGTGCAGTGGTGCAATCTCGGCTCACTGCAAGCTCCACCTCCGGGGTTCACGCCATTCTCCTGCCTCAGCCTCCCGAGTAGCTGGGACTACAGGCGCCCACCACCACGCCGGCTAATTTTTTGTGTTTTTAGTAGAGACGGGGTTTCACCATGTTAGCCAGGATGGTCTTGATCTGACCTCGTGATCCACCCACCTAGGCCTCCCAAAGTGCTGGGATTGCAGGTGTGAGCCACCGCACCCAGCCTGAACAAGGTTTTTTAACCAATCTAATGTTGCTTTTTCCAAGGCTACCTACAGCCAACACCTCCCTCATTCTGAGCCTATAAAAAGCCCAGACTAAGCCACACTCTGGGGACTACCTGCCTTTGGGTGGGAACTACCTGCCTTCAGATAGGGGCTACCCACTTTGGGTTCCCCTCTCATCCAAGAGCTGTTTGGTCACTCGATAAAACTCTTCTCCACCATGCTCACTCTTCAGTTGTCTGTGTAACCTCTTTCTTCCTGGACGTGGGACAAGAACCTGAGACCCACCAAACAGCAGGTGCCAAAGGAGCTGCTGAAACACTGTAGCCATCCCACCCCACGCATCAGGAAGCTGCAGTGGGGCTGGGACAGCCCAAGAGCTGTGGTCTGGAGTACAGCAATGGGATCAAACAATGTGAGACACACCCCTATTCGCTGAACTGTGCAGAGGGTGGGAACAAATGAGCTGTAACACAAACAAGCCGTAATGTTTCCTGGGGGCTTAGACCTCAAGGCTCCCTAAGCCACAGCTGTAACATGCTGTATGTAACACCCCCTTTGGGGCTGCGTGGTTCCTGCCATCTCCAAGTTTTTTTGGCACCACCACATTTCCCTCGTTCAGAAGCTGGTGCCCAAGGTGGAAGCTGCTTGCAGTATGCCTGGTCCAGCCACAGCCTCGTGTGGAACCAGTGCCTGTACTGGCCTGAAGCCACCTGCCCTACCACAGCAGTGGGCATGCCTGGCTCACCCTTGGCAGGTGTGAGATCCAGGTCAGCAGAGTGAGCTGAGCACAGGCTGCCAGGCCAAGTGGGTGAGATAAGTCCAGTGGTGAGCCCAGCAGGTGCAAGTGAAACTCAAGCAGAGGCACTGCAGGCTGTGGAGGTCTCTGGCTGGTGAAGCAGCATGGAAAAAAATCCTGTATCACTAGGACCTCTGACACAATATCCCTGTGCATATAGTATCTCCATTGTAGACCAGTTAAGACTCTGCCTCTCTGTTTCTGCAAGAATAACTGAACTCCCTCCTATTCAATCACAAAACAGTCAGCATTGTGAACCAGTGCTGGGTTAAAGGTGTAACAAGTGGGGGGTTTTATAAAGAATGCTAAAGATGAATTAGTTTTGTCATTATCAAGCATGACATTATTGCCATCAATAGTTAGGATTATTGGAATAATAATAAGATCTAAATACATCTGCACATTCCAAAATTTTCATAACATTCTAGTCATTTATTCTTTCTTTTCTTTCTTCTTCTTCTTCTTCTTTTTTTATTTTAGAGATGAGGCCTCACTATCTTGTTGTGCCCAGGCTGGTCTTGAACTCCTGGCCTCAAGTCTCAAGTGATCCTCCTGCCTCAGCCTCTCAAAGTGCTGGGATTACAGGTGTGAGCCACTGTGCCCAGCCATTTATGCTTTCTTTTATTTTACATAACAATATTTTTACTGAATGGCGTGGACTATTCTTTGAATGACCTACACAGCTTAGCCAATCTTTGAGAAACTAGATTTTGGTTTTAGCATATGCAGTATAATTATTATGTAATAATTGCTTCCAACAAATGACTCCTTCCTGGGTCCTCACCCATTTGCAGTATTATGTAACCATTCCTTCTCTCAACATGGAGGCCATGTTAAAAATACCCCTGCCCCATTACAGGCTGATCTTGTAACTTGCTTTGCCCAGTAGCAAAGAACCAAGATCAGTTCTGTGGAGAAACTGACATTGGTTAAGTTCTAAGGCCTTAAAAGACCTTCCAGCATCCACTCTTACTGTCCTGAAACCCAGTTGCAATATTATGAAATCCAGGCTACCTGTCTGGGGAGAGAGGTCCTGAAGGATGACAGACCACCTGACAGAGGAGAACAAGTCCCAGGGTTCCTGACACGGAGGGTCATCTCAGACCTCCTCATCCAGCTTAGCCCAGCTCAGCCCCCAACTGGATGCAGTCACCTGAGTTGCTCCAGCCAACACCACACGAAGCAGAATCTCAGGAGAACTCTGCCTGAATTCTGACCCTCAGAACGCTGGGCAATAACAATTTTTCTTGTAATTGTTCACTGTGGTTTGTTACACAATAGAGAACTGAGACAGAATAGTTTCAGAAATAATGTAATATCGTCAGCACAGATTAATAATTGGCATCATCCATTTTTATTAAACAAAGACTTCTCTTACATTAGGTCTCTGTATATCTATAGATTTATATTCACAATTAATTGTGATTTAGACAAGACGGTTCATTAGAATATAGCAAACTATTAATTTTAAAAGTAATGGTTTGTTAGTAATAAATTTAAGTAAAATAGAACATCTTGAAGTCTTAAAACTCATCCAAAGGTTTAACATGAATGATAAATGTTCTTTTAATCCAATAAAGTTATAGGAAATCTTAAAATGTCTCAAAATGATAGCTTATGATAAATGTATATTTTAGTTGAATTAATCTTTCATAAAATTTCATATGATCTGTGTATAACAATTAATTATGTAATGAAGTCTTCTGAGCTATATTTTGTCCTAATAGAAAGGATTCATAGTCGTAATATAGAAAATAATGGGGAAAATCAATTTTATAATATGCCTCTTTTGTATGAATTTTGCTTATCTGAACTAGGTGAAATTGGCCTTAATTCTTATTTGTTGCACCTGTAGATTAGACAGTTGTGTGGGTTTTTAAAATATAGTCATTACAAATATATACTTCTGATCACATTTTCTCTTTCAGAGCAAATATTAAACCTTTGTAATTTATTTCTAGTGAAGTAGATACCTGAGTTACACTCAATACTATGATCTCTGTATCTTTCCTCTACAACAGCCAAATGAAAGAGCAAGTAATTTCAACTCCTTGATATCTTGACTACAGGGGATTGGGCTATGAGATATTCAGAATCATCCAGGTATCCATTATCATATCATCATATATATATATATTATTATTATTATATATTATGGGTAATGTATTTCATTAATTATATGATGAAATGTAGAGATAGGGAAGAACAAATTTCCCAAATAATAACCTTTCGGTGCCTTTTAACTTGATGCCATATAGATATTGTAACTATTATTATTGGAAACTACTATAAAAAGTTAAATACTACTTGTTTAATTTGTAATTACAGCATCCAGAGTGATTCTTGTTACAAGTAACTCAAACCACGTCTCTTCTCTGCTCAAAATCCACTCATGGCTCCTATCTCATTTGAGTGAAAGCTTAAGTCTTTTCTACCATCCACAAAGTCCTGTGTTATTGCCCTCTGCCTGGTTCCCTCTCCAACCTTATGCCCTACTTCTTTCCTTTTACCTAGTTTCAGCCACAACAGGCTCCTCACTGTCGTGAACCTGCCAGGCTGACTCCTGTTTTCAGCCCTTACACTTGCTTCCCCCTGTTGGCCTGGAATGCCTCTCCCCTTGGTGTCTATAAGGCTAACTCCTTTAGGTCATCTTTTCAGTAAGGACTCCCTTACCATCCTGTCAACAATTTTCTTCTTCTACTTTACCTTCACTGTCACCAACACATCATATTCCCCTTCAATGCTTTATTTTGTCCCCTTAGCTCTTACACTATTTATTGGTTTCCTAACAAGTTAGAAAATGAACTCCATCAGGGAGGCACCTTTGTCTTTTGTATTCATTTCCATATTTGCTGTTCCTAGAATAATGCCTAGCACATAGTAAACACTCAATACATATTTGCTGAGTGAATAACACACCTTCCTTGTTTATATTGAGTGACTGCAATATGCTAGAGATTGATAAGGCACCAGGGATACAAAGTTAATGAAGACACGGTACCCGATCTTGTGGATCTGAGAACAGGTGGGAGAGCTTCTTATATGCAACTGTGTTTTGAGAGAAAATACATTTTATATGTATATTATACACAAAAGTAGGTGGATCCCATCTAAGGAGAGAGCTAAGTGAATATGCATCAGTAGCATTCATAGTTTAGAAAGTATTTACCTTTTTTGTAAGCATTGAAGTTAAATTTCAGTAAAGGTGTAATTAAGTCTTCACATCCTGGCATGTGCTTCCCTCCATTTGGGTAAAAGTCAAGATGACCACAAGCATCAATGGTTCCAACACCTGAAATAAATAAAAACAGGGTAAATGCCTCTAAAAATCTCCTCTATGCTTCAATGAAGTTTCTGATTCTGTTAAAACTTACCAAGCTCAAAGAGGATGCGAGCTGCATTTGTATGAATAACGTCAACAAAGTTGGCATCCGAGGGGTCTAGCCTGACTTCCTTTGGAGTGTTGTGGAAAAATGGCCCAGCTGGGTCCAACCCTAGAGAAAGCACAACCAAGACATGTTCTATGGAAGTGCACATTAATATTGTTGTTACTTTGGAAGCATGTGTCCTTTCCTACATTATTTCTATCAATCAAAGATCACTCAGGAAAAAGTACAGATACATAACCTAAATCTATAAATGTAGGGTCTCTATATATTGCAATGTCAAGTATCTACAGATAAGTAATGCTATGTTGAGACAATGCCAAAACAGCTAACAAATTAAAAAAATCACAGTGGCTATTCTAGGGTCTGTATATGGAATACCATATATACAATAAGGTTATGAATTACAAAGGTTCTTGAAAAGCAACATTTGTAGGCAAAAAATTAAATTAAATTAAAAACACAACCACTCTTTGATGTGTAAAGATGAATCTACAAAGCAACACAATTAAAATAACAGAATCCTTGTCCTGAGCTATGGCTCACTTAGTTCTACTTTCATTAATAGTAATACAAATGAAAAGCCCGAAGCCCAGGGAAGTGAAGTGACTGGACAAGGTTATCATGTGTTAGAGGCAAACTGGACTAAGAGGCCAGGTGTCCAGACTCTCATCCCATTGCGTCATGTTCAAATGTTTCGTAAAATAAGGGCAAGATAGCTGGAATTCTTTAAAATGTTATGATCTTTCACATATTCAATCATTTCTGTATTTGACAATTATTTGTCAAGCACCTAGTATGTGCCAGGAACTAGGTTTAGCATTCAGATATGAGGAATAAGACCTTGCTTTGTCTTCAAGGGATTTTCCATTTGATGGGAAAGGCACCCCAGTCAGTGTCCTCCGTGCAGAGGCAGTGGTGATCATAAGTGTTATCCAAGCACAGAGAAGCCACATATAACCCAGTCTTGCGGAACTAGGACATGCTTCTGCAAGAGATAAGAAACATGGCTGGGCGCGGTGGCTCACACCTGTAATCCCAGCACCCTCGGAGGCCGAGGCGGGTGGATCACGAGGTCAGGAGTTCGACACCAGCCAGGCCAAGATGGTGAAACCCCGTCTCTACTAAAAGTACAAAATTTAGCCAGGCATGGTAGTGGGCACGTGTAACGCCAGCTACTTGGGAGGCTGAGGCAGGAGAATCACTTGAATCAAGGAGGTGGAGGTTGCAGTGAGCCAAGATTGTGCGACTGCACTCTAGCCTGGGTGACAGAGCAAGACTCCATCTCAAAAAAAGAAAAAGAAAAGAAACACTAGTAGAGATCTGAAGGGCCAGAAGAATTGGCCAGGGCAAAGGTAAGGTGGCCAGCAACCCAGGGGAGGACAGAGAAGTACACGGCCTCCAGATGAAAGCATCGTGTTTGGGAAACTGTAACTAGTTTGCTAAGGCTGGTGTGTAGAGTTCTAGGATTCGGTGGAAGATGAAGGTAGTATTGCTAGCAGGAGCCAGATGTCAGCTGAGCCATGTCAAGGAGTTTGGACATGATGTGGTCATCAATGGGAAGCTGTTGTAAGCTTGCAAGCAGGGGAGATTTATGATCAGATTTATATTTTAGCAAAATCCCTTTGCTGTGATATAGAGGCTGGATCCCGGAGTGGGAAGGATGCAGAGTAGCATTGCCGTTGACACCTCTGGGAATGTGGCATCAGCAAGGAAGGAATGTCTGTGTCACAGTCTGGGGTGTGTGCTCAGCACACTTAGCTTGTCATAGGATGTGTTTTTTTTTTTTTTTATTTTTCTGACTAATATAATCACTAAAAGAGTGATTATAGAAAAGCAACAGGAGAGAAGAGTGGGCCTAGAATGGAAACTTGAAGAATATGAACAGATAGGCAAAGGCAAAAGAAAAGAAATTCATGAAGTAGCCTGGAGAGAGGGAGTCAAAAAAACAAAGACAACCAAGAAGATGCGGAATCATAGAAGCTAAGAGAAGGGAGCACTTCAGCAAGGCGGGAGGGGTCCACTGGGACAAATTCTGCAGAGGGGTCAAGTAAAACACAGAGTCAAAATGTCTGATAGAGTTCCACAAAAAGCCACTAGTGATCTGGCAATAGTGGTTTTGGGGAAAGAAGCTAGGTAGCAGTGGGTCAAGGAGAGAATGAACCCTAAGGAAATGCAATCACTCCACTTTCAACTTTGTGGAGCTTGGATCTAGAGGAATGCAATAGGCTAGGGCATCATTTAGAAGGAAATGAGAGGCCAGGAGGGAAGGGGTTCGTTTCAGCACAGCGCTTCTATTGACAAGACCTGAAAAAAAGTGAACAAATGACTTAAGTCCACAAAGCGGGGGAACTCAGAGCACAGATGGAAAGACACTTAGACAAAGAGATCAATGAAGTAATGCAACATGCATATGAATGAACCATTCGCGCTTAACAAAGAGGAAAAAGTATTTATCTCACAATTAATCTTCAACTCTTGGAAGAATTTTTATTTTACTAGTGTGATTACACACAACTTTCTAATAAAGTCAGGATTCCTGGAGAGAAACATCCCAAGATAGGTATACCTCAGATCTTATTGATTGGAGGACAAGGCAATCAGATTAAAAAAAAAAAAAAAAGACAGTCTTTCCAAGACGTAAGGAAGAGGGAACATTGAATTTGTTGTTCTAGGATATCTCAGGAGAAAAGTCTACAGAAGGGAAGAGAATTATTAGGTTCAACCTATTAATTAACCTTAGGGAGACAGACATGACCTCTTACTACATGAGTGAGAACTAATCGTTTAGGATCTGAGTGTGTAGTATGTATGTGTATTTTGGTACGTGTGTGTCAGCAAAATGAGAGTAATTTTTCCTCAAATAAGAAAAGCGTTGATACTGTTTATAAATAAAAATAAATAAAAGCAGAATCAGCTGAGTAACCCCCTAACTATATTTATTATGACAACTACTTACCACTTATACATAAATACCAAAGACATAAAAACTTATGTATGTCCTTAATATGTTTATCATATTAATTTTGTTTTTAAGTGGTTAATTATACAGCTAAAATCTGTTTGTGAGGTCTCAGTTCTTCTATTACTCAAGGAACATGATTGCCCAAAAACTAATTTCTCAGAGGAATATAGATTAAAACATCCACATAATATTAATTCTTTGGACATTCAGAAAACCTTTAAAAATCTGTTTTCTATTTACCCAGCAGGATAATTCACCTGATGGGAAAAACTAGAGTTAAATAGTATCTGATTTTTGAAAAAACTTAATAAAAACAAAATCTCTTTGAATTGATCATAACCCAGTATGAATTGTAAATGCAGTTATGTGTTCTGCTTCACTCAGCCTGCCTGAGGCTGTGAGGCCCCATGAGGTTCCATCTTCAAAAGAGGAACTCATTCCTTCTTTTTTCTGGGCTTGAAAATTGACCACAAAGGGTCACATAATGACTTCAGTGAAAAAGTTCAGTTTTTATTATTCTAAATAAGAATGGTGGTGGTGGTGGTGGAGGTGAGTGAGGAGGATTTAGGAGCAGAGAGTTAGGAGAAGAGAGATGACTTATAGCAGGAATAAGCCTGTTATATCAACAGATTGCAGAGACAAAATAATCCCAATTTGGACTTCTAGGTATTTTTTTAAAAACTGTGTTCTAAATTGAGATTTGAATTTAAAGTGTGCATGTATGTGTGTGTGTGTGAGAGAGAGAGCGAGCACGTACACACACATGCACACAGAGCACAGCAGTTTAACAAAGAGAAAATACGCTTCTGTGGCCAAGCCTGGAGTCAATGCAGTAAGGAGGCTTTCTGTTAAAAATAACAGGCTCATCCATAATTATAAGACCATGTGATATAATATTTGTGTTTTCAAACACAAAAGAGGCACATGTCAAAGGGTATGAGAAGCACAGAGAATTAATTCCTGCCTGAGGAGGAAACATTTGAGATGAATCTTGACAAATGGACAGTGAATGCTCAGCAAGAGGGACAACAGCACGTGCAAAGGCACAGAGCATGAAAAACTGTGATGAAACATGACAAGTTTACGTGACAAGCTAAGAGGCTTCACACAAGGAGACACCCTGAGAGATTTGGAGCAGTGGAGTGGCATGGCCTGCACCTGGAAAGATAAGCCTGGCAGTATTTGTAGAAGACTAGGCTGGGGCACCAGCGGGGACCAAGGCCAAAATGCAGGCAAGAGATGAGGGACTGAGCCAGGACAATGACCAGAGGATGGACAGGGAAAAGGCAGATGAAGGAGACGTGGGGCTTGCTTACTGGCTGTTGGTGGGGGGATGCAGAGGGAGAGGCCAGCCCCGCCTGTTGGTAAAGGAGCTGTTGCTTTGACCTTCATCCATCTCACACAATTGGTTTGGAAAACAGAATGTGGGGAGGAGACATGATTAATTATTATACCCCCAAACCCAATTCATGCTATATACTTTGCTCCGCAACTTATTTTTAGACTTAACGGTATATCCAGGGATAATATTAAAAATGGTAACAACTGAGTAAGCTGCAGTCCAAGTGTGTCAGGAACGTCCAGGACAATCAGTGGGATTCAAACTCATTCTTTTTAAAAATAACTTTTAAAAATTGATATATAATAGTTGTCCATATTTTGGGGGCACATGTGGTATTTTGAGACATGTATACAATGTGTAATGATCAAATCAGGGTAATTGGGACATCCATCGCCATAATCATTCATCTTTTCTTCGTGTTGGGAACATTACAGTCCTTCTCTTCTAGCTATTTTGAAACATGTAATAAATTATTGTTAACTGTAATTTCTGTATCATGTACTAGAATGTACTCCTTCTAGCTATGGATTTTTGTACCTGTTAACCAACTTCTCTTTAGCCTCCCCTCTCTTCTTCCCTTCCCAGCCTCTCATAACCACCATTCTACTCCTACGTCTAGGTAAACCTCACTCTTTGCATTACTGGTATGAAATCCCAAAGGATGGAATGTGTTATAATTGCTTCAACCATTCAATTGCGGGTGAGGGAACACATAGTTTCTCTTACTTTGTCACCACAGACAACGCTGCAATGAACCCCCTTGAAGCGAATCTGCACATTTCTGCTCTGAAAACACGTTCACGTTTTATTTCATTGGAATCACATTTTGTAGTATCTTATATTTTCTTCTGCAGTATTACTTGGTGTTCAGATACTTGGTAGTGTGTGTAAACAATATTTAAACACACTCAAGGCCCAACTGCAGGGCATGCTTACCAGTTATTCTTCCAAGGCCTGGTATCCTTGACCCAGCTTCCCCAGCCAGGTGTGCTCCCAAGCTGTGGCCAATCAAGTGCACTTTAGAAGGGGAATATTCAAATTTTTTCTGAAAGAATTGTTTAACAGAATAAGTATTTTAAAAACAGCGGTGGAATAGCTTAAATATGCTTTAAAAATAGAAAAAAAAAAGGATCAACATGGTTCTCCCTTTTGCACATAAGACAGGGACTGGTAAAGTCACAAAGTGACACCTCTGCCTACATCCTTATCCAACTGAAGGAGAACAGATGAGCTTGGAAGAATGCCTTCTATAGGAGCTCTCCTCCTTGTGCTAAGGGGCTGGCCTGTGGTCCTTGGAAACAGGAGAACAGCCCTAACAACTATATTCGTGGCTTCTAGCTCCATGCTGATCCTTCCTGAGGCCCAAATCCTTTCAGCATGCTCACAACATGCATCAAAGGCAGCTCATTCCTACAGTTATCCACCTTGCCTGTGTCTGTATCCCAGGTTAAGGCAACACTAGAAAATGTATGGGATAACTTTGGTTTTAAAACAGGAGCTTTTAAGAATATTCACAAACTCAAATAACTCAATATCAAGAAAGCAAATGATCCAATTGAAAATGGGCAAAGGATTTGAATAGTTATCAAAAGAAGACATACAAATGGCCAACAGATTTATGAAAAAATGTTGAACATCCTTAATCATTAGAGAAATGCAAATCAACATCACAATGAGATATCACCTCACATCTGTTAGAATGTCTCTTATAAATTAAACAAGAGCTGTCAAAGATTTGGAGAAAAGGGAAAACTTGAACACTGTGGAGGGAACGTAAATAGGTATAGCCACTATGGAGAATAATATGGAGGTGCCTTGAAAAACTAAAAATAGAATTACTATATGATCTATCAATCTCACTTCTGGGAATATATGCAAAGGTATCAAAATCATTATGCTGAAGAAGAGATATTTGCACTTCCATTTCATTGCAGCATTATTCTCAATAGCCGAAATATGGAATCAACCTGTGTCCATCAATGAATTAATGGATAAAGAAAATGTGTTATACCTGCACAATGAAAAAGGAAATTCTGTCATTTGTGACAACATGGAAGACATGCTAAGTGAAAGAAGCCAGGCATAGAAAGACAAACACTGCATGACCTCACTTAATATGTGGAATTTTAAAAAGTCAAACTACGTAAGTAGAGGATAATAGTAGTTATCAGGGACTGAGATTGGGGTGTGGTGAATAGGGAGATATTGATTAGTGGGTACAAAGCTTCAGTTACACAGGAGGAATAAGTTTCTGAGATTTATTGCTTAGCATTAATAGTAATGCATTGTATATTTCAAAATTGCTAAGAGTAGGTTTAAAACACTCTCATTATTAAAAAATGGTACATCTGCCAGGCGTGGGGGCTCACGCCTGTAATCCCAGCACTTTGGGAGGCTGAGGCGGGCAGATCACGAGGTCAGGAGTTCGAGACCAGCCTGACCAACATAGTGAAACCCATCTCTACTAAAAAAATAGAAAAATTAGCCAGTCGTGGTGGTGTGTGCCTGTAATCCCAGCTACTCAGTAAGCTGAAGCAGGAGAATCACTTGAACCCAGAAGGCAGAGGTTGCAGTGAGCTGAGATCAGGCCACTGCACTCCAGCCTGGGCAACAGAGCGAAACTCCGTCTCAAATCTCAAAAAAAAAAGAATGAGATCATGTCCTTTGCAGGGACACAGATGAAGCTGGAAGCCATCATTCTCAGCAAACTAACACCAGAACAGAAAACCAAACACTGAATGTTCTCACTCGTAAGTGGGAGTTGAACAATGAGAACACATGGACACAGGGAGGGAACAACACATCGTGCGGCCTGTTGGGGGTGGGGGACAAGGGGAGGGAGAGCATTAAGACAAATACCTAATGAATGCAGGGCTTAAAACCTAGATGATGGGTTGATAGGTGCAGCAAACCATCACGGCACGTCTATACCTATGTAAAAAACCTGCACATTCTGCACATGTATCCCAGAACTTAAATAGTGCTGGCATCTGCTTCTGGTGAGGCCTCAGGGAGCTTAGAATCATCGGGGAAGGCAAAGGAGGAGCTGGTGTATCACAGAGTGAGAGCAGGAGTAAAAGGCAAGTGGGGAGGGGCCGTGCTCTTTACAATCAGATCTTGTGTGAACTAACCGAGCAAGTACTCACTCATCACCAAGGGGGTGGCACTAAACCATTCATGAGAGATTCATCCCCATGATCTAATACCTCCCACTAAGCCCCATTTCCAAATTGGGGATGACATTTCAATATGAGATTTGGAGGGGACACACATCCAAACCATATCATTCCACTCCTGGCCCCCCTACACCTCATGTCCGTTTCACATTGCAAAATACAATCATCCCTTCTTACTCTTCCCCCAACATATTAATCATTCTAGCATCAACTCAAAGCTCAAAGTCAAAGTTCTCATCTGAGACTCAAGGCCAAGTTCCTTTTACCTATGAGCCTGTAAAATAAAAAACAAGTTATTTACTTCCAAGACATAAGGGAGGTACAGGAATTGGGTAAACAGTTCAATTCCAAAAAAGAGAAATTGGCCAAAAGAAAGAGGTAATAGGCCCCATGCAAATCTGAAACCCAGCAGGGCAGGCATTAAATCTTAAAGATCCAACATAATCCTTGACTCCATGTTCCATATTCTGGTGTGAGGAGTGGGATCCCAAGGCCTTGGGCAGCCCTGCCCCTGTGGCTTCTCTGGGTGCAACCCACATGCTGCTCTCTGGGGTTGGAGTTGAGTGCCTGCCAGTTTTTATAATCATGGATCTTCCAGTGGATCTAACATTCTGGGATCTGGAGGGCAGGAGCCCCTTCCCACAGATCCACTAGGCAGTTCCCCAGTGGGGACTCTGTGTGGGGGTTCCAACCCCACATTTCTTCTTGGCATTGCCTTAGTAGAGTTTCTCTGTGGGGGCTCTGCCCCTGCAGCAGACTTCTGCCTGGGCACACAGACTTATCTATACATCCTCTGAAATCTAGGTGGAAGCTGCCAAGCTTCCTTCACACTTGCACTCTGAGCATCTGCAGATTTAACACCACTTGAAAACTGCCAAGGCTCATGGCTTGCACCCTCCAGAGCTGTGTTCTAAGCTGTATCTGGGGCCCTAGTTGCTGAGGGTGGAGCCTGAGCAGCTG
Source organism: Homo sapiens (assembly GCF_000001405.40). NCBI lineage: Eukaryota > Metazoa > Chordata > Mammalia > Primates > Hominidae > Homo > Homo sapiens. The sequence continues at coordinate 116,452,630 of NC_000010.11, read as the reverse complement.
GGATGCAGGGAGCAGTGTCCTGAAGGCTGAGCAGGGCAGTGGCACCCTAGGCCTGGGTTCTGAAACCATTCTTTCCTTTTAGACATCTGGGCTTGTGATGGGAGGGGCTGCCTCAAAGATCTCTGAAATGCCTTTCAGGCCTTTTCCCCATTGTCTTGGATAGTAGCACCCAGCTCCCTTTTAGTCATGCTAATCTCTCTAGCAAATGGTTGCTCCACAGCCCACTTACATTCTGCTCTTGAAAAAGCTTTTTTTGTCTGCCACATGGCTAGGCTAGGCTGCAAATTTTCCAAACTTCAATGTTTTGCTTCCCTTTGAAATATAAGTTCCAACTTTAAGTCATTTATTTGCTCCCATATCTGATTGTAGATTGTTAGAAGCAGCCAGGTCATATCTTGAATGCTTTGCTGCTTAGAAACTTCTTCTGCTAGATACCTGAAGTCATTACTCTTAAGTTCAACATACCACAGATCCCCAGGGTGTGGACACAATGCAGCTAAGCACTTTGGTAGGGTGTAACATGGGTGACCCTTACTCCAGTTCCCAATAACTTTGTCATTTCTATCTGAGACTTCATCAGCCTGGATTTCACTGTCCATATCTCTATCATCATTTTGGTCACAACCATTTAACAAGTCTCTAAGAAGTTTCAAACTTTCCCTCATCTTCCTGTATTCTTCTGAGCCCCACAACTCTCCCAACATTGCTCATTTCCCAGCTCCAAAATCACTTCCACATTTTGAAGTATCTTTATAGCAATGCCCTGCTCCTTTTTACTAATTTTTTTTGTGTTAGTTCATTCTTGTGTTGCTATGAAGAAATATCTAAGGCTGGGTAATTCATAAAGAAAAGAGGTTTAATTGGCTCATGGTTCTGTAGGCTATACATAAAGCATAGTGCCAGCATCTGCTTATGTCCGGAAGCTTACAATCACGGTGGAAGGCAAAGGTGGGACTGGGGTATCACATGGCAAGAGCAGGAGCAAGAGAGTAAGTGGGGAGGTACCATGCTCTTTTAAACAAACAGATATTGTGTGAACTAACTGAGCAAGAACTCACTCATCATCAAGAGGATGGCACTAAGCCATTCATGGGGGATCCACCCCCATGATTCCAAACCTCCCACTATTCCCACCTCCAAATTGATGACCACATTTCAACATAAGATTTGGAGGGGACACGCATCCAAAGCACATCCTCCTCTTTGTCTATTTTTGCTTTTGCTGCCTGTGATTTTGGTGAAATATCCAGGAAATCATTGTCAAGTCCAATGTCATAAAGCTTTTCTTCTATGTTTTTTTCTAGGAGTTTTATAGTTTTAGGTGTTATGTTTGTCTATAATCTATTTCAAATTGATTTGTGTGTGTGTGTATATAGTGTAAGACAAGGGTCAAATTTAATTCATTTTTATGTGGATATCCAGCTTTCCCAATGCCAGTTGTAGGAAGAGCCTATCCTTTCTTCATTGTGTATTCTTGGCACCCTTGTGGAAGATCAGTTGACCATACATACATGAGTTTCCTTCTGAGATCTCTATTCTGTCTTTATGCCAGTGCCACACTGCTTTAATTGCTGTACTTTCATAATAAATTTTGAAATCAGGAACTGTGATGATTCCAGCTTAGTTCTTCTTTCTCGAGATTGTTTTGGCTATTCAGGGTCCTTTGTGCTTCCATATACATTTCACAATTGTTTTTACTATTTCTGTTAAAAAAAAGGCCACTGGAATTTTGATAGGTATTACGTTGAATCTGTAGATAGCTTTGGGTAGTATGAACATTTTGATAATATTGACTCTTTTGATTCATGAACACAGGATGTTTTTCCATTTATTTGTGTCTTCTTTAATACAGGTCTGTTCAGATTTTCTGTTTCTTCATGATTCAGCTTTGGTATGTTGTATGTTTCTAGGAATTTATCTATTTCTTCTAGGTTATCTTAAATTTTGTTGTGTAATTATTTATACTAGTCTCATGTTCCTTTTATTTCTGTGGTCTCAATTGTCATGTCTCCTTTTTATTTCTTATTTTTTAAATGTTAGTCTTCTCAAGTTTTTTTTAGTCTAGCTAAAGGTTTGTAAATGTTGTTCATCTTTTCAACAAACCAACTTGTAGTTTTGTTCATTTCTTAATATTGTTTTTGTATTCACTATTTTGTTCATTTCTACTGTAATTTTTATTATTTCCCTTCTTCTGCTAACTTTAGAATAAGTTTATTCTCCTTTATCTAGTTCAGGGGTATCCAATTTTTTGGTTTCCCCATGCCACAGTGGAAGAAGAATTGTCTTGGGCCACACATAAAATAAATTAACACTAATGATATCTGATGAGCTTAAAAATAAGGTCCATGCATAAATCTCATAATGTTTTAAGAAAGTTTACAAATTTGTGTGGGGCCACATTCAAAGCTGTTCTGGGCTGTGGGTTGGGCAAGCTTGATCTAGTTCTTTTAGGTATAAAGTTAGGTTGTTGAATGGAGAGCTTTTTTCTTTTTAAATTTAGGTGTTTATCACTATAAACTTCCTTCTTAGTTTGCTTTTGCTGAATCCCATAGGTTTTGGTATGTTGTGTTTTTGTTTTCATTTGTCTAATGGTATTTTATAATTTCTCTTTTGATTTATTCTTTGACCCATTGGTTGTTTAAAAGTTTTCTGTTTAATTTGCACATATTTGTGTATTTTCCAGTTTTCCTTTTGCTATTGATTTCTAGTTTCATTCTACTGTGGTCAAGAAAGATACTTGGTATGATTGCAATCTTCTTGAGTTGGCTAAGATTTTGTTCTGACCTCACTTGTGATCTATCCTGGCGAAGGTTCTGTGTGTACCTGAGACGAAAGTGTATTCTGCTGTTGGGTGAAATATTCTATGCACATGTGTTAGGTCCATTTGGTCTATAGTGTTGCTGAAGTTGTTGTTCAAATAAGTTTTCTTCTTATTTGTTTTCCATCTAGGTGATCTATCCATTATTGAAAATCAGATAATGAAGGCTCCTACTATTATTTCACTGCTGTGTATTTCTCCCTTCCAATCTGTCAATGTTTGCTTTATATATTTAGGTACTCTGGTGTTGGGTGTATATATATTTATAATTATTATATCTTCCTGGTGAATTGATTCTTTTATCATTATATAATGACCTTTGTCACTTGTGATACTTTCTGACGTAAAGTCTATTTTGTCAGATACAAGTACATTCATTTGTTTTCTTATGGTTACCATTTGTGTTGATTATTCTTTTCCATCTCTTCACTTTAAACCTATGTGTGTCTCCAAAATATAAAATGAATCTCTTGTAGACAGCATGTAGTTAAATCTTTTCAAAACTATCTATTCAATCACTCTATATCTTTTGATTAGAGAGTTTAATACATTTACATTTAAAGTATTATTGATGGAGAAGGACTTATTGTTTTTTGTTTGTTTTGTCTCGTTTTGAGACAGGGTCTTGCTCTGCCAGTCAGGCTGGAGTGCAGTGGCAAGATCATTATCACAGCTCAGTGTACCTTCAAACCTTTGGACTCAAAGAATCCTCCTGCCTCAGCCTCCTGAGTATCTAGGACTACGGGTGCATGTTACCACGCCCAGCTAATTAGAAATTTTTTTTTTTTTTTTTTTTTGAGATGGAGTCTTGCTCTATTGCCAAGGCTGGAGTGTAATGGCACTATCTTGGCTCACTGCAACCTCTGCCTCCCAGGTTCAAGCAATTGTCCTGCCTTAGCCTCCTGAGTAGGTGGGATTACAGGCACCCACCAGTATGGCCAGCTAATTTTTGTATTTTTAGTAGATATGGGATTTCACCACGTTGGCCAGGCTGGTCTTGAACTCTTGACCTCAAGTGATCCGCCTGCCTCGGTCTCACAAAGTGCTGGGATTACAGGTGTGGGCCACCGCACCCAGCCCTAAAACAAAACAAAACAAAACAAAACAAAACAAAACAAAACACCTTTTTATAGAGACAGGGTCTCACTATGTTGCCCAGGCTTGTGTTGAACTCCAGGTCTCAAGTGATCCTCCCACGTCAGCTTCCCAAAGTACTGGGATTACAGGCATGAGCCACCACATCGGACCACTATTACCATTTAAAAAAATTGTTTCCTACCTTTCTGTCTTATAGTTCTTTGGTCCTCTTTTCCTCTCTTGTTGTCTTCCTTTGTGTTTTGTTGATTTTTTGTGTTAATATACTTTGATAGCTTTTTTAAATCTTTCGTGTATTTTCTATAGGTACTTTCTTTGTGACTACCATAGGGTTTACATAAAATATCTTATAATAGTATAATAGTGTATTTTAAGGAGATAACAACTTAATTTCAATCATATACGCCAAAGTCAACACTTTTACTTGTTCACATCACATGCTTCATGTTATTGATGTCATAATTACGTCTTTTTTATTGTGTATCCATTAACATATTTTTAGTTATAGTTATTCTTAATACTTTTGTCTTTTAACTTTTATACTAGAATTAAAAGTAATTTACACACACATGTTACAGTATTTTGTATTTGTCTATATGTTTACCTTTACCAGAGAGTTTTATATTTCCACATACTTTCCCTCTTTCTTTCTGTTTCTTTTCTTTCTTTCTTTCTCTTTCTTTCTTTCTTTCCTTCCTTCCTTCCTTTTCTCTCTCTCTCTCTCCTTCCTTCCTTCCTCTTTCATTTTTTTTTTTTTTTGATGGAGTCTCACTCTGCTGCCCAGGCTGGAGTGCAGTCTGTTACCCAGGCTGGAGTGCAGTGGCACCATCTCAGCTCACTGCAACCTCCGCCTCCCAGGTTCAAGTGATTCTTATGCCTTAGCCTCCCATGTAGCTGGGATTACAGGTGCGCGCCACCATGACCAGCTACTTTTTTGTATTTTTAGTAGAGATGGGGTTTCACCATGCTGACCAGGTTGGTCTCGACTTCCTGACATCAAGTGATCTGCCTGTCTTGGCCTCCCAAAATGTTGTGATTGCAGGCATGGGCCACCACGCTCAGCCTTCAATTATTATATTCTTTTGCTCCAAGATTTGTTTGGTACTTTTTATATTTTTTTAATCTTCTTGTTGAAATTGTCACTTTGTTCATGCAATATTCATTCTCCTGACCTCATTTAACATTTTTATGATGGTTAGTTGGAATTCTCTGTCAGTTAAATCATATATCTCTGTTTCATTAGGGTTAGTTTCTGGAGATGAATCTGTTTCTTTGGTATATATTGTTTCTTCATTTTCCTTGACTCTTTATGTTGGTATTTGCACATTAGAAAAAATAGCCACCTCTGCGAGGGTGTTCATGGATTGTTCTTTGTGGGAGAAGACTCTCACCAATCAGCCTAGCCAACAGTTCTGGGCACCTGTCAAAACTTTGTGCTGGTCCAAACTACTATCTTCATTCTTAGCAGCCCTCAAGCATCTAGAATAAGCTGAGTGCCATCAGCACTTCCAAGAGAGTCAAGACAGAAATCAGTCTCTCAGGCAGCCCCTGGAAAAGTTGGAACTTTTGATTTGCAGTTTAACTCTTTTCCTCCCAAGGAGAACATGGGATCTAGGGTATTCTACTCAATCACTTTGTTTGTCTGCACTGAGCTAGGGGAAGGGGCTATAGTGACTGCTTGAATGACATCTTTCTTCCCATCTTTGTTCTCATTGGCCCCTAGATACTAAAATATTCTGGGTTCTATCAGTGCTCCAAGACATGTGAGATTGAAGTGATTACCCTAAGCAGCCCCCAGAAAAGCTGAAACATTGGATATGACGTCCCACTTTTTCTGTCCACAAGGTGAAGCGGGAAGCTAGGAGTTTCCTTCAGATCATATGGTGCTGGGTCAGAGGTAGAAGTTAAGACAAGAAGGTATCTCAAATTTTCCTCTGGCCTTCGTTGTAGCTGGTTTTATATTTACCCAGGATGTAAGAGCCTCTCAACTAGTTTCTTAATTTCTCACAAAGAAAATTTGTCTGTTACTGTTGAATCAGTGTGCTTGTCAGAGAAAGAAGGATCCAGGTCTCCCTATTCCTATTATCTTAATAATGTCACTCCTGAGCAAGCATTTTTAGTTTCACCTAAGTTTCAGGCTCTCATAATTATCATGAAAATCAAGCAATTGATTTATACTTGCATACATTTTTCATTTGATCAAATATTCCATTTTTTTCCACCAGTTATGACAGTTTTATAAGTCACAGAACAAAGAATATTTTCTCTCTCATTTACATATGTGAATAACTGCCAATGAATGCTACATGGTCATTAGAACATCCCTTCCTCTACTGTTGCCACTATTTTTTTTTTTTTTTTTTTTTTTTTTTGAGACGCAGCGTCGCACTCTGGCCCAAGCTGGAGTGCAGCGGCGCCATCTCGGCTTACTGCAAGCTCCGCCTCCCGGGTTCACACCATTCTCCTGCCTCAGCCTCCCGAGTAGCTGGGACTACAGGTGCCCGCCAACACACCCAGCTAATTTTTTGTATTTTTAGTAAAGACGGGGTTTCATTTTGTTCGCCAGGATGGTCTCGATCTCCTGACCTTGTGATCTACCCGCCTTGGCCTCCCAAAGTGCTGGGATTACAGGCATTAGCCACCACTCCCGGCCGACTGTTGCCGCTATTTTAAATGACTATTTTCTTTCCTATCTCCTTATATAGGTTGGTATTTGAGATCACTCTCAGCCCTTATCCCCTTCATTCTTCTCCTTCTTCCCCATCTTCCTACCCCATTCCCAAGCACCTGCTTGCCTCAGTACCAATCCAGGTGGTGAATTGTGGTGGGCTAGTAACTTGTGATGAGATGACAGAAAGAGAGGTGGAGAAGAGACTCAGCTGTTCCTTTAGCTGCTCCTTCTTTAAGCTTGAATCCTGAATTATCCCCAGAGGCCCTGGAGCCCACTCACCCTAAACCCTTTTCCCACTTCAAGGCTGCCTATTCAATTCAATGAACATTTTAATTCAACAAACATTTTTCCCTTCAGTTCTGCAAACATCTCCTGTCAGCTTCCTATGAACCACTATTATTTATTTATTGGACATAGGAAAGCCCACAGCTCAGGCCCTAAGGTCAATAAAGAAACTCACAAAAGCTTACAGCTGGCTTTTTTTTTTTATAAAGAGAAGATGAAGATGAATCTGATTTCATCCTTTCAAAGACTTTCTCTAAAGATCTTGTACCTTAGTCTTCCCTGATAGAGTGGAAAGAGAAGATAGAGAAGTGTCGGGGCATAAATGAGTCTTTGGATCCCTAATTCCTTCTTCAGGATGTTTACTGACAGTGGTCAATGTTCAAATATCACCTAACCTGGTTGCTCATACAATTTGTTTCTGCTTCTGCCATTCTCCATTCTACTGCCTTGCATTTTCTTCACCCAGTACTTGTCACCAACTGACATTTTCTTGTTCATTTGTTTCTGTGTGTGCCTCCATTGCCTACTAGAGTGTACATTTTGTCAGAGCAGAAACACTGTCTTACTTACAAGTCATATCTTCCATGCCTAGCCCACAGTAAGTGCAGAGTGAAATATATATTTGTTGAATGAATGAATGAACCCTCCTTAAAAATCTGAAAGGATTATGCATCTTTAGATTTTACTACACTGCATTTTAGGGTGGGAAATTACTTTTTAGAAAGCATTTGGAGATTCGTGAATGTCGCAGAGTATAGGCCTAATAAATAGCAAGGTCTATTTAATTCCTTTAGAGAATATGTGTGTTAAATAGTTGTGTCTGGACTGGCCTACAGACCTAACTAATTCACAGGCACAGAACCCTGTTTTTGTGTGAAAATACATGTCATATTCTAAACAAATAATATTTGAAGGATGGTAACAATTTATAATTCTAAGGATAGATTTACAATTGATGAAACTGATTGAGGTGGTCTAACATGCTGACCAAGGCAGTGACCTTGCGGGGGCAGTTTTTAGTGATGAGCCTGTGTAGACACACTGCCACCTAGTGGTGCTTCAAATAACCACAGACTCTTTACTGCGAAGAAACTTTTCCTTTTTTGTCTGCCATATACAAATGCTTATTATTTCACATGTTCAGTACCTGTCTAAGCTAATAAAAAAAGACATTAAATTGTCCCAACTTCTGAGTGTTAATATCCAAAACCAATTCAATATAATTAAAAAAAAATCAACTCTTCTTACCATGAGAACATCAATAAAATAAGCCACCTCAGCACCAACAACACGGAGATTGTTTACAGCATGGATGTATTCCCGTGAACCGTTGATCCAATCTAAATTAATGCAATTTATATCTTCCAGCTGTAGCAACACCTGGCACAAAGATTTATATAAATATTAAATAAATAAGTGTTCAAGGAAACCGACGTGTCTCAACACTTGATTCCATAATAAGAAATTATACTAGTAGGTTGATATGGTTAGACTTTGTGTCCCCGACCAAATCTTATCTTGATTTGTAATCCCCATAATCCCCATAATCTGCACGTCTCAAAGGAGAGACCAGGTCGAGGTAATTGATTCATGGGGGTGGTTTCCCCCGTGCCGTTTTCGTGATAGTGAGTTCTTATGAGATCTGATGGTTTTATAAGGGATTCTTCCCCCTTCACTTGGCACTTCTCCTTCCTGCTGCCTAGTGAAGCGGTGCCTTCCGCCGTGATTGTAAGTTTCCTGAGGCCTCCCCAGCTATGCTGAACTGTGAGTCAATTAAACCTCTTTCCTTTATAAATTACCCAGTCTAGGGCAGTTCTTTATAGCAGTATGAAAATGGAGTAATACTTAGGTGTTAATAGAGAACCTACCACAGGCTAAGCTCTGTCCTAACCCATATATATACGTATGTCCTAACCCATATATATATATATATATATATATATATATATATATATATATGCACACACACATACATACACACACACACACACACACATACACACACACACACACACATTAGTAATTAGCACCTATGCATTAGTACCTATCTCACGGAGTGAGAATTAAATTTATATATATGTGTTTATATATATGTGTTATATATATAAACACATATGTGTTATATATATGTGTTATATATATAAAACACATATATATAAATTTAATTCTCACTCCGTGAGATAGGTACTAATGTTATCTTCACTATATGGCCTTATAAATATTTAACTGCTTATGATGTTAGCAGTCTATTAATCTTAAGTATAGGAGAGAAAGATTAATTTCATGGAGTTAACTTGGAAATTGTTTTTCTTAAATTAAATGAGAAATTGATCATACCATTTAATCTCCTGTCAAGAGAAGAATTTATTCAAGAGTGATTATACAAATTTGCTTCCCTTGTAATCTGTGCAATTTATAATAAAAATAAATGGGAAATGGATAACTAATTTGAGGCCCCAGAACACGGATAATTGTGGATAACTGAATGGAAGATTTCCATGAATATACATCAATACCTTGCAAAGTACATTCATGTTAAACATAAAGCTCGCATGCTAGTGTAAAAAGGAGCTTATTCATGTCATACATTGCACATGTCTCTCTGCCATTTGCCATCTGTTTTCCATCCAGCTATGTTGATACGGGTGATCTTGTCTGTTCCAAAATATGAGGCTTGGATAGTTGAAGAATTAACCGCACTGATCTCCTGTTTCAAGCAGAAAGAGATTAAGGAAAAATAATAATTAAAAATTATTTAATAGTTAGTAGACCTATTCTAAAGCTGCTCGAAAGCCTTTCACTAAATTTGATCTTTAGCAACCTTCTTTAATATATTTTTACTAAATAGTTATGGCTACATATTATAAAAGTACCAAAAATTATTATTATTATTATTTAGAGACAGTGTCTCACTGTGTTGCCCAGGCTGAAGTGCAATGACTCCATCATAACGCACTGCAGTTGCAAACTCCTGGGCTCAAGCCATCTGGCCGCCTCAGCCTCCTGAATAGTTGGATTACAGACCCATGACACCACACATGGCTAATTTTAAACAATTTTTTTAGAGACAGGGTCTCACTATGTTGCCTAGGGTGATCTTGAACTCCTGGCCTCAAGTGATCTTCCTACCTCAGCCTCCCAAGTTGCTGGGATTATAGGCACGAGCCACCACATCTAGCTCAAAAAGTTAATGCATTATAAAATGCAGTATACGAATTCAACACGAGGAAAAAATCTTTGATTTTTAAAGTAATGTTTGCAAGACAATGTTGGGAAGTTTAAATCATAGTTTCAGTAAATCTTATTTTTGTATAACATTTCTCAGTGATCAGTGTAATTCATGAGAATTAAAACATGCCTAGAAGCATGCCAAAAACATGGCAAAATGGAGGTTGTCCACCCCACTTTATGAGTAAGGAATTGAGGTTAGAATCTCATCACATGAAATACACCAGCATATTGGAGATAATTTTATATGATTATGTCAAATATTCTTTTGTATTTCTTGTATTTTGTTGGATTGCCTTAATAACAAAACTCTCAAAGACTTTAGGAGACTATAAATTTAAGTGATTTTGTTATTTAAAACAATAAAAGGCACAAGTATAAGCAATTCTATTGGAAAAAATGAATACTTAAATCAGCAAATAGCAAGTCTGACAGTGGTGAATCCTATAACCTGGAAGCAACACATTTAGATATTTATGAAATTCAAACAAAGAGCCTATTTCTGGCTACCTGTGTTTAATAGTAATGCAATTAATCATACAATTTGCTGGCTAGGTAAAGTGTCTCCAAGACTGTAAGCTAATGGTTATGAGAGTCATAAGTTGGCTTGCTCAGTAATTATAATAGCTAACACTCCTATCTGTCTATTTGCCAGGCATTGTTCTAAGCACTTTATAGAGTAGCTCATTTAACTCTCAAAACACTGTGAAGTAGGTACTAATTTTAAAAATTAGAAAAGGGGACTCTGAGGGGCCAAGTAACTTGCCAAAAAGTACTGCAGCTAATGAATCCTGGAGCCAGAGTTCAAATCCACATGGCCTTTGAAGTTAGGTGCTTAACCACTGGGCTCTCAAGCGATGTTCTGATTATAGTGTTCTCTGCTGATAGGGCCCAAACCAGATGTGGGATTTGCTGAAGTGAGCAATAAAATCAATCATCTTCAGGCCTTCTAGGAAGCATTTTTCTGCTAAATAATCCAATCCAAGTACAAAAACATGATTCCATCTATGTCTCTAAGATAATCCAGGTGCTCACTCATTTCAACTCTCTTAGGCCCAGCTGGAGCGCCTCAAACACCTACTATAGTCCCATTTCTACATCTGAAAAACCTTTTGGAGGGAATTTAGTCCGAAAAAAATTGTTTATTCTTTTCTCAACATGAGAATAGCATTCTGACAGGCATTGTGGGGTCTGAGCATCTGTTGTCATGCTAGTGTAAAAAGGAGTTTATTCACATCATACATTGCACATGTCTCCCTGCCATCTGCCATCTGTTTTCCATCCAGGTATGCTGATATGGGTGATCTTGTCTGACATCAATGAGGAGTTTAATCAAGTAGAATAGGTAGAGAAAACACTTTCACATTCACTCTGGCACAACCCTCTAAAGCAGCTTTTCAACATAAATGTGGGAAACTCCATACACCATCATGGGATCAAAAGAAGACAGCTTAGATTCTGCTGCCACAAGGATAGAAACGAGGAAATGATGTCAATATTGTACAGAATAGGTTATCGAGAGGAAGGGTTAATTAAAGTATCAAGGTTTATCTGGGCCTTTTAGCATTCTTTGACTGAGCAGACATGAAGCATAATAGGTACGAGATCAATCCATTCTGATGACTACATTTCCAGTGATATCATCTCTAGCAAGTAAAAAATAGTTACCAGTTAGGTATGTTCTATCCTTGACTAAAGCTGCAGACACAGAAACTACCGGAAGTGTGCAACATGTCCATCACCACCAGTGACTGTATAAGTCACTCTAGGTTAAGGTGTCATGGATTCATGGGGGAAGTCGGTTGGTTTTATTCTTACAGAAAGGTAACTGTAAAGACCTGTGACCTCCAGAAGACCAAGTTTATCGTACCACACCACATTTACCTTTGACAATTCCTCACTTGGAGAAGAGAGTATGTTAACTGTGTAGAGTTAATTTCTGATTTGTTTATAAATGAGTCCAATTCATATAGCATATGAGTCAGGCCTGTGGAAATCCTTATTTTAATTACACACCTTGACTCATCCTATATCACAGTTGTTAGAAAAACACTTTAACAGCAAACAATAGGCTTCCATCCATTACAAAATTCAGATACATATCTGGTTTAATTACACATGATTCTTTCCAAATGGAGGGAAGTGGGGAAGGTGTGAAGAACATTATTTAGGGAAGTACTTAGTTTTCCAATTTTCTCTTCATTGGCAGTAGGACCCAGCTTCACCTAAACACTGTCTTTATCACCTTCTGTTTTACTGACCGTGCTCCACAGAATTCAAGTGCATGGCCACTTATATAAAAGGATAAAAGGATCAATGAGCCTGATGAGTCCTAAGAGTGAAGATCAGGGAATAGAGTTAGTCCTAAGTGGATAAATATGCCCTGAACATCCTAAAAGGCAGAGAAGGTGCCCCCAAATACTTGTATTCTACATAGATTCTCTTCACTTAAAAAAAAGTTGATCTACTAGCGAACAATACAGTCAGGATGGCTAAAGGTGACCCCTAGAAACCAAACGGCAAGATGTCTGCTTATGCCTTCTTCGTGCAGACGTGCAGAGAAGAACATAAGAAGAAAAACCCAGAGGTCCCTGTCAATTTTGCAGAATTTTCCAAGAAGCGCTCTGAGAGGTGGAAGATAATGTCCGGGAAAGAGAAATCTAAATTTGATGAAATGGCAAAGGTGATTAAAGTGCGCTATGATCGGGAAATGAAGGATTATGAACCAGCTAAGGGAGGCAAGAAGAAGGATCCTAATGCCCCTAAAAGGCCACCGTCTGGATTCTTCCTGTTCTGTTCAGAATTCTGCGCCTAGATCAAATCCACAAACCCTGGCTTCTCTATTGGAGACGTGGCAAAAAAGCTGGGTGAGATGTGGAATAACTTAAATGGCAGCGAAAAAGCAGCCTTACATCACTAAGGTGGCAAAGCTGAAAAAGTATGAGAAGGATGTTGCTGACTATAAGTCGAAAGTAAAGTTTGATGGCGCAAAGCGTCCTGCTAAAGTTGCCCGGAAAAAAGTGGAAGAGGAGGATGAAGAAGACGGGGAGGAAGAATAGGAGGAGGAGGAGGAATAAAGAAACTATTTATCTGTCTCCTTGTGAATACTTAGAGTAGGGGAGCTCTGTAATTGACACATTTCTTATCTGAGAAGTGTCTGTTGCCCTCATTAGGTTTAATTACAAAATTTGATCATGATCATATTGTAGTCTCTCAAAGTGCTCTAGAAATAGTCAGTGGTTTACAAGAAGTGGCCACGGGTGTCTGGAGCACCCTGAAACTGTATGAAAGTTGTACGTATTTCCAAACATTTTAAAAATGAAAATGCAAAAGAAGTCAAAATATACATAACATTAAAATCAACATTTTAACCATTTTAAAGTGCAAACTCAGTGGCATTAAGTCATTCACATTGTCATGCAGCTATCACTACCATCTTTCTCCAGAACTGTTTTCACCCCAAACTAAAATTCTGTACCCATTAAACAGGAACTCTCCATTACCTGCTCCAGATATCTCCTATAAATGAAACCATAGATTATTTGTCCTTTTGTGTCTGGCTTATTAGCAAAATGTTTTGAATGGTCATCCATGTTATATTATGTATTGGCATTTCACTTCTTTTTAAAGCTAAGTAATATTCCTCTCTTTACTTCTTGATAATTATAAAACTCAAGCTTTTGAGGAATGTTTCTTTATAAGTGTCTCTATACCCATAGTAAGAACTTTTTTCCTTGTTCTAGAGACAGCCACATCTACAGAATTGGTCAAACTCATATAACATATGGGTCAGGCCTGTGGAAATCCTTGTTTTAAGTACATACCTTGATTTATCCTATATCTTGGTTGTTGAAAAACACTTTAACAGCAAACAATCAGGCTTCTATCCATTACAAAATTCAGGTACAGATCTGGTTTAACTACACATGATTCTTTCCAAATGGAGGGAAGTGGAGAAGGTGTGAAGAACATTATTTAGGGAAATACTCATCTACAGATAGCTGGCAGATTTCAGTAAAGAGTAGTGTGTACATATGTATGTGTGTCTGGTGAGTAGAGAGCTACAAATCAGACCATATTTGTACGGTAGGAGTGCATAGGAGAAGACTGCCCTGGCTGGCAAGGCCCAGCAGTATGTGATGGGCCTGATGGAAAGTAAGCCCTGAGGTTACAGATTCAGGTAAAGACTGGAAATGATCTTCTCTGGCCCCACTTTTTTCCTGCTCCCTAAATATAGATCCTCCAACCACTCCTAGTCCTGCCCTCGTTTCTCTGCTTCTGAGATTTCATGTACTCTTTGGGTTTCAATTTGCAACCCCAGCCAGAAGACTTTTGAATCTTTTTCTCCAGCTCTGGGCTGCCTGCTTCGCTGTTAGACTAACATCTCCAACAGCCTGCTCAAGCCCCACCTATCCAGAATCTAACTCCTTCTCTTTTATCCTCAATTTTTCTGATAAGAGGGTTATCATTTTCCCAATCATTTACGTGTGAAATCTCAGACTAGTTTATGATGTCTATCATGTTGATTTTCTATTATCATAACCACTTTCATTACTGCAGTTCAGGCTGTTTCCCGTGTGTGATCCAAACTGCACTATAGCTTTCTATTTAACATTGTCAAATGGACCTTTCTGTGATGACGGAAATATTCTATATCTGTAATGTCCAGTATGGTAGCCACTAGCCACATGTGGCTATTGAGCACTTGAAATGTGGCTGGTGTGGCTGATGAATTGAGTTTTTAATTTTATTTAATTGTAATTTTAATAGTCACATGTGGCTAGTGGCTACTATGTTGGACAGCACAGTTCTAAATGGCCTCATAGTCACCTCTAGTCTCTTCCAGCTTCAGACAAGAGAGCAACAGCAGCCAGAGTAAATGCCCTAAAGCATCTCTGAAAAGCTCTCAATGGGGCCCCATGGCTTACAGGATGAAGTACAAACTCCACAGGAAGGAACTATACAATTTGTTCCTCAACTACTTTTCTAACTAACCTTACTTTTGAAGACTCCTTCTCTGCCCACAGACTAACCCAACACGTCATTCATCAGACAGGCCTGTGGTTTCTCTCCTTTATGTTCATGCCACTTCCTTTGCCATTACCCTGCTTATCTCTGCTTGTGAGCACTTTGCCCATCCTGCAGGATACACCTCAAATACATGTCCTCCTCAAAATGTTACCTGGTTCCATCCCTGACCTCAAGGTGAGCTCTTCTTCACTTTGTTCCCAGAGTCTTTCAGTTGCATCTTACATCACAGATCATAATTTGTGTTGCAAGAAAGGTATTTGTTTGTACATGTCATTTCTCCCACTGCAATAAAGTCAAGACTGTTCTGTTTATTCAATTCAATAGACAATAGGCATTGTTGCTTATTCAGTCTTACAGATGGAAGGTTCTCAGTTGGTACATTGACTGAACATAATATCAAGTTTACCTGTTATGAAATAACATAAGAGCAATCTTCATATTTAAATCAGATATATCAGAACAGATAATATAGAACAGATAACATAGAAAAAATCTGACTCATAATACTGAAAAGAAATGTTTGCATTTAAGTCAATAGCATATGTCAGAATAGGTTACTGTATCTATGTCTTCTGTATCTATAGGCAAATCTTATATTTTAGAATAATCCATGTGTGAAGGCTGCAAGTTAGCTTACCTGATAGGCATTGGGATTGTGTATAGTGTAGAGCAGGAAACGAGTGTTTATCTTCTCTGGAGACCAGGGTAAACCTACCAACTCTGTTGAGAAAGTCCTGGTCCATGGTAAACCATCTTTGAAACACCCTAACCTTTCATAGCAAACTTCTTTTCCTGCAGCAGAAAGGTGGAGTGTCAGTATAGAGGAACCAGGCTTAGAGAGAGGCTGTGTTTCTCACTATGAGTTAAAGTAGAATTTAATTTTGGAAATTAACCCCTTATTGGATTTATGGCTTGAAAATATTTTCTCCTATTCTATAGGGTTGCCTTTTCATTTTGTTGACTAGTTCCTTTACTGTGCAGAAGCTTTTTTGTTTAATGCAATCCCACTTGTTTATTTATTTTATTTCGTTGCCTGTGCTTTTGTTGTCATATTCCAAAATGATCATTGCTAAAGCCAGCAACAAGGAGATTTTTCGTATGTTTTCTCATAGGAGTTTTATAATTTCAAGTCTTACATTTAAGTCTTTATTCCAAGTTAATTTTGTATATGGCATAAGGTAAGGGTTCAATTTCATTCTTTTGTATGTGGATATCCAATATTCCCAATACCATTTGTTGAACAAACCTATCATTTCCTCATTGTTATATTCTTGGCACCCTTGTCAAAGACTAGCTGACCATATACACACAGGTTTATAATTTTGTATATGGCGTAAGGGTTCAATTTTATTCTTTTGAATGTGGATATCCAATTTTCCCAACACCATTTGGTGAATAAGCCAATCATTTCCTCATTGCATATTCTTGGCACCCTTGTCAAAGACTAGTTGACCATATACACATGGGTGTATTTCTGCACGCTCTACTCTGTTCCATTTGTTTATGTGTCTGTTTTTATGTCAGTATCACACTGTCTTGATTAATATAATTTTGTAGTAAATATAGTTTTGAATCAGGAAGTGTGCTGCTTCCAGCTTTGTTCTTCTTTCTTAAGATTGCTTTGTTATTTGGAGTCTTTTGTGGTTCCACAACAACTTTAGGATTGTTTTCTCTATTTCTGTAAAAAAATTACCTAAGGAACTCACACAACTTAATAGCAAAAAGCAAATAACTAAATTTTAAAATAGGCAAAGACCTGGACAGACATTTTCCTTAAGAAGCATACAAATGGCCAACAGCCATATGAAAAGATGCTCAACATCGTGAATCACTATGGAAATGTAAACCAAAACCTTAATGAGATATCATCCCACACTTGTTAGGATGGTACTGGCCACATTCCAGCCTCAGCAAAGCTCAGCCAGAAGGGCAGGCTTGAAGCCGAGAGATAACAGCTCAATAACCCAGCGCATCCCACTCTTCACTTTGTCTCACCTCTTCCTCCAATGCGGTCAATACACTGTTTTGTTTTTTGTTTGGTTGGTTTTTTTTTTTTTGGCTCATTTATTGGCTTCTATTATAAATTTAAACAGTAACCTTCTATTTTTTGATCCATACAACATATTCATTAGAACCTGACTCCCAGTTTCCTAAGAGGAAGATTTTAGAGGTACTGACTCTCCCTCTCTTCCTCCCTTCCAGCTTCCAAGGTCTGTCAGCTTCATAATGTTGTTTTCATACTATCAAAATTGATAATATTCAGACTTTGCTCTATAAGCAAAATTAATCCTTCTATGTTTTGTCTGCATGCTGACTCCAAAAAGTTGAAAATCAATGAACAGAATTTATATTATTATAACTAGATAAATATTTTTGGCTTCAATCAACTCGCATGCTATAATTACATTTCCTTTACTGCACTTCCATTGTTCAGACACTCATTCTCTTCAAAGGAGATGATTCAAATGAATTGTCTTTCCTAATATTTGAATTACTCAGGATCAGTGTCATCGTAGGTTACTCCATATTTGGATCATGCCTCTCTTGTACTGTTTGTGTTTTCCTATATTCTCTGGTTGCCTTTTTTTCTCTTCCTGGAAGAATGAACATGTGCCTTCTTCAATATATTCCTATTATATTGCAGCTTCTTAATATTTCTCCTGCCTGGAATCCATTCTGATCCTTTTCTAATTTGAACCAGTGACTTCATAGTTGGATCATGGCTTTCTAAAACAGCCTTCTGTTTTCCCTAGAATGCCCAGTTGCCCTTATTTTTTGCATTCTGTTGCTTTTTTCTCCAGGTCCTCAACTACATTATTCAGTCTATGGATTTTAAAATGAAGATTTTTATAACTAGTCCTTATTTTCTATGTTTATCGCTTACCAGGGTTATCTACCACTGTGCTCTTTTTTCCATAAGAAAATGCTCACAGAGAGTGTAAAGTTAAAGGAAAATGGATGTGATAAAGCACAGTGAGCAATATTATAAGGTATTAAAGCCACTTAAGAAAAGATTGAAAGATTAATAGTTCTGTAAAAATAATGTTTGCTATAAAGTTAATACATTGAAATTGGGTCAATAACTTAAGTGGCCAATAATAAAGGATATAGTTTTAAAATTATGGTATTGAGGAATATTATGCAGCCATTAAAAATGTTTATAGAGAATTTGTAATAATATCTGTAATGGAAAAAAGTAAAATTAAAAGAAAGGTACCAAAATATTAATGGTGAATCCCAGTGGTTTTAATTTTCTTATTTATACTTGTCTATGTTATCAAATTTTCAGTAATAAATATGAATTACCTTTATAATAATAAAAAGGTCACAAAAGGAGAGAAAGAGTACTTCTTTACCAAATGATGCCCAGTCTGGTTTTTTCTTTTTGTCTTACTACTGCTAATAAAAAATACCAAAAACAGATTTAGCCTTATGTGTCATACATGTGAAAAAATGAAGACTTAGAAAAAGTGATGATCTAAGAGAAATGTATTGCTATTTGTGGCAGGAAAATAATTGAACCCTTATGCCGGTCACTCTATCACTAAGTGGAATTGGGAGATATAGCCTAGCTTTTGCTAGGTTACTTTATGGTAATAAACAGCCCCTCACATCTCACTGGCTTACAAAAATTAAGGTTTATTTCTTGCTCATGTTATCCTTTGGCTGCAGTGGTTTTAGGTTGGGCCTAGCTCTGATTTACCAGCCTTCTGCATTGCAGGATCCAAGCTAAATGAGTAGGCTCTGTTTTGAGCCTGTGTCTGTTGGGGCAAAGGAAAATGATGCAACTGTGGAACCATGCAAAGGCTCTTAAAGGTGTCTAGACTTAGAATACTCTCTTCCATGTCATGTGGTCAAAGATGAATGTGTATAATGGTCTTAAAGGGATGGAGAGTCAATATGGGGAACAACAATACAATCTACATACTATGGAAGGGTATGTAGATTTCAGTTTCTGTAAGTACCACCAGTATGACAACCTTACATGTCCTACAAGAATGAAAACCCGTTGTTATTTTAATTTGCATTTATTTAATTATCAGAAACTTTGAATATCCTTTTGTGCATTTCTAGCCATTTGTACCTCTTTTGTGGATGAGATCTTTGTGTCCTATGCATATTTTTCTAAAGTTTGTTTTTGCTTATTTATTTGTAAAAACTCTTCAAAGAGTAGAGAAATTTGCTTCCTTTTAGTCAGATATCTGGAAAATATACTCAAATTTGTTGTCTATATTTTTGTTTTACTTTACTTTTGTCATTTAGAAATTTTGCATTTATGCAATCAAAATTATCAGGCTTTTGCTTAGTGGCTTTGGGGTTTTGTTTTGTTTGGAAAAGGCTTCCTCACTCCAAGACTTTTTTTTTTTTTTTTTTTTTTTTTTTTTTTTGAGATGGAGTTTTACTCTTGTTGCTCAAGCTGGAGTGCAATGGCACGATCTCAGCTCACTGCAACCTCCGCTTCCCAGGTTCAAGCGATTCTCCTGCTTCAGCCTCCCGCGTAGCTGGGATTACAGGTGTGCACCTCCACACCTGGCTAATTTTTTGTATTTTTAGTAGAAACAGGGTTTCACCATGTTAGCCAAGCTAGTCTGGATCTCCTGACCTCGTGATCCGCCCGCCTCGACCTCCCAAAGTGCTGGGATTACAGGCATGAGCCACCGTGCCTGGCCACTCCAAGACTATTAACAATTACACACTTTTCTTTCATACTTCTTTCTAATGTTTTATCTTTTACTTTTGAATGTTTACCCACCTGGGATTTATTCTGGTGTAAGTAGTAAGACTTTCATCTAGAATTTCAATTCTTTTACCATAAATTTATGCAAAGTCTAGTCATTTTAACTTCATCCACATCTGAGGTTATTTCACTTTATTTAAATTTGCCATCATGGCATCATTAGTTTTATTAAGCAACTGCCACATAGGTTTATGAATTCTATCTTTCCTGTTTGTATGATTCACTTCTACTTATATTTTTATTTTTATTACTTAAATGCTTTCTTCACCTTTACTTATTTTATTTTCCACTTTCTTCAGTTCTTGAGTCATTGTATTTTAATATATTCTCTAGTTGAAATGCTTTATTTCCCCTTTGGCCTAAGAATTCTTTAAAGAAACATTTGAAAAACAGCACATTACATGAAGCTAGTGTTAATTGGTTAAGAAATCATGTAAATTGGCATATTAGTTCTTATCTTCCTAATTTCCACTCTCTAAAGGAGTCACTTCTCTATCTTACTGTGAGCAGGCTTTTCCAAAGACATAGAAAAGCTGGAAAGTAGGTTCGATAATCTATTCAAGAAATATTTGTTTGTGCCTATTATTTGCCAGATGCTATTAGCACTGGAATTCAGCATTGGAGAAAACAATTCTAGCCCTCATGGAGTATATAATCTAGTTAGGGGATGTAGAGACAGACAATAAATAAGAATACGTTTTTCAAAAATGGCTACATTAAAACAGTGACAGGTGCTAGGAGGAACCTAAAGCAGGGAAGGGATGAGGGTGTTTGTGTGTTTAGGTGAGGAGGGGTTTGCAGTTTAAATAGGGTGTCCAGGGTAGCATTTGCATCAAGACCTGGGGGGGAGAGGAGCAAACCGCATGCAGATGTGTGGGACAGCATTCCAGACAGAGGGAAGGAAAGCACAAGACTCTGCAAGGAAGCAGAGAGCCTACTGTGACTGAGGAATGAGGAGGCACCGGGACTAGGGCCCAGGGAATGGAGACAGGGAGAAGACATAGCTCCACAATGACTTACTCTGCAATTTCAAAATCTAAAAATCTCTGGGGAAAAATAGTTGCTTTTGGGCTTGTTCATTTATTTGTTTTCTAGTTTGCAGTAACTAGTTTGGCAGCAATAACAGACCTAAAGCTGTTTATAGTCTTTATCCCATTTAATATGAGATTAAATTATGTGGGATCGTAGTCATGTATTTTACTACATAAATATGCATGTGATTAAATATGGGGTTCTGTCCTAGATTTTTCTGGAAATTATGTATTATATACAGTATGTTTACCATAGCATGTTTCAAAATAATAAAAAAAACCCTAACATTTGTAATGCATCTGGCCCCCAGGAGTTTGAATAGGGGTAGGTGGATGAGGAGCAGGGGTTAATGCTAGGAGGTAACAGAGGGCTAAAGCATGTAGCATTTGGTAGTTCACTGGCTCTTACTCTGAAGTGAGATGGGAAGCCACTGGAGGGCTCTGAGCAGAAAAGTGACATGGACTGACTTGGGTTAGCTTCTGGGCAAGGTAGAGGAAGAGGCCAGTTAGGAGACTATTATAACAAACTAGATAAAAGTCAGTGGTGGCTAAGACTAGGGTGGTAGCAGTGGTGTGGTTACAAGTGGTCAGGTTCTGCATGGATTTTGAGGGAGGATCCAAAGAGTTGTGCTGACTGATTGGCAGTGAGGTATGACAGAAAGAAAAGTCAAGGATGATGCAAGGTGTTTTGGCCAGAGCATCTGGAAGGCCATTAATTGTGAAAACTTTGAGACGAACAGATTTGGGGGTAGATATTGAGAGTTCAGTTTTGGATATGTAGATTCTATATGAATTAGATACCTAAGTGGAGCTACCTTGCATATACGAGACTGGGATTCCAGGGAGAAGTTCAGCTGGAGAGATTACATTTGGAAGTCATTAGCATAAATGGTAGGTACCAGAAGATTGAAGGCAATGGACTCTGTTACAGATTTAATAGATGAGATATAGGTAATAATACAAATGAATGTAAGCTCAATTGTTAAATTTATGGCAGTTGTGTAATAGATATGTGGTGTGTAGGAGAAATATATGTATTATCTAAATTTTACATAAGTATGTATTTTGTTAAAATAACTTCTTATTAGGCAGACATTTCTCTCCTCAATTCCCTTCTTATCCAGTGTAAATCCTACAGTCAATTAAAACCATACCCCTGTACTCTCCTTGAACTTCTCTCCTGTTCTTGCTTCACTTGGCTTAACCACAACTCTGGTTAAACCCAACACTTCACCTATTTCCTGTCTACACCTGTGCAGCTGAATGTGCCTGGAGGAAATCACATACCGTACTGACTATCTCACTTTTAATTTGTGGTTATGAAATTAAAGCAGATCTTAAAGCTACCCAGCCATCATATCATATTTTCCTAGGCCCTTCATTTTCCCAGACTCCTGGGTTATTTCATTCTTCTTGCCTCTCAAACCTCCAACATCTTCATGCCCACCAAACCTCTTGGCTGATGACCCTGTTTCCTATTTCAATAGGAAACCAGAAACAAAGAGAAGAGACCTTTTACAAGCTCCCAGCGTGTCTATCCAGCTACCTGCAGATATCTGCCCTTCTATTTTGCCTTCACTCTGTTCACAAGAGATGAACTGTCTTTGTTTCTCGCAAAGGCAAACCTTCATCCTATTAAGACTCCATCTTCTCTCACCTACTGAGGGGTAAGGCACAACATTACTCCCTTCTCTTTCTCCTGCTTTACCAACTTTCCTCCTCTCTGCTGGATCATTCCTAGCCTCACACAAACATGCTGTTATTTCTTTCATCTTAAATTGACTTCTAGGATGCTGACTCTCCTAGGTTTCCTACCACTTCACTGAGTACTTCTTGGCAGTCTTGTTTGCTAGTTTGCCTTCATCTTCCTGATTTCTTAATGAGGAAGTGTCCTAGGACTCAGTAGTTCCATCTTCCTTCTCTACCTGCAGTCACTCCCTTGATGATCCTGTCTGTAGTCATGGCTTTAAATATCATCTCAGCAGATCAGGGCAAACTGCCTATTTCTTAATTCTGCCTTCACCAGTCTAACTGCTTTCAGCACTCAATTAGGACTGTCCTGGGGCAGGAGAATCATGCAAAATAGAATATAGTTCTTGAAATATGAAAACTAATGATAGTCCTATCTCCTTCATTTTTTATCCAATAGAGAAGAGCTGGAGGCCAGGGACTGAAAAACACTGAACTGAAAGTCAAGATTGGCCAATTCCACAAGCTAGCGCCAAGATGTTACACAACGAATCTCTCTGTGTTTTGTTTTCTTCATCTGTGTAAATAAGAGCGAACATTTATTGATTGCTCACTACTAATATGTCCCAAATCCCATGCCAAGCATTTTACATGAATTGCAGATTGAGTATCCCTTATCCAAAACGCTTGGGACCAGAAGTGTTTCAGATTTTGTGTTTTGGAATGTTTGCATATACACAATAAGATATCTTGGGGACAGGGTCCAAGTCTTAACACAAAATTCATTTATGTTTCATATATACCTTATACACATAGGCTAAAGGTAATTTTATACAGTATTTTAATAATTTTATGCATGAAACAAAGTTTGTTTTAAGTATTTGTATGTGAAATATTCTGCTTGTGGCATCATGTTAGTGCTTAAAATGTTTCAGATTTTGGAGAAGTTTAGATTTTAGATTTTTGGATTCGAGATGGTCAACTTGCATCTTATTTAATTGGCACAACCCTATAATTTTATTTTGGTTACTGTCCTGTTTCTACAGATCAATCATCTGGGCTTAGAAAGGTTAAGTACTTGTTTAAAGTTAAGCAACTACCAAGCAGCAGAACGAGGACTAAAACCCAAGAAGATTCAGAATTCAAACCGGTGGTTGAACTGAATGTTAGATGTGACGACTGTCTTCTTACCACCATACTATCTCAACCAACTACGTGATACTTTACAACAAAGGGGTTGATCTCTTTCAACATTAAAATTATTTGATTCTAGTTTGGTTAAAATAAATCAACTAATTTTAATGTTTGCTTATAGGCACAATATTAAACATGGATGGTAAAAGTAGCCAAAATCACTAACTCCTTACATTGTAATGTCTAAGGAGTCCATAGTATAAAGAGCAAACATGTCAATGAATACTGAGTTAATGTTTAAGAAATGTCCACAGACTAACAGCCCTCCAGAAAACTGTGACTGAAGTGGAAAAAAAATGGACATTCCAACTGACATTAATAATTAGTTAATTCATTCAATTATTGAGTATCTACTATGAGTCAGCTACAGAATTTGGAAATTTGTATATATTTTCTCATTTATTACTATGTACCCTTCTTAGAAATGAAGAAATTGAGACTTCAATGTCTAAGCCCATAAGACTAGTAAGTGGCAGAGCTAGCAGCCCAACACAAGACTGTCCGGCAACTCTTTTATATTGTTGGAAATAGATGCTTCTTTATGTTCATAAGACTCATTCAGTATTAAGTGATGCATTTTCCATTGATAATTTTATGTTAAGTGAAAAAATAAATAAATACAAAGAAATATAAGCAGCCAATATTTTAAACATATTCATAAAAACAATAAACTACTTAAGAATGAAATTAGCAATAGTAATTTCTAAAGAATAAGTTCATGTCAATTACATTTTAGATGTAAGTATACTCATTATTTTTAAAGAACTTATTATAAATTATGAATCTTACCTCTTGATGTGCCAAAGAACAAGAATGCAACAATCCAAATTCCAAGCATCTAAGCTGATTTTTTAAATCACATAAAAATCTTCTTGAAGATCTTTACTTGTAAAGTCACCTCACTATAAAATACTAAGTGGTTTTCCTCACAATGATGCAACTCAATGTTTAAACTCTACGTTTAAAAGAACATGTTATTCCACCTTATGCTCTGCAAAGTAAATAAAATTATCGGGGTGTGCCTTACATCTTATGATTGGCAATGGAAACTTCCAAGGTTTTGCTGTTTCATTATTAGTAATATTTTGGTTAAGCACAAACTGAGTCACTCTTGAAAGTTACTTTAAGGTTACAAGGTGTTAGATAATAAGCATTTAAAAGGTAATTTTTTTTTTCCAAACCAGGATTAGGCACTTTCAGAATATTTTTCCCTAACTCATTTCTGTGTGTAAGCATCCCAATTAATACAAACAGACCCTGCTATAAGATGTTCCGAGTTCAATAACAAACATAGCTAATCTTTTCCTCTTATCTGTGTGGCAGTATAATATGGGAGTTATCATTATTGTTTTCAGAGCCCGAATGCTGGGTCCAAATTCTGCCTCTGCCACTTATTAGCAGTGTGACCTTGGGCTAGTAAGCCTCACTATTCCTTTCCTTACCTGTAAAATGGGGATGATCGTGGTTCCTAGCTCATATGCTAAATAAGATGATTGAATTATTTATTGTCTGAATAGCACCTGGACATAGTAAGTACTATATTACCTGTTAATTTTTTGGTGCTGTCATTGTTCAACTATGTTAATGGGTGTATGGGCAAATTGATGTTCACATATAGCTAAATATAACCTTACATGATTGTACATAGGCTTCATGATATACTTTAACGTAATAGAAACTTGCCATTTTGGCTACTATGTTAACTTAAAGTGATGAGCAATTCAATCTACAGATATTCTTAGTCAGTTTCTCAATTTTTAAACGCTCATAGAAAATAGCTAACATTATTTCTTAGTTTTTCCTAACTTTTTGTTTCTGACTATTATAATATTAAAATTTCCAACATTTATGAGGCACAGCCTTTTCATAAAAACTTTGTTACATTATGCAAGAATTAGACAAAGAAGAGATTATGAACAAGAGTACTTCCAAGTCCTGGATGTTTTATTTGGTTGAAACCTTTCCTGGTATTCATGGCAGCCAGTCCACACTGGCATGCAGACCTGCAGTAATTAGAGAATTAACTATTCAACAGCACCAAGCAGTGTGCTGGACACGCTGTGAGTGCCCACACTATAGAAAAATCACCCTCTGAAAGCTTCACTAGTTACAACTGGCTGTTTTTTTTTCCAAGCAACACCTCAAGAATCAATGTTTTCAGCCATACCTGTAAGATAAGTATGAATAACATTTAATACATTCATCAGTAGGAGCTCTCAGAAGACTACATGTTATTTATATCTGCATCCCAAGTGACAAGCACAATGTCTGGGACTTAGTAGGTACTTAATAAGCATTTTTAAATTAAAAAGTACAAAGACCTACAATGATAATATAGGATATTTTTAAAAACCACATCCTTTTCTGTGTTTTTACAGCAATTTATAATGACTCTCTTATAACACTTAGGATATTATAGAATTGTTAGGTATTTACATTTTACTCTCCTCCTCCAGATCGAACTATTCTGAGACAAGCTGGGTTTTGTTCATCTCTGGGCCCCCAGCACATAGCAATAGGTCTATCATCACAGGCACTTGGTCAATATTTGTTGAAAGAAAAAGATAGCATTAGATTTCATTGATCTCATAGCATCCAAGGAAATTCTTACCCTAGAGAGATTATCATTCTGAGAGATGAAGACCCATACTTTAACAATTGTATTTAATGAGTGTCAGATACTAGTGAATCCATAAATGCTTGCTGCAATCGTTGTAGTTCTGCCTGAAAAATGTCCCATACAGGAGTTAACAATAGCTTTTAAAAGTTCATCACAAAATCCATTCTCTTTCCAAAACTCCCAGCCCAGCATTGCCAATACATTCTGGGCCTTTCAGATACTTTATCTGAAGCATAAAGTCATCATATCCAAATCTTAAGAAATGCTTTTCTCTCCAAAGAGCTCTTCTTCATGCCTTCCCTGTTCCTGTTATTAGAACTGCTATTATTTGAGTCACAAGCTGGAAACATTCACATCATCTTTGACACCCTTAAAGTCCCTGCCTCCCTCATTCCATGAGTCGAGCCAGGCCCTGTTGATCCTCCTTCAATGGTGTCTCCTTCATTCATTCCCTCCTGTCAGACTCACTGTCAACATCCACACTCAGATCTTCCTCTTATGCCTGAAACATCGTTGCTGGCCCAGGCTTCTCTCTTCTCAATGAGGCATCACAGATATTGTTCCCAGGTAAACCATCTGGAATCACATCTCTGATCACACTCTCCTCGAATGTCCCTATTGAATAAAGCTCAAATTACTTAACTTAGATCAAGGACTTTCTTGTCTTCTCCTTGGTCAACCATCTGAGCTGTAAAGTCCATGCCCTTCACCCATGTTGCTCCTGTCCACCTGCTGAGTGTTGGGCGTGCTGTTTCTTCTACTTTGACGGTCCTTCCTCGCCTTTTTCTATATATATCTACACCCCCGTCATAAATTCAAGCCCCAGTTCAAATGTGAACAATCTCTTTCATAAATATTTTTTCTGATCATCCTCAGTTGGTTAAGATTTCTCTAGTTTCTGAACACTCACTGCATTTTTTTATTTTTAATCTTTTATAACTTAAACATTATATTACTTATTTTTTACCCCCTTTAACTAAATTGTAAGCTTGAAAGCCAAGAGCATACATTTGTATGCTTGTTGGTACAGGTTTTTTCTAGAACACAGATCTGATCATTTTTCTAGGAGATAAAATCTAAACTCCTTAGCATTCCTGCAGGGCCTTTAGCAAACTGCCCCCACGTGCTTCTTTTACCACTTCCCCACTTTAAGCACCCTTCAAGCTGAACCACTTAGAACAGCAGTCCCCAACCATTTTGGCACCAGGGATCAGTTTTATGGAAGACAGTTTTTCCACGGGATGGGGTGGGAGGATGGCTTTGGGATGATTCAAGGACATTACATTTATTGCATACTTTATTTCTATTATTATTACATTGTAATATATAATGAGATAATTCTACAACTCGCATTAATTTAGAATCAGTGGGAGCCCTGAGCTTGTTTTCTTGCAACAAGGGTCCCATGTAGGGGTGATGGGAAACAGTGACAGGTCATCTGGCTTTAGATTCTCCTGGGACACGCAACCTAGATCCCTCACAGGCGCAGTTCACAGTACGGTTTGTGTTCCTATGAGAACCTAATGCGGCCAGTGATCTCAGAGTAGGCGGAGCTTGGGCAGTAATGCAAGCGATGGGGAACGGCTGTAAATACAGATGAAGCTTCGCTCGCACATCTGCTGCCCACCTCCTGCTGTGCAGCCCAGTTCCTAACAGTCTATGGACCAGTTACCTGTCCGTGGCCTGAGGGTTGAGGACCTCTGACTTAGAGCACTGCCAACAAACTAGTTGTGCCTATACCTCCATGCCTTAACTTGTGCTATTTCTGCAACACCTTTCCCTCCCTATTCCCTACCAGGTAAGCTTGCGTTCATTTATTACCTACTCTGTAAAATCATCCTCAACCCCTAAACTGGAAATTATCACTTACTCTTGGCTCACCCACACTTTAGACATATGTCTCACTCTGACGCTATTGCATGATAATTAGTCACATGATGGACTGCTCCAAGGAGGGTTGCCTCCTTGAGATTAAGGAAATCAATGTTTCATAGTCATGTTTATATTACTTAGTACCAGGTAAGGGGCCTGTCACGTGGACATTTTGTACTTTTTGAACAAATACTGTAACAAATAAATGAGTGGGAGAGAGAAAAAGAAAGAAACTTAAATAAATATTAATAAATAAACTAATATTTATTTGGTGAAACATTTCAAAATGTAAAAGTACTTGTCTGTGAGTCCAAATTTGTATAATTACAACCCTCAACGATTCATGGCAAAGGAAGAAGTCATCCTACGAGTTTATTAATTTCATTCTTCATGTTTCTAGTATATCTAGGCACCTTCTAAGAAATGAACTTCAGGCCTATTTCACTTTTTCTGAACTCCAAAGATTATATGTATTGTTCTCTCTGATATATTAAAATATTGACATATAATAAATATATAATAAACATTGCATAATATAAAATATTCAACTATAATATATTAATATTATATATTATAATATTAATTATATATTATGTATTTAGTGTATTATATATATTAAAAGTTATTATATTCCAATATAATAAATAAATATTCCCACAACAAATAATGCCAAGTATTCAATGTTGGAACTGACAAATATTTACCTTTAATCAGGCCAAATACTGGATTATCTCATCACCTAGTTCAATATTATTTACTTATGCTTCTGTCTTTCCAAAATGGCTACTTCAATTTAAAAGAATTTAAATTTTCTGAAGAAAAGAAGATTTGAGGGTATGATATGCTTTAGCTGTGTGTCCCCATTCAAATCTCATGTTAAATTATGATCCTCAGTGTTGGAGGAGGGACCTGGTGGGAGGTGATTGGATCATGGGGACCGATTTCCCCCTGCTCACTCTGATAGTGAGTGAGTGAGTTCTCACAAGATCTAGCTGTCTAAAGTGTGTAGAACTTCCGCCTTTGCTTTCTCTCTCTTGTTGCATGTGAAGATGTATGTGCTTGTTTCCACTTTGTCCTCCTGACATGATTTTAAGTTTCCTGAGGCCTCCCCAGCCATGCTTACAGCCTGTGGAACTGTAAGTCAATAAACCTGGTTTCTTCATTAATTACCCAGTCTCAGGTAGTTCCTTATAGCAGTGTGGGAATGGACTAATACAGGATAATTCGAAGACAACTAGGTTTTCTCTTTTCATGAGAGAGGGCTGAAATAGAATGACATGTTATTTCAGGTTTATTTAACACATATCCTTAAGTTCTTTACGTGATAAATCACAAAATACCTTTAAAAGCACTTATTTCCCTCTGGCAGATTTTAATATTTAAATTTTACATGACAGGACATGACACAGAAAACACAATCCAATTTGACATCTGAGGAGAGTGGCGTGAGAAAAGAGCTCTTTGGAAATAGAGATAAAGAGAAATAAGGGGTCTTGGTCTCCACTTCTGATACTTCCAGTACTCCCATGATCTAGGACAATACACTATTTTTTAAAGTTTATCTTTAACAGACAGAGTCTCACTATGTTGCCCAGTCTGGACCTGAACCCCTGAACTCCAAAGAGCTCTTCTTCATGCCTTCCCTGTTCCTGTTATTAGAACTGCTATTATTTGAGTCATGAGCTGGAAACATTCCCATCATTTTTGATACCCTTAAGGTCCCTGCCACCCTCGTTCTATGAGTGAGCCAGGCCCTGTTGATGCTTCCTCAATGGCGTCTCCCTCATTCATTCCCTCCTGTCAGACTCACTGTCAACGTCCACACTCAGAACTTCCTCTTTTGCCTGAAACATCATTGCTGGCCCAGGCTTCTCTCTTCTCAATGAGGCATCACAGACATTGTTCACAGGTCCTCCCGCCTCAGCCTCCTGAGTAGCTGAGACTACAGGCACATGCCACCATGCCTGGCTTAGGACAAACACTCTGAGTTTTGACTCCCTTGTCTACAAAGTGAGGAAGTCGAAATTGGTGGTATATAGTCTTTTGTGGTTGTAAAACAGTCTATGCTTTAAATTTTAAGGATATCTTTCATAGATATTCGAGTAAACTTTTCTGAGAAAAAGAAATTGGCCATTTTGGCTTCCTACCTCACAATGAGGCTGATGACATAACCACAAAACTACCTGAAAATGGGATTATTTCCTGTGACCTGTGCTGTCTCAGTGTTCATCATAATCAGGTGGCGACTCTTGGAACCACCCAGAAAGAAGCTTCTCTCTTGGAGTAGGATATCCTTAGGCAATTTTAGGAATAGAGACTGACTTGAATTGCAACTAAATTAACTAAAGAATCAGTGTGTCTTGATGAGTAAAGGGATGAGTTTTGTCCAGTAAAATCTGAGACCTTGCTGTGTCATGAATACCAGTTATTTTGAAATGACAGAAACAGATCAGCTCTTTCCCACATTGTGAAAGGGATAATGAAAGCAATAACAAGGAGCCAAAGATTGTAAGCTTCACCTTAAAGGAGGAAGTCCCACCCTTGGGCTGAGAGACTCCTAAGAATGGAATTGGATCAGTTGATAGAAGATAAAGGGCTCAATTTAAAAAGAAATCTTCTAATAGGAAGAATGTTCCCAAACTAGAACTTATTATTTCAGTAATATTATCATAGGGACATCACTGGTTGTAAACAGGGCTTTAGGGATTTAAATATAGATTCCTCCCTCAGGGAGACTACAGTCTAGTAGAAGTTGTATGGCATATATTAGTAAATAAAGAACTCTAAAGCTGGATAGAAGGTAAAATTTATGAACCAAGTAGAAAGGTAATAAATCCAATGTCATAGGCAATGTTCAAGGAGAGGCTATATGACTATTTGGGATGACGTAAGAGAGATTTATTCATCGGGTAGAAAGTTAAACTACATGACCTTCAAGATTCAGTTCTTTCCAACAAATGCTTTGTGGTTTTATTAAGACTATCACTACAGTAAGGATTTTTAAAAAGGACTGTCTGATTTTCTCATTCATTGACATCTCAGTTTAATGTTTGTTTTCTCTTGCAGAAATGTATCTCTATTATATACTATCATTTCCCAACAGTAGTTCTTAGAACAAACACTCTTAATTAATTTGCTTAAAACATGTCTGAGGATTCAATGAGTTAGAAAAAGCCAACAGAGTATATTTAAAATTATTTCTAAAGGGCAGACACAAACTTTTTTCAATATAGTCATGATGGACTTTTTTAAAGGAAATTTTAATTATTGGACTAATATAATAAACTTACATACATCTATAATTTCTATTCACTTTTCATACTATTTTAGCCTTAAGATTAATTGTTCAGAATCTTATTTCGCAGTCACTCAACTTTTATTGACTTCAATATTGACGGAGTTGGTACAAGTTATAAAGCCTTACGTGGCATGATATATAATTAAAATACTTTGTCTCATAACTTACATTAATGGGTGCATGTCAGAGAATGCCTATTCGCCTCTGAGAAGAATGTAAACCCACATTAATTAATTTATTGTGAAAAAGCCTATCGGGGCCATTAACCACCTTGTCTTTGCCTTACCTAGCAAAGCGCTAGCAGCCACAGGCCGAGGTTGAAAGCATGAGCACTCTAGGCTTGGCCTAATCTACTCTCATGTAGACGTCCATTAAATATTCAGCTAGCCTACTGGGTAAATTTTTCAAGATGGAATGCCACTAGATTAGATTAAAATAAATTTAAAAAATGTATCAGTAGAAACTATCTTTTCTTTGAATTACCTACTAGCAACTTTGATGAGCACTTTGAAGAGTCCCAAAATTTCTCCAAATGTATTCACCATTGCTTAAGTTAACTTATTTTATTCACATAAGAAATATTTTCTTTTACTTTCAAAGTAAAAGTAATAGTAATTTTATTTCTAAATTATTGTAGTAAGGGAGCCTCTCACTATTATTCCCAAATACTCATACATCATTTCAGCTGAACAGTAGTGGGTATGGTCTAACTGTTTTTAGAACACTGAGTTATAAATATAAATATAAACAAGTAGCAAGATCTGGTCCATTGTTTAGAGGTCAAGATACTTTGTCAGGATGCCCAAGAGTGATAAGTCTCTAGTGACTTATTTAGTTACCCAAACTGACAAGAAGCTGCTACATAAGGCAGAAAGAAAATGTGACAATGTATAAGGAAAAGATTCACTTCTGAAGAGACAAGATACTCTGGTGCCTGGTAATTACGGTCTCTCCTAAGGCCAGATCAGGAATGTTCCTGTTGCTTGGTGAGTGTCTCATCTGATCAAGGACAGCTAGTTAAATGACATTTATAGTCACTGTTATCAGTCTAGGAAAAGATAATGCATCTCTCTCCACAGTAACAATATCCTTGAGGCCCTTGGTCTGCATACATTTTTCCTCTAGACAGTGCTGGAGACACTCTGACAAATTCTTACTCTTTGGACTCTCTATTTATGAAAATCATATAGATTATTCTGTTTAATATAGTCTTTCATCAAAGGATGACAGAGCACCATATAGAGGCTTAGGTCAAGGCAGAGGTCACTCATTCAAATGCCTACAGAAGCCAGCCAATCACATAAATCAGTGAGGCAGATTAGATGTCAGTTTAGTTAAGTGCCAGAAAACAACCAAAATTACTTTATGATCTGTATGTTCTCATTTATAAGTGGCAGCTAAGCTATGAATATGCAAAGACATACAGAGTGATATAATGGACTTTGGAGACTCAGAAGTGGGAGGGTAGGAAGGGAGTGTGGGATAAAAGTACTATATATTGGGTACAACATACACGACTCAGGTGACAGGTGCACTAAAATCTCAGAATACACCACGATATAATTCATACAACTCATAACCACTTGTACCCCAAAAGCTATTGAAATTTTTAAAAATACTGTATGTTTTTTGAATAATGACAAAAGCATGTAACATAACACAAACATATGACAGAGAGATATTTGACATTTTAAAGTAAAAACAATATTGAAAAAATAGAAGTATTTCATTATTGAAGTTTTCTTTCACAATATGTTACTCCTTGCCATTGTAATCTATCATTAGACATCACTGTCAGGCCATGAAACCTAAACCACAAATTATTCAGCTTGGAACAATAATTTGATTGGCCTAGTTTCATGTGCAAAAACAGAGTAGACTAACATTGATGCTATTTAACATGTATAGGCTCTGTTTGTACAATCATCATTATCTAGAGATATATGTTCAGCTCTGGAATTTCAACAGCAATGTATTTAGTTTTTAGTTATTCATTGCTTTGCATTTAAAAACTTCAATTTGTAGCCCCTTTGTTCATAGTATCAATAATAAACTAGAAAGGTAAACTTAAGCAGTGTTAATGTATTTTCATAAAGCTGGAAGTCAGAGAAACCTTTTGGAATTTTGTTTTAATCTCTACAGTTTTGGTAATGTAGTTCAGGCTATGACTCTCATTTGAGGAAAATGATTGTAGTATAGGCTACTGGGCCAAGTTATTTCTTGCCAAATTAGTTTCTATAAGGTGTATTAGTCTGTTCTCACCCGAGACTAGGTAATTTATAAAGAAAAGAGTTTTAATTGACTCACAGTTCCAAATGGCTGGGGAAGCCTCAGGAAACTTATGATCAGGGTAAAAGGCACCTCTTCACAGGGCAGCAGGAAAGAGAATGAGTGCCAGCAGGGGAAATGCCAGATGCTTGTAAAACCATCAGATCTCCTGAGAACTCAGTCACTATCATGAGACCAGCATGGGGGAAACCACCCTCATGATCCGATTGCCTCACACTGGGTCCCTCCCATGACACATGGGGATTATGGGGCTTAAAATTCAAGATGAGATTTGGATGGGGACACAGCCAAACCATATCAAAAGGCATCATCTGTTTGTGAATGCCTTTGCAGGGAAATATTGAAAGTCTATAGGTTCTAATATCAGCCAAAATAATTAAATACTTTGATTCACTTTTCATTGTCAGGGATTGCTTAGGGATTTTCTCTTGAATGATATAAAAGTGTCCAGAAATATCTCACAGCATTCAGCCACAGAAGTTCATGTACTACCACAGGCAACCATATATGTAATTCATAAAAAGAAGCCCTGGAGTATCTGGATTTCAGCCATGGGATTTTATTCTGTTCACATTGTCAATTACCACACATTCATACTATATTACCTTTTAAATTCTTTGGCACAAGGCACTTCCTGCAAAATGACATAATTAGGAGATCTAAATTCTATGTCTCTTGGATAATGTAGCCTTCTTGAATTTAGGTTTTCACATTAACACTATTCATTGCAGGAGGTGAGTCACAGTGACTGGTTTTGACCAATTGATGATGCATTTTGCAAAACGTTTCTAGCAACAAAGATAAGTCATTTGCTGAGTTCCAGTTAGGGCCTCTCACCTTCTGACACAAAAATTCTGATCAATGTCACCGATTACATATTGCTAACTAGGTGATATTATTTATATATGTGCTTTCATCATCTGCAATAGAAATGCTGCAACCAATTTAATTGTCTTCATATGACTTGTCTGTAAGTATTCAGAAGTAACTTCAATATACTTGTCAACAGTATTTCCAGTAAACTGAAGTTTACAAATGCTTATCTCAGTGAAAGACACACAATTTCTGCTGTATTCTATGATGCTCTTTCATAAACTTGTTATGTGTAAAAGCTTTTGATATCTGGGGATTTTTTTCAGTTAATATAGAACCTAATTTATATTAGCATCAGATATTTCATTCATAGTTAAAAACAATTGCTTGCTGAAATTTCAGTCCTTTTTGCAGTCTAAGTTCTTCATTCCCTCATTTTCTCCATATCCTAGACATATTATTATGATTTAATTCATACTGGCCTCTTAAACTGTGGTTCTTTCAATATAGTCATCTTTTATTTGCATATTACACATGGAGGAATATTCTTTATTTCGTCAAAGAAAGATGCTCTTTTCCACTGTGCCTGAATTAAGCTTCTTTTTTCCGCATCCAGTAGAGATATGAGTATACGGCAGCAATTCTCTATTCTAGGAGAAACAAGTGCAAGGGGCAAGTGAAATCAGCCTCAGCATTAGAGACAATAGGGAGTGACGGTGCTTGTGGCTAACGAGAGAGCAAATGAACCATCGAAGGGAACAGCTGCTGCTGCTCCACATAAAAGAGATGGCTGATAGTTTCCACGCAGGAATGTAGTTTCAGTATTGTCAAGATTGATTTGTTTTTAAAAGAAGCTAAAATATAGTTCAATTAAAAAAAGCAACAGGCCGAGCACAGTGGCCCACACCTGTAATTTCAACACTTTGAAAGGCCAAGGCAGGCAGATCACCTGAGGTCAGAAGTTGGAGACCAACCTGGCCAACATGGTGAAACCCCATCTCTACTAAAAATACAAAATTAGCCAGGCATGGTGGTGCGTGCCTGTAATCCCAGCTGCTTGGGAGGCTGAGGCAGGAGAATCACTTCAACCCGGGAGGCAGAGGTTGCAGTGAGCCAAGATGGCACCATTGCACTCCAGCCTGGAAGTTTTGCTCCAGAAAGAGCAAAACTTCGTCAAAAAACAAAAACAAAAGAAAACAAACAGAAAACACTACAGATCAATAGGACAGATAGAACAGGTCAGCAAGTTAGATTAGCCTTATTAGGCAGGCAGTATGCACTCTCTGTATTAAAATTTTCCATAATTTCATAGAATTTTACTTTTCTAAAATTATGCCAATCACTTTGAATGGAATACTATATATTGTCCAACACTTCAAATATTTGCAAAAATTTTTATAGATGGCATAATATGAATTTCTTATTTTTATTATCCCAACAGGCTCTCCCTACTGGTAGACATGTCGCTGGCATAACCCTGCATCCACTATCATAGAGATGATGTTCTGTGGATGCTGCCTTGCCACAGATGTGGGACTTCTGGATGCGCACATGACCCAGGTCAGGCCAGTCAGAACCTCCTCAGGTTTTTGTTTAAACACTTGAAGGATACTCTCTTCTCTTAAGACTCACTACCTGAAAGTACAATGAAGTCTAGAATTGTTTATAGTCATTTTCGCCGACACACGGAAAAATTTACCTTAAAATGGTGCCAACATGGAGGAAGAGAGCAAAGCCAAAAACCAGAGAAAAAGGTCATAATAACATTCAAACTGCACAATCCAGACATTTCTAAAGCCAGAATTTTCCTTGATCTTCCTCATTACATAAACCAATATATTTTCTTTTTGGCTTAGGCTGCCTGCCCATTAGTCGTGTAATAGCCATCTAGATGATCAGGTCCACTGTCATGGTATTACAGCACTTGTGTTTAAGTAACCTTTAGCGTACTTAATAATGATCCCACATCACAAGAGTACTATTCCTGATTTATGGATTAAACTATCATAGGTGTACTGGTATAGGAAAAATCATAGTATGTATAAAGTTCAGTACTATCCAAGGTTTTGGGCATCCACTGGGGGTCTTAGAATATATCCTTGCAGATAAGGGGGTGGCTACTGTATTCAGAAGCACAGAGGGTTCTACTCTACCGGTTGGGTGACCAACTCTCCCAGTTCTATTATTGACATCCCCAGTGGGTAGTCTCAGGCAACTCGTTGAACTGCTCATTTTTTTTTTCACACATAAAATGGAGAAAATAGTACCTATCAAACCAATTTCACATTTTTTGAAGTATCACATGGAATAGTGAATATGTAGGGTACATAAGCTTTTAAAATTCCTTAACAAATTTAACACATGATTAATAAAGCTTTTAGTAGTTTGTAGAATGATCAATGTGTGGAAGACATTAGTCTACTTAACAAAATAGACCAAATGTGTTTTAGAAGAGTAATCACTGCAATGGAATTTCTCATCTTAAAAATAAACTAGCTTAAAGGATTTCTAGGGAAAAAAAAGCAACTAAAACCAGGATGATGTTTATACTATATATTGTCTTAATTGATAGCCTTATAGTGAACTAATTTTAAACAATTAATGTGTGAAAATGAAAAGTGATGACATCTAAATGTTCATTGTGTAAAGACAAAGGGACTTAGTCAATCTAAGCTAGAAAATATGAAAATTTACACTTTTAGTATGTTCTGCTCTAGAGAAACAGTGGTATTTCTGATTTCTGAACATCTTTTAAAATGATCTTTTATTCTAATAGGATCTTTTCCCCTTTCATTAACTTCGAAGATAAACTTAGACTTTTAGGTAAAATAAGTACCGAATGAATAAAACAGTGATGTATCATCAATATATAACACACTAATCTTAAATAATAGTATTCTAAAATGTTTTAGTCTTTCATACAACAATGAACAGGTCTTTTTTTCTCAAAATCAATGTGCTCTGTAATATGTTGCTTAGCTACTGTTGCCAAGTATTTTTCTGTTTTATTTTTCTTGAAAAGGAATATTGTATCATATAATCTTTGGGCTTCTCTTGCCCTACCTTAACTTCTGTTCTGTCTATACAAATCTAAGAATCTACACATATATGTTTTTATTTTAAAAAAAGAATTATATATGAACGTGGTTAGAATTTAAATTGATTCAAATGTTTACATTATGTTTCAAATCCTCAAAAATGAAAAGTTTGGGTTTATAGCCCATACTATTCAGTTGTTCTCTCCGCTTTTGCATTTATGGCCATTTATAAAATGTATAAATAAAACATGAAATACCAAAGGCTAAGCAAAAGTGATTCCATCATTTAAGAAATACATGATGAAAATATATTCCATTATTTTAAAAATACAGAACTGTAATAACTTTCCCCAATTGTCTTCTTCTGACTCTTCAAAATCAAGTGTGGACCTAAAATGGAACAGTCTTTCCTCAACTCTATTACTGTAAAAGAAAATGATTTTCCTCCACTTATTTAAAAAAATAATAATGTGTTCTGGTCACCTCTCAGTTGTTGGCTCCTAAGTAGTAGAAAACAAGGTTGTGCACAAGGCTAACTCCCCTATTACACTGTGAGTTCTTCAAGGGCAGGGCCTTGTTTTGCTCATCCTGTTACCTCCAGCACCTAGCACAGTGCATGAGAATGAGGAGGCGGAGCTCAGTAAGAGTGTCGAAGGAATTGATGAATGATGAAAGGCCAATGGTTAGGATTCTATTTGTAGAAATGGCCAGAAATACCCTAAGAAGGGAAATAAAGACACCATCTCATCAGCTATGACTGCAGTGTAACCCCTAAGGAAAAAATAAGAGGAAGCATTGTTACTAATTATTTTAAATACATAGTAAAAATCACCCTAAAATTTTCATCCGTCTACTGAGATCTCAAATGTTGGGTATGTATGACTGACTACAGGATAGGATGAAAGAAATACCATGAGATTAGAAACTAAAAAAAATTTTGCATGCCAAGGACCATTTTGATTAATGTTGGGAAATTTTGTTCCTTTTGAATTCCTGTGTTGTATATATGGATATTCAATATTTTGGAACAAGTTAGGGTTAGAATTGTTTTCTCTCCAGTGAAGGGCTACATGGAAGTATAGGCTTATCTTCCATCTGTTTTCCAGAGCCGAGAGTGGGATTGTATTGAGAAGAAAACTGGGCCAGAAAGGGCAGATAAACTCATTTTCAGTACTCCTGACCTTCATCCTGGTACTCACATAGATCCTTTGGTTTAAAATGAGCACTTTGGGACACACTGATGAGTTTGATGTTGATCAGTATATGCCCCAGGATTTCCTTGATGACTTTCCTTTGTGCAAAAGAAATGGTGGTCCCTGAGCAGTTTATGGAACCCACTCATGTATTTTAATAAGTAAGACCTTCCATCATCATTATTTCACTGAGAGTAGCACCACTGATTATCACAGCCATAATATCAGACATTGCTGAGAGCATGTTCCTTCAAAAATGGAACCAAGAGCTGTGTTGCCTATGTTAAAGACCTGTGTATCTCCTTCAGCATTTCATTTTTTTCCATTTCTTAGATGACTCAGGGCAAAGTCTGATATGAAATTACCAATAAAATCTGACTGAACTCATCCCAACTAATATCCCCAGCCAGCGAAACCACACAATAACTAACACATCACAATAACAAAGAGAATTCTCATACTAATTTTGTCCATGTTACACTGGCAGAAAGCTGTTGCCCACAGTCAGCAGAATGCAGAAAATGTATGCATGAGAATACAAGGAGATGAGCCAAATCTGGCTCTGGCTGTGTGGTATCTAAAGTTTTATCTATAAATAAGTGTACAATGTGTACATTTTCTCAGGAACTGCTACTTTAAATGAACCTGCCATTAGGGTGAAGACTCAGCAATATTATAATGTTCCTGACTGGATGTGAATATTCATGTGATCTTGACTATAAAATTATCTTACTCAAGGGGTCTAGACAAAGAATAGCTTCAGGGTAGGAGGACATTGCAGTAGTCCTCAGAAATGGTCATGCCTGAGCTAGGAATACTACGGTTCTTGAGAGTTAGTCAACAGTGAACACTTCCTCACGTGGTCCATTGCAATGATCAACACCATAGCTGATATTGTTAGAAATGCTGTAGAGAACAACAGCAACCTAGGCAGGGGGACAGCTTAGAAAAGTGTCTTGGGAAAGAAGTGACTCATACTATTAAGAATCCGGATCCAATAAACTGGTAATAATGCAAGTTCAATAAACAAGTTGTCAATAAATTTTCTAAAATATAATCTGAGACACTAGGAGTTTATACATAGAAGCCAGTCTAATTTTATCTGGATTCAGACGTTACACAGTTTACTTGAAAGCTAAAAAGTGTATGTCTAATTATAAGGAGAAAAAAACTGAAAACCAACCAAAGTAATAAACAAATGAAGCCTCACACTAGTGGGGCAACCCCAGTGGGCTACACCAACTCCCTTCAAAAAGGTTCCAAACCTAAAACTGCAGGAACATGTTGAGAGGCCACCAGTGACCCATCAAATAAGAACCTAAGCACCCATATTTACTGCTTACAAGCTACTCAGTTTTTACCACATTTTTGTTCAATAAATATGAACTACTGCAGAAGTACTTTATAGCTCACTAGAAAAAATTTGTTCCATGATTTTAAATTCACCATCACAGAGATGCCTTCCAGAATATCAAGCAGGTACTGAGTTCTGAATTCGTGCCAGAACATTAAAAACACAAACCACACTTTCTTCTGCTTTACATTAAGAAATCAGTGCTGAGAAAGCAAACACTTATCCTTAAAGGACAATGTCATCTACAAAAAATGCGACCCCCAAAGGAAGCCCTTGAGTCTGTCTCAGCGTCAAGAAATTGTAGATTTGTGTCTGTAATTATGTCTATATAATTTATATCGATTACAAGCTCCTTTCTGGACTATAAGAGAGATATACATGTTTTGGACTTATGGACAGAGTGAAGCTATGTGAGAGGTTTAGTGTGAATGGTTGAGCCTGGTGGAAGGTAAGAAAAGGGTGACTGGATAGATAGGACTTGATCTTTCTGACAGGAATGGCAAGGAGAACCTCAGCCTTATTCACATGGAATCAGATGCCAGTGCCTTACCGGAGATGAGGGATCCAGAAGAGAACGTCCAAGTTCAGGGATATATCCCTTAGTGGCCTGGATTTCAGGACAGAACCCAGTGTCCTCCCTCCCCTTAACAAGAGAGGAGACAAGGGAGAGGCAAGAGAACCAA
This sequence comes from Homo sapiens, assembly GCF_000001405.40. NCBI lineage: Eukaryota > Metazoa > Chordata > Mammalia > Primates > Hominidae > Homo > Homo sapiens. The sequence continues at coordinate 116,411,690 of NC_000010.11, read as the reverse complement.
ACTCTAGAGATTTACGGGGGAAAACATTACAAAACAGCAAACAGAGATACAGCAGTGTAATCCACACCTTCCTACAAGAGTGCAATCCAAAAGTGTGAAAAATAAAATAATTATCTTTGGCTCTGAGCAATCAGCAACAAAATAGATCTTTATGGCACAATCATACTTGCTTGCAATTGACAGATCACTAGATAAAAGAGTTTCTGATGCTGTGTCCTAGTGAAAGAATCAGGTTTTTTCAGTTGATATTCGGCAAGTCAGTGAACTAACGGGTTATCTGAATTGCCCTTGCAATTGCATCCAGTAGATGGTCAAGCTCAAAGGATGATGCAGACAACAAAGATTATCACATGGAAGAAGACTGGCATTGACACCAGCTTTCTCGTCAATCCACGGGCACATGCATTCCACATTAAGCATCACGATCTGTCCAGTAAAGACAAGTGGGATGATGGCTCATTCCTACTTCAGCTCCAAACAAACTTAGAGAATTCACAAGACATTCTGAAGGCTGCTCTCCGCCTGTACCTACCCTTCACTCATTTTTAACAAGTTGGTCTTTGAAAAGAAGCCTGGATTGGGACAGGGCTTGTTTTCTGCAACAAATATTGAGGAATTCCACTCTGAAATACACAATACCATGTGTAGGTGGGCAACAGCTCTGAAAAGGCCAACTCAGAAATGTCTTTCCCAAGGAACTCAATAATACCAGAACCATTAAGAGTATTCCTCAGCTTTAGCTGACTTCTGGAATCACTTGGGGAGCTTCAGTGCTTTGGCAGCAGTTTTTGTTTACTTGTTTGTTTCTTTTTAGCTTTTGTTAAAAATGTACATGAAGATGTTTGAAGATGGAATAAAATATATAAGGATACAGATCATTAGAATGCTAACATTCACCTAACTAGAAATAGACGGGAGCTTCCTCAATTTGGTAAAAGGCATTAAAAAACAAGCCACAGTTAGCATCATACTTAATGGTGAAACAATAAATCCTTTCCCCGGGAACAGGGGAAGGCTGTTTGCTCTCACCGCTTGTGTTCAACAGTGAACTAGAAGTTCTTGCCAGCCCATTTAGGCAAGAAGACGAAACAAATGGCATCTAAATTGGAAAAGAAGTTTCAAATTTGTCACTATTTACAGATGACGTCAGTGAGTATGTAAAAACAAAATCCTATGGAATCTTCATAAAAATCTAGTAGAATTAGATTTCTACTAGAATTTAGCGAGATCACAAGGTACACAAGCAATATTAAAAATTAAATGTATTTGTATACACTGGCAATGAACAATTATAAAATTAAATTTAAAGTGATACTAAGTATAAAGTCACCAAAATCACAAAATATTTTAGAAAATATCTTACAAAAAAGATGTATAAGACTTCTACAATGAAAAGTACAAAATGTTACTAAAATTATAAAACACCTAAATAAATGCAGATACGTATTATGTTCATAGATTGGAATGTCCAGTATTGAATGTTGATTTTTCTCTAGCTTAATCTATATACTCAATGAAACTCCTAGTAAAATACTATCAGGGCTTTTTGTGAGGAAATACACATGCAGATTCTAAAATTTATATGAAAATGCAAAGGATTCAAAATAGCCAAAACGGTTTTGAAAGATAAGCGGAGTTGGTAGCATTGCACTGCCTGATTTCAAGGCTTACTACTTAAAGCTACAGTAATCAAAACACCAAGGTATTGACACAAACACAGACATATAGAGGCCGGGCGCGGTGGCTCAAGCCTGTAATCCCAGCACTTTGGGAGGCCGAGGTGGGCAGATCACCTGAGGTCAGAAGTTTGAGACCAGCCACGACGAAACCCTGTCTCTACTAAAAGTACAAAAATTAGCCGGGAGTGATGGTGGGCGCCTGTAATCCCAGCTGCTCAGGAGGCTGAGGCAGGAGAATTGCTTGAACCCGGGAGACGGAGGTTGCAGTGAGCCAAGATCGTGCCACTGCACTCCAGCCTGGGCGACAAGAGTGAGACTCCGTCTAAAAAAAAAAAAAGACAGACATATAAATCACTGGAACAGAAGAAAGAGGCAGGAAATATATATGACTAATTGATTTGTTTTACTATCATAAAAGTATATTTAACCAAAAGTTTAATATGAAAACATAAATGACCCAATTTTTACATAAAAATAAAACAGGCCCCTTGGAGAGGGGGCATGGATTTCCCTGCTGAACAGCCATTGTTTATACTCGTCACAAGGCTTCTAACATGATGATACTATTTCCATATTACTACCTTTCCAATTTTGTTCTGTTGATCACTAGTTGCCATCTCCACACATTCATCTATCACAAGATTCGTAAAGTGATCAAATCCCTGCAATATCCCTTTGACATGTCTGCCACCATTTAATTTCAATAACTTCTTGTCCATAAGTTGTTTCAACTTGGGAGAGTGAGCTTTGCTGACTGATTTTTGACCAAAGCAATCTAACGGAGAACAGGGAAGTCTTTCTAAAAAAAAAATTGCTCAAAAAAATTGAATATTCACATGAAAAAAATAATAAACCCCTTTCTCACTACATACACAAGAATTAACTTGAGATAGATTATAGACCTTGATATAGTTTGGATGTTCGTCCTTCCAAATCTCGTGTTGAAATGTGATTTCCAATGTTGGAGGTGGGGCCTGGTGGGAGGTGTTGGGGTCACGGAGACAGATCCCTCATGAACGGCTTGGTGCCATCTCCATGGTAATGAGTAAGCTCTCGCTCTGAGTTCACATGAGATCTGTTCATTTAAAGAGCCTGGCACTTCCCCCGTCTCTCTCTCACTTCTTCTTTCACCGTGTGACATACCAGCTCTGCCTTCACTGTCCACTGTGATTGTAAGCTTCCAGTACAGCCTGCAGAAACATGAACCAAAATAAACCACTTCTCTTGATAAATTACCCAGCCTCAGGTATTTCTTTAGAGCAACAAAAAAATGGACTAACTGAGACCTAAATGTAAAGCCCAGAACCCGAAAGCTTTTAGAAAGAAAACATAAGAGAACATCTTAACAATTTTGGAGTAGACAGAGTTTTTGAACAGAGCACAAAAGGTACTAACCATTAAAAAAAATGGATAAAATGGCTTTCATCAAAATTAAACATTTCTATTCATCAAAAGATGTTATTTAGAAACTGAAAAGACAAGCTACAGACTGGGAAAATATTCGTAGCTCCTATAAATGGCATAGGTATATTCAGAGTATAAAAAGAAGTCCTATAAATTTAAAAATAAGTCTGAGTTTTTTAAATGGGCAAAATTCTTAAACAAACCCTTGGTAAAGGAAGTGATATCATTGGCCAGTAAGTACAGGAAAAGGTAGACGAAGCCTCAAGATGACAAAGTCATCAAGAAAATGCAAATCAAAAACACAATAAGATACTATTTCATACTCGATAGAATGGTGGGGAAAAAATTAAAAGATTGACCATGTTGATAAGAATGTGGAGTAACTGGAACTTTCATGCATTATTGGTAGGATTATAAAATAGTACAACTACTTTGGAGAATTATTTGGCACTTTCTTATAAAATAAGCATACACATATCAGCAATAACTCAGCAATTCAATTCCTAGGTATTTACCCAAGGTAAATGAAAACATGGTCACAAAAAGGCTTTTATAAGAATGTTCATAGCAGCCTTATGAATAGTGGCCCCAAACTTGAAACAACACGTGTCTAACCTCAGCAGAATGAATAAATCCATCACAGTATATTCTGTAATAGCTTACCACTCAATAGTAAAAAAGAGTGGTAACATCCATACAACATGGATGAATTTCAAAACTATTACATTTAATGAAAGAAGTCAAACAGTTCATACTTGTATGTATGGTTTCATTCATATGAAGTTCGAGAACAGGAAAATAATCTTTGGTGATAGAAGTCAGAGAGCAATTGTTGAGCAAGGGTAGGGGAGTGAATAATTGACTGGGAAAGAACATGGGGAAGCTTTTTTTTTTTTTTTTTTTTTGAGACGGAGTCTTGCTCCATCTCCCAGGCTGGAGTGCAGTGGCGCGATCTCGGCTCACTGCATCCTCTGCCTCCTGGGTTCAAACAATTCTCCTGTCTCACCCCCCCAAGTAGCTGGGACTACAGGCACCTACCACCACGCCCAACTAATTTTTGAATTTTTAGTAGAGATGGGGTTTCACCTTTTTGGTCAGGCTGCTCTTGAACTCCTGACTTCAGGTGATCCACCTGCCTCAGCCTCCCAAAGTGCCGGGATTACAGATGTGAGCCACCGTGCCCAGCCGGGGAAGCTTTTTGCAGTGATGGAATGCTCTATATTTTGTTTTGGGTGATGGTAGCTTTCACAAATATAGATATTTGCCAAAACTATTGATCACACCCATTAGGATGGCCATTATTTAAAAACAAACAAAAAACCAAAACAAAACAAAACAAAAAAAAACAGAAGATAACAAATGTTGGCAAGGATGTGGAGAAATTGGAACTTTTGTGCATTGTTGGTGGGAATATAAAATGGTATACAGCTGCTTTTGAGGAACTACCATACTGTGGGAAAGAGTATGGTAGTTCCTCAAAAAATTAAACATAGAATTACTATGTGATCCAGTAATTCACTTCTGGGTATATACGCAAAATAATTGGAAGCAGGGAGTCAAACAAATACTGTACACCCCATGTTTAGAGTAGCGTTATTCACAGTAGTGAAAAGGGGGAGGCAACTCAAGTGTCCATTGACAGATGAATGGATTAAAAAATGTGGTATATACATTCCGTGGAATATTATTCAGCCTTAAAAAGAAAGAAAAATCTGACACATGAAACAACATGGATGAACCTTGAGACATTTTGCTAAGTTAAATAAGCCAGACACAAAAGATCAAATATTGTATAATTCCACTTAGATGTACCTAGAATAGTCAAATTTATAGAGACGCAGTAGAATTGTGTCTGATATGGGCTGGCAGTGGAGAATGAGGAGTTACTGTTTAATGGGTATACAGTTTCAGTTTGATAAAATGAAGTTCTGGAGATGTAGTGGTGATGGTTGTACAACAATGTGAAAGTATTTAATGTCACTGAATAATATAGTTAAAATGGTTTAAAATGCTAAATTTCATGTTGTCTACAGTTCATAACAATAATAAATTCATTGAAATGGACACTTAAGATTTGTACATTGTACTGGATGTTATATATACCTCAATTTAAAGTATTTTTTAAAAGAGAAAGAGAAATAATGCTGGAAAACAAAACAAAACAAACAAAAAACAAAAACAAAAACTGCTGCCAAAGCATTGAAGCTCCCCAAGTAATTCCAGTAGAAAGCAAAGGCTGAAAAGTACTCTTAATGGTTCTGGTATTGAGTTCCTTGGGGAGAACATTTTTCAGTTGGCCACAACATTTTTCTGTTGCCCATCTGCACACTGACTGCACTGTGTATTTCAAAGTGGAATTCCTCCATATTTGTGGCAGAAAACAATCCTGGTTCAACTCCAGGGTTCTTTTCAAAGACCAACTTGTTAAAAATGGGTGAAGTGTAGGTACAGGCAGAGCAGCCTTCAGAATTGTCTCGTGAATTCTCTAAGTTTGTTTGGAGAGGTTTTGAGAGGTTTTTAGCGAGATGGAGTATTGAACATTGTCAAGTGATTCTTCTGCATCTAATATGAGTTTTCTGCTTTATTCTACTAAGTGGTGAATTTGGTTTGATTTTAAGTGTTAAATCAACCTTGCATTTGTGGGATAAACCCCACTTTGTCATGATGTATTATCCTTTGTGTATATTGCGGGGTTGTGACAATTTCTGTTACATTTATAAAGGATATTGGTCTATGATCAGCTTTTCTTGTGATATCTTCATTAGGTATCAAGGCTATTCTAGCCTCATAAAATAAGCTGAGCTCTGCTCCCTCCTATTCTATTTTATGAAGGAGTTTGTGTAGCATTGGTTTTATTTCTTCCTTTAATATTTGGTAGAATTCAGTAATGAAGCTATCTGGAACTGTAGTTTGCTTTGTAGGTAAGTTCCTGATTAAAAATTCAATTTCCTTAATAGATATGTGGTTATTTAGATGTTCTATTACTTATTATATCAGTTTTGGTCATTTATGTTCTTCAAGAAATTTGTTCATTTTATGTTGCCAAATTGATGGGCATAAAAATGTTCATAATATTAACTTACTATCCTTTGAATACCTGTAGAATTTATAGCGGTGTCCATTTTTTTCATTCCAGATATTGGTGAATTGTGTTTCCTTTCTCTTTTTAAAATCAAACTTGCTGGGGATGTATCAATGCAGTTAATCTTTTCAAAAATAAACTTTTGATTTTGTTGATTTTTTTCTATTAGTCTATTTTTTATTTCATTGATTTCCACTATTTTTATTATTTCCTTTCTTCTGCTTTTGAGATTAATTTGCTCCTTTCTTGAGCTTCTTAAATTGGTAATTAAAATTGATTTTATTCCTTTCTTCTTTCCTTTTTTTCCAAAACAGGGAAGTTTTCTTTAAATAATAAATATATGTCAAGAACTACATAGGGTGCTTTGCATATATGATCATTTTTATCATATAATTATTTTAATTTTTAAAATTAAAAAACAATTTGTAGGTACATAATAGGTGTACCCTTCTTCTTTCCTAATATAAGCACTTAAAGCTCTAAGTTTTCCTTTAAGCACTGCTCTTACTGAAGCCCACAAATTTTAACATGCTGTGCTTTCATTGCCAGTAAGTTAAAATTATTTTCTAATTTCCCTTGTGATCTCCTCTTTGACCCACGGGTTATTTAAAAGTGTATTGTTTAAGTATTTGGGGGATTCTCTCGATATTTTGTTGTTACTTGATTCTAAGTCAATACCACTGTGGTTAGAGAACACACTCTGTATGATTACAATTCTTTGATACTTATTGCAATTTGCTTTATGTCCCATCAAATGTTCTATACTGGTGAATAATCTCTCTGCGTTTGAAGTTAATGTGTGCTCTGATGTAGTCGGGTGCATAGTTCTACACATTTTTAACCAGATGAATTTAGTTAAAATTGTTGATCAAATAATCTATTTCCTCACTGATTTCTGTCTCCTTGTTCTGTCAATCACTGAGAGAAGATGTTAAAACCTTCAACTATGATTGTAGATTTATCTCTTTCTTTCTTTAGTGTCATAAATCAGAACAGACACATTTGTTTTTAATTCCTCTGATATTATTCTTTGGTGGATATACTGCCACTAAGTGACAAGTTTAATTTACAATATTACATTACATCCATATTGAATAATTATTAATACTTAACACATATATGGTATTTAATTTTTCAAGGTACATTCAAATACAGCCTCTCAGAGGAAATCACTGTTCAATATATATACATCCAGACTTTTTTGGATACTTATACGAATATAGATATGTGCATATGTGCGATAGGAAGAGCAATGCTCTCCCCACCAAAAGGTATCTACATCCTAATCCCCAGAACGAGTCAATATGTTGTTACATGGCCAAGGGGAACTCAGGTTGCAGATGGAATTCAATTTGCTAATCAGTTAATCTTGAGATAACAAGATTATCCTGGGTTTCCATGTAGGCTCAGTGTAATCGCAAGGGTCCTTGAAAATAGAAGAGGGAGGCAAAAGAGGCAGAACCAAAAAGATGGAGCATGAGGACTCAGCCTAACATTGCAGGCTTTGCACATGGAGAAATGGGACACTAGCCAAGACATGCACGCAGCCTCTAGAAGCTGGGAAAGGCCAGGAAATGGATTCTCCCTTGGAGCCTCCAGGAGGAGCACAGACTTGCCGGCACATGGATTTTAAACCAGTGAAGAGTATTTCTTACTTCCGCCTGTAGAACTGTAAGATAATATATGTGTGTTGCTCTAAGCTATTAAGTTTGTGGTAATTTGTTGTAATAGCAATAGAAAACTAATATGATATATCATTATCTGGCCGTCTATATATAATATATATATACACACATATACAGCTTTCAAATTACAGGTTTTTTTTTTTTTTTTTTTTTTTTTTTTGAGAGGGAGTCTCGCTCTGTTGCCCAGGCTAGAGTGCAGTGGCGCGATCTCGGCTCACTGCAAGCTCCGCCTCCCGTATTCACGCCATTCTTCTGCCTCAGCCTCCCAAGCAGCTGGGACTCCAGGCACCCACCACCACGCCATGCTAATTTTCTGTATCAAATTAGAGGTTTTTAAAAATGTTATTTAAAATGTTAATATATTTTCTAAATTGCTTTTTCACATAACAATATATCACAGACATCTCCCAAAATTGGTAATAGATACTTCTCAATGTTTTGTTTTGTTTTTAAGACAGGATCTCACTCTGTCACCCACAATGGAGTGCAGTGGTGTGATCATAGCTCACTGAAGTCTTGAACTCCTGGGCTCAAACAATTCTTCCACTTCAGTCTCTCAAGTAAGTGGGACTATAGGCATGAGCCACTGCGCCCGCCCTTAATTTTTAATAGTTGCATTATATGCTCCTGGTTCCATATTTAGGCCATTTCCAATTTTTAAAAAACTACAAATAATAGTACATTCTTGTTCACAAACATTCATACAACCTATGCTGGCACGTAGTAGTACCTATTAGGTTATAAGTTAAGGATTTAAAATGTTGAAAGAGACTCTCAAAATATTGCAACATAAGAGTGTGCCCTCTTGCCCTAATGTCACCAATGCTGGCATAATCCTTCTGTTTAATTTTTGCCAATTTATAGAAAAGATTTTATCTTGTTTTTATTTGCATTTTTAAATTATAAATGAGTTTGAACATCTCTTCATATGAATATTAGCCTTTTTACCTTTTTCTATTAATTATTGATATCCCTTGTCCATTTTTTTCTATTATTTCCCGTTTTTATTAAGTTTTTAAAGTTCTGTTTATATTATTAGTGTTAACCTTTCATTTATCACTTGTCGCAAGTACATTTTCTCAGTTTTCCTTGTGTGGTGTTGGATGTCTTTTGTTGTATTAGAATTAGATGAATGTTTGTAAAATATCTGACAGTGTACAGCCCCTAGTAGGCATCCAATGCCTTCAGTCATTGTTATTAATCCTGTCCTGTGGATGAAGGAGATGGTTGATACTCTGGGCATGCTCATCTGCCTGTACCTATGAGGTTGTTTAGGGAAAAGAAAAGAAAATGCTTTTTTTTTTTTTTTTTTGAGACAGGGTCTTGTTCCATCACCCAGGCTGGAGTGCAGTGGTGCAATCATGGCTCACTGAATCCTCAACCTCCTAGGTTCAAGCCATCCTCCCACCTCAGTCTCCTCAGTAGCTGGGACTACAGGTGCATGCCACCACACTCAGCTAATTTTTAAATTGCTTTGTACAGATGGGGTTTGCCATATTGCCTAGGCTGGTCTTGAACTCCTGCGCTCAAGCAATCCTCCCACCTTGACATCCCAATGTACTGAGATTACAGGCCTGAGCCATGGTGCCCAACTTCATTTTTTGATAGATTTCTGATTTATATGAGACCCTCACTCCCACTCCCCCTAGTCCTGGAGAGCTATTTCTTTCTTAGTCCTATATTCTGTGAACAAAACAGTTAAATTTAAGCCTTCTAAATGAAGTTGTTTTAATTAAAGTAATTCACAATAAAACATTATACCTTTTTTCATGACAAGCAGCAGAAAACAATATAATGACCCATCCTTGAGAACAAAACCTCCTCAGCCAATGGAACTCAGGTATAACAGGTGCTAGTCAGCCTTGTAGTCATTGTCTCATGCTCCCGGGATGAGAAATAATGTACCGTGGACAAGAAATAAAGATGTTTAATAAGGATTCATTTGACAAATGAATATGTGAATGCAGTCAGGTTCTGTGCTGGGGAGTATGGACATGTGTTAGTCCTCACGTTTCTTGATGGCATTTTAAAGAGTTTGTCCAGTCCTTCCTTCTTAAAAGCTGTATTCCCAGAACTCCTCAGTGTCACGCTCACCTGTATTTTCTTATCTCTCTGGGCAGTCTTCACAGTTCTTTGCTGGCTGTTTCTCCTCTACTTGACCCTTCGTTTTTGGTTGTTCCTCTGGAGCCCATTATAGCCCTTCTTCATTCTCTCCAGACCATTTCATATCCAAGTCTTTAATTAATGTCTACAAGTGGATAAAAAAATCCTTATTTCCAACTCAGGGCTTCCTGTTGAATGACAGATCATATATTCAATTACCTCTAGGTTTCTCCATTTGTCTATCTTGCAGATACCTCATATTCATCATAATGAAATTAGAGCTCATTGCTTCTCCACCCTCACTTTCCTTTGACCTGCCATTGCTTAACAGTACCCAATCTCAAGAAATGGTTCTGCTGTGCAATCCAGTGCTATGCAATCTAGTGTTCAAGCTAGAAATCCAGGAGTCATGTTTTATTCCTCTGTCTCTTTCATTTCTCCCTTCCACTTTCTTCCTTGCAATCCATCATGAATTTCTCTTAATTGTAGGGCTTACATTTTCCCAAATCTGTCTTTTTCTCCCTATCCTCTCCACATAACCTTGGTCCAAGCCACTATCGATTTTCACTTGTTACTACTACAGTATCCTCTGGTGTCCCTGCCTTTAGTCTTGCTCCTCTTCCATTTCCTTCCCATACTGTACCCAGGATAATCCAAATATAAATATGATCATGTTATTCCCTTATTCAAAACCCTTTGTTCATTGTCCTTAAGGTAAAATCCAAACAGCCTACACACTTTATAATGCATTCCAAGGTCTGGCCTATATGTACTGTTTCCGCACTATATAAGATTCAGTTCCTTGAAAACTCTTGGTATCATCTCTTGCCTCAAGGGTTTCACAAAGGCCCTTTGTTCTTCCTGAAGCAGCCACCACCTACCTCCAGTCCTCCTTCATCATGCTAACTCATGATTCCTCAGGTGATTCCTCAGGTGTCAGCTTAAACACCACTCCTTTCAGGAATCATTCCATCACACAGTACCCTTTTAAAACATGTATTATAACATTCAACACACACTTTCTAATTCCTTCTTTATTAATTTATCTTCCCCACTAAAAATAAACCTTGTTAGTACAGGGACAATGTGTATGTATATTGGACTCTACCTTCTTTCTAGCCTTAGCACAATGACTGGTACATAATAAGCACTCAATAAACACAGTCATCCACTACATAAAGACATTTTGGTCAATGATGAACCACATAGACAATGGTGGTCTCATATAATCATAATGGAGCTGAAAAATTTCTATTGCCTAGTGAGGTCCTGGCCATGATAACATTTTGGCGCAAAGCGTTATTCACATGTTTGTGATGATGCTAGTGTAAACAAACCTACTGCTCTGCCAGTCCTAAAAAAGTATAGCACATACAATTAGGTACAGTACATAGTACTTGATACTGATAACAAACATCTCTGTTACTGGTTTATATATTTACTATACTATACTTTTATTTTTATTTTAGAGTATACTCCTTCTACTTATACTTATATGAAAGTTAACTGTAAAACAGCCCCAGCCAGGTCCTTCAGAGGACATTTCAGAAGATGTCATTGTTATCATAGCTGATGACAACTCCGTGAATGTTATTGCCCCTGAAGACCTTACAATGGAACAAGACGTAGAGGTGGAAGTAAGTGATATTGGTGATTCTGACCCTATGTAAGCCTAGTCTAATGTGTGTGTTTGTGTCTTAGTTTTTAACAGAAAAAGTTAAAAAAAATTTAATAGGAAAAAGCTTACAGAATAAGGATATAAAGAAATATTTTTATACAGCTGTACAATGTATTTGTAAGTTAAGCTAAGTGTTATTTAAAAGAGTCAAGAAGTTTTAAAAAATTTAAAAAGTTTATAAAGTAAAAATGTTACAGTATGCTAAGATTAATTTATTATGTGAAGAAAGAAAAATATTTTTAAATGAATTGAGTGTAGTCTAAGTGTACAGTGTTTCTAAAGTCTATAGCAGTGTTCAGTCATATCCTAGGCCTTCACATTCACTCACACTCACTCACCGACTCACCCAGAGCAACTTCCAGTCCTGCAAGCTTCATTCCTGGTAAGTGCCCTATACAGATATACTTTTTAAAATCTTTTCTACCAGGCCAGACGCGGTGGCTCATGCCTGTAATCCCAGCACTTTGGGAGGCTGAGGTGGGTGGATCATGAGATCAGGAGTTCAACATCAGCCTGGCCAAGATGGTGAAACTCCGGCTCTACTAAAAATACAAAAAAATTAGCCCGGCATGGTGGCGAGCGCCTGTAATCCCAGCTACTTGGGAGGCTGGGACAGAGAATTGCTTGAACCCGGGAGGCAGAGGTTGCAGCAAGCTGAGATTGCACCACTGCACTCCAGCCTGGGGGACAGAGCGAGACTCCATCTCAAAAAATATATATATTTTATTCCACACATTATGTACTTTTTCTATGTTTAGACAAATACTTATCATTGTGTTACCGTTGCCTATAGTTTCAGTACAGTAACAAACACATTGCTCCTAGGTTTGTAGCCTAGAAGCAATAGGCTATACCACATAACCTAGGTATGTAGGATGCTATACCATCAAGGTTTGCATAAATACACTCTATAATGTTTGCACAAAAACGAAATTACCTAATGGTGAGTTTCTCAGAATGTATCCCTGTCATTAAGTGAACCAAGACGGTATTTGTTAACTAAATGAATGAATAAATGAATTCAAATGTAAATAAAATACTCTTTGTCCTCAAGGAGCCTGAAGGAAGCAAAAAGGTGAAATACTGATTATAATAAAAGACGAGTGATTTGTTTTAAGATAGATATATGTAAAAGTTAAAACTGAATTAAAAGATTGACTAATGATGTCTATAGTCGAGTAGGACACAAAAAGGCTTTATAGAGAAGATGACCTTTGAACTAAACCTTGAGAGTGCTTGGAATACGGTAAGTACTTTTGCTGGAAATGCCCAACATTCCTTCTTCCTTCTTGTGGTAATAGCACTCCCATTTTCTTTTGGAAAAATATGCCTCCCCTTAGTGCACCAGGTTTGCATTAAGCTGGTCTCATTCCTTGCCCCCTCCCCCTGAGCCTGGCCTGGCCAATCAGAATCCCAGAGATCGTTCAGGCATAGGCACCTAGTCCAAGGCAGGCCAATGAAAGCTAGTTCAGATATTTGCTAGAACTATTGAAGAAAGGTGCTCTCTTTCCCTGGGGGATGGTTAAACTGACACAAGAAAAGCTGCAGCTGCCAGTAGCCATCTTTGCCACTATGTGGGCAGAGTGCGCCTGGAGGTTAAGCCAGAAAAACCAGCCTAGGAGTGGAGAGAGAGACCGGTCTGATGCGTTTGTTTGGATCCAGCTGTGCTTAAGGTCAAGTTACAGGTTAAAGAGTCAAATCATCCTACATTATTCTACAATTCATTCTTCCTGTCACGACAGAGTAATTGGCACTGGACTTCCTCTCACATTGAAAATGACAAGGAAATGGACACGTGTGAGGCAACTGTTTTCAAGCACTGAGGGCAGGAAGTGCAGGACTGTGATCCTTAAGACACAGAAGCCATGTGGGGTGATTCTAGGTCAGTTTTCTTCCCATTGCACAGAGCAGTGAGACCCAGGCTGCCATAGGTGAGACAGGTGTGCTTCCCAAGCAGAGAAGGCAGAAACCCACATTTCAGGCAGCTGAAGCAGCTGGAATTTGTGGGGCAGGGTACAGAAAAGAGTGATAAAGACTCTCTGCTTTGACTAAGACTTTAGTCAGGGTCCTGAGCCCTTTCTGACTAAGCCTATCCTTGGGCTCCCCTCTCTGTCCTTGATGAATCCAGTCTGAGAAAAATGCTGCTAAATTAAATTAGCGAAAATCTCCACTCTTTGACATCTGACCACCCTCAATCTTTGAGCCCCCTGGCCGGTCTTCAGTAATAATCCTATCAAGTCTGTTCAGCCAGAAACCCCTGTCACTGATGGTTCCTTTCAGTAATTTTCCATCGACTGACTCCCCCCGTTCACCACCACCACTCACACACACTCTCCTTCCTCATTATAAATCTCCACCTGTCCTTGTTGGAGTAAAAGTTGATTCTAGTATCTCCCTAAGTACAAGACCTTGTTGCAGTGGTCCCTATACCTATGGCCATGATAGTCCATGAATAAAGTCTGCCTTACCATCTTTAACAAGTATCATTAATTACTATTTCTTTTTTTTCTTTTTGCTTAAAATGTTTTATTATTTAAAAATTTATAGTATCAGCAACTCTTAATTATGTGAGTCAATAAGAAACCGACATCTGTAGTATCCCAGTCATTTTTTGAACAGTTTTATAATCTTCTACAAGTTTATAATGAGTAAGATGACTTACTCATGCCATCATTTGTTTCTTTTTTTTATTATTATACTTTAAGTTCTAGGGTATATGTGCATAATGTGCAGGTTTGTTACATATGTATACATGTGCCACGTTGGTGTGCTGCACCCATTAACTGGTCATTTACATTAGGTATACCTCCTAATGCTATCCCTCCCCCCTCCCCCCACCCCACAACAGGCCTCGGTGTGTGATGTTCCCCTTCATGTGTCCATGTGTTCTCATTGTTCAATTCCCACCTATGAGTGAGAACATGCGGTGTTTGGTTTTTTGTCCTTGCGATAGTTTGCTGAGAATGATGGTTTCCAGCTTCATCCATGTGCCTATAAAGGACACAAACTCTTCATTTTTTATGGCTGCATATTATCCCATGGTGTATATGTGCCACATTTTCTCAATCCAGTCTATCATTGTTGGACATTTGGGTTGGTTCCAAGTCTTTGCTATTGTGAATAGTGCCACAATAAACATACGTGTGCATGTGTCTTTATAGCAGCATGTTTTATAATCCTTTGGGTATATACCCAGTAATGGGATGGCTGGGTCAAATGGTATTTCTAGTTCTAGATCCCTGAGGAATCGCCACACTGACTTCCACAATGGTTGAACTAGTTTACAGTCCCACCAACAGTGTAAAAGTGTTCCTATTTCTCCACATCTTCTCCAGCACCTGTTGTTTCCTGACTTTTTAATGATCACCATTCTAACTGGTGTGAGATGGTATCTCATTGTGGTTTTGATTTGCGTTTCTCTGATGGCCAGTGACGATGAGCATTTTTTCATGTGTCTTTTGGCTGCATGAATGTCTTCTTTTGAGAAGTGTCTGTTCATATCCTTCGCCCACTTTTTGATGGGGTTGTTTTTTCTTGTAAATTTGTTTGAGTTCATTGTAGATTCTGGATATTAGCCCTTTGTCAGATAAGTAGATTGCAAAAATTTTCTCTCATTCTGTAGGTTGCCTGTTCACTCTGATGGTAGTTTCTTTTGCTGTGCAGAAGCTCTTTAGTTTAATTAGATCCCATTTGTCAATTTTGGCTTTTGTTGCCATTGCTTTTGGTGTTTTAGACATGAAGAGCCATGTAGATTACACTTGGCAGAACCCCGACTACCTCACCTTTCCTACCCACTAACCACCTTTCCCAATGCTTTAGACCACTCCTTTATGCCATAAGCCCCCCAAGCCCTATTGTCAGGGAGGCAGATTTGAAATTTGTTCTTCCATCTCCTCACTTGGCAGCCTTGTGATTAAAATCTTCTCTCTTTTGCAAACCTGTCATCACAGTGATTGACTTACTGTGCGTAGGAAGGATGAACCTGGTTTGGTATCAAAAATATTAGCAGCTGAGCCATCCTAATATTAGGATTACTTTTCTTTCCTTGCACAACTTTTTGTTTCCCTGGAGTTGATATTCTTATTGGTTTTTTTTCATTTCCTTAGTTTGCTTTGTACTTATAACAGACTCATACCAAAACACTATCCCAATTGTTTAAAATCCCTCTCGATAGTTCAAACATATCATGTATTCTAGCTATTTTACCTTCTCAAAAACATCTCCCTTGAGGCTGCTCTTGTTTGGACTGGTTGCTCTCTAGGCCTGGTGCCAAGCTATGATCCTGGGACTTATCTGCCCCATATCTAGGAGATACTCATCACCTCCCTTGTGAATTGGTAAACCAATTGTTGGACTGCTCATCCAAGTACTGTTGGTCAGAAGACCAAAGCTATTCTGATTCCTGATCCTTTAGAGGTGACCTACTTTCAGAAGTTTATAGGGTCTTATTGATACAGAGGGAAGTACTGGAAAGGACATGGTCCCTTTAAATGATACGGAAGGGGGAAGGGAAGGGCGTGGTCCCTGGCTACGGCTCTACTTCTGGGCCTGTGCCCAGGGACTTAAGTGAGGACAGGCATTTTTGTTTTTCTGACCAAATGTTGCATTTCCCAAGACCTCCACTGGCCTGCCACGCCCCCATCCTGTGCCTATAAAAGCCCCCGAGACTCTAGCAGGCACACACTCAAGCGGCTGGACATCAAGAGGAACACATCCTCTGAAGAAGACACAAGTGGCTGGACGTGGAGAGGACGTCCAGGGGAGCGCACCAGCGGAAGAGCACACAGACAGACGCCGGCAGGCCACTGACCATCAGAACAATGCAGAGTTTGGCTGGGGCAGTCAGAGAGAGTCCAAACGCTGAGCAGCCCGACTCTAGGGAAAACCATCTTCTTCTGGCTCCCCATCTGCTGAGAGCTACTCCCACTCAATAAAACCTTGCACTCATTCTCCAAGCCCCGGTGTGATCCGATTCTTCCGGTACACCGAGGCAAGAACCCAGGATACAGAAAGTCCTCTGTCCTTGCGGCAAGGTAGAGGGTCTGATTGAGCTAGTTAACACAAGTCACCTACGGACAGTTAAACTAAAAGAGCAACCTGTAACACACGCCCACTGGGGCTTCAGCTGTAAACAATCACCCCTAGACAATGCCATGGGGTCAGAGCCCCACAGCCTGCCCATCTGTATGCTCCCCTAGAGGTCTGAGCAGTGGGGCACTGAAGAAGCGAGTCACATCCCCATCACACGCTGTGCGAGGCGGACAAGGGAACTTTTCCCATTTCATTATCTTCGCATTCTAAAATTGTGTGATGATGTTGTGTCCGGAATTGGTGGGTTCTTGGTCTCACTGACTTCAAGAATGAAGCCGCGGACCCTCGCAGTGAGTGTTACAGTTCTTAAAGGCGGCGTGTCCGGAGTTTGTTCGTTCTGATGTTCAGAGTTTCTTCCTTCTGGTGGGTTCGTGGTCTCTCTGGCTCAGGAGTGAAGCTGCAGACCTTCGCGGTGAGTGTTACAGTTCTTAAAGGCGGCGTGTCCGGAGTTTGTTCGTTCTGATGTTCGGAGTTTCTTCCTTCTGGTGGGTTGGTGGTCTCGCTGGCTCAGGAGTGAAGCTGCAGACCTTCGCCGTGAGTGTTACGGTTCTTAAAGGCCGCGTGTCCGGAGTTTGTTCATTCTGATGTTCGGATGTGTTCGGAGTTTCTTCCTTCTGGTGGCTTCGTGGTCTCGCTGGCTCAGGAGTGAAGCTGCAGACCTCCGCGGTGAGTGTTACAGCTCATAAAGGCAGTGTGGACGCAAAGAGTGAGCAGCAGCAAGATTTAGTACAAAGAGCGAAAGAACAAAGGTCCACAGTGTGGAAGGGGACCCCAGTGGGTTGCCACTGCTGGCTCCCGCAGCCTGCTTTTATTCTCTTATCTGGCCCCACCCACATCCTGCTGATTGGTCCATTTTACAGAGCTCCGGGTGGTCTGTTTTGACAGGGTGCTGATTGGTGCATTTATAATCCCTGAGTTAGACACAAAGGTTCTCCACATCCCCACTAGATTAGCTAGATACAGAGTGTGGACACAAAGGTTCTCCAAGTCCCCACCAGAGTAGCTACATACAGAGTGTCAATTGGTGCATTCACAAACCTTGAGCTACACACAGGGTGCTGATTGGTGTGTTTACAAACCTTGAGCTAGATACAGAGTGCCCATTGGTCCCGCTTAGCTAGACATAAAGGTTCTCCAAGTCCCCACCAGACTCAGGAGGCCAGCTGGCTTCACCCAGTGGATCTTGCACCGGGGCCGCAGGTGGAGCTGCCTGCCAGTCCCGCGCCACGCACCCGCATTCCTCAGCCCTTGGGTGGTCGGTGGGACTGGGGGCAGCGCTCGTCAGGGAGGCTCCGGCCGCACAGGAGCCCACCGTAGGGGGTCGGGGAGGCTCAGGCATGGCGGGCTGCAGGTCCCGAGCCCTGCCCCGCAGGAAGGCAGCTAAGGCCTGGTGAGAAACTGAGCGCAGCAGCTGCTGGCCCAGGTGCTAAGCCCCTCACTGCCCGTGGCGGGTGGGTCGGGGCTGGCTGGCGGCTCTGAGTACGGCCCGCCGAGCCCACGCCCACGCGGAACTCACGCTGGCCCGCAAGCGCCACGCGCAGCCCTGTTTCCCGTGGCGCCTCTCCCTCCACACCTCCCCGCAAGCTGAGGGAGCAGGCTCCAGCCTTGGCCAGCCCAGAAAGGGGCTCCCACAGTGCAGCGGCGGGCTGAAGGGCTCCTCAAGTGCCGCCAAAGTGGGAGCCCAGGCAGAGGAGGCGCCGAGAGCGAGCGAGGGTTGCGAGGACTGCCAGCACGCTGTCACCTCTCAGTGTCACCTGGACAGAGGGCCAATGCATTAGTGCCACTGGGTTCTTAATGGTTTATCTGAATCTAAAAACCTCTGTCCTTTAATTCTTGAAAATGTTCTCTTCTGTGCTTTTTCTGCTATCTCTTTCTAAACTAGTATTAGTCAAACATTGGGCAGAATGAGCTAATTCTTTTATCTTTTTCTCCCATTTTTACTCTTGTCTTTTTGCTCTACATTGTGGGAGATTCCCTCAACTTTCTCTTTTTAAGTCTTTTATGGATTTTTTAAAAAACTTCTACTAACATATTTTAATTTATTAACAGCCTATAATGGCAAGTACCTTCTCTTATCTTTCTGAGGACATCAATGATTTTTTCCTAAAGTTTTAATCTCCCTGCAAAATGTCTTTCTTCTAAGTTGCTTCCCACCTCTGCTGCTTTTTTTTGGATAGATCTTCTTCATGTTAAACGCATGCCTTGTCAATCTTGACTGCATCTATTTAAGAATGAGGCTAAATTAAGTGAAAAGTTCCACATGGATGGTACTTGTCAGTTCTGGGCTTCACTCTGGCTGGACTGTTTCATTGAAAACTCGCTTTTCTGAAGTCTTTTCTTTTGAACTTGTGAGCCTCTTCAGAGACGGGTATGTCCGGAGGGCTTGTTAAAACACAGATTGCTGGGCCCTACCCATAGAGTTTCTGATTCCATCGGTCTTGGGTAAGGCCCTAAAATTTGCATTTCTAACTATTCCTAGATGATATTAATTTGAGATGCCTGGAGGATACAAATTTGATTGCCCAAAATGAGACCTGAGTTGGGATTACAACATTCAGAATATAAATTTTTCTTGTCTATTTTCTTCCCATCCTGAGCAGTACCTGCTGTTCTCTGTCCAGAGAACTTCTGTTTTATATTCTATGGAAGATAAACATAAAATCTTCTGCCAAGGTTAGGAAGAGGCTGTTCCCCAGCTGGAGTGGGGAATAGGGCCTGAGGATCTGAATGTTTCTTTTATTTTTATTTTTGTTTTTTTGAGACAGAGTCTTGCTCTGTCGCCCAGGCTGAAGTGCAGTGGCGCGATCTCGGCTCACTGCAACCTCAGCCCCTCCAGGTTCAAGCAATTCTCTGCCTCAGCCTCTGGAGTAGCTGGGATTACAGGCGCGTGCCACCACGCCCGACTAATTTTTTGTGTATTTAGTAGAGACGGGGTTTCACCATCTTGACCAGGCTGGTCTTGAACTCCTGACCTCATGATCCACCTGCCTTGGCCTCCCAAAGTGCTGGGATTACAGGTGCGAGCCACCGTGCCTGGCCTGAATGTTTCTTACGTGTACAGCCAACCAGTCCCTTGGTCTTCATTCCCATCTTCATCTTTACTTCTAGAGTTTCTAGTACTGCACTTCCTGTGATTTTCAGGGTTCTATAGGGGCAAATCAAAATGTTTTTTTCCTTTTCCCTCTGCCAGTTTGGGATCCACTTTTTCAAGTTTGCTAAGTCTTCGCTACTCATCCCTCTACTACCAGCTTTCAAAATTGTATTGCTATCAACTCCTCTATGTCATTTTCTCTTTGCCCTCTAGGTCTTTAAAATGAAATAATTTTACTATCATAGTAGTGGGCTTTGAGGAAAGGAGTTGAGGTAAAGATTTCTGCCACCTTCAACTAAAATTTAGAAGAGCATCTAGTTTCAAAACAACCATGTTCCCAGATTCTGATTGTATCTCAGAGTATAAAACAAATAGGATTGTCTTGAAAGAAAACTGAACTATTCCCAAAAGTTCCTCTAGGCTGGTCAGTTCAGTTGTTTTATGCTTGGCAAAATATGACAATTATGTTTGCATAGGAAACTCTGTTTCACAGCTGGAGATTGCACCTCCACCACAGCCAAGTATATCATGGGTCTAGGAAATAAGCCACACATATGAAATTCTGGTGATTCAAAGCACGAGATCAAAGTATATGAACTAATAAGTTCATTTTGTATATAAAGAGCAACACTAAAAAACTAATACTATGCTAAGGTACTTTATCTATTCCATACTGTCTTTGCCCAACAATAATTAAAATGATCAGGATTCACTGAGCATGTAGATATCTTCAGAATTATGCTGCAGCTGTTACAGCCCAACAAAATGGGTGTCATTTTATTTATTTTGTTACCAATTAGAAAACTGAAATCCATAAGAGTTAAGTAACCAGCCCAAGGCCACACAGGAAAGGCCGGGCCAGAATAGAACTGTACGTCTGCCTCATTCGAAAGCCACCATATGACCATTTTGAATAAGGTGAAGTAACGGCAAATAGATATGTTAACTTTGAATGCAAAACTCAAGAGGATTTCATAATACAATGTAAGCTTTACACAGATTTGGACAACTTCTTTCCTCCTCCTTTTCTCCTTCCTTCTTCTTCTTCTCCTTCTCCTTCTCCTCCTCCTTCTTTTCTCCTCCTTCTTCTCTCCTCCTTCTTCTTCTCCCCTTCTTCCTTCTTCCTCCTCCTTCTCCTCCACTTCCTCCTCCTCCTCCTTCTCCTCTTCCTCCTTCTTCTTCCTCTTCTTATTTGTGACTCTTACAGCATCTATCAGAAGAAAACTTCAACAAATACTCATTAAACGGAAGACTATTTAATAGTTTGTGAATACTGCATAAGAATAAATTCATTCAAGTTTACTATAGAGAGGTAGGGTAAGTCACTAGATGGATTTCTGCCAAGGGAATCAACACCACAGAAAACCCATCAGAGATACAGAGAAGTAGTATTATTTCACGATATCCTATCTTTTAAAATAAAAACAGATTCTTAACATTTGAACCCACAAGATGATTTTCCCAAATGATACTTTGAGTGTGCATATTCTTGCTTTAGTTTATATAGATCACTCTGAGGTTTTGGGTTCTCTAGGGAGACTTCCGAATAAAGATTTTTAACCAGAAAGGGGATACTCAGCTAGGGAGTAATCATCATGTTTTAACATTTAAAAAGAAGGGAAACACAGCTTTACTTGCCACCCAAGAGTGGAAGAATTCTGTAAAACAGATAAGATGAGTGGAAGTAAAAAATAAGAAAAAATCATAAAAATGTGTTTGGGAGAAGCTCAGAAAGAAAAAGAGAAATTTTAACAATTAGAAGGTGGAGGAGGAGAAGATGGGGGCAGAGAACAACACTAACTTAAAATACCCCATAAAGTGTCTTGTCTTTGTGATAGGTCTGTGTAGTCCCCTTGTCTCCTGGTAATGGAGAAATCACTCAACTACATCATGTTTTAACTTTATTGCAGGCCCGGAGATGGGCCAGAGAATCATAAAAAGTAAAATATCATGAACTACTAATGATTTTTTTCAGTCAATTTAAAAGGACTTGCTAAGAAAACTAACAATATGTACTGCCCAATTTAGGAAGACGGCTTAACCTATTTCGAAGAACACAAATATTTCATTGATGTGGTACGCAAAATAATGCCTCTTCCGGGATGTCTACATCCTAATCTCCAAAACTACGAATATGTTATATTGCATGGCAATGAAATTAAAGTTGCAGGTGGAATTACTCTTGTTCATCAGCTGACCTAGAGATGGAGAGAGTGTCCTGGATTAGCCAGGTGGGCTCCGTAATCACAAGGGTCCTTATAAGTGGAAGAGGGAGGCAGAAGATAAAGAATCAGAAAGATGAAACATGAGCAGACTCAGCTCTGGAAATTCATGAAGGAGCATTAAAGAGTGCTTGTATCCTGCAGAAGCTGGGAAAGGCAAGATACAGATTCTCCCCTAGAGCTTCCAGAAGGAAACCAGCCCTGAGAACACCTTGCTTTTAGCCCAGTGAGATCCACCTCAGACTTCTAGCCTTCAGAAGTGTAAGATAATGTGTGCTGTTTTAAGCCACTAGGTTTGTGATAACTTGTCACAACAGCAATAGGAAACTAATACCCTTACCAAAATGTGTGTATTCATAAATTCATTGTTGGTCTTATCTTACTCTTTAAAGCAAGCTATTCACTTAAGTAAGTGAATAGTTAAGCCTATTCACTTAACTAAGAGTTCTAATTAAATAAAATTATCACACTTTTTTGTTAGAACAAAAACTGATTCAGTTTTCTACTATTTCATATAAGTATAGTCTCATATTGTCAATTGAATCTAATGAGGTTTTAGAAAACAGAAATTAAAACTGAATTAAACAAGGATATAACCCATTTAGCACACATCACCATAGTGTTATTTTAGTCAAGTCTGCTTCTTCCTACACTTGCAGGATGGAGTTAACGAAAGCATCCTTTCCTAAGAAAAACTTTTTCCACTGACCTAAATGTGTGTATTAATTATTTAATTCTGGCTATCTGTCATCAGCTATTCTTTCTAGTCTCTTCTTCCCTTCCTTTTGAAATGTTCTCACACTAGTATTTCCATTTCCCCTCTTAACACTATCCAGATGCTACTGTGAATCTCAAATAGCAAATGGCTGTACTGAGTGCAAATTTGAATTTAAGAAGGGAGTGGAAATCACCAGAACAAGCATTTGAGGAAGAAATAAAGGCAGGCCCTTGGTCTTCAAAAGTTAATGGGAGTTAGGCTATTTAAATCTTAGAATATACCTCCTCTCACCGAGGTTATTGAAAATAATTAGGTTCCAGGCCGGTCTAGAAAACCTATTCAACTCATTAAGTGAACCATATTCATGAAGTCTTCTACATTTATTGGATACCTGCTATGTACAAGGCATTTTGATATAGGTTAGAAAGGCAAAGATAAATGAAAATTCTTGCCCCCTAGAGTTCACAATCCAGAGGAGATTACTAATTGTGCCGCCGCTGGATAATACTATAATGCACATTCCGAAACAGTTCTGTGGGGCACAGAAGCATGATGCATTTGCCTGGTGGTAGCAGGAGACACTTGGCACTCTGTGTGTAAAATAGGAAAGAAATGGATATTCCCATTCCAATTGTTTACACCTTCCTGATAGGAAAGAGTAAGTAGTGGCCTTCACTTGGGAAGAAAGGTGGTTAAACATCCCTGGTACCTAGCAAACTCTTCTTTACACCTGTAAAAGAAACGAACTTTCATTGCATTTCTAAACCCAGAGAAATCAGTCCCTAGGTATTCTGAACTGGGAAATATAGCATATGTTAGAGAGTATTGAGTTCAGACAATCCTAGTTTCAAATCTGCTTGAAACTGACAGTGTATTATCTTGGTAGTTTACTTAGCCTTACAACCTCTGTTTTCTTGGCTATAAAGTAGTCATCAATATTCCCATCTTTTAGGTTAATGATGAACATATGAGATGATTTATATACAGTACCTAGCATGAGAGATCAAGGATGGAATTCTGAATTTGGACTCTCTAGTAACAAACATATATGTACTAATATGTACATAGTGTTCACATGTCAGAAAACACACAGAACTTCTCCAGAATCACTGCCAAGTTTAACTGATGCCCTTTGGAAAAATGAAGCCAAATGCAACAAAACTAATCCCACCTCTGACTTCACTGAAGAATAAATCTAGTACCTGTGTCTGAATTGTTCTGTCATTTTGCAATTCCTTAACAGTCTTCAGGAAGAATAACGGAAAGTTCCATAAGCACAAGAACCATGTCTTAGTCACCTTTGGTTCCATATCACAATTATCATGATATCCTGTTTAGTAGGTGCTCATTTTTCACCTTAAAATGTAGCGAGCCGTAATCAAACAGTGTAAATATAAAAAGATTTTACTGATTTGGACATTATAGAGTTCATAGAAGCACCAAGAGTATGTTCTTACTAATATAGTTGAAAATATTTTATTTGAGAAAGAGTAAAATCACTCAGAGATAATCTATTCATTTAAGAAATGAACTTTTTGAGTACATACTATGTGTGAGGCACTGTTCTAGGCACTAGGGATAAAGCAATGAACAAGATACTAAAATCCCTGCCCTCGTGAAGCTTACATTCTAGTCTGAAAGATAGACAGCAAATATGACAAAACTGATAAATAAAAGTAATAAGTACTAAGAAGAAAATTAAAGCAGAAAAGGAAGACAGGAAGTATCAGAGGGCCTACCCCAGGGTGGTGGTTCATGACATGATGAGAGTAAGTCCCAGATTCTGCACCTATTTTGAAAGTAGAAACAACAGGATTTGCCGATATGTTGAACATATGAAGTACTGTCAATTATTCAACGACTAGGAATTCTTACAGTAAACAGAGAGTCCCAATTTCCCTTCATCAACATAATTGCCCTAGGAAATAATTCAGCCACTTAACTCATGAAACAATATGAATTCCGCAGATGTCAAATGATAAAGAGATGGAAATTTTTAAATACAATTTTAAAGGGAACAAATATCTGGTGATAAAGCTGATTGGCAAGTCACTTATCAAAGATCCTAGGTAGAGTGACTTCACTTCATTTGATGGACCAATAACTTACAAATGAATCTTTGAAAACTGAAGACTAACACTTAAAAACAAACTGAAAGTCTATTACTTATAGTTTTTATTCAAAAATAAAGGAAAGGTATTGATTAAACCAATTAAGCTCCTTTATCAAAAGAGGAAACTCATTTTTGGATCCTTTAGACTATATTTCTCTAGGATGCATGTGATATTAATTTGAAAATTAGCACCAAATACATATTTTAAAATTATATATGTACATAAATTTGAACAATTGAAAACTATATACAAATATTTAAATTTTATATTTACATAAATGAAGGAAGAAAGGGAGGGAGGGAGGAAGGAAGAAGGAAGGGAGGGAAGGAGGGAGAGAGGGAGAAAGGAGGGAAGGAAGGAAGGGTCACATTTTTATAAGGATTTGTCATTCTCTTCAATGTCGTACCAGAGAAATCCAGCAGATGGCACTCATATATTTCTCTAAATATGATGCTGAATTAAAAACAGGATTGCTTACACTTTGTATTTCAGACCAGAAAGACTGAATACATCACAGAAGCAAACACATTTCAAAATTTTCTATTACCATGGAGAGATAATGCTTTTAAGGTACTCTAATGCACATTCATAGCTTGCAAGTAACTTACAATTTTCACTTCCTATTCTAGCAGGTGGTGGAAAGGTAGCATTCATAACCATTATCTGCCAATCAACAGTTTGATAATAGAAAGCTGTAAGGGACCATTGAGAGACCTACAAACTTTTCTGTGATGGGATGTGGGATCATTACTTTCTTCTGGTTTATTTCCATTGTTTTTATTGGTTGTTCAACATAGATAGGCTCTGAAATTAGCAAACATAACTACCATTTTTCAGCTAAGTAAACAGGCTCAGAAAGAGTAAGAAATAAGACAGGGTAATTCACCCAAGAAAGATAAACAACAATAAATGAATCCAGTTTCTTTAACTAGAGAATCAATAATTTATATTTAAATCCTTAAGCAATAAATATAGGTTAAATGAACAAGTTAATTGAAACCATATTTCAACACATATTATTGGACACTTCCTATATACCACACACTGTTCCAGGCTCTAAGGGATAAGCGATGTGCAAGATAAAGAATACTCTGCTTTCATGGAACTTCTGTTTTAGTGGTGATAAGTAGAACAGAAAAACAAGAAAGATGTCACAAATTATAAGAAGTATGAAGAGAATTTATAACTAGGATATGTCATAGTGTGACTGCGTGACTACTTTACATAGATTGTTTAAAGGAAGGCCTCTCTGAGGAGGTGACGTTTCACTTGACATCTGAATGACAGAAGCTGACAGCCATACAGAGATCAGGGGGTGGAGCAACCCAGGCAGAGGGAACATAGCTCATGAAATGATCCTAACACCAGAACAAGTTGGGCCTATTTGGGGGGCAGAAAGATCTGTATGGCTGGAGAGGAGTCTACAAGGAGGAGAGCTGGTATGGCATGAGTTCTGAGAGGTAGGCAAGAGCCAGGATGGATGGAGAGATGGATGAAAGAATGGATAGAAGGAAGAATACAAGGAGAAAGGAAATGAGCAAGAGCGCTAAGTTCAGGTTAATCAGATTCTTTTACATGTTGATCTTTCTGGATGTTTTCTATTAGTCACATTCCTGCCTTAGCAAGTACTGAAGAATGAATATAACCTTTATTATTTGATATTGTAAAAAGGTGCCATTCCTCAGGTTATCACTTTAAATATCAATGACCACAGGGTAGTGCTGGAAAAAAAGAAAAAACACACATCTGTAGAAAGTGTAATAAAGCAGGATGAATAGGTGTTACTTTCAAGAGATAGCCAGAAGGCGAATTTTCAATAACACTTGATTTGAGTCTGTTTTATTCTGATTTGCCCCTTTCTTCTCAAGGAGTGTAGAAAGATATTCTTAGTTAATTAAAGATTCATATTTGCTGATTCTGATTAATCGATGTTTTCTGGTACCAAAGGGTGATTTAAATAATTCTTAAATTTCTCTTATCTTCTAATATTTACCTGTTATGTAAGATTTTATTGTAAGCACGTTTTCAAAAGCAATATATATTTAAGCTGTGTTAGAAATGAAACCCAAGCAATTAAACTGTAAATAAAGAGGGCCTCTGCTCTGTGTGACCTCATGCAAATCAGATCATCAATCAAAACCTCAGTTCCCCCTCTAAAAATGGCATATCTGATTGGTCTACAACTAGAATCTTGATAAAGAGCTTTGATTTTATTGAATAAAAAGGCTACTATAAATATAATCTTGATATTTTACTAACGTTAATTGGCTCCAGATTGTAGAGCTGACATTATGCTGACCCTATGACTACCCTCAGGTCACCCATTCCCAGTCAGGAGCTTCTTTGTCTAAAGTCTACAAAAACTGTTTCAACAACCACATCACTTAATGGTGGCTTAAATTTGTAAATACTTTCAGTAATCACAAAGCCATATCCAGAAATATCATTAGTAATTGTATTTGCATCTATTAAATGTAGATTAAGAGGATTTTATTTTAACAAGGTTTTATTTACCAACTAATTAGAATGACAATTTATTACAAGTGTGAAAATAATTAACTTCGAATTATTCAAGTAGTGTAGTTCTTCTGGTTGTAAGAAAAAAATAAAATCATTTTCTCCCACTCAATCAATGGGCCTTGTTTGGAATAGCTACTTATATCAGACATTGTTATTAATTTCACATATTCACCTATTCTTTATTTTCCCAGACATCTGAATTCTGGTGCTGTTTATTTCATAGAGGCCTTTTAAAGACAAATTCACTCTGTATCAAAAGCTGTTTAAATCAGCATTCAATTCTGACAGCTTTGCTCTTGATACTTTTCATAGCAGCAGCTGGGAGACCACTTTACCATCAGTCATGGCTTTTTTTTCCTCCAGTCAAAGTATATGTTCTACGGTAAGCATTGCCCTGCAAAATTTTTTCCTCATGTTTAATAAATGTGACCTTACGTATAATTAACAACAAACAGATAAAATCCTGTTTCTCCCTTTTAAAGCAGGGGAAAGTTATTACTTGATTTCCCTCGTGTAGTAGTCAATGCTGTCTTGATATTAGTCTTTTGCCAAGTGTCAGTAAAATAACAAATAAAGCTTCTTTACTGCTGTGATGATTTGACCATTAGCAAACCAAGAAAAAACTTACTTAACTTGAAAATATAATGTTTAGAAAGCACAAATGCAACTGATTATACATTCCGACCTCAAATATTTTCAAAAGATAACTTCATCCTTTCCATTCTTACATTTTAAAAAAATCTATTGTCTTAAGATAAAAGAGCCACAAAACCCCAAGATGTAATCCCTGCTTCGGGCTAATGACGAAAAATATTTTTTATTTTTAGTTCACATCCTGAAAAAAATTCCCTTGACAGAAAATGTTCTGAACTAGATTCTGAGAGGCAAACATTTTCTTTACTAAAGTTTTTCTGGATGACAAAAGGAGAGAAGAGGGGTCAAAAAAGAAACATAAAAGTTCACCTAAAATAGATCAGCTTCAAATGTTAAAATACTTTTTAGTACATTAAGCAGCTTTTAAATTTCAAATTTTATACTATAAATACTTGAATCACAGAACACCTTACCCTGATACACCCGGCATTAAGATAGTCTCATATTTATTTCTAATCATGTCACTGAACTGCTACTGTTTCCTAGGCTGCAAATAAATGATTTATTCATTATAGTGTGACACAGTTATGTATGATTGATTGGTATAAAATATAAAGGGACTTTGTCCTCCACAGGAGCTTTGAACAGGGCCTGTCCAGTGCATGCTGTCTGTCCATCTGCAGCTACCCAGCTAAATTACTGCTTGCCCTTCTGGTAATGGACTCAGTGGATTTTTTCACAGCATAATTTCCATCCTACAAAAAATTACTAATCCCAATTGACTCTGTTTTAAGGCATTTCTAGATTCCAATTCATTATAATACAATGACCTCTACCTTACCTTAGCCTTTTCAGAATCTCATCATGGTTTTTCAAGTTCCAAGAAAAAAAAAGCAGGCAGGCAATTTTTTGTTTGTTTCTTTTAAAAAACAAACCACTACTATTGACAAAACAATGATAGAATAGAAATCATTCTGATTGTAGATACCTTAAAGCTTTTCTTTACTTTTCCTCCCATTTCAATAATTAGGCCAGGGAAGGAAGAAAGGAATTTCTAGGCCAGTG
Source organism: Homo sapiens (assembly GCF_000001405.40). Taxonomy (NCBI): domain Eukaryota; kingdom Metazoa; phylum Chordata; class Mammalia; order Primates; family Hominidae; genus Homo; species Homo sapiens. Next base: position 116,382,644 of record NC_000010.11, on the reverse strand, counting down.
GTCATGCTCCACATCCTATGATTTTGTCGCTGTTTTTCCCCCAGTGTAATAGCTCCATTAATCAGCAGAGAATTTCGCAGCAAACTGTCTCTACATTTTAATATTATCCTCAGTGGAGTACTGAGAGTTAGAAAGTTGCTTCTCAAAGAACTTGAGTTACATTAAAGAACTATGGTGGCAAGCCACAAACCTCAGAGCAGTATCAGTGTTACTTTGGGTTAGTTTGCGTTTTGATCATAACTAAGTATACGGAAAATTTAATGAATTTACTTAATGAATGGACATTCGTTTAAAAATTGCCTTTCTGTATAGCCAAAGTCTTACTTCCAGAGTAACTGAATTCAGTCTGAGACATATTTTTACCCAGATAAGTTCAGTTAATTTTCCTACTTATGAGTTTTATGACTTACTAATTCTTAAAAAAAACCCTAAAAACAGACTTAATCTACTCCTAATATTTTATCTTGATGTGCAGTTTAGTTTCACACACTGTGATTTCTATTGATTGCTGTATTTCCTTTGTTTCAGATAACTTGTTCCTTTAATTACATTGATTCTAATCGTTCAGTTATTTTGATTGGTATCACATGGATACCGCTTTCTATTACTCTATCATGCAGTGCTAAAATAATTATTTGATTATATGAAAATGAGTTTAAATCTTAAATTATGCATTTTAAGCATTTTAAAATAATAAAAGTACCGAACCTTCAGTTTTATTCTCAAATTCAATTCATTTGAATACTGATTCTGTTACTGAATATTTAATCTAGATATTCTATATGACACACATGTGAAAGAACGGTTGTATCGGTAGCAGTTTATTCTGCATATATGCCATTGTGTTAGTAATTCAAATAGGTGGCTGATCTCTAGTTCACATTAATATTTTAGCTACAAAACCAATAATGAGCAAAAATTACTGGTAAGTGAAAGAAGCTTTACGTGTAAATTCTGCATACTAAATATATATAGCAAAAGAGATTCACAGGACTCTCCAGGGTAGACAAATAGACTAAAATAAGACAGAACTGAGGTCATGACAAATCCCAATAACCATTTCCCGCTCTGTATTTGCATATAAAATATATTGCAATTCTCTGCCACCATTCATTTTTTTCTTCCTAAGCAAAAATAATTGATTACTAATTTAAATATTTAAAAAATAAAATTAGAAATTACTTTTGAAAATTGCAAATTATTTAAACACATGGCAATTGCTATATATCCTGAAGGAGAGTGTTTCAACTTTGCTAATTTCTGAAAAATAAGGGTGTTAACATATACAAAAAAACTATGTCTAAATAAGACTTGCTCTGAAATAAGACTTGCTTAGGCTCTGCTCTGAGATTTAGATAAACCTAAGTACTCTACCTTAACATTAATAGATAAATGAATTCAACTACAACCACAAAAGAAAGCATGGTTCTAACATTAGCCCTCATTATTTTGAAATATATCCCCAAGTAAGTTTTCTTCCTAACCTGCTCCAATCTAGGGCCTTGTTGAATTGTTGCAATAAACTTTTATTTTTATTTTATTTGTGATTTGTTTTTAATTTCCATAGGTTATTGGGGAACAGGTGGTGTTTGGTTACATGAGTAAGTTCTTTAGTGGTGGTTTGTGAGATTTTGGTGCACTCATCACCTGAGCAGTATACACTGCACCCAATTCGTAGTCTTTTATCCCTCACCCCCTTCCTACCCTTTCCCCCTGAGTCCCCAAAGTCCATTGTGTCACTCTTATGCCTTTGCATCCTCATAGCTTAGCTTCCACTTACGAATGAGAGCATACAATGTTTGGTTTTCCATTCCTGAGTTACTTCACTTAGGATACTATTCTCCAATCTCATCCAGGTCACTGTGAATGGCATTAATTCATTCCTTTTTAGGCTGAGTAGTATTCCATCGTATATATATTTCACAGTTTCTTTATGCACTCGTTGACTGATGGGCATTTGGGCTGGTTCCACATTTTTGCAACTGCGAATTGTGCTGCTATAAACATTCATGTGCAAGTATCTTTTTCATATAATGACTTCAGGAGTAGCTATTCTTATATCAGTCAATACACTTTCAGACAATAGACTTTCTGTCTAGTCAGAAATGGTAACGGCAGAAAGATAAGTGATATTGGAAATTTGGTAGCAATACTAAGTATGATCCGATCCTAACTACACTGTTTTCAGTTGCAGTAGTTCAGGTCACCAGAGAAAATGAATCCTGATGGCTGTTAAGGAGATTATGTACCTCATAATCCACTGGGGATTCATATCCCCGTGGATAATTTGTTTCATTATAACCAACACTGGCATTAACCAGAAAATGGCTTCAGGTGCCCCAGACTTCATGGAAACACAGTGAAAAGTAGGAAAACTTTTACAGATGAAGGTCCTCAGAGGAACTCTGTCAACAGACATTTTATGATTAGAGAATAATTAAAATGAAAGCAAGCACCTTTGTTAGTGGAAGTGGCACCAACAAAACTGGGCCAATAAACTGAATGTTTCTTCCTATGTGTGTTTCATTGGACCCAAGGTAAACTACAACAAAAAATGAAAAGTATAGTGTATCAGTCCATTCTCGCATTGCTATGAAGAAATACATGAGACTGGGTAATTTACAAAGAACACAAGTTTAATTGTCCCACGGTTCTGCAGGCTGTACAGGAAGCATAGTGACTTCTGCTTCTAGGGAGGCCTCAGGAAGTTTCCAATCATGACTGAAGGCAAAGGGGGAGTGAGACATCTCATACGGTGGCAGCAGGAGCAAAGTGGAGAAGTGCTATACACTAGTAAACAACTAGCTCTCAGGAGAACTCAAGGACAGTACCAAGAAGAATGGTGCTAAGCTATTCATGAGAAACCCACCCCCATGACCCAATCACCTCCTATCAGGACCCACCTCCAACAGTGGGGATCACAATTCAACATGAGATTTGGGCATGGACACAGATCCAAACCATATTATATAGATTAGAAAGAATAGGACAGCTTGAGGTTCAGGGGCATATAAGAAGCCTGGGAACACGGTATCTACTTCTTCTCCTTTTCCTTCTTTTAGAAACAAAATCAAACCACAGAAGAACTCTTAAAGTTTGAGTAACAAGACAAAAATTATCTTAAAGGGCTAACACATCATTTCTAGATAATAACAATTTGAATATTTTAAACCCCATATTTCCCACAAGGATCCGTTGTAACGGGTACCATTCATATATCTATCACAAAGATTTGATTCTCAGATATTCTGATCAAATCTCAGATGGCTGATCAATTCTCTGTAAGTTATTTGCTTTCCTGAAGATCTTTCTGTGCCAATGTCTGAAAAGAAAACATAGTAATTACTCATGAGGAAAAGTAAATTCTTAATAAAATAATTACATAAAATGTACCTAAATTTAATGACAATAAATTCTGGGCATTTCTTAATTATATTTTTTATAAAAAAAAATAAATTCAAAGGTAACTTATTGAAACATTTTTTGAACAAGAAAATGTTTACCTAAAATATGTAACAACATGCAATGTATCAAATTAAAACTACATTTTAAGATAGTTTAAAGCTATTCATGTCTTTCACTAAAATGTAGTATGGCAAATACTGTGTTCATTTTATAAACAACCAAAGTAAGAGGTTAAAGCAATTTAAAGTGCTCCTACACAATCTGAAAATACATTTCCAACAATTGAATTCAAGGTTTTTGAGATTATACAAATACGCAATAAGAAAGTTTTAGGATCAAATATAATAAAAGTATAATTTATGCCTATCAAAAACAAAAAGCTTTTAAGGCATTATGATAGTTAAATTTCCTTCAGTGCAGTAATCCTCTAATAACAGTTTCAGTCAAGGAAATGTTATGAGGTCAGATCTAAAGTTGCTTTTTTTTAACTTACTTTGAAATCATACATATTCTCTTTGAATATAATTTGCTTCATGTAGCACCTAACTCTCTAGGAACTCAAAACACTTCATAGATTTACATCCTGATCCTAGTTATCTTCATTATTGCTTTTCTGTTTTTTGCAGAGGGATTAAACACTAGTTCAGTGATTTGTACACCAGTAAAACCGTTCCTTACCAGTAGGTAAAATAATGCTGAACAAAAGTTAAACAATCAATGATAACTTACCAACTCCAAAAATTCTATTTCTGTTTGGAGAGCTTCATAAACACTTTCCATGTCATCTTCCTTATAAAGTTCTAATTCTTTTTTAAGTCTATTTTAAAAGAAAATTTCACCTGTTAGTTTAATAATAAACTGTAATTGTATTACTGCACAGAGAGGGACAAGTTTGTAGCTTCTATAATCAGAATTTCAAGTTAAGACTAAATAATTGGCATATTTTAATTATCTATAATTCCATAAAGACTATATAAAATTTTGCGGTAAAACTTTTCATAAAGAAATTAAGGTAGACTGACTAGTAGACATTTAATATTTTTGTTGTTGTTGTTTTTTGAGATGGAGTCTCGCTCTGTCATCCAGGCTGGAGTACAGTGGTGTGATCTCGGCTCACTGCAACCTCTGCTTCCTGGGTTCAAGCGATTCTCCTGCCTCAGCCTCCCAAGTAGCTGGGATTACAGGCGGCTGCCACCACACTCAGCTAATTTTTGTGTTTTTAGTAGAGATGGGGTTTCGCCATGTTGGCTAGGCTGGTCTTAAACTCCTGACATCAAGTGATTCACCTGCCTGAACCTCCCAAAGTGCTGGGATTACAGGTGTTAGCCACCACGCCCAGCTGACATTTAATAATTTTATCATAACTAAAAGAGCAACATGAGCTGGTGGATAAAAAATATATAGTACTATGTCTTAACATCTCTGTTTTAGTCCTGGCCACCAGCAAACTGAATAAGCTTAGTTAAAACATTTAGCTTCTCTGAACCTCACCTGAAAACTTTTAAGTATAGAAAAAAAAATGACCCTTGAGCTCTCTTCTTGATCTAAAAGTAAACTATAACTTTATAATATACACACATAATTAAAATATATCTTAATTTGGGAGTGAGAAAGCAACATCTTTCTTTTCCCCAATTAAGTTTCTTTTCCCCAATTAAGTCTTTAAGTTTTTGAATATTTTGAATTTTTTAACATGAAAAAGCACATACATTTTATTAACGTGCATTGGGAATCACAAAAAAATAGGTTGGTTAGAACTGAAGCGGTTACATTCAGGTTTATTACCCTCTTAATGAAGGAAAGGGGGTTTGGAGTTGTTAAAGTTTATGAGAGACTGTCATTTGAAATGATCAAACCAAAATAGAGTTTCTGGAGCTAGGTGCCATGTAATCTATCTTGAAAATGGGCCAGTTTCCCAAAAAATAGGAGATTCATAGCAACCAATCAAAGGGGCCTTGAACCAACATAAGGCAGTCTCCTCTGAATTATGACTATAAGAAATTAATTTTGAAATGATTCTAGAAAAATCCAATTAAATGTTTATACTGATTTTTTTATTATACTTTAAGTTTTAGGGTACATGTGCACAACGTGCAGGTTTGTTACATATGTATACATGTGCCATGTTGGTGTGCTGCACCCAATAACTCATCTTTTAACATTAGGTATATCTCCTAATGCTATCCCTCCCCTCTCCCCCTACCCCATACTGAATTTTTTTGTATTTTCGGTTTTTCTTTTTTATGAGACTTTAAGGAACTAGACTATATGGAAGTATATGGGTGTAGTAATGGAAGATAAGGGCTATTTTCATTAAAATCTATTTATGCATACTCATCTTGGTATTGGCTCTGTCTTCAATGATAACAGTACCTCCTCTCTCCCTGGAATTAGTGTGTCACCCTTCTCATGCCTTACTTTTAAGCAGATAAAGCCTAAAAGGGTAGAGAATTCTTCCTGTAACTATTGAGTATCAATTGCCAAGATAATCCTTAAGACAATGTGGTATAATTTCAGGGTGGTATATTCTGGTCCCTTTAAAGCAAGGTCAGATAGGCAATAGAAAGAATAACCTTAAACAAAGAGCCAACAATTGTACTAATATCATACAAGTTTGATGATTATAAATGTGCTCTGGAAATTTATTGCCAAATCAGCACAGACTTTGAGGAATTTTTTAAAAATTATTTTATACCTGTATTTAATGTGGAAAATAGTAAAAGTAAGTTTTCCATTTCTGGCATTATGACTAACATTTTTTTCTGAAAAGAAAAACATAAACAAAAGCTAGGAGCTGTGGCTGAAGAGGTAGAAGGCTAGAGCCTGGAATTGGGCAGCTAGGAGGTTAAAGCTGCCCTGAGGGGAGATATGAGGAACAACATTGCTCTCCCAAACCTAAGCAACTCCTGGGCCAGCAACAAAGTGAGAAGTGTAGATCAATTTGAACTTTTGTTGAGCCCTGACCCTCAAGGGAAGCTGAAGGAGTTGTAAGATCAGTGGCATTTCCTGGATGCCAGCAGATGCAAAAGAAAATCTTCTCTATGGCTGCATAGTATTCCATGGTGTATATGTGCCACATTTTCTTTATCCAAATGCCCATCATTGATGGACACTGTGGATGGTTCCAAGTCTTTGCTATTGTGAACAGTGCTACAATAAACATATGTGTGCATGTGTCTTTAGAGCAGAATGATTTATAATCCTTTGGGTATATACCCAGTAATGGGATTGCTGAGTCAAATGGTATTTCTAGTTCTAGATCTTTAAGGAATCGCCATACTGTCTTCCACAATGGTTGAACTAATTTACACTCCCACTAACAGTGTACAAGTGTTCCTATTTCTCCACATCCTCTCCAGCATCTGTTTCCTGACTTTTTAATGATCACCATTCTAACTGGTGTGAGATGGTATTTCATTGTGGTTTTGATTTGCATTTCTCTAATGACCAGTGATAATGAGCTTTTTTAAATATCTGTTGGCTGCATAAATGTCTTCTTTTGAGAAGTGTCTGTTCATATCCTTGGCCCACTTTTTGATGGGGCTGTTTGTTTTTTTCTTGTAAATTTAAGTTCTTTGTAGATTCTGCATATTAGACCTTTGTCAGATGGGATGAGTTCATGTTCTTTGCAGGGACATGGATGAAGCTGGAAACCATGATTTTCAGCAAACTAATACAAGAACAGAAAACCAAACACCGCATGTTCTCACTCATAAGTGGGAACTGAACAATGAGAACATGTGGACACAGGGAGGGGAACATCACATACTGGGGCCTGTCGGGGGGTGGGGGGCTAGGGGAGGGATAGCATTAGGAGAAATACCTAATGTAGATGATGGGTTGATGGGTGCAGCAAACCACCATGGCATGTGTATACCTATGTAACAAATCTGCATGTTCTGCACATGTACCCCAGAACTTAAAGTATAATAATAATAATAAAAAGAAAATATTCTCTAAAGGAAACCTGAAAAAATTTAGACCCACAGCCCTCTCATAGATTGAGAACAATGAGTTTGCAGCAAAAATTCATGAAGCACCCAACAAGGAAAGCCATTATAAAGTAAAAGCAGAGACAGGAAGCAATAGCTTACACCCAGGCTATTCACAAAACTACAGACTATTCACAAAATAAAATGTCCAATGGCTAATAAAAATAGGAAATGGTATTAAATTTCATTCTGAATCAGGGAAATACAAAGAAAAGCATAAGGAAATACCATTAAACATTCACCAGAATAACTAAAATGAAAGATAGGCAGTACCAGGTGTTGATAAGGATATAAAGAAACTAGAACTTCCAGACCGCTAGTACAGGATATTGCTTTCCATTCTTTTTTTTTTTTTAACGTATCTACATCTTTATATTTAAAGTGAGTTTCTTGTGGAAACCATATATTTGTGTCTTACTCTTTTATCTAATGTAATAATCTGTCTTTTACTTGGCATATTTAGACCATTTTCATTTAATATAGTTATTCATATGGCTGAATTAAAAATATAAGATTTTTCTAATAATTTTCTATTTGTTCTATATGTGCTTTGCCCTTTTCTTTCCCTCTCTTTCTACCTGCTTTTGGACTTTTTAAATAATTACATTTTATCTCCTCTATTGACTTATTACTTATACTTACTATAGTCCCCCTTTATCCATGGGGGCTACATGATCCAATACTCTCAGTGGACAACTGAAACTGCAGACAGTACTGAACTCTCTATATGCTATGATTTTTCCTATATATATATATACCTATGATAAAGTTTAATTTATAAATTAGGCACAGAAAGATATTATCAATAATACCTAATAATAAAATAGAACAATTATGACAATATACTGTACTAAAAGTTATATGAATGTGGTCTCTCTCTCAAGATATCTTATTGCACTGTAGATCTTAGGAACCTCAGCACACAATTTTTTTCCTTTCCTTCTTAAGTCAGAAACTTTCATCTTTTCACTTACGGGAAGCACTTTACACCTTCTTTTTGGCATATATGAATTGCCAGCATCACTACTCATGTGACTTGGGCTCATCATTAAGTGCAATACGGGTTACCACAAAGACTGTGATAGCATAACAGTCGATATGATAACTCAGATGGCTACGAAATGACTAGCAGGCAGGTAGCATATACAGTGCAGGTACACTGGACAAAGGGATGATTTATGTCCAGGGAAGAATGGAGCAGAACTGCCCAGGAGTTTATCATGCTACTCAGAATGGTGTGCAATTTAGAATTGTTTATTTATGAATTTTTTCATTTAATGTTTTGGAATCATGGGTGAATGTGGGTAACTGGAACTGCAGAAAGAAACTGCAAATAAGGGGGACTACTGTATTTTTTTAAAGTTGTAATGCTTGCATATGGGTTAATACATGACTTCAATTTATTACTGTGTACTCTCAAATAATATAACACTGCTTTACTTGGCCAGACCACAGTGGCTCATGCCTGTAATCCCAGCACTTTGGGAAGCCAAGGTGGGCAGATCACTTGAAGCCAGGAGTTCAAGACCGACCTGGCCAACATGGGGAAACCCCGTCTCTAGTAAAAATACAAAAATTAGCCAGGTGTGGTGGCACACGCCTGTAATCCCAGCTACTTGGGTGGCTGAGGCATGAGAACAGCTTGAACCCCAGAGACGGAGGTTACAGTGAGCCAAGATTGTGCCACTGCACTCCAGTCTGGGCAACAAAGAGAGACTGTGTCTCAAAAAAATAAAAATAAAATAACACTTGCTACACTTATAGGATAAGAAACTTAAAACAGTTTATTTCCAATTTCTCCCTCCCATTTTTTGTTCGGTCATCATCATATATTTTTGTTTTTACATATGCTATAAACCTAAAATATATTCCTACTTTTTTGCTTTTGTCACTTATTTGTTACATTAATTAAAAGTGAAAAAGGGGCCTTTATGTTTAACTTCATTTTCATTTCTAATTTTATATTTATCTTCATTATCTTTCATTTATTTATTTATTTTTAATTAGAGATGGGGTCTCTCTATGTTGTCCAGGGTAGTCTCAAACTCCAGGGCTTGAACTCCTAGACTCAAGCTATCTGCCCACTTCAGCCTCTCAAAGTACTGGGATTATAGGTATGAGCCACCATGACTGGCCCATTTGAACCATTTCTGGAGTTTTATTATTTCTTTGCATAGCTCCAAATTTCTATCTGGTATAGTCCTTCTTTCTGAAAAACTTATACAGCCCTTTTCTGTAATGTAGTCCGTTTGCAAGAAATTCAATCAACTTGAGTTTGTCTAAAAATATCTGTATTTGCCTCCATTTGTGAAAGGGATTTTCACTGACAATTCTGAGCTGGCAGCTGTTACTTTCATTCTTTAGGATGTCATTCCCTTGTCTTCTGGTTTGCATGATTTCTGATGAGAAGTCTTCTATAGTTATTATCTTCATTCCTTTGTATATAATGTCTTTGTGTCTTTTCTCTTTCTGCCTTCCTTCCTGAGTTTCTCTTTATCTTTATTTTTCAGAGGTTCAAATATGATGTGTATAGATGTTTGTTTTTCTTTAATGCTGCTTGGGGCTCTCTGAGCTTCTTGTATCTGTGCTCTAAAGTATTTCATTATTTTTGTAGAATTCTCTACCATTATTACTGACAAATGAACAAATATAATCTCAAATGCACTATGGTAAATCTAAAAAGCCAGACCGAAGAGGATACATAGCATATTATTCCATTTGTACGACATATTGGAAAAAGCAAAATTAGGAAAACAGATCAGGGGCTGGGGCTGGAACGCAGGCACTGAGTATAAATAGGCAGGAGGGTACATTCTGGGATCATCAAAGTATTCTATATCTTGATTGCAGTGGTGGTTACATAACTGAATATTTTTGCCAATTCACTGTATACTAAAAGGTAAATTTTCTCTATGTAAGTTTTAAAAAAGGCAATGACAGTAGCCAAAGTTCCTACAAAATAACAATTAAATTTTTTTAATTCAAAATTTTTTAATTAAAAATGTTTAAGTTTCCAAAAGGAAAAATAATGTAAAAAAGACCTCTCAATACGAAAACCAAATAAAACTACCTATAAGTTATGTATACAAGCTAAGAAGGAAACAGAGGATTTTGCAAAACTTGAAATTACATGTAAATAGGGAAATAAACATCTAACTTCAGCTCTGAAGCCCACACCAATGCAGAAAGAGTTAAGTAACCACTCAATGGTAGATAGAAGAAAGGAAAAAGGGTGCCTAAGGGTGATGAAATACAGATTAAATGACCCTCAGAAAGTGAAAGTCTTTCCCCGTGTAGGGAAACACTGAGAGAAGGTCTGAGGCCTCACAGTTGAAAGTAATGGCTTCTGTATGGTGGAAGAAATTTGTTTAAATCAATGGCTCTCTTATCTTTTGGGGAGAGACAGTTGCAGTGTTTTGATTTAATGATGTTCTTTTTGTCTTTCCAGTGCTTTTCATTTCCATTTCTTGATTCCTTCTTGTCTTTAAATGTTATAGTCCCTGCAAATTTGTCTATTTCTCACCCAGTAACCATAGCTGAAATGAAGAAAGTTTTTGTTTTGTTTTGCTGATGAAGTTTTTTAAAAACTGTATTATGAACAAAAAGCAAAAATACTTTGAGACACCAGATAATCCAAAAACTATATAAATTGATCTAAATTATGAAGATATAAGGAAAACAGTGAATTTCTTTTCCTGAAGCAAGCATAACACTGATAGCAGACCTGATCAAGATAGTGAATACATATACACACACATACACATGTCTATGAATACTAATGCAAAAATTATAAATAAAATATTAGTAAAAAGAATCCAATACCACATTAAATAAATAATACACTAAGATCTATTAGGATTTGTTCCCGGAATTAATGTATGGTTAAATATTAGAAATTCATTAATATAATTGACCATATTAATATTTCCAAGGGAAAAATAATATGATTATCTTCAGAGGTGCTGAAAGGGTGTTTAAAATATTAAAACTTATCCCTGATTTTAAAAAAACTTTCAATAAAATCAGAATTAATACATATTATTTTTACCCAATAAAAAAAATACATATGTCAATCCCAAAGTAAGCATATTATTGCTGGGGAAACACTAGAGTCAATCTCCTTAAGGTCAGGAATAAGGATGCCCATTACCTTTATTACTTTTTAATATTAAGTTGGAAGAACTAGCCATTAAAATTAGTCTAGAGAAAATAATTAGAGGCATAATAGTTTGAGAGACAAAATAAAGTTATTTTAATTTTCAGGTAATATGACAATATAACTGAAAACTCAAAAATATCAATGAATAAAAAAATTCAAATAATAAAATAATTTAGTAAGGTGACAAGATATAAAATTAGCATACAAAAATAGCCTTCATTTTCATCAATAATAACATGACTTTTTCTTTCATAGGACATCATAAAAATGTTAATTATTTCTACATTAAATCAGATTGAATATGATCCTGATAAAAATACAAATTTTTTCCTTGATGCTAGGCAAATTGATCCTAAAGTTTATATGGAAAAAAATAAACATTCAAATAAGGCTCTTTAATCTTTTTCTTTTTAGGAAAGCCCTGAGAAAGAAAAAAAAAAAGGAGTGACTAGCCCTACCAACCACTAAATCCTACTATTTATCTTTTATAATTAAAACACTGCAGTACTGGCATATAAATAGAACAGTGGGATACAGTAGAAGACAGACAGAGTAAAGTATAAATGGAAATCTAGTAGATAATAGAGGTGACACCTCAAACCACTGGGAAAAAGAGATAGACTCTTCATTAAATTGTGTTGAGAAAACTGGATAGTCATTTGCAAATGGATATAAATGGATTGCCAAAGCTAAAGTTGGATCTATATTATACAGCATATACAAGAATACCCTCGAAATGGATCAAAGATTTAAATGTAAAAAATGAAACCGTACAAGGTCAAAGTGAAAGCATCAATAAATTATTCGATAAACTGGGTGCAAGTAAAGACTTTTAAACTATTGCTCAAAACACAAATGCAATAAAAGAAAAGAGTATTAAATTCAATTACGTTTAAAAGGTTGTGTAGCAAAAACCACCGTAAGTAAAGTTCAAAGATAAATGACAAACCATAAGAAAATATTTGCCACATATGTCACAGATAAAGGATTAATCTCCATAATATATAAATAAATTTTCTAATCAGGGACAAAAAAGACCAAAAGCCTGATAGAAAAATGGGAAAAAGTCATAGATAGGTAGTTAAAAAAACAATTTACAAATGGTTCTTCAAGGCATAAACACTCAAATTCACTCATAATGAAGAGTTGCAAATATACTACACATGAATATTGTTTCTCATCTATCACACTGGCAAAACTTCAAAAACTTGACAACAAACTCTTTTGGCAAGATTATGGGAAAAAAAAATTGTGCTCAAACATTGCTAGAGGAAATTCAAAATGGTATGACCTCGATGGAGAAGAATGGGGCAAGATCCAACAAAACTACATTTGCATTTTCCCTTTGACACTGCCACTCCATATCCAGTAAGATACTGTATAAATACAAAACAACATATACACAAGATTATTTATTGCAGCATTATTTGTAATCACAAAATACTGGAAACAATTTAAGTGTCTATTCATATGAGACTGGTTGCATAAACTGTAGTACATCTATTACAATGAAGTATTATATAGCTATAAAAATGAAGATAATCTCTTTTAACTATTACAAAATGAATTCCAGGATATATTGTTAAATAAAAAACGGAAAGATACAAAAGACTATATACAGTGTGTTAACATTTGTGAAAGAGAAAGGGATATGAGAATATATAATTAAATGTCTATTTTTGGAAAAAGAAACACAGGAAGGATGAATCAAAAACTAGCAAAAACAGTAACCTACAGCAGTGAGTGAAAATGCAGTAGGATAGAGAATGGAATGAAACACCTCTGGATGTATCTTTTTATATACTTTTACTCTTCAATTACATTGATGTTTTACTTATTTATCAAATAAAATTCCATCAATAAAGCTGAGAAAATGAGCCCTAAAGTTAGACGAAAAGAACACTTGAGTTAAACACAAATGGAAATGAATAAGCCTAACTGCATTTCAAATTTATAATCATAAGAAAAAATAAAAAAGAATTAAAGTGATTTTTGAACACAATAGTCTATTCACCCTCAGTGGGATGTGTAGTAAGGCACTAAGAATTATAGAGGAATCTTATACTTTATTTAGTAGGCTTGTTGTTAGTGGGGGTACATGGCTAGTAATTCTAAAATTATTTTGTGATATTTGTAGGATTTAGGATATTAATAATTACATTGATATAATTGAGAACCAGAGTTTTAACTAGAAAGAAGACATACATACAGAATGGAGGAAGGAGAAGAAAAACCCAGTCATTTTAGATTTGAGTTGGAGGAGATTGTGTAAATTTACCATTTAAAAATGGTAATTTTAGTTGTGTCCACTTAAAGTGCTTAGAAGCAATGACATCCAGTAGCAATGAGCACATCTAGTACTGTGGTCTGAATTTCTAAATACTATTCCCAACTCAAAGATAATAGGGCTTCTTGAAAAAAATAATTGGTTCCAGGATTGAGGGAGGTATGTAAAAGAAGAGCCTGGAACACCTTCTTGCACCAGAAAAAAAGTGGTTTTTAAAAACCCACACAGAAATCAATTTCAGAGGGATTGCCTCTGGCCAAATTTGGGAAAATTGGGGTATCAAAAATAATAATGACGGTAATGGATTATGACCCATGTAACTTTAAAAGGTGCATGAGTACGTAGAGAATTTTTTTTTAAAGGAGAAATAAAAAGGGTGGGGGAAGGAGGGGAAAAGGAAACCTCTTTTTAAAAGAACTTTACCAATTAATAAATACATAAAGAATGCCATGATTAGAAATTACCATTTTGCAGCCACCATTGTAATAACTGATTCAAGGAGGAATCATTAGTGGACAATAAATGGTTGAGAGAAGGGTTATTGGGGAAAGGATATGTACAAGGTATCAAAGGGTCATCCTATATATTACTTAGTACTACCAATGGAAAAATAGTACTTTCTCACCAGAGAAATCTGGCAGATGTAATCTTAACTAAGGGATCAAACTTAACATTACCAAAAATGAAACAAACTGACATTATGAGCCTCCTGATATAATGCTCTGAAAAAGACACACTATCACTTACATAATATTCTTGCCAAAAAAAATTAACTTGCATATAATCTCAAAGGAACAAATAAGTACAAACTGAAGAACATTCTATAAAACAACTAGCCTTGACACCTCAGAAAAAGTGTCAATTTAATGAAAGGAGAGGAATTGTTCTTGAATAAAAGAGCTTAGAAGAAAACATAATTTGTAATCCTCAATTGGTTCCTAGATATAAGAAGGAGAGAGAGAGGAGAAAGGGAAAGAAGACAAGAAAGAGACAGAAAGGAAGTGAAAAAGAAAGAAGAAAAGTAGCTATAATGAACACTATTAAGATAACAGGGGAAATATTAATATAGACTGTTAGATAATAGTACTGTACCAATGATAAATTTCCTGTTTGTTAATTTTCTAATTTTTTTTTTCTTTTTGAGACAGAGTCTCGCTCTGTCACCCAGGCTGCAAGCTCTGCCTCCTGGGTTCACACCATTCTCCTGCCTCAGCCTCCTGAGTAGCTGGGACTACAAACACCCGCCACCACGCCCAGATAAGTTTTTTGTACTTTTAGTAGAGATGGGATTTCACTGTGTTAGCCAGGATGGTCTCGATCCCCTGACCTTGTGATCCGCCCGCGTCAGCCTCCCAAACTGCTGGGATTACAGGCATAAGCCACCGCGCCTGGCCTCTAATTTTGTTAATATGACATAATAGTTGCACATATTTTTGGGATACAGTGTGATGTTTTGATACATGCATACAATGTGCAACAGTCAAATCAGGGTATTTTGTATATCCATCACCTCATACATTTATCATTACTTTATCATGAGAACATTCAAAATCCTCTCTTGTGGCTATTTTGAAATATACAATAGAATATTGTTAACCAAGAAACAAAAATGCTAACTATAAAAAATGATTAAAAATTTCAACCACAGCAAAAGTAGGAACTCTTCAACTAGAACAGCCTAAAGCAAACAACAAAACCCCATAAAATTGGAGAAGATATTTTTAATTCATTAACAGACAAAATTCACAACTACTGAAAGAGCAAAACTTTAAAACTTCTGGAAATTAATAGGAAAAAGACAAATTACTCAAACAATCTAGTAGAAAAATAAGAGTTACTTTACAGAAAAAAATGCATGGATCATAAACAGATGCAAAAGATGCTCAACCATATACGTAGTCAGGACAAGGCCATTAGAGATCATGAAATACCATCTTATGTCCACAAGATTGGCAAAAACTAAAAAGTCTTTAAAAAGCATTGAAGAGGATGGAGATCAACAGGAAATTTCATAATGTGCTAATGAGAATATAAACTGGCTTAATCACACTGGAAAATAGTCTGTCGTCATCTTGTGAAGTTCAACATTCGCATGCCCCACACTCAGCAATTCCAACAGGCATCTATCCTGGAACAACTCTTGCATATGTGCACCAGCAGCACTGCTGGTGATACCAAAATCTTGAAACAAACCAAATGTCCATTAAAAAGAGAAAAAAATATGCTATGGTCATACATCTACACTCACCAACGTGGGTAAATCTTAGAAAAAACATTGAATAAAATACAAATCCCAGATAGTATAATATAATTTTTACAGAACTCAAAAACAAATACAAATAACCAATAGATTGTGCATGTATGTATAGGTTAGATGATAAATGCATGCTGTAAACTAAAGTTAGTTATATAATACTATAAAGAAAATTATATATACACAAGTAAATGAATCACATTGTAGAACGACATGCACAAGAAAATGAAATACAATATAGGACATCAACGATATCTGGGGTAATGAAGGGAGTATGGAATAAAAGAGAAGCCATAGCTAATGCAAGTTATCGGTAATATTCTAGTTTATTTCATGGATGATTATTTTTAGCTCATATTTAGCTCATATTTAGTTCACAGGTGCTCATTATATTAGTATACTTTAGAAATTACATATAGTTTACATATATTATTTTAAGGACCACTAGGGAATAAAAATATAATATTTATAATAAGGGTGGATGGTGAAATACCCTATTCAGTCATACATCGTTTAACAACAGGAAAATATTGTGAGAAATGCATAGTTAGGTGATTTTGTCATTGTATAAATATCATAGAGTGAACTTACACAAACCTAGATTGGATAGCACACCAGACACCTAGGCTATAGGGTATAGCAGATGATCATAGGTTACAAACCTGTACCACATGTTACTGTACTGAATACTGTAGGCAACTGAAACACAATGGTAAGTATGTGTGTATCTAAACATAGAAAAGGTGGAATAAAAAGTGCAGTCTTATAATCTTATGGGACCACTCTTAGATATGTGATATGCTGTTGATTGAAATGTCATTATGCAGCACATATGTATATGGAAGTTCACTGTGTTCTGTCTGAACTTTTAGGAATTTAATAGTAAATGAGAAATCTAAAGGAATGCTTAATAAGGAAAGATAAATTACTAATTTTAAGCATCATATATTTACACATGTATAAAAACCCTTGTAATAAATATTTTTAAAGAGTAAATGGAAAGTTAAGTGGAGAGTTACAATATACTATGGATGCTGCTATTGAAATGTACATAAGCCTTCTTTTTAATAAATTTATTTTTCAAATAAAATGGTAGAGATATTCCCACCATTCCATCAACACGTGCTCATCCATCTCTTCACTTCAAATGGACTACAGGTTCTGTATGACTTCTCATGCCTATCAGAATTAGGTGGTGACCACTCACCCTTTTAGTTACCTAAAAATAAGAATGAGAGACTGCTGAAATTAAGGAGGGCATGCAGAGCAAATTATAGGAAGTACTTCCCTATTTAGCATATAATCAAGCTGTAGAATTTAGATCTGCACTTAAAGAAAAGATTGCTGTTGCTAGCTTCAAAAGAGGCCAGATGATAATGGCATGAATATTAATACATTTGCAGCTAGCCAAAGCAATATAATGGTAAGTAGATCTCATGCTTCAGTGCATAGACTGATTGCCTACAGGAGTCAAGGACTTCCCTCACTCACTGAACTAAGGGCACTTTGCACTGGTTATTGTCACTTTTCTCTGAGTCATCAAATAATGACTATGATAGGCCAACATTGCTAATTAGTTTAGAAAAACTTATGTTCCATGTATTTTTATAATTTCCTGCATCATTACAAATTTTTTTCAGTTACCTCTCAGAGACATAGAAAACCCTTAATTAACAACATACTCATTTTAGCTACAGAATTGTACACACTACTATTTAAAGTAGAAAGGACAGATTTCACCCAAAGTCCTAGTGCTCAAATGCAATGCTGTTAAAATTTATGTATATTTCATTGCAGTCTCTAGTTTTCATATAAGTGATTATACAATTTTGCTTCCTAGTTTTGCTTTTGTGTGTATGTATTTGTGTGTGTGCTCAATGCTATTCTATATATTTCCCCCAGTTAACTATTAATTGCATACCAATTAATACTATTTAAGAGAAATATGTAGTAATTCTAGTGGTT
Source organism: Homo sapiens (assembly GCF_000001405.40). NCBI lineage: Eukaryota > Metazoa > Chordata > Mammalia > Primates > Hominidae > Homo > Homo sapiens. Next base: position 116,364,582 of record NC_000010.11, on the reverse strand, counting down.
ACATCACTAATTAACATAATCATTTCTTATAACAGGGCATTTCAGTTTTTTTTTTACCATAAATAATATTACTATGAACACCTTTGTGAGCATAAAGCTTCTTCTGTACTTAGCATTGTCTTCCTTAGAATACAGCTCATAAATGGAATTATTGGGTCAAATGGCATAAACATTTTAAGATGCTTATAATAATTTGTTTGTCTTAAATTTCATTCCAAATATATCTAAGCATGTATACTGCCACCAGCCATGTATAAGTCATCTCTGCAGCACACACTTGCCAATTTTGATTATGATCATTTGATCTTTCAAAAATTGATAGACTAAATAATATTTAGTGGTTTTAATTTACATTTTATTGATAATCAGTATAGCTCAATTACATTGTCTTACTCATGTTGGTATCCCCAGCAACTAGCCTACTGTACGGTACAAAGTAGGTGTTTAATCCATGTTTGATAAATGCATGGATAAAGAACCACTAATTTAATGTTTTCTAATGGATTTTTATCAGTTGATTTTTTAACAAGCTGTTATCCTTTGTTTATCATAATGACTATAATTTTATTCCAGTTTACCATTTAATCTTGATGACTTTTATTGACACATGAAACTTTAAATCTATTATTATTATTTTTTTTTTTTTTTTTTGAGACCAAGTCTCGCTCCTGTTGCCCAGGCTGAAGTGCAATGATGTGATCTCGGCTCATTGCAACCTCTGCCTCCTGGGTTCAAGAGATTCTCCTGCCTCAGCATCCTGAGTAGCTGGGATTACAGGCATCCACCCCCAGCTAATTTTTGTATTTGTAGTAGAGGCGGGGTTTCACCATGTTGGCCAGGCCAGTCTCGAACTCCTTACCTCAGGTGATCCACCTGCTTTGGCCTCCCAAAGTGTTGGGATTATAGACGTGACTCACTGCGCCCAGCCGAAATTTTAAATCTTGTATGTTAAATTTATTAATCTTGTCCTTTTTGGTTTTCTTAATCACACTAGAGGTTTAATAAGTAGTTCTTCCTACTTTCCACTGGTTTTTCCATGGACTGACTTTTTACATATTCTCTATCTCTATATTAATTCATATAAAATTATTTTAGTGGCATTTAAGCACAAAATTATTCTATTTAAAGTACTATCAGTACTCCAATTTCATATATAATTTATTTCTGAAAGTGGGTATGAAAGTTGAATGTGTGACAGTAGAATTATCAGTTTTCTAATTCTGCTTTCCTTCAGTCCAGGCCAAGAGCAGATAGGTAAGAGCTTTCACAGGTGTGTAAGGCTAGACCAGAGGAATCTGCTGAGAAAGGGCTAGAAGAGGGAGCGGTCCTGCCAGCATCTCCCTTCCTCCAAATCCTGGTTGGTTGGGGTAGGCATCTCCTTTTACCACATATTTTCTGTCATCTTCCCAAACCCACACCAAAAGGGGTTGATTTATAAAGATAAACATAGGAAAATGAAAAAAGAAATCTGTATGACATTAAAGATACCAATGAATTTAGAAAATAATCACTGTAATATTTTGTATGGCTTGTATAATAAAATTATTTCACAATTTAGGGGAAAAGTTACATTTATATCAGAATATAACTTTTAAAATAATCAATGGAGTCTACCGTAAAAATTTCCTCTGTATTTGCTTTGAAGCTTTAATAACTACAGTATGTGCCAAGGATTCACAAAACAGGGGATCTCTATTAGCTTGAAGGCTACATAATCAATGCTGTAGAGACACTTCTGTTAGTGAATAAATGATGAAGTTTTACCAGAAAAGATGCAGAGTCAACAGAAATATTCAGCAAAATATAGAGCTAAAAAACAGTCCTGGAATTAAATGGGGATTCTCATATTTTATAAATGTTAAAAAAGATGGAGACAATATAGGTAAGGTACAGACACACAACTATTTGACTAATATTTTGAGGACACTGTAGAACTGAGATCTTGTTACTCTTGTCTACTTTGAGCTTCTCTGTTGTTGAAAACAAAGAGCAAAGATAATGTAGACTATTTTATAAATGGAACCTGGGTAACAATTCATATTACTCTACGAAATGCTGCTTATTCTAAATAATGTTACAGAAAGACTCTTGCAAGTATTTAAGGATACATTTATAAAAGTGTGTCTAATTATGAATATTTAGAAACTATCTTGTACATCCATTAATGAGAGACTGGTTATATAAATATGGCATCTCCATATAATAGCATGAAAAAGAATGAAGATTAGTACAAACTAAAATGAAAACATCTACATTTTGATAAATAATTAAGCAAACTGCAGACCAGTGTGATTCATAATCCCATTTTTGCTAAACACACACAGACATACCTATGTACATGTGTGTACACACACAAACAGAAATAAATTCTGACAGTATACACATCAAACTTTTAACAGTAGTCACACTTGGGGTGTCAGAGCAAGGGTATGAAAAGCGATCTCGGCTCACTGCAAGCTCTGCCTCTCAGGTTCACACCATTCTCCTGCCTCAGCCTCCCGAGTAGCTGAGGCTACAGGTGCCTGCCACCACGCCCGGCTAGTTTTTTTTGTATTTTTAGTAGAGACGGGGTTTCACCATGTTAGCCAGGATGGTCTCAATCTCCTGACCTCGTGATCTGCCCCCGTTGGCCTCCCAAAGTGTTAGGATTACAGGCATGAGCCACCACACCTGGCCCGCCTGTTCTCATAATAAAAAATATATACATGTGAAAATATACATATTTATTTATGTATCCTTGAAAGAGTTTGAAAACATGTTAATACCATATTGAGTTTATGCCTTCTTACAAGTCTAAGGACCAACAGTGTGACCTCTATGACCAACTTAACTAGATGACTTTTTCACTGAAGAGGTCACAGCACTGCTTTACTACATGACATTAATGCATTTAGAGTCTCTCGTAGCAGGTGTATATTAACTTTTGTGCAGCTTACATTGCAAATATGCTCTTCACAAACCATACTACCTTTTTTTCTTTTCATTTCTTTTTGTTCTTATTGCCCTGTCTTGTGGTGATGAAACAAAGCCACACCATCTTTAAGTGCTCAGAATGAAAATCTCATGCTGTTGCCTATGCAGATTTATTCCTAAAACAATCTTCCTATTGCATTAAACAAGCACAAATATCAGTAATACAAGATGTACAACCATTCTAGAAGGAAGTTTTGTGGTGAAAGAAAATTCCTGAAATGTTTAAAATTGTCTGTTATGTTATAATTTGGAGTAAATAAAAAAAATCATGATCAAGAACTGTGCATTTTGGTAAACCTCGTGTTGGGTAATAACAAAAAATAATAGGTTTGTGCAGTGGCTCACGCCTGTAATCTTAACACTTTGGGAGACTGAGGCAGGTGTATCACTTGGGGTCAGGAGTTCGAGATCAGTCTGGCCAACGTGGTGAAACCGTGTCTCTACTAAAAATACAAAAATTAGTCAGGCGTGGCGGTGCATGCCTGTAATCCCTTGCTCTGGGATACAGAGCAAGACTTTGTCTCAAATAATAATAATAATAATAATAATAATAATAATAATAATAATAATAATAATAGGTTTGGGGGTTTACAGAGGCCCAATATATAATACTCTTCTTTCCTGCCTGAAATCTGCCCAATCAAAAAATAAGAAAGGCAGAAGGCAAGCATAAATGTCACATTTATTACTGATATAGCAGATACTGGAGAATGTGGCTTAAATCTGTAGGCAAGGGTTTGCTAATATCAAACCCCAGTATTAGACTAACTTAACTCACACCATTAAAGGTAGCAGTGGACCCCACAGGCTTTCTCTTGTGGAGTCCAGCAATGATAAAACTTAAGAGATGGAGAAGCAGAGTGGGAAAACACGCTCTCTGAGGCAGGCAATGTTCCAAAGAGACAGGGAAAAGAAAGGGGCTGGGCTCCACATTTCCCAGTTTGCCTTTCCAGATTCACCGATCAGACTGTGTCACTCCTCTCCACATTAGGATAAGGGAATGAGGGACTAAGGGGAGGTCAGCATGATTAAACTTGTAAAGCTTTTTCCACATCGAAGAAAAAGATAGGAATGAAAATAATCCATTCCAAAGTGGCACTTTCCCAGTGGTTAGAATACATAATGTCTTTGCAAATAACACTGAAAATATATGAAGATGAACTTTAATCTTTTCGTAGTGAAAATTCAATTATATGTAGACTCAATTACGGGAACAAATATTTATTGAACACTATGTGCCCTGGACTGTGCAAGATGCAAAGAGTGAAAGAAAGATGAACCATAAGTGGGGGGAGAGCTGGGTTTCAAAAGGGTTTAACCACTATGCTTACTGCCTCTTAAGACTCTGATCTTTATTATTTCTGTTCTCCCTACACTATATGAAAAAACCAGATCAGTCATAATTACATACCTCTTTGGGAGGTTTCTGATAAATTAACCTAACCTATGGTTTAAGTGTAAATCATAGCAATATTCTATAAGTCAGCTGCTTAAATGTGTGTTAGTTACACACTTACTCTTCAAAACAGAATGTTTAAATAAACAAACATCTTGATATTTATAAATAGAGACAGATTATTTAAAGCAGAGACTATTATCATTCTGAATGTGAACCATTAAACCATTGTGAATGCAAACTTTACCTAAAGCAGAGACCACTAAACTGTGAAACACTGGTTCTCTACAGTAATGGATAACATCAAGATAGATTCCAACAAATAACCTGAACATGGCATATTAAGCTTTAAAACATGAACCATAATCGTTATAAAAGAATTTCAATATAGACAAAATAAAGCATGTATTAAAGTTGTCTAATTACTAAAACTAGAAACAGTAAGCTCATAGAAATGAATTAATATTAAAGATTTCCTCTGTAATTGCTTTCTTACTGGTTAAAGTTAATGAATGTAGAAGTCATAATAACCTTAAAATAAAGCTGGTTCTCAACTTGGGGGGACTTTGCAACCCCCTTCCCCAGCGGACATTTTGCAATGTCTGGAGACATTTTTGGTTGCCACAACCGGTGAATGCAGGGTGCTACTGCATCTAGTGGGTAGAGGACAGGGTTACTACTAAACATCTCACAATGCATTGAACAGCCCCCGACAACAAAGAATAATCTGGTCTAAAATGTCAACAAGGCCAAGTTTGAGAAATCCTGCTATAAAAATAACATCTACTCCATTAAGAAGTCAAACCCGACAAATTAAGAGAAATGCAACTATTATGGAATTCCATATACATTTGAACACAGAGATGAAAAAGACTATTCTATCCCAAAATTCAATAACAACATCAACTTAATTTTGGCCTTCATGATGAAGCTGAATCAATGTCTTATTGTTTTTTGACATCATTAGCTTCTTGTTATTGCATTAATTGTAAGACTGATAGTCCTCTTTCCTAAAATCTTTATACTCAGTACTTTGACTTCACTCTTCACACCTGGGAAAACTTATGAAACATGCTAATTGGGAAACTAAGTACACATATCAATGAATGAAAAAGTAGGAATTGATAAATATTGGCATTTAATTTAATAACTGCTAAAATGCAATGAATGGACTAAATATATGCACTGGTATTTCTTTCTATCCAAATTTCCTAAGTCATCATTTGTGAAGGAAAAAGCATTCTCTAACAGACTTTGTGTGTTTAATTTTAACCCAGAGCACATTTTTATGACTGAGTGATAAACCTACAAAACTGGAGTTCAGATTGGAAGCCCTCACACTACTAACTCTAATGACACCAGTGGGCATCACCATTTTTTAAAGTGCAAAAAAAAATGAATGAGCAGATTGTCATTATCAAAACTCATTCTGCATCATACATATCACCCAAGAGATTGATATTTTATGCTTATAAAACTTAACATAAAATTAAATTGCAAATATTGTCTCACAATCTACTAAAATTATTGCCTAAGGTAATACACTGCTAATATGAAGCATTTGTTCAGCTCTAGTGGACATATTTCCTATACGATTTATGTGAAAGAAGGCTTCATTTGCTTCTTCATAGATCCAGTAATGAGGTTTCTTTTCTTATATGAAACCTAGAAAGTGCAGGAACTTCTTTAAAATTAAGCCAGCAAAGGTAACACTAAATTGTTAATCAATGAGAGTCAAATTTTAAAACTTGAGGTCTTTACTCCTTGTGTTTATGACTATGTCACTTCAAATATCATACATTCATTATCCAAATGCATAAAAATCATCTAAATAATCCATACAGAAAATACATTTTCACTTTTTAAGAACAAAACCAGAGTAACAAATGTCAAGTAAAATAGCAGACTGATTTCCTCCCACCGCTGGAATCTAGAAAGATTAAAAGTAATTTCAATCATTTCCCGCCAAAAGTTAGGAATAACAGAAAGGAGAGTTGTCTTATCTCTTGGGATGTGAAAAATACTGAGTCTCAAGAAAAGATATAATTAATTTCACTATTATCAGTCATCAACCCAACGCATCATGAACTTATGTGTAGCACTTTCTAGGCCCTGAAGTGTTTCCTTATTAGCACGTGTCAGAATACACAGAGAAGAAAATAATGTCCTCATCTGGAACTTCAAATTAATAATTGATGCACTTAGCTTTATACTGAAATCTATTTAACTTGAAAAATTACCTGATTTAGGCCAAAATATAACAGGAAACTCTTACCTTAAGCATTCTGTATCATTTTGAGGCTTTTCACTGATTTTTATTTTTTCTGCCTCTAGATATTTGGTAGTACAAATGGATTCATTCTCTTCATCTTCAAAAACTAAACAAATCAAAAAATAGTTGCAATCTTTTGAAAATTAAACATAAAGATTATCTTTATTCACTCATAAGAACAGTACTCTAATTTTTGGTGCTTGCATATAAAATTTATACACTAATGATTTTTATTTTCTACTTTAATATAGCAATTACATGCACAAAAAAGATCTTCAAAAAATTTGTGACATTAAAAATATCAGATCTCACGTTGATTAGTGTTTTATCTATTTCTTTTTTATACCAATAATAGCACTATATCACAACAGGTTAATATATTTTAAAAGAATAATATGCCCTTATCATGCATATATAACTATATTTATCAGCAAAATAAGCTAACTCATGAAGGTAATACCTTTAAGTTTTCTTTGGAGAGTAAATAATTCTTGTATCAATTCACTCTTTTGTTTTTGAAGTTCATTTAACTGGCTACTATCATGTTCCATTGACTTCATTTCTAGAAACAGATACAAAAGCATCAAAAATAAAATACTTAGAAATAAATTTAACCCCGGAAGTAAAAGACCTGTACACTAAAAACTATAAAACACAGATGAAAGAAAGTGAAGACAACACAAATAAGTGAAAAGATATCCATGTCTATGGATTGGAAGAATTAACGTTGTTAAAATATCCATACTATCCAAAGCAATATACAGAGTCAATGCAATCCCCATGAAAATTCCAATGGTATTCTTCACAGAAATAGAAAAAAAATCAATCCTAAAAAATCTAAAAAGAAATAGAAAACTAAACAAATGCAAAAAATCTATTTTAAGCATTTAAGCTTTGCCTTACGTCAGCAATTATTAACGTTTTCTCATGTAGTAAAAATCTAAGCAGCATACGGTTAATTTTAAGCTCCAACTAGCTTCCCCTGGCCAACTAGTAACTCTTTTTAAGAAACTGACCAGAACTTATTAATCACCAGCTGGATACAAAAGGATAAGTTAGTAGATGGTTAGCCTACCAAAAGAGAATTCAAAATATGTAATATCACTTAGTGAAATAAAGTTCCAAATAAGAAAACTATCCTTTATAATTAAAACACATTTAAAATGACATTGCATAGTACTCATAATATGGCTACAAGCTTTCACAATATTGCTAATATTGTTTCTTCTACCTAAAATGCCCTTGCTCCCTTTATTCTCATGACAAATCCCAATTCATCCTTTAAGACTCATCTCCTAAATTTTCAAATATTCTTTCTCTTCTGCCATAATTTCTGGAACTCCACTTACACATTTTATTAGATTCTTTTATGTTGTTCCACATGTCTCTGAGCAGCTTTTTAGCTTTTTGAAGTCTTTTGTTTCCCTCTGTGTTTCCATTTTTTAAGTTATCTCTAAATTCACTGGTCTCTTCTTCTGCGGCCTCTGATCTGCTCTTAATCTCTTCCAGGAAATTTTTCATATCAGGTTTCCTTCCTTCCTTCCTTCCTTCCTCCCTCCCTCCCCTCTTCTTCCTCCTCCCCCCCTTTCTTTCTCTTTCTTTTCTTTTTTTCTGAGTGGAGTCTTGCTCTGTTGCCCAGGTTGGAGTGCAGTGGCGCCATCTCGGCTCACTGCAACTTTTGCCTCCCGGGTTCAAGCGATTCTCCTGCCTCAGCCTCCTAAGCAGCTGCGATTACAGGTGCTCGCCACCATGCCTGGCTAATTTTTGTGTTTTTAATAGAGACGGGTTTCACCATGTTGGTCAGGCTGGTCTCGAACTCCTGACCTCGTGTTCTGCCTGCCTCGGCCTCCCAAAGTGCTGGGATTACAGGTGTGAGCCACTGCACCCGGCCCAGATATTGTATTTCCTAACTTTTAGAGCCCCTTTGGTTCCTTTTACAAACAGTTTTTATTGATACATAATTCACATACCACATAATTCATCCTTTTAAAGTATACAATTCATTGGGCTTTAGTATTTTCACAGATATGTGCATCCAATTACCATTATATAATTTTGGAACATTTCACTCCCCCCACCAAAGAAACTCCATACCTGTTAGCAGTCATTCCCAATTTCCCCTAACTCTGCCAGCCCTAGGCAACCACTGATCTACTTTCTCTATATACAGATTTGCCTATTCTGGATATTTCACAACAATGGAATCATACAATATGTGGTCTTTTGCATCTGGCTTCTATCACTTAGCATAATGATTAAAAGGACTACCCATTTTGTAGCATGTTTCAGTGTTTCATTTATTTGATGCCTGAATATAATTCCACTGTATATATATGCCCATATTTTGTTTTTGGATTCCTCACGTGATTGACATTTGGGTTGTTTCCACTTTTTTGCTACTACGAATAATGCTATGAACATTCATGTACAGCCATGTGTTGTTTGACAACAGGGATATGTTCTGAGAAAAAAGTCCTTATGTGATTATGTTGTTGTGAGAACATCATCAAGTGTACTCACACTCACTAAGATGGGGTAGCCTACTACACACATAGGCTATACTGTATAGCCTATTGCTCATAGGTTACAAACCTATACAGCATGTTACTGTACTGAACACTGTAGGCACACCGTAATAAGCATTTGTGTATCTAAATATATCTAAACCTAGAAAAGGTACAGCAAAAATACAGTATAAAAGATAAAAAATGGTATACCTGTGTAAGATACTTACCATGAATGGAGCTTGTAGTACTGGAAGTTGCTTTGAGTGAGTCAATGAGTGGTGAGTGAATGCATAGGCCCACGACATTACCGTACACTGCTCTAGACATTATCAACACTACGCTTAGGCTACACTACTTTAAAAATATTTTTCTTTCTTTGATAATAAATTAACTTTCACTTTCTTTAACTTTTTAAGTTAACTTTTTAAAAACATTTTGACTTGTAATAACACTTAGCTTAAAACAAATATACAGTACAGTTGTAAAATATATTATGTTTTACTTCTTAAACTTTTTTTGTAAAAAACGAAGACACAAATACACACAATTAGCCTAGGCCTACACAAGGGTGGGATCATCAATACCACTATCTTTGACCTCCATAACATCTTGTCCTGGAAGACAAGCCCCTACTGGAAGGCCCTCAGGGGCAATAACATGGATGGAGCTGTCATCTTCTTTTATTTATTACTATTATTATTTTTTGAGACAGAGTCTCGCTCTGTCACCCAGGCTGGAGTGCAGTGGCATGATCTCAGCTCACTGCAACCTCCGCCTCCGCCTCCTGGGTTAAAGCAATTATACTGCCTCAGCCTCCCAAGTAGCTGGGACTACAGGTGCATGCCACCATGCCCGGCTAATTTTTTGTATTTTAGTAGAGACGGGGTTTCACCATGTTGCCCAGGCTGGTCTCAAACTCCTGAGCTCAGGCAATCTGCCTGCCTCAGCCTCCCAAAGTGCTGGGATTACAGTCGTGAGCCACCATGCCTGGCCTGGAGCTGTCATCTTCTATGATAACAATGCCTTCTAGAATAATTCTTACAGGACCTGCCTGAGGCTGTTTTACAGTTAACTTTTTTTACAGTTAACTTTTTTTAATAAGTAGGAGGAATATACTCTAAATAATAATTATAAAAAGTATAATAATACATAAACCAGTGACATAGTCATTTATTATCTTTAGCAAGTATTATGTACTGTACATAATTTTATGTGCTATACTTTTATATGACTGGCAGCACAATAGGTTTGTTTACACTGCGATCACAAAAACATGTAATATGTTGTGCCACAACGTCACTAGGCAATAGGAATATTTTCAGCTCCATTATAATCTTATTGCACCACTGTCATACATGGTCTTTCATAGACTGAAATGCTGTTATGTGGTGCACGACTGTACAAGGTCTTGTGTGGACATGTTTGTAATTCTCTTAAATACCTGGAAGTGGAATCATTGAATCATATGGTAACTCTAGGTTTAATGCTTTGAGAAACGGCCAAACTGCTTCCAAAGCAGTTGCATCATTTTACATTTCTCCAATTTCTCCATATTCTTGCCAACACTATTGCTGTCCACCTTTATTATAGCCACACTAGTGGTATCTCATTGTGGTCTTGATTTGCCTTTCCCTGATAACTAATAATGTAAGCAACTTTTCATGTTGCTTAAAAAAATACATCGTACATTTGTATAAAAATATTTTTTTTCTTTTTAAACTATTTACACTCAAACACATATAATTAGGCTAGGCCTACACAAGGTCAGGATCATCAATACCACTGTCTTTCTCCTCCACATCTTGTCCTGGAAGACAAGCCCCTACTGGAAGTGGCTTTGTATAGCTTTTTTGGGAAACGTCTATTTAATTCCTTTGTCCATTTTTAAATTGGGTTATCTTTTTATTAAGTTGTAAGAGTTTTTAATATATTCTGAATACAAGTCCCTTATATATGATTTGCAAATATTTTCTCCCATTTTGTGGTCGTCTTTTCACTTCCTTGATAGTATCCTTTGAAACACAAGAGTTTTTAACTTTGATGAAGTCCAATTTATCTATACTTTATTGCTTGTGCATATCTAAAATAAACCATTCCCTAATCCAAGCTCATGAAGAGTTACACCCGTATTTTCTTATAAGAGTTTTTCATTTTTAGCTCTTACATTTAGCTGTCTGATCCATTTTGAGTTAATTTTTGTGTATGGTATGAGGTGGATGTACACATTTATTCTTTTTTTTTTGAGATGGAGTCTCGCTCTGTCGCCCAGGAAGGAGTGCAGTGGCGCGATCTCGGCTCACTGCAAGCTCCACCTCCAGGTTTCATGCCATTCTCCTGCCTCAGACTCCTGAGTAGCTGGGACTACAGGCGCCCACCACCATGCCCGGCTAATTTTTTGTATTTTGAGTAGAGACGGGGTTTCACCATGTTAGCCAGGATGGTCTTGATCTCCTGACCTCGTGATCCACCCGCCTTGGCCTCCCAAAGTACTGGGATTACAGGCATGAGCCACTGTGCCCGGCCTTGTTTATTAGCTCTAATAGTTTTCCTGTAGATTCCTTAGGTTTTCTATATACGAGATCATGTTATCTTTGAATAGAGATAGCTTTACCTCTTCCTTTCCAATATGGATGCTTTTTCTTTTTCTCTTTTTTTTTTTCCTAATTGCTCTGCCTAAAACCCCCACTATAATGTTGATTAGAAGTTGTAAGAGTAAATATCCTTGTCTTGTTCCTGATCTTAGAGGGGAATATTCATTCCATTATCATTAAGAATGACATTAGCTGTGGGTTTTTCTATAGATGCCCTCTATCAGATTGAGGAAAGTCCCTTCTATCCCTAGTTTATTGAGTGGTTTTATCATGAAAGTTGTTGAATTTTGTCAAATATTTCTTCTGTGTCTTTGGTTATTTTTATATCCTCCATTTAGTTCCTCATTATGCTCATGTCCTTGAGTATACTTAGAATATTCTAAAAGCTTTAATTATTTTTCCTTCTAATTGCATCATCTATATCATTTCTAGGTATGTTACTATTGACCAAATTTCCTCCTTGCTCTGAGTTGTAATTTGCTGCTTCTTTACATGTCTAGTAATTTTTGACTGTATACCAAACATTGTGTTTACTATTTTGTTAAATGAGTTTTGCTGTCTTCCCATAAAGGATGTTGATGTTTGTTTTAGTAGGCAGGTAAGCTACTTATGGGTCATGTGCAAATCTTGTTTATAAGAATTTTTTAGGGTAGGTCTAGAAGAATATTTAATTTAATTTAATCCTTCTATTAAGGCAGAACTCTTCTGTTTAATGAAATATTTCTATTGTGACAAGATGGAACATGAATGTCTTCCATTCCCATATGAGCTCTTAGAATTGTCCACCTTATTGCTCCCCAGTAGTTTTTCTTTACTCAGCCCAGTGGGGTTTCCTGTCTGTATACACAGGTTCAAGTACATCCAAAGACTCAAGAGGATCTCCATCCAGATTTCCAGAGCTTTTTCTCTGTGTGGATCTGTCCTCTCAAGTACATTGTCCTGAAAATTCTAGCTAACTTGGCCTCCCTAAATTCCAATCTTTGTTTCCTCAACTCAGACCATTTTGCATTGCTTAAGTTCCTCCTCCCAGTGCTACTATCCAAAAACTATATCCAGTGAGAAGGCTTGGGCAATTAGGGCTTACCTCATTTGTTTCCCTTCTCTCAGGGATCGTGGTCCTGTACTCTCTTGTCCTCAATATCTAAAAGTAGTTTCTCATATAATTTTCTCCAGTCTTTTAGTTGTGATAGAAGGGAAAATTCCATAAAATTATTCCTCATGACGATACGTAAAAGTTCTCCACATAATATTTAAATTATCCTTTTACTTGTCTCTCTTCCACATTAGATCACAAGCTCCTTGAAAACAGGAACTATGCCTCATTCATCTTTAAATCCCAATTTCTGAACAGTGCCTGGTGTAGTATATACAGTAGATGCTCAAGAAAGCATGTTGAACAAAACTAAAATAAATCATATAATTGACTTTAAATATTTTTGATTATTCACAATGTTTCTGTCCACTAGTGTAGGTAACTGAAAGTGGACAATTCAATGAAAAGAAAATACGTTCATGTTTATCCTTCTGCTCCCTTAATAAACAAAAGTTTAAAATATAAATATAACTACATATTAATATTCAATAGAGGGAATCCAGGATACCATAACACAATATTCAACAGATTAAAAAAGATACAATATTTTATTCATTATTAATTGATTTATCAGACATTCTATCACAAGAAAATCTTTGTAAAACTTAGGCAAGAATGATGGAGAAATACTGGATTTAAGTATTTCTGAAATATATCTTTCTTAATCCTGACACTTTAGCCTAAATGAAAAAGGTAAGTCTAAAGATTAATCCTTTAAAGAAAAAAATAAAACAAATATGCCAATTTCTTATCAGGCTTATAGAACAGAAAAAAGTAAACACTGTGTTTGTGGTGATAACTTTTTTTCCTACTTGTTTATTGCCTCACTATTATTTTATTGTTATTTTTATTTACAGCTTTATTTAGGTATAATTGATGTGGCAATCACTTTTTAATTTCTTCCACGGCCTAAAACCCACAATGTTCTAATCAACAGCTAGCTTTTATGGTTATGAATATTAAACCAACTAAGACAATCAAAATTAATTTACATCTTTTAACATGTGAATTGTCTTCCTCATATGTACATTGCCAATCATTAAAGGATATTGCCAAGCAAAGAAAAGTGTCATATATTGCTTATCTCACATCTAAGAAAAATGAATTCAACAACTCGGAGAAATGAGTAAGAGGAACATTTTGAGAAAAACATTATGACAACCATTATTTTGAAGCCAAAAGTGATGAACTGTTTTATCTATGAATTACCAAATGTTTAAAATAAATATTCATTTTACAAACAGATATATTGAATATCAATTATTCCACATTTCTAGTTTCTCAGGCCAAAAACCTTAAAGTCAACCTTAACACTTATTTCTCTCATATTCCACATCAAGTCCATCTTGAAATCCTCCTTGCTACCTTCAAAACATATTTAGAACCTGAATACCACTTACCACTTCTATGCTGCATCCCTGATCCAACTGCTCATCATCTCTCATCTGGATTACAGCCACTGTCTTCTAGGTTTCCGTTTCTGCTTTTACCTCCCTTAACTGTGTTCTCAATAGCAGTCAAAGTAATCCTATTCAAATGTGAGACCCTTCGCTCTTTTGCTTAAGTCCTCCAATGGCTTCTCATCTCACTTCAGTAAAAGTCTTTAGAATGACCCACAAGGTTTTAAATCTGGATTCCTGTCACCTCTCTGATCTCATGACCTCTCCTTTAACTCTAAATGCCTTAGGCTCTGCTCTTTCTCAAAAAATGATTAGGCACAATCTCCCTTCAGGTGATTTGCATCAGCTATTCCTTCTCTGTGAAATGATATTCCCCCAGGTATTCACTTGTTTGATTCCCTTACCTCTTTCAGGTCTTATTCAAAACTCGCCTTATTAATGAGGCTTTCCCTGGACATCTATGTAAAACTGTACCACACACCCCACTGCAACCCCACCCCTTATCTATCTATCCCTCTTCCCTCCCTTATTTTTCTCCACTCCCTCCCTCTCTCATACTGGAATGTAGGCTCCATGGGGGCAGGGATTTTTTTCTTCTTTTCTTGGTCACTACAGTAACACCAGGTCCTATAACAATGCCTGATACACAAAAAGTGCACAAGTATTACTGAATGAGTGAACAAACTAAGCACATTTCAGAAATACATTTGTAAGCAAATGTAGTTCCTCTCTCTGTGAAAATTTATACTTTAGTGGAAGAAACAGACAGGAATCAAATAATCATACAAGTGTGTAATTACAATGCTTTGAAGAAAAAGCACAGAGGGCAATGAGAGAATATAACCAGAAGAGCTGACCTAATATGGAATTGGGAGGGTGGAGTATCACAGAAGGATTTCCTGAAGATGTAACATTTGAGCTGAGATCAGAAGAATGAAAAAGTTAACTAGATCACCAGTCCCCAACCTTTTTTGGCACCAGGGACTGTTTTTGTGGAAGACAATTTTTCCATGGACCACGGGAGGGAGAGGAGTGGCTTCAGGATGGTTCAATTGCATTACATTTATTGTGCACTTTATTTCTATTTTTATTACATTGTTATCTATAATGAAATAATCACACAACTCACCATAATGTAGAATCAGTGGGATCCCTGAGCTTGTTTTCCTGCAACAAGACCGTCCCATCTGGGGGTGACGGGAGACAGTGGCAAATCATCAGCCATTAGATTCTCATAAGGAGCATGCAATCTACATCCCTCACATGCACAGTTCACGAGAGGGTTTATGTTCGAGAATCTAATAACTGCTGCTGATCTGATAGGAGGCAGAGCTCAGGTGGTAATGTGAGTGATGGGGAGTTGCTGTAAATACAGATGAAGCTTTGCTCACTCACCCGCCACTCACCTCCTGCTATGTGGCTTACTTCTTAACAGGCCACGGACCAGTACTGGCCCAGGGGTTGGGGACCCACAAACTAGATAAAGGATTAAAAAAGTATTCCAAATAGAACACAGTCAACGGTCCTGAGGCAGGAGGAAGCAGGGTACAATCTAGGAACACAAAAGAGGGCAGCATGCCTTTAGCACAAAGAAGCTGCTGGGTGAGGCTGGAAGGTGGAGAGGCACTAGATGCTGCAGGGATGGCAAAACAGGTTGGAAAGCTTGGTTTGCCATATTTAAACAGAACATAACCTAAGAGGCTTAATACAATAGTACAGTATTAATAATATCTTTTTTAAAAATGGATGTTCACATTTTGGCAATCTCAAGGAGTAAGAATAGGCTCCAATCCTGTGGTTAAAAAATAATAAATCAAAGATAATATCTGGCAGTGGGAAAAAAACACTGAGTAGCAGAAAATAGTATAAATATAAAAATAGCTATGAAGTTAAAAATGGAGATTATTCAAAACCCAATGAAACTGGCTGACTAATCATAGTTATGGGCTAAAAGCTCAGTGGGCAAGGTCAGAATGAAGGAAGAAAGAGGAGAAAAGTCAAATGCCAGAAAATAACAGATGTGGTGGCACGAATTAGAAGTGGGAATGGAAGAGCAAACACTGACAGGTAAGAAGACAAATGGAAGCTAAACTGCTCTGGGAAGTCAACAGCTCTAATATCTGCTTAAAATTTGAACAACTTCTTTCTCCACCACCACCACCACCAAGAAGAGTTGCCACAAACCGTTTCATAGGTTAATTCTTTTGAACCCTGAAGGAATAGATAATTATAGTACGTACATTTTTCCAAGCAGAGAAAGAAAAAAGCGTCAGTATGCTTTTTGTGAAATCAACATAATACACACACAAAGATGAATCTCACATATACTGATGCAAAAATCTTAAAGAAGATGTTATCAAATAAAATTCAGTAATACATTAGAAGACTAAGAGTGCACAGCTAAGTAAGGTTAGTGATAGGATATATATAAATAAAATTTATTACATCAATAGATTACAGTTGGAAATATGAATGTCTCAAAAAGGAGATGTAGTGGGAGGGAGGGAAGAATGGTGGAGGATGCAACTAAACATAGAAAACCCAGTGAAATCAAGTTGTATCAGCTTCAACTAATGACAATTTTGTCTTTGTTTTCCAATATTTACTGTGTTTCTAATTTTACTGGCTGATACTTTTAGAACACTGTTATATAATAGTGATGATATTGGATACCCTCCCTTATTACTAACTTTTATGGAAATACTTCTAGAGTTTCATTGTTAATCATGATGTCAGAGTGAAGCTCTCCCTCTCCTTCTTCCTCTCCTTTCACCTCTCCTCCACCATTTTTCCCTCCTTCCCTCTACATCGCCTTTTTAAAAACAATCATATGCTTTTCCAACTGTAATCTATTAATGTAATGAATTTTATTAATAGATATCCCATTTCTGCTCTTCCTTCTGCTCAACTCCTTACAATTTGGCTTTTGCCCTGCTTATTACCTCAATCTGCTCCCTTTCCTGAAGGCCACCAATGACCTCTGATTGCTGCTTCTTAGTCCTTATTCTAGTTGACAGCTCAGCAGCAATCAACATGGGTTGATCATGCCTTCAAATACTCTCTCCCTAGGTGATGTCAACTCCACTCAGTAACGTGTTCTGCCCATCTTTCATGAAGCCGTCTTAGACTCTTCACTCAAGTTTTTGAAAATCCTGAGGTTCTGCAGGGTACTGTCCATTTTCTTTCAATACATTCTCTCTAGGTGAGTCCCAAAATTTAATAGCTCTAGCCCAGAACTATCTCTGAGCTCTTGACTTAAATTACAACTATCTAATTGACATCTACACTCAAATCTCTCACTTGGCTAATCAGTATCATTCTTCAGACCTCACTCTGAAGGCAACTTGTTCAGGGAAATCTTCCTTAACTTCCTAGTCCAGTTTAAGTCTACTTATATATGTTCTCATATCATCTTGTGCTTCTCCTTTTGAAGCAGTCATCAATTTATTATTATCTCATTCATACTGTTGGGGCCAGCACATTAATCAAAATAAAGTCCCTGCTATTAAAAAGATTAAAGTTTTATATGAAAATGTTATGAAATACCTAGAAACAGACTTTCTGAAAGAATAAAAAATCAACAATATCAGGTACTCTGAAAACAAATCTTTTAAAATAAATCCATATTTCTAGAAAAAGAGAACTAAACTAGAGGGCTCCAATAGCATCTGTGATATCAGGGACTTTTTTTTTTCTTAATTTTAAAGAGGAATAATTTACATAAAGTATATTCATTTAGAGCATACAATTTCATGACTTTTGACAGTCACTGACACCTATGAAACACCCACAGGCAAGAAACTGTACATTTCTATCAACCCAAAAGATTATTTGTGACCCTTCACAGTTCATTCATTTTGACCCAGGCAACCATTGATCTGCTTGCCATGGCTTTACGTTAGTTTGCATGTGTCTAGCTTCTTTTAATCATCATATTATTTTGAAATAGGTCCATGTAGTGCATCAGTAGAATTAGTCATTTTTATTGCCAAGTATTCCGTTGCATAGATATGTCAATTTTGTTTAACCATTTACTTCCTTTTTTTTTTTTTTTTTTTTGAGACGAAGTCTCACTCTGTCACCCAGGCTGGAGTGCAATGGCGCGATCTTGGCTCACTGCAACCTCCGCCTCCTGGGTTCAAGCCATTCTTCTGCCTCAGCCTCCTGAGTAGCTGGGATTACAGGTGCCCGACACCACGCCCGGCTAATTTTTTGGTTTTAGTAGAGACGGGGTTTCACTATGTTGGCCAGGCTGGTCTTGAACTCCTGACCTTGTGATCCGCCCACCTCGGCCTCCGAAACCATTCACTTCTTAACGGACATTTAAGTTATGTTCAATTTTTGACTACTGTGAATAAAACTGCCAAAACGTTAGGATATAGGTTTCATCTCTCTGGAGTATCTCATTGTGGAGTGGCTGGGCTGTATGGTAAATGTACATTTAGCTTGTTAAGAAACTGCAAAACAATTTTCTAAAGTGATTGTACCATTAATTTTACATTCCCATCACTACCATATGAGTATCAGATGCTCCACATTCTCAGCAACGTTTGGTATGGTCAGTCTTTTTAACTTTAATTAAGTGGATATACAGTGATATATCACTGCCGTTTTAATTTGTATTTTCCAAATGACTAAAGATATTGAGTATCTTTTCACATGTTCATTGGCCATTAGTACTCTATTGTGAAGTTCAACTTTTTTCCCTTTTATAATTGGCTTTTTGCCTTTCTTATTTTTTAAGTTGTTAGAGTTCATTATGTTCTGGATAACAGTACATTGGAAGATATATTTAATGCAAATATTCTCTCCAAGACTGTTGTCTGTCTTCTAATTTTCTTAAGTGTCTTTTCAATTTATTTTAAATCTGTTTTTCTTTTTACGGTTCATGATTCTTGTGTCCCATCTAAGAAATCATTGCCTATTCCAAGATGGAAAAGATTTTCTCCTATGTTTTCTTCTAGGAAATTCATAATTTTAGCTTTTGTGTCTAGGTGTATGCCTATTTTGAGTTAATTTATAATACGGTGTGAAGAGTTAAGGATCATTGTTTTGCAATGGATGTCCAATTCTTCTAGCACCACTTATTGAAAATACTTTCCTTTTCCCACTGAACTGCCTTTCCATCTTTGTTGAAAACCAGTTGACAATATGCATTTCTATTTCTGGACTCTTCTGTTCCAGCTATTTATATGCCTATTTTTAAGGCAGTGACACATTATCTTGATTACTATAGAATTTGAGTAAATTTTGAAATCACAGAATATAAATCCTTAAATTTTATTCTTTTTAAAATTGTTTTGATTTTGTAAGTCATTTGTATTTCCATATACAAAGGCATTGTTCTCATAGAAGATGATAGCTCCATGTCCCTGAAGACCTTCCAGTGGGACAAGATGTAGAGGTGGAAGACAGTGATATTGTGATACTGACTCTGTGTAAGCCTAATGTGCATGTTTGTGTTTTAGGTTTTTTTTTTTTTTTTTAGTTTCAAGTAAAAAAATAATTTCTAAGATAGAAGAAAGTTGTAGAATAAGGATACAAAGAAAAAAATTTTTTGTATATTCATACAACATGTGTTTTAAACTAAGTGTTATTAGAAGAGTCAAAAATAATAAAAGGTTTATAAAGTAAAAAAGTTACAGTAAGCTGAAGTTAATGTTAATTTACTTTGGAAGAAAAATTCTTTTTACAAACTTAGTGTAGCCTAAATACACAGTGTTTATAAAGTTTACAGTAGCATACAGTAATGTTCTAGGCCTCCACATTCACACACCATTCACTCACTGACTCGCCCAGAGCAACTTCCAGCTCTACAAGCTCCATTCATGGTAAATACCCTATAAAGGTGCCCTATAGAGATTTTTAAAATCATTTATACTGTATTTTTGCTGTACCTTTTCTAGATTTATATATGTTTAGGTAGACAAATACTTGCCATTGTGTTCCAACTGCCTACAGTCTTCAGTATAGTAACATTGAGTACAGGCTTACAGCCTAGGAGCAATAGGCTATACCATATAGCCCAGGTGTGTAATAGGTTATCCCATCCAGGTTTGTGTAAGTACAATCTATGATGTTCACACGATGATACTGACTAAGAATGCATTTCTCAGAACATATCCCCATTATTAAAGTGATGCATGATTGCAAATGGATTCAAGTGTATCATTTTATTATTAGTTTTCTGTCTGTTCTGTGTTTTTGTTCCCCTCTTTCCCTTTCCCACTTTCTTTCAGATTAAATGTGTATTTTAATTTCTATATTGTCCTTTTAGCTATTTGTTTTTGGATTATTTCCTTAATGGTTGTTCTGGAATTAAAATAAACAACTTTGGTAGCCTTACTACAAGATGCCCTCCCTGTCTTCATTCTCACCACTAAGAAATGTCTTGAGGGTAAAGAAAAAAATCCAATATTCTTAAGAAATCATAAAGACTAAATCTAGCATGTGAATTAAAAAGCCTTTCCTAAAACCTCAGAAAAATCCAAGGTGATGCCTCAGAGAACCATTCAGTCAAAGTATAGGGCCAAGAAGTTTAAGAATATTGTCTCAGTAGTTTTAGCAAAAGGCCAAAGTATAAAAGGGCTTATCTCAAAGAAATTTGTAGTTGTGGCTTTTCCCTAATGAAGTGAGCCTCAGTAGGATTCACGTGAGACCCACAAAGTTTTTAAGAGCACTGTATTTACATGAACACAGTGAGCTTGGACTGAAATGGACAGAGGCAGTAAAAAAAAGGAATGATACGCAACTTTTACAGAATGGAAGCAGGCACAGGACAATTGCAAATGCAAGCTATCTTTTATATATATTTTTTTAAAAAAAAAAAAAAAAACGAATGATCAGAGAAGGGAAATAGGAGCACAGAGAGTAGTGTCAAGAGTCATGGGGAATCATTCCCAGGAGGGAGGATGACTGAGTCCTAATCAAGGAATGTCCAATACTTGCCTGGCTCAATTTCAGAATTGCTATATAACAATGACTCCAGTTTTTCTGCTTTCTGAACAGAAGTATCACTAGTGATTATCCTATGCCTATCTCACCATAGTATATTGGGAATATGAAGGGCAACTGTTTCTTTGGCTGAGGTCTTCAGATCAAGAGGACATGTACTCAAGGAGTTACATAAGCAACTACATCCAAGGAGCCTCATGTGCAATTGAACCTAGTTTAGATGAGGAAATACTGGACATTAAGCTAATGCTATAATAGAATCTCTGAAGTTTGAAAACTGATTTATCCTTGACTTTCCCTACTTGGCAACTGCTTTAATTCAGGATCTTATCAAAGATTGCAATAACCCACATACTAGTTGTATTAGTCCATTCTTGCACTACTATAAAGAACTACCCGAGACTGGGTAATTTATTAAAAAAGAAGAAGAAGAAGAAGAGAGATTTACTTAGCTCATGGTTCTGGAAGCTATAGAGGGAGCATGGCTGGGGAGGCCTCAGAAAACTTAAAATCGTGGTGGAAGGCAGAGGGGAAGCAGGAACATCTTACATGGCCAGAGCAGGAAGAACAGAGAGAAGCAGGAGGTGCTACATACTTTTAAACAACCAAATCTCATGATAACTCACTCAATGTCATGAGAATAGCACCAAAGGGGAAACCTGCCCCCATGAGCCAATCACCTCCCACCAGGCCCAACCTCCAACATTAAGGATTACAATTTGACACGACATTTGCATGGGGACACAGACCCAAACCTTCACTAGTGTTCCTGAAATAAAACTCTCTCCACTCCACTGTGTAAACTTATTCCTAGCTTCTCCTGGATTGTTAGAGGATTAGGGCACCAATCCTAACCCCTACTGTAGCTTCCATCACAATGTGCTGTAAATGTCTGCTTACATATTTTCTTCCTCCACTTTTTATTGTTATATCTTCAAGACCTAGAACAGTGCCTATCACATAACAGATATTTATTTATTAAATGAATGACCAAATGTTCATGTCACATGTACTTCTAAATCATTTGAAACTGCTCACAATAGAAGATACATCTTCATTAAATCAATAAAAGTAAAAGAATCGCTATGCAATAACCCAATTTGCTCATGAAAAAGTTAAATTTTTGGAAAATTCATTCATTCAAAATAAGTTATTTTCATTAATGCAAGACAAATGAGGTGATATTTATTCATACCACTTTTCAACATGTTTGCTTGGTTTTCTAAGTCAGATATTTCAATCTTGACATTTTCTTTCATCAAAAGCTCTCTTTTCTTTGTTATTTCATAATCATTATTAAAGTCTGTAATTTCCTTAATAAATTTGTCTTCCTCCTCTATCATTTGTTTCTTTATAGCCTCCTGAAAAACATAAATAAAAGATCAAATATAGGTGTTAGTTGCAATAATATTTTTCCTTAATTATTTAAAATATAATAATTTGGAATTATTAACAATGAAAGTATATAGTTACACTTCCTGGTTTTATGGCAAAAATGTTTTTTTCTCATAGTAATATTAATAAAAAACTGAAGCTATTATATAGTAACAACTATCTTCAGATGAAAGATTTAATCTTAAAGTTTTGGGAGAATTATTGAGGTAGATATTCTACCACTCATCATTATATCTGTTTATTTGTGTATTAAAATTCAGAATCATATTACATTTTATAATTATAATATAAAACTGGAGAGTAAAGTAATTAAATGGCCAAACTGAAAAACTAAAATTTACACTTAAAGGGATTACTGCCTTACAGGAAAACAAACAAACAAACAAGGATAGCCAAGAAAACCTTTTAAAATGTGGATGATGAAATCAAAATTATATATTCACTTCAAAATCAGTTTTAAATAATAGTTTACATTTTATGAAGTATCAACATGGCAGAGAAATAAGAATTTCCAAAAACTGTGGACAATGCAAAAACCTAAACTCTTTGACAATGCTAGAATATAAACATTACCATATTTTTCTAAGCTATGTCAATGAATTTTAAGCCTCATTTTCAAACTGGCCACGTCATTTCAAACCACCAAGTGTGTTGGTTCTGACTTCAGATATGTATTTTTAATATCTTTAAATGTATTTTCTTTAAAATGTCAATCACAAGTCATATTTCTAAATTGGCCCTGTCATTCAAAACTATTGCTCAGGCTGTTGGCTCTGAGTTAACAGAAAAAGATTAACAATATCCATCCTTTTAGCCACATCCATAAATATGCCTAAAGTGTGAAACTTTCTGCCTTTCAAAACGATTTTATCCAAGGTCTCAATGCTTGAGCAATTCAAATCAGTTCCACTGTTTCTTTTGTGCTTATTACAACTGAAAATAATTGCTATATTACATCCCTGCCCATATACTTCTTTCAAACTGTATTACTCTACCAATTGGTTTTAAATAGCACTTAATACTTTCCTGTATCTGAGCAGTACTACCTGCTAATATGCACATGGATAATTTTCTAAAAGTATACTTAAGTATATTTGAATACTTTTTTACATATTAGTGAAATAGATTTTTCTAGGTGGCTGGAAACTTACAAAGGTTTGAAGAAGCATATTCCTATGGTTTGTAATTTCACTGTACTGTTTTTCTAAAGCATTTTCATGAGCTTTCAAAAGCTGTAAGAAGAAGGATTTTTCAAAAAACTGTTGAACCTTCAAAGTACAAAAACAGAAATCAGAATAAAACAATTAATTAGACATTTTAGAGTACCTTAGGTAACAGAGAAGATTTGTCTAGTATAAAATATATTCTGTATTAATCTTTAAAATGCAAAATAAAATTAGCATCAAACATCTTATTTTATATACACTATCTTGTATTATTTTTTAAGTACTTTATAGTTACAATTTTATAATCTCTTCCCCTAATAAGACTATAGGCTCCTCAAGGGCAGAGAATGTGCTTTCTTTTTCCTCTCAATACCTAGAAGAATTCTTAGCTAGGTACTAACGCTTTTTGAATACACACATTGAAATCTGCTTTAAGACTGTTTGTTTTTAGATAATAAGTTTCTATTTTCACAGTTTATAAGGAATATATGAATGAATAAATCATGTACATAATATAACTAATAAAATAATAAGATAAAATCTGCAAAGCAGAGGCAAAAACCCAGTCCCATGATTATAGTTATATCAAATAAAAAACGAGTCTGCTAAAGACCTTAAATGGGTTTTGAGAACTCATTTTTTATTTTAATACTTCATTTGGTTCTAAGTAGCAAAAGGTATAATAAACATTAATGTTAGACATGCAACTGTTATTTCATTTGGAACTTAAAAAATAACATCTCCTGAGATGAATATTGAAATGAAGTTAGGAAGCTTTAATATATGAAAGCTAAAAATGATGCTGGACTGGAAATACTGTAATTTTTCTACTATGTTCAGTACTAGCCCTCATAAGAAAGCATCGTTTCCAGTTTGGGGCTGTTCCCATCTCCACAGGGAAAAGAAAAAGGATATAAATTCAACTTAAATTGCAGAAAGCAAGATTTATGGTAGTTATAAGAACTTCCTCAAGGTGAGAGACAGGTTGTGAAATCTCTGTCCCAGACAATATTGAATAGTAAAGAGCTTAGAAATAGTCTAGTCCAGAGGCAAAAGGGTTGGCTTAAGAGACAGTTTGAAATATTATGGCTAAAATGTCCTAGAAATATTGACATTAAAAAAGTTGCTCAAATTTTCAAAACCAGAAAATATGATCTTACATTTATATAAGATCGTAGCCCATCTGCCCATATCTTCAGTACTTGGTACTGTTTTCATCAACCCAATTTTAAGAAAGGCATCAATAGAGAAAGATTAGAGAGGTACAATTCACATAATCAAAGGAACTGAGATAATATTTTAGAGATTGGGGGAAGGAATAATAGGGTGGTTAGTATTTTTCTGTCTCAGAAGACAGAAATTAGAAAACATATGGCCAAATCTATAAAATCATATAGAAATTTATAACAAGGGGAAACTAGGGTATGATCATGAAATCTACCACATTTATTCAGAATAAAAAATATTTTGTGACTATTTAATGCTTATTATGTAAATGATAATAAAATGAGGTCCAGAGAAGTTAAACACCTTAACAAAGGCTATATAACTAATTAGAGGCAAATCCAGGACTAAAATTCAGGTCTTCTGCCTTTCTTTCTTCTAAATCATGATGTGAGCATGGAAATGTCAGAACTATTTCAAAGTAATGAAAAGATAATTCTAGAGCTAAAAAGAGACTTTGAGGTGTGATGGTGAGTTGAAAATATATAAGGTTAATAAACATTTAAGGAAATTACCAAATCCTAGATCCACCAGAGCTTACTGAGAAGGGTGTTTGCAGTATATACCTAACTCTGAGTTACTGCTGTGGACACTGCCCAGGAATGTCCACAAAAAATGCTTTAGAGACCAAATAATGCACTGGATAAATGTGGGTTTAATCTACTAAGGTATTTCAAGTATTATGCCCTTCAGAAACGCAATTCATGAATTCTAAGTCCATGTATACCACTGATCTGTTGTAAAAGATCTATGTCAAACCCAAAACTCAAAAATGAGGAAAATATTACTTATCAAACTAACGGATTTCTAAATGAGACTTAAGCAAATCTATTATTCAAATTCAGGAAAGCCTTATGTTAAGGACTCAGAAATTAAGGTGCTATCTTTCAGCTATCAATGACTAAGAGCTTAAATTACCACTGAGCCCACGTCTTCTTTCTTAAAAGGGAGAATAACCAATATTAAGAAGAGCTAGGTGACATATTGGCACTTAACCAGAATATTTCACCATTACCTAAAAAATGAAATCTATATCCCAAAAACTAAAAAGTAGACAGCTGTTCTAAAGATTTATAAAAAGGGCATATCCATAATTTTCCTCTTCCCTAAAATTTTATGTAAATCATCCATTTTAAGTTCTCTGCTTCTTTGTTTTTATTTTTATTATTAGTTTATCTCCTCTTCATTCCCTTTCTGTCTTACCTTCTGTCTTTATTGTTTACTTCCATATTTGTCTCTTTTAATCCAGATCTAAAGAGTCCCAGAGAGTCAATAACTACAGAAAGATTACGGTACATTAATCTTCAAATTTACATAGGATCTATGGTTAAAAAATGTTAATACAAAAGTCTTGGTAAGTATGAGAAGTAGAATGACGGAGAAAGCGGCAGGAGTTTGGGAAAGTTAAAGTCAGGAAGGACAAGAATAGAGGCCTATAATATACTGCTTCACATTGTTAAGGACATCAACAGATCAAGGTTGCAGAAGCTAGATGAGGCCTATTATTATTAATATATTGCCTTCATATTTTAGTGGAACTAAGGAAACAAAAACTTTTGAATCTGCCCAGTTCCTCGTTGTTAAGTTACTAACTCTTCAGAAATAAAATAGCTTTTCACAGTCTCCTATTCGTAGAATGTTTCAGATGGTTCCTTTTGTTCTTACTGTTGTCCCAACTGATTTCTTAAGTTATTTTTTATGTTCCTGCATTTGACAACTAAATCTACTGATATGTAAAATTTAAGTAAATATTCGAAATATAACCCTGAATGTATTGATAGGATCAAAAGATGAATAAATAATCATCAGAAAATCTTCTCACCTCTTTTTTGTTACAAAGGTGGAGATCAGAGTTGGGAAGATAATACATAAAATGTTAGAGTGTGACATAAAAATATTTCTAAATATATCGGGTCAGGTTTGAACTGAGGCAATATTTTATATCTATGTAGCTTGAACATTTATTTTATAGTAAACAAAAACTTAAAAATCCATTGCTTCTGTGTCCTAAGTTATCCACTAAGATCCCAAAAGAATACAGACAATATGAAGAAAAGGGTGGGAAGTTCCTAATGGCAGTGATAAAATTTTCTCTTTTTCATTTCTATCTGTCCTCCTACTAGAAATGAAAAAATATATTTGCACACAGCCTTAAAGTGATAGGCCAGGCACAGTGGCTCACACCTGTAATCCCAGCACTTTGGGAGGCCGAGACGGGTGGATCACCTGGTCAGGAGTTTGAGACCAGCCTGGCCAACATGGTGAAATCCCCCTCTACTAAAAATACAAGAATCAGCCAGGTGTGGTGGGGGCACCCGTAATCCCAGCTACTCAGGAGGCTAAGGCAGAATAATTTCTTGAATCCGGGAGGCAGAGGTTGCAGTGAGCCAAGATTGTGCCACTGCACTCCAGCCTGGGTGACGAGAGTGAAACTCTTGTTTAAAAAAAAAAAAAAATCTAGAATCACATAGCCAAGCTTTGTCAGAAAATACTGCTGTTTTGGAAAATTCTAATTTATAGTAGTGCCAACTCCCTGGTTAATTCTGCTTCTCTCAGCAATAAAGACTGTTTTTCCTTTCCTTGTTTTATTCCTCTTGGGATATTTGATTTTTTAATGGAGCTTATAGTTTTCCCAGTGAGCTGACTTATCTGGTCAACTAGGTCAGTTTTCAGCAAAGCCATGATTTGTGACTTTTCACTACTCTTGCTGCCTGGGTGCCTTTAGGTATTTTTCTGCCAGAAGAACTTAAAAATTGAAAATGACTGAGGATTTAAAATTAATGTTAGGGTCCAAGCAAGCAAAGTACATAGGTCCTCTTTGTTGTGGTTGCTGTTGTTAAAAATAATCTCGGCCTTGAGGAACTGACATTTTGCTGATTAAATAATCTGCCCCATAGCATAATAGGCAATTTTACATTTAAAAAAAAAACTAAGAGTTACGTAGAAAATTTCACATACCTAAAACCATAACAATTGGGAAAAATATATCATTATTATGACTATATGATAAAAGACATTCTAAATACTAAGGTACATTAATGAATATTGTATTGATAGCAGATATTAAGGTTTTTGTAAAAAAGATCTATCTTTATACTTTTCCAAATCACAGAGGCAATGCTTAAAGAATAACTTACTATGACATAATAATCCTAATATAGTTAGCAAGGAAGGAAATAACCTCCTGACAATGGCTTATAAGGCTTTACATGATTTTCACCCCCACTCCCTCTCCAGCCATCTCTCCTATCAGTCACCTCCTCACTTGCCCCATTCCAGCCACAGTGGCCTTATTATTATTACGTATGTATCATATGTAATATATATAATATATAATATCACATATAATATATACTACATACTATTATATATAATATAAAATATAATACATGTATAATATAATATAATATTTATACATATTAAATATACATTTTTGTTGTTGTTGAAATGGAGTCTTACTCTTGTCGCCCAGGCTGAAGTGCAGTGGCATGATCTTGGCTCACTGCAACCTCCGCCTCGCGGATTCAAGCAATTCTCCTGCCTCAGCCTCCCGGGTAGCTGGGATTACAGGGGCACACCATCATGCCTGGCTAATTTTTGTATTTTTAGTAGAGACAGGGTTTCGCCATGTTGGCCAGGCTGGTCTCAAACTCCTGACCTCAGATGATCCACCCCCCTTGGCCTCTCAAAGTGCTGGGAATACAGATGTGAGCCACCGCACCTGGCCCCATTATTATATATGAATCCAAGAAAATATACAGAGAAACCATCAAGAAATAAAAAAAAGGGTTTAGTAAAGAAGCTAGTAACAAAATAAATACCAAAATCTATTCTAGTTACCAACAAAAACAGAAAAAAGCATGGAAAATATCCCATTCGTGACAGCAAAATCAAGACAAACAAAATACAAATAAGAAATATCTGAGACCTGTATGAAAAACTTCTACTGAGGAACATACAAGAAAATCTGAATAAACAGAAAAAGATGTTATATTCTTAAGTGTGACTCAGAGTTATAAAGACATCAATTCTTCATAAATTACAACATGAAATTAGTGCAATCTTATGAAAACCCCAATGATTTTGGTTCTTTTTTAATTTGACAAAATGATTTTCAAATTTATCTAGAAATATAAACTATGAAAAGAATCAGGAAAATTCTGAAAAAGAAATTACCCTTCCAGAGGGCCAAAGATATTTTAAAGCTAATATATTTAAGCCAATAATATACTGGTGCCAAAACAAATAGATTAATAGTATAGAATATATAAAACAGATACAAGTATAGATATATACACGCACATGCAAAATACTGTATCATAAAGACAGTGTTTCCGATCAATGGGGAACATGTGACATTTACTCAGGTGACAACAGTCATTTTTCTTTAAAATATTTTAAAAAAGAAAACCACTATAAAAGTATTAGAAAAAGATATTGTTTAAAATCTTGGAGTGGGACAGGCTTTCCCAAGCCTAGAATGGATTCGGAAACAAACTAAAACATTAAAAATTCCAGCAACACAAAACTCTAAACTTTTACTAGAAAATCATGTCATAAAAAGCCAAGATACAAATAATAAAGTTTGCAACAAATGATAAAGAAAGAATATCTATAATAAAAAGCTAGATGCCAACCAGAAAAGACTAGGACAGGATAGAAATAGGTAAATATACATATAAATTAAAAATACTAAGTTAAAAAATTCAAATTATAACTAAAAAGATGCCATTTTTATATTTGTAATACATATTAATTTTCAGTGTATGAGTAGTAAAACTGTGAGAATAAAACTGGAACAACTTTTCTGGAGGACAATTTAAAAATAATCAAAGCCTTAAAAATTACAGACCCATTGACACAGCAATTTGATTTATAAGGCTTTACCCTAAAAAGCTAGGATAAGTGCACAAAGATGTATGTATACAGTTATCACTGCAATGATGATAGAAACAGTAATTTATTAATACAATAGTAAATACTTATCAATAAGAAATTAGTTAAATAAAATATAGTATTACATTTAATGGAATACTACGCAGCAATTAAAATTGCTTATTTATATATATATTTACTCAGATGTCTAGGTTACAGTAAATAGAAAAAAGCAAATTATTTAAGAAAAATATAAATCCATTTAAACAATTTTGAAAGAAAACCTATGAAAATGTTAACCGTGTGGTGGAATTATAGGTGATTTTCACTCTGCTTTTTGCCAATTTCTATTTTTGGAATAATTTGCAATAAATAAACACTACTTTTATAAAGAGTTAAAACAATCAAACTATCTTAATTTTGAAAAGTAATCTACTGCATGTTCACCAAATATAATGGTAGAAGGCCTCAGAATTTCCCAGGAATAAAACCCACTTTTCCAGTAGGAACATAAGCGAGAAATCTTAGTAAAGACGGGGAGGAGCGGGAGCTCAGAACGAAAAGAACATTTTAGAGTAATAATCTGATCCATTTGCTCACTGTGGTGGTCCCATCTCTCCCTTTCCTTCCTCTATCTCTCTTGGGAGGAATTTTTAACCAGAAGAAATTAGACTACATTTGAAACTGTGGAACTCATCTGAACAAAGGAAACTGAGGTATACAGCCTTTTAACTTATCTTGAAATATGAATTCAGGCAATAACAATCCATGAGACCATATATGCAACAAAGCCTACACGAGAAATTCTTCCTATCAGCATCAGATCACAGGTACAGCTGTAAGTCGCCAGTTGCCTTTGATCCTTCCCACTCACCTTTTCAGAACTCACCTCCTGTTCCAAAGTCCACAGTCAACTCTTTTCAAAATAACCCCTAAACTGCAAAATTATTCTTCCTCTTTTCCTCAAATAAAACTCCTATTCCTCCAAAGCTGCTCATCTCAGCGAGACAGTAATCTGATTAGGGAAAGACCAGCAAAGCACAAATACTGACCGGTCAAGAACATCTTGTACTGATACGTTTTAATCTGAAAGACTCTTCCTGGGGAGCAACTTTAAAGTAAGATAACTTCTGTGTTATTTGACAACTCAGGTGGCAGTACCTTACCTTACCTATCACCACACATCTTAGGATACAAAACAAAGGGATGCTGAGGTAGTGTTTATTCATGCACTGCTTTTAATGGAAGAACTATAAAATGTCACACATTCTTTAAAACATACATCTTCCTCAACAAATAAGAAAACTTGGCACATGTGCAAGAAATAATCATATCTCAGGCAATAAAGCTACACTACAAGAACACTAGAAATTGGGCTGGGGGTACTCACATCAGCTTGTCAATCAGCTTTAGCTCTAAGAAAGTAGTTGATTCTTCCAGTATTCAAGAAAATGAGAACAGGACAAAAAACAATTTATATATTGTATTTATAGGCAAATTGCAGGTCTGAACAAATCTCACAGAATAACAACATGAACCCTATGAAAAATACTGTTAACAGAAGAGATAAAGAGAATTATCCAAAAGATTACAGTGAAGAGCACAGGATGAAAAAAAAATTGTAATCAATTACTTACTGTTCTTAAAAGGATGCAAACAAAGACATGTCCACTAGAAAACAAGAGCAAGGAAGGACATAGCAGAGAAAGATAAAAACAGAACAAGCTGAAATTTTTAAAAATTAGAGTGTTAAAAAAGAGAAGACAACACATGATTTAAATTTGCAGAGAGCATTAAATAACTAAAACTAATACTGCAAAAAATAGAATTAGGGATGTAAAGGATACAAAGTTTTCCCAGACTTCTGAGGATTCAATTCAGAGAAAAGAGAATAAAGCTCTTCTAAATTATAAGAAATGGGTGTATTGAAAACAAACTCTATGAAATAATAGCTGAGGTTAAAATGGAAGGCTCACCCTTGTTCCAGAAAAAAAAAACCATATCTGTACCAAATTTGGAATTATAGATTGTTTAAAATCATAAAAGCAATCAGGGAAGAAAACAAAACCTAACAGGTTACCTTAAAATAGGATTTTTAAAAACCAGGTTGACTTCAATACTTCTCTTCTGCATTAATAAATTTCAGAATATAATAGTGCTAGATCCACAAAATGTTGTAAAAAAAGGTTTGACTCAATAATTCTGTACAGACAAGTTTCCATGCAAGTGTGAAGATAACAGAAATTTCAGATATTAATAGCTTAGAAGATCTGTCATTCACAACTTCCTCCTACAAAATTACAATTACAGACTCATCAAAAAACAAATAAAAAAATAAGAACTCAAGAATGACAACGTGAGGCATTGAAGAGTTTTATAGTGCAGAATTATGGTTAATATGGCAGTAAAAGCAAAAGTAGAAAGGACTTACTTTCTACTCCAAACAAAGAGAAATGCTAGATAAAATCTAACTACATTTAAAATATTTATCATTTACATAGCTAAGCCAAAAGGAGGAGGGAAATCTTCATGCAAGAAACAAATAGACAGCTCAGTGTAAGGATGGTGATAAAATTCAAGCCCACAGGAGCATCTTTCAGAAAGGATACAGGCATTAGGGATTAGGCTTTAAATGCCCACATAAGAACAAAAATCACAGGCAAAGAGAGCCAGGGTTGGACTCATTGTACTGCCAGGAATTGAGAAATATCTATGCCAGTTACGAAAGATGGATAAAAAACTCCACCTGTTGCCCTAGAGATGCAGTGTATAAGTGAGCTATATCCCATTGAGCCATGAGTGGAAAACGAGTCATATCCTGAGAATTTGAACCCTGAGATTCTCTTATCCATACAGTGCAGAAATCTTGAGCTCAGAATTTAACATAAAAACTGGTCCTTAACAGGGGAAACCTGTGAGGCCCTGGCAGCAGGGGTGAAACTGCTTCTTAGGGACATCTTTTCTATCAAAGGAATATGTCGAACAGCCAGGAGAGATAAGTTCTTCTAAAGATAAGTTCAATAAAATAAAATCAATAATAAATCTTAAAGTTAATAAGAAAATCTACCACCATGTAAGAAAGGCATCAAATCAAACAAGTAGAATTCAAGGCAGAGGAAAATAGAAAACAGGATTCTATGAGAAAAATTTTAACTTATTCACTCACTAAATGTCTGTTTAATACCTACTATTATTCAGGCACTGTTCTAGATGCTGGGAATAACAGCAATGAACAAAATAGATTAATTTCTATCCCTTGTGGAGCTTACATTCCACTGGAGGGAGACAAATAATAAACAGATCAATATAAAATATGCCAAGAGGTGGTACATATCACACAGCATAGAGACAGGGAGAGATGGTAATGCTATTTTATATAGGGAGGTCAGGGAGGGGCCTCTACAGAGAGGGGGCCTCAAATTTTTGGGTCTTTTGACCTCTTCATAGTCTAAAAAATTATTGAGAATTTCTTTTTGTTTGATTGTTTTCATGAATTATATCTAGAAATATTTTCTGTATCAAAATTAAAACTGAAAAATTTTTAAACATTAATTTAATAACAATAATCCTATTGCATTTTAAATACCACATTTGTATTGAAAAATGACTTTCCAAAACAAAAACAAATTAGAAAAAGGAGTTGCATATAGATTTTTTACAAATCTCATTAACATCTGGCTTAATGGAAGACAGCTGAGACCAGGTTTGGTGGTTCACGCCTGTAATTTCAGAACTTTGAGAGACCAAAGTGGGAGGATCACCTGAGGCCAGGAGTTCAAAACTAGCCTGGGCAAAATAGCAAGACCCTGTCTCTAGAAAACAATATATTTTTTAAATTAGCCAGGTAGGGTGGCAGAGGCCTGTAGTCCCAGCTACTCAGGAAGCTGAAGCAGAAGGATCACTTGAGGCCAGGAGTTTGAGGTTGCAGTGAACTGTTGTTGTGCCACTGAGCTCCAATCTGGGTAACAGAGTGAGACTCTGTCTCTTAAAAATAAATAAATAAAAACAAAAAATTAAAAAAGAAGATAGCTGGACTCTCATATCTGCTTCTACTCAATCTTTTGTAATACGTTTTTCAGTTGGAGAATACGGAGTGCACAGATATGTAGTTGGAAATGATTGTGCATATTCTTCTTTGATACTATATCAAAATTCACCATGTGGTAGCTCCTTAAAGGTTAGTTGCAATGTGGAATCTGAAGCCGTTTCAATGAACTTTTCATTCTATGTTATAATAAAATCCATTGGTCTACATTGCACTTTGAGTCTACCTTTTATCTATGCACAGTTTTGTAACTTTATGCATTACTTACTGCTTCCCTGAATTATGCAGATCCTCCAAATGTTGATATATTTCATAATATGCTTTGAAAAGTAACATTCTGAAACATCTTGAAACATACTGCTTCAAAAGTAACATTCATATTCATTAATATCACTAACGAACTCACCAGAAAAATCTTTAAGTACCAGGAAGCTGCCAAGCTGCCAAGATAGATAGGAATCCTCCAAAATTCTAATTTTTGTTTGAAAGCTTGCATATTATCATTGGCAAAATAATAAGAAGAATGTCAGATGTTTGCCTTGACATTTTAGGCTTACTTCATTTATTTTTCAGAAAATTTTGCCAAACACCCAAATCTAAATAACTACAACTTGACTGTCAATTATCTAAGTAAAAATGGCGTTTCAGAAAAAGAATAGCTAGCTCATACTGCATCTCAAACAACTGCACACATGCTCTCTCTTGAGACAATCGTGGCACTTCGGAATATAAAAGTACTTTAGATGTACCACCCATGTGATCGTACACAATATTGAAAATGAATATACTCAATGATCAGTTCCAATAAAATTAATATTTTTGACACTTCAATCAAAACATTAAGTAAAACTAGCGGTTTTTGTTTTCTTACTGAGAGTGCATGGCAGTGAAGAATACGAGATGACTACTAGTACAGTTTGGTGCCACCACCTCGATTTGTGTTAAGGTGCTAAGAGTTTTACTCACTGCTGCTTTTGCACTGTCAATGTGTGCATTAACATAGAGAAGATGGCAAATGGTACCTTTGTATAGTATTATCATAAAAATAGCTTGACCTTACAAACTCCCTGAAAGTGTCTTGGGGACCCCTTTGAACTCAGAGATCACACTTTAAGAATAATGCTCTAAGGTGACAACTGAGCAGAGACTTAGGCTAACCAACCATCAAGATTTGCATGGGGCTGTCCTAGTGTTAGCACTAAAAGTCCCACATGATTCTACTGGGAGAGATCTAAATGAAGTGAGCGTGCATGACAGAATAACAGCTAATGGAATCAGCATTTCAAGCAGAGGAAACAGCAAGTGCAAAGGCCCTGGGGTCAAAGAATGATTGGCATATCCAAGAAAAAACAGCCCATTACAAAGGTTCACACCCCCATAAACCTGACTGTCCTCAGGAAGGTGAGCTACTGGACAATGTCTAATACAATACTCAAAGGACACTCAGTGACCTTTTTTGCCTATTTCCAAGTTTTGGATAATTACTCATGACAAACATGATAAGGCTTTCTTTATAGAATTTCATAGAGAAAATGGAAACAAATTTTTTCTTTAAATGAGAACTTCAAAAATTTTGAGTTTACAGTTAGGTTTATATAGTTGAAATTGCTTGATGTCAATCCTGTAATTCAGGAAGGAAGGTGTTATATAATTTATTTGCCAAGTATTCATAGTGTGATTTAGCAGTTGCTCAATGAATGTTTGTTGAATGAATAATTGCCAACTATAAAATTAAATATTGGTAGGATCTAAATTTTTTTGATTAAGTGTAAAGAAAGAAAAAAGCACTCCAATTACAAAACTCCATTTCAATACTATAAATGATAATAATTTGTGATTTTGTTCTTTCTCCAATTAGGTAATACAGTACTAAAGGATATGACTTTGCCTGCTGTTCTGGAGGTTTCCTAACTTTTACCAATTAAAATAAAAGAACACATACATATTGAGGTAAAGAAGTAAATGGGGCCACCTTAAGTTACTTTTTAATTTCAATACAATTTTCCTTTAAAAATTCATGAAATATTCTTTTATTATTGTTATGGTGTTTACACAAGTTAAAATTGGAAACAGAAAAAATAAACAAAATATTCACAAAATAGCCTCAGATTTTCCTCCATTTACTCCCTCTTAAGGGAATATGGCATTATATTGAGTTTTATGTAATATGTTTATAAAAATTAAATGTCAAAATTTTAATTATATGCCATTTTTAAAAATAGAAGAAGCTCTTTTAGATGTTTAAAAGAAACTACCAATGTTCTGTCAGTCCTTAATTTTGGTTTGCCCTGTCATCAATACTATACAACTTTTCCTTAACTATCAGAAGTTTTGGATGTATTGGTAAGCATGAATGCAAATCCAGGGCATGTTCTCATTTTTCTGTTTTCATATTACCAAACCTAACCAGGCATAGTGTAGCTGTCCAATTCATAAAGTACTCATACTATATAACCTGAGACTTTTGCAACCATATATTTTAAAAGACTCATTGAGCCCTGCAAGGCAAATGCTATCATTCAAGTTCTAATTACATGCTATCCGGGTTTTACATAAAAGAAAAAAAATGAATACTGTACTTCCCAAATACATTTATTGACCAGAAACAACATCCAAAATAAATGCCCCCCAAATTTTCTGAATGTATGACTGTACAATAGCTCAAGCACTGCTCTATTCAAATTATGTTCTATTAATAGTTTCTCCTTGTGCTGCTACTGTTTGATAAATGGGTCAATAAATGCCAAGTCAAATATTCAAGTAAATATATTTTCATTGTTATTGGCAGACATATAATTAACTCAGAATAAAAGAAACAAGAAATCAATTTAGGATTAGTTCTTCAGTTCTTCCCATTAGTCATATGCATTATAATTGTGATTCCACTTTTAAAATCTTTATGCACATATACATACCATCTTGACTATAATACAAATCAAACTATTTCAGTTATAAATTAGTATTGTATGAACTGTGACCCTCATATGTTAATTTTATTAGTAAGATACAAATGTATTATTACCCACATATATGAGCTGGTTAAAAAGCAATGCATGCTTATGAACCTATATTAATTAGTAATTTCAACAAATGTTTCTAAACAATGGTAGGCCTTTTCTGTCTTCTTTCTAGTAAAAACAACTGAATCAACATTTTTTAATGTATGTGTATATATCAACAAATTACATTTCCATTTGCAGACAAAACAAAACTTTGCTAACAAAGAAAATATTACAGAGTAACATTAAAAAATATATTATATCAGGTCAATATCCTCACCAATCCAGGAAAAATGCATTTTGTACAAAAACTTGTATAAGCAACCTTTTAAAAATATTAACCTAAACAAGATACAAAACTTCAGTTATATTATTATACATGAATGTCATGACGAAAAATGTTTAAAGTGAGCTTAAGAAATCTGCTTTAATAAAATATGCTGTTATTACTCAATTGTTACTTTCATTATGGTAGTTTAATTGTTTCTGAATTATATATCGTGGACAAGTCATTTACCTCTCAGTTTCCTCACTCATAAAAAGGGGATAATGATGGGGTCTCATCACAAGATTCCTGTTAGGATTAAAGGAGTTAATACAGGAGAAGCATTTAGAACAGTGCCCCTGCATACAGTAAGTGCTCATATTTTGCCCATTACTTCTATTAGCTTCTAGATATCAATCCTGAAAGTGTCTTAATTCCTTTTCAAGAGAAAGAAAGTTGCATCATAACATTCTTAATGTTTTGCCCATACCACCAGCTTTCAGCATTGCTGGTAGCAGCTAGTTTACCTACTATTCACAGGCAAAACAGGAGGAAGGATCTCACTGAATAACCGTTACAAATTCTATTTTAAAAGACTCTCCCTATTATCTATCAAACTATTAGTACTCAATTCTTTCAACACACTACTGTATACTATATACTGTTAGATAACAGGCAGTGAGAATAAAAGATGGATAAGGAAAAAAATTCCAGATACGCAGCTCACAAAATAGTGGGGGATACAAACACAAATACAAGTATGTATCATTGTTTAATTTTAAAATTTTACCAAGATGTCTTTATTGTATAAATAATAAATATTGTATAAATAAAGAAGGCTTTATTGGTGATGTTTGAGCAACACCTGGAAAGAAAAGCTGAAATTCGCCAGATGGAGAAGTGTTCTCTGATTGTTTCATTCCCAAAGAAAACTGAAAATTCCTCAAAGTGGTAAGTTAAAATAGTTATATTTGAAGCAGACAGACTTCCTCAAACAGACTTCATATTACACAGTGCTTGTTTAGTTCATCACTGGGTACTTAATAAATATTTTTGAATAACTCTCTGTCCCCACCCATAGCGAGGCCTTCATTGTGGCACACTTAAATAATATTCTTAGCTTCCTAATAGTCTATTCCCATCTTCCCAATCAGAGCTCAGAAAGATCCTCCTAAAACTACCTTTTATTTTTAAAGACAGGGTCTCACTATGTTGCCCAGGCTGGCATTAAACTGAACAACTGTCTTCTCACCTTAGCCTCCTGAGTAACTGGAACTACAAGCATGTGCCACCATACTAGGCTACCTAAACCCACTTTTACTGCTCCCTGATCAGGAACTTGCAACGGTTTTCTGCTATTCCCAGATATCAGCCCTTTGCTTTGACTAGATTCCTTTCCCAATATGCACTGCACATATCTGCCTCCTCCTTCTGTCTGGAACGCTTTCCTCCTACTACTTCCTTCTATTTGCCTCTTCAAAATTCTATCCATCCTTCAAGAAGCCATCAGACTCTCTTGCTTCTTTTTAAAATAACAGAACATTACAAACGCTGCAGGAAAGAGAGAAACGCTAATGGAAAAGGTATACTTCGGACGCAAGGCATGTCTAAAATGTGGTAGAGACTTTTAAAACTAAAGGCAGGGGCTTGTTTGAAATTTACATGCAATTGTTATATCAACATAGCACACAAATTATTTATCATTCAAAATGTATATACTGCACCAACTACTTATTAAATAAGTGGAATAATGATTCTTCTAATGACATTGTGCTCTTTTAAAACCTTAACCATCCCACAAAATGGACAATGAATTCTTCATTACCTTAGTTTATTTAGGGCAAATTCGTCTTGGAATTGAAGGTGTCACGGGATTCAGAACTTTAAACATCACCAGGCAACATGGAACTAAAACAGCCAGCACAGAGTAACGTGCTTCCTACTTGAAGGACAACTGGTTAAACACTGAAATATCCCCCAAAAGTCAAGTTAAGGCAGGCTTTTTCAAGTGATAATTAGTATGCTTTACATTTCAATACCTTAGATTCCAGCTTGATTTTCTCTTCATTCAGCTCCTCCGTTGCTTTCTTAATTTTTTCACGACATCTGGTTATTTCCGACCTTACTGTAATAAAAATTAAATCTTTAAACACATCAATCTTTCTAAAGTCCCCATTTTGGTGGCGTTTGATAAGCCACCTTTCAGTTGTCTTTCCCTCAGCATGGCATGCAAGCTCCCCTAACGGCTCTGACCACTGCCTTCGGGATTTCCTTCTGCTCCAAGCACCCAGCATCAGAAGACAAAAGGCCCCATGCAAAGGACAGAAATACCCCGACCTTCTCGCATCAAACGGCGACTCTCCTCCGCCTGATGCTCGGTGAAGATGATGTGCTGAAACAGGGACTCCAAGCTCATCTCAGGGCCTGGCTCCTGCGATCCTTTTCTCGCCCTTAAATATTTTATAACCAACTCTGAGGATCCTGGAAAGCAGAATAAAGAAGATGGATTCTTCTAGAACCATTCCCAGATAGACCTGTCTCCAACCCTCTGTCGCCAGCCCAGCAAGAAGATGGAGCCCGACGCCAGACGGTGTCTGAGGGGTCTGAGGGTCTAGGGACGCTGGCCGCTGCTGCCCCTTCCTGCCCTCAGCCTTTGTTTCCCGTTACAGTTTACAAACCGGGCTTTTCTCCCTCACGCCCTAAGAGGGCAGTTTCAAGGTCTGCCTTTTTCCCTGGCGGAACCCCTGACTCAGGCCTCCGTCCCTCCCTGGGTTTGTTTTTCGCTTTGGTGGCAAATAAAAAGGCTGCCAAGACCTTGGCTTTTGAGGGCGTCTGGGCAGCAGCCATTTCTGTAGTCAGCCTTTCAATCCCAGTCCTCTCTCATTTTAGGGATAACGTCCTCAAGGTGCTCTGTCTTTCAGCAAAATGGTACGTGCCAACAAAACCCACGGCCAAAACCTTCCCTAAGGCTGGAGCCAGTGCTTCAGGTCGGGCCTTGCCTGTGAGAACTTAAACTACGGCGGCTCATTGGGACCATCCTGTGGGGGGCAGGTTTGCCCTGGGCATGTGAACCCCAAAGGTCTTAGGCCCAGTTGGAGTAGGGTTGCCCGGTATCCAAGGCGCAAACACTGAATATTATAAAGTACAAAGTAACTGTGATTCTAAATATAAACTTTTACAAAGTCTTATACTTTGACGATGGCAAAGACTGCTATAAATGTGCAATGTCTGACATTCCGCCTTAATCATTCCTTTGTAATCAGGGCATATCTTTTTTGTCTGCTTTAAAATTAATCATTGCCTTTTGTAATCAAGCTGCAGTAATATTAACACTTCAATATCTGCGCAATATGTGTCAGAGACCAAAGTGGTTGCTAATTAAAGCTTAAACATGAAAGGCACCTTTGGGACTTCTGCGTGGGATTTTTTAAATCAAAAATTAAAATATTTTTAGTTTTAGTAGGTTGAAATATTGACATTATAATAAACATTTGACTTTATTTCTGAATGTAAAATTGGCATTGGTTGAACTTTAAAAAGTAATTTGTTGTTAGAATGTATTTAAAATTAAGTAAAATAAACATTTGACTTTATGAATGTAAAATTGACATTGGTTGAACTTTAAAAAGTAATTTGTCAGAATGTACTTAAAATTAAGTAAAATAAGGTAAATGTTAATTCTGTCACATCACAATAGGCTTAATTAATATTTCATTAATGCTGCAGTCTAATCAGTTATACATTTTAACCTATTCCAAATTTCCGCCTTAATTTCCATCAAGCCATTGATGCATAAAACTTAATTCTTTGAGTTTATTTTAAAAGAATAAATACTGAAAAGTATACAAAGCAGAAAAGAACTGCCCATAATCATGTCATTTAGAAGTACATATTAACATTTTACCAATTCCCTTCAAGGTAACCCTCCTCACTCTTCATTTTTCCTTTATAAATTTGAAATTATTGTGAATCAGTAATAATAATAATTTGTTATTATTTGCCAGGCACTATTTTGAACACCCTATATCCTTTTGAGATAATTTTTGCTATCACCTTCATAGCGTAGTTGAGGAAACTGAGGCACGGAACAATTAAGTATATTGCCATAGTTGCGTACCTCATATAGGGTGGTGAGAACTGAAACCAAGAAATCTGGAATCAGAAGCCATGAATTTAATTTTGGAGTCTACTATTTTATCCTCTTATTACATCCCAGACATTTTACCATTTCATTAAAAACTCTTCATAAATATATATTTATAACTTCATAATCCTCCACCATAAAGAGGCATGTGTAAAATTTAGATATACCAAAATAAGTTTTACTCTTATCTGTTCAAGGGTGAAAACAAAGCTGAAATTGTGGTTTGAACAGTTTTCTTTGAGCACTTGTTTGGAGGCTTATAAACTGTACCACAGCGGCCATCAAAGGAAAGGGCTTCCAGAAGATAAATTACATTACTAATTAATAACACTCCCTTCAGAATTATTTCCCATGGACTTGCACAAGGAACGTCATCACAAGGAGGCTGGTTTTCAAAAACATGCTGCTATTTAACGTTCCAATTTTATTAGTTACACTCAAATTCACATGTATTATTTAACATGCTCTTTCTGTGCTGAAACCTGGCAGAGTAAAATTTGGGCAGTCTTTGGGGAGTGCAGTTGCCTCACTTACACAGGAGTATGGAAGAAAGAGCTGCTGGAAATTCAAGAAAGGGGGTATGGGGAGAAATGGCTTCTTCATCTTCTGCAGTCTTCTTCTTCACATACCAGAATATTTTGGTGCTTTTAAATCCAAAGTTACAATCTTCTAAGAGGTATCATAACTATACACGTTAGCAGGAATTTTAAATTTTATTTTGTTTTTTGAAGCGAATATGATTCATATGAGCTCACAACTCAAAGTTTAAGTGTCCCATAATAATAAAAGTGACATATTAAGATAATTAAAAATACTGCTATTGTATATCTAGGTTTATTTATACATTTTCTGTAGTGTTAAAAGATAGTTTTTCTTATAGATATCCGTGCTCATTACATCTTATAATGTTCAGGGCAAGAGCAGCAGTACTTAAATTTATGCCAAATAAAAATGGTATACAATGTGGTAAAACTTGGGCATACAGTTTTCTGAAAATGTGCCTTATAAGTCTAAAAAAACAGAGATGATTCATTCAACAACTGTTTAATGAGTTTCTGCTATTCATTCAACAGATATTATTGAGCATCTCCTATGTGCCATATTAGAGAAAAAACAACAAGATTTAATAAAGCAGAACTACATAAAAAAGTATTTTTCTTCCCCTGGATATTTCTAACCTCACTGGAGAATTATTATATTTTTTAGCATTTTGGCAGCCGTATAAACAACTGCTTTCAGATGTTTCAACAGATGTTCTTTAGAAGGATGGTCAGTTATTTGCATTGTAATACACAGATATGATTCTCAGATCTAAACCTTCCATCTGTACATGTTCCATTGAGTTGCATACCTATGGAATATAAAAGTTAAGATCACTCATTGTCTCTCAGCCTCAGACTTTTGTTCATAATAACACTAGCACCTGGGTTATTGAGCCATTGATAATTGCTTTGCTAAGAAGGCCTTATATAAGGCTATATTGCTTTTGTGATTTAAAATGTATTTCCTCTCCTTTCCTAGATTGATGACTTCCCTAAGTTCTAAACCAGGCTTGCAAATACCCACTAGCCCAGGGCATATATATTGCAATGGAAATAAGAAAAGTAATTCATTTATTTTATGTTTTGTCTTAGGGCATCTGCCACAAAGAAAAAAAAATATGTGGGTTCAACCAAGTTTAACAACCATTTATTGAGGCTCTACTAAGTGTAAAATTCTCTGCTGGGTACTATAGGGGATACAAAGTTGAAAAGGTACAGACCCTACTCTCCTGGAGGTGATAGTCTACCAAATGGGACATAGTATGCACAAATAACTCCAAGGCATGCTGTGTTTAAGAGCTTCACCCTTGTGCTATGGGAATATAGGAGAGGGAGTGAGAAGAAGTCATACGTGGGTGATCTACGAAGACTATCAGTAGGATATAAAATATGAGCTGGGTTTTAAAGGAGGGTGGTACTTCAACAAATATAAAGTAATGGAGAAAAATAGCAGAATGTTGGATGGGGTCAACAGTTGGATGATGTTTAACATGTTTATATATGTGTTGGAGGACTACATAATGTTTGTGATCGGGTAAGTCATGGGTCAGAGTTGTTTTATGCAGTCTATTCATGGCAGGAAGTTACAAGTAGTAAAAAGAAAGAGACTAATGGGTCAGTGGGTGCAGCAAACCACCATGGCACGTATATACCTATGTAACAAACCTGCACATTCTGCACATGTATCCCAGAACTTAAAGTATAATTTAAAAAATTTAAAAAAGAGAGACTAATATGTAGCATGTGTTGAATAGCTCACTGGCAAAGTCCATTCAGGGTTCTATAACAAAATGCCATAAACTAGCTAGCTTAAAGACAATGGAAATGTATTATTCATAGTTCTGGGGGTCTATGAAGTCCAAGATCAAGGTGCCAGCGAATTCAGTGTCTGGTGAGGGCCCATTTCCTTGTCCATAGAAAGGGTCTTACTGTGTCTTCACATGGTGGGAGGAGCTAGCTAGCATTTTGCTGTCTCTTTTATAAGGACACCAATCCTAATCATGAGGTCCCTGCCCTCACAACCTAATCACCTTCCAAAAGCCTCACCCCCGAATACCATCACCTTAAGAGTTAGGATTTCAGCATATGAATTTGATGTGGGGGTGACACAAACATTCAGGCTATAGCCCTTGCTATGAGACAATAACCATCTGAGACTTTGACATGTATTAATTCTTTTAATTGACCCAACAACCATAAGAGATTAATGCTTTTATTATTTCGGAGACTGAGACACCATAGCCAAGTAACTTGTCTAAGGTCCCATACAGTAGCTAGGAAGCAGCAGAATCAGAACTTGAATCCTGATGGTCTCTTAAGGCAAAGGTCTTAACCACTTCCCTTTACTGCCTCTAAAAACTAGAGGCAGGAGAAAATAAGACTATTTAAGTAGCTGTGTTTTGTTTCAAGGTAGAGACATTTTCAAAAAAATGCTTATTACCAGCAAATTAATATTTTTTCTAAAGAAATTTCAGACTTCTACAATTTGGATTAGTAATGCAGTGTATTTGTAATGAATTAAAATAAGATGTGATTTAAGGAAAAATAATTGAAACTGGGTTATGTCTTGTTATAAATGCTTATTCCACCAACCATATATTTAATACATAAAGCTAAA
Source organism: Homo sapiens (assembly GCF_000001405.40). Taxonomy (NCBI): domain Eukaryota; kingdom Metazoa; phylum Chordata; class Mammalia; order Primates; family Hominidae; genus Homo; species Homo sapiens. The sequence continues at coordinate 116,320,124 of NC_000010.11, read as the reverse complement.
AATGCAATTTATATGCAAAATATTATATTTGTTTCCTAATATTTATATTTGTTTCCTGAGGCTGCTATAACAAAGTACCACAACTGAGTGTTTTAGAACAGAAATTTATTCTCTCACAGCTCTGGAGAGTGAAAGTCTAAAATCAAGGTGTCAGCTCAGTTTGTTCCCTGTGGGTGCTCTTGAGGAGAATCTATTCCTTGCCTCTCCCCAGCTTCTGGTGCTTACTGGTCAACCCTAGCATTCTTTGGCTTATAGACAGTCACTCCTATCTCAGCGTCTGTTGTCATTTGGAATTCTCCCTGTGTGTCTCTGTCTCTTTCTCTCTTCTCCTCTTTTTTTTTTTTTTTTTTGAGATGGAGTCTTGCTCTATCGCCCAGGTTGGAGTGCAGTGGCATTATCTCAGCTCACTGCAAACTCTGCCTCCTGGGTTCACGCCATTCTCCTGCCTCAGCCTCCTGAGTAGCTGGGACTACAGGCGCCCGCCACCACGCCCTGCTAATTTTTTGCATTTTTAGTAGAGATGGGATTTCACCATGTTAGCCAGGATGGTCTCGATCTCCTGACCTCGTGATCTGCCCGCCTCGGCCTCCCAAAGTGCTGGGATTACAGGCGTGAGCCACCACGCCTGGCCTCTTCTCCGCTCTTTATAAGGACCCCAGTCATATTGGATAAAGGGCCTACACCAATCCAGCATGACCTCATGTTAATTAATTATATCTAAAAATGACCCTATTTCCAAATACGGTCATTTGGGATGTACTGGGACTGTTCAAGTCAGGACTTCAACATTTCTTTTGGGGGGACATAAGTCAATCCATAACCAACCTGAAAAGATAAGTTGCAGGAAATAGCTATGATTTAAAACAAAATTTTAAGCAAGATTGATTTATTTCTGTTATGGTCAAAGCATTTTTAGTGATTTAAGGGACTGTAGAAAACATCTTGCCCAATTCTTTTCTTTTATAGGTGTTAACATAAGGCCAGGGAGGTTGATAAATTTCCCCAGTGTTGTACATGCAGTTTATATCAGAGCTAGGTCTAGAACTGCCACCTAAAATTTTTCTGTTCCAATGAAAGATATTTTTTGTTCACCAGTGGCTTTGAACCACTTCAATTAAAGTAACTCCTCTTTAGTCTGTTTTCTATAGTGAACTTTCTTATAAGAGATTGAAGAAATGGTATAATAACCAGGGTAAAGGGCTGGCCTGGAGCAATTCATCCTCTGCAGGGTCCCTTCCCCATTAAGGAGATTAGAGAGATGATAATATTACTAGACAGACAGATAGATAGAGATATTGAGAAACACACATGCATGCATACACATATACGTATACATACATAGATACATACAAACATGTATGATAAAATGATATATAGAGATATAAATGCTTAAAAGCATCCATTTTATCTTCAGTATTATGCTTCTACGTAAAAATCTTCATTTTTAAATGGTCAATTCTTAATCACTGATTAAGAAATGCAATTTTTTTTTTGGTCATGAAATACATGGCATGAAGAAATGCCATGCACTTTAGGAATCATTAAATATCAAAATATTGGGAAGAAAACTCTGCAGTGTACCTGGTGAACTTGGATTTTTACATTGTCAGAGCTCAGAGCCCAGCACGGGGGCCAGGAAGGCTATCTCAGGTACTGTAGCCAAGAGAGTAGATTGTTAGCCCCAGAAAACAAAAATAAAACAAAACTTGGAAAACAAAATTCTCTACCATGTATAATTCATTTATGTATTCAATAAATATTTATTGGGTCTATACTATATGTACAGCCAGTAAGAATTTGGCATTACAAAGATGAATAAGACAAGGGGCTTAAAATCTAGTTGTTATCAAGTTGTAGTTTACATGACAATGAAGTGGTTTGAGATTATTATATAAGAATAATTAAAAGATAATTTTAAGACAGTTTGTTTTCTTACCGTTACTTATTCTAGTCATTAAATAAGTAATGACACTTAATCATTATTTGTCTACCTAATTAATACATGATTACTTACCCACTAAATTATTGACTCATAGTTGTTGAGTTGGTCTAAACTTAAACCAACTGTTAACATATTCTACTCTGTCTAATCGTGTATCACAATTTCTATGAATGAAGTTTTCTATTAATTTAAGTGAATTAGTCATACCAACTATTTGGAAATTTGGGAAAATTGCAATATTTCTATTACGTTCTATGAATTATTTACCGTGACTGAAAAGTTTGAAAAAAATTTAATGTACATATACACATACGTGCGTAGATAAAGTGAACCATAATTCTGTTTCTTAAAACACTTTGCTAAATTGCTCATTTATCAGGATAAAACTACTTTATGCTGTCAATGTTTGAAATGACTTTAGTGGCCTTAATACAATAGTATTGCGTTATAAAAACCAGACACTGCCATTATTTTCCCGCCAGGATGTCATAGACAGTTCAAAATGTTTTATCATAGTTTACATGGCTCATAAACCTTATCTTTCATTTGACATTGCAGGTGTGCTGTTAATAGAATGTAGAAAACCCCTTAAGAAGCTTAAAGGAAATAATTAATTAGCATTTAGATAAAAGAGTTCACTAAGAAACATTTTAAACAGAAAATAAGCTGATTATTTCATAGGTAATGGTAAGCAGTTCTGGAAAAGAATTAAATGGAATGAATAGAAAGTGGAAGGAATTGAAATTATCTGAAGACATATAAGGAAATATTGCAAAATTCTAGAATTACTGAATAAATGTATATGTCATCATTTGAAATTTGACCGTCTTATAATTTTGTGCTTGTTATGTTTCATTATTTTGCTTACAAAATGTGTACATGCACAGGTTTCTTATACCATTAGACAATCTACCCTTTACCATTTCCTTTTTCAAGATGTTAACACAGAAAAAAAAAAAAAGCAGGAAATGGGCTGAGATCCCACACTGTTTTGTACCATAGCCTTAAGTGAATAAATGCAAAGATTGTGCATGAAGGATCCAAACACTCATAAAAAAGATTCACGGTGTTATTCTTAGAAGAAATTAATAAAACCTAAGAGAACTTGTCAGAAAAAATGTCCTAAAGATGATTTTATTTCAGTAATTGTTGTATTTTAAATGCTTTCATTTTCTTTTGCGATGGCTTTCATCTTACTTACAGTTATTATTACTCATAAAATATGATATTTTGGTCCAGGAGGCTGTAACTGTAAATGAGACATAATATTCTCATCTAGGAGTAGATAAGGGGATTCAAATCTCCTGCTTCACCGTGTAAGCTGATTACCACAGAGGTCAGAAAGCTAGTTTCCACTTCCTTTAAGTGCCAGCTGTGATGTTTAATGTAACCAACCAGACACCCTTTCTTCCTTTTTTTCAGTCTCAGCATCTGATTGGCAGCCTGTCTCAGTGGTTTATAAGATGGATTAGGAATTCCATGCTTTGACAGTTGTGTTAGGGCTTGAGGGTGAGTCTGTGAGGAGTGACCACAAACATCATTTGGTGTTCATTGAAGATGTACTTGTGCCAGCTCCTGTGCCACAACAATGAACAAGATAAATGAGCTCTCAGGACTCAAAGAGCCTGCAGGGGCAACAGGAAACGAGGCTTATTAGTTCATTCTCATGCTGTTAATAAAGACATACCTGAGACTGGGTAATTTATAAAGGAACGAGGTTAAAGTAACTCACAGTTCAGCATGACTAGAAAGGCCTCAGGAAACTTACAATCGTGGTGGAAGGGGAAGCAAACACATCCTTCTTCATATAGTGGCAGGGAGAAGAATGAGTGACCAGCCTAGGGGAAAGCCCCTTGTAAAACCGTCAGATCTGCTGAGAACTCAACTCACTATCACGAGAATAACTTGAGAATAACCGCCCCCATGATTCAATTATCTCTACCTGGTCCCTCCCATGACACATGGGGATTGTGGGAACTATAATTCAAGATGATATTTGGGTGGGGACACAGCCAAACCACATCATTCTGCCCCTGGCACCTCCCAAATCTCATGTCCTCACATTCATTAATTCACACTCATTAATTCAATACAAATGGACTAAGTGTAGGTATGAATATAACAGCATAGAATGGAGACCTGCTGTGAATGATGTTAACAACACACTTACACTTCACAGTCTCTCAGGCTGGAAGAACTTGGCATCTGCAGAGCAGAGAGGAAGCCAGTGGAATTGGGGCACAGATGGGGTCGTCAAAGGGGTCAGATCCAGCAGGGCCTTGAAGGCAAAAGAAGGAGTTTGGATTTTATCCAAATGTAGTGGAGGGCCCTAAAAGGGTTGCTTCTTCTTAAGAATAAGATGAAAACTGTGCACTGCTCCCTTGGTGGAAGAGTGGCTGCACATCACAGTGGACTGGCTGGAGTGTGTCTACCTGGGTCCAGGGCTCATTTGGCTGATAACTAGCTATGTGACCTAGAACAAGTCATTGACTCTCTTTCACCCTTATTTTACTTGTTTTCAAATGGGGATAGGGGAGGTAGAGTAAAAGAAAGGGAGTAAATAGGAGAGAGGAAAGAAAAAAATAAAAACAATACTTACAGATGGAAATTTCAGATAGTAAATTAGAAAAAAAAAACCCAAAACTAAAAATTTAGTAATAAAATCCTTTAAGCAAGGAGTTGTCTCACTTCACTCTCTGGAAAAGTCCCAGACAGGACACATAGAAAAGAATCTAGAAATGTATGAGGATCATTGCCTTCGGTTAAGAATCAATATCAGGGTCTTAGGGAAGAAAAATTCAAGATTTCTGCCAGAATTCTCTCTATATCTTTCAGATTTCATCGTATATAAGTGTGTACACAGTAGAAATTCACTGTACACCCATTCTACCTGTAAATATATTGAAATGCTCCCACACAGATTGGCAAATAATTGCTTCCCAGTCCTCCAAGACCAACCCTTATCACTCTGGCTGTTCTACCTCCACCACCAGGCAGAACTACCCACAGTCTGGCATCTAACTGGCTAATGCCTGGCTTAACCAAAGGCCTCTGCTCAGTGTCAGTTTTGACTGCTCAGTGCCTAGGTCTATAGATGTATTAGCGTCTTATGGCTGCTGTAACAAATCACCAACTTAAAATAATACAAGTGTGTGATCTCACAGTTATGCAGGTCAGAAGTCTGAAATAGGTCTTCGTAAGCTAAAATCAAGCTGCTGCTAGTCTTTCTGGAGGCTCTGAGAGGCAATTCCTTTCCTTACCTTTTCCAGATTGTAAAAGTTGCCCAATCCCTTAGCTCCTGGCCTCTTCATTCTTCTTTAAGTCAGTAATGTAGCATCCTCAAATCTCTCTGCTGCTCTGACACTCCCACTTCCCTCTTAGAAAGACCCTAATGATCCCACTGGGCCCACCCAGATAATCCAGGATAATCTCGCCATCTCAAAATCCTTAACTTAATCACATCTTCAAAGTTCCTCTTGCCAAGTAAGGTGACATATTCACAGGTTCCAGGGATTAAGATGCAGATATCTTTGGGGACCATTATTCTGTCTACCACAGTGGTTACATACTTTAAATATTGTATCTGAGTATATACAATAAACCACATAGAATTCTCATAAAAGTGTGTCACAGTCAAAAGGTGAAATATGAAAGGAAAGAATCTGAGTCATATAGAAAAAACATTAAAAATAGGTCCATGTCTCAAGAACTTTCTGGAACACTATAGACCTTTAATTCCCTCCTCTACTTTAGTAGTTACCAGTACCAAATGGATAAAATAGCTCAAAAGAGAAACGAGTTGGGGCAAGACAGAAAAGAGGAAGAAAATGGAAGTATCACTTGTAAGTCCCAATCTTATGTCAGTACTCCAGAGAAGAGGATAGAGGATATAGATCGTGGCAAGGACAAGAAGAGATTCCAGAATCTATCCAAATGATCCCAGGGAGGACAAGAAAACACTCCAGAAACTGATAGTGAGTTTGTATTAGGTAATCACTAAACCTTCCAGAGTCAATTGTCTCCTAATCTAGAATATTAAAGGAAAAGAATGTGAAAAAAAAAGATCAAAGGAATTAATGACAATTTGAATGTCCTCTGCAATTAAATGCCCATGGGATTGATTTGATGAAGTTTGGAGATAGCTAATCTAACATAGTTTATCAGCTCTTGGAGGGCAGTGAGTTCTCTGCTGAGACTCATATTTGATGGTTCTTTGTATATCAAACAGTGGTGTGTATGTAATGGGAGTAAATATCCTGAAATAAAATCCAGGAGCCACAATCAAATGGTAGCTTCATGAGGCGGTCTTGGGCACACCACTGATTCCCAGCCCCTAGAACAGTATCAGGGAAACAGCAATTTCCCAATGACTTTGTGTCAGATGAATGAATAAAGGAAAATGAATGTATGCAAGGGTTGGCATGAACAATAGTTTTTGGTCTAAACAATGAACATTTAAGTGTTCATTTTAATAACTAGAAAATGCTAGAAACCAATACTGAATTCAGTGTATTGGCATTTTGATATACTGTATCAAATCCTAAGTGATCCAAAGAATTTAAAAGCCTATATTCCTGTCTGTAAATAGGATTTCCAAGATTCAGCAAATAAAAATATATAATTTCCAGTTGAATTTGAACATCAGGTATACAATGAATAATTTTTTAGTGTAAGTTTGTCCCAAATACTACATGGCAACCTATCTATAATGTCATATTGTATTGTATTTTAGATAAATTATAATTTTGTAAAGATACTAGCTTTGTAATGATGGCATTCTTAAGGAAGATAAAAAAGGTGCTTTCACTAGCTTGTGTTCAAGGTCGGGGTATGAGAAGGTGGAGACCTGCTGTGTTGTATTGTGCTGTTTTAAAAGCATGCTTTTCTGTAAGCCAGGGCCCATGGAGTAGAAACTGAAATTTAGCTTCTCATAAATTCTGCAGAGCTACCAGGGAACAGTAATCAGCAAGGATAAAATCTGAAGGGAAGGTCAGTGAGGCAGGTAAGAGCTGCTGCATCCATATTACCTAAAACACACAAAACTCCACGAAACAGGACTGGAAAAGCGAGCAAGGGTGGAAGGCAAGAATCATCCCATGAGAGTAGTGTTAGATTGCCTGTAGGAAAAAAACAAAAAAAAACTTTGTCAGCCCCAACAGCTACTTTAATTGTGTGTGCATGTTGTGCTAGTCCGTAAAATAAGAGTTGAGCACGTTCTATGTACTTTGTGGTCTCTCTTCATAATACCCTGTTGCTGTCAAAGTAATTCACTATTTTTCCTAGAAAAGGCATGGTGTTGCTGTGTTCATTTGTGCCTGATCCAAAGAATCAGTATGGTTGCCTTTTTCTTCTATTAGGCATTTACATGCTACCTGGTTGTTAGGCCTGAAAATACCAGATGGAGCTTGGAAACAGAGCAGACACTGTTGTCATAGAAACGAGATGCTATCCCAACTCTACGCAGCTGCCATCTTTTTTTTTTTTCTTTTTTTCACCATGAGGAGTTCTGATAGGAGCAAATACTGACAAAATATAGAGATTCCCAGCCCCTAAGCCCCCGCCACTCATACATCCCACCCGCCTTGGAATACAGGCACCATTAGTACATCCCTCAGCTTATTGAGAGCCTAAAACTATAGTAAAATGATTTGATTTTCAGGTCTTTTAGTCAGAGTGTAAGGGGCAAACCCATGCTTTGACATCATCTTCTTCCCTTAAACTGCAATGATGTATTTGTCCTGTCCCAAGATGAGACAATATCCTTTGTAACCAGGGAAGCCTCAGCTTTGGCATTGCTGGAAATGCAATCTAAGTGTTTGCAATCACTGTGCAATGTCAGTACTCAGCAGGAGAGAGGGGAATGGCCTCTTCTGATTCTCTGAATTCCCCACAGTGGCTAGCAGAATGCTGATCACACAGGAGGGGTATGATGAATTCTGTGGTTTGATGTTCAAACTTGAGGGATGCAGTTATTGGCCATGGTCCCACACTGCTGCCTTGCCTCTTCAGGTAGCTGTGGCATTCCCAAGGGAGTGTAACACCGGGAGAAGTGCTCAACACAAATGGCAAGAGGGGCAGCAAAATTTCCAGCAGGGAAGGCTGCTTTTGTGTCCCTCCACAGTTGGGAACAGGTTAAATTCTAGGGCCTTAATGTTCTGGCTTGAAGAATTGTGTTTAGCAATAAAGGGATATTAAAATTGACATGGTTTTTGGCAGTGGTTCTTGTCTTAGTTTCCTGTTGTTGCTGTCACAAACTGCTACACACTTAGGGGCTTAAAACAAGACACATGTATTCTCTTACAGTTCTAAAGGGGTCAGAAGTTCAAAATCAGTTTCACTGGGCTGACGTCAAGGTATTAGCAGGGCTGCTTCCTTCTGGAGGCTCTGGAAGAGAATCTTTTTCCTTGCATTTTCACACTTTAAAGTCTACCTGTATCCATTGGCTCATGGGCTCTTCCTCCATCTTCAAAGTCAACTTCATAGCATCCTGCATCTATCATCACTTTGCCTTCTTCTTCCACAGTCAAATCTTTCTCTGCCTCCCTCTTGTATACTTTGATTACATTTAGGGCCCACCCAGATAATCCAGGATAACCCCTCCATCCCAAGATTCTTCGTGTAATCACATCTGCAACCTCCTTTTTGCCATGTAAGGTATTTTGCCATTCACAGGTTCCAGGATTTAGAACACAGGTATCTTTGGAGACCATTGTTCAACCTACAACAGTTCCCAAACTTGGATGATCACCACTTGGAAAGCTTTTCAAAAATAGATTACCCAGCCCCGCACTAGATGCGTCCTATCAGAATTTCTTAGGAGGATGGGGGACCTGGGAATCTCTGTTTAAGACTCTCCCAGGAGATTCTGTTGAAAACCTTTGTTAAGAGCTTTTTCAGGCTCCTTCCCAAACAGGTGCAGTGATGATTTAGTGACACTGTGATTTTGTTCTGTGTATCATGTTCAGGGTCAGTGAATGTGTAGGGGAGGTTTTGAAAAGGCATTTATTTAGAAGCTTGGAAGGTCATACCATCATCCTCTGAGGTTTACAACGCTCCCACAGAATAGCTTTGGCAAATGACTGCGTCACGTGAACTGAGCCTAGCAACCCTTCAATTTAATGGTAAGGATACCAAAATTGTTTGCTAATGCCTCCCTAGACCTTCAACCATATGAAATATGCATCTTGATAGCTGGGATCAGCTGGCATTTCTTTTCCTCATGGAGACTTTTCCATATACTGCCTTGGACCATTCTTCTCCTTCGTAGATGGTTCCCCGTCACTCTCAGAGCCCTTGAAGTTGCCTATTTTGCCTACTTCAAGAAAAATGGCTGTGGCAGAGGAAAAAATCCATACAGTATCTTTAGAAAAACTGTAAATATTTTATCATTTCTTACTAAACATACATTATTTACTCTGTAATGTAAATATTTTATGGCCTGCAACTGGCAATTTTGGAATATTGGTATGTTTGGAGAATTGCGGTTCAGTTAAAAATCCTACACCACACACCCAGCTCATATTTAAATTACACAACTCTTTAAAAAGCATTTAACTCTCAGAAATGGGGGAGTAATAAAATCTTATTTTTCAAAGAAGGCTTAAGGACCTGACTCAGACCTGAGACAGCATGTTTGTGTGAAAAAGAAAGTTGGAGCTGCAGCAGCCTGGGACTTCCATCCTCTGTGGGCTGACAAGATACAGTTACCTATGCCTAAGTGTCTAATTTCATCGAGTGACGAGAAGGGGCAAACATGCCCATAACCAGCTCATTAGAGAAGAGTTTCACCACACACAAAAAGGCAGAAAAGCTTCCCCGGCTTTAGGAAAAGCACGTGGAGTTGTACATAGGACAAGAAAATTCTTTCATTAAATAAAATGGCTACGTATCAGAACATTTAAACCAGGTTTTCAAATATAGACCTCAACTGTTTGGAGAATTTTTTCTGTTTTAATCCCAGTGACTCTCTAATACAGAGGTCATAGAAGCTGCCATCATCCTAAATTACAGCCCATTTTAGAGGTTGGCTGTAATCCAAGAGGTTGCATTATTCCAAACTGCCTGTCAAAAACTGTCAAAACACTGCCATTTTCCAAAAGTAGTCCTTTTAAATAATTTTCTCACTCTTTTCCCTGAAACTTTACTGGCATTGAGCTTTAATATCATAGCTTATAGGCATAGTAAGTGAAAGCCTTTCAAATGAGAAATGGCAAAAAAAAAAAAATACCCATATTCTAGGCATATAACAACATACAAAATTCTAGGTGGAAAATTGAGTCAAATTTGCAGATGCTTTCTGCCCCCAAAGCAATAGCCATTGCTAATCTACATGTGAAATGGTAACCAAAGAATAAAGAAAATATGAGTCCTAGCAGTATTACTGATTTTTCACATTTAGCATGTGGAAAGAATTCTATAGTTCCTAGAGTCCATATTTTTTCTTTTTGTTCTTTCCTTCTATACCAAATTTCTAATGAAAGATGTTTTATCTCACAGTTTACTGATGTCTATTTTCTTCATTTTATAAATGAAGAAATTGACACCTGGACAGCCGCCTGCATGATTTCCCCAAGGCTTCATGGTGAATCTGAACCTAAATCCTTCACTCTTTTTCCCCAGCTTTATTGGCATATATTAGACAAATAAAAATTGTATATATTTAAGGTGAATTATGTTCACATTTGATAATGTGATGTGATTACCACAATCAAGCTTATTGACATATCCATCACTTTCCATAGGCACCTTTTGCATATGTGTGGTCTGAACACTTAAGATCTACCCTCAAAGCAAATATTAAGTATGTAATACAGTGTTATTAACTATAGTCACTATGCTGCACATTAGATCTCCCGAATTTATTCATCCTGCACAACTGAAATTGTGTACCCTTTGACTATCATCTTCCATTTCTGAAATGCCCAGCCAACTGGCAACTACCATTCTATTGTGTTTTTATGATTTTGACTTTTTTAGATTCCATATATAAGTAAGATCATGTGTTATTTGTTTTTCTACCTTTGGCTTATTTCACTTAACATAATGTCCTTCAGATTCGTGCATATTGACACAAATGGTAAGATTTCCTCCTTTTTAAGACTGAATAATATTCCATTTGTGTATATTCTTTACCCATTCATCCGTTGATGGACACTTAGGTTGTTTTCATGTCTTGAATATTGTGAATAATACTGCAAAGAACATATTGTAAATCGGTACAGACATTATGGAAAACAGCATGGATGGATCCTCAAAAAATTAAAAATAGGACTACCATATGATCCAGCAATTCCACTTCTGGGTATATATCCAAAGGAAATGAGATCAGTATCTTCCAGCAATACTTGCACTCCTTGTACTCTTTTTAATATGCATTCCAGCTCTCTTTTTGACTTGGAAATTCATCTCCTTTATCTTATCTTTTTTACATCAGACTTAACTCCAGAATTTTATGCTACCTGGATTAGAAACACCTCCCTCAAAAAGAGAAATTCCTGCCACCTACATTTTCTCAAATATAGACCTTGAATTTAAAACTTCAGTTCTACAAAGAATTTCAGCAACCACTCCACTTAAGACAATTTATCTTCCAAACAGTATAAGATAACAAAATGTTATAAAGAGGCTGCTCTTATTTTGAGGCATTACAATTCAAACAACAAATTAGGAAATCAACAGGATCATTCAGTCCTACAATCACTGTGACAGTTGTATTTGTCAACAACTAGTTTTCAGAAGAAATAGAACTCAAAGAAAATGCATATCTTCCAAATTCCAACAAAGAGATATGTAGAAATACTTTTTAAGACTATCAATAGTTTATTTATAATGAAAAATTAATTCACAGGTGAAGTCTTTTCACAGAAAGACAATGCTTTGAACAAATGTAGCATAAAGATGTTTCAAAATAGAACTGCAGCATCTGAAGATACTAATAATATATGTAATGTTGCTTGATGTCATTAGCAAGCAACTCAAACTCTTCAGCTACCGTAAAATACAAACCACAATCAGCACATTCTCAGGAGCAGTAGATCTGTCTGACCTGACTTCTGCTCTGCAGTTAACAATTTTGTTTTAATTCATAAAAAAGAAATTCTTATCACCTCTAAATTGTGCAACTGGGTTCCCAAAAGATCACACTTAAGTCCAATTTCCACGTTCCATGTTGTTCTATGTCTACATCAATCTCTACGGCTTGGAAAATGTTAAATCACTGACAAGCCATAATTAACTCGTTATCAGTGAAGACAACCCCACGATCTTCCAGTGAAGGATGTAAAATTCTAAGAAATCCCCTTCCCAAAGAGTATTTTATTGAATAACTGTGGTTCTTTACCACCCTGTTATGAAAAATGTGCCAGGCTAAAATATCTGAACTTCAGAAAAATTACATAAAGAAAGATTTTCCTAGATGTGGCTTAAAGAACGCCTAATATTCCTCAAGATTTTCATATTTTCTTTAAAAACAAAAACAGTGATTCCGTGTGAAAACAAGTTGGGAAACTGCATTCTTTAGTCCCCCTGGGGACTCACAAAGCACATTGGTTTATTAAAGGTTCTGAGACATCCTGCAATAAAGAAACCTGATTCATTCCATTTAATACGATCTTCCCAAATTTATTTGGCCACAAAGCCCTTTATTTCATGAAGCATCCTTAACCATGTTTGGATCAATGATGTTCTGCAAAATACGATTTGTTTTTCAAACCCTGGTCTGGATTTCTGTTTAGGCTGCTACTGAGGCCTTGGTCACAGGCCATTTAGCTTCCCTCTGGCCAAAAGTTCCAAAATGTGGGATTCAGGTCTAGGCTAGCATTCTGCTAAACTGTTGGCCATCATAGGGGCAGACCATGAGTGCGTGTCACTATTTTACAAATCAGGAAACTGAAGTTCTAATTTGCTCAAACGCAGAAGTGACAGAACTGGCTCTAGACTCAAAAGCCCCCACTTTATAATGGGCCTTTTCTGAAATGAGAAGCCTAAAAATATATAGCATCTTTGTCCATTTAGAAAAATTCCCTCAATTTCACGATTTTAAGGAAGATGAGAACTCAGTGTAATCATAGCCAAAGACTATTGTAATGTCACATGGAAAATTGACCTAAGAAACCAGTATTTAACTATGAATAGAAATCACGGGTTTTACCCATTGTGCATAGTCATCCTTACTTGATTTTGTAAAATTGAACATATCTTTTATGATTTTCCAGCCAAATATTTTTCCTCAAATTTCATTGTGAATACAAATCATAATGTGACTCATTCTATTATTCCAACTTCATGCTGCTCTTTTTCTAAACTATAACTTCCTTTATGCTTAATGTTCATTTGGAATGATAGATAAATAGAAGGATCCATATTTTGCAACCATTCAGATGTTTCAGTAACTCATAGTCAACACATCCCTTTAGTGTACATATCCAGCAAAGAGTGAATTTAAATGGCAGGTATGTGAACAAAGTCATGGGGAATTCTGCCCACAGTGTATACAGTCCTAAGTGCTTCCTTCCAAGTATTTATTTTAATTTTATATCTCTAATCATGCATACCTTATTCCTTGTACAGTAAATGAGATAAATTATGAATATTTTGGAAGAATTTGCTATAAAAATAAGGTACGAGAACGTTTATTTACTAGGCAGCTTACGGAAAATTGTCATGACTCCTGTTTCTACCTAAATTCATATGTTAGCTCATTTGTAATAAATAAATTCCAAGTCAAAAGCCCAATGGGCAAATATAGTTTAAGGACATGCAACACTGAATTATGTACTTACTTCTTATGTGCAACATAAAGGGAATGTTCATACTTATTTTTGAACTATAGACACCACCACTGTTACCCACACTACAGTTCAGCAGGAAGCTTAGACTTCCTTCTACTTATAAAGAGAATACAAAACTCAAGGCCAATGTCAAACATTAGCTAATTCTCAAACTTAATGCCCATAAGATGATGTGTTATATCTGAGGTATATTTTCAGATACCAGAAGTTTTGCCATGGGGTAGGGAAAAGGTCTGTATCATGGCCTTTTGGACCAAGTGTTAACATCATATTAGGACTCCTTCCTTTTCTCTTAACAATCAAACTCTTGTACTGCCAAATGGCCAAGGTTTTCAGGGAAGGGAGACCAATGCCTCCCCCGCTTTTATTCTCTGTAAATAACAGGAGGGTCAAAAGCACTGGCAGTCATTCCTTGGACCTTGGATGGTATCCAACATGGATCAATGTCATAATAACAGTCTCCAAATCATGTTAATATCAACATTTTGGTGAAGGAACAAAGATGGTGAAGATGGGATCAATGGTATCCGATTACAATCTTGAGATAACGTCTGCTCTGTGGTTAATACCAAAGCTGGAACAATTTTTTGTCAGGCATATGTTGTTGTACTGCACTTCACTTTACTGGGTTTCCCAGATATTGTGCTTTTTACAAAATGAAGGTTTGTGGCAACCCTGCATTAAGCAATTCTACTGGTGTCATTTTTCCAACACCACAGGCTCACTTCATGCCTCTGTGTCATATTTTGGTAATTCTTGCAATATATCAAACTTTCAAATTATTATATCTGTGATGGTGATCTGTGACCAGTAATTTTTGGTGTTATTATTGTAATTGTTTGTGAGCACCATGACTAATTCCTATATAAAACAGTGAACTTAAGCTATCAATATTGTGTATGTTCTGACTGCTCCAACCACCAACTAGTCCCCTGTCTCTCTTTCCCTCCTCAGGCCTCCCTATTGCTTGAGACACAATAATATTAACATTAGGCCAATTAATAACCATACAATGGCTTCTAAGTGTTCAAGTGAAAGGAAGAATCTCACATCTCCCACTTTAAATACAAAGCTAGAAATGATTAAGATTTTTGAGAAAGGCATACCAAAAGTTAAGCCAAAAGCCAGATCTCTTGCACCAAACAGTTAGCTAAGTTGTGAATGCAAAGGAAAAGTTCTTGAAGGAAGTTAAAAATGCTACTCCAGTGAACACTTGAATGATAAGAATGAAGAAAAAAAAACCCAAAAAAGCCTTTTTTGCTGACGTAGAGAAAGCTTTAGTGGTCTGGATAGAAGATCAAACCAGCCACAACATTCTCTTAAGCCAAAGTCTAATCCAGGGCAAGGCCCTAACTCTCTCCAATTCTGTGAAGGCTAAGACAGGTGAGAAAGCTACAGGAGAATAGTTTGAAGCTAGCAGAGTTTGGTTCATGAAGTTTTAGGAAGAAGTCATCTCTGTAAAATAAAAGTGCAAGGTGAAGTGCTGATGGAGAGGCTGCAGCAAGTTATCCAGAAGATCTAGCTAAGATAATTGATGAAAGTGGCAACATTAATCAACTGATTTTCAATGTAGACAAAACAGTCTTATATGGGAAGCAGATGCCATCTAGAACTTACATAGCTATGGAGGAAAAGTCAATACCTGACTTCAAGACTTCAAAGGACAGGCTGATTCTTGTTAATGCAGCTGGCCACTTTAAGTTCAAGCCAATGCTTACTTACATTCCAAAAATTCTTGGCCCCTTAAGAATTATGTTAAAGTTACTCTGCTTGTGCTTTTAAAGTGGAAAAACAAAGCCTAGATGACGGCATATCTGTTTATAATATGGTTTACGGAATATTTTAAGCCCAGTGTTGAAATCTACTCCTCAGAAAAAAAAAAAAATTCTTTTCAAAGTATTACTGCTCATTTTCAATGCACCTTATTACCCAAGAGCCTTGATGGAGATGTACAAGGAGATGAATGTTGTTTTCATGCCTGATAACAAAACATCTATTCTGTAGTCCACAGATCAAGGAGTAATTTTGACTCTCAAGTCTTAACTGCTCGAGAGATACATTTTATAAAGTTATAGCTGCCATAGAGAGTGATTCCTCTGATGGATCTGGGCAAAGCAAATTGAAAACCTTCTGGATTGGTTTCAAGTCTTTGCTATTGTGAATAGTGCCACAATAAACATACATGTGCATGTGTCTTTATAGCAGAATGATTTATAATCCTTTGGGTATATACCCAGTAATGGGATCACTGGGTCAAATGGTATTTCTAGTTCTAGATCCTTGAGGAATCGCCACACTGTCTTCCACAATGGTTGAAGTAGTTTACAGTCCCACCAACAGTGTAAAAGTGTTCCTATTTCTCCACATCCTCTCCAGCACCTGTTGTTTCCTGACTTTTTAATGATCACCATTCTAACTGGTGTGAGATGGTATCTCATTGTGGTTTTGATTTGCATTTCTCTGATGGCCAGTGGTGATGAGCATTTTTTTATGTGTCTGTTGGCTGCATAAATGTCTTCTTTTGAGAAGTGTCTGTTTATATCCTTCGCCCACTTTTTGATGGGGTTGTTTGATTTTTTTTTCTTGTAAATTTGTTTAAGTTCTTTGTAGATTCTGGATATTAGCCCTTTGTCAGATGAGTAGATTGCAAAAATTTTCTCCCATTCTATAGGTTGCCTGTACACTCTGATGGTAGTTTCTTTTGCTGTGCAGAAGCTCTTTAGTTTAATTAGATCCCATTTGTCTATTTTGGCTTTTGTTGCCATTGCTTTTGGCGTCCATGATAGACTGGATTAAGAAAATGTGGCACATATACACCATGGAATACTATGCAGCCTTAAAAAAGGATGAGTTCATGTCCTTTGTAGGGACATGGATGAAGCTGGAAACCATCATTCTGAACAAACTATTGCAAGGACAGAAAACCAAACACCGCATGTTCTCACTCATAGGTGGGAATTGAACAATGAGAACACTTAGACACAGGGCAGGGAACATCACACACCGGGGCCTGTTGTGGGGTTGGGGGAGGGGCAGGGATAGCATTAAGAGAAATACCTAATGTAAATGACGAGTTAATGGGTGCAGCACACCAACATGGCACATGTATACATATGTAACAAACCTGCACATTGTGCACATGTACCCTAGAACTTAAAGTATAATAATGATAATAAAAAAGAAAAAGAAAACCTTCTGGAAAGGATTCACCATTCTAGATGCCACTGAGGACATTTGTGATTCATGGGAGAAGTCAAAATATCAACAGTAACAGGAGTTTAGAAGAAGTTGATTCCAACATTCATGGATGACTTGAAGGGGTTCAAGACTTTAGTGGAGGGAGTTACTATGGATATTGTGGGAAAAGCAAAAGAAGTAGAATTAGAAGTGAAGCCTGAAGATGGGACTGAATTGCTGCAATCTTATGAGAAAACTTGAACGGATGAGGGTTGCTTCGTATGCATGAGTAAAGAAACTGGTTTCTTGAAATGAAGTCTACTCCTGGTAAAAATGCCATGAACATTGTTGAAATGGCAGCAAAAGATGTAGTGGAATATTCCATAAATTTAGTTGATCAAGCAGAGGCAGAGTTTGAGAGGATTGATTCCAATTTTGAAAAAAGTTCTACTGTAGGTAAAATGCTAACAAACAGTACAACACGCTACAGAGAAATCTTTCCTGAAAGGAAGAGTCAATTGATGCAACAAAGTTCATTGCTGTCGTATTTTAAGAAATTGTCACAGCCACCCCAACCTTCAGCAGCTACCACCCTGATCATTCAGCAGCCATCAACGTTAGAGAAAGACCAATCAGGAAAAAGATTTTGACTCACTGAAGGCTCAGATAATTGTTAGCATTTTTTAGCAATAAAGTATTTTTAAATTAAGGTACTTACATGTTTTAGACATAACGCTATTGCACACTTAATAGACTACAGAATGGTATAAACATAACTTTTTTTTTTTTTTTTTGAGACGGAGTCTCACTCTCTCACCCAGGCTGGAGTACAGTGGCGCAATCTCGGCTCACTGCAACCTCCGCCTCCCGGGTTCAAGCTATTCTCCTGCCTCAGTCTCCCAAGTAGCTGGGACTATAGGCAAGCGCCACCATGCCTGGCTAATTTTTGTATTTTTAGTAGAGATGGGGTTTCACCATGTTGGCCAGGCTGGTCTTCAACTCCTGACCTCAGGTGATCCACCCGCTAAACATAACTTTTATATGCATTGTGAAACCAAAAAAACATTAATGTAACTTGCTTTATTGTGGTGGTCTGGAACAGAATCTGCAATATCTCAGATGTATGCGTGCATGCCATTGCTCTGCTGATTTTAAGATAAAATTGTGGGCCGGGAACTGTGTGAATCATTTTTGCATGATTATTCCTTTCAATCCTCAAAACAACCCTATGCTGTAGGCACTGTCATTATCCCCATTTTAAAACGGAGATTTAAAGAGGTGAAGCTACTGTCCAAAGTTAAACAGTTCAGAAATCATAGGGCTGAAACTCAAACTGAGTTCCATTTGGTATCTCTGCATTTGCAATGCATTTTGTGGATTTTAAGCTGGAATTTCTCCCTCCATCATGTTTCTACATGCCTTTCTACCAATGTCTTGTTTCATATAAATTTATAGTCTCTTTCTTGCAAGACAAACATTTAATGTTATTTAATCTTCAAATCTTATTCAAATCTTATTGCATGCTAACAAGCTTCCCAGACATTTGGGGAGATAGGATAATGGAGAAGAGAGTATGGGGAACAATTCCTGGAGTCGCTCTTCATTTTGATTTTGATTTCGATGTGTGTGTGTGTGTGTGTGTGTGTGTACATTTTTTTTTTTTTTTGAGATGGAGCCTCACTTTGTCACCCAGGCTGGAATGCACTGGCGCTGATCTCAGGTCACTGCAACCCCCACCTCCCGTATTCAAGCGATTTGCCTGCCTCAGCCTCCTGAGTAGCTGGGACTACAGGTGCATACCACCACACCTGCCTAATTTTTGTATTTTTAATAGAGATGGGGTTTCACCATGTTTGCCAGGCTGGTCTCGAACTCCTGACATCAGGTGATCCACCTGCCTTGGCCTCCCAAAGTGCTGGGATTACAGGCATGAGCCACCACACCTGGCCCATGCTAGTATATTCTTGAAAAAATATTTGAATAATTACATCATCCTACTACAAGTATTTACTAAGCTTTTGCAAGGCAGAAAATGCATATATACATATGGTTCTTGCTCAATGAACTTGCTATCTCAAGTCAAACTCCCCCCTAACATAAAAAAAAAGGAAAAGGGAAGAATGAATTGAGAGAGAGACAAAGACAGAGAAAGATGAGAAAGCTTTTTGTTTTCCTTTCTCACAAAATCTAGTTTTCCCAGTTGAATTCAGGTGCTGTGGTTTTTCTCCATTCTGTCTAAAAAATAATTTTTCTATCACTTAATATTGTGTGGTCTCTGAAATCAAGACTCTTTCTCTTACAAAAGTGCAGCAGTGGCCAAATTTCCACAGCCAGGAGAAAAGGGAAGATTGAGACAGTTTTCTCAATAATTGCTTCAATCCTCCCCCTGGTCTTGGAAACTTGGCCAGCAACTACTAAAAAGATGTGGAATTGATTTTCACCCCTCCTTGTTGTTACTGTTTCCTCTGCCTGAAATGCTGTTCTCCTGCTTCTAAGTTTTCACACTCCCTCTCATTCTTCAGGTCATATGCCACCTCCTCTGGGAACTTCCACTGGTGCACCGCAATCCCACTGTCCTGATGGTGTTAATTCCCTCCACCCCTGGAAAAATGAATCACTCCTCTCTCTGCTCCTTTAACACTTTGTTAGACCATTCTCATAGCACTAATCACATTGTGTTGTAGTTAGCAATTTGCTTTTCTGTGATCCCCTACATTGGTGAATTTCCTGAAGGCAGGGAATTTTTTTTTTTTTTTTGAGATGGAATCTTGCTCTGTCTCCCAGGCTGGAGTGCAGTGGTATGATCTTGGCTCACTGCAACCTCCACCTCCCAGGTTCAAGCGATTCTCCTGCCTCAGCCTCCCGAGTAGCTGGGATTACAGGCACACACCTCCATGCCCGGCTAATTTTTGTATTTTTAGTAGAGACAGGGTTTCACCATGTTGGCCAGGATTGTCTCGACCTCCTGACCTCGTGATCCACCCACCTCAGCCTCCCAAAGTGTTAGGATTACAGGCGTGAGCCACCGCGCCTGGCCGGGAATTTTTTTTAAAAAATTCATGACTATGTCCCCACATTGCCTGATACATAGAGATGCTCAGTGCATCTTTATTTGACGAGGTTTGTACCAGAATTGCCATATTCACTACCTTAGCCGGATTCCAAGGTAAGAGAATTCTCCCCATGCTGAAGCCTCCTCTCTTGTCCTGCCATAACCACCGGCTTCACTACCCCAAAGCTGGGTTCCCTGTCCACATGTTGAAGCCTAGGTACACATGCAAGTTTGAGCAACATATTACCGGTGAGGTTGGATCTAATGCCACAGCATGAGGAAGAAACAAGCCTTCTTTTCCCTATTTAGCTCCTAGCAAGGGTTTTCAGATTCGACTCATTTCAACTGATTTTATGGCTCTCAGCTAGGCCAGAAATCTAGACTCAGGGAAAATCACATAAAACAGCAAGTCCTGATTCTTCCCAATGGTTTCAGTAGTTGAGGTGGAGTTTGTTTCTTGTTTGTGTAAGGTAGAACACTTCTTTTTGAGCATTGCTCCCCTTACCCTAATTGTGTGTGTAATTGGTGAGGCTGTATCAAAGAAGACTCTACTTCCCATGGAGATCAGCATGTCCTAGGCCTACTAGAATATTCCACCTTGCCAGGCATAGTGATTGGCCAGAGTTAGGGATACCCAATCAGGGTCAGTGGGTATAATGCCTTGAAATTTGATATAAATTGGGAGGGGCATGGGAAAGAGACAGACAGACAGAGACAGAGACAGAGACAGTTGCCTAGTGAAATCATAAGTGCAGGACCATGCAAGCCTATGAGCTAGGCCAAGGAGGGGATGGAGTTGGGAGCATGTGTGTTGGGAGGAAGAAGGGGATAGGAAGATAGTACCTGTTACTGGGAGACAGAGTCCAAAGGAGTGTTCTGGACTCCAGTGTATAGACCAACATAAAGTTAGTTGTAAAGATTGTTTTAAACCAGTTAACCCTTGCTGGAAATGCCTGAAGACAAAACTTTCCTCCAGATCTGCACCAGCTCTCAGCAGCCCTACCTGTTAAGTGTTCTCCATTGGCTACAGCCAGTTTGGGAATGAATCCTTTACAGAGGAAGCACAGCTGAGAGATGGGAAGAAACAGACACATTCCTGAGGACATCATCTGAACCCCTAGATCCAGCCTAATTTGCACTTTCTGATAAGCTGCTACAATAAATTGTCTTTTTGGCCTGAGCTGGTTTGAGTTTGGTTTCTGTCGCTTGCAACTAGAAAAGTTCTGACCAATAGATCTTTTCTAATACACAAATCTGCTTCTTATTTCCTGGTGTTGGAAGGAGCACCTCAAGTGCAATGATGCAGGATTGCTGACTTAATTTTGATGCTGTACTCAACTCTTACTTGTGGGAAGATGTTACCTAAGAACGATTTTGAAGGAGTGGGCAGGTTGAGAGAGCTCAGATTCACACTCTGTTAGAGAACAAGTCTCACCTATACATCAGAAGTTAGTCCCCGAGAAAAATTCTTGCCTGCAGAAATACAGTCTTGGTCTCTCAAGAGTGATTGCTCTGGCCTGCTAGGATTTCCATTAAGGGATGTCATTGACTATTGATTTTGCCCAAATGTGCACTTCTTCTAATGCAAAGTGAGTTTATATTCTGGCTGAACATCTTGGTACTTTTCAAACTACAACAAAGGTGCTTGGTAAAAAAAGGTTTGAAGTTAATGAGATTTCATTTAGTTTGCATTGTATTTTCTATAACCTAAGAAAACCCATCCCCAAACCTTAATAATTTAAAATGACCATTGACCAGTCAAATAGTCCCCATATTTTCAATTTTCCTGTAATAGATCATGTCTCTGTTGAAGCGGACTATTATAGCTGCCTGAAAAAGTATTGTTTGATGTCTGTAAGCACAGTCAGCAATCAATAATTTGAAATTTGTACCATTTGTACCTTTAAGTCCTGGCACATCATTTTTTATTTCATTCAATCTGCTTACTGTTGAAGAAAAAGAATTTTGAACTATTGCCACAAAACACATTTATGTGTGAAACAGAGTTCATTTATATGGCAGGAAGTATGTCATTTTGACGTTTATTTGCAATATTAATTGTATATATTGATTTCATTTTTTCAGAAATTGTAAATTTATTATAAATACTACCACTGATGACCTTATTTTGGTGACACTATTCTTCTGCAGAACTTGAAAAGATTTGGCATCTTCATGGCTTTTTAAATTCAGAAAGACAACATATGCTGTAATATTAAATTAAAATTCTGTAATCGGTTGTTAGTTCAAGGACAAACTTCAGTAGGAAGTGCATCTTTTTTCAATGTTGCCTCTTAGCTGTTAGATGAAGAATGAATGACCTTTCATGATCAGCTCATATTTACTTGTCTCTCTAACTCATTTCTCGTGTTTGATCTTAGCCCAAATATAAATATAGTGTGGAAAGTTATCTTTAGCCATTTCTAAGTATCACCAGTGTTTTCAGTTGGTAATCATAAGAGCAGCCTATGATTACTTTCAAAACCTTTCTCTGCCCTCATCAAATATACCGTCCTCTCCACAAACACACAGGGATAGTATTTTTTTTTAAAAAAAACCTTCTTCCCTACAGGTTTGGGGTTTGAAATAACTGAGTACTCTGAGTAATGAATCCTTACAAAGGACAGCTGAGTTTAGCATGCCCAAGGGAAAAAGAAGGTCAAAGTGTTGCCACCCAAGAATCCTGGGAGCTTCTTCAAAGAAAGGAAGGAAGACCTTAGACTCTTCATGAGGGATGAGATGTTCTCAGGCTTTTCAAGAGGATACAGGATTTAGGCTGGACAGGCCAGCTTGACTGTAATAATTGCTGCCTGAAAGAGAGGAACACCCTTCTAAAAGGATGACTACACTTTGGGAGACAGAAAGGTAGTCTGGAGTCTGTTCTTTCACTGACTCAAAAGTACAGTTCAATTACTTTACTTTGCAGACATCATTTTTAAAAATCACATTGAGCAATTTAGTGTTCACATTTTAATTGAGGACCTAGTGTATGATGGTGTGATAGACATGTGAAAGGGGCATTTGAGTTGGATCTTGAAAGATGGGTAAGACAGATGGAGAAAAGAACGTGAAGCAAAGGGAATAACATAGACAAAAGGTAGAAACATAGATAGATATACAGGAAGCAGTGGAGTGAGTAGTCCAGTACATGTGGCATATCAGATATATGGAGTAGAGAAGTTGAAGTTAGGACTGGAAAAGTTGGAGCCAAACAGAATTTGAACTTTCCTCTACAGACAACCAGAAGCAACTGAATGTTCTCTGGTAGGAGAGCCAGAATCCTAGTTCAAGTCTAGGAAGGTCATCCCCGCAATGAGGGTAGGGGCCAACTGGAAGGAAAAGGCCAGGAGGAAGGGAGTGAGGGCATGATTGGAGTGGGCAGGTGGAACGAAAAGAAGGGGAGCAATAAAGGAGGAGTGGCAGAAGTGAAACTGTCAGGCTCAGCAGCTGCCTGAGTGGGGGATGCAGTAGACACAAGAGGGCTGAGCCTGGGTAATAAGAGGATGGCCGGAGGCAATGAATTCGATTCTGGACATCATGACTTAAAGTTTCTGGTGTGACATTTACAAGAGTCTGGCAGACAGCTGAAAATTTAGACCTGGACCTTGGAAGAGAAGACGGAGAGAAGATAAAGATCTGGGAGTCAAAGACGAGGAGGTGAGAGTTGAAGCCGTCAAAATGGATGAGATCATCAAGGAAAAACCATATGGAGGGAGGACAGAGGTTGAGCACACAGGAAGCTGAACCAGGACGGAAACAAGAAAATAAAAAAGAAGTACTTTGAAAGGCTAGGGAGTGCCAGAGAAATGCTATGTAATGATCAGGACTTGGAGAATAAAACACGAGGAGGTAGAGGGGCCAAGATTTGAGTCCAGGCTCTCTGGCTCCAAAGTCTTTAAACATTACACTATGCCATGTCTCTAAGAAAAAGCTCCATAAACGTCACTGCTATTAATGTTCTTATAAATAATACAGAAAAAGAGGACAGGCCTGGGAAAGGGAGGTGGGAGGACAGGGAATAGCTTTACCTACTTCTCAGTTTGAGCTAAGGGCAGCCCAGAACCCAGCTGTTGGCCAGCTGTAATGTAACCTTTTTTGAGTCTCTGCCTCCTGTCAGATGTAAAGATTGGACCTGTCACTGGCTGGGTGCGGTGGCTCATGCCTGTAACCCCAGCACTTTAGGAGGCCAAGGTGGGCAGATCACCTGAGGTCAGGAGTTTGAGACCAGCATGGCCAATATGGCTAAACCCCGTCTCTACTAAAAATACAAAAATTAGGCCGGGCACAGTGGCTCACGCCTGTGATCCCAGCACTTTGGGAGGCCGAGGCAGGCGGATCACGAGGTCAGGAGATGGAGACCATCCTGGCTAACACGGTGAAACCCCGTCTCTACTAAAAATACAAAAAGTTAGCCAGGCGTGGTGGCGGGCGCCTGTAGTCCCAGCTACTCGGGAGGCTGAGGCAGGAGAATAGCGTGAACCCGGGAGGCACAGCTTGCAGTGAGCCAAGATAGCGCCACTGCACTCCGGCCTGCGCGAAAGAGCAAGACTCCCTCTCAAAATAAATAAATAAATAAAAATACAAAAATTAGCCGGGCATGGTCACGCGCCCCTGTAGTCCCAGCTACTCGGGAGGCTGAGGCAGGAGAATCACTTGAACCCCAGAGGCAGGGGTTGCAGTGAGCCGAGATCACACCACTGCACTCCAGCCCGGGTGACAGAGTGAGAGACTGTCTCAGAAAAAAAAGAATAAATAAATAAATAAACAAAGATTGGACCTGTTGATCACTAAGGTCTCTTTCAGCATAAGTTGAGGGATAATATTAGAACCTACCTCATAAGATTGAATAAAGTAAAGTATATAAACTACTTAGCAAAGTATGTGGACACAGTACACACTCAATAGATAGTGGTAGCTGTTTTTACCATGTAATGATGAATAATTATATAATACCTAAATGGGTAGATAGTTGAACTCTCTGATGTTTTTGGTAGTTAACAGTGTTTGTCCTATACAAATAGCAACCACATAAGGTTCAACTTACAACTAATATGATAATTAGAATATTAGATTGAACCATATGAAACTGCAATTTGGGAGA
The DNA here is from genome assembly GCF_000001405.40 of Homo sapiens. Classification (NCBI taxonomy): domain Eukaryota; kingdom Metazoa; phylum Chordata; class Mammalia; order Primates; family Hominidae; genus Homo; species Homo sapiens. The sequence continues at coordinate 116,295,063 of NC_000010.11, read as the reverse complement.
TCAAAAATGGTCAAGTGTTGGCAATTTCATGTGGTTCAAATTAATCAAAACAATATGTTCTTGGCAACATTGAATTAATCCAAAGAGCTGAGTAATTAACACTTGTTATATTGGGTAATCACTTCACATGGGCAATTGCTTGCTTCACAAATTAGAAGGCTCTCCCTAATTATGTGTCATACAATAATCTGCATAATATCATCGCACTCCATTCCACAAACAGTTATGAAGCTTCCCTATTGTGCCAGGTATGGAGAGATGAATAAGAGACCAGATGCCTGCCACAGCATGGACTTGCTTCAGAGCAGAGTGCTCTGGTGACTGACTCCGCACCTCAGGTTGTGTCCTTTTAGAAACAAGAAATCACTGGAAGTAGATTGCTGCACATGATCATTTTCTTATGTTGATAATTCCCAGATTTTTTTAAAAATTCATTTTTTAGCAGTGCCAGTGACATACCAGGAGTGATATATGAGGTAGCATCAGACAGTGGAGGGAAGTTGTTGCATTGCTGGCTTTAGTCCTGGTTCCATAAGACGCAGCCCAGAACAAGCTGAAATGAAGCCTTTGCACTTGATTTTGATTTTCTGACATACACTGTAAACCCATTCTGTCCAGACTTCTCGAGTCAGCCCCATAAAATGACAGGATTTAAAAATTTATATAGTATTATACTCACCAGAAACAATATGGTTTAAGTTACAGTACATCAGCCAAATTTCATTTTTGCATTTGGGGAGAATCACAGGACTTTGCAAACTCCTTTCTCTGTCTTTCCAAGTCTTCTCTCTTGACTTCTTAGCCTCTCCCTTCACTTTGCTATTTCTGCTTCCCCTAGTTTACAAAGAATTTGACTTCAACTGAAGTTTCTCTAAAAGTAAGTGTTCCAATTAAATGTAGGCCAAAAAACTGGGAATCACTGGGCCATTATGTGTCATACAATAATCTGCATAATATCATCGCACTCCCAGGAAGTCAGTTCCCGAGAATCTATAGAAATAAACAGATTCAAAATTTTTCTTGAATTCCTTCCCATGAAAGCCAGCGAAGCAAGTAACTGGGACATGATTTAGCTCTCAGAAATGATAGATGGGAGATAAGCAGGTATATGTGAGCTTCAACATAAACAACTTTGGTTGCAAGAATTTTCTCCCCAAAATGACCAAATATGAAATTATTTTCAAAAAGGTTATTCCAGAAGAAGATGTTTCAAAGTCATTGAAAATAATAGTTTAAGGCTCATCTTTTTTTTACTGACTGCTTTGTTTAAGTCACGCTCTTTCTCTGGAAGAGAAGGGAAAGAAAGAGCCTTTCAAATTTAAGTTAAAACTTCCTCCTTCCTTTTCCTCTGCATCCCTTGTTTTCTACCCTCTTCCTCTCTCCTTACCTACAAGGTAATCAAATCAATACAAGGTAGACTATGATATCAGCTACGTTAAGTGATGTAAATATTCAGAAAAGTGTTCTCCTGAATGCTTTCTTCAAAGCACTCATTAGGTGTCAATCTGAGTCACTGGGCTTGTCAACGCACAAACTACAAAAAATGTCTACTAGTCTTCTTGGATTCCATAGCCCACACTAAGCAGTCTCTTTTTCTCAAGAAGCACAGGGTATTCAACTTCTCTCTGCCTGATATTTAATCTGGTTTGCCCTTCCAGATCGGAGTACTCACACTTCCAAGAAGGGCTTTTTCTGAAGAATGAATGACAAGCTTCTCAAAGATTTTTGAAACTCCTTTCCTTTGAAAATAAAGTAAATGTTTTATTTGCAGTATTTTGTTTTTATATTAAATCATCATTTTGCCACCTACTTGCTCTGACACAGAAGTGTGTTTATTTTAAGCAAATGGTAACTCAAGTTTGCTTCTTTCCAAATTGCTCTTCCATGAATCATGTTCATTTATTTGTCCAATCATTGAATGTTTATTGGGTATCTATTTTACTATGTAGTGTTCAGTACATGATATACTGTGAGTTATTCAATGCTGGAGGTTACTCAGCGCTAATGCTGAGAGGTATTCAAAGATAAAGATTAAGAAATGGTTCCTACCTTCAAGAAACTTGTACTCTGATAAGGTAAAATAATAATTTTAATACAAGGTAGACTATGATATCAGCTACGTTAAGTGATGTAAATATTCAGAAAAGTGTTCTCCTGAATTTCTTTGAGACCTCTGCAGTCTAAACCTTTTATCTTTGAATTGCACTTTAAAATTATGTATCATTAGATGTTCTTTTCATAGTATCAGGCTTTTAAAAAGTAATTTAGTCATAAATGACTTCCTCTATCTTCCCTCTCAAAGAACCACAGCTTTCTATCAATGTGTCAAGATAACTCTTACAGCTTTGATGAACTTTGGTAAATATGCAAGTCATCCTTAAACATGGAAACCCAGAAATCAATGGTAGCAAAAAGATAGGTTAACAGTTGAAATAAAGAATGCCTTAAAAACTCAGCAATGATCACCAGTGGTAAATTCCATCACTTACAGAGGAGGAAAAAGAATTCTCATGCCATCAGTTCAGGAGCCTACAGATAAGTGTGTAAGTATTAATTATTTGATGTTCTTAGGGATCAGCACAGAGAAAAATTATTGACAAGTGATATATGTGGATTTTGTAAAACAATTAACAAAATTATATAGTACAACAATTCCTGTAAGTTTTCAACACCTAGCACATCACCTGGCTCACTGTAAGTAAATGGATAAATGGATACATGATATTTCTTATACCTAACAAGGTGCCTGACATATAGGAGACACTTAGCACATAATTATTAAGAGTAATTGATTAGGGACACTTGTTTTAGTTATTCAACTAAGTTATGACACACATTTGCAAACCTCGGTGCTGATGAATGTTCCTGTGGCAATTCCAATATCTCAGTATTTCAGGCAAAGTTCGAAATCTACATTTTCAGGTTTCCAGGATCCGTGCTGTTACCTCCCCTAAATTGGGCAACTCCTATACATGATTTGAGACTCAGTTTCAAGGTCAACTTCTCAGAGAGACTTTCCCTGACTCTTAGACCATCATTTATCAAAGTCTGGCTCATGACCCACCTGTATAAGATTCACCTGGGTTATTGGTAAAAGTGCAGATTCCTCAGCAAAAGAAACTGACATCAGAGTGAACAGACAACCTACAGAATGGGAGAAAATATTTGCAATGTATCAATCTGACAAAGGTCTGATGGACGGGTGCGGTGGCTCATGCTTGTAATCCCAGCACTTTGGGAGGCCGAGGCAGGTGGATCACAAGGTCAGGAGATTGAGACCATCTTGGCTAACATGGTGAAACCTTGTCTCTCTGAAAATACAAAACGTTAGCTGGGCATGGTGGCAGACGCCGGTAGTCCCAAGTACTCGGGGGGCTGAGGCAGGAGAATGGCGTGAACCCGGGAGGCAGAGTTTGCAGTGAGCCAAGGTCATGCCACTGCACTCCAGCCTGGGTGACAGAGCCAGACTCCATCTCAAAAAAAAGAAAAAGAATAAGTCTGATATCCAGAATTTACAAGGAACTTAAACAAATTTACAAGAAAAAAAACAAACAACCCCATTAAAAAGTGGGGAAAGAACATGAACAGGCACTTCTTGAAAGAAGACATTTATACACCCAACAAACATATGAACAAAAACTCAACATCACTGATCATTAGAGAAATGTAAATCAAAACCACAATGAGATACCATCTCACACCTGTCAGAATGGCAATTATAAAAAGTCAAGAAACAACAGATGCTGGCGAGGCTGTGGAGAAATAGGAACACTTTTACACCGTTGGTGGGAATGTAAATTAGTTCAACCATTGTAGAAGACAGTGTGGTTCATTCCTCAAAGACCTAGAACCAGAAACACCATTTGACCCAGCAATTCCATTACTGGGTATATACCCAAAGGAATATAAATCATCCTACCATAAAGACACATGCATGCATACGTTTATTGCAACACTATTCACAATAGCAAAGACATAGAATGAACCTAAATGCCCATCAATGATAGACTGGATAAAGAAAATGTGGTACATATACACCATGAAATACTATGCGGCCATAAAAAAGAATGAGATCATGCCCTTTACAGGGACATGGATGGAGCTGGAGGCCATTATCCTGCAAATTAACACAGGAACAGAAAACCAAATGCCGCATGTTCTCACTTATAAGTGGGAGCTAAATGATGAGAACATACGGACACAAAGAGGGGAACAACACACAATGGGGCCTGAGGAGCGGGGTTGCGGGGGTAGGGAAAGCATCAGGATAAATAGCTAATGCATAGTAGGCTTAATACCTAAGTGATGGGTTGATAGGTGCCACAAACCACCATGGCACATGTTTATCTATGCAACAAACCTGCACATCCTGCACATGTAACCCAGAACTTAAAATAAAATTAAAGAAATTCCTAAAAAAGAAAAACAAAGTGTAGATTCCTACTTGAACTGGTATTTCTACACCCATGTTCATAGCAACTTTATTCACAGCAGTGCACATCAAGAGATGAATGGATAAAACTTGGCATATACATACAATTGAATATTATCCAGCCTTAAAAAGGGAGGAAATTCTGATACTTGCTACAACCTGGCTGAACCTTGAGACATTATGCTGCTAGCAGGCATGAAAATGGGGAGTTTTATAGTGTTTCAGATTCAGAAGAAATTTCAGAAGATCTAGAAAAAGGTTCTAGAGATGGATGAACATTGAGACATTATGCTGCTGGCAGGCATGGAAATGGGGAGTTTTATGGTGTTTCAGATTCCGAAGAAGTTTCAGAAGATCTAGAAAAAGGTTCCAGAGCTGGATGAAGGTTGAGACATTATGCTGCTGGCAGGCGTGGAAATGGGGAGTTTTATGGTGTTTCAGATTCAGAAGAAGTTTCAGAAGATCTAGAAGAAGGTTCTAGAGATGGTTGGTGCTGATGGCTGCACAACAATGTGAGTGTACTTAATGCTGTTGAATTGCACACTTAAAAATGTCTACAGGGTAAATTTTTTGTTATCTATACTTTACCATAATTTTGAAAAGTACAGATTCCTGGCCACCCAAGCCTAGGTAATCAGAAAACAGAGAGAGAGAGAGAGAGAGAGAGAAAGAGAGAGAAGGAGACAGGGAAGCAGGAAGGGAGAGGGAGAGAGGGCAGAAGGCAGGAGAGAGAAAAGGAAGGGAGGGAGGGAGAGAGAGAGGAAGGGAGAGAGAGTCGGGAGGAGGAAGGGAGAGGGAGACAGAGAAGGAAGGAGGAAGGGAGAGAGAGGGAGAGAGAGAAGGAAGGAGGAAGGCAGAGGGAGAGAGAAGAAAGGAGGAAGAGAGAGAGGGAGACAGAGAAGGAAGGAGGAAGGGAGAGAGAGGGAGAAAAAGAAGGAAGGAGGAAGGGAGAGAGGGACAGAGAGAAGGAAGGAGGAAGGGAGAGAGAGACAGAGAAATGGAACAGGTAGGGATGCAGCTGGAACCTGCAAGCTCTCCGAATGACTCTAATATAAAAATGTGAGGACATTGATACATACCACATTAGATCCCCACTGCTTTATACCTTCACAGCAATCTATACGTTTACTTTGTAACCATGCTTGTAATTCAACTGTAAATTCCATGAGGGCAGGGGCTCTGGCTGCCTTGTCCAGCATTTCATACCCAATGTTTAGTACAATACCTGGGTCAGGGTGGTGCTTTTTTTTTTTTTTTTTTTTTTTTTTTTTTGAGACAGAATCTCGCTCTTTCGCCCAGGCCAGAGTGCAGTGGCGCTATCTCGGCTCACTGCAAGCTCCACCTCCCGGGTTCACGCCATTTTCCTGCCTCAGCCTCCCGAGTAGCTGGGACTAACAGGCGCCCGCCACCGCGCCCGGCTAATTTTTTGTATTTTTTTAGTAGAGACGGGGTTTCACCGTGTTAGCCAGGATGCTCTCGATCTCCTGACCTCGTGAGCCGCCTGCCTCGGCCTCCCAAAGCGCTGGGATTACAGGCGTGAGCCACCGCGCCCGGCCAGGGTGGTGCTTTTTATATATTTTTTGAATTATTTAATTTGAACATAAATCTCATATTTTTGTTTACAAAATAAATAATTGTCTTGAATGCTTGATATGAAGACTTGAGACACTGCACACAAAAGACCTGCCACTGTGCCTGACTCATAGTAAGTGTTTAATCACTAGAAGCTTGACTATTATTAGTAGTAGGAGGAGGAATAAAATTATTTACAGTTTAGACTAGGAGTTACAGACATAGTTGCCTACAGGCTCCAAGCAGGTTATGTAATTGCATTCAGCATGCTGGTTTTATATTATCCAATATGAAGTGGTGGGAACTGTGGTGGACTAAACTTTTATTCATCATATAAAGTAGATCACCACTACTTAGCCTATCAGTACTATATGAGTACTCGGGTCCCGAGTTACCAGATCTTTTGATTTTTCAAGAGAAGCTGGAAATATGAATTTTCATCAAAAAATTTCCAGTGTGTAAATTGCCTTTAAAGAGAACTATGTAAGCTATTTAAAGGTTTTAAAAGCTCTGTGCAAACCAAACAAAACACATTTGTCCATGGGCTGAGAGTTTGTAGCCTCTCATTCATCCCAAGGCTCAGAACTTTCCAGGTTCCTGGGATAGACTCTCCTTCTACCAAAAATGGAATTGAAATGTCTAACTTGATTGAACTCATTGCACTTCTGAGTTTGAGAGACCATCTAGTTCAAACCAATCAGAACAATAGGGTGATAATGGTGTCCTTACAATTGATCTGTCAAGAAGCTCAGGGTGATGGGGGTGGGGGCCCAGGACAGATGTCTGTGGATGCTCACAGCTGCGCTGACATTGCCACCAGCCTGAAAGGTGGGACAGTAGTGGAGGATCATGTTGTATGCTCTTGTTTAATTGTGTTCCACTAGATTTCTTGGTGTGCTACTTACTGCCTTTGCAATTAGGTTATTTATCTATACCTAGGAGGACAGAATTCTTTCCAGCAGCTAGGGGGCTCTAGCAGTCCATCTTTCAGACACAAATTTGCTAGAATTTGCAAGTCTAAATATGAATGACTCTTTTCATAGTTATCTCTAAATATTACTAGATTAACATAATCTAAACATTTTAAAAATTCATATGCAAAATTACTGATATTCTTGGTCAAAAATTATTCTCTTATTTCACCTTTTTTCTCCTTTTCATTAAAAGTTCTTTTCCATATAAAATTAAGCTTCTTGATTTTATGTTCAAAGTGTTCTAAAAATCTAAATTAGAAAGTAAATTTCTACTCATGGGGGAAATTATTGACATGCCTTGTAATCATACTAAGCATTTAGGTTGGTATATATATTCCACCTCCCAGGCTCAAGGGATTCTCCTGCCTCAGCCTCCCGAGTAACTGGGATTAGAGGCACCTGCCACCACAACTGGCCTATTTTTGTATTTTTAGTAGAGACGGGGTTTCACCATGTTAGCCAGGCTGGTCTTGAACTCCTGACCTCAAATGTGCCTTGGCCTCCCAAAGTGCTAGAATTAAAGGCATAAGCCACCACGCCCAGCTAGGTTGATATAGTTTAGCCCAATATTTATCTAGCACATCTAGGGTAAAACTGTTCATTGATACTAATATGATAACTAGCAAAATAAATTCTTGCTCCATAAAAATTATATAATTTGACCACTTAAAAACCAGAACAATGTTTCAGCTTTTTGGGATGCTCAACAGAAGGTTTAAGTGGAGCATCTGAAGTTGTATCTGCTTGCCACGCCTGCTATTTTTTCTGACATTTCCACTGTCAAGACATTTAAAAGTAATAATTTCGCTTTAATTCCCAGTTTCTCTTTCTTGTGCCCTGCATTCTGCTCTAGGATATGTTTTGAAAGCACTTAGAGGAACTTAATGGACAGATTTAGCAAAATCTTCATCCTGTTTTCACAGCTCAGTCGCATACAAAGGACTGAATAAACTCTTTCCTCCTCGCGCCTTCATCTCTTAAAAGTATTGATTGTGGTCAAGGGGAGAGGCAGAGGGAGGGAGATTTCTCTTGTGTCAAAGCTACACCAAAAAAAAAAAAAATTGTGTTGTTGTTGAATTGGTTCTTTTCAGCTGCTAAATGCCCACTTCCGGTTTCTTATCAGCCACTTTGGTGTAGGATTGGAAATAACGTTACTTAAACAAGTACCCGCCCGTATTTTCAGTTTCTTGAATATCTCAAACATCACCATTTCCCAAGTATACTGACTTCAGGAAAATAGAAAAGGGATTTTATTCCAAACCCTTTTTTCCAATTTGCAAACCCAAGAGAGTTCAAGGGAAATGCAATCCACATGTTTCTGACCATTTCTACGCAAATATCTAAAGTTTTTTTTTTTTTAATGAAAGTGATTTGATGTCTACAAAGCTTTTAAAATAAATCTTGGTTATCCCGCCATTTTTCTCTAAGAAAGAAGTTTCTTTGGATAAGATTAAGTTAATATGAATCTCTTAAAATCTGACTTTGTCTTTAAATTAAAAAATCATGGCCGGGCGCAGTGGCTCACGCCTATAATCCCAGCACTTTGGGAGGCCCAGATGGAAGGATCACGAGGTCAAGAGATTGAGATCATCCTAGCCAACATGGTGAAGCCCCACATCTACTAAAACTATAAAAAATTAGCTGGGCTTGGTGGTGCGTGCCTGTAGTCCCAGCTAACTTGGGAGGCTGAGGTAGGAGGATCATTTGAACCTAGGAGGCGGAGGTTGCAGTGAGCCAAGATCGTGCCACTGCACTCCAGCCTGGAGACAGAGAGAGACTCTGTCTCAAAAATAAATAAATAAATACATAAATTAATAAAATTTAAAAAAACTCATTTCAGTAAGGGTGGGTTCTAAACTCACTTCTAAATGTATCATGTTATCTAGCCCCTCATCTATTTTTATCATTTCCTTTATTACATTCTTTCAAGTCCTTTTTATATAGTAAATCATTCATTCATTCAACAGATACAAATGCCTATCTGTCCCAGGCTGTGCTAGGTTCTGGGGATACAACAAGAACATGGTAGACATGCTCCCTGCCTTCATGGCACATTGAGTCCAGCAGAGAAGAAAGAGATTGAACAAGGGTTTGCACATCTGATGAGAGAATGCCAGGATAATAGAGAAGGCTTTCCAAAGGAAGCATCTTGCATGCAGCAATCCTCACCCAAGCAAAACGGGGACCATGTCAAAAGCGAGACCAAGGGAACAGCAGGTGCAAAGCTCTGGGGTGGAACACAAAGAAGGTCTATAGGGCTGGAGCTTAAGAAAGTGAGCACGGAGGGGTGCAGGATGAGGCTGGGGAAGACCATGCAAGACCCTGTTTGCCCATCTGCCTCTTAGAATTCATAGCACACTCAAGGCCACTAACAGGGACAAAACAGGATCTTCCTAGCCTGACACACCTCCAGACTAGCCCTCCGTGAGCATTTCACCCAAACACAGAGTCTGTACTATGTTAATGTACATCCCCAAATCACCAGCAAGGCAAAGCAGTCTCCTCCTCTGAGATTCTTTTAATTATATGGGGATATAGAGATAGATCTTTATTATATATACATATCTATGCATAGATGCATATCTTAGGTTGGTGCAAAAGTAATTAACCTCAGTTAATTGTGCACCAAGCTAAGCTAATATGTGGCTATGAATGTGCGTGCGCATCTTTTGCATTTTCTACCTTTCAGGCTGAGCCCTCCTTCCTCGCCATGGCCATTACTTTGGCTCAGGCTTCCTTTTCTTCCCTCCGCCAGATGTTGAAATGGCCTCTCAGTCTTCCTGCCTCCAGTCTCTCACCTCTCCAATCTCCAAGCTGTGTGCCTCATTTCATAATGCCACTTCCCTCTTAGAAATTCCTGAGAAGTCCTGTGTGAACCTCTGATGAATCTGCTTTGCCCGGAGTACAGAATCTGGAGTAGTTTCTGGCCCAAACCAACCTCAGTGGCCTACCTCCCACCCCTCCTCTCTCCACCTTTCCCCACCTCCCCAACCCTGTACTGCAGCCCCCCCAGCCACATGGACTTTCCTCGCTTCATCTGATGGAGGATGTCTGGTTCTATGCTGTGAAACATTGGTTGCATGAGATATTAATGGTAGTTAGGCCAACCCCCCATAGTCAAATGTGTTGGGAAAATATAATAAAGTTGAATTGTGTCACCCCTAATGTATATGTTGAAATCTTAACCCCCAGTAGCTCAGAATGTGACCTTATTCAGAAATGAGTCTTTACAGAGGTCATCAAGTTAAAATGAGGTAATTAGGGTGGGCCCAGGTCCAATGCCACTGGTGTTCTTATAAAAAGGAAAAGTGGGACACCGACACACACACACACACACACACACACACACACACACACACACACACACAGAAAAGCCCAGGTAAACATGAAGGCACAGATCAGAGCAATCATCTACAAACCAAGAACACCAAAGATTGCCAGCAATCCGCCAGGAGAGAGGCATGGAACAGATTCTCCCTTACAGCCCTCAGGAGAAACCAACCCTGCCAACACTGGCCTCCAGAACTGGAACAGTAAATTTCTGTTGTTTAAACCACCTAGTTTATGGCACTTTGCTATGGCAGCCCTGGGAAACGAATACAAAGTTCAACACCTTATTTCAGTGCAAGACTTTTCAGAGTGTGTACTAAGCTCATGTGCCCTAAATCTCCAAGACGGGACAGAGCATCCCAAGCCTACTTGACAACAACATCCCCTCCCCACTTGCATCTCACAAGGATTATTATTCTAAAGAACAGACTTTGGGAAGTACTGACCCAGGATTCTGAACTCAGCTAAGGGTTAAGGACTAGAATATGCAGGGAGGGAATGAGTAAACAGGTTCACCCTAAGTTGTGAATAAGTGACAGCCATTTAACCTTCCTGGGACATTCTCCTCCACAAAGCGAATCTATAATGGGTAGATTTTAGGCCCTGTGGAAAGGTGAGTGAAGAATTCCCAGCAAAGACAGTGTTAGCATCTGAGGCAGTAAGACGTTCCACTCTTTTATCTCTAAGTATCACCATGACTGGGCATCAGTTTTATAATTTGCAGGACCCAGTGCAAAGTGAAAATGCAGGACCCTTTGTTCATAGCTTATTAAGGATTTCAAAATGGTGACAGCAGGGCATGAAACCAAGCTCAGGGACCTTCTAAGCGTGGGATGCTGTGTGACTGCACAGATCTCACGGGTATAAAGCCAGCTACACCCTGGTCAGTCCAACATAATCCTTTACAATCGTACACCGCTGTCTGTTTATTTTATGAACTATATTAAGAATATTTCTGCATTGTGTGTCCCAAGACCACCCTGAGATTTGATGATTCTCTGGGAGGACTCACAGGAGTTGGTGTATAGTTGTATTGATGGCTATGATTTATTACAGGGAAAGGAGCAAAGCAAGCTCCGCAGAGGAAAGGGCTCATGGAGCAAGGTCCAGGGGAAACCAGGCGCACGCTTCCAAGACGAGTCGCACAGAGCGTGCTTAATTCCCCCAGCAAGGAGTTTTGACAACATGTAAAATGTTATCTACCGAGGACACTCATTAGGGATTCAGTGTCCAGGCTTTCTACTGGTGGCTGGTCACAGAGTCACCCTGTGCCTGGCATGTGCCAAAATTCTAATTGTGCTCCTCAGTGTTTACACTAACAAGAAATAGCCAGTTCAGGCACAAAACAGCTTCTCTGACACTTTCTCCTGCTTAGGCTCAGTGGATGCACTCAATCAATTCAGATTTCTTCTGTTCAACAGTTTAAGGTGATTCTTCTAGAAGGCTTGTAAAAGATGATACACAATGGCATTTCAATTATTTGGCAAAGAAACCTTTCTATCTCTGCTTCTAGAATATACTTTGGCATGAAGTGGAAGTGAGTGTTCAATGTACCTTTATTAGAAGTGCTACTTGAAGCATTCGGGTGCTGTGAGACGTGGCTCTTGCACACCAACCCAAGCCTGACCACCAGTTTCCAGAAATGAGTCTCTTTCAGGGAGCTCAGAGCTCATCCACTCTAGAGCATCATGTATGATGGTGCTGTAGCCCTTTCTCCTTCCAACAAAGAGGCTAGAAGCTCGTTCATGCTAAAGTTCTAATAACCAAAAATGCTTCTGCATTAATCGTCCCAAGGATGATTATGTTTTGGCAGGTGACACTAATTATACCAACGCTTTAAAGATAGACCCTCAGTCTGCAAGGTAGGGAGTCATTTTGGTAGGACAATCATTGGGTCAGCCCCTCAACGGACATTCACTGTGGAACCGGAACCACTCAACAGAAGTCTTAGTTAAGTCCACTGAAAGGCTGTAATTGATTTGACATACTAAATTATGTCTTAGTCTTCACTGTAATTACAGTAAGAATAACTCAGGTTAAGTCAAATATCTACCAATATTTTGGAGAGGCAGGAGGGAAAGGGTCTGTGATAACTCTCTAAATTATCCAGATTTCTATTTATATAGATCATGTTTGGTTTTGATCAAACCATACGTAAAAGGTTCCTACCTTAGACTTTCATGAAGACAGCAATTAAGAGAATTCACCAATAATTTTTCCAAAGATAAATTATTATTTATTTAACATTTATTAATCCAATGTGCTAGCTAGGGGATATGGAATATACAAACTTGGCTTTTGCTTTTCAGGATATTGAGACTCCTGGACATACAGTGTGGTACACAGAAAGGGACCCTGGACTTGGAATTTGGCTCCTTGACTAAGAAGCTGGGTGGCCTTGGGCAAGTAAGTAGACAACTCTGGGCTTCAGTTTCCTCATCTGCTCAATGAAGAAAGTAACCTGTCCTTCATCACAGAGTAGGTATAAAGATCAATAATGTAACTGGATTCATATGAAAGTGGTTGATAAACTATACGTCGTCTGTGTGTGTGTATGGGTGGGTGGGTGGGTGTGGGGGTGTGTGCATGCTTAAAGAATAAGGGAAAACTGCATTTAAGAAAACCAGCACATTTAATAAATGATGGCAATAACCCAGCCCCATTATGGGGAGCAGTTACTGTCATCGTCTGGATCACTGATGGCACAATTAACTTAATTAACACATACCTCTGTGGCAAGTCTGCTGAAATAACACTTTTCCTTTTAACATACCTGAGCCTTGCCAGCAAGGCATCTCCGAGTCATGCATCTTCCAAGGAGGGTGGCCCACGTGTCAAATGGCTTTTAGCTGGTATGCAGAAAACTGAATTCCAGAATATCCACATCATTAGCAGCTCAAATTATTTAGAGAAATATGAGAAGCCTCACCAAAGTCTTGTAGAAAAGGGCAAAGACCAGTGCATCCTCAAGCAGAGGTGTGTCTGGGCAGACGAGTATGACCCCATGAGGAAGCCATTCTCACCAAATCCAGAGTGACTTCCCACAGAGAGAGCATCCTCTTCTGCATAAGATTCTGACGAAGGAGGCTTGGGACTTTGGTCTGTCGTGGTGGTGACAGGGTTTTTGACAAGTGAGCATGAGTCCATGTCTAGGTGAAGAGCACGCCTATAGATTGCAGCTTTGCCATAGCATGGACTCCTGCTGATCACCTCGGTTGAGTACTGTTTAGGGCTGGAAAGGGGAGACCTGGGATAAAGTGATGTACCCCTTCTATTTTGGAGGCCTTCAATTTTGTTTAGCTCTCAGGAATGTTCCTCCTACTCTATTACTCTCTCTTTTCCCCTTCTCTCAATGGCATGACTCCATTTCATTTTCTACCTTTCTTCCTATCTCCTCTGACTGTTATTTTTATTTCCACTCATGTTGACAATTATTCCTACACTTCTTTACAATATGGTTTGATTATTTCAGATATGCAGCTCATCTCCCCAGTGAAATTACACTTTCCTTCAGAGTCAATATTATTCTGTATTTCCCATAGCAGCCTAGCAGAGGGCTGGTCCCTGATAGATATTCAATAAACAATTGTTTTTTGAATTTATTTTCCTTTACTTCTCTTTCATTATAATTTGGGTGCATGAGTTCTACAAAGACTGTTTGCATGTATCGAAGACCCAATATAATACTGGCTTAAATATGACAAGTTTATTTGTCTCTCACATTATAGTATGTGACACAAGGCCCTGAGCAGGCAGACAGCTGTGCTCCAGGCAGTCATCCTGGGACTCAGGCCTCTTCTATCTTGTTGCTCCGCCATCCTTGGTGTGTTGTTCTTGCATGCCTGGTCCGGCGCAGCACAAGGACGCAGGATGGTGGGAACATGTAGAGGGAGGGCACCTGCTCAGAGCTTCTTCGCATCCTTTCTGCCACATCTGATTCATCAGATCTGGCCACATGACCATAACTGGCTGCAGTGGAGGATGGGAAATGTAGCCTTAATATTGAGTGGCAAATGTTTAAATAAAAAATCAGAGTACCATTAAAAAATGCAGTAGCTTTCAAAATTTTAAAACCATGATTCATAATAATAAATATATTTTACCTAATGACTCAATACAGGCACCATGAACACATAGAAAACTTTTATAAAACAATACTTACCACTACTTTGAGTGATGCATTTAATATTTTTATTATTAATTAATTTATTTATTTGAGACAGGGTCTCTCTTTATCGCAGGCTGGAGTGCAGTGGCACCATCTTGGCTCATTGCAACCTCTACTTCCTGGGTTCAAGTGATTCTCGTGCCTCAGCCTTTTGAGTAGCTGGGATTACAGGTGCCTGCCACCATGCCCTGTTAATTTTTGTATTTTTAGTAGAGACGGGGTTTCATCATGTCGGACAGGCTGGTCTCAAACTCCTGGCCTCAAGTGATCTGCCCACCTTGACCTCCCAAAATGCTGGGATTACAGGCATGGGCCATCATGCTTGGCCAACATTTAATATTTTTATAGTTTATAAAATAAATGTTGTTTGTGACCAACAAATGGGGGATGCCTGCAATTTGAAAGGCGCTACTACAGAAGGATGAAAGAAGAAATCGAGAGAGTAACTAGGGGTCTCTACCATGGAGAAGGAAGTACTTGAGCATAGGGAAGATAATTTACCTAAATTCCTTGCAGTGCACATCACAGTATTAGACACTGGACAGATACAAGAAAACAGTCAACCAAAGCAATCAGTCCATAAATCAAACAATCAACGAAATATTACCCAGCAGAGGTGGAGTCTTTACTGATAGTTCAGACCAAAAAAAAAAAAAAAAAAAATGAAGGCCAGAGGGGCCTTTACAAAGAGATCCTCTAGGGATGTGAGCAGAAGAAATTCTCCTTGTCTCTTAATGTGAGTTGTGTGTAGAAAAAATACGCACAAAAACATCCATCCCATTGATCCTTCTGTACTTTAAGCTGAACAGATAATTCAGATCAAAACCAAATTGATCTAATTTTAATTCTTTGTCATGGCCTCAAATTTACGAACTGCGTCAAGCGCAACCTCATGTATGTATTGTGATAGTGTGTCTCCTAGACTTTCCTAATTTGCTTTTGTGCTAGAAAAATCTATAAAACAGATTTGTCATTCCTTCTATAGACTTCAAATTTGAGGAAAATCTCATATGGTGTGATGTTTTTCCTTGACAGTTTCAACTGACTTTTGTCAGATTTTTGACAGCAGAAAATAAAACCAACAACTCTAAGAACATTATACTGCATTTGTTTTCAGAGGAATAGTTTTGGAGTTTGGAGGAGTTTGAAATGACTTCTAAATGATGTCACAATTGATGCTTTAAAACAGGCCCCAATCTTTTGTGCTACAAGCACCACTGGCTTAATTAGTTCTGGCGGGGGCATCGTCATTAACTGCAAGTTAATTGTGTTAGCGGGCTCATACTATAGTGCTTCCAGAGGTTTTGGTTTCGGTAAACAGTGCATTTCCATGGCATTTCTTGAAAGATGCCGGGGTAAGTGGCATGACAAGAACAGTGCTGTGTTACAGAGCCTTCATTGTTGCAGAGGGGCCTAGGGGTCACTTATCCCCACGTCTTTGGTGATCTCTGCTTCTTCTCTTGCTTTATCAGCGGTGGGAGAGGCCCCATCCCACCACTTAGACCAAACGTGCATCAATGGAAATCAGAGGTTGTTGCTGTCTTGGAGGCTGCTAAAAGGCTTCTGAAGAAGTGAGTCAGTGTTTTCAGTCTTGTTTTCATTCCACGTCCCAAAGCTCATCCGGATTGGCATCTGTGTTTGCTGCCTCCAGAGAGAGAGAGGCTAATTACTGGACAAAGCTGGGGATTAAGCTTCCCTCTTGCCCTTATGAAGGAACAATCCCATTGGAACAGGGTTTAGGGCTTATTAGGAGAGTGGTGGAGAGAAAAGATGTTTTCTCCGTGCAGGCGTTCCCCATCCTTCCTGGATGAAGAAGACTGAAATGTACAGGGCTTTTAATCCAACACCTTTGGCAATCACGAGAAAACCCTTGCAAGTCCCCCGAAGATGGGGTATCTTTTGCCATATATTCAGGCAATAAGACATGACAGGCACTTTATTTCATCAGGGCTACACACCTTGAATGCATTTTGTGGCATAAGGCCAAAGTACAAATGACTTCAACTCTCACAAAATGCAATATCCTTCCACAAAGGCAGTAAAATCATTTCACTGGCTTATTAGTATAAGAAATAAAAATTACTTGAAAACTAAGGAGGAAGAAAGATTTCCTAAGATAGGTTCCTGGGGGTCAGGCACCCAGATTGCCAATAAGAATCTTCCATTTGCAAATAATGTTCAAAAGACACTTCTTAATATAGTCAGCCTGGAAAAGGGCTCTGAAATCTGAGAGCAACTGGTTCTTCTTGTATTGCCAAAGGGCAAATGTCAAAGTACAGCATTAGAAGGTGAGATCTGTGTCAGCATATAGACCCTTACACCAACTTTCTGGGTGTAGACGATTCCTATTTTCTCATTTCTCCTAAAAGATTGCAAGAGGACTTGTGTGTTTATAAAAGAATTTTTAACACTTTGGGACCAATTTGCCTTTTAAAAATTTGCCTTTGTGAATGAATGCTCCAGGGTAGTCATAATCTAGCCCTTCTAAATCCCTGCCTCCCAGCCAGAAAGAGGCACATTTCTAGATGATTAGAGAACTTCAGGTGGGAACGTTACTCTGCTTCTGGCTTTATGCCTTAAAATATGACCTAAGGCAAGCTATCATTTCCCAGAAATGAAATATGTCATATGTTACTATTAAAGTGAACCAGAAAAAGAGCACTCTATTACAATAATGGGTTTTGTTTAAAAAAATTCAAATGTCAAATCCCCAAAGGAATAATACATATTTGATACTATTATTAGAACAGCAATACCAGTAATTGTATGAGGTACTTATATTTTGCATTGTTCATCCAGTAAAGGGATTTTATGTAAACCTTTCAGTAAAATTATTGTGTCAGAGGAAAATGAGGAACAGCATCACTCATTATTCATGCAATCAATATACATTTATTGGGGGTGACTGTGTGTTGGTTATCAGTCTAAATGCTGGGGATGAAAAAAAAGACTAGGACAGCTTCCTGCCTTCAAGGAGCACACATTCCAGATGAGGAGACAGATATAGCAACTAACTACAATGCAATGTTACAATAGACATGGCGGAGGCTTCAGTGAGGCCGTGGAGTATACTACAGGGAACTATGAATTCTGACCAAAGAGGTCCATATTATCGTAGTGTCCTGTTTGAGCTGAGCCGAACCTTGAAATATCAGGATGAAGCACGCATTAGGCAGATGGAAATGAATGGGCAAAGGTATAGCAGTCAAAAATGTCATGGCACACTTAGAGACTGGTGAATAGTTTTTTTTTTTTGTAACTACCGCGGTAAATCTGTCAAGCTGTCTGATGTCAAATGTTGAACTTTCATGGACTAGAATGAGTTAAAAAAATCTGAATGCTTTTTAAGCAGTAGAATTTTACAAAATGGAGGGCCAAGGAAGGCAATGAGAGAAACAGACAAAATGCTGCATGGAATAAAACTGTCATTCTCATCCTGACTCATCTGTTAACTTATGAAAATACACTTACATCAAGAAATGCCAGAAAATTGCTCACTTCACGTGCTTATGGGTAGATTGAACCTAATTTTGTGGCATTAAAACCAATTTTCTGCTGAGCAACATGTCACAGAGGATTACATGAACCTTTATAATTATCAATAATATTTGATACTTTGATGTCACCTTTCATCCTGAGATCAGTCCCATACACATAGGAACAGATAAGCTCCAAGGAAACAGAGATGATATTAATACATTAAGTCACAATGCTTTTCTGTCTTCGATATTCCAAGGGCAGTGTGTTTCTCTCACCTTTAGAAGTTAGTGGATGTAGGCCGGGCGTGGTGGTTCACGCCTGTAATCCCAGCACTTTGGGAGGCTGAGGTGGGTGGATCACAAGGTTAGGAGTTTGAGACCAGCCTGGCCAACATACTGAAATCCCATCTCTACTAAAAATACAAAAAAATTAGTTGGTTGTGGTGGTGGGTGCCTGTAATCCCAGCTACTTAGGAGGTTGAGACAGGAGAATTGCTTGAACCCAGGAGGCAGAGGTTGCAGTGAGCTGAGATCATGCCACTGCACTCCAGCCCAGGCGACAGCTCGAGACTCTGTCTCAAAAAAAAGAAGAAAAAAAGAAAAAAAAAAGTTAATGGATGTAGTTGTAAAGCAGTGATTTTTTTAATTATTATTTTTATTAGCTCCTACTACGGGAAGTCTTAGGCTACAGTATGGGCCACATCTTTCTGTTCACAGCTTTCCTTGGAAGATCAGCTTTTGACATATAGATTCTCCTACTCCCTGGCTTCTTTGCCTGCTGATCTCATCCTGACATACCAGAAGTGGGCTGTGTCTTCATCGATTCTTTGACTTCTACAAGAGACTAACAAGGCATCATCATCATCATCATCATCATCATCATCATTATCCTTCCAACTACAACCCCCAGTACTGCTGCTGCTTATGAAGTAAGCACTCTATGCACTATTCTACTATTCTAAAAACTTTATATATGTGTATATACCACATTAACTAATTCCACACCAACATTATAGGGTAGTGCTGTCCAGTAGAGCTTGCTGCAATGATGGAAATGATCTATATCTGTGTTGTCCAATATGGTAGCCACCAGCCACATGTAGCTATTGAGCACTTGAAATATGGTTAATGCTACTGAGGAACTGCATTTTTCTTTTATTTAATTTTAATTAATTTCATTGACATAGCCACATGGCTAGTGACTATTGTATTGGACAACACAGTTACAGCCTCTGGGGGTTTATTGTTACCTTTTTAAAAACAAAGCTCTGTATTCATCAGCAGCACAAACTTAATAAGGACAAGTGTGAGTGAATGGTTCAGAAATACATTATTGAAGCTAAAAATACAGATGATCCTTGACTTCCAATGAGGCTTATGCTCTGATAAACTCATCAAAAGTTGAGAACATCATAGGTTGAAAATGCATTTAATACACTTAAACTACCAAGCATCACAGCCTAGCCTAGCCTACCTTAAACATGCTCAAAACACTTACATTAGCCGGCAGTTGGGGAAAATTATCTAACACAAAGCTATTTTATAGTAAAGTGTTGACTATCTCATGAAACTTATTCAATACTAACCTGACAGTGAAAAATAGAATGATTGTATGGTCCATAGTCAAAATACAGTTTCTACTGAATGTATATGGCTTTTGCACCATGGTAAAGTCTAAAAATATAAGTAGAAGCATCATAAGTTGGAGATCATCTGTATTTTAAAAAGAAGTCCCATATTCTACACTGGGAGAGCTTTTAGTTCACCCTTCCCCCACCCTGTTAAAATTTGATTCAAAAGAATTCCGTGGAATATATAGGGTAACATGAAGTCATTTCTAAACAAAGAACATTTACAAAAGATGTGGATGATGTCTTAAACCTCATTGTAATCCAACTATCCCAAGTAATCAGCACCGGTAAGCACTAGTCCCTCTATTGAAAATTGAAATTCCAATTACTGATTTTCCAAAAGAAGACATTCTCCTCCACTTACGAAATGGAACAATGAAAGAGGATTTTCTGTTTGGGGTGACCGGGGAGAAACGGAGTCTTCACACAAAGTCTTAGTTCATATTCAGCCCTCCTTTCCTTGAAACCACATCCCCAGGATTTATCTGGCTTGTTTGTGAAAATATGGGAAAACATTTTAAGTCGAAGAAACTGATCAGATGACTTAATTACATTTCTGCTTAGTTCAGCCTGTAACTTAGACTGTTAGAGAGAGAGAACTTAAGTAGCCCTTGGTTTGAACCATCTGTCGCGAAAATGTGACATATGTTTGCTTTGTTTACTCAACAACCAAGTGTAAACTGATACACTGAACTAGAGTATCCCTGAATGATGTGGCTATGGGTGTGTGTGTGTTGGAGGAGGGGTGTCTGATGAGGGCGTCCGTCTCCTCATACTTACCCTGGAGGAACACGCGTACAGCACAAGAGAAGTGCGGATCCGTAGGATGTCCCCCGGGTTTGGGGCGCGCCCCGAGGCGCAGACCCTCTTTGGCGACTCCACACAATATGCAGCCCGCCTGCAAGCAGCCGCTGCAGCCGAGGGGCGCGCCTGGCTGATGTGTGGTTGAATGGAGAGCGGCCCAACCCTCCTCCTTCCTCCTCTTCTTCTCCCCGCCCTGACACCCGGGCCTCAAACTTCAACCAAAGCCCGTGCCCTTTTCAATTTACCCCCCTCGATCAAAATGAGCCATTCTTGTCTGTCCTCCGCGGCGGCCCATTGTCTGGCGTGATAGGTTTGCAGATTTGACAGCTGGGCGCACGCAGATTTGATTCAAACTCGGTCTCCCCGAGAGATGAACTTGGACATCAGCAAAGATCCCGAGCACTGCCGGCTGGCTCCTAGACCGGTCTCCCGACCCAGTGTAGACTTCGGTGCCCCGGGCGCCCCCCGGCGTGCGGGAAGGGGAGCGTGTGTCAGGCGTGGGGGGCGGGGGGTGAGCAGCACGACTGGGAACCAGCGGTCCCAGGGGTTGGGGCGAAGGGCTGTGTACATGTTAGGCTTTTTTTGTTGTTGTTAATTTACTCTCGAAACAGCCAAAATGGAGGTCAGCTTATAAATTTTCTAAAGCCAGGTCTGGCCGGGTTTAAATGCAGTGGGCTGGGGGCTCCGCTTTTGTCTCCTTGTCGGAGCTCCAGGAGAGAGGTAGAGACTGCGTGTGCATGTGTGCGTGTGAGTGTGAGTGTGCACGCGCTGGCGTGGACGAACGGATGGGCGCATCCCAGGATCGCCGCTCCAGCGTCCTGGGTCTGAGTGTGTCTTGAAAGCACCAAGTCTTGAATCACAGCCACTAGTGACGTGGGGGAAAACTTTGTGTTCCGAAGAAGGGTCTGGCTCGATTGCCCTAAGAAGAAAGAGCCCTTGTGCCCGTGTATGTGTGTGTGTGTGTCTGTGTGTGTGTGTGAGAGAGAGAGAGAGAGAGAGAGACAGAGAGAGAGAGAGAGAGAGAGAGTGTGTGTGTCTGGCAGCACCCGCGGCCGGCTGCAGAACACTGCGTGTCCTGTGCGCGAGTACGGGTCCGGCCGCGGGTCCCACCGCAAGCGGGCGTGTGCAGCTGCGGCTGCCTGGCGGGCGAGCTTAGGAGGGAGCTGGAGCTGCGGAGCGGCGGGAACAGGAGCAGGCCGAGGGTCCTCTGGCCAGAAGAAATCTGGCCTCGGAACACGCCATTCTCCGCGCCGCTTCCAATAACCACTAACATCCCTAACGAGCATCCGAGCCGAGGGCTCTGCTCGGAAATCGTCCTGGCCCAACTCGGCCCTTCGAGCTCTCGAAGATTACCGCATCTATTTTTTTTTCTTTTTTTTCTTTTCCTAGCGCAGATAAAGTGAGCCCGGAAAGGGAAGGAGGGGGCGGGGACACCATTGCCCTGAAAGAATAAATAAGTAAATAAACAAACTGGCTCCTCGCCGCAGCTGGACGCGGTCGGTTGAGTCCAGGTTGGTGGCATTTGGAGTTTTTTTCGTTCTGTTTGGGAACCCATTGCCGCTTCCCGTCCCTCTTCCCCACTCCTTCTTCCCCCCTCCTCCGGCCACCCCTTTCTTTTTGCTGGCGTCTCCCAACTTTAGGGCCCGGGGGGCGCTCGTGGCGCCGGGCTGCACCTGCCGGGGCACGCCGGGACTGCGGGCCGGCGCGCTCGCCCTGGGCTGGGGTGCGGAAGCGCCCGAGTCCTGGGCACCGGGCGAGAGTGTGAGAGGAGCGGACGCCCAGGAGGGAGCCGAGGACGCGCGGCGGGTAGGGGGTAGGGGCGCAGGAACCGGGTTTCAGCCCCAGTCGGGACATCGGTTCCCCCTGGCTTGGCGGCCTCTGGAGGGAGACGAGTCCCGGGGAGAAGGAGGGCGGCGACTGGGGCTAGGGATTGGCGATCGGAGTGGGGAGGGCCGGCGGCTGAGCGAGCTCGCTGGCTGACGCGAGGAGGGGGAGGCCAACTTCCCGGGAGAAGGGGCTCTTTCGGCGCCAGGGCTGGCTAGGGAGCTGCCGCCGCCGCCACCGAGGGCTCGGACTCCAGGCAGCTGCAGGCTCCGCTCGCGACGCTCGGAAAGTACCGTTTATTTATTTATTTGCTTGCGTTCAGCGTCTCGGGTTGAACCCAACAGACACCCCCTTGGACTTTAGGAACCCTCTTCAGACCTCTCCAGCCCTCACCTCCATCCCCGTGTCAGCGGCCCCTGGAAAACACGCACATGCACCCCGACCTGGGTGGGGGTGGGTCCTCACCCCGGTGTTGGAAATTCCCCAAAGGCGGGAACGGGGGAGGGGAGAGGGTTCTGTGGGGGGAGTCTCCGGCGCTCTCCGCTCTCATCTCAAAGCGCGCCCTCCCTTCCAGGTTGGGTCGGACCTGAACCCCTAAAAGCGGAACCGCCTCCCGCCCTCGCCATCCCGGAGCTGAGTCGCCGGCGGCGGTGGCTGCTGCCAGACCCGGAGTTTCCTCTTTCACTGGATGGAGCTGAACTTTGGGCGGCCAGAGCAGCACAGCTGTCCGGGGATCGCTGCACGCTGAGCTCCCTCGGCAAGACCCAGCGGCGGCTCGGGATTTTTTTGGGGGGGCGGGGACCAGCCCCGCGCCGGCACCATGTTCCTGGCGACCCTGTACTTCGCGCTGCCGCTCTTGGGTAAGTCGAGGCCCGCCGCGGGCTTTCTTACCCTCTGAGTCTTTCCTAGGGTCGCTTGCAGCAGCCCACCCCGCCCTCCGCACCAAAATTGGGGCGCGGGTGTGGTGGATGTGGAAGGAAGAAGTGTCTTTTTGGGGAATGGGATCGCGAATCCCCGGGTTAGGGAGGCGGTGGCGGCGCGGCGCTGCCTGAAGCTTTTCGGGCTTGGTTTTGATTTCCTGTGGTTTTTAATGACCCAACTTGGCGGGGGACTAAGAAGCCCTCCAGCCCAGGGCCCTGCACCCCCAGAGAGTCTCTGGGAGCTCGCGGAGCCGCGGCGGGCAGGTGGAGTTGGGGAGCATTGGGGCCGGGAGAGCAAACTTGGAAGAGAAAAGTTTTTCCCGAGTAGCTTCTGGGCACTCTCCGCCCGGCGGACCGCTGACCATGGCTGGCCTGCCCCGCGCCCAGCGCGCGCCCGGTGCCCAGTCCGCCGCCGCACTTCTCCTCGGAAAGCGCCTGAGTTTCAGCCGGGCGGAGCGGGTGGCTGGAGCCGGGGGTGGCCCGGGAGCCCGGGTCGTTGCTCAGGCCAGGATGCCCCGGGGCGGAGGGCCGACGTGCGCGGTGGGCAGCGCAGGCTCTGGAGCAAACCCTTGAAGCCCGCGGGCTGAGCCTGCGCCACTCTTCCTTGCGGGCCCGGGAGGAGGAGAGAGGAGCTGGAATTCCAGGGGGCGGGAAAATGGACTCCCGGATGGTCGAGAGGTGGACCCGCTCCCAGAGCAGGGCGCCCCCGAAGGCTGGTCAAGCATCCCTGACCCGGGCGCGCGCCCTCGCCCGGAGCAGGGGCGGCCGGGGTCCCCGCCCGCCGCACTCAGGCTCCCTCCCCTCTGCCCCGCAGACTTGCTCCTGTCGGCCGAAGTGAGCGGCGGAGACCGCCTGGATTGCGTGAAAGCCAGTGATCAGTGCCTGAAGGAGCAGAGCTGCAGCACCAAGTACCGCACGCTAAGGCAGTGCGTGGCGGGCAAGGAGACCAACTTCAGCCTGGCATCCGGCCTGGAGGCCAAGGATGAGTGCCGCAGCGCCATGGAGGCCCTGAAGCAGAAGTCGCTCTACAACTGCCGCTGCAAGCGGGGTATGAAGAAGGAGAAGAACTGCCTGCGCATTTACTGGAGCATGTACCAGAGCCTGCAGGGTACGCGTGGAACCTCCCCACCCCACCCCGTGTCCCTCCCCGAAGGCAGGCGGGCCTTTCGTCCCTGGGCCAGCTGATCTCATCCTCCACTCACTTCTCCCCAGCTGCAGAGTGAGGACCTTTCCTTGGCCCCCAGGGACAACGGCAGCTGGTGTTTGCTGGGCTGACCAGCATTGTTGGGCCTGTTGTTGGAAAACCCATGAGGAGGACGGGGGCTGGGGGGAGGGCCACCCCCGGGACCCCGCTGACCTCTCTGAAACCTGGTCGGAGCATGGGAGGAGGATCCCACTAAAGGGCCCCAAGGAACCCACAACTTCTTTCCAAGGAGAGCCAGCCTGGGGCTTTCGCTGGCCTCTCAATAATAATAGGAAGGCTTGCCCTGCATCTGGTCTGGACTCCCCCTGTCTTGTTCCCTTTAACCTGCTCTGATGTAAGATGAAGTATTGTAAAAGGTCCAGGAGAATCCAGTGTATCTTCACCCTCCCCACCTAACGTGATCAAAGGCAGATGTGTGAAAATCCATTTGTCATCTTAGATTAGCTGAGTCTTGAACCAGCTGGTGTGGTTCAACCTTGGTTATCACAGAAGTAGCTCAGGGAGAGAAAGATCCACTGGTCACAACCATCCAGTCCAATGGGAGTGTTTTGGTCCTCATAAGCCAGAGGGGGCTCATGTTTGTAAGCCTAACGCAAACATCTTGTGTGTTCATTCTTGACTGAGACTCACACTGGAGATTTGTATTATACAGATTTGACCTGTCAGCGGTCACTTCCTCCAGAGTCTATTAATGAAAACCTGTTTCAGAGGTGGGCTGTTTAATAGCCATGGTACCTGCTTTCCAACCGTATGCCAGGTTTTGGGAGCAAGCAGAAATAAGGGTCTTTCCTGGGTCACCTTTCTTCCATTGGCTCCTGGAGGCAAGCAGGGCTCGTGACGTCACCGGCTCTTCCCTCTCTGATTTCTATTCCTTTGCAAAGAGTGGGAGAGTTTTCTGGCAAGATAGGGCTGGGTTGTTCTCCAATATTTTCATGGCACTCTGGGGAGAACAAGGACAACAAAGGCGGAGGGAATGAAAAGAAATAACCATAGTGAAAGAGATGCATTTGAAATCTTTCAAAGTTTCAGCGTCTTTTTGTTACACAATCATAACATAATTAGAATTCAGATTCAGCAGCAAAAACCTGCTTGAAATATATGTTTTTCTGATCTGAGCCCAATCTTTCTGTTGTTTTTAGGAAATGATCTGCTGGAGGATTCCCCATATGAACCAGTTAACAGCAGATTGTCAGATATATTCCGGGTGGTCCCATTCATATCAGGTAAGCAGATTTATACTTCCATGCTGATGCCTTTGTGTGCTTGAATTCGTTGGCTTGCATTCTCTTTGGCTCTCAAAGAGCATATAAGTAGATAGTTGAATGGCACAGTGTTTCTGGGAAATTAGAAATAGGATGATGATAATGAAGAGGCATAATGCCTAGAGATGATTGTATGACTTGAAAGTAATTCTAAATGAAGTAATGTGGTGTGGTGGTTTGGAAGAGGTTCGAGGGAGGTGACTTGGTTGAGTATTTTTTTTTTTCCACATTAAAATATGATTGGCCATCTCTTGCAAAGGGAGTGCCACTTCTGTCTGTAGGTGGCAATCGTATTCTCTTCTTGCTGCATACCTTACATAGTGCCTCCCTGGAAATGGGATCTGTTCAGATTATGCCACTTACTTTACAAGACGCCCAAAGATAATCTTAGATTGTTGAAAAATTTGGGATGAATTCACTTGTCTGCCTTTGATTTAAAAGATTAAGCTCTGCCATTTGTTAACAATTCTTTTGCTTCTATTTTTTCCTGAGCAAGTGTGTGCATTTATGAGAGAATGTACTCCTGCCCCAATGGCCCTTTTAAATGTAGTCTCGCTTCCCATGGTTTGTTTTTTCTCTCTTTGCAGTTCTATGTGTGGTTTGGAAATGAACTTAATTTTGGAATTAAGTTTTTTGTAACATCTGCATTCAGACAGCCCATAAATAAGCAAGGCAGTAATTTATCTTTATGACATACAGATTCCAGACTAATGTTGTCTTTATTTATTTACAGTTTAGACATTTTCTCAAGTATATATAGCCACCACAAATTATATGTCTCTCAGTGGTTAAACGTGATGGGTAATGTTGAATTTGATTCTATGAGATTATGGTTTGTAACTGATGAGAGTGTCTTGGTGTTCTAAATGTTTTGTGTTTTTTTGCAGAAAAGCCACAGAATCAAGGGAGTGTATAAATACTGATATTTTATTTGGGTGTGTTATACATGCATTCATCCATTCACCAAACATCCATTGAGCACCTACTGTGTTCTAGCTATTGCGGTTTGGGCAGTGAGCCAGTCATCACCTTGCCTTCATGAATCTTAGAGATAGCCAGGAACTGACATTGATTAAGTCTTATTATTTGCCAAGCAATGTGTTAAAAGTGTTACATCATTAACTTAGGTAATCATCAAGTGCTTCTTAGGTATTATTATTTCCATTTTATAGATGAATAAATTGAGGCATAGTGAAGTTAGGGAAACAGCCCCAAATCACAAAAGTCTTAAATGGTAGAACCAGAACTGAAACTCAAATTTGTTTGATTCTAAGCTTTTGTAACATCTACCCTTTGCTACTCAGAGTGTGGTTCTTATACCGGCATCATTGACATTGCCAGGGAATTCATTAGAAATACAGGATCTCATTTGAACTACTGAATCAGAATACACATTTTAACAAGATCCCTAGGCTGGGTTCTTCATATGTACATGAAGCTTGAGAAGCATTTCTCTACATTATTCTGTCTTTTCCTTCAGAGGAAAAGTGTGTGTGTGTGTGTGTGTGTGTGTGTGTGTGTGTTAGTCTGTCAGTCTGTTTTGGCATAAGATATAAGGATACGAGTTTAGTGTAAGAGGAATTCAAATGTTTCTCTGAGTAATGCCAATAATTTCCACTCCATGTCACTTCTAGTGCTTTCTGTCCCTTTGATCCAGCCAGGACAATGGTTTAAGCAGTGGAGAGGAGAGGTACAGACAAACGTATGTGACCACCTAAGCTCTCCTGGGAGCGGATCTGTAGAAACTGGGATGGGGTGTTGCCAGTGGAGTGCTAGGTGCCAGAGGCAAACCTGACCTTCATCCTGCTTTTGAGGGACAATGCCTGTTACCTACTGTCTGCCCTGTGGACTCCTCCTTTGTACTGATGCCTGGAAGGGTATGAACCTCTCCATGGTCATTGATAGTGAGAAAGCAGGCAAGGAAGAAGGGCCACTGGGTTTTAATTTCAGAATTTCTATGAGCAATGGTTTTTTTTTTTGTTTGTTTGTTTGAGACGAAGTCTTGTTCTGCCACCCAGGGCCCAGGCTGGAGTGCAGTGGCATGATCTCGGCGCAATGCTACCTTTGCCTCCCGTGTTCAAGTGATTCTCCTGCCTCAGCCTCCCGAGTAGCTGGGATTACATGCACCTGCCACCACGCCTGGATAATTTTTGTATGTTTAGTAGAGAAATACATGTCACCATGTTGGCCAGGCTGGTCTTGAACACCTGATCTCAAGAGATCCGCCTGCCTCGGCCTCCCAAACTGCTGGGATTACAGGTGTGAGCCACCGTGCCTGCCCGCAATGGAGTTTTTATTATTTTTTTAAAAACTTTTCTTTTTAGAGACAGGGTCTTGATCTGTCGCCTAGGCTAGAGTGCAGTGGCCTGATCACAGGTCACTGTTGCCCCAAACTCCTGGGCTCAAGCGATCCTCCTATCTTAGTCTCCCGAGTAGCTGGGACTACAGGTGTGCCACTACACCGGCTAGCAATGGAGTTTTTTTACACTCATTTTCCCTCT
This sequence comes from Homo sapiens, assembly GCF_000001405.40. Lineage (NCBI taxonomy): Eukaryota > Metazoa > Chordata > Mammalia > Primates > Hominidae > Homo > Homo sapiens. The sequence goes on along the minus strand of NC_000010.11, from coordinate 116,266,962 downwards.
CAGAGTTGCTCTTTCATTTGTATAATGAGGCAATTGGAGTAAATAATCTCTAATCGTTACAGTCCATGGATCTGAGAAAAGGTTGGGCTCATCTCTAGAATTCTTCCATGGTTCTCTTACATCACCTTCTCTACCCTTGCAATCATTTCAACTGTTAAGGAGGCATGGTCATTCTCAGATACCACTGGTTTGTCTGAATTTATGAGTATTGGACATTCTTCTGCATGGGCCAAGTTTCACTTATGCATTCCTTGGATCCCATTCGCAGGCCAGCTTTCTTTTCACAGCAAGTATGATCTGGAGTTTGTGAGCCCTGTCCTGTCTAGAACCCAGAAATCATAATGAATTAGCCAGAGCCAGAAAGGCCTTGTCTAGAGCCCCATTTTCTATCTCAAGGGCATTGGCTTTAGGTTCCAGCACTAATGTGATTTGACCTCTGACAGTGACTGTGTTCCTTAAGTGGGATAGTAAAGCCAAATGGAGACTTGAGAGGCTTTAAGTCATTGAATAATGCATATTATCCAGTTTGGCCTTTGCAGGATGGAAAAGGATGGAGGAACAGGATGATAAATGTTGCTTTTCATGGTTTGAATCTGAGCTTTCTAGAACATCTCTTCTGTCTTGAAAATTTATCTGAGGAAGCCAGGACAACAGTGTCTCTGCTTTTCACAGATATGGTAGCAATCACTTTCCATGTTTGGATTTCTCTGCCCAACATGAAGAGCATGTTTATCCACATACACTAAGGGTGAGCTGAATCCTCGCAAGGAACAAGACATGTTTGACGTTCTTGTGTTTCCATTTTCCTTGGATTCCTCAAACCCACATTCACTTTAGCCATTGTTTGCTTGCTAACCACATAAAAGGCCTTGCTGAGGTATTATCAGTGGCCCGTTGGGAACAAGAAGGAGAACAAAAATAAGGTGGAATCTAAAAACCGTCCTGTTTTCAAGCTTGAAATGCAGAAGGGAAACCAAGTAGCCAAGTCAGGAGAGAACTGCAGAGGGAGGGTGGAGGGCTGCTTTCCAGAAACCTGAGAGCGGAAGCCTTTGGCCCCTGGGGCACAATTAAGGGCTTGAGGAGGTGTGTTTCCTGTGGGGTGAGGCTAGTGTGGGTTTTAGGGGCCTGGAACATGAAGCGAGCGGGAGGACACACAGGAGAAAGTGCGCCGGTGCAAGAGGATGTCGGAGGAGAGGCAGGAACACAGAAGTGTCCTAGGATCCCAGAGGGCAGAGCTGTGTGGGCGCTCAGAGGCTCAGAGGCAGAAGCCACCGTGCGCAATGCACTGTTTAGCATCTGCATCTCTCCCGGCCGAGATCTCTGCTCTTGCACCTCTATTCTGCCCCTGCTTTTCTTCCTCAGAAAAGTTCGAGACACAGAAGTAAACAGGGATTTGAAAGGATGATGAACCTGTTGGCAATTTTTTTTGGACTCTTGGAGTGGGAGAGCAAAGCAGTGAGAAATTTTGAAAATACAGTGAGTGCTAAGAAAAGCCTGAGGATGGGGAACAGAGGGAGGACAGAAGCACCTCTTTGGCAGCAAGGTTTAAAACTATTGATTGGGAGACTGGATTTTTGTAGAGAAGTCAGGAGATGCCAGGCCTTCCTTAAAATACAATCACAGTTGATGATATTGCATGCAAGAATCAAGTGGATAGATGGTAGGGAAAGAGTAATGTTAGGTTTTGAACATCCTGACTTGCTGGAAGGAAAAGTCCCAGCTTCTGGCGCTCATCATTTTCCTACCAAGTGCTAGGAGTGGCTTTGACCTTTCCGGGAAGCCTTAGGATCTCCAGATTCGTTCCCAAGTAATTGGAAGTGGTTTGCTCCAGGATGAGATGCACCTAAACTCTCTTTTGAGTCTTGCCTCTTTTTTTCTGAGTGATTCTGTGAATAATTAGCCATGTTTAGCATTTCTGTTCAAATGCACCGTCATATTTAAGTCATTATTTTTTAAAAAGTTATCACAAAGTCTACATGTTGGAGAAGAGCCTTGTAACATCACCTGCTTTCTTGTCAGGTCATGACGAGAGAAAGCCTTGTAAATACCAGCTATTAGGGATCGTGGTGGTCCTTTTCTTGCACTCAGCTCTCTAATCCTGGTGTTCCTATATTTGAGAACCCCCATTCGTTTCCTGTTATTTACTCTGGCATATGGTAAACTCCTTAGTGGGCCAGTGAAGGCCCTGCTCTCCATTTTGAAGCCCCACACCCCATCTCCACTCAAGCTCACTGAGCCAAACAATTCCCCAAGTATTTCATGTGCATTCACTTTCCTGTGCCTTTGCACATGGCCTTGCCTTTACTTAGAAATCTTCTATCAGTTCTTTAAGACCAAGATCAAATTTCACCTCTGAAGGCCTTTGCTGGAATCCCCCCAAACAGGCAATTCTACTCAGGGCTCCCTCATGCTCCATCGTGCTCTTGCCTTTATGGTAGCTATTAATCACAGCATATCAAGAGGACTTATTTATGTGTCTGTTTTTCCCACTGGAAAGTCGGAGACTTGCTTGTTATGCCAGGTGTCAACTCAGCACCAAGCATCTTTTCTTGATCCTGAGCCGGCATTCTGTCAATCACGAGTGGTTGAATGTTAGAGAAGAAGGGTCCCTAGAGATCTAGTCCAGTACTCTGTTTTTATAGACTTGAAGCTCAGAGAGGGGAGGGGATTGGACAGAGTCACAGTGCTTGAGGGTAGGCTTGGGGACCTTTGCCAGGTCATGGCACTGGTGTAGGGGGAGCCAGTGTTGGTCCCTTTCTGTCTGCATACTCTCTGGACCAGCCTCATTCATTCTGGAGACCTCAGCCACCACTTACATTGATGACTCAGAGCCTTCCTTCCTACTGCAGCCTCTCTTGAGCGCTAAACCAGCATTTCCAGCTGAGTCCTGGATGACTCCATCTGGCGGTGTCTCAGTTAACTCAAACTTAGCATGTCCAGAATGGATCTCATCATCTCTCCTTTGCTCCTTACCCTCTCTCTTCCTGGATCTCCAGTTTTATTTAATAGCATTATTGTCTTCCTAGTGGTCTGCACTATAAGCTGTGAAGTCATCTCCGTCCCTTCCATTGTCTTCAACCCCTTCAGCCTGACCCATCACCAAGTCCTGCTGAAATTACCTGCTGTCTTTTGAATGCTCCCCTCCTTCCACATCATGGATGTAACTGTCTTATCTCTCACTTGAACTCTGCATGGGCTTTCCAGCTGACTTCCCTAGCTTCTCCCAGTCCAACCTGACCTCCTCATTCCCAGGTCTTGTGCACCTTGGTGACTTTCAGGAACACTCTGGCTTCAGTCTTCCTTCACTCTTTTACTAACTGGCTTTTGATCTCGCCCCAGCCACCATGTATCATAGACAAGACAGGTTGAGCAGCTGCCGTTCTACTAGCACTCTGGGCAGCTTCATCCCTCCGTACCTTTGCACCTGCTGGTGCTAGGAGAAAGAACATATGCTCTGGAGTTCCACCAACCTGGGTGAATGAATCCCAGCTCTGCCATTCACCTTATCTTGAGCTCACTGTGCCTCAGGTTCCATGGGTGTAAAATGGGATGATGATAATGCCTACTGTATAGGTTCTTTTGGATTAAAGATGTTATATGTAAAATATCCAGTATAGTGCCTGAAACATACTTGGTCCTCAATAAATCTCAGTCCTTTTTAAAGCTACACTAAGGCGATGTTGGCTTGCTCCTGACTCAAGACTGGGACTCTTTTCAGCAGACCACATTGCCCCATCAGAGAATGATGATTCTATGTCTTGCAAAGGGTAGCAAACCTGAGCCTTCAGGAAGGCTGCTTATAAACTACCTTGGACAAGCAATGAAAAATCTATCCTCTATCCAAAAGGCCCTAGAGCAAAGTCCTGTCTCTTAATCACCTGGCCTGAGGCTTAGCTACCCTGTGGGGAAGGTCTTCCTTATTCCTGCACTGAGTCTCTCCTTTTCCCTTGGACCCCTGTCCTTATGCTCTGTGGTCGGAAGTGAGTTGGTTGCAGCTGGTGATCACCTGGGGTGGGAGCTTTTCCTGTGCTTAAGGATTCTTGTGATCAGCCTTCCCTTCCAAGCTTGGCTGATTCCTATTCCTCTAACCTCTCCCCATAAATCTTTCCAGTACCCCTCATAGCGGCAAGAATTACTGCTCCCTGAGAAGGGCATGCCTTAAACCTAGGAGATGCTTCCGTCTGCAAAGGCTTTGCTAAGTACACTTACATTTCACTTTCACAGACCACTACTTTTGGTTTTTATTCTCTCCCTGTCCTGCCCCTCAGCAATCCATTTTTGTTGTAGAACAATAGGAAATTGCAAACAGGTAAAAAAGGAAAAGAAATTTCAATCACCCAGCGTCCTACCACCCCAAAATAACTGCTGTAAACATGCTAATAGGAGCCTTTTCCAATTTTTCCTATATATGTAAATATGCATAGATGTGTATGTACATACATGTATACATATATTTTTTTTTACAAAAATGGTGTCATAATCTACATCTACTCTCTGATTACCTGCTTGATGATCTGAAAAACCTATGTCTTTCTGTCTCACTGACCACTTCCTAAAGGCAAGATTTTATTATTTAGATTAAATGTCAACCTCAAGAAGGTCCATGAATACAGGACATGCTAGTATCTGTACACTTGTGGCAAAGACCCAAATGTTCCAGTGAAGGCTGTGAAGGTACAGACAGTTAAATATTTTGCATAGAGTTACTGTAGGTCCTGTTAACAGAAGAAGGGAGATAAAACATCAGTGAGTGACAGGTAATTGTATGAACTGAAGATTGTTACAAGGTGCAAATTATTTATAGCCAATATGTCTGTCCTCATTCCTTCTTCTTAGTCCTCTGAAGTATTTCTTTTTGCCATCTCTTGATTTTTCTGCTGTCGAAGCTTGTTCTTTCCAAGGGATGTCCTTTTTGTTTTTTGTTCTCTGGGACACAGTAGCAAATTCTCAAGAGGAGGTATCAAATTGGGGCTTGTTTGGTAAAAGTGTATGGATCCAGGAGTCAGGAGATCTGTGTTCTGCTTCTAGCATCGTTTACCCGTAACTAGCTGGGTGACCTTGGGCCAGTGTCTGCAGGTCCTGAGAGTCATCTGCTCCTTTTGTAATTTGAGGGCAGTGGCCTAGAGTGATCTTTAACATATTAGGCTGGTGCAAAAGTAATTGCTGTTTTTACCATGACTTTTAATATTTTCCTTCCTTTTTGAAGGGCCCGTATATTGAATCTTACATAGTTATTCAGCAACTATTTTTCTTTCTAGCATTTTATTCATGCCAAGGAAACTTGTGATCTTGGCATATGTCTTTCATGTTCATAACCTTTATAAAGTATGATTTATTCAATGTATACCTTACTTTGAACTAGAATGTATTTAAGGCATCTTATTTGAATACATGGAAGAAGATAAAGTACAAAAGAAAATAAGTAAATGCAGAAGACAGGGGAAAAGAGAAAATGAGAGTAGGAAAGAGAAAATGAAGCTAGGAGTGAGCTCAGTAGACAAATACATGCTACAAGATTATATTTCAATAAATTAAATAATCGGAAGTGCGGCATTTGTTTCACGAAGGGATAAATAAAACCACTGGATTTGTAGATGCAGTAGGATGTTTGGAGGTCGTTCTAGTCCCGTCCCCGTATTTGACTGATAAGAAAGCAGAATTCCATAAATTGATAGGACAATGCAACATAAATTGTCTAGGACAGTGATGACAAGTAAAATTAGGTGTTTGCTTGTAAATGGGTATTTGAAACCCTCCATATCTTGGCATTTCCCCATCTCAGTTCAGTTGTCTTTCACCTGTTCAAATCTGTGCTCCCCCCTTAGGATACTACACTTTATTTTCTTTGTTTCTTTTAGCATGAGAGCCACAGCCATTGACTTTAGTTAAGGAGGTAGTTGTTCATTGTTTTGGAACAAGGGTTAATTAATAGGTCTCTGGCAACAAGAACTAGTGGCTGGAATGTTAATTTTCATATTTCTTGGCACCCTTCAGGGTTGTCTGTAAGGAAAAGTGAGAAATTATTTGTTGCGTTAAGCCCTCAGATTTTTTTTAAAGATAATCTTTCATTCAGAGTTTTTTGTTAAAGGAGCTTACCACTTCCTGTAATTTAGAGACTCAACTAGCTGGGTCAGTGATGAAAATGAATGAGTAATTTGCATAAGAGGCTAATTTATTATGTCTCCTGGGCATTTCTTTCATCTCTCTTTCCATTCTAATTAATGTTCTAAGAGGGTCTATCGCCATATCAGAAATTAGGGGTGAAAGCAGCTATTGTTAACCTTTATTATTATGATTTTTTATCTTCTGTAATCTTTTAACCATTTTCTTTTCATATCCAGGATTTACATAGACAGGGCTGTGGGGTATATGGAGAGATTTTAGAGGTATACTCTTTTACGATCTTTCTTCAAATAGTAGGCTGTTGTAAAAATAAAAATGACTCAGGATAGCTCTCCAGCCACAGGAGGATTTTCAAAACATATAGAACTATGCAGCCATGGTGGCAGAATTGTTTCTAAATACAAGCTCTCAAAAACATCTTTATAAACACGTATACAGACACATAGGCATACATACACTTGTATATCTGCCTGCTCACATGTGCATATTTTTATAGAGTGTGTTAAGTGTGGATATGATAAAATATTTTGCCTCAAAAAGATCTTCCTTGACACGTGTTTCAGTTGGTCCTGGCTGTGACAAAGGCAGCTGTGTGTGCGAGTGTGACACAGCTGAGGAAAGGCAAGAGAACAAGCAATTTCTTCGAAAATCAATTGCAATTTACTCCTACTAAATTAGCCAAGGGTCCGCCCCATCCACGCATTAGCATATGACAGACTTTTAATCATTTGGTCAAGTGACCTATTTTTGGTCAAACTGCAGTTCCCTTTGGAACTCTGCCTATCCCAGAACTGTGTATTCTCCTCATTGAATCCTCAGTCTCTTTAAAGGGGAGGTGAGTGAGCAAAGAGGAGTCCCGCTGGGGAAGCCCCTACCTTGTGTCCCCTTCCCCTGCCGTGTGTCCTGCACTAAGCTGCCTTTTCACAGACTTACGTTCTTCTGGTCCCCCACCATGCTAAAAGGTATGTATTGTGCCCTCTCATTTCTGAGGAGAAAAGCTGGGATCAGAGAGGTTGAGTAACTTTCTTAAGGCCACACAGCTGATACCTGGAAGAGCTTAGATTCACTTCTTGTTCCTGTGACTCCAAAACCTGTGTTCTTTCTACTGTTAGTGATGAAATTTTAAGCACAGACCAGGATCCTTTATTTAGAAGGAGCTATCTACTCCCTTTTCTCCCTCTTTAATTCCCAGCTTTCTCCTTGTTCTTCCACCCTAAAACACTGTTTGACAAAAGGCCTTTAAAGTTGCAATATACACCACTACCTATTATTTTAATATTTGGGCCTGCCGTCTGATGGGTTCTTAATTGACAACCAAAATCCAGAACACGCGTACTATTAAAACCATTCCTGCAGAACTGCAGAAATATTAACCAAAGAAGCAATTTCTGGATTGTATCTTTTTTCATTTCAGTGTGAGATGGAAGGCTTCTAAAGTGGAGCAGAATGCCTAGGGCCATTTTTTGTCATGTTGTCGTATAAATAGCATTACACAATGTTAAAAAAAAAAAAAAAGGAATACATAGTTGAGTCCCACTTTAAGGTGCCCTAATGTGCTATTCATTTGTCTTCCACCATGCTGGTGCCACTTTCCTCTAGGTCCCTGTGAACTGTGTAGGAAGCACCATGCCAACTGTGATTTCTGTTGTCCTTTGCACATGATCGTTTTGTGTACAGTTAATAATGTATGAAAATAAGTATTGATTGCATTCTTTGTAGGAGAAGGCCAGCAGTTTTCTTAAAGCGCATGTTTATGAAATGTTTCATTAATTTCTGTTACTACGCGTTTTGAATAAAACAATTGATGAGGAAGATACCAGGAGATCCCTGAATTCCAGAGAGTTCTCAATGAAACCACTATATATATTCTTCTTAGCTTGGGAATGGCAAGTGGCATTTGAATGGCAAAAGAAGTGATCAGGCTGAACATACTCCCAATTCGAAATGGTTGCATTCCCCATGATACTTAAAGAGAAGTAAAAATAATAATTACAGCAGCTGTGAGTTGCAGCGAGCTAGGTGTTTTATATGTCATAACTTGCTTAAGCCTTGTTCAGTAGAGGTACTCTTAGCCCCATTTGGTTGGTGGATAAGGGAACTGGGGCTCAAGTGAGAAACTTGTCTTGGGGGCACATACTTAATAAGTGGTAGAGCCAGCATTCTCATCCAGGAAGGCTGGCTTCAGAACTCATGCAGTAGCACCCATTTGCATGTATGTAACATGCATGGGAGAAATAGCCCATGAAAATATCCCATGAAAGTGAAGTGCACGAACTGCATAAAGGATTATTAGATATTTTTTACTGAGTGATACATATGTGGATATATGATGCATATAATATATATATTACATTATATATGTTACGTATATATTACATATATACATTATATATTATATATTTTATTAATTTTATATTTATTTTATTAATATAATATATTTTATTTTATTAATTAATATATTAGATATTATTTTATTATTATATATTATATATGTTACATTTATACTTATTTTAGAATGAAGAGAAGAAGAGGTAAGTTTTTAGAGTCTCTATCAGTTTTCAGTTTTTCAGTATGATAGAATTCCATTTCTGCCAAATTCATTCATCAGATATTTATTAAGAACTTACTATGAGCACAGTGGGAGGCCCAGATGATTCAGAGGTAAATAGGAATTGTCCTCTAAGAATTCCCTTTTTTGCTTTAGAGATAGATATAAACAAGATAAATTATGATGAATGAGTAGAACCCATAGAAAGCTCACATACGGCCCTATGGTGGGAATAACGGACTGGATGGTGTTGCCGGTCAGAGAAGGCTTGCAAAAGGGGACTTTTAAGCTGGCTTTTGTGGAATGGATAGGAGTTTGGTGAGTAGAGCTGAATGGGGAGAGCATTCCAGGCAGAGGCAACAGCCTGGGCAAAGGCACAGTGTGTCCAGGGTTTGCCGTGGCTGGAGCAGCAGGTATGAGGAGTGGTGTGAGAAGAACTGAGCAGAGAGGCAGGTTTGTCACACTCAGGGGCTTGACCTTTGTCATCGAAGATGGGAAAGGAAGATGGCTAATTTGTCTCAGCATTGCTGAAATTTTTAGATTGAATCGCATGAAATTGCCATTTTAGTAGGTCAACATGGTAGAATAGCAACAATTTCAGACAGTTCAACTTAATATAGTTTTGTGTCATAAAAGCACACACAGGGGCTCTGGATGCTTCTCGACCAGAGAAGGACATAAGACCTGCTGTGGGTGAGTAACCTCTCATCATAGAAGGCACCTTCTGGGAAAACAAAAAATGAGCCCAGGAGCACTGTGCTATTAGCCTCAGCTCCAGGTGGAAATGGAGCAAGAGCAAGTGTGGGTCAAGTTCAAGCTCCTCCCTTCCAGTTGCACCTTCTTGAGGAGAAAGCATGCACAAGCTCGGAAGGCAAAGGCCAAGTGCACAGAGCCCAGCATTTAGGTGCCGAGGGCAGGGAGGATAGAGGGGCAGGAGTCTCTGTGGCAGGCTGGCTGCATCTCCCTGGGTGGTCCTGGGAAGGTGTGGTGGGGGCGGGGTGGGGGGTACAGGTAAGCAGAAAGACAGCAGAGCAGACAGGGACCAGCAGGAATCAACCCAGGAAGCTGGGTCATCCTGAAGGGCCTCGGCTGCTAGGAGGCATTTTGGCTTGTGGTAGGAGAAAGGTGGTCTCTGACAACGGTTCATTGGGACCCTGTGGATGCTGAGTGGCATGGCTGGTGTTAGGAGGCCTCCCCTGGTGGACAGTGGGGATGTGCACAGCATGGGTCCCTGAGAGGATGGCTCCCATCTGCTTTTCTGCAGGGTCCCAGCCCCAACCCCAGCACTGCCTTTTGTCCTGGGCTCAGGGTGGACTTCTGCTCTCTCGCTTGGGAGCAGTGGCTCAGGTGTGGGTGCCTGGCTCCCTAGGCAGTGTTGTCCTCCTGCCTGGGAGGGATGGTGCTGTCCAGCCTTTCTCAGACCTCTGGAACCGTGCTGGGTAGCACCCATTTGGAGGACTTGAGGTATGGGCTTATTTATTCGTTTATTTTGTATTTACTGTTTTCTTCCTCTGACTCCCCAGTCTTCTGCCTTGCCTAGCTGTTTTCTGTGCCAAATTCTCAACTCGATTCAGAACATTTCGTAAGAGAATGTCTCAATGAAAACTCAAGTGTTCTAAATGAAGGGAGTTGTGTTAATTGAAAGCAGTGCCCACTCACCCCAGGGAGCACCTGCTTGAGGGGAGAGGATGGGGAGGAAGGGAGGGAGGGCTGGGAGTGCCTATGCAGCTCACAGAGCTGGCTCCTAAGAAGCTACTGAGCCCTCTCTGTGTGTCCTACCCTGCACCCATGCTATGTTATGACATTGTTTTTATGACATCAATGGGGCTGGGGTGGGAAGAGGTGGTGCTGCCCTTTTTAGCTGCTGGTGATCCCTGGGAGGAAGGGCAACATGTTCCCAGGGCAGGACCTACCGGGTGGACCCTCTGTATTCATCCCAGAGATAGGGCTGGCAACGGGGAGGGGCAGGGGATGAGGTCATGGTGATCCCAAAAAATATATGTGCTGCAGAGTAGCACGGTGGCAAGGAGCAAAAACCTTGGAGTTGAGCACACTTGGGTTTGAATTCCATGTTCCAGCACTTAGTAGCTGTGAGACCACAGGTAAATAGTTACTTGCAACGTTCTAGGTCCTGTATGTGTAAATGGGGCTAATAATAGTATCCAGTTCATAAGGTTGCTACAAGTAACACTTACGGAATGTTTCATTTGTTTTTCCGCCCTCCTGAGCTGTGCAGGAAACCGGTGGGTAGGTGGATGACTGCCAGCGCCTTCCTTTCCTATGCATTCTCACTCCCTTTCTCCTCCTCCCTCAATATATTAGCATGAAACAGGAATAGTAGATGATTTGAGTGCACGCAGATGTCTTCTGCTCTGAAAAGAAAAACAATAGCCATACCCGAAATTCCAATTACCAGTCAGTCCAAAACACTGATTTTCTACTCTACACTTAAGCAGTAACTCAGGTTTTTTGCGAACTGACTGTGTGCCAGGGAATGTGCTAGCTGCTGGGGAGATGGTGGTGGGCCAGAAAGTGCAGAGTGCAATGCCATGTAAAGAAGGGGAGAAGGAGAGAGGAAGAGAACTAGGATGCAGGAAGGAAAGTTCTGGAAGGGGATGGCAGAGACCGGAATGTGGGGATGTGGGGAGTGGATTCCAGGTGAGCTAACACATCAGTGGAAAAGGAAAGGGCGTGTACCCAGCCAGCAGAGAAAATTAATACTGAATATGCTAGTCCTGTGTTGAGTGGATGTGAACATGGTGGAAACCTAGTGTTTTTTTTTTTGTTTTTTTTTTTCCTGATGATTCTCAAGAATGTTTAAAAAAATGCAATGTTTGCAAACAAAGTAGAAACAGTTGAAGCATTGTTTTCTATTAGCAGTATAAGGTTCACTGGCTATGGGTATTTTTTCCTTCTTGCTTTCCAAATTGTAATTTTAAAAGATGAGGCATTTCATATTCAAGAGTTTCCTTTGTCTGAAATAAATTATTCATTTCTACTCAGTTTCAGAAACAATGAACATATACTTAATGCATCACAATTAAGCGGGTGCAGCTTCACATAAAATTATGTTCCATGCATTTTGGTGGCAAACAGAGCAGCATATCCTATATCTTGTCGACATTTGTTCCTCATAAGCAAAATATAAAGAAGTCGAAGCCCAGAAATGTGTTTTCTTTCCTCTCATGGTGGAGGGGGGTAACTTTAGACCCAGGCAGCCTTGTTTTTGACATTCCACAGCTGTTGGTGGCTTTGTCAGTCTGTAGAGAAAGTGAACTTACTGCAACTGCCTTGTGCGTGGGGTCAGGTGAGGGTCAGAATTCTTGAGCACCACACATTTATCTCAGTCTTCTTTGTCTGGGTTTGAGATCTGTCTAGAATCCTTTTGTGGAAGGGCATTGCCTGGAAACGACTTCCTTTGGGGTTTGGTGGCAGCTGTTTTTTTGAATACTAGCTGGTTGGTCATGTGGCGGTTTTCTGAGGATCTGGCCCTGAGATATTCTTCCTGTGACAAGGTTTCTCTTTAGGAAAATAGGCATTGCCAGCAAGGATCAAGATGTCCGTGGACGTCCACTTTAGTCTTGAAGATTTAGCTATACTGGTTCCCAGGAGCATTTTTTGGGATGCCTCTGACTTAAGTCCCAGCCCTGAGGTCAGAGTGAAAGCTGGCTCTGGTTGCCAAAGGGCAGTTGTCAAAGGACATTAATTGTGAAATGTCTGCTGGCCTCCCATCAGTAGGGCAGGAGATGCTTTCTTTCTTTTTTTCTTCTTCTTTTTTTTTTTAATAGAGTCAGGGTCTCACTCTGCTGCTTAGGATGGTCTCGAACTTCTGTTTCAAGCAATCCTCCTGCCTTGGCCTCTCAAAGTGTTGGGATTATAGGCATAAGCCACCATGTCTAACCAGGAGATGCTTTCATAGGCTATTTCTTTTTTCTTTTCTTTTCTTTCTTTCTTTCTTTTTTTTTTTTTTTTGACAGAGGCTCTCTTTGTTGCTCAGGCTGGAATGCAGTGGCACGATCTTGGCTCACTGCAGCCTCTGCCTCCCAGGTTCACGAAATTATCCTGCCTCAGCCTCCTGAGTAGCTGGGATTACAGGCACCTGCCACCACACCTAGCTAATTTTTTTTATTTTTAGTAGAGACGGGGTTTCACCATTTTGGCCAGGCTGGTCTCAAACTCCTGACCTCAGGTGATCTGCCTGCCTCGGCCTCCCAAAGTACTGGGATTACAGGCATGAGCTATTGCACCCGGTCTCATAGGCTATTTCATTTAATCTTCATAAAAGCCTGAGTGTTAGCCTTGAGTATGCGTGAGGGGCATTATTCACATTTTGCATAAGAGGAAACCAAAACTCATAGAAGTCCAGTGACCTGCCTAAGGCCACATAGCTAGTTGGTGGCAAATCCTGAATTCAAGCCAAGTTTGTCCAGCTGCAAAGGCCTAGCCCTTTGCATGCTACCCCGGCTTATTGCCTTTTTGATTGTCAAGAACAAAAGTAGCTAGATGCAAGATGGATCCTCAGCTACCTCTGGCCTAAGCACCCTTTGTATTTGAACAGAAAAAAAATTACATGCTTTTTATTTTAGAGAGGCTTAGGAAGAAGGCCCTGGACTTGGCCAGAAGTTTTCCTGGATGCCTCCCTGTCCTTGACCCTGGTTTCTTTCTTATTTTTTTTTTCTCTTGTGAGAGAGAGTCTCACTCTCTCACCCAGGCTGCAGTGCAGTGGTGCGATCTTGGCTCACTGCAACCTCAGCCTCCCAGGTTCACACGATTCTCCTGCCTCAGCCTCCCCAGTAGCTGGGACTACAGGCATGCACCCCAACACCTGGCTAATTTTTTTATCTTTAGTAGAGATGGGATTTCACCATGTTGGTCAGGCTGGTTTTGAACTCCTGACTTCAAATGATTCACCCATCTTGGCTTCCTAAAGTGCTGGGTTTACAGGCATGAGCCACCGCAACTGGTCTTGACCCTGGTTTCTGTCCGGTGCCTGCCCTGGCTGACTGGACTCACTGCAGAGCCCTCCAGGTATCCTGGCGCTCTGTGCTTCCACTTAGGTGTCCATGACCTCCAGTTCTGCAGTTTCTGTGGCATCTCTTGCTGTGGTATTTCCTATGTGGCAAAGGCCCCTGGGGAATTGGTGGATGAACTCTGATTTTTGCGAAGCCCTCCTTTAGAATAGGTCCATCCAGCTGCGTGCTGGGTAGTCCCATCTAGATATCCTGGCCATAACTCAAACATAGTCTGTATTGAACTTGCCTTCTCTTTTAATCTTGTGGACTGAGGAAGAGGCACATTAGAACCTTAGGGAGATGTTTTTATATTGGCCGGGGGGTGCAGTGCTATAGCAGAAAGGATGTAGATTTGGAGTCAGACTAAGTTTGCATCCTGACTTCATCCTTTCATAACTTAGGCAGGTTGTTTAATACCTTTAAGCCTCAGTTTCCTGATTTGTCAAATGTAGACAGTATCTGCTGTGCCGTGTCATTGTAAGGACTGGATCTTTGTTATGAGACAGCATGTTGAAGCCTATCCCCCAGTCACAGTGATAGAAGTTCTTAGTTAAAGACGAGAATCTGTTTACTGGCCTCGAGACATTGCACTGCACCTGGGAAGGGCAGGTAGTCCGTGTGCTGGTCCTTCCAGCTTTCCAGGGCGGAAGTGGTGAGGGTGCGCGTTTCTGACTTCGTGGCTGCTCTCTGGAGACTGCTCAGTATCTTTGCACATGCCACCCTGAGATGCATGACCATTGATAGCCTGGTTTGCCTGTAAGACAAAGCAGCCCCACCATGCAGTAGGCGCCAGCTGTATACCTCACTTGGTATCACCTGCAGCCTTGCCAGCTGAGGCAGATGCACCTGAGTGTGAGGGCGGCAATTGACCTGTTCCTCCATGTGCCCTGTTCCTACCACCTGAAGGGTAACTTCATTAAGTTCCTACCTGTTCCTACCACGTGAAGGGTAGCTTCATTAAGAGAAAGTGCAGTCGAGGTAGATAGAAACAGCCTCTCAGAAATGGCTCTCATGCGGATTCGGCTTGCTGCTCGTATTGTGGGCGAGCCTTGGAGACTGAGGGAAGGTGAGTACTTGTGAGTTCCTAGGCAGAGTGAGTACCCTGCGTTGAATGTAGAATTTTCCTATTAAGAGCAGAACAAAACAGGTTTTTAGATTAGCACTCTGACGTGGGCTGGAAATGCCCGGCAAATATTTACCCTAGATGTAAAACACTCACAAAGTCAAATGTTGTTTGGAAAACCCTAAAATAGAAAATTTTTACTCAGGGTTTTATATTTGGTAATTGTAAAAAAAAAAAAAAAAAAAAAAAAAAAGAGGCCTATTGTTGTCTGTGTCCTCTAAGCTGGCTTTTACAACATGGAATGACGACAAAGCCTCTTTTGCCCTCCCTCCTGCCCATTTCTGCTCCTCTGCCCTTACTCAGCCTCATGACTGCATTCCCAGCCCCTTTTCAGACGTGTACCTCCTCCACCCATCCAGGTGACTGTGGCGTGTTTTGCTTGGTAAGCCCTGACTCTGGGCCTGGCACCATTTCACCTGCTTTTCCTCTTGAAACTGAGCCTGGGATGCTGGAATTGACAGATTTGCCTCCCCAGCAGCTCCCAGGAGTAAAGGAACTCTACTGGCTGAAGTGTTTAAACTCCTGGAAGGCTGGCATTGGACTTGAGATATTCTTTGTATGCATCAGACACCTGAGTTAGAGTCTCTGAATGTCCCATTATACGTTTTTTGCTAGACCCTTCTGTTCCTCTCTGGTAAAGCAGAGTGTTTGGACCATACCAGTGGTTCTAACCTGGCAACCTCACACATTTTGTGCATCAGTGTCTCGTGGGGGAGGTGTATGATATTCTGATACATCCACCCCCACTCTTACGCCAGATGTGCTGTCTTGGGTGAAAACTGCTGTGCTATGGTGGATGATCTCCCCAGGAACTTTCTGGCTCTGACCTGCCATGTGCTCTTCGGAGCTTTGTCAAGATTCTTTGGATGACTTCTTCCTTCGGTCCATCAACAAATGTCTACTGAGCCAACTTTCGTGGACTGGACATTGTGCTAGGGTCCTAGGGACATTGGCATGGACAGGATGAACTCACGAAACTTATAGTCTAGTACAGGAGGCATATGAATTAAAATGCACGTGTTTTGATAGCAGTCAGTACTCTGAAGAAGAAAACTGACCAATATGATACAGAAGGGAACAGAGGGGAGAAGGGGACCCTTTTACACGTGGAAATCAGAATGTGCCTCTCTGAGGAGGTGACTTTGAGCTGGGACCTAAATGACAAGGGGGAACTGGCCATTCTGAGCACCTGCTGAAGAGCATTGTGGCAGAACTCCAAGGACCCCAGGCGGGCCAAGCCTGGTGCATTCCCCAGAAACAGTGGAGCTAGTAAGGTGGGAGCCTGGTCCCTTTTTACCAGTGATTATCTCCTTCCGCTGCCCTGTGCAGGGGGCTAGCAATGGGACCAGGCCACCACCAGGGCTCAGGAGGGAGCTATGGCCAGGGGTCCTGAGGACACCAGGAAGCTTCAAATCCATGGCACCTGCTTTTTGGGTGGTGGGACTCATGAACTGTACCCAGAAAAGTATCTGGCTGCGTTTCACTATCCTAGAATTCTGAGACATGAGCAAAACAGCCGTCTGGACCAGAGACTTTGTGCTCGAGTGTGACTTGGAGGGGCCAGCTTTGCCCTGTTGCACTTCAGATGTACGCTTTGAAAATGTAATCCTTAAATGATAGCACTCCTCTAGTGCTAGGCTCATGTTTTGTATTGATTTATCTCATTCTTTTAAAAAAGGAAGATAATTATAGAATCCTGATGTTGAAAGAGTCTTTTGTGATCACCAAGTTCATCATCAAGTCCTTACTTGATGGATGGATAACAGAATTAAAGACCAGAATGGTTGAGGCCTGTGTTAGGAGACAAAATGGGGCTAGAGTGGGGACTTAGCGCCCTGGGTCCTCTCTCCTTAGTTGACATACGTAGTGTCCACGTAGGACAGGCCCAAAGAATGGCGATGCCCCAGGAGATGAAGGTTCAACCCCTGAATACATCTGTACTATTGTCAGAGAAATTCTTAAAGAATCAAGTCCTTGCCCACTTTTCTGGCCTCATCAAGCCCCATTTCCCATGATGGGTCATAGATCTAAAGACACTCTGCCTTTCTCCTCCCTAGCACACACATCTCTCTTGTTCTGCCTCAAAGCCTTTGCCCTTGCCTTCCCCCCGTCATCTGGAATGTCCTCTATGATCTTAACTTAGCTGGCTCCTCTTTGTCATTTTCAACCAGAGGTCTTCCATAAAAAGGAGACCACTTCGCTAAATATCACTCCCTCCTCGTTCATTCTTTATTACATTTCCTGTTTCGTTATCTGCACAGACCCTACCACTATCCTCAGCTATTTTGTAGATTTACTTGTGTTGTGTGTCTGTTTCTGTAATGTTAGGTTGTGTACAAGCAAGGACCCCATCTGGCTTGTTCAATTTTCTGCACTTGGGTAGTTTTCCCAAGAAAACTATGTAGTAGGTGCTGAGTAGATATTTGTTGAATGAATGAATGAGTGAACAAATGCATAGTAAGTGAGAGCTAGGTAGGTAGAAGATGCTTACTAAATAGCTATTTGGTGCCCAGCACTTAGTTGAAGCAGGGCAGAGGTGTACAGGTCATGACATGAGGGAGCCTACGGTCTTGCCAGCGAGGTACATCTGTCAGGAGTCTTTCTTTCATGAAGGACAGAAAACTCATCTCAAGCAGACTTGGATGATAAAGAAAATTTGTCAGCACTTAGGACGTATCAGAAGGCCAGAAGTAGGACAGGATTCTGGCAAATTGCTGTTACCAGGACCATGCCTCCTGGACCTCCAGTTCTTGGATGTGCTCTTTGTGTTGGGGGCGACATCTGCAGTGACAACAGGGTGGGACCTCCCAACAGCGCCACACTCGTCTCTTGTGTTCAGTAATGGACCCAAGCAATTGCAGGCCTCACAGCCTCATGTACACCATCCTGGACTGAGTACTTGGCTGTAGAATGGTGACCAAAGTCAGATTGGCCCCTCCCCCATGGAGCTTATAGTCTAGCAGAGGTCAGAGACACAAATACATAGAAAATCCAAGTGTAAAAAGTGATCCCAAAGAGAAGCAGATGATGCTCTGAGCACCGGTGATGAGGCTTAGGGTGGGAAGAATGTTCCAGCAAAGGAAAGGCCAAGGTTGTGTGGGGCAAAGGGGCGGGCCAGAGTGGTCAGTGTGAGATGAGACCGGACATGTCATCTTTAGCTGGTTAGGAACTGGGGGAAGGAGTGGGGCCATGTGGCAGCCCTGGAGCTGGCCTGCAGACTCAGCCTGGATGCCTAAATCTTGGAATTCACCGTGGCAGGAATTGCAGGGTGTGCATGGTTTTCTCAGCCCACTGTCGTCATTGTCACATTTGAGAAGGACCAGCTACACCCATCTGGGGAAAAGAGGCCCTTGGAGCATTAGTGCTGGTATGCTAGAGATTTAATTCGCTGCTTTTCAAACAGACCCCATGCTCTTAGGCCAGCCCTTTAACCGCCCCCACCAGCCTCAGTTTTCTCAACTGTGAACTGGGGTTATGGACTTGTTGCAGGCCTACAGGAGTTGACACATAACAAAGTGCTTTGCAAACTCCACAGTTCTAAAGCAAGTCACTTTCGGTTGTTTTGATTTTCCTTCAACTGTGGGAAGAGAATGAATTCAAGATAATTAGAAACAATGAGCCCTAGCACTTTGGAACTGGAAGAAGCCTGAGGGACCTTCTAGTGAAAGTGCAGAAGGTGAGTTGTGACTCGTTGTGGGGCCTGTTGGAGATTTGAAGTTGTCTGGAGATCAGCTGCTTCTCCTCCCTGAGCATCCCCTTCATGCCCTGTAAGGCTCCAGAAAAAGGAACAGCGCTCCCTTTCCCGCCTGATTGCATTGAGCCTGGCATGGTGGAGGTGCAGCTCAGGTCTAGTGGGTGCAGGCCTCTATAAGACTTGGCCCAG
Source organism: Homo sapiens (assembly GCF_000001405.40). Taxonomy (NCBI): domain Eukaryota; kingdom Metazoa; phylum Chordata; class Mammalia; order Primates; family Hominidae; genus Homo; species Homo sapiens. Next base: position 116,248,273 of record NC_000010.11, on the reverse strand, counting down.
CCTCATAGCAAGTGGCAGGCAAAGCCCCATGAACCTGTGATCTCCAGCTCTGAGGCTGCTCCCTTGCTCTTACCTTTTGCCCTTGCCACACCCAGGCCACATTCTGCAAGAAGTTCGGGGCCACAGATCTGGTCGGATTCAGCCTGTGGAGCACACAGTCGGCTCCCCAGTTGGCAGGGAATTTTGGTCTCATGTCAAATACCCAGAAAGTCAAGAGGACAGCAAACCCCTGTGTACCCACCACCCAGAATGAACCAATGTAACCATTTGCCTTTTAAAACCATATCATTTTAAAACAGAAACTATTACAGGGAAAGCTGAAGTCTCCTTAAAGTATCATGGCATAAGTGATTCATTCTACAAGTATTTTCAGAGTGCCTTCTGTGGGCTGAGTATATTGGAGATATGATGGGGAACCAGCCATTAAAAGCCTTCACCCTCAAGGAGGCTGCATTCTATCTAGAGGAGGGCAGATGATACATGAATATATAATGAAGGTAAATAGGAGGAGGGTAGGGGGCAGAGAGTGATAGGAGTGGGTACTATTTTAGATAGAGGAAGTCTTCTCTGCTGAGACATTTGACACAGTGAAATGAAGTTCCCAAGCTTGTGAAGTCTCAGAAAGAGGCTTTGAGATGGAGGGACCAGTCAGTGCCCAGCCTCAGAGGTGGGAAGAGGCTGGTGAGTCCAAGGAGCAAGCTGAGCAGTGGAAATGCACCCCAGTAAGTCAGGGCTGGGAGAGCCAGCCAGGGGCCCCAGCACATGGCCACAGGGCCTTAGAGACCACGGGATAAGGACTCTGGGGTTTGTTCCAAAACTAATGAGAAGCTCTTTGAAGGACTGGGGGTTTTGAAGAAGACAATGTCATGATCTCACTTATGTTTTAGAAGAATCTCTTAACTGTAAATAGGCAAGAGGAGAAATAGCAAAAGAAGTTTGTTGTAACATCAGCTCCAGAACTGATAGGGGCTTACACTTGGGTTAGTGATGAGAAGCAGTTAGATTCAAGGGACCCACAGGTCATACTGATGAATTGAGGACATGGAGTGAGAGAAGGAGAGAAACCAGGGATGGCTTCTAGGAATTTTGATGTTGTCATTTACCTGGGTAAATGACAGTGCCATTTTCTGAGATGGGGCAGGGGTCGGGGACAAGAACTATTTTTGCATACAGGGGTGTAGACTTAGAGTTCCATTTTGGACACATTGAAATACTTTTTGTAAATCTGAACATCTTTGCCTCGGCAGAGCTGTTGTTCATGCTATCCTCATTTTATCTTTTACCATGTACACTTCCACGAACAATATTCCACTCTTGATGGGCATTCTTTGTTTTTGAAATTACAAATAATACTGCTGTTTTTATTCTGGTTTCTCTGTGCATATCGAGGAAATTGATAATTAGAAATAGGACTACTGGGTTATGAGGCATGCACATTTTATATTTTTTTGGTAACAGCTTTATTGAGATATAATTCACATACCATATAAGGGGATATGCATTTTCACCTTGTTTTGAAATCCTTCAAAATTCACTTTTGCTATTAAGTAGTCATCCTTTAATTTACTAATTGCTATTTTGCTTTTAATTTACTATTTTAATAACCTGTTTCTTTGCTTATGCCTCCGTGTTGAGTGTCCTTTTTGCTGACGCATATCTTTTAATAGTCCGTTCAGTGTCTAGGGACAGTAATCACTGTCTTTTTTCTTTTCCTTTTCGTTTTTTGCTAATTACTAGCCTATGTTGTATAGAACAGTTTTAAATCAACAGAAAAATTGAGCAGGTAGTACTCAGTGTTCTCATATACTGTCTGACCCAACAGTTTCTCCATTTATTTATTTAGAGACGGAGTCTTGCTCTTGTTGCCCAGGCTGGAGTGCAATGGCGCAACCTCGTCTCACTGCAACCTCTGCCTCCCGGGTTCAAGCGATTCTCCTGCTTCAGTCTCCTGAGTACCTGGGATTACAGGTGCCCACCACCATGCCTGGCTAGTTTTTTGTATTTTTAGTAGAGACAGGATTTCACTGTGTTGGCCAGGCTGGTCTCGAACTCCTGACCTCAGGTGATGGGCCTCCCAAAGTGCTGGGATTACAGGCATGAACCAACATGCCCAGTTCCTCCTATTATTAACATGTCTCTTTAGTGTGGTGCATTTGTTACAATTAATGAGTCATTGATGCATTATCATTAACCAAAGTTCATAGTTTACAGTAGTGTTCCCTCTTTATGTTAAACAGTTCTATGAGTTTTGACAAATGTACAGTGCCATGTATCCACCATTACAGTATCACACAGAAGAGTGTCACTGCCCTAAAACCTCCTGGGCTTCCCCTGTTTATCCCTCCTCTTCTCCTAAGCCTCTGGCAGCCACTGGTCTTTTTACTGTCTTCATAGTTTTCTTTTTCCAGAATGTGATATGGTTGGAATCATAGAACCCTACAGACTGGTTTCTTTCATCTAATAATATGCACTTAAGGTTTCTCTGTCTTTTTGTGGCTTGATAGTTCACTTTTTTCAACTGCTGAATAATTGTGTTCCATTGTATGGATGGACCACACTTTGTTTACCAATTCACTTACTGAAGGATGTCTTCTTTCCAGTTTTGGCTGTTGTCCGTTTTATTATGAATAAAGCTATAAACATTTGTGTTTCGTTTTTTGTGTGGACCTAACTTTTCAACTCAGTTGGGTAAGTACCTAAGAGTGTGATTGCTGGATCATATTTAAAGTCTATGTTTAGGTTTGTAAAAACTGTCCAAACTGTCTTGCAAAGCGGCTGTACCATTTTGCATTCCCACTAGCCTTGAGGGAAAGTCCCTGGTGCTCTGTGCCCTCATCAGCATTTGGTGGTGTCAGGCTTTTGGATTTTAGCCATTCTAATAGGTGTGTAGGGGTATCTCATGGTTGTTTTTATTTTACTTTGTAAGTCCCTCATGGCATATGGTGTGAAACATCTTTTCATATGCTTATTTGCCATCTGTGTATCTTCTTTGGTGAGATGTCTGTTCAGATCTCTTACTCATTTTAAAAATTGAGTCGTTTTCTTAATGTCACATTTTAAGAGTTCTTTGTATATTTTGGATACAAACTCATTTTCAGATATGTATTTCACTGGGTCTTTTCAGTTTGAAAATGTCTCCATTTGGTCTTCATTCTTGAATAATTATTTACTTGGGTGTAATATTCTAGTTTGGCAATTATTTTCTTTTAGCATTTTTACAATATTATTCAACTGCCAGCTGGCATCTGTAGTTGCTGATAGAGTCTAGAATGTCTAACTATTGTTTCTTTAAGCTCTCTTTTTAGCTTTCTTTCTCATACTTTAGGGTTTCCCTGTTGGCTTATGTTTACTGATTTCACTGGTATTTAGGTGTGATTTTTAAAAACATTCCTCAGTTTTGGCATTAGGTATGATTTTATTTTTCCTATGTGAATACGTGTATTTTTGTTTACTTCTGGAAAATTTTGCAATTACCCTCTTCTAATACTTCTCTATTCTTTTACTTCTCTTCCTTTTGAACTTCTATCAGACAAAGCTTCTTCCTCTTTATTCTATTTCCCTCAACTTTGGAATCCTATTTTCAATTTCCTTATTTCTCTGACATACATTTGGGGTCAGGTGTTCAGGTCTGTCCTCCTAGTCACTAATCCTCTCTCCTTCTATGTTTTGTTGAACCCATATATTGAATTTTTAAAATTTTAACGCCTGTATATTTTAGTTTTAGAATTCCTATATATTTTTATAGGAACTTTATATATTTTTATATATAGGATTATATATTAAATTGTTATTAAAATTTATTATATATTAAAATTAAATTAAATTAAATTTTAATTATTAACATTAAATGAAATAAAATTAAATTTTAATTATTAACATTAAATGAAATAAAATTAAATTTTAATTATTAAAGTTAAATGAAATAAAATTAAATTTTAATTATTAAAATTATATATTATATATTATAATTTTTCTTCTTTTTGATGAGATAAGTTTCTATAGTTTCTATTCCTTTATCTCACTGAAAATATTTACTATAAGGCAGTTTTTCAGATTGATCTGTAATAAATCTGTAATAGATCAATAGATCCGTAATAGATCAATCTGAAAGATTCTCCCATATCTTGTTCATGTAGGCTCTTTCATGACTGTTTTTTTCTTGTGTGTTTTATTATTTCAACAATAGGTTCATCTTTAGTAACAGTGATTTTCTCTAGTATTCCTACATAGGGTCTTTAAGGCAACCTTATGCAGTCATCTATATTTTCTTTGCTGGGCCTTTCATGGATGCTGGGCCATTTTTAAGTTAATTCCTCACTCCATGGAGGAATATCTTTGGGACCCCACTCTTACAAGCTTCATGTTTCTTTTTGTTTCTTGTCCCCAGGCCAGTGAGCAGAGATACTCTGAGCCTGTTTTCAAGATATGTGTCTTCTGGGCTGCTGGTTTTATGCAGGGAGCTCTGTGAGAGTTTCCTTGACCAGGGCCTGTGGCCATAGTGGCTACTCTCTCAAGGCCTTGTCACAGTGGTTCTCAGGACAGGCTGTACACTGGAATCAAATGGAAGCTCCAGTGCCCTGATACCTGGACCCCACTCCCAGATATATATTTTTTAAAGCTCCTAGGTGATTTTAAATGTGCAGCCCAGGTTGAAAATTATTGCCTTATAGACACGTGCCCAGTTTCCCTGTGTTTTTTTTTTCTTAAAAAAAAAACCAAACCCTTTTTGTTATATCACATTTACTATTCTCTCTTTTTTCTTTTCTTTTTCTCTTTTTTGGGGGGCAGGGTTGGGGGAAGATTGTCTATATACCTGTATCATTTCCGGTTACCATACTGACCAGAAGAAATGAGAAGTACCAAATTCTAACCAGCATGCTTAGATAAAAGGATTCAAATGGAAGGTTTCTACATGCCTTCTTGGGTTATTGAATACTTCCTGTGATTTTTAATTTCTCTGTAAAAGATAACTCTTTTTTTGGCATCCTCCCTCCCCACTTCATTTCTTTCAGCATGGGTGCTTATCAAATATCTTTAATTAAAATGAATTTATAGTTTGGGGCTGCATTGGAGTTAGTGGCATTCTCTGCTTCTCCTTTGTGATACAAATATTTGAATATATTCTATAGCTGGAGAATATATTCAAAAATAAGTTAAATTTGAGACGCATAAATGTAGTAAGATTTTAAATGCAATATAAGAAATGACGTAAATATTTTCCTTGGTGCGGATAAAGTAGATCATTCAAAAGTGAAGCTGAAAACAAGTGATATTTGGAAGGGAGGTAGTTTTTCTAGCTGATTTGAGAAAACAGATGGATATATTAATTTACTTGACTGTTGTAGGAATTTCACTATGTTTATGCATATCAAAACATCATGTTGTACACCTTAAATATAAAAAAGAAAGAAAACATATTTGATGGAAATGTGGTTTCTGAAGCCAAAAGGGGCCAATTTGGGTAAGGACTCTGTTATTAAAAATTCTGTTTTTGGCCAGGTGCAGTCCTTATGCCTGTAATCCTGGCACTTTGGGAGGCTGAGGCAGGCGGATCACCTGAGGTCAGGAGTTCAAGACCAGCCTGGCCAACATAGTGAAACCCCATCTCTACTAAAAGTACAAAAATTAACTAGGCGTGGAGGCGGGCGCCTGTAGTCTCAGCTACTTGGGAGGCTGAGGCAGAAGAATTGCTTGAACCCGGGAGTCAGAGGTTGCAGTGAGCCAAGACCGCACCACTGCACTCCAGCCTGGGCGACACATCACGATTCTGTCTCAAAAAAAAAAAAAATGTTTTTATGGATACCTTCTCTTCTCAAAATCAAAATAGGAGTTTTAAGGAAATGATTTAGTGTATATTGTTTAGCTTTTTGGGAACAAATTATCGTTACCTGCTTATGTGACTTTTTATAGAATGTTGCGTTTAAAAAGAAGTATCTCTGCTTATGGTCACATTTTCAAAACAGGCTTCCAAAACTTTAAACTTGAAGCCAGTCTCTGCTGAGTTACATCTGCACATAATTGTAACCAGAGACACTTGTCTCCCTAAATATGCGCATCTGCAAATAATTGTGCTTTCAATTGCCAACGCACAGGGTTTCAGACTGTGTCTAAACAAGAATAGAGAGATGAAGCAGTTATCTGAGTAATTCCAGCCGAAAAATAAGAATGCCCCCATATTATATCTTAAATTTTCTGGGTATTTCAGTTGAGGGGATGTTTTGATTAAAATCATCTGGGTAACTGCCTGAGTTTTCTACTTCATTTTGCATGTGTAAACACAGCTGTTTTATGATTGACAACTTTTTTTTTAATAGCTGCCTTTTGGAAATGACCATTTTTTCAAGACCACAACTCTTGCTTAGGGTTTGGCAGCTCACTTTCAGGATCCTTGGCTACTATGTGCTGCCTTCCAGTAAGAATGGCTGGGTAGCAAGTTGATTCTCCTATTCTTAGTGTTGAAACTTCCTTCTGCATTTAGTGATATTTCTAGCTAGCCTGCAGAACAAATACATCAGTAGTCCAGCCATTGCAGCCCAATCCTGTACATAACAACAAAAGCGTCAGTCTCCACCTGTGTCTGAAAATCACAAGTAGCATGGCAAATGCTTCCATGTTTAGAAAAATATCCAATTTGACCATCCTATCAGTTCCAGATGAACCTCTGTTTCCTGCCAAAGTGGAACTTCAGCCAGTGCATTTTATTTCCATTCCCAAACTCATCTGCATCATGTGGCAATATGTATTAATGCTCATCGAGCTACCACTTGGATCAGGTGAGGATGCTCATGTTGGGAAGGAAGACATTGCAGAGACAGTCAGCTCAGAGGCTTCTGAGACCACGCATTTTTATGTCAGGATGAACGAAGCAGCACACGAACTGTGAAGTTGTGTGGTTGAGATTTGTTTTGACAGATTCGGTTCTCCAAAGCCTCTCTGTTTTCTCGGCTTCTTCCAGGAAATTTGAAATGCTTGCAAGATAGTTGGACGAAAGTATGGGGACCATGAACCTCTTGGTGACAGGTTCTTGGACATGTGTGAATTGGTTTTCTCCCCATGTTGTTGGTTTTAAAAGTTCTTTAAGTTCTGGCAAAACACACTATCACTATTACTGGCTTGCAAAAACACACGTTTTAGAAATCTAATGTATTACGAAATTCTAAATTATCCACTATGTGAAAATACATGAATCTTAACTAAGGGCTTGTTTTTGAGGATTGAGATTCATCTATTATGCACTTTAGTACATTGGTTGAGAGCTTAAGGTCTGGAGCAGATGATTTGGTTTCAGATGTCAACTCTGCAAGTCTTAGCTGGGTAACCTCGCAAGCCTCAGTTTCATTCTCTGTAAAATGGGATGATCATAACTACAGCTACCTGTTAGGATTGTTTTGAAGATTAAAATTCTTAGTATCATCCCTCACAAAGAGTGTGCACCCTGTGTGTTAGCTGCTATTCATTCGTTTATTCCTTTCAGTCTGCAGATGTTTGTCGAGACAGCCCACTCTATGCCAAGCACTGTGTGGAATGCCAGGTGGCTAAGATGCGTACGGTTTAGTTTCCCTCCTTCATCAGGCAGTTGAGGGGCGGGTGAATGGGTTAGAGAGTTAACTGTGATGCCATGTTGGAGGGCAGATCATGCCGCAGTTCTTAAGACATAATCCTTTCTAGTCATTTCCCACATATTTAAGGGCCTTCGTTTCACTCCGCCCAAGTAAAAAGTTCAAAATGATTCATTTTCTCTTTAGATGCTTTGTTTTTTGAGAAATGGTAGGACTCACACCCTTCAAAAGAAATCCATCTCTAGAAAATACTTCTTTGCGAATGTGATTTTGTTACAGCTTATGAGAAAGAAACTAGTCAGTGGGTGCCAAGTATTTGGTCTTAATTTTCACTGCATAGGGAGATGGGTGGAGCGCCAGCTGAGCTACAGGAAGGGTGAAGCTAGGATGAAGTTCAGCCATGGAGCACGGCGTTGAGAGGTCTTCTCTTCCAGCAAGAACTCAAGCCGTGGAGTAGTTGGGTCACCATAATGGGAGTAGGAGGCTGGTGCCTTAGGTCAGCCTGTGGAACAACAGTGGGGGCTTTGTCCTGAGGATTTAAGATTATACCAGCTGCTACCTAAAGCTCAACAGTCACTTGAATTTTCTTGGTGGCTTGATGAACCAGATATGAAATTTGAAAATGCAATGATTTCCGTTTTTTTAATAATACATCATAGAGAAATCGACGAACACCTGCTTGTAGATATCCTTTCTCCCTCTGTGAATTGCTGTGATTTCCTGGATCCAGTTAAGTTCTGAGGGACACGTTGTAACCTTTCAGTCTGATGAACCTCCACTGGTGTAACAAGGAGCTATGTTAACAGGGCGCTATTGTGAACATGTTCAAAATTGCTTTGATAGTTTTGCTCAAATTTAACTCTCAAAAATTTTGGTAAATCCTAGGAGACTCAGTTATCAGCTTAAGGTTTTTGTTGTTAAATTTTTTAAAAACCCAAGTATAAATTATCTTTTGATGAAGATCAGCAGCCTCCTTTTGTTGAAGATGATACGTGTCTATCACAAGATAAATAATAATTTTAATTATTACTGTGGCATGGGAAACTACTTTTTAAAAAGAATTCCATTCTAAATGTATGACAGACAAAATTAGTGTTTAGGAAGTACTGAAAGGAATTCATTGTTAAGTTACGTTCTTATCTTCCATTTTATCTGGCTTTCTTTATTTAATTGAATGTTATTATTTTGGACCTCATAATATTTGCTGTGGGTAGAATAACAATAACTCATTAGATTCACTGCCTCTGCGTGAGATCAATAACAAAATTTCCATTATTTATTTTCCCAAAAGACCTTTAGACACTGTACTTCCAGCATGGTATAAAGGAAAGGGATTTTATAATGATTTACTTTAAAAAGATTTTTACTTCTGATATATATCCGGCAAAGCCCCGCTTGAATTTCACTGTGATAATAATAATTATAAAACAAAAATGTCAAGGAATTGTTCCATCATGATCTGTATTTTGACTATATATGAGAAATACAAGTCATGCAATGCCTAACAGTGTTTAGACACCAGCTTTGAACAGAATTTATCAATGTGTTAGGAAGAACCAAAAATATAAACATTTTAAATGAAAACTCACAAATGAAGATGAGATTTTTGTTCGTTAATTGGCTAGCTGATGTCTTTTTCTCTGTCTCTGGTCACCTTGGGAAAAATGCATGTTCCTATTTGCTTCCAATATAGCTGGACATGGCTGATGATACTCTTGCTTTGAGATTCCTATTTCACGTATTTCAGTGTGAACCCAGTCGAGGGAACTGAAAAATAAACATACAAGCTTTAAAATTTTCTCACTTTAGGGAAATTGCAAATGCTATGCTAATCCTATAGCTAATAAGCCAGCTTTCAACGTGGGCAAAAATTACAGATTTTTTTTGGCATTGTAGCATTTAAAAAAAATGACCATTTGTTTTGCATGTCAATAGTTGAAAGTTAAACACGGAAGAAGAGATTTAAATATTCTCTCTTGGAGAAATCTGTAATATCCCATAGATTTTAGATTAAATGGATTAGATTGGAATAATTGCAGAGGACATTATTCCTTCATTGAGCGGATTACAACCAATTAAGTCGTAATTCTGAGGCCTTGTTAAATAAATATTGCTTATTATCCATCAAGACAGCAAAACATCAGAGGAAAGATGGGTGTGCATTTTCCGATCAGTCCCTTGTTCTCTAGAAATTCCATATATATGGAACATTCACAGACAATGTGGACAGGGAATGGTGTATATTGCATGTGTAAATATATGTGACGTGCACATTCTGAGTTGTTTTAAGTCTGGCCCTTCGGAAGGCAGGCCTTCCATGTCTCTTGAGGGTCTTGGAGGCTGAATGCAGATGGTAAAGTTTGCATTGTTCTTCTAACACTTAGAAGTCAGATGAAGTAAAACCTTTCTGATACCTTGCGAGGTCACTGGGAGGTTACCTGGCAGGCGGCGTTCCCCAGGGCCTGCCACATTGAAAGACACGGCTCTCCTGTTGTCAAACGCTGCACCTTCCCGGCAGCTGCGCACAAAAGAGCCTGTGAAGAAATCAGCTGGGTTTGCGTGCACTTAAAGTTGTATATAATTCCGGTGTTAAATTTATTGGAAGACTGAGCGTAATGTAAAACACAGAGTAAAAACGAGGCTCCGTGTGTCAGCTTTACGGCGCATTTGGAAGCAGTTGAGGGTTTTCAGAGTCTGCTTGGTCGAGGAAGAGCTGTGCTGCAAGCCCCCAAGAAAGGAGTGAAAGTTGGCTGTCTAATCAGCGCTGATGCTCAGCTTGGATGTGTCCCTGTGATGCCTGGAGGTGGAAGCACAGGTGTTGTTTGCCCCTAGGAACCCTTTTCCCCACTTCCTTGTGACCTTTTTGTGCAGAGCTTTGGTGCTTTTGGCCAGCAAAGGCAAAGCTTGCATACATTCTAGGATGTCCTTTATCCAGGGCTTAGTTGGGATTAAATAAGTATGGAGAATCAGTAGGACCCAGGTCTTTGCAGGATGACAAATGGCTGAAAACTTTGTTCTACTGCTTTGACAGGCACCATGGGGGGTGGGTGCCTATGGATGTAGCTATCTAGAGAAGAAGAACAGGAAGTATCGAAGAAAGAGAGCAGAGTCGTTCTTCTTGCTTTTTTTTTTTTTTTTTTGCCTTTAGTTTATTGGTTCATTAATCTATTCGAGTATGTACTCAGTGTCTGCTGCATAACAGGCATCATGCCAGGCAGTAAATATAGCAAATTGCTTAAGAGCTTTGGCTGGAATCTAACCCACTTCAGCCTCAATCCTTCCTCTGCCACATAGCAGCTGTGTGACTTTGCACAAGACACTTAACCTCTCTGAGCCTCATTTTTCTCATCTGTAAATTACAGTAACAGAAGAACTCATGTGTTCATCATCAAGAGGTGTGGTTAAATGTTTTATGGTTCAACCAGAGAGCTGAATGCTACACAGCTGTATAAAGGTATGAGATAGCTGTCTATGTAAAGACCTTCAAGATAAGTGAACATTTCAAAGTGCAGAGCAGTTTGTATAGCTTGCTACCTTTTGTAAATAAAAAAGACGCTTATGTATACACAAAGAAACTATGGATGGATTCATAAGACACTAATAATAATAGTAATTGTATGTGAAGGCAGTGTGGGAACCTGGCATATGTATAGTACATATATTACATGTAGTGCATATACATATATTACTTCTTATAAAATAATGATAGCACAGTTTTGCAAGTTTGTTGTGACTATTCAATGAGATAATGCACTTTAAGTTCTTATTTGAAGGCCTGGCTCAAAAATAAGCATGCGGGTTACATTTTTGCTATTATTGTTGTCCTGGTAGTATTGAAACAAAGTTGCATATAAGAAGTAACCTTTTCCTGTTTAGTGGAGAAGACAGATAATCACAGGATCTCACCAAGGCGGTTGCAGAGGAAGAGACAAAATGCTGGGGGAGCCCAGATGAGGTTGTACCCCAGCTTTTGGGGGGAAGACAGGAAATCTTTCTGTGAGGTGGTGAATTTCCATTCTCCTTCTTCAACTCCATTCTTGGTTAGATAAATATGTTCTTTAATCCTAACAGTTACCCCTTCCCTCATATGAGAGACACATGGTATATGTTTAATTTGTATATACATTAGGGGTTTATTCAATATTTTTCATCAGTTGCCTGCTTCTAATCTTTTTCTCTTTTTTCTGGGTCTGTTTTTTCTCAGATCGCCTGCTTCCTGGGAGGCAGGGACCATATTAATTTAGTTCTTATTCACAGTGTTTTGTTCTTTCTGGGTGATTTTTATAAATATAGAACTTTTCTGCTTTTGCATATGAGAAAGTCCTGGTAACCTTTTTGAGCATAGAGGGGAAATTTTCCACCTCAGGCACCTTTCTCTGCTGAAAGGGGGTTGTTGTTTCCAGTTCTGTGGTTCCTGGCAGAGGCAGTGTCTTCAGGGCCTATAGGAAGTGATTTGGGCAGAGCAAAGCTGGCGAGGCATGGAAGGGAGTGCAGGTCCCCCTTGGGCACCATGGGCTGGGGTTGTTATCCTCAGAGGGCACTAGGGGTTGTCCATGTTCAGGGCCAGTTGGTTATGTGCTTGTAGCAATCGCCAAAGCAAGGGTGAATTTTAGTCAGAACAGAGGTGGCACCTTTGTTGTTCTCCTCCTTGAATTCTTCTGTCATTGTGCTGAGGGTAGTGACAAGGCTCACAGAGATAGGCTGTGTCTTAGTCTGTGCAGGCTGCCATAACAAAGTACCATAAACTGGGTGGCTAAAACAATGGAAAATTATTTCTCATAGTTTTGGAGGCTGGAAGTCCAAGATCAGTGTGCCAGCAAGGCGAATTTCATTCTGAGGTCTTTCCTACAAGATGGCGGCCACCATCTTGCTGTGTGCTCACATGACCTCTTCTTCATGTGGACTCAGAAAATGAGAGATAAGTCAAGCTCTCTCTTATCCAATCTTGACGGCCACACCCTTATGACCCCATCTAACTCTAATTACTGCCGAAAGGCTCCACTTCCAAATACCATCACATTGGGGTTAGGGCTTCAACATATGACTTAAAAGGGGGAACACAGACCTCCAGTCTGTGACAGGAGGGATGGGGATTTGTCAGCTTTAGGGAGGGGCATTTGCTGGAGCTGAATTATGGTGGACCACCCCCCACAGTCTCAACCCAATGTGGGGCAGTCACAGGCAGAATCTTCCAGGGGTTGGGGGTGGGTGATGGTGGTGGGTGGTGATGATGGGTGATTTCTTGGTGCTTAGAGGGGCAGCAGTTTTGGTGCAGGACTTTAGCAAGGGATTTGGATATCCAATCAGATATTGTCAATACCGTTTTATTCATTGTTAGGCAAAGAGGGAATAGGCACCTCAAGATTCGTTTCCTGTGAAAGGAAACTCATAGGTCAGAAAACCAAACTTCAACAGCCTAAAAATACTCTAGCTAACCATAAGTTTTGGGCAAGCCACAGTGGCCATTTCAGCCACATGTGTCTTCCCTCTGTCTGGCCTTGGCAAACTAGCTTCAGGGATATCCTTGGGTTTTGTTGCTCGCTGAGAGAGGCACAGATATTCCTGACTCAGTTGATCTGGTGCCACATTAGTCCATTCTCACAGTGCTAATAAAAACATACCTGCGACTGGGTAATTTATAAAGGAAAGATTTAATTGACTCACAGTTCGGCATGGCTGGGGAGGCCTCAGGAAACTTACAATCATGACAGAAGGGGAAGCAAATACGTTCTTCTTCACATGGCAACAGCAAGGACAAGTGCTGAACAAAAGGGGAAAAAGCCTCTTATAAAACCATCAGATCTTATGAGAACTCACTCACTATCATGAGAATAGCATGAGGGAACCCCCCCACCCATGATTAAATTACCTCCCATCGGGTCCCTCCCATGAAATGTGGGGATTATGGGAACTACAATTCAAGATGAGATTTGGGTAGGGACACAGCCAAACCATATCAGGTGCTCACATATTGAGAGTGTCCCAGTTCTACTCCAGATTAGTGGCACAGGTCTATGTTCCACCCCAGAGCTCTGTCCAGTAGCCCTGAGTGGTACATTTTTTGTATATATGTAATGTAATTTACATTATAGAATGTTCGCATATACTAGAGAAACATTAAGAGGCCAAATGTGCTGCCCAAGGCCACGGAGTGATCCACCAGAGGGCCGTGACTAGGTTTACAGTCCCACGTCTGTGATGAGTTGGCTAAATTGGATCCAAATGAATGGACCTTCTTTGAGTGAGGTCTCTTTTGCTGTGTATCCTAAGTTGAAGCTATATTCTATGGATTCAAAAACACCTGTTTCAGGTGAAAAACACTGGCTGCATTTTAGGATTCTAGGCCCTGTTTCCCCTCACCAGTTGGAGCTGGTTTCTTCTTTACACTTGTCCCTTCATTTCACTAGATCCCCAAGATGCTGTCCAGTTAAGAGTAGGTTTGACTCAAGCCAGATGAGAATTGAATAGGTTTCCATATCTAGTTTTTCCAGGGACTTTAAAAGTTTCACTGAAGGGGGAAAAAAGGCAAACTCTTCTAGCTATTTTCCTTAAAAAGGTAACAACAACAACAAAGACAGTTGAGTAGCTGAGCTCTGTTCTGATTTAGCACAAAAAACCTGCATTTATCAGGGTTGTAAACATAAGTACAGTTCAGCCGTCTCCCAAAGAGTAGAGAGAATTTGAAATGCTCATTCAACCCAGGGGCTGAGGAAAGAGAAAAAAGGAACCATATCCAAAAGTGAATTGATTTGCAGCTGCCTGTTCCCGATATCCCTGGCAAGAAGCATCAATTATAGTAAATGACAGAGTCTTTCCCAAAGCCATATTCAGTGGAGTCTGAGGAAAATCATTTGTTTTTTTCCCTTTTATGTAAGATGGGCCTTTAGACATAATTTGTATTGGGGGGAAACATCAAGTGTGTTTGTTAAAAGGAATCAGGCAAAGTATTTACATCGCCCAGTTTGGAAAGAATAAGCCAGTTGAGCAGAACAGATGACCTTGAAAGAGGAAGATCCTGATAGATGGGGAGCACCTGATGAGTCACAGCACTGCGGGGAGCTGGGACAGCTGACTGAGGGAAGTAGGCAGGCTCTGCCTCCAGGGAGCTTCTAGTCTACCAGGCCACAAGGAGAGTGTTGGGGAGGGGGCCATGGGCTGTGGGTGCTCAAAACAAGGGGCCTTGCATCCAGGCTGGACCAGGCCAGGCTGCAATAGTATCTGCCTAGGGTGTCTGTGCAGGAAATCATAAACTTGATTGCTCTGAGATGCTGGGAATTAATCCTGAGAACTCCCTAAGGCAGGGAATCCTTATATTTTAATATGCTTACACATTTCCAAGTGTACTCCGAAAGCTGATTAACTCAATTAAAAAATTTTTTTTTTTTTTGAGATGGAGTCTCACTCTGTCGCCCAGGCTGGTGTGCCATGGTGCAATCTTGGCTCACTGCAACATCTGCCTCCCAGGTTCAAGGGATGCTCCTGCCTCAGCCTCCTGAGTAGCTGGGATTACAGGTGTGCGCCACCATTCCCAGCTAATTTTTTGTATTTTAAGTAGAGACAGGGTTTTGCCATGTTGACCAGGCTGGTCTCGAACTCCTGACCGCAAGTGATCTGCCTGCCTCGGCCTCCTACAGTGCTGGAATTACAGATGTGAGCCACTGCTCCTGGCCCAAACATACCTTTTAAATAACAAGAAAGAAGTAAAGGTGGCTTTTTAGAATCCTGATTTAGGCCTGCACTTAAAATAACTTGTTCTTTGGCCTGAACTAGCAATCTATATTTAATTAAAGGTCAGAGATCTCTGTGCCCCCCATTAAGTGTTCCCAAAGCAGAAAAACACATGAGAAGTGGGCTTCCCTGCAGTTATCTCTGAATGGGCTTATCAAAGACGGGGCCTCAGCCTGGCAACAGTGCTTAGCTGGAGACCCTGGCAAGATCTGAGGTTTTGGAGCCCTGGAATTGGAGGTTATCACATAACAATTCTGATTGCTTTTTAACACCTCTGAGGAGTTTAATGATTAAAATATGTTCTACTTCAGAAAACTTCAGAACAAGCTGTAAAAAGTAATTTGCAATTCTCCTTTTCTCTCTATCTATGCCGAATGTGGTGTTTAATTACTCCATAATAGCTTTTTGTTCTGGTGATTTGTTACAAAATTAGACAAGCCCTTTATCATCATTAAACACCAGGATTAGTATTTTTTTTTTTTTTGTATGAGGAAACATTCAAGTATCTTAAAAGGTTCAAAGAAAAATGGCCGAGAACTTTTTTTAGGTATAAAAATGTAAACACAATGCCTCGATATTTACAATAAATGGATTCATTCAAATGGTGTATATTTAAAGGGAAGTCGAGGCACTAAAATACTCATCTTTTAAGATCACCCAACTGCTATTTCTGAGACAAGATTCTGGAGGGATGCCAGATTACACCCTGTAAGGCATATTCCTTGGGAGGATGAAATCACTGGTGTTTTTGCTCACATTAATTCTGAATAGTATGGAATATGTTTAATTTTTAACATGTTTGTTTTAGTAGGTTGCAGAGTCCAACTATCCAAGTATGGATGGTTTGACATAAAAGGGCGGCACTCTTACCTGAAACTCTCACCAGTCTGAATTATCAGATTTTTTGTTGGAGAGAAGAGAATGTAAGCCATTGAGGAAGAAGAAGATGATCAGTTTGCTTCTCCTTTCTTTCTCTCCTCTTTGCCCTCTCCATACTGCGCTCTTAATTTGATCCCAGGAATAACATCTACTTGTTCAACTCTAGACAGGGCTATATTTTAAGGAGATTCTTCTGCAATAGTCCTACTTGCCGAAGGAAGTGCAGTTGATTCACAACTTGGTTGAATTCGTTTTAAATAAGCTTGTGTGCCCGGGTCGATTTAGGTGTTGTGCAAATGTGAAGTAATGCCTGTCACAGAGCATTAGCTTTTATATTGTAGTTAGAATTTAAATTTATGGTGTATTACAACAGATTATTTTTCTTCACTAAGCAGGTGAATCCGGAAAAGGCTGGCAGCTGTTTTTAGTTAAAACAAAAGACAAAGGTCTAGAATTTGGGAAAAGGAAAAGGAGAATGCTTTTTAAGAATGGAAAGCATTGTTTAATCTAAATCTAATGTAGAATTCAGAAAAAAAGCTTTACCTTGGATTTACCTAACATAGGTACACTTTAAAAAATGCTTTGTATCGATTATATAATTTGAATTCAAAATGAGATTCAAGTAATTTTAGGAATACTTATCCCCATGCCTTATATGAGGTCATTTTTCTGTCTTGTGTATAAATTTATGACTTTTAATTATAACATTTTGGAGGAAGACATGATTTGAGCCACTATTTAGTTTAACCTTATCATGTAAGACATGAAGAAACTGAGGCTCAGGAAATTCATATAACTGAATTCATGACACAGAGCCAGCCTAGAAACCTAGGTCGTCTGTCAGACCTGGCTGACTCCTGGGACAAAGTCATTAGGACAGGTCTTGTGCCTGGTTGGTCGTCTTCTCATGGACCCATCTGCCCCTGCCAATCCCTGCATCTTTTTCAGGCATCGGCTTAAAGTCCAGCTGTGAACATTTCACTTCTCTGCTAAGAAGTGTTCATGACCCCTCATGACACGAATTCAAAAGATGTAGTAATGTTTTTTAAATAGAAAATAAAGTCTCAACTTTCCTTAACATGATATTCAAAGCCCTTTTCCCCATCAGTAAGCTAGCCCTGTCCTACCCACCTTTCCAGATTCCTCCTCATTCTCTTCTCTCCTAAGAACACTGGGATGCTCCACCCATCCAGAGATGTTCTGTCTTTCCACAGCCCCATATTTTCCTTCTGCTTCTACTTTGAGTGTTCCTCCTCTCTGGAACTTATTGAAATAATTGCCATGGTTGCTACTTATTTCCATAACAGTTTACTCACTGATAGCTTTGATAAAGCACTTATTGTTTTTCTTGTGTTAAATTGTCTGTGTGTGTGTGTGTGTGTGTGTGTGTGTCTGTCCACATGTGCCTAGTTTCTTTAATAGAAGGGGGCACTGGCCTGTTTGTACGTATGGCCTCTGTCTAACAGTTGCTCAATAAATACTTTCAGAGTTGAAACCAGTCTTGTTTATATCATTGAGAACTCTTCCCTACACTAGCTGGAAAAGCTAGATTTCTACTGAGAATAGACTTGTAACAGCCTTTATATCTATATATGTGTGTGTCTTCCCTGTAGCACGTTTCCAGGAACTTACGAGGAGCAGATAATTTCCATCTTGGAAAGCCACTCAACATAGTGAGAAGAGCTTGGCCTTTGGCATGAGAGAGACTAATTTGGAATCCAGCTCCTTCATTTGCTATCACTGTGATCTTGAACAAGTTGTCAGCGTCAGTTTCCTCAGCTCTAAAATGAGATAACAGTACTCATCTTTCAGGGATAGCATAAGAATTACATCAGAAAAATGCACGGGAGGTGCTTGGAATAGAGGAGCCACTAAGACCATCACGATGTATCAGGTATCCTTTTGGTTAGGAACCATACTTTGGACAGATTTCCAAGTCCTCAGATACCCTGTTTCCTTTTTGATGATGCCCTTTGGGTTGATGAGATTAAACACTGCTGAGACCTTCAGAAAGTGGTCAAATGGGTGGGTGATTACGCTCTTGGATGGATGCTATGGTAAAATAGAAAAGGGTAACAAGAAGCTCTTTGGGAAGCTTGAATCAAAGACACAGCAGGGATTTGCTCAGGTAACAACCCAGGGAAACCCATGGAGAAGGAAGCTCCCCAAGGGGTGCCTGGTAGGAATACATGACACCGCAGGGCAGTCTCCTTTCCAACACGACTGCCTGTACCAAGTGAGAGCTGGTTAAAATAAACTATTTTCTCATCTGTCAGTAAAAGGAAGGAGAAGGAGGCCCAGCCATCCCTCCCACCACCCAGCCTTCCATCATTGACTGAGTCCCAACAGTGTAACATATTTCCTTAAAATGTCGATGTATTAGGGGAAGGGCAGCCCTACAGCTGACTGTCCACATGGAAGCATCATAGGTCTGTTTTAACCTAGCAGGGGAGCCACCTCCTCACCTTCATGTGCTCCAAATACCTGTTCTTCATAGAACATCATGCAGCTCCTAAGGAGGGGTGGGAAGGGTTGCACTCTTAGGAATAAGATTCTGGGAACATCACCCTTCATTTCCCTTATCTCCTTCCACCTGAGAAGAGTTCTTGCTGATGCTATTGTTGGTATTGGTTGAGCCCCAGATGAAGGAGGACTGAGGATTCTGTAGGGCCTACAAGAACAAACAGAATTTCAGTGGCCCAGTGCTTTGATGCAATTTGTACTTGCAGTCTCATCTTAGACTGGGTCATTCTACAGAAATACTTGAGTTTTCGTTTGGATAAAATTGACTAGTTAGTTAAGCTGGCTGTTTTTCTGTGTAATCGCTTTCCTTGTCACTTGCCCTCATTGCCTCACCACCCCACTGTTTGGTTGTGTATAACCAGTGTATTAATTTCCTACTGCTTCTGCAACAAATTACCCTAAATGTAGTGGCTTAACCAATACAAATTTATTAGTGTATAGTTCTGTAGGCCAGAGGTCCAACATGGGTCTCACTAGACTAAACTCGAGGAGTCGGCAGGACTGTGTTCCTTCTGGAGGCCCTGGTGGAGAATCTGTCTCCTTGCCTTTTCCGTTTTCTAGAGGCCACCTGCCTTTCTTTTTTTTTTTTTTTTTTTTTTTTTTTGAGATGGAGTATTGGTCTGTCATCAAGTCTGGAGTGCAGTGGCGCGATCTTGGCTCACTGCAACCTGCATCTCCCGGGTTCAAGCAATTCTCTGCCTCAGCCTCTTGAGTAGCTGGGATTACAGATGCCCACCACCACTCCTGGCTAATTTTTTGTATTTTTAGTAGAGATGGGGTTTCACCATCTTGGCCAGGCTGGTCTTGAACTCCTGACCTCGTGATCTGCCCGCCTTGGCCTCCCAAAGTGCTAGGATTACAGGCGTGAGCCACCGTGCCCGGCCCCACCTGCCTTTCTTGACTTGTGGCTTCCCTCCCCATCTTCAAAGTCAGCAACACAGCATCTCTCTGACCCTTTTTTCACCATTGTAACTCTCTGGGGGAAGATTATCCAACTTTAGGGATTCATTTGATTAGGCTGGGCCCACCTAAGTAATACAGGAAAACATCCTCATCTCCAGATCCTTAATTTAATCGTATCTGCAAAGTCTCATTTGCCATGTAAAGTAACCTCTTCACAGATTCCAGGGATTAGAACATGGGCATCTTGGGCAGGGGGCATTGGTCTGCCCACCATAGCCAGAAATAGAGAGTGGGTTAGACTTCCTGGCCATCTTTTGGAGCAATCCTGGCTGTCTTCTTAGGCATCTCCAGCTGGAAGATGATGAAGACACCTTTAAACTTCCTTATCAGAAGCCTCCAGACTTTTGGTTTGCAGTGACATTTTCATCATAATTCCCTTAACTTTCCAAATCACACCATGCTGGCATGCAAAGCCAGCCAATTGCTTACTGACTACCAGGCCCGGGAGATAATGGGGTGGTGGGAGGAGAGTGGAAAATGAGGGCTTTGATTACCCAAGCCCTGAACAAGTCCATCTAGAAATAGCCATGTTCCAGCCAGTTCTTTTGAAACGCGAAGTCAGGTACATTTTGTAACAACTGCTATAAGTTGAAGATGCCTCAAGCCACAAACTGGCTCCAGAAATGAGCTTTGTTCTTTACAGCACACTTTGTCCAAAACATAGGCACTTTAAAATAACTTGATAGCCTCTAACTGAGGAACATTCCAGAGGGCAGAGATTGTGGTATATCATCTTTGGATATGCCCAGTACTGAGCAGGTTGCATGGCCCATTCTAAGTGCCACAACAAGCATGATACTTGGTACACTCTCATTTATGAGCATGTGGAGAAAATGGATCTGACATGACAGGAGATGGAATTAAGCTCTGTTTCCCACCTGCACCCACTGTGTGTCCAGAAGAGATTAAGAACTCTTAGATATCTTGTCTGTGTTTCCATAATACACAGAACAGAGATGAGCCAATGACACTGCCTTCTACTTCAGTTTACTGGAGATGCTGAACAAAAGTAGATACAGGAATTTAAGAGTGTCTCATTTGAGAAGGCAGGATGCTAGTTGATATAAATCACTCTAATCTTCTATTCCCACAGCACCCAGCAGGGAATAATGTTTGTAGAAGGAAATAATGACAATATAGCTCTGTGCTTATTAAAGGCATTAGCTTTGGGATCAGGCAAATCCAAGTTTGAATCATGGCTGTGCCACTTGCCAGCACCATGACGCTGGCCACATTACTTCATCTCCACTTCTTTCTTAGCTCCAAAGAATAAGTTTGAAAAAGGCAGTAAACATAGTTCCCTGCGCATTGGCTGGCTACAGAAGCAACCTGACAGTTTGGTAGGGGTTCTTGGCCCAGCTACTTAATGATAACAGTTTGATCCCTAGAGCCTGCCACATCTAAGGTCCATTTCTGTTTCCTCTCTTTGGGTACAGACATACCTGTGGATTCTTTATAAAGTTCCAGCTGGGCCAGAGGTTTAGAGCTTGCTGCTGTCCTATAGGCCCTGTTTGCCTTGCCCTGGACATGTGGCTCAAAGAGTAATTTAGAGCAGGAGTTCCCAACCCTGGACAGTAGGAACTGGGCTGCAGAGCAGGAGGTGAGTAGCAGGCAAGTGAGTGAAGCTTCATCTGTATTTACAGCCGCTCCCCATTGCCCACATTACCGCCTGACCTGCGCCACCTGTCAGATTAGAGGCAGCATTAGATTCTCATAGGAGCGCGAACCCTTTTGTGAACTGCACATGAGAGGGATCTATGTTGCGTGCTCCTTATGAGAATCTAATACCTGATGATCTGTCACTGTCTCCCATCCCTCCCAGGTAGGACCCTCTAGTTGCAGGAAAACAAGGTCAGGGCTGCCACTGGTTCTATAATACATTATGGTGAGTTGTATAATTATTTCATTATATATTACAATGTAGTACTAATAGAAATAAAGTGCACAATAAATGTAATGCACTTTATCACCCAGAACCATCCCCCCACTCACATACACCCCCTGCCTGTGGAAAAATTGTCTTCCATGAAACCAGTCCCTGGTGCCAAAAAGGTTGGGGACTGCTGATCTAGAGAAGCAGAAGCAAAAGCCCCTCTGAACCATACAGAGCTCACAAATGCGGAGCTAAAGGGGGATGCCCTCACGGATGACATGCAAAGCCGCTTGTCGATGAAATCCCTTTTAGCAGAACTTCCCTTTCTGTGAATAGTGGTCTATCATCTCAGCCTCATCTTTCATCATTTTCAAAAGGCAGCCCTTTGATCGTGACTCTTCGAGGGTGCAGTCATCGTTTTCTGAGCCTGGCTTATTTGGGAAACATTTGTGCTTTGTAAGGACTTGGGACATGCCAGTATTTAAAAGGCCATGCCGACCATCTTCTACCCTAGTTCAAGGATCCAGTTGGCAGAGGGCAGCAAACAAGGGACTGTTTGTGCCTCCGTAATCACAGAGCAGAGGGCATTTTATAACTGCTGAGTGGACTTCAAAGTTAATTACCATTGAGAAGTCTGAATAAAGTACCCCTCCAAAACCTTGGGGATCAAGAACATTTCATTTATTTATTTTTAAAGATCAGTACTAGATCTGAAAGTACTTTAAAGATCAGTACTAGACCAGCACTGTCCAATAGAAACATAATATGAGCCACATCTGTAATTGGACATTTTCCAGTACCACGTTCAAAATATAGCAACAGCACAGGTGAAATTAATTTTAATGATAATATTTAATTTCAGTCGGGTACAGTGACTCACGCCTGTAATCCCAGCACTTTGGGAGGCTGAGGCAGGTGGATCACTTGAAGCCAGGAGTTTGAGACCAGGCTGGCCAACATGGTGAAACCCCATATCTACTAAAAATATAAAATTAGCTGGGTGTGGTGGTGGGCGCCTGTAATCCCAGCTCCTTGGGGAGCTGAGGCAGGAGAATTGCTTGAACTTGGGAGGCAGAGGCTGCTATGAGCCGAGATCACACCACTGCATTCCAGCCTGGACAATAGAGCAAGACTCCGTCTCAAAAAAAAAAATTAGTTTCACACAGCTCATTCAAAATATCATTTTAGTTTTTTTTTTTTTTTTTTTTTTTTTTGGAGACAGACTCTTGCTCTGTCGCCAGGCTGGAGTGCAGTGGCATGACCTTGGCTCTCTGCAACCTCACCCTCCCAGGTTCAAGCAGTTCTCCTGCCTCAGCCTCCCGAGTAGCAGGGACTATAAGTGCGTGCCACCACACCCAGCTAATTTTTGTGTTTTTAGTAGAGACAGTGTTTCACCTTGTTGGCCAGGATGGTCTCGATCTGATGACCTCGTGATCCGCCTGCCTTGGCCTCCCAAAGTGCTGGGATTACAGGTGTGAGCCACCACGCCTGGCCCCAAAATATCATTTTAGCATGTAATTTAATATAAAAAATTATGAACAAGCAATTTTACCTTTTTTGGTGACCTAAGTTTTTGTAATCTGGTGTCTGAGTTTTACTTAGATCATATTACAATTCCCACTCACCACTTTTCAAGGGCTGAGTGGGTACATGTGGCTGGGGGCTACTGTATTGAACAGCACAGATGTCCATAGAGGCACCAGGCTGTGACCCCCTGAGGAGAGGAGATGCTGTCTTTCATCTGAGCATAGTTTTCTCTAGCTATAGTGTCTAGCATTTGAGTGTGTTCTTCAGATGTGTTCATAGGATAAACAGCTGGGTGCATTTGTGAGATTGACTTGCCTAGCTGTGGCTCAGAGAGGCAGGGGTTGTCATTCCTAGTCATTTGAAATGTATTCACAACCCAGGACTTCACACACTGTACAATTCACCCATTTAAAGTGTACAGTTAAATGGATTTTAGTATATTCAGAGTTTTCTATTCATCATACAGTCAATTTTGGAGTGTTTTCATTACCTCCTTAAAAATCTGGTACATCCTTAGCTGTCACCCCCTCATCCCCTTCACCTCTAGGCAACCATTACTCTATTTTCTGTCTCTTGATTTACCAATTCTGGATATTTCATATAAATAGAACCACACAATACGTGGTCTTTGTGTCTGGCTTCTTTCACTTAGGATCATGCTTTCAAGGTTCATCCATGTTGTAGCATGTATCAATACTTCATGTCTTCCTATTGCCAAATATTATTTCATTGTGTGGATGTGCTACATTTTATTTATCCATTCGTCAGTTGATGGACATTCGTATTATTTCCACTTTTTGGTTATTATGACTAATGCTTCTATGAACTCTTGTGTACAGATTTTTGCATGGACATGTTTTCATTTCTCTCGGGTATATACCCAGGAGTGGAATTGCTGGATCATATGATAAACTCTATACGTAACTATTTGAGGACCTGCCAGACTGTTTTCCAAAGTGGCTATACCATTTGACAGTCCCATCAGCAGTGTATGTGCTTCCAGTTTCTCTACATAATCACCAGCACTTGTCATTATCTTTTTGAGTATAGCCATCTCTCTTTGTTTGTGCGGCTATAACAAAATACCCAAGGCTGGGTAATTTACAAAGAACAGAGACTTATTTTCTCACAGTTCTGGAGGCTGAGAGGTTCAAGATTGAGGAGCCAGCAGGTTCGATTGCCTAGTGAGCGATGCTCTGTTTCCAAGATGGCACCCTTTATTGCCATATTCTCCTGAGGGAAGGAATGCTGTGTCAACTGTGATGCTTGAAGAAATATATATATATAAAGGACAATTAACATTTTTTAAGCTCTGTAAGATGCTGGAATCCCTTTTTTTCAGGGAACTCCTGGCAAGCCTGCCACCTAAATTCTTCATGAAAATGACATTTATATTTCATGATTGTGTTGAGTCAGTGAATGATATCATACAGATTTAAAAGAATCTTAAACTGCCAGATGAACTTTCCCTTCTATTTTGCAAAGGCACTCAGTGGGGTATGAACTGTGGTAATCACATTTACTGCTTGCTGACTGTTCTTCACAAGGAGGGAAACATTTTTGCTGGTGGTCCTCCCTGTGTACAGCCGCCAAGGTTTTTGCAAGGTGTTCTCAGCTCTCTGGTTACTCTCCATTTCTGAAATGCTTGGCTTCAATGTAGAGGAGCCCAGCCCAGTGTGCGGTCCTGCCATGCACAGCCATGACATGGGACGATGGAGAGAGAGGAGCCACATAGGCTATCTAAGCCTGTAAGTGGGTGACTCTAGAAAATGTACTACCTTCTGGCAGAAAGGCCTGTGCTCTGAAAGACTGATGAAATACCTGTAGTTCACATTTAATTACTTGCTTCCAATTACCTCTGAAAATACTAGCATTTATGTGATATAGAGTGTAGGATAATATGTCTGGTTTTAGTATTTGTTCACATGGTAAACATTGATCCTGCTTCCAGAGAAACAAATATGACTAGGAGAATATGAATGTTCTATTGCTAGAGATGTTCTCTCACATTTTTTTCCTGGATGATGTCATTCCGTGCTGGGGGGCTAGTGGGTAGAGGGAGTGGGCTGTGATATTTTGCTGCACCCTCTGATTTTTTATTTTTGAGTTTTAGAATCCAGGCAAGTATAGTCATTCCTCAGTATCCACGGGCTATTGATTCCAGGACCCCTTATATAAAATGGTGTGGGATTTGCATTTAATTACTTGCTTATGCACATCCTTCTGTATAGAGTTAATTTAAATAATCTATAGGTTACCTATAATACATGATACAGTGTAAATACTATGTAAATGTTGTTATACTTTATTGTTTTTAGTTTGTATTATTTTTATTACAGTATTATTAATTTTACTTTTTATTTTTTCAAATATTTTCAATCCGTGGTTGGTTGAATCTGTGGATGCAAAACTTGTGGATATGGAGGTCTGACTGTATATTTTATTCATCAGGACAAGCACAGTTGCCAGCATGCCAAAGAATTTGGTTGATCTTGATGATATCCTGCAACTTGATTTCTTATAAATCTCTGTCTAATTGCCTGCTTCTGTGAAGTGCCTTCTATGTGTCAGGCGCTGTGTGAAGTCTTTATTAGCTTGATTTCCTGTAATCTTCACAACAGCCCCATATCACTGTTGCCCCACTCAATCAAACGGAGATGTTGAGGCTTAGAGCAGAAAGATTGCTTTCCCAGTGGCAGAGCCAGGATCAAAATGCAATCCATGACTGGGAACGGTGGTTCACGCCTGTAATCCCAGCACTTTGGGAGCCTGAAGGGGGCGGATCACCTGAGGTCAGGAGTTCCTGACCAGCCTGGCCAGCATGGCAAAATCCCCTCTCTACTAAAAATACAAAAATTAGCCAGGTGTGGTGGCGGGCACCTGTAATCTCAGCTACTTTGGAGGCTGAGGCAGGAGAATAGCTTGAACCTAGAAGACGGAGGTTGCAGTGAGCCGAGATCACGCTGCTGCACTCCAGCCTGGGCGACAGGGCAAGACTTTATCTCCAAAATAAATAAATAAATAAATAAAGAAGAAAAGAAAGCCCTCTGGCTGCTGCACCCATATGTGCATTGCCTGCACTGCATTACCTCCCACCTGGCTCTTTCCCCTTCTACCGCCTCTCATACCATCCTTTTCATAAACCCAAGTAGGATGGCCCTGGATCAGGGCAGCTGCATAGATCTTTGCAGCTCAGTCATATTTCCTTGTATTGTATTGTTCTCCCCTTCCTTACTCTCTTCTTGGAATTCTCATTTTTTAATCCAGCAGGACGTCCTTTCCCCATGTCCTTACCTTACCTTAACAATTGCCATAAACCTATTGAAACAGTTGCAATATTTTAGAAAGAGAATTTGTAAAGTTTTAAAAAAGTTAATGTGTATCTAGGCAGTCTCTGCAATTGGACCCAAAATCCACAGATAGAAAAGTTACAGAAAAAAATGTGGCTGGGGATCTAGAAACATGGGGATTATTATATTAAAAGTATTATGAACACAGACCAGGTGCGGTGATTCACGCCTGTAATCCCAGCACTTTGAGAGGCCAGGGTGGGCAGATCACCTGAGGTCAGGAGTTTGAGACCAGCCTGGCCAACACAGTGAAACCACATCTCTGCTAAAATCACAAAAATTAGCTGGCCGTGGTGGCACCTGCCTGTAATGCCAGCTACTTGGGAGGCTGAGACATGAGAATTGCTTGAACCTGGGAGAGAGAGGTTGCAGTGAGCCGAGATCGCACCCCTGCACTCCAGCCTAGGCAACAGAGTGAGACTCTGTCTTTAAAAAAAGGTAGTATGAACGTGAATTCTCTTCTCTCTCTGGGGTGTCTTAGAAGGGACGAGGCATATTTATTTGTTCCTTCTTCCTTCCACACGTCTATCAATGGTGTATTCATTGAGAGACAGTGTAGCAAAGTGGTTAAGAGTTTGGATTCTGAAGCCAGACTGCTTGGGTTGAATTCCAGCTCACTTGCTTCCCTTTGACCTTTGGCAGCTTTAGTTAACCTTTGTGGGCCTGTGTTTCTTTATCTGTAAAATGAAGATAATGAGAATAGCTACCTTTTAGGGTGACTGAGAGGATTCAGGCAGTCTATGTAAAGTATTTAAAATAGTGCCTGATGTACAGAAAACTCTGAAAGCATATTAGTTATTATTAATATTAATAAGTATCTTTTATGCTCTAATATTCTGCCCTGGGCTTTGGGACTACAGTGGACAGAATGTCCCTGACATCATGGTCCTTTCAGCTTAGTTAGAGAGAAAGAGAGAGAAAGAAAATAACAGGTGTATGTTAGGGCACCAAGGAGATGTACAGTTGATTTGGGAGCATATAGCAGGGAGTTCTAATGAAAGGTCCTGGTAGTGTTCATTATAGTTTTAGAACTGGAAAAGATTGCAGCTATTTTCTTGTCAATCGCTCCTTTGAAACCCAAAGTGCTTAAATGATTTGTTTAAGTTCCTTCAGGTGATTTATAGCAGAGCCAGGCCAGAACCTGTACCTCCTAAAACTGAGGTCAAGCTAGAGTGTATTACATCATCAAAGCTCCTCCTAGAAGCCTTGGGCCCATTTCATGATGATCAACAATGCTTGATTTTAGAACAGCTTCTTAGAATTCAAGCTTGAATTGTCTCTGACTCCTGGGAGCTGTCCTGATGGTTATTTGTGGCAAGCATCAAGTAATGATCATTATCATTGTCTTCTGTTTACTTTGAAGTTGTCCATCCTGATAATGATCACCTGGTAAAGAGAGAGATTTATTCTGCTGGACATTTGTAAACATCCAGTTTGAATTTTGGAAACTGGGTAACCAACCTGATTAAAACCTGGATCACACAGAGCTGGCTGAGGAATACATGTGTGATAAAATGTATCATTTGACTTGGAAATGGAGATGAAAAAGCATCTTTCAGGAAGTGTATGTTGGGTGGGTGCGTTGGGGGATTAAAACTTGATTCAAAAAGGTAATAGAAACTTAAAGATTTCAGATGGCTTATAATTTATCTGTAATGGGAAAAATACTTTAAAACTGAGATAATATCTTGGAATAAATTTGAAATCACAGGCTGTATTATGGATGTGTTTGTGGATGTATGTGAATTGCAAAGAATGAAATTTTTTTGTGAATGTAATTTAGCATGCATAAGATTACAAATAAGCTATGTGCAGTAAGAGTCCATTTGATACAATGTGTGTAATTTTAAACTTAAAAACATCGTGCTTTAGAACTGGAAGGGACCTTAGAGATCATCTAGTAGAAATCATTTTGCAAATGGAAGAACGGAATCCCAGGGAAGGTGAATGGCTTTGCCTGCACTGCAAACTAGAATCCAGATGTTTAGACAACTGTGTTTGGAGACTTTTTAAAATGTAAAGCTTGATATCCAGGGGCTCACTTTTAGTATTTTACCAGTAGTAGTGTTACGTCATTGCTAATCACAGCTATAACGTAATTTCTTCTGGAAGATGGACCATCTCTTCAGCCCTTTGCATATATGGATGCTTAATACAAATACTTTTTGTGACTCCTAATTAATACTCCAATTAATATCCAATGATAGAAGTTTAGGAAAATTAAAGCAATGTTACTTGTCAGCTTCTTTTGTTTAGGCTCTTAATGTGGCTTCTTCTGATTTCTCAGCTGATTCAAAAGAATTCCGAGAAGGTCATGTATGCGGCTCTTTTCAAAGGAAAACACTGGTTGCTAGAGGGATCGATTTTAATATAGTTTCATATCATAGAGATTTTAATAATGCAATCTAAAATATTTGTACATGAATTCATTAAGCCCAGATTAGTCTTATTATAATTACTCAAAAAGTAATTCAATTTAAGAGAAAACATTTTAAATGGATATAAAATACACTGTGAGCTGGGAAGCCATACTGTTCTACTTTATCAGCTCTATAAAGTACTAGCAGACTCGGACATAACTTTCATAGTATACAGAATGCAATCATAAAAAGTATTATTCCTAAATCTATTTTTTTATGTTCTTTCAGTAGTTAAGAGCTTTATCCCTCTGTGCTAGGAATGAGATATACTAGGGATAGGATGTCATAAAAATGATAGGGGCTCACCAGCTCATGTCTCTTGCATTGCTTTTCCAAGTCAGCGCAGGCCGATGGGTTATAAGCACACAGCCCAAGATTGATGTTGGTAGCACATTCCCTAGTAAATGTAGCAGGAAGATTCTTTGAGGCTTTTTTTTTTATTTTTTTCTTATCCACAAATAAAAGACATTTAGTGAGCACTGTGTGCCTTCAGAGGTACAACAGTGACAGGCAAAGTATTGGTCTTCATTTCTAATATGATAAAAGGTGAAGGGAGGCCAGCAGCAATGAAAACGAGAGAACTTTCTCCGGCCTACATCCAAACCCAGGTAGAGAAGAAAAGGCAGAGTGAGATAAAAGATCTTGCAGCATTAAAGAGCGGTTGTCATTTTTGGCTTAGAAGGCTGGAGATGCGGAGTGAGGCCTTCCGGTTAGTCCTTAAAGCTATTACCAAGGCTCACCGGGGCTCTGTTCAGTTTGAGCAACCTTATTGTGCCTGGAGGAAGCAGGAGGGTCATGAATATTGGCCGTGTGGCTACACGGTTGCCTGAGCTGTCTGGCTTTGGAGACACAGAAAACTAATCACAGTCCCTATGTGGTGCCACTGAGGCTGAGCGGGGACTCTGGAGGAGCTCTGGACTCTGGCCATGCTCCGGGAGATACAGACCTGCACCTGGGCAGGAAGGGGCTCTGCTTCAGTGGTTTGTTGTGCTCAAACTTTATTTAATAAAGCAATGGAACTCTTTTCTCAGGCAGATTCTCCATAGAACCCCGCTATAGAGAACAGAACAGCTCTCTTTGCAGTGCTGCCAATTCAGCTGTCCCCATACAGTTCCTACCTCTTTTGACCCTTACCTACCAGGGAGTGTGGCTTGAGATGCTGATCAAAGCCCAGGAAAGGGCTAGCTGAGCCCCCTAAATGGTGGTCTTGAGAAACGAAGGCAGGTCCAGAGGAGACGGGCAGTGTTAAAGGAATGAGTGGTACCCGAAACAAAGGTCAGGCCTTGGGTTTCTGGCACCTATGGGTTCTAACCGCAACCTCTTAGATCGCTGGTGTTTGAAGGTAGGATATCATTGGATCACTGATGTCAAGGCTTAAAAATAATCCATTCATAGGTAATATCTGAAAATTGATTTGGGGCTTCTGAATGGCATATAGCTACAGGATGACAAGAAGGAATTAGAAGGATCATTTTATTTTCATGAATTTTCCTCTCATGATTCCTTTACAGTCCTATGCAAGTCGCAGAGGTTTTTCAAATAGTAGACAATCAATAAATGTTTTTTGAATAATAATACTATAATTTATAGAAGACTTTCTGGGTACCAGTTATCGTGTTCTCTTATAGGCAATCTCTCATTCAGTCTTCATAGCAAATTTTGTCTCCGCAAAAATTACCTATTGTTACTGGCATGTTGCTGATGAGAAAATCAAGGCTTGGGGAGATAAAATAACTTGCCCAAGATCACACAGGCAGACATAGGACCAGCTCTGACTTCAGAACCTGAGTTTTTATGACCCTGTTTCTATTGCTTATTATTATACCATTGACTTTCACCTATTGAACATGCAGCATAAACCAGCCACCATGTGCTAAGTGCTTTACATATATGCTTTTGACTGTCCTCCTAGGCATTCTGCAAGATAAATTTTATTATCCTCATTTTACAAGTGAGGAAATGAAGACTCATAGAGTTTAAATAGCTAGTCCAGTATGGCTAGGATGCTGGCCTTTGCCAGGATTGAACAAATATTATTTGACTACAAAGTACTTGTGGCCTGTGCCGATTAAATTATCCCACTTGATCCTCATGATATTCCTATGGTAGGGAAAAAGCTTATCCCTACTGTTGCCATTTTATAGATAGGAATGTAAGCTACAATATGTTGAGTGATTACTCCGGGTGTCCACTTGGTAAGGGGTTGGGACTTGATCCCAGGTCATTGAGATCCGGTGGCCATAATCCTTTGGTGCCACAGCACTGGATCATATAAGGACGCATCCTGTCACCTTTGGAGAGCCCACCTGCAGGTCTGGACCTGGGCTTTGTCAACTGAAAACAGAACTGCCCTGGAGTGCCGTGGGTACTCAACAAGTAGGGAGGCATTGATGGGCCCCACTTTTCAACATAAAAAGAAAAAATTCACTGCATTCACAGAGATTTGCAGAAGAAATGTACCGACTGAATTCTTGTTACTCTTCATGTCTATGTACAGAGCTTGCTGGTTTTTTAACCTTGGTGAGGGGGCAGCTCAGCTGATTGTGAAATTGACTTTGGTTAATGGTGAACTGACTCCATTCAAGAAAACCACATTCATTCCAGCTGTTCCCTTCCTTGTCCCTGGTTAGTTAGGTCCCAGTAAAATTCGCAGTGCTTTACTGTAAAAGCACTTGTACTTGAAAGAGAATTTTCTTTCTGTAGCTCAAACCACAGGAGGACTCGCAAGACAGCTGTCTCCCCAGGTGAGACTTCTTAAATGGGAGTTAAGTGCATGCATTTCAAGAAACTAAACTCCCCTCATATATAATTTAACCTAGAAAAGAAAGCAAAATTGAGAGAGTAGTATGATTACATTGTTTGAGAACTAATAACTTTACCACCCCCAGTTTTATGGAAGTCACGCACAGTTTCACTGTTTGCCATACCTTTAATACTGTGGGGTGTGGGCTAAGTGTGATATTGTAATAATAGTGAGGGTTTCTCTAACCATAGTTATGGACTATGGATTGAAATAGTAAATTATTCCTAGCAGACTGAATGGGCAATAAGACTGCCATCCAGTTCTCCTCATAAAACAAAGCAATAGATAAATAAAGCAGAGCCAACTCACTTAACCTGCGTGGCTCTGTGCACTGCTAATTACTAACCCAGGCGCAAGAGAGGGGTTCACCCAGAGTGTAGTTAAGTCATTTTTAATCGAGGTAAACACTAGTCATGTGGATGAGTAGCACTCAAGAAAGTTTAATCAGCAACATTTAGGAATCACCCAGCCTAATTGCCATAACTTATTAATAATAATAAATAATCGAGTCTTTTTATGGCCCCTGTCTCTGGAGGACTCAGTGCATTAAAGATCTCTAGGGTGTGAATCTCTTAGTAGCTGTGGGGGAAGGGGCAAATATCCTCGATGCTCATTCCTAACTGAAGAAATTGGACAGCAGGGCTAAGAAAGGCAATCTGAGTTCCTTCTTTCTTATTTTCTTCCTCCCACATCTGAATCACCAACTTATACACGCCCTTTCATCTATCTATAGGACCAGAATGGCTCCAGGGGCTGGTGGGGAGAGGGAGCCGGGGGTGGGCAGGAGAACAGGCTTTCCTTTGTCCATGTGAATGATTGGGGTTGGGGTTTTCTCCCTTGGGAAGTGAGTATGAGCAGAGCGTTGTCTGAAGGAGTTCATTTCCTCTTTACAAGTGTCTCTGGTGCCCTTTGGGCTCAACCTGATTGTGGCTAGAGCGGCCACTGGCAATTCCCCACTCCATACTGGCATGATTTCCAATTCCTGCAAGAGCAGAAAAGATGGCCCCGAGTCTTATTCTCAGAGTAATTCCCCACAGCAACCGATGGAATGGGAAAACATTTGTATAAATCATCTAACTTTACCTTCTCAGCCCCGTGACAGGGGTATTAGAATATGCCTGGGTTTTCAACAAGGAAATTCAAGCTCAGCAGGTCTAATAGATTGACTCCTGACTTTGTGGTTGGTTAGATTGAAAGGAGAATATTACACTCAAATTCGAGGCCTTTTGATTTGTGTAAATGACTACTCCCTATAGTTTAGGAGATGGAGGTGGCGGACAGGAACACCAGGGTAGCGAATGGTAGGAATATTTCAATGGCTAATATCCTTTGACATCCACAGTTTGGGAGAGGAAGTTAAAATGTAGCCAACAGAACAGAAACCGCCTTCTTCTCCTTTATTTCCCGTTTGTCTGTCCATGAATCATTTGTGCCTGAGCTATGATCGCTGTTTCATTCTGGAAAAGTGAAATTTTAAAGAAGGTACCCAAACCATTATTACACCAAAAAGATAAATAATAGTAAGAATGGAATGATTTATATACCTCAGACCACAAAAGACATAAACTTTGAGTATTCCAAGATAATTCACGTGCAAAATTGTTGCAATATTTGTACTAGTATTTATTAAAATTTACATTTGAATAAAACGGTGCAAAATGTAAACAAAGCTGAAAAAGAGTTTTTGGAAAAATCTAAAATAGCTACTGTGAGTTTTTGGAATCGAAGATACAAATAGTTACTCCATGTATATTTGTCTGCTAAAGCATGAAATATACAATGGAAGTGGACAGAATAAAGTCACTAAATCCCTGCCCGAATTTCCATCCTCCCTGTCCACTGATACTTTTGAGTGATTCAAATCAGTACTGAATTTTGAAGGAAGTGCTCCTTGTCAAAACCACGCAGAGGAGGTTGAGGATTCTGGACGGATGTCGAGACTGAATCCGTATTTCAAAGACTAATCTTATTTCACTAATGTTTTCAGGGTTGGAAATTTTTGTCTGTATTCATTAGAGGGGAATGATAAATCTCTAATTTGTACTTTGCTAATAATAGTGATGAGCTTTTGTGCTTCATTAAGGTTAAATGAATCTCATGTGGTCCTGGCTCAGCCTTTAACTCCATGTGTGATCTTGAGAAAAATCTCTGAACTGTCTGGGACTCAGTTTCCTCACCTGTAAAATGAGGGGGTTGGATCAGATGAGTGCTAGGACAGACCAGCCCTCTTTCCCTCCCTCGTAGGTAGGAGCTTGCCATGGCCAGGCAGGTAGGACCCACAAAGGTGATTAAGAGACACTGCTCTTGTCCTCAGGAGCTCATGGTCTATATAAATAACTCATTATAATATGAGCTATAATTGCAACACGCACAAATTACTCCAGGAGCACAGAAGTGGAAACAGTGAATTCCCTCTCTGTGGGAATAAACTTCACAGTGGCTGTGACATTTGAAGGCTGAGTAGGAGGGCTCCTCCAGGTGTGCCGGCTGGTCAGAGGGTGGTTGGTGCAGACTATGGGTTCCAGAAGCAAGCGCAGGTGAAAGTGGTATATTTAGGGAGCTGTACACGGTTCTCACAGTCTCTGGGCAGTGGCATCCCATACACTACTGGATCAGAATTTGTACTAATGATGAATTACTGAGGTTAGAGACTACTGTATAGTGTGTATCAATTAGAGCAGAGTCAAGGTTTCCTGTAGTGGGACTGATAGGACCCATTTACATCCCAGTTGGCTTTGCTGAGTGTAAAAGAAATGGTGATGTTTTTGCCAATTCCCTGGGAATTATGAGCCTGCAATCTGTTTTACCTGCACCACAACCACTGGCCTCAGTGTGCCCTTGGGAGTATGAACGACTCCCTGTGGGGTCATGTGTGCCCAAGTGGAGTGAAAACTGCCACCATAGATCTTCTCTTCTTGCAGTCTGTTAACCTATGAGGTGCATGTCTCAGCCACACCACTGATGGACCCTTGGTTCTTTGTGGTTTTGTAGGAGCTGATGTTTCTGGTGATGACAGAGAACAAAATTAGATGTTGATGATATAGTTCCTACTTAGTTTTTAAGATGAAAATAACTTTAGTTTTAAAATTTGGGTTGTAAATGTAAGGCGTGTTCATTGCTAAAAATTAATACAGAAATGCTTGCATAAAATGTAAAAAGGTGACCCTGAATTCCATCTCCTGAAAATAAGCAATATTTCTGTGACCATTGTCACAGTTCTGTCTTCATACAGGGGGCACAGATGGGCTCAGGATTATATGTGCCATTTTGCTATCTGATATTTTCATTCAAAATAATCAAGGTCTTTATATAGCCATTTAAAACAGCTGCACAATAATCCACTGTGTGAGATATATTATATTTGGCTTGATTCCTTATTGCCAAACAATCAGGCAACATCCAGTGTTTTGCCAGTATAAACAATGCTATGATGAACATTCGTGTAGATTTCTTTTATACATTTCATTATTTCATTAGATTAGAGTCCTAGAAGTGGTATTGTTGGGCCAAGGAATGCATATTTAATCTTTTTTTATATACCATCAAACTATCTTCTAGAAGTTTCATTCCTTTTTACAATCCTACCATCAGAGCAGAAACTGGCTCACATCTGAGTGGTACTGTCTGTATCTCTGCTGGTGTTCTTTTGTCTTTAAGTTACTGAGTGAGAAAGCATGAGCAAATGAGCGTACTTTTGGAGTGAGTGGGAGGCGGTATAAGCAGGGTGAACCTGAATCCATGTGGGAGATGTCAAAAAGTACTTGGCATTTGTACATAAGTTTGTGAAGAGATATGTATGAAAATGTTCATCACAATTCCTAATTGCCAAACGTGGAGAACAACCCAATGTCCAGCAACATTCGAGTGGAGAAATAAACTGTAGTATAACCCCACAGTGAAATACTACATGGCAGTGAGAATGAATGAGCTACCGTGTGCTACAGTATGGATGACTCCAAAAGAAGCCAAGAAAAGGATTCATGTTGTATCAGTCCATTTACATAAAATTCAAAACCAGGCCATTGAATTTCTGGTGGGGGTGGTAGTTAGTGACTGCTTGTTTGTTTATTTTTTTAACTAGATGTGTGTGTGTGTGTGTGTGTGTGTGTGTGTGTGTGTGTGTGTTTTGAGACGGAATTTTGCTCTTGTTGCCCAGGCTGGAGTGCAATGGAGCGATCTCGGCTTACTGCAACCTCCTCCTCCTGGGTTCAAGTGATTCTCCTGCCTCAGCCTCCCGAGTAGATGGGATTACAGGCACCCACCACTGCGTCTGGCTAATTTTTGTATTTTTAGTAGAGATGGGGTTTCACCATGTTAGCCAGGCTGGTCTTGAACTCCTGACCTCAGGTGATCCGCCTGCCTCAGCCTCTCAAAGTGCTGGGATTACAGGCATGAGCCACCGTGCCTGGCCCTAGATGTGTGTTTCCTGGTGTCAGTGTAATTGGCATTTAGGGTATTTAGTAGCTTCTCAATATTTGTTGAAAAAAATACATTCATTTTTTTAACCTTTCTAACACACTTTGACCATGCTTGTTCCTCTGTGGCCTTGAATGAGTTATTTAACTTTCTGGAGCCTCAGTTTCCCCATCTATAAAATGAGAACTATAATAAAACTTACTTTATAAGATTGTTGTGAAAGTAGTATTAATATAAATAATAGCTGCTGATTTTTCTATGTTTACTATGTACTGGGCACTGGTCTAAGCTCTTAAAATGTATGACATCATTTGTTTAATTTTTCCCGTACTTAGATCTATTTTGTGGTTTAGGGAACTGTAAGTCACAGAGTTAGTAAGTGTGAGGCCAGGATTGAAATGCAAGCAGCCTCATTCCAGAGCTTGAGCTCTTAAGCACTGCCTCCTGAGTTAAAGGAAATATGCATAGAGTGCTTAGCAAAGTCAGCATATGTCATCATCATACTGTCCTTTTCAACATTATTATTAATATTTTTTCTCCTCTCTTTCTCCCCTCTCCCCTCCCCTACTTTTCTTCTTTCTTGGCAGATGTTTTTCAGCAAGGTAAGTTCACTGTTTCCTGCCTGCTTTTTCACTGGCTGTGCTCTTTGGGGAACATGGGTATGGTCTGTGTACAGAGGGTTATGGGGTTTCCCGTTCTCTATGGACATGTCATTTAGGCCCTCAGGGACACCATGAGGACAGTGGCTTAAAGTGCCATCAGCCTCCCTGGGCCTCTGCTGTCCAACCTCTGCTTCTTCCTCTGAACCATGCTTGGGGGTAGGATGTAGACTGGACAGCTGGGCAGAGACGCTTGGAGAGGGGTCTGTGGCTGGGCCCTGGAAGGAGAGAGGGATCCTGTGGGCCTGGTGAGGACTGATACTCTGGAGGGGAGTCTGGGGGAAGGCCACTGTCCGTTGGGGCTCCTGCATCCGGCTCAGCTGCTGCTCCTTATACCAGTGCCAGTGGAGATTCCTTTGCCAAGCAAACATGCCACTGTTGTAGAGGTGTGGCAAGGCCATGGCTGGCTGGTCACTTCATGCTTTTCAACCTCGCCAGCTGGGTCTGACTGAGATAGTGTCACCCAGGTGAGGGTGTGCAGTGTCATCTGTTTTACCAGGCAAGGTCATGTGCTCTGAGGAGCTGGAGGTGAAATCCTAACCCCACATTGGCCCATGTTTTAGTCCCCACTTAGGATGCAGAGCAATTGTGCTCTGGGGTGCAGCAGGAGACTCATGGATCATGGCCTCCTCGAACCTTCTGGATATACGTCAAGGGGGAATTGGCTTTTTATCACAGCTTGACACTACTGGGTAAAAGTAGCAGGGCATCACTGTTTGTAGTCAAGCTGGGAAATATGTTGGTAGCACACATCTGCTGTGTCTTTCTGGAATCTAAGGCTGGCTTTACAATAAAAGAGACTGGTTTAAAAATACACCCAGGCATTCCATAAATAGCTTCCAAATAATCTTACAGGCTTGGTATTTTCACAACTGTTATTTCACCCCAAACAGGCAGCGTGTGTTATGGAGAATATCTGCCTTCTCTGATAGAAGTGCAGTTGTGGATAACAATGAGGGTACTGTCGTATTGTCTTTTAAGAGTCTGGAGTCATAGACTTACTTTTATAAATAATTTATAAATCCCAACAAGCTATAAGTAATAAGTTCCATTTGGCTAGAGACTAAGAGATGAGCAAAATTGAAAAGGTATCGTGACTGTTCGTGTAATGAAAGTGCTGCTGTCAGGGCCTGTTGCTGCAGTGAGTTTTCTTCCTTCACAAACTGGGGGGTCAGTGGGGCACTCTAGGCAGATCATTTTTTTTTCTGTGAACTAGAATGTAAGCAACCCCACACTGAATTGCATTTTTCCTCTTGAAACACAAAACATTTGAGTTTGGAAAGTCTTTCTGGAACATGTGTGTTGAGGTTACTGGAGAATGGGGAGAGGGGAGGCTGGTGTCAGATCTGGCTTTTCTACACACAATGGTGAGCGTTCATGGTGGTTGTAATTGGCAGAAAAAAATGGCTTACCAGACTGCCTCTGTCAAGTTTGCCTTCTTTTTTAATCAGTCATGCCATTCGATTGATGGGATTTGCCTGTCAGTAACAATGATATGCAGAGCAAAAGTTATAATCATCTACAAATCACTGGCTATCGAGACTTAATAACATCTGCCAGAGATGGAAGCCGCAAGCTACCCGTTGCTCTGTGTGTCAGTGGGCGGCCGCTCCCTTATAAGGTATTACTCGGATTTCAAATGGAAGGAACTGAACTTGCTTTTGTGAATTATTTACATGGCTCTGGCCATATTGGACCATTTCGTATGGAGACACATTCTCTAAAATAATGGCAAAGAACTCGCCCGCTGGTACCCACTCCTTACCTTTGTTTCTGGCCATCCTGCTTATGAAAATATTGCTCCGTAAAATGTTCAACTGGTGACAGTTACATCAGCTCTGTGTCTTACAGACGGAATCTAAAACCGTGATCTCCACAAGGTCTTCTGTGGTTAAAACTCAGGGCCAGAATTGTACCATTTAGTTGAAATATGGGGATGATAAATTGTGCTAGAAATCAACAAGCAGAAAACGACTTAGCTTCAAGTGAACAGACGCCACTGCGTTGTCTGGGGCCCATGCACACAATGGCAACATTGAGTGGCCCTGCCTTCCTGGACACGCCATGGGCATCCAGGCCCTGCTTGCTTTGACTTGGCCAAGAAGTCATGGGCAGTTGGGGGAACACCACTTGATAAATGTGTGCTTCTGTCAGTGAGGGAGGGAGGACTCTGCCCAGTGGAGTCCCTGCCTGTTTGGGCTGCTGTGTGCATTGTGGCAGGCAGAAGAGGGAAGCAGGCTTGCAGTTGACAACATCAGATGTTCTCAGAGGAAACAGAAGTTATTTCCTCTGGATTGCATTATCTTATATTTCATTACAGATCAATCTTGTTATAGCAGGTGACAGCACAGCAGTTATTGCTGGGTTTTTCTCTGCTGTGTCTGTGGCATGTGCACGTGAGAGTGTGCGTCTACCCTGCTCTCATGTCATTTTATAGCTTCTTTCTGTTCTTTCATCTGTAAATGCCACTTGCTGTGATGCTTAGACCACAGAGTCTGAGGACAGTTAAGGACCGGTGGGCTTGCAGCTGGGCCTTTCTACATACGAGTTCCAGGGCCACGGGGCCATGTTTTCAAGGAGCCTTAATTGACCTACATTCCCTGTTGTCCACAGAGACATTGGGTAGCTCTCAGGAATTCCAAAGTGCCATAGAATTGCTCTTCACAATTTCAAATGCAATTGAAAATTCTGTATGTGCATGTGTGTCTAGGGTCATGAGTTTTAGGGTACTTTAATACCAATCATTTACTAATGATGAAGTCAGGACCACACAAACACACATGCACGCCTCATTTGAAGTTACTGAAGCACGTTTTGAATGCTCATCCGTTGCCTCAACCTTGATTCTGAAATCGAACAGAAACTGAGCAAGCCGCTTGGAAATCACAACAATACCACTCAGCAGAGCATTTTAAAGCGTAAGTGGGCGCGGTATAAAGATTTCACCATTTAGTTAATTCTCCCTGCGCTGTCAACTGAAGTCCCTTGAAGACTCTGAGCCCAGAGAGGTATAGCCTTTCCTCCTCCCTTGTTCTTATCTGGAGCCAGGATCTTGTTAATGGAGAGATTTTTCTTCTGGCTCCAGTAATTTGCCATACCCCTCAAACACAGGGCATGACATGTTTATTCTGCAGCCAGTACATGTGCGCAGGGCACTTTCTAGACCTTGAGAATAAGTGAAAAAGACAGCAAAGGGTCCTGTTTTCGTGGAACTTATAGTCTAGCTTGAGGGGCATTCTGTAGTCAAGTTTACAAATAAGGTGAATTCAAACAGGGATGAATGAAGAAAATATCTCAGGGTGATGTGCCAGTGGCTACTAGGACCACTGCAGAAGGAGTGGCCAGAGAATGACAAGTAGGGCCAGTTACTGAAGTATCTGGGGGAGGACAGAAGGATTTACAAGGTAGGAACACCCCGATGTTCCAGGTTCAGAAGAAAGCCTGGGGTGTATCTGGAGCTCGTGAGTGAAGGAGAAAGTTGTGTGAAATGAGCAAGGAGAAAAGGGCATCTAGGGAGCTGAGAGAAAGGGAGTCAGAGGTGAATTTTAAACAGGAGAATGGCGTGGTCTTATTCACATTTAAAAATAACCACTCTGGATGCTGCAAAAACACACAGAACAGTACATGAGAAGTGCAGATCAGGACCAGCGCTGAGGGCTGAGTGGGCGGCTCTAACTGCCGTGCTTCAAGAGTCTCTGCTGTCTCGGGCAGTGAGAACGAGTAGCCCCATTCCTAGCCAGCTCACCTCTGCTGAGTGCTCACTTTCTGCTCGCTTTGCCTGAAGAGGGTCTTGTGCCCATGACTTACATCTGCTGTCCTTAAGGCTGGCAAATTATGCTCATCAAGACATTATTAAAATATTCCTATATGTGTCTTCAGATTTTAAAAAGCCACTTTTCTGCAATACATACGTACATGTGTGTATCATATGTATTACATGCATATGATATATATATATCAATCATATATTTTTAAGCCTCAGCTGAGTACGATGCAGAGGAAAGACACCAAATTCCAAGGTCTCCAGGACCACTGGCAACAAAGAAAGGGGGTTTTTGTAGGACTGTGTCTCCTTCGACACCACATGCCCATTTGCCATGGGTGGCTACTCCCCAGCTCTGCAGAGTGAGGCCAGGCAGGAATTTGGACCCACAATTGCCACATAGCCAGGATTTTCTAGAGAAGCCAGGAATCTGGAATGGTGTGCCAGACCTTACAATGTTAAGCTTTTAGTTAAAGGTTAAACAAACAAACTGAACTCATCTATGGCCAGAATGGCCGCTGATCTCAGATTGGTGACAGGTGATTAGGAAACCTCAGTGTTTCTCCAGCAGGGTTGCGACCTTTGCAGGGGGAGTTTGGCCAGGTGCTTTGGCCTCTGGCCTCAGTTTCCTCATCTGTAAAATGAGAGAATTTTACAGATGAGGAAACTGTTTTACAGTTTTACATTTTACAGATGAGAAAATACCTGACCCTGTTTGTCTTTCTGTAGATGCTCTATCTGGAGAAGTTTTAAGTGGACTTGAGTTAATAAAGTACAGTAATATCCCTTGTGCAGGTTTTGGCTATGCACTAGATAACCTGGGTGAAAGCAGAGGCTTCTCTCATGGTGGTGAATTAAGGTTAAAAGAATGTGGTTTCAGGCCGGGTGCGGTGGCTCACGCCTGTAATCCCAGGACTTTGGGAGGCCGAGGCGGGTGGATCACGAGGTCAGGAGATCGAGACCATTCTGGCTAGCACGGTGAAACCCCGTCTCTACTAAAAATACAAAAAATTAGCCAGGCGTCGTGGCAGGCGCCTGTAGTCCCAGCTACTCGGGAGGCTGAGGAAGGAGAATGGCGTGAACCCGGGAGGCGGAGCTTGCAGTGAGCCGAGATCGCGCGGCTGCACTCCAGCCCAGCCTGGGCGACAGAGTGAGGCTCCGTCTCAAAAAAAAAAAAAAAAAAAAAAAGAGAATGTGGTTTCAGAAGTGTAACCTGTTCACATGGCCATTTTGAAACATCAGCTCTTTCCCATATGGATAAATACTGGAATCCACAATGGATGGCATTGCTTTTATTAATTTGAAGAGAACAATAAATCATAGTTTGGTTTCTGGCAGCCGAGCCAAGCCTGTTAATTGTCGGGGTGGGCTTGTGGTGACGGGCCCACTGCCATTTATCAGGAGCTTGACTTGAGCTCTTTTGCGTATTTCAAACTTATGGGTCAAACTGCTCGGCCTTCGTCTTAGGTTTACTCAGCCACTTCTGAAAACCCATCTATTATAAAGCTGCGACCCCTTAGCCATGAATTATGCTCCCCCTGATAATGTCTTACATTATGAAAGATTGTTTTCTTTATGAGTGTGGGATTTGAGTGAATAAATGAAATCTATTTTTACCACTTCCAGGTAAACATTCCAAGTTGTTATGTGATGGCAAACTAGGAAATGAGAAAAATGCGTGAACACTTTTATGGTGGAAACTGGTTGGCTCCCCAGTCACACTCCTCTGTGCAAATGTTTCAGTAAAATCAGTAAAATATTTGAAGTCATGTAGAAAATGCATCCATCTTTCTGGCACAAACAGAACAACATTACCATTTAATTTTGCATAGATTCACTTTGTGTGTGTGTGTGTGTGTGTGTGTGTGTGTGTGTGTGTGTGTGATATGAGGAAAATGATAACCAGATTTAAATAATCACTTTCTCTGAGATGTTGTATCACATTCTACGGGGGCTGTGCGAGGCTGCCTCTTCCCTGCCAGGTGACCTTGGGGTGGAGCTTTCCTTGTCACAGATTCATTGTGTGCCCACTCCCATCTGAGGGCATGAGTTTGGGGTGAGGTTTTAAAGGGTCTCCCACCGCTAACTTGTCTTTCAAAATTCCTTATCAGGAAAGAAGGAAACTTTTAGATTTTTTTGTTGAAGTCGTGGCTATAAAAGAAGAGCAGTTTGTCCTTTTAAAGAATATATATATATATATATATATATATATATCTTTTTTTTTTCCTTTCTTTTTTGAGATGAAGTCTAGCTCTGTCGCCAGGCTAGAGTGCAGTGGTGCGTTCTCAGCTCACTGCAACCTCTGCCTCCCAGGTTGAAGTGATTCTCCTGCCTCAGCCTCCTGAGTATCTGGGATTACAGGCACGTGCCGCTACGCCCAGCTAATTTTTTTATTTTTACTAGAAATGGGGTTTCACCTTGTTGGCGAGATGGTCTTGATCTCCTGACCTCGTGATCCACCCACCTTGGCCTCCTAAAGTGTTGGGATTACAGGTGTGAGTCACCGTGCCCGGCCCCTTTTAAAATTTTTATTGGGATAATAATAATGCTAGTATTTGTGTGCCCCTGTATTCCAGACATTGAGCTAAGTATTTTGCACACATTTCCTCACTGAATCTGCCCCCAAACTTTATAAGGTACGGTCATGTGCTGCATGACAGTGGTTCAGTCAATGACAGCATTAAATGATGGTGGTCCCATAAGATTATAATATTGGATTTTTAATGCATTTTCTATGTTTATATATACTTAGATTCTTACCATTGTGTCACATCATATCAAGGGCACATTCTATCAATGTGATTTATGACAGCTGATGTTGATCTTGATCATTTGGCTGAAATAGTGTGTGTCAAGTTTCTCCACTGGTGTGGTTACTTTCCTCCTCCTTTCCATACTATACTCTTTGGAAGGAAATCTATGCATAGCCTGCCTTTAAGGAGTGGGGAGTTATGCTCCACCTCATTGAGGGTTGCCTATCTACATAAATTATTCTTCTGCACTGGAGACTTGCCACTTATCCCTCATGTATGTATTTATTCAATAACTTACATCAATATGAACTCATAGGTATTTATGTTATGCTTTGAGTTCTAATCTATTACTATTTTATTTATTTTGTTGCTCAAATTGTTCCCATTTTGGCCACTTGGAGCTCTTTCAGCTGGCTTCTATGCCCCTTTGACATATTCCTTAACAAAAGTAACCTTTTGAGCACTTCTGTAATACTTATGGCACTAGAAGATGCTCCAGGCTCATCATTTATATTTCCCACCGTAATCCCACAATCAATAGGATTGTACAATCACTTCTCCAAGGAGTCCTGGTTCTGATCATTGAAGAATGATACAAGAAACCAAGATCTGGGTGTTAGGTGTGCTTATTGCTACCAGGGTGTCCTTTCTTTTAGGCCCTCCTAGCTGACAGAGCAAATAAGTATATGCATGTACACTGACCTGTGCATATGCACATATCTGTAAATATTTATATATATAACCAGGTGTATAAATATTAAATTAAGCATGAGCTCCTCTTGATGTGTTCGACTCTAACCCATCACCACATGGATCATTCTAGCCTCCTCTCACTGGTTATTTGTAAATTCCCACTCCCATGGTAAGACACCTGGACCAGGATTTTGACTTCAGGTCAGTCTACCTGGGTTCAGTCTGCTTTCTTGACACCTAGAGAAGGGCTTTCATCTACCCACAGTGGGACAGAGTCACAGATCCTTGACACTTTCCAAGGCCAGACATGACTGCTCAGATGTAGAAGTACAAGTTTGTTGCATGCCCTTCTGCTTCTACGCCAGACCCAGGCTTGTTCTCAGGACTTCTCAGCCAGTTCTAGCTTTGCTAGTTTCTCAGTGGGTTTGCCTTATCTAGAGCAGAGGCCAATTGCATAGTGTCTTGTTTCTATGCAAAGGCATTTGTGCTTTTCCCATAGCGTAGGCAAGCCAGCGACAAAACAACAGAACTGTTTACAATACTCCAGCTGTTGAGTGCTTAAACCCTCTGTACCTTCCCTAATTGATTGAATGCTTAAACCCTCTGTACCTTTTTCCCAGTTGAGATTGTTGCTCACTGGGGACCAGGATAGAGCCATCTTTTAAGTCTCTATGAGTTTGTCCTCGGGCTAGATTATGAGGCTTCTGGGAATCTCCTGCTTGGGCAGGAGGGTGGTCGTGTTCATGAATGGTTGAGCATGTTTGTCTGTTTGGGCTGGTGCCCATGTGCCACCTTCCCCCAGCTGCCTCTCTCTGATGTCCCTTCCCAAATGCCTGTGCTGGTGCACAGTCCCCTCCAGCCAGAGCTGTTATTATTTGGAGACCTGCTGTGAAGGCTGCATCTATCAGCCAGCTGATGGGTGCCTGTGGAGATATGTGGAGCCTATTTTCTGATTCTTTCTGCAG
Source organism: Homo sapiens (assembly GCF_000001405.40). NCBI lineage: Eukaryota > Metazoa > Chordata > Mammalia > Primates > Hominidae > Homo > Homo sapiens. The sequence goes on along the minus strand of NC_000010.11, from coordinate 116,203,399 downwards.
CCTCTGATGCACCTGGTTCCCTTCAGCCCAGAAGTCAGAGAGTGGGGGCTGCTTGAACCCCTGATGTCTGAGAGCCCCACTCGCATTGTTTTTGGAGTCTGGCTTGCTGGAAGTCACAGAGAATTACATACGATTGTAGTTGATTCATACAAATTTTTTGTTAGCAGCTGAAGTGATCTTTTGGAATGCAATTTGTGAGTTCATAGAAATGTGTTCTTTACACTTGACAGTAGGTTTGGTAATATGTTCTGCTGATGGCTGGGTGTGGCCACTCATTGACGAGTGGCTTTCTTCTAGGGGATACTGGGCCAGACCTCCTCGAGCCCTGATACCTGCCTTCATTTCTAGCACCCCTCCCCCATCGCACCCCATTCATCTCCATAAGGCTTGGCCAGATTGATCCCTGTTCTTCAAAATGCTCATCCACGGCTGCCCCTATGCCTTTGGATGGATTGATTCCTCTACCTGGAGTTCTTTTACCTCTTTTCAGCACCCCATCCTCAGAAAAGTAGCCAGGGTCTGCCATCAAGGGGGCTAGCCCAGCTGGGGATGTAACATGATTTGGATTTGTGTCCTCCCCTTAATCCCAAATCTCATATCAAATTGGAGGAGGGGCCTGGTGGGAGGTGATTAGATCATGAGGGTGGATTTCCCCATTGCTGTTCTCATGATAGTGAGTAAGTTCTCACGAGATCTAATGGTTTAAAAGAGTGTGGCATGTCCCCCTTAGCTCTCTCTCTCTCCTGCTCCACCATGGTAAGACATGCTTGCTTCCCCTTCCACCATGATTGTAAGTTTCCTAAAGCCTCCCAGCCATGCTTCCTGTTAAGCCTGTGGGTCAGTGAAAGTCTTTTCTTTATGAATTACCCAGTCTCGGTTAGTTCTTTATAGCAGGGTGAGAATGGACCAATACAAGGTGCTTGTCTCTGGTGTGTGTGGGGAGAGGCAGACTCTCATTTCCACACAGTCTTCTACTGTCTTATTATGACCATATTCACAGCCACTGTGACATTTTCCTTTGAAATCTTTGAGAAGGTGCCGCCCAATGCTCCTTATAGATATACTGCTGCTTTTGCTTATTCTTCAAAACTCAGCCCAAATCCTTTCTGCTGGAAGTCAGGTTGCCTCTGACTCACCCCACCCCTCAAGTGGGAGTTCTGCCCACCCTTCTGTTAGCACTTTTCTCCCACTGTCAGAATGATCTGTCTACACATCTGGCTTCCCACACCCGATTGAGCTCCTAGAGAGGATGGAGCTTGTCTTTTATTTTGAATCCCTGGCACCCAGTGCAGTGTTGAGCACATAGTAGGGGCTCAATAGATGTTTGATGAATGAAAGTGGAAAAGAGGACAAAGCTCGGAGGAATCGGTGTTTTGTGTGGGCTGAGTGTATGTACATGCTTCTCGTATGTTCGTATTTGATAGCCTAGGTCCTTTTATGAGGTTGAGGCAGAACTCTGGTAGTGTAATCAATGATCATGTTGACAGTGAATCCAAATGTTACCTTATTCTTGGATCCAAAAATCTTTCTCTGTTTTGTTGCCTCACTACCATTCTTTGGAGTAGGTGGCAGAGGTGAGGGGGGTGGGGACAGTGTTTGGACTTAGAATGAATCAGCAAGTATTTACTTGCCCAGGTTTGTACAAGGCATGGTCAGGGACCCCAGGGGACTTAGCAGATACTGCCTCTGTTTTCTAAGCACCAACGGTTTCACTGGAGACCCAAGCCTGGTTGGTCTGTGGGTGCTGTCCTCTTCCAGTGCAGGAGGAAGCTTTACAGATAGGTGCCCCTGAAGGAGAGGCTACTACAAGAATGGTTTGGGAGGTGGTTTTGAAGGGAACTGAATGTCTAATTGGGCAGGATAAGGGCAACTCCGGGGAGTGAGGGGCGGGAGGAGGACAGTCTGAATGGAGGTGGAGACCAAAACAAGTATAGTGTTGTTTTTATGGGATGTTGAGAGGGCAGCAAACCTGGCAGACTCTGGGTTGAGATTGGATGGAGCCAGTTATGGAGCCTTTGCAATGTGCTTACTGCAAAAAACCCTCTGTTTTCTTCTGCCCCCTAACACTCTCAGTGTGACTGAAGAGATTTTTGTCTACCAAGTGAATAGTATTGGCTATTGAGTTTTCCCATTTATATTACTCATTTTTATTACTCCTTTCATTACTCAAGGACTACTAGTCAGTGACTCAGCACTCCCAATCAGCATGAATATTATACCCCTGAGTGGATGGAATTCCACCTCCTTAAGAAGAAAAAAAATGTTATTTTAGATAGCTTGAACAATGATTTTCTTGGTTATTTAAAAACCTAGGCAGCAGAGTTTAGACTTGTTCTAGAAAGCCCAAGGAAGTCATTGCAGCTCTTTAAGCAGAGAAATAGCATGCACTGTGAGCATACCATAAAACTGTCCATATTGTTTGTGGGGTGGCAGAAGATAATGGTTGTTTCTGCTAACTAACTGACTTACTGTGTGCCAGGCATGTCAATGAGCGTTCCACATACATTAACTCGCTTTCTCCCCAGAATGATCCTGGTATAAACTTAAATGTTTTTGTTTCCCCCAAAGTCATATGTTAAAATCCTAACCCCAATGTGTGCATTAGAAAGTGGGGCCTTTGGGGATAATTAGGTCATAGGGTAGAGCTCTCATGAATGGGATTAGCACCCTTATAAAAAAAGACCAGAGAGCTTCAGCTTTCTGCTCTTTGCCATGTGAGGACACAGGAAGAAAGCCTCCATCTGCAAGCCAGGAAGAGAGTCCTCACCAAGATCCCCACCCCGTTGGCACCAGGATCTTGGACTTCCAATCTCCAGAACTGTGAGAAATAAGTATTTGTCGCTAAATAAATCTTTGTGGTTTCAGATATTTAGCTATAGCAGATCAGGCTGACTAAGAGAAACCCCATAAGAGTTACATACTCACTAATCTCCGTCTCTATCCCCAGGTCTCAGATGCTGAAATAGATTCCCAAAACTTAAGTAGAAGTTAAGAAGTCAAACCTTGCAGAAGGTCTTACAGCTAGTGAAGGACTGAATCTGAGTTCAGACCCAGGAAATTCGTCTGAATTCTTTATGAGTACATTACATAGTCATCTTGAAGGGAACAGTAAACTGAGTGGGGCTTGCCACTGGATCAAGATAGACAGTGCCATAATCGGGCCAGAGATCTCACCCAGGCCCCAGAGAAATGAAAGCATGTGTCTAAGAAGGAGACTTGTACACAAATCTTCATAGCAGCTTTATTCATAATAGCCTCAAACTGGAAATAGTCCAGGTGTCCATCAGTAGGAGAAAGGACAAACTGTGATACTCATCAAATGGAACACTACTCAACTATAAAAAGCAAAAAAGGTTGCACACAACAACATGATGAATTTCAGAAACATTACACTGAGTGAAGGCAGTCCTTCGCAAAAGAGGGCAACATTCTATATGGTTCCATTTATGTGAAATTCTTAAAACTAAAATATGATGGAAAAGAACTCAACATCGTTTCCTTCTGGGGAAATGAAAGTAGCGATTGACTTGAAAGGCAAGAGGGAATCTTCTGGGATGATGGTAGTGTTCTCTATCTTAGTAGGGTTTTGGCTATACAGGTGTATACATTTGTCAAAACTCAGCGAATATACACTTAAGATTTGTGCATTTCACTGTATGTAAATTTCACTCTAAAAGGAAAAAAAATGAAACAAATACCAACCCTGGTCAATGATGTGTTCACTGAAATATTTAGGGACAAGTGTACTGGTATCTGCCATTTATTTTGAAATGCATATGAAATAAAATGTATTTATATTTACTGCTGGATGGATAGAGAGGTGGATAGATGGATACATTTGTGGTAAAGCAAGTATAGATTTGTGGTAAAGCAACATTAGTGGTAGAGTCTGGGGGTAGGAGTATGAGTGTTCATTGTAAAATTCAACTTTGCTACATATTTGAAAACTTTATAATAAAATGTTGAGGAAAAAGAGATCCCACCCAGTTGGAGTCCTTTACATAAAGAGAGCTTATGTGGCCTCCATAGGGATAAATGCAGAGGTCTGTCAGAGGTGGACCACCCCAGAGGAGGAGGCAGGTTTGGGGTCCGGCTGCAGCGCGTCAGGTGAGAAGAAGGCTTAGGGCCAAAATGCCTGAGGGATGGCTGCAGAGTAGGCTCTGGACTTGGATGCTGCAGTTACTTAGGATGCTATAATAAAGGATTACAAACGAGGTGGTGTAAAGCAACAGAAATCTATTCCCTCACTGTCCTGGAGATTGGAAGTCTGAAATCAAGGTGTCAGCAGGCCATGCTCTCTCTGAAGGCTCTAGAAGAGGATCTGTCCCGGCCGCTTCCAGCTACTGGGGATTCTCAGCAGCCCGTAGTATTCCCTGGCCTGTGGCTGCATCACTCCCATCTCTGCCTCCATCATCACATGGTCTTTGTCTCTGTATGTCTCTGGATATCTTCTTTTCTTATGAGGACACCAGTCATTTGGGATTTAGGGCTTACCCTAATCCATCGTGACCGCATTTTAACTTAATTACCTCGGCAAAAACCCTATTTCCAAATAAGGTCACATGCTGAGGTTCGAGGGGAGAAGAATTTTGGGAAAGAATTATTCAACCACTACAGATGGATGACCAGCCAACCTGGGTGGCCCACAATAAAAGAGAAGCATCAAGGGAGGACTGGGGCAAGAAAGAGAGTCCAGGGCTGGTGGACAGGGAGGACACCCTGAGGAAGATAGAAAAGGAAACCAGTTTACATTTGGCAACAGAAGGAAACCAGGGCTTGGGAGAGAGGAAAACACGGCGAGTAGCTTTGCAGGAAAGGGCTGTGTCTCAACCTGGGCCTCTCTATCCATTTATCTCCTGCATATCTTAAAGAATTAAAATGTAAATATCGGAAATTAAATCCATGGGTACAGTGTAAATAGAGGAGGCTTTTACAGAACAGACAAAGCTGTTCTTTTTCCTTATTAAACAGCCGTGGGTGGGAAAGCACGTCTGTATGCACAGGTTTTATTTGAGATGGATTAAGGTTCGTGATGAGTGAATCTCTGAAGGATTGCAGGTGCAGTTCTCATAAGCCCGCAAAAGTTCAGCTCCTTATCTGAGGCTTATCCAAACCTGATGAAACCTTTTAGGCCAGCGTGGAGGTTTGGGACCTCCAGCAGTTGAAAGTTAATATCCTGCATCAGGAAACCACCTGTATCGTGTGGGGGCGTTGGGGAGGGAGGTCTATAAATTAATGCAGACTCCGATCAGAAGCCTGCTGTGGTTTGGGGCTTCCTAGGCTTGGACCACCCACTCTCTTTGGTGGATGGATTACAAGTTCAGCCCTTTTAGCTCTTGCAGAGGAGGAGTTAATGCATCCTAGTTCTTGGGATCTTTTACCACATTTAGTTCTCACATCAGCTTATAGGATCTGGCTCCGTGACCTGCCACTGCTGTCACCACACTGGCCTTCCTGCAGTGTGACTCCCTCACTTGCTCACTCACTTCCACGGGCCTCCATCTGGTCCCTGGGACCTGTTGTCCAAGCCCACGCATGCCTCAGCACTCCGGAATAATCCGCCTGTAGCTGGCCACTCTTCATTAGGCAGTCACATCCTCAGAGATGCTTGCTGTAGCCATCATGGCTAAAGTATAACCTCAACACACTGCCCCGAAACTCTACCCCATGTCCCTGTTTAATTTCTTTGTAGCACTTCTAGTGGGTTTAGTTGTATCCCCCACAAAATTCATGTCCACCTGGAACCTCAGAACGTGACCTCATTTGGAAATAGGGTTAGTCGATGTCTTAGTTCATCTGGAACTGTGTGTGTGTCTGTGTGTGTGCACGTGTATTATATATAAAATACACAGATATACACACATATGCAGATGCACGTGCACACACATGTATAAATGACAGACACATATATATACATAAACAATATACACACATACATTCCAAACTACGATAAAATACCATAAATTGGGTAGCTTATAAACAACTGAGCTTTATTTCTGGCAGTTCTAGAGGCTGGGAGGTCTAAGATCAAGGTGCTGGCAGATTCCGTGTTTGGTAAGGGCTTAATACCTGGTTCAGAGGTGGCACCTTCTAGCTGTGTCCTTATGTGGTGGAAGGAGTAAAGCAGGTCTCTGGTGCCTTTTTGGAGTCCTAAGGGCCCTAATCTCATTCCTGAAGGCTCTGCTTCCATGAATTAATCACCTCCCAAAGCCCCCACCTCCTAATACTGTTGCCTCGGTGATTAGGTTTCAACCTGTGAACTTCAGGGAGACACCAACATTCAGACCCTAGCAATGAAGGATCTTGAGAGGAAATCATCCAGGATTTAGGATAGGCCACAAATCCAAGGACTGGTTGTTCTTCTAAGAGGAGAGGACATGGAGAGAAGGCCACATGAAGACACAGGCAGAGACTAGAGATGTGCTGCCAGCAGAAGCAGGAAGAAGCAAAGAAGAGTGACTTCCTAGAACCTTCAGAGAAACCTTCAGCATGGCCCTCCTGACACCTTAATTTTGATCTTCTGGACTCCAGAACTGTGGGAGGGAAAAAAAATATATATATATATATTTATAAGTATTTTTATATTTATATATTTATATATGTATTATATATTATATTATATACAGTATTATATATATAATATATAATATATATTATATATAGTATTATATATTATATATAGTACTATATATAATATATATTATATATAGTACTATATATTATATATATTATATATAGTACTATATATATATTATATATAGTACTATATATTATATATATTATATATAGTACTATATATATATTATATATAGTACTATATATTATATATATTATATATAGTATATATAAAAATATATATAAATTTATAAATATATAAATTTATAAATATATATTATATATATATATTTTTTGAGACAGAGTCTCGCACCATCACCCTGGCTGGAGTACAGTGGCACAGTCTCATCTCACTGCAACCTCCACCTCTCAGGTTCAAGCGATTCTCCTGCCTCAGCCTCCCTAGTAGCTGGGATTACAGGCACCTGCCACCACGTCCGGCAAATTATTTGTATTTTTAGTAGAGATGAGGTTTCACTATGTTGGCCAGGTTGGTCTCGAGCTCCTGACCTTGTGATCCACTCACCTCAGCCTCCCAAAGTGCTGGGATTGCAGGTGTAAGCCACCATGCCCAGCTGTTTTTTTTTTTTTTAAGACATCAAATTTGTAAATTTGTTGCAATAGTCCTATTAAGCAAATACAGTAGTCAACACTGTCTGAAATTACTTTTCATTTTTTTTTACTTGTTCCTTGCTAGAATACAAGCTACAGAAGTGCAGGGCCCTGGCTGTGATATTCATCCCCACATCCCAGTGTCTAGAACAGGGCCAGGTGTTATTGAATCAGGTGTATTGAACCTTATGAGTGTTCAATAAATATTTGTCAAAATAATTAACCTTGTGAGATAGGATTTGTTGTCTTCATCTCTGGCTGATGAAACATACATTCAGAGAAGTTTAGTAACCCACCCCAAATCAAACGGGGACAGAGTCAAGATTCAAACTCAGATTTTCTGTTCTTAGGTTTCACTGAATAGGGTTTGCAAGTTTGGGCCTGAGCTGAATTGCTGGGAACCAGGCAGGAAAATCTGAGTGCCCAAATGCTGATTTCTCTTACCTTTCCCTGATATAGCAATCAGTTTGTCCTCTACAACAGGAGTTGGAGATCCCTGGGCCATGGACTGGTACTGGTCCATGGCCTGTTAGAAACCAGGCTGCGCAGCAGGAGGTGAGTGACCGGCAAAAGAGCATTACCGCCAGAGCTTCACCTCCTGTCAGATCAGCAGTGGCATTAGATTCATATAAGAGCATGAACCCGATTATGAACTGCACATGTGAGGAATCTAGGTTGCACACTCCTTATGAGAATTGTCTGATTATCTGAGGTGGAATAGTTTCATCCTTAAGCAATACCCCCGCCCCTTGCATGGAAAAGTTGTCTTCCACGAAACCTATCTCTGGTGCCAAAAAGGTTGGTGACCACTGCTCTACAAGAATGTTAAGCAGATATTAAAAGGCTGTGAGTTTGAAGGACACAGAATTAGCAGTCTGGCATGCTGTGTGTCTCAGTCTGGCTGTGAAAGCATAACAAAAAAGATAGTGCTAAGTTAACAGGGCAATTTAAAACAAAGGGAGTTCTTTGTGAAGGTATTAAAGAAAGCTCAATGGGGGAGGTTTTTCTATACTTGGCCATGAAGGAAAAGAAAACATTACTTTAGCACAGGGGTTGGCAAACTATGGCCCAAATGCTGACCACCTATTTTTGTAAATAAAGTTTTACTGAAACACAGCCACACCCATTCATTTACATATTGTTTCTGGCTACTTTTGCACTACTGTGGCAGAGTTGAATGGTTTCCACAAAGACTGTATGGCCTGCACGATAAACGCTGAAAACATTTATTGCCTGGCTCTTTACAGAAAATGCCAGGGAAATGTCTCTTGTTCCTTGTCTGCCTTCTTTCCTGTGTCTTGATAGCAGTTTTTAATCAGAAGTCATAATGAGTGGAAATTTCAGAAATGGTTCTCAGTCTGTGTGGGGAATTAAGATGAAGATATTGATGATGAAATGAGCTGACCAATGGCGCAAAGATGCTCCTAAATGCTGATGTATCTTCTTAATTCAGGCATGTAGCAAACACTTATTGATGTCCTGCTATGTGTGAATCAGTAGGCCAAGGGTTGAATCATCAAAAAAAAAATTAAAGTTGCTCAGTGGGTTTGTTTCTTTTCTAATTATTGAACATTGGTAATCCACAGATGTAGGGTAATTCTGTATCAACCAGAATACTTAATCATTCAGAAACCCAGCTCTCGATCTGGCTAACTATTGTGTACTTAGTTGCATATCGACAAAATCTATACCAGAAATTTTAATTAACCTTTCAAACTCCCTTTCGATTTCTTCAGGATAAATTAGAAAACAGAGTGTCTACTGGGTTCATCTGCAGACAGGGGTAGTTTATAGTTGACCCAGCAAGGTGAGGGTGGGGGTCAGGAATGATTCACTGGAAATGGCTTTGTTTGCTTGCCTATCTGGTGGGGAAGAATTCATGGGTTATTTTTAGATATTGTGTTCTCATTTATCAGTCCACTTTGGCAACATTGATTTACCTAAGAGACTCAATTTGTAAATAGTAAAACAAACTCAGGGGATATTTAGAAACTACTTTCTGCATATTCAGCAGGTCAAGAGACTGCAAAGTATTAGTAACTCACCAGCTATCCTGAGGCTCCTCATTTAAGGTTTTATCATGAGCCACCTTTTTTTTTTTTTTTTAAATTTTATTTATTTATTTTTTTTTATTGAGACGGAGTCTCCCTCTGTGGCCCAGGCTGGAGTACAGTGGTGCGATCTCGGCTCACTGCAAGCTCTGCCTCCCGGGTTCACACCATTCTCTTGCCTCAGTCTCCGGAGTAGCTGGGACTACAGGCACCCTCCACCACGCCCAGCTAATTTCTTTTTGTATTTTTAGAGAGCCAGGATGGTCTCCATCTCCTGACCTCATGATCCACCCGCCTAGGCCTCCCAAAGTGCTGGGATTACAGGCATGAGCCACCGCGCCCGGCCCATGAGCCACCTTTTTATAGAAGGTTAACTCTCCTTGGCTCAGGTCCAGGGCTGGCACAGGTAATCTGGGGAGGCAGGTTGGTCTGGAAGCAGGTCTAAATGCAAGAATACCTCCTTCAAGGTTGGGTTAGAGAGGGTCTGCATCCCTCTCTGTCTCTTCTCAGGTAACAGGACACAGAATTTCCCCAACAAAAGCAGGATTTGTGTCTCTTAGGAGACCGGTTCTTCTCTGCTGGCTACATCAGAAAATACAACACAGATGTGATTGATGGTGAGGGATTAGTGACATTTCCGTGAACTTGGGACTTGATGAAACCCTTTATCTTTTATTCCCAAAGTGTGGTTTTGTTCACCTCATCTCCCCAAAGTGTGTTTGGTTTTATTTCCCTTTGAATGGTAAAGGATATGTTAATAGATTTTTAAGAATCAACTCAAAAAACCCCAAAGTCTTAAAAACGCTTTCTGTTTCTTTTCCCTCCCCAAACTTTAATAGCCCCTGGAGTGGGTGTGGAGGTGGCAGGGGTCCTTTGTATTTTCCAAACCCGCTGTTTGCAGAAATGGCTGTTATGACTGCAGCAACATAATTGCTCTTAAAATGCCTCAATAATAAAAAAAATCTATTTTTATTTTGTAATCTTGAGGCTCCTTGGCTTCCATTTTTCCAGGCCACTTTAGTAACTTCTGAAAATTAGCCTGACAAATACAGTTTCCCAGCTTGACCAAGGAACAGTTGTTTGTTGGAGGGGTTGGCTGTGTGTGTGGAGGGGCCTGGGAGAGATGGAGGGGGTAGGAGTTGTACAAAGCCGGTGGGGATTTGATTCTTAGATGGCAGCTGTTTCTGCCTTCTCTTGACCACTTCAAAGGAAGCATAAAGTATAGAAAATGCACTTTCCAACACTCCCCCGGGACTGCCTCTGTTTCCCCAGCCTTGGCTGAAAATGAAAGGGAATCATCTCTTATTCCTGTTCTGTCCTTGGTGCCCATAACTGCTTACAGGACTGGCCGGGTGGGGTTTCCAGCACTGTGGAGGGTTCAGCCCCGCACTCCCATGGAATTGTCTTTGCTTTTCTGAAACCACACTTTTAAGAGGATGTGCTCAGGGTCACACCAGATGGGCAGGAGCTGGTCAGCTTTGAGATAGGGCGTTGCTACAGGGGCGAAGGTGCACTAGGCAGCCTCTTTCAATTCTCAGAGTCTACAGTTTGACTCTGTGGATTCAGCCTCCAAACAAAGCGAGCTCTGTGTTTGCCTTGGACGATTCATTCACCCTTCACCAGGCCATGAATCGTGTTGATGTGATTTGGAATGACCCCGAAAGTGGGGCCTCTTGGGGAGAACCATTCAGATGGGTTTTCTGGAGCTGGTGGTGATGCTGAGGGCAGGTCTGTGGAATGCCCCTGACACCTGAGGTTCCCCAGCAGCCTATGCTACCCCCTTTCTGCAGGCAAAAGGCCTCATATGCACACCTGTGCACACCCAACGGGCAAACCTAAACTCTTAGTCTTTGGTAGGAATGAAGATTTATTTGTGTGCATTCAGGTAGATACTCCTGGCCCATAGAGACAAGGAATGGGGATGGGGGTGCCCATTCAAAGCTGGGGCATTGATATCAGAGCAGGCAAAAAGCCCCAAACCACTAAGAAATTAAATTACTTCTTAAGTCACAGACAAGGACGAAAGAAATGATTCATTTGGACTATGTAGTGTTAGCCAGGCAACTCCTAACCTTTTTATTTTATTTTATTTTTTAGATGAAGTCTCACTCTTGTCCCCGAGGCTGGAGTGCAATGGCGCGATCTCGGCTCACTGCAACCTCTGCCTCCCGGGTTCAAGCTATTCTCGTGTCTCAGCCTCCATAGTAGCTGGGATTACAGGTGGCTGCCACCACGCCCGGCTAATTTTTGTATTTTTAGTAGAGATGGGGTTTCACCATGTTGGCCAGGCTGATCTCAAACTCCTGACCTCAGGTGATCCGCCTGCCTTGGCCTCCCAAAGTGCTGGGATTACAGGCGTGAGCCACTGCGCCCAGCCACCTAATCTACCTTTAACTGAAAACTAACTCAGACTTGCTTACACTGCCCTGATCCCTGAATAATCAGGTCTTTATTTTTCTTTTACATGCTTTAGCTCGCTTTAAAATGTTTTGAGGATATTTGGAGACTTGAGGAGACAGTCTAGTTAAAAGCTTGTGCTTTTTTTTTCCCCTGGCAATTTGTAAGTTGCCCTTTCTTATAGACAGAAAAGGTAGAGTTACAATTAAGTCAGTCTGTGTGATGCTGTGTAGAGCGTCATTTTTTCACAATGTGCTGAAAAGTTTATTGCCTGGTGACAAAAAAGTCACTCTGATTTCATTTTCAAAAGTTGAATTTAAAACTCAGAATCTAGTTTCTTTATAATTATGCTTCTTATTTGGCAACATATGGTGAAAATGTATACGGCCTATCAATGTGAAAGAACAGAGCCGAGGCTCTAGCCTTTTATGGTGATTACATCTACCTGTATGGGGGCTTTATGTACTTACAATTTGAATCATTTATAGATGCACACTCAACACAGTTCTAGCATAACTAGTACTGTGGGTTTTTTTTGCTGACTAAATGATAGGCAAAGCAATTTTCAACAAATGTCTCCCAGTAGGCTGTCATCATAGAAGGCTTGTAATATTGCTTTTTAACCTTAGCAATGGCAGCTATCCAGAAATTATTGCATTGATACCAAACTGCCTTGCACCAGGCAATTGCCCTTTTCTCCATGGGAACCCGGTGAACTCTCAAGTAGATGCCTGCTCCCCTCCCCTCGGATTCTCTTGTTTTTTATTTCAGGGAGATCTTTTACCTGTTCTTGTTCAGCTGTAGGTAGCCAAGCACATTGAAAGTTTAAAAATACAGCAAAATAATTCTCTGGATTGTGTTATTATGCCTTTAATGCATTCAGTTAACATTTGGAGCTTTGTCACCAGATAAACGGTGCACATTGGTGCACAAAGAGAAAAGGAAGGGCTTTGTTTCCCACCCCTCTTAGACAGAGACAGATCTAGCTTTCGTCTCTCTTTCTCCTTCTCTTCTTTTCCTTTCTTTCACTTTCAGAACCTCTTGAAATGTCTTTGGGGGATTGGTAGATCACGAGTCTGGGGTTTTGGGAAGGATTTGTTGAGGCTTCTGGGAAAGAACTTGAAGGAAGCAAATGTCCTGGGGTTGTCCCAAAGAGGAGATGGAGTGGAGGGTGGGATCCTGGCAGCATTCTTCAGGCTTCTGCAGGACCTTTAGTTTCTGGGCCTGTACCTTTAGGGGAGCTCTGGGGAAGGCCATGTACCCAGGCTCCCTTTCCTTCTCCTGTCTGTAGAGCACTGGCTTGGGATAAAGGCCGACTTCTTGAGAGCACATTGCTCTTTGTGAATTTCAGCAAGTGGAGTGCGTTGATCCACTCTCATGTCCAGGTAGTGAGAGGAGCCATCTGGTGACTACTGACCTCTAGAAGTTGGATTTCAAACACCCTCTAAGTGTTGAGTACACCTGCTCTGTGCCATGTTGAGCACCAAGCACTTGAAAGGTTTGGCTTTATGAGTGCAGGGGAATTGCCAGCAGTTGGCACAGGGCTTATTGAAGAGAAGTACAGTCAATGTGTTGAATGAATGATGGCTTCTCATTCGGTGGGAGAATGCTGTTGTGTCCAGTGCCATGTTGGCTGCAGGCTTGGCTCATGAAGCATTCCCCAGCTGCATCCCAGTTGCTGTGCTTTGGTTTTCTCCTGAGTTCTGGTCCCGCTCTCTGCCTCGCCTGGGGCTCTCATCAGGCCGGAAATACCTCCCTAGGGAGCATTTGTCTTCTCATAGAGAGCTTTGACCATCTTCACCTTCATCAGGAAAAGAGACCTTAAAAAAAAAACCCTGGCCTAATGCATTTGCCTTGACCTTCTATAATGATGAGTGTTATAAATGGAGAAATAGATAACTATTCTATATCGATGGTTCAAAGAAAATTCTGTCTTTGGCTAAGAAAAAAAGCATTTTACTGGATAACACTGGAAATATAAACTGTAATAGAAAATCAAACTCAAAGCATTAAATAAAATAGTGGAAGTCAGTGGTTCTCAACCTCCTCTTATTTCCATTGCTTAAAAGAGATTTCATTCAATAATAATGAATGAATGAATGAATTTCAGAACCTGTTTATGTAATAATTCTGCTATGATGGACACTTAAAGAGAATTAAACTTAAGATAGTTCATTTATCTAGTGACAAATGTAAATGTTGCACGAAAGTGTGAAACGTGTTTGGAGCGTAGCTGGAGTGAAGGTGGCGGGGGAATCAAAAAAAGAGGGAAGAAGGGATGAGTGTCACTTCTCTAAGACATTTGGGAAAAGAAACATACATGAATACACCAAAGAGCATGCTGGGGCTCAGGGGACGTTACTCCTTGGGTAAACAGGACGTGTTGGTCAAGGAATTTCCTTGGAAATAGTGTTTCTGGAGTTATGATTTGGATGAACAAAGGCACTGTGGCATTAGGTGCCACCTGATAAGATCTGCCCCCCAAAACAGTTGCCCTTCGTGGGGGAAGAAGGTGTATCCCACCTTTAAGTCTATGAAGAGGCATAACCATTTTTCTGCTTGCAGGTAATTCATTTTCTGGCCCAGGAAGAATGCTGTGATCACTTGCCTACTTTTTTTTTTTTTTTTTTTTTTAAGAGACAAGGTCTCCCTGTGTTGGCCAGGATGGCCTGGAATTCCTGGCCTCAAGCAATCCTCCTGCCCCAGCCTCCCAAAGTGCTGGGATTAGAGGCATGAGCCACCATGCCTGCCCCCACCCTTATTTTTTTTAAATTGTGATAATAAATACTGTAGATAACATAACATTTACCTTTTTTTTTTTTTTTTAAACAGAGTCTCACTCTGTCACTCAGACTGGAGTGCAGTGGCACTATCTTAGCTCACGGCAACCTCTGCCTCCCAGGTTCAAGTGATTCTCGTGCCTCAGCCTCCATGTAGCTGGGATTACAGGCATGCACCACCACGCCCGGCTAACTTTTTTTGTATTTTTAGCAGGGTTTCACCATGTTGGCCAAGCTGGTCTCAAACTCCTTACCTCAAATGATCTGCCCGCCTCGGCCTCCCAAAGTGTTGGGATTACAGGTGTGAGCCACCGTGCCCGGCCCAACATTGACCATTTTAATACGCTCGTGAGTGGACAATTCAGTGGCATTAAGTATATTCACATTGTTGTGCAGCCATCACCACCATCCATCTCCAGGACTTTTTCATCATCCCAAACTGAAACTCTATACCCATTGAACAGAGAGCCCTCATTCTCCCCTCCACCCAAACGCTGGCAACCACTGTTCTACTTTCTAGCTCCAAGAATTGGACTGTTCTAAATACCTCTTCTAAGTGGAATAATAAACTATTTGTCCTTTTGTGTCCAGCCTGTTCCACTATTGCCCACCTTTTTAAGACAGATTTATCACAGATAAAGAGACTGCATGCCAGAGAGCAGGGACGCAGGTCCTCATTCCTCCGAACCCTCAGATCCCATGGGCACCTCTGCATGGGGTTGACCCCCCATCCCACAGGTCTCAGCTTAAATACTGCTGCTGCAGAGAGGTCCCTCCCCCAACCATTCCACCTGAACAAGTCCGCTTCCCTCTTCTACTGGCCCCTACATCCTGCTTGCTCCCTTTCATTTCCTCTGTCCCAGTATGTATTATATATAGGGTTGTGGTTTCCTCCTGATTGGCTGACTGGGCAACCAGATTATAAGATCTGAGAGGCCTGGGATGTCTACTGTCTAGATTCATATCTGCCAGTTACACTCAGTGCTTACCACCCAGTCAGTGCTCAGTAAGTACTTGCAGGGCGTGGGGAGGGGTGAAGAATGCATCTCTGTCTCCAGCCCTGGCCAGGGCTCTGCTCTGGGGGCCTCAGAGGTCAACGCAAACTTACTGCTGCCTTTTTTACTAGAATCCTCACTGCCTTCATCTAGATTTTCCATGGCCAATGTTGAGATTTCAACAGTTACATTTCAACTGCTGCCCTTTCATAGCCTGACAAGGGTCTGGATGCTTTCTTTGTGCCTTTCTGTGGATGGGTGCTCAGGGAAGATAAATGAATTTTAATATTAACCTAAAGAAAACACAGTTAAAAGCTAAAACTTGCATAGAAAAGTCAACCCTTGCATTCTTGGGCCAGATAAAATGGCTTTTGGGTGAGTTCCTTCATTGGATTATCGGTGCCACTAACTCCTAGATTATTATGTTAATTTGGCTTTATTAATATTAAAAATAAGATAGTTCTCAAGCCTGGAGAATTAGAACGTAACTCCTTGAATAAGGCTGATGTCTTAGACTGTTAGTTTTAGAAGGGATGTCACTGAGCACTTCGTCCAACTTACTGTATGAAGGAGAAAATTGCAGGCAGGTGACATCAGGGGCCACACAGGGTCCTGCAGAGATGCTGGCCGAGCAGACACTGGAGCTTAGGGCTCCAGCCTCATGACCTCAAATGGACATTTTTGAATGAAAAAATAATAGACAAATACGAAGTATTCACAGAATATTTGCATTCAGGAGGAGTTAAGCCTTTTTCTAGACTACTTGGTGCTTTTATTAACTGATGCAAGTATTGCATTCATCATTTTTTTCTACTTTGTTGCCTTTAAAACCCTGTCTTCCATTCAAATGTAATGCTTTGATCATTTAAATAGCACAGTTATCTGAACACAACTGTGAAAAACCTCACGTTATTCCTTCATTGAGTTTTAACATTAAAATTCCCAGGAACATTAGTGGTTCTTGAAAAAGGGACCGAGACGTGACCCTGTGTGAGCAGGTCGCCTTCCAGTTTTCACCATAGCAGCATGGAGGGGCACTAGCTTGAGCTGAGGTGCAAGAAGCACTTGAAGTTTGCTTTCAAGCTCGCAAGGGCCGGGGTATGAATTGCAGTGAAAATTGTTCCATTTCTTTGGGGAGAAAGTCCTAGTCCTTATAAATATGGTATTCTCATTTGTCAAGAGAATCTTATTTCTTTTATGTTATGTTCACCTGAAATACAGTAGGAGTTTGCTTGTGATTAATTAAGCAGATGATAAATGGCACTTAAAATGAACATTCAGCACCTCCCGCCGCCCCCCATGTGTAGACAGAAAACAGAGGTAATTGGATGGGAAACAGTATGGCATTTAAACCTTGCCTTTTTTTTTTTTTTTTTTTTAAGAGCCTTTCCTCTGCCTTATGCAGATAAAGAGAGACCGGCCTTTCAGAATTGTGTAATGTCCCAGACATATGTGGAAACCAATCAGTTGTGCCTGCTCCATGCCCTCATTTTGTAAGTGTGCCTGCTCAATTGACTGTTGGCAAAACTGTGCTCAGTGGCACATCAGTCGTTAGGAGCTGCCACCACCTCTGTGTGAAGTAACGTGGCTTTTCTCTCTTGCCACTTAGTTCCTTGGGGAGGTTGCTTCGGGGAGTTACATTTCACCATTGGTGAAACACAAACCTGTTTGGAAAAGGCAAGGTTGTCTGGGACTGTGTTAACCACATGAACCCTCAGAAGCACCTCTCCTTCCCAAGGACTGTCACTGGTACAGTGAAGCCTGGTGCCATCTCCGGTGAGCGCTGGGGGCTCTCCTCCCTGTGCTGCCACTCTGGGCCCTGCACTAAGGGTCTGGGCAAGCTATAGAATAGCTGCCGCAAGCTGGTCCTGTGTTCCAAAGCTCTGGGAAGAAATTCCCCTTGGTTCTTGCTCTCCCACCTACTACCCCCCTACCTCCCAAAAATAATAAAGTAAAATAAAATTTAAAAGATAAAAAGGGCAGCTTTCCTGGAGGTATACCAGACTCCATGTCTGGATATCCACTTGGGGTGCAGCAGAGTCCATGCCTAGATATCAATCCAGTCCTGTGGGACATTGTGAGCAGCACAATTATAATTAAAACAGCGACAATAATAATGGCACTTAGGCTTTATTGCCCTGCTAGTGTTCCACAGACTCTGAGGTTAGAATTCCCGTGCAAATGATTTATTAAGGAAGTGCTCTCTGAAGAAACTAATAACGGAGTTGGGGTGGGGAGCAGGACAGGGAGGGGGAGAAGCCACGCATGGGAGCAGATTCAAATGAGGCCCTGTCTGATCCCAGGAGGGGCTCCAGAGCATAAATAATCCCTGAGATGTATCCTGCCCAGAGGCAAAGAGCTGGGCTTCTGAATCCAACACTAGTCAGTCATTGATTATGGGGCACCTGGCCTCAGTGGGGAGTGGAGGTGTAAACAGGCTGGGCAGCTTGGTGCCAGGGGTGCTCCTTTGAGGGCCACAGGTGCAGGCTCTGAGCAGCAACACGCATGGAAGCTGGTGAGTGGGTTCAAAGGAGGTGCGCCGGGATGGGGTGCTGTCTTATGTAGCATCACAATTAATGTGGGTGGCACTGTTAATAGCCTGTCTTACAGATCATCAGCTGAGCACCTCTGTGCATCAAATACACAGCTCCTCCAAAGCCTGGAGATTTCATAAAGCAGGTGAGGAAACTGAGGCTATGAGAGGTTAGGTAAGGCATCCAATATCACAAAGTTAGGAAGTAGCAGAGCTGGGATTTAAGCCCAGGTCCTGTCTCCTCTCAGTCTCTCTCTGTCTGCCTCCCTTGCCGACGCATTCTCATACCACCATGCTGTATGTTACATTGCAGTAATTACAGCCCTTCACTAGAACAAGATTCTCTCCTTACATTCAGAACAGCTAAGCTCTGCAGGCTTTAAAAGCCTCAAGGAAAAAAATATATTTTTCGATGGAAAAACACACACAAAAAAGCTTGTATTTTGAGGAACAGAGGTGCTGGATTGATGATGCCACCTCTGGAGCTACATGAGGGCCTAAAAAAGGCCTGTGTCCTGCACTGCCCTACAGATGGACTGTGTCTGTTGGGGACATGTGGGCCCTTGGTGAGAGCTGTCCCACCAGGGAGACTCTACCCAGGGCTCTGGTTAAACAGCCAGGAACACCGGTGACCAATGTGACCTATTTTCCCAGGACCTCCTGCCTTAAGAACTGGAACTAGCCTTATGTCCAGGCAGAGAAATTGCCCTGAGACAGGCCCCAGATCTCTGCTGTGACCCTCTGATGAGACATGTTAAATAGAGCCTGAGCAGCTGGCCGGGAGGCCCACCTGTAGTGCCACCTCCTCTTGAGGTCAGAGCCTGGTGAGCAAAGCAGCTTTTTCTGGTGGCCAGATGTCACCCCTGGCCTGCTGGGAGTTGGTTTGGGGCTGTACCCAGGGCCGCAGGTCCCTGCCAGGCCTCATGAAGGAAGATGTGTTGCTCCACTGGGGAAGCACAGTCATTCGTCATTAGCATGGAGAGTGAGGGAATCTCTGGGAATGGGACACTGATGGATGCTGGCATGTGGGCCCAGGGATAAGGCTGTCACCTGCCCTCCTCCAAGCTGCGTGGACCTCTCCATTGGCAGCTGGCCAGGAGATAACTGGCCTGGGCAGCCCATAACATTTGAGGCCTCCCCTATGCCATCTGGAGGCTTTGGTGGGCAGCTCCTCTGATGCCTGGAGATTTCATAAGCCAGTTGCTAGAGGGTCAGGAAAGCTGCCTGTCTGAGTCAGTCTTTACAGTGTAGGGAGAATCACAGGGTCTGTTACTATGCATTTCATGAACAATTGGGCTGATGCAAAAACAAATGACTTTCTTAGAAGACATCCAGAGGGAGTGGGTACCACATTTTGTGAAAATGTTCCATGCAGCCTCGGGAAGCACTTCCAGCAGCCAGTGCCCTGGAGTGCTCCCAAGCAGTGCTGTGCAGGGTAGCTGGCCGAGTCAGTGACCTTCACCTAGTAAATTCCAAGGCAGGCAGTGGAGTGATTCATCTGGGGAACTGGAGACCTGTCCCAGGTCCTGATAGTGAGACTGAAGCATTTCCCTGGGGATAATGAGAGGGACCAAACACTCTCTCAGCCTTCAGGAGCTTAGACGGAAGTTGGGATCAGTAAGTGGGCAGAGATGCTGTCCTGCCCTGTTACAGAGGAGCCTGGGAGCAAGGTGCTGAGTGTTAAGAGTAGGTGAGTGAGCAAGAGGCAGAGAAGGAGGAGGAAGCAAAAGAAGAGAGAAGACCAAGTGTCCCAACCTGCCAGAGCCCAGGGCCTTTCTGGAGAGGAGAGGGCTGGGGAAAGGGAGAACCAGCAGTGCTGTTCTCTACCCTCCCTGTGCCATGCCTTGGTCTTCATCCATCAGGCTCTGCCCTCTTGGTGCCTAAAACTACTCAGGGGTGGGAGTGGGGCCATGATTTCAGGCCAACCAGGTTTCACATTCACATAACTTGCTCTTGATTTTGAGGAAGTGAACCTCTGTGAGCCTGAGATTCCCCATGGAATGGATATAATAGAGGGAAGCTCATGGGGCTGTGGAGATGATTCCCTGACAAACACATTTAAAGTCTCAGTGAGGATAGGCTGTTAGAATTGGGTTGGACCCATTGCGGTAAGCTCCCTGAATGGGAGTTGATTTCCAGTGTGGGGTACTGTCTTTACTCACCAAGTCTTGTCTGACTGAGGAGAATCAACTTTGAACCCCAGGCCCAGCGGGTAAAACAACTTTCCTCATGCTTCTGGAGTGCACTGAGGAAAGATGAAAGGAAAGGAAATTGATCAACACTTGCTGTACTTGTTCCCTCTGAGGAAAAGAATGCATGTTTCCTTTCAATACTCAAGACTTGGGAAACATCAAGGCGGCAAAGAGAAATGAAGAGGGCAAAATGTGTCTGTCCAGCCAGACATTTGGGAAGGCCCTTGGGTAGCCTTGATTCCAAAAGGTCAGTTACACTGTGCCAGGTCATCACAGACACCTGGACTGCCTTTGGCTGGATGGACGCATGGGGAAACCAGCATCTGGAGATGTCTTCCAGGAGCGCTCAGCTCTGGCTGATACTTGAAGGGGATGTCATTGTTTGATACCTTAGTGACTGTAACTTTCAGACCTGGGCTTTGCTCACTTCCTGCTGCCCATCTAAGAAGGGACCTGGGTATCTCTTGGAACTGGCAAAGAGAGTCAGGTTCATTGCGTTTATCTCCTTTGCTGATATTTGGGAATGGGATGAGCTGGATTTCTAGCGCTTCTAGAAATCTGACATGAAGCAGATGGCAGTTTGTTGACACCTGTGTCACTGAGCTGCTTTTTGGGTCATTTCTGATTTAGAAGATGGGAACAGCTTGATCTGGTTGGAACCAGTCTTAGCATCTAGGGAGTTCCTTAATGTAGTTTGGTGAATGTTACTGGCCACAGTATCAAGGGCTCTCCAGATCTGCTCATTCTGCAACTTTCACAAGTGTTTGTTTAGGCTTTTGACTTCTGGGGGCTGGGGGTATGGAAGAGAGTGATTACAAAAAGAGTAATATTCAGTCCAAGCTCTGCCACTTAAAATATTTGCTCTTAACTAAATATGCAATACATGTTTTCTTTGTATGGTTTCTGGACAAAATATAGTTCCAGCAAGTTAGTTGCTGTATTAATTACTATTATTGTTATCATTAGGTCAGTTAGTCATTCCCCTTGGTTTATGGAACACTATCATCATTGCACTGTACAAGGGACAGTCCTTTTCATTGGTTTATCTGGATTTTTCTCCCTGCACTCCCCATTTCTGCCCTCCCAACCTTTGCCCTCCCCATCTCTGCCCTCCCCACCACCCCCAGCCCCCAGTTACATATGTTAAATCTGTGTTCTTTAACATATATGCATTCTTGAGCAAGATACTCATGTGCCCATCTTTGAAAAAATGCAAATGATATTTCACTACAGAGCTTGCTGAGTTTCTTTCCATTTTTACTCAAAACAAAAAGATCAACTTGGCCAGGTCCAGTGGCTCACGCCTGTAATCCCAGCACTTTGGGAGGCCGAGGCGGGTGGATCACGAGGTCAGGAGATCGAGACCATCCTGGCTAACACAGCGAAACCCTATCTCTACTAAAAATACAAAAAATTAGCCGGGCATAGTAGCGGGCGCGGGCGCCTGTAGTCCCAGCTATTCAGGAGGCAGAGGCAAGAGAATGGTGTGAACCTGGGAGGCGAAGCTTGCAGTGAGCCGAGATCATGCCACCGTACTCCAGCCTGGGTGATACAGTGAGACTCTGTCTCAAAAAAAAACAAAAAAACAACAAAAAAAAACCTCATATTTTTGTGTATATAGCTAGCTCACTGCCTCTGCTTCAGAAGGTTTTTGATAAATTCTTAAAAGAAAAAATGAATAGCTCATCGAGATATTATTGTGGCCATTTTATAGATAACTAAACTAAGAAGCTCAGTCCTCCAGCATGAGGACAGGTGTTGAGATGGATGGCAGAGCTGGGCCTTCCTCCTGACTCCTGGCCCAGGGTCCTTTCCGTTGTGAGGCCAGCAGTGGTGACTTGTGTCTGTAAGAGTCTGGCCTTCGTGGTCCTGTGGGTGCATCTTTTTCAACTTCTTGGGCCAGAGGCTGAGCACCTGGGCCTTTGGCATCTCCTTGCCCCATTCTCTCATTCTGTATAGATGACTGCCTACAAGCATTTCTACCCCCATTTCCTGATGTCTGCTTTTCAACAAGAGATAGCAGTACCTCCCACACACCAGAGCAGAAAGTAATATCACAAGCACCTTATTATACCTATAGGCATAAGAATAATAACATCTTTGTACCTGGGTTCCCAGAAATGGAGTCCAGTAGGCTTATTTAAGCTCATTATTGTCATCCACCTCAAGAGCGTCATCAAAATTGACTCTCTACCAGGAACAACATTGTTTATGGACTGTAACTTCATGGGGTGATTTAGAAGGATGGAGAAGATTGGGCTTCTGAACCCAGTCCCTTTTCTTGCTAAAATTATGGATCCATAAAAGGCTTATGGAAAGTATTCAGAAATAGAACAAAGATCTCAGGAAAAGGTTGCTTTCTAGAAAAAGAGACTGCAGACACAGCTTATAGAAGGGTCTAGAAAGAACGTTATTTGGAGGGGTGGTGGAGGGGTGGTGGAAACCCAGAGGGGATGGAACGTCCAAATGAAATGAAGAGCTCCAACCCCAGATTCAAAACCCAAACAGAGCTCTTAAAAAGAAACCATGAAAGAAAGGGATAGAAGGAACCTAGAAACAGGCAGAGAGGCCAATGATTGGCCGTGGGTGGGTATAGAATCTAGGAAGTGAGGATAGGATAATTAGTTGTAGAGAGAAAAGTTACGAAGTTGCTGACAGAATTGGTAGTGACTGAATATTGAGTGAAGGTTGATACATAACTTTAATCATATCATTCTGTTATTTGTTACTCTGTTACCATCCTTTTTATTTAGTAACTGAATAATGAGCAAGAGAGTTGATATTGATGAAGACCTTCAAGGCACAGTATTTATCATGGGACCCAGCTTTCTTGGAATATGTGTCAGGGAGCATAGATTCACAAAAGAAAATTTTATATTTGTGAGGACAGTATAAGTATTTGGCTTGTATTTATGTCCTCACACGCTACACAAATAGGTTTTCTGTCCAGTGTGCCACAATTTATGCTGCAGAGTCTTATTACAATATTGTAAATTGAGCTATGTATGAATTTTCCTCTGGAAATACCATTATTTTTTCTGAATGTTCACCTCAGCCAGGCACTTTAAAACCTTTGAGTCAAAAAGGTGGTATCTGAATTAATTATATATTTGTTCAGAAAGAAATATTTGCTGACTGGCATGGTTTGGAATAATGATTATTAAGGAATCTAATTCATTTGACAAATTGCGGATTGCCGGAGATACAAAATTCTCAGTGTGGGAAACAAAATATCTCCTTTGCTAGGTCTTGCTTGGTGGGTGACACCAAGCATCCCTGTTTCATTTCCAGAGGATGGTGTGCAGGACCAACCTCTCTGGGCTAATGACCCTGGAAACTCTAGAATTTGCACCTTGTCTTTCTGTAGGCACAAAACGTGCATCTCTGTATACAGCATCTGCTCGCTTCCAAAGCCCTGCTGATTCTTCAGAACCTTCAAGAATGGGACAGTTCACCTCTAGCCACTATTTAGAGGTTTTCCTAGTGCTGTCTTTGTGTGGAGTGTCCTTTCCAAGCCCTCTCTTCCTATCAAAAACTCATTTATCATTCTATGCCCAAAGCAGATCTCTGTGTCCCAAAGCACTCAACCCAAAAGGCCCACCATATCTTCTGTCTCCAGTGTCCAGCTCAGGTGTCTGTGTAAACAAAAGGCAGTATATTGAGACGGTGAAGAGCATGGATTCTGGAACGAGAACACCCAGGTTTAAATCCTGGCACTACCACTTACCAGCTATGAGACCTTGGGCTAGTCACTTCATCTCCATACTTCAGTTTTCTTATTGTAGTAAAACTCTGCAGCATAAATTCTGGCACACTGGTCAGAAAACTTATTTGTGTAGTGGGTGAGGACATAAATAAAAGCCAAATACTTATACTGTCCTCACAAATGTAAAATTTTCTTTTGTGAATATATGCTCCCTGACAATGGTGATGAAAATAGTGATGAAAGTACTTACCTCGTAGGGTTTGTATGAAGACTTAATTAGTTACCATTTTCAAGGTGCTTAGATCAGTGCCTTCCAGACAGCAGGTTTAATGTATGAAATAAAATCCAGAGATGTAGCCATTTGGTGCTGAGGCTGTGATTGGCTGGGTTTTGGGTTGTGTTTGGTCTTCTCGTCTGGACTATACGTTGCTGAGGGGCTGGCCAGCCTCTGCTTCTGCTGTGTAACTTCCTCTGCATGAACATACACCGTGCGCACCAGCAGTCGGTAACCGGGGGAGCAGATGGGATCCAACCAGGTAGCAGGTACCTGGCTTGGGGAGAGCTCCAGGCTCCTGAAGCAGGTGCTCTCCACCACAGGACAGAGTGCTTCGATGCACACCAGACCTTCAGAGGACCGACTGAGATTCTTCTCTTAGTGCCCCAGAGAAGATGATCCCATCAGAGAAGGACCCTAAAGAGAATGAGAGAGAAGGCCCTTGGTCTTTAGAAGAGACCAGATGGTATTGTTCTGTTAGAGTACCACTCTTCCTTCTGGAGTATGTTTCTCCAGCCTCGCTCAGGGCTCCCTTGGTTTGAGTGTATTTGCCGATGCTGGCGAAGACACACACCGTGGGTGACCCCAGTCAGATCAGAGTGGGGATTCATCTCTGCCCTCTTCTGGGCATCCACTGCACGGTATTCACCTCTTCTAGAACTCTTAGTGAAGTTGTTCATTGGATATGAATGTGTTTTCTGCACCCAATTTTGAAAGCATAGATTGCATCCCTAAACTGCTACATTCGATTTTTGAAGTGGTACACTCGCCGAGTACCTACTTTGTAACACACAGAAAAGTGTAACTCAGCCTGTTCTCAACAAGCTTGGCATCTGGCCAAGAGACATTCAAATAACAATAAACTCAAGACGTAGTTAATGAACAGTACAAGACAGTACAGACAGGACGTACTGTAGGAGTTTGAGGGGAGTAAAACGCCCCCCCGGCCCCTTGTGGGCTCACATGCTCCAGGGAAGGGCTCTTGGCACAGCCAGCATCCTTGTGTTTAGGGGATGCAAAACAAATAGTTCCTAATTCAGCTTTATTTGAAAACCTCCCAGTTTCCCAGTTGGGAAAAAGCCAAGCCCAAACAAGATCTGCATGTAGTTCAGCCTTAGGAACACGACAGGCAGAACTGTCCTCTGCTTTTCAAAGTGTGCATTTTATACATCTAATTTTATATGTCAACTGCGCATACTCAGAGAAAGATACCAAAGTCTAGATTTTGAAAATGCAACTGAAGGAGTAACTGTTGGACTCTGCCGTTAGTGGATATGGCAGAATTAGCTCAGGGGCCTGGGGTCTCTAGAGGGTTTGCTTCTGGCTTTGAGTTTGTACCATGGCCCTGGCTCTCTGGTGGACACTTTCATGGCACATTCCCTTTCCAGCTCAGGTGCTGGGACACTTGGCTTTGTCCTCAGTGGGCCAAAGTGTGCAAGTGCATACACTTCTTTGTCAGTAGGGAGAAATAGCAGGGAGTGGGCAAGTTGTTGATTATTAAGTTATAGGGATATTTCTCAGATATTCAGGAAGTATGTTTACGTTTCTTCTGCATGTGTTTCATTTTCCCAGCTAATTGCCATCTCCTCGATGGTACATCCTGCTCCTTTGGAGAATGGGAGTGGAGAATTTGTGCCTCCTTTCCCCATTCTTCATACTCTCATCTGCTCCCAGGGTTTCAGTTACCCACCTGTGTTATGACAACAGCCAACACTAGCCAAGACCCTCCTCCCAAGCTCCAGGTCCTTATTTCTAATGCTTCTCTCTGAGCCTCCCAAGCTCATGAGCACCCCTAACCCCAAGGCCTGCCCTGTTGCTGTGTTTCCTATTGCAGATAGTGATGCCACCTTGGCCTGAGCTTGTCTGCCATTCCTGTGTCTGTTCTCTTAGCCCAGGGCCTCATTATTTTGCCTAGACCATTGCATAAGCCTCCTAATGGGCCATTTTCTCTCTGTCTCCTGCATCCTGTCTTCTACACCGTCACTCAGGTCGCCTTTCTAATTCATAGATGTGCTCCTGTCATTGTCTAGTCAGAAGACCCTGGATGACTCCTCATTGTCTGAGTAGGGAGCCTGCATTTCTTATCAGAGCCTGTGATATTCATCATAGTCAGGCCTCCACCTTTCTTTTCAGCCTCACTTTCTGCCCCATCCTCTGTGTTCTAGACACACTTGACTTTTTACCTGGCCCTAAACAAGCCAGGTAAATTACAGCCTCTCTGTTTTTGTTCCCATTGTCCATTGATCTCTGTCTCCCTTGTTTACCTAATGAAGGCCAGTTCATTCTTCAAGACCAGCTTAAAAGTTCCTTCTCTGCAAAGTCATGTGCCTGGACCACCGCTCCACTGCAGCGTCTGCCACTGCCACACTGCATGGTGATCTCTTGGTTGTCTATTTGTTCCTGGAAGTTAACTTCCTGAGGACTGTCACAGAGTCTTATCTTTTTAACTCCAAAGCCTTGGCCATGGTAGGCCCAACATTGCTGGTTGTGAGGAAGGAAGGAAGGAAGGAAGGAAGGAGGGAGGGAGGGAGGGAGGGAGAAAGGGGTGTGTTAGGCCATTCTTGTGTTGCTATAAAGAAATATGTGAGGCTGGGTAATTTATAAAGAAAAGATATTTACATGGTTCTGGGGGCTGTACAGGAAGCATGGTGCTAGGCATAGGCTCGGCTTCTGTGAGGCCTCAGGAAGCTTTCAATCATGGCAGAAGGTAAAGGGGGAGCAGCATTTGATGTGGCAAGAGATAGAGTGGTGGGGGGAGGTGCCACACACTCTTAAACAACCAGATCTCCCGAGAACACCATTGCAAGGACAGCACCGAGCCATCAGGGATCTGTCCCCTTGACCCAAACACCTCCCACCAGGCTGCACCTCCAGCATGGGGTTTACATCTCAAAATGGGATTTGGAGTGGAGGTCCAAACTATGTCAAGAAGTGAAAGATGGAAGAGAGGAATGAGTGGATGCCTTTGAGAGTCCTTAAGTGTTCATGCAGGCACTTTTGTTCCATCTTCCCAAGGTCTAAACATGTCACATACTTTTTTCAGAGCGCCGACACGTAGTAGGCTCTTAGTAAATATTGGCAGATCGACATTTTTCACAAACATGTGACATTTATAGCTTTAAAATCCTTGGGCTATAAAAGCATAGGTTCATACTCTTTCTGCTGATAAATTAACAATTCTGTTTGTCATCTTTTCCAAATAATACTGCATTTGCTGCATTGTTTGTGGCGGAAACGATCAGCCTGCATCAGACATTAGTAGCCCCTATTTTTTTTTTAATTCACTTAGGAAAAAGCTGAAGACAGATCATTTGGTAACCAGCTGGGAACTCCACCTCACATGTGGGCCTGCTTTTCGACTTCATGCTTAGGTCCTGCAAAGTTGAAATGGGTAGGTCCCTTTGGAAAATAAGGCAATACACATAAAAGGAGAATAACCAAGACTTTCATTTCCTCCTGAATTTGAAAAGCAGTGCTGCTGAATGCTTTGTTTCCTTTTATTACCATATTGACGTTTACGTTTTGTAACTATGGTCATGGAGCAGTCCCTTGGTGAGGGGTGGGAGGTCACCCTTTCCCCATGATAGGACAATGCCAAACAAAGGGACCCTGACGATGGTAGAGGTCTGGGCTGGCTACCTTGCCGATTTTTCTGAAGCTTTGAATGTAGCTTACGAAGCAAAGCTAGCGAGAAAATTCTGGATGGGGTTCCCAGGCGAGGATTGTAACGAGCATAAAATCAACTAACATTAATCTCGCCCTTTAATGATCTATGCATGGTAATCTAACATTGCATTTTTTCCTCCTCCTTCTGTCCTTGGCGGAAGGCAGCCTGCTGAGCTCCTGCTTGCTCAGGCTTCCTGATAAATGTCAAGCCATCTCTTGGAGCTGGGACGTAGTTAGACAGCTAAGAAGTCACATATTTCCTCCAAGTTATCCTCTTTCCCAAGGATATGGCACCATGTTGAGGGTAAAGCATTCCACACTAGGCACAGAACAGACACTATTAACCTGGAGGAAAGCTGACATTTCTGCCGGCTGCCGCAGTGTTGGTATTTTATTTGCTTCCCTTGGGGCCTGACTGCATCCTTCGTCTTCCTGGTGATGTGCCCAGGTGAAGCTTAAATGCCATGTACAGGGTTTCTAACAGGTTGCGGAAGAAAGAAGCCGCAACACACGGGGTATGCCTGAGTGAGATTTCATTTTGAGTCCTACGAAAGAGGGAGCAAGGACTGTGCACCTGCCCCTTTAAACTGATTAGGACAGCGCATTTGCAGGCAGGATCCGTGGTGGGGCCTTTCTCATCAGTTATAAGGAACGGTGGTGCAAATCTTTTGGAAAAAATACAATAAATCCATAGCTCACTCAGAGCCAATTCTATATTATATTTTGCTTTCAACGTTGAGAGAGAAAAATCATGTTTTAAAGCTTATTAAAATGTTACCCATATAGATAGTTTTTAAAGATAATTTATATTAGCACTGGTGCATAACCTTTTAAATTAATAATTCAGAGCTGTGACTAGAGGTTTCAGTAATCTCTAGTAGTATATTATCTGACTGTTCCACTGAGAAATTAGCACTTATGGACTAAGGTATAAAATTGAAAAATCTAACCCATTTGGTAGTCTGTTGTCAGCTATGAGAGCCTTCTTAAATGGAAGCCTATTAGTGTGAGAATTCTGATTTCTAGAATCAAATCTGTTTTAGGTCATTATGGAGTTTTATAAAGAAAGGCCTCTGCTGCCTAACAACACATTGAAGTCTTAAAAGTAGGCAGACTATTGATTTTTAGCAAGAGTTTTACTGCCCCAGACGCTGAAGAATGATTCTCGTGACTAAAATTTATAGGTTATTAAAGAGAAGAATGCAGGGAAAAGACTAGTTGGAAGATTCACAAAATTAGCTCATTTTGTCTGTTAGATTCCACTTAGCACTCTTTTCTGAAATATAGACATATCTGAAGCTGAAAAGTGTTACTTGGTTACATGGCAAATTTATATAGACCAAAAATATACTGGAATCATATTTTAGCTCACAAGGACACAATCACTTTTTGTAGGCTTGCAGAGAAAGGGCAAAGCAATTTTTTTTTTTTTTGAGAAGGCCTAATTTGTTGAAAAGACCAGGGTTGGCAGACCTAGCCACTGACTGACTTTTTTTTTGAAATGGAGTTTCGCTCTTGTTGCCCAGGCTGGAGTGCAATGGTGCGATCTTGGCTCACCACAACCTCTGCCTCCCAGGTTCAAGAGATTCTCCTGCCTCAGCCTCCCAAGTAGCTGGGATTACAGGCATGCACCACCATGCCCGGCTAGTTTTGTATTTTTAGTAGAGACAGGGTTTCTCTATGTTGGTCAGGCTGGTCTCGATCGAACTCCCGACCTTAGGTGATCCGCCCGCCTTGGCCTCTCAAAGTGCTGGGATTACAGGCGTAAGCCACCGCGCCGGGCCAACTGACTTTTTTTAACCGGGGAAAAAAAACCTGTTCGGCCCAACTAAACAGATATATATCAGAAAACTTTCTCCAGTTTGAGTTGGTATTTAAGGCAGCGGTTCTGTTCTGTTTGGTTTTGAATCAGTTTCTAGGCCTCCGTTTAGAATAGAGGAGACTTTCTGAATCCCTTGGGAGTTATAGTCCTATCTTGTGCCCTTAAAAACGATGAATAGTTATTGGAAAGGCATACGGTGAAAGCAATAGGTATACTCTTCATCATATATGGGTTAAAATATAAAGTGTACCATATGCCAGAGGCAATGTTGTGTAGGAGAAATGGCGGAACTAGGAAAATTAGAAGGGGGCATGTTGCCTCAGCCCCCTTGGCAGGTGTGACACTGGACCCTTGGTGCCTCATTGTCTTTATCTGTCAAATGAAAGCCACATCATACCCCCATCAACCCTCCAATCAACACAGCCTTAGGACTGTCATTCAGCCTCTCCCATACTGGGACGGCAGACAGCATGAGCTCAGCCACCAGGAAAAGCAGTGGTCCCACAGCACTGGTCCCCAGGTTCTGAGGTGTGCCCAGTCTCCACGGCTGCTCAGGTGAGGATGAGATGGAATCATCTATGTGGAAGTGCTTTTAAATGTGTATTGATGTAAGAAACTTAACATACAGCAATTTCCAATTTAAAAAAAGAAGTACTTGCTTTCAATACCAGGCACATAGAATATATTCCACAAATGCGTGTGTTATGAGAGGAGAATTTCTGTATCCAGATTACTGTTGTCTCCTTTAAAGCAGACCTCCGCTCGAAGCCCATTCAGGATGATTTCATGTCAGTTTTATATTCTTATACCTCTGGGTGTCTGCAGCAGTCTCGCAAGGGGCTCTTGGCTTCTGACTATGCATTTTCTTAGACCTACCTCCCCATGACTGCCAGAGATGTTCCAAAGTGCAAACTGAGCCAGCGGGTCTGCTCCCACTGTGAGGTGCTGGGGCGTGGGCACCCTCAGGTGGCGACTGCCCCACTCAGTGAGGATAAGGCCCCCACACCTCGGCCTGGACACACAGCCATATATCTGCTGAGTCCTGCTGACCCTCCACTTTCCACTTACACATGCCCGTCCCCCAGCCAGTCGGAGCTACTAGAATTCCCCAGATGTGCCCTGCCTGGCCGCTTCCTGCATTCATCCCGTTCAGCCTAGCCCTCCTTCTCTGAACCCTCTGCCCCCCAACCCATTCTTCCTTCAAGAAGGGACTCAAGTGCCGTTTCCTCTTGGAAGCCTTTGCATCCCCTATTCCCACTGAATCTGGAGTTCCTCCTCATCTCTCATTGACAGCCTTACTATTTGTACAGTAATTTTTAGTCTCTATATCTGCCTTCCTTAATGGACTCTGACCCTATTGAGCGTAGGGTTCCTGGGCCTTCATTGCTCTCCCATACCACTTCAATGGGGAACAGATCATAGGCTCTTGGTAAATATTTCCCGAGTAGGTGGGCAGATGGATGGGTGGGTATACGTCAGCTCCCTTGTCTTACCTCTAATGTCTAGTGTGTCAGTTGTCGTGAGCAAACGGCACAGCAGAGGGATTAGGAATTGTATGTTTTATTAATACTCATAAGTAATCCTGGCTCCTGCTCGTCCTCCAGCAAAACTCCAAAGGCTTTGTAAAGATGATAGAATTGGGAACATTTAACCGGGTCTCATCTTCTGAAGAGTTCTCAGGGCTGAGGGTAAACACCGTGGAAGGACTTGACGTGTATTCTAGGGACAAGGGAAGCATTCAGAATGGAGCTTTGGGGATCTGAGTGATTACAGGACAGGGAAGAAGAAAAACCACCAAGCTGGGCATGCAATGATTGTATCGGGGCTAAACAGAGTTCCTTTGCTGCGCCTCCCTCTGCTGATACCACACTGATACCAGCAGAGTGACCTCTCATGAGGACTCCTCTTTAATTGTGAGCAGGAGTGACTCAGTAGGTAGTAGCCTTCAGAACCTCAGAGACCATGGGAGATGGCAGGTGAAACCGATGACTCCTTGATCTGAGCAGAAGGAAAATTCAAGGAAAGCCGCTGCCAACATGTGCTTCTGTCTCAGCAGCGGCTAACAGTCACCATCATTCCAGCTGTGTATGTGCTGTTTCAGGAAGCCTAATAAATCTGGTGATTTAATTACACGAAATTACTTAATCAGAGAAATTTTATGCTACAAATTATTACTTTAATAAACCAGAGAGAATAAAGAAAAATTTCTTGAATATCTTTGCCAA
The DNA here is from genome assembly GCF_000001405.40 of Homo sapiens. Classification (NCBI taxonomy): domain Eukaryota; kingdom Metazoa; phylum Chordata; class Mammalia; order Primates; family Hominidae; genus Homo; species Homo sapiens. The sequence continues at coordinate 116,171,531 of NC_000010.11, read as the reverse complement.
ATCAGTCTAGGCATCCATTTTCAATTTAATAACTAATAGCAGAGGAGATTGAAATAGATGTTATTACAGATTTTTACAAGGCAAAATATATTTAAGCCGGATCAGAAGGTTAATTAAAATTATAGTTGGGTCTTGTCATTACCAAGCTACTCTTTTTCTTTGGTACAGTTGCTCCGAGTTTAGCGTCTGTTTGATAAAAATGCTTAAAATGGAATCCTCATTTAAAAGAGAATTATACTCCGTATTATTTCTGAGCCTGATCTCATGTACCTACGTCGGAAATAAATGCATAATTAACCCTTTTTCATGATAAATTAACATTCATTTTCCTAGGATTAGTCGGAAATAGCATAATCCAGGGCAGGTTTTGCTTTCATTCTAACAGTCCCCTGGGACCTCTAACACTCTTAAAGGATTAGTAAAGCCTGTGATTCATTGTGTGTCTATGTACATGAAAATAGGATGCAGTTCCTGACTGTCAGGGAGAGAGGTTTTCCTAATTGACAGCTTTTATAAGTAAACGTAGAAAGATTAGCCTGCAAATACTGTGAGGGTGACTTTGGAGACCTGGCTGGGATGTGTTAGCAAAAGGATGATGTGTCCTGTGAATATTGAAAATTCCAAATGCATTCTACCAGGATTTTTAGACAGGAGGTTACAGCAGCTGTTGAAGTCAAGGCCCCTGGAGAACAGATAAGCTTTTAGGGGAAGTTCTTTGTCTGGTCTAAACTCTTGGGGTTTTCTTGCTTATCTGAGCCCACTTTTATGAACCAATAGGTTTACATTTACATAAACAGTGTGGGTTATTTTATTTGATTTATTAAGACCGGGTTGAAAAAAGCGGAGGCTTATTGGAGAATTGAATCTGAGCTTCCCTGAGTTTTTAATTCAAAATTCCCAAAGCCTTAATGAATGTGAATAAATTTCCATGAAAAGTCATGGGGTAGGGAGCCTGTATTTTAAATGCTTAGAGGGGAAAATGGAGTCCAAAGAGACTTCTGCTCCATTACTTAGTAACAAATAGGGTACAGGTTTCCTTTGGTTTGGTCCAAAACACAGAAATTTAGAAGAGCAAATTGAAACACCATCTGTTGACTAGGTATGATACCTGGTCATATTACAGGCATTTTACATGAATTATCTCAATAGAGAACTTGAAAGTAAAGAGAAGACATTTGTGAGTAGTGTAACCCAGAGAGAGAATGGAGTTCATTGCCCCACTTCCTTTTCAATGACACACACCTAGTAGATGCTTAAAACATGTTAAGAATTCTCCTTGGATTTGTCCTTTTAGTGGAATTCCTATCAAGACAGGCTCAGCATCACATAGCAGATAACCATGGTGGTGAGTCTCTTCCTGTCCTATACTTCCATGTTGCTCATGGAGGCCTTTGATTAGCAATTGAGACAGGAGAGTTCCCTTTACCCTCTGGTGGGACTTGCAGCAGGGGTGGCTCCTTTGCTCAGCTGCTTCCACGTGCTCAAACCCCTTATGGTGGGTGGTGCATGCATGTGAGTGGGTGCAGGAGCTGGGGCGAGTGCCTTTGGGCACTGGCAGGAACAAACCCCCATACCAGCCCACAGCAATGTCTAGGGGTTGCCAGCAACCTCTGGAGCCCCAGAGGGTGTGTGTTACAATCAGTGCTCTTTTAGTATGTGCTGTCTGTGGATGGCTAAGTGTTACACAGCTCAGTGGAGGGTCACTGTGACAGCTTCTTGCACCCGCACCTGGGTCCTTGTCTAGTGCCCAAGAGGAATGAGGTCACATGGACTTGAAGGATGGTGAATGTGGAGATTTTATTGAGTGGTGGAAGTGGCTTTCAGTGGGATGTGGAGCTGGAAAGGGGATGGAGTGGGAAGATAATCTTCCCTGGAGTTCAGCTGGGGACTGAACTCTTCTCCAACTGACCTTGGCCAAATTCTGTGACCGTAGTCTCTGACATCCAGCTGCCTCTTCTCCTCTTGATGTTTGGACACTTCTTCTCTTCTCTCCTTTTCTGCCACAGCGCTCTGCTCCTCTGCCAGTGGAGCTTTGGATTTTTATGAGCACAGGATATGGGCCATGGTAGGCCAAAAGGCAACATTCGGGCGGGAAAACAGGGATGTGAAGTTTTCGTTTAGGTCCGCAGGTCCAGCTTGAGGGTGGAGCCCTCGCCAGGGACCCCACCATCTTCTACCTAGTATTTCCCTGCCTCCTGTCCATATCAAAATGATTAGGATCAGCTTTTGGGGAAGGTACTTTTTAGTTTATGTTTTAACATTTAAGATCTAGCATAGCCTTTGGAAGGCAAAAAGTGAACTCTAGTCATCAAGTCAGGGGATCTTGATGTTCTCAGGGGCACTGGATGAGTTTGTCAGATTCTTGTCCCATAAAGACAGTGGTCCCTCTTGACAAGTGACCCTGGAGTTAGTCCTGTGTCCTGGAGTTGGAGGCAGCATTCAGGGGTGATGAGGGAAATCAGTGGGAGGTGACAGAGGGGATGGGGCCCAGCCCACTGCCCTTGCTGCAGAGAAACTTCCCAGGGGCAAGGTATACTTAATTAACTGCCCTGTCTGGAACCCATGTCTAAATATCACTAAGGGTTTTGTTTTCAAAGAGAAGCTATTAAAGTTATCTGAAGTACTGAGAAATTGTTTACATAGCAGAGTTCATTGTGGGTTTTATATTTGAAAGAAAATCTGATACGAGTATAATCTGCATGCTGGATGTGGATGGCTTCAAGAAACAGTTGGATCAAATAAAACTAATGATGAATAAAACAACCATAGCAGCAGACAATATATATGAGATATTCAGCAGAGCCCATGGCCTCTGCTGGACAGACGGTGGGAAGGGGAAGCTCTGTGGGGGCCCTAAAAGAATTTCTTGTTAACCCCCCGAGGTTGGCCCTTCCTCTCCACTGGCCATGATCCACCTGAAGGGAACTTGAGCATTTAATTCAACAGACCAGCATGATACTTCCTCCTGTGGCCTGATGAGCAAGTGGAGTGAGCCCAGGCCTGCAGAGTGACACAACAGTAGGTAGACAGTTGCAGAAGGAAATAGCTGACCCAGAAGGACTCTGGGCCAGGGCCACCCAGCATGGGAACTGGTTTACACATGCTATGGAAACTCTGTTTTGATCACATGGGAAACTTCAGGAGCTGATTTTTCCCTGCCTTGCTCAATCCTCTTTTGAACCCTATCTTAATGATAACATGGTAGCGGGAGAGGGCAGCTCTTTCAGAAGGCAAACCCCAGGAAGGCAGACATTTCTGCTTTGTCTGTGTTATTCACTGCCCTATTCCAAGAACCTAGAGCAGTGCCTTGTACTTAGCAGGTCCTCAATAAATGATTGTTGAATGACAATCACACTTGCCTGTCTGACCTAAAAAAAAAAAAAAAAATTCCCTGGTTTTTGAAGGTTTGAACCACTGACTCTTATTTATGTATTATTTATTATTTTAATAGGATACAAGTGGTTTTTGGTTGCATTGATGAATTTTATAGCAGTGAATTCTGAGATTTTAGTGCAGTCATCACGGAAGCAGTGTACACCGTACCCAATATGTTGTCTATATTCCTCACCCTCCCCCCAATCTTCCCCACCAAGTCCCCAAAGTCCATTATATGGACTCTTAACATTTTAAGAATTTCATGAATCAGGACTGGATTTTGCACTTGACATGAAGGCTGACTCTCATGAGTATTTCATAGCAGTGCTTCTTTGAGGATCATGGATGTAAAGCAGCATTCCTCAGGTTGTGTCCTGGTCACTTAGAATGCTTGATTAAAATGCTATCTCCTGGGATCCTCCCTAGACCTGCAACTTGAGAGTATCTAAGGTTGGAGCCCGGGGACCTGTATTTTAAAAGTCAAGCTCTCTGGACTGTTCTGCACGTTAAAACTGAGAGCTTTGGTCTTAGGCTTGTGCCAAATGAGTCTAATGCAGAAACTGGGAAGGAAAAAAAAAAAAGGACTTTGGTTACAATTAATTTTGAAAATGAACTCATTCAGCATTCTGCAGACATTACATGCCAGGCATTGGGCCCAATCCACAGGGATTTTAACAGGATTGAGATAGTCTTCACCCTCCGTAAGCTTAGGATCTGGCCAGAGAGAGATGAAACTAGGGATCGCCATCAAGGAGAAAGTAAGAGGCTTATGCCAGACCACGTGTTAGAGTTGTTCCAAGGAGAAAATACGGAGGGGCAAAGGGAAGGCCTAATGGAGCCCCACCTGCAATGCTGGGTGGGATTTAAATCATTGGCGATGGGAGGATAAGTTTGAATCCTGGGAAGTATTCATTTGGGAAAGACTTTTGGAGCCGTTGGCAAATTAGGAAAACCTTGAAAGTCTGATGTTGGGGAGGAAGTTCTTCTGCTATTTAAAGGTTAAAGAAAATATGGCTTGAGAAGACACAGTTGGATTTGAGATTAAGAAGATTGTGGTGGGCCGGGCACGGTGGCTCACACCTGTAATCCCAGCACTTTGGGAGGCCGAGACGGGCGGATCAGGAGGTCAGGAGATTGAGACCATCCTGGCTAACACGATGAAACCCCATCTCTACTAAAAATACAAAAAATTAGCCGGGTGTGGAGGCGGGCGCCTGTAGTCCCAGCTACTCGGGAGGCTGAGGCAGGAGAATGGCGTGAACCCGGGAGGCGGAGCTTGCAGTGTGCCGAGATCGCACCGCTGCACTCCAGCCTGGGCCACAGAGGGAGACTCCGTCTCAACAAAAAAAAAAAAAAAAAAAAAAAAAAAAAAAAAAGAAGATTGTTGCTATCCTTCAAGGGAGGAAATTCCATGTTTTGGCTGGAATCAGAGTTTAAGGAGTGGGAGGAACTGGCAGGGAAGGAAAGGAGACTGAAGTGCACTGGAGCCTCCTCCCTTCTTGTCTCTAGGGTGTGGTAGAAGACACTTGGCGGTGGGATGGCATTCACAGTAAGACCGAGGGTCAGGGTCACATAGTAGAGGCTGCACGGCCGGGGGAAGGTGTTGTTGGGAAAAGGAGATCCGAATGTGTTTATGCCCAGAAGAAAACTGTGGAGAGAGATGTGTTGAAGATGCAAGAGAGAAGTGAAGTGGTCCCACGGAACGGTTGTAGACCCAGGAGCAGTGGTGTGGTGGATTTAAATAGCCACAAGGTAAATTAGTTCAGCCATTGTGGAAGACAGTGCGGTGACTCCTCAAAGAACTAAAGACAAAAATACCATTTGACTCAACATTCCCACTACTGGGTATGTACCCAAAGGAATATAAATCATTCTCCCATAAAGACACATGCATGTGTATGTTCATTGCAACACTACCCACAATAGCAAAGACATGGGATCAACCCAAATGCCTGTCAAAGATAGACTGGATAAAGAAAATGTTGTACACATATACCATGGAATATTATGCACCCATAAACAAGACTGAGATCATGTCCTTTGAAGGGGCATGGATGGAGCTGGAGGCCATTATCCTTAGCAAACTAATGCAGGAACAGAAAACCAAATACTGCATGTTCTCACTTGTAAGTGGGAGCTAAATGAAAAGAACACATAAACACACAGAGGGGAACAACACACAATGAGACCTTTTAGAGGGTGGAGAGTGAGAAGAGGGAGAAGATCAGAAAAAATAACCAATGGATACTAGGCTTAATACCTGGGTGATGAAATAATCTGTACAGCAAACCCCATGACACAAGTTTATCTGTGTAACAAACATGCACTTGTACCCTTGAACTTAAAAGTAAAAAATAGAATAAAATAAAAATAAATCGCCACAAGGTCCTATTTTCCTCTCCCTTCAAGCCCCTCTCTCTGTCTCTCTCTTTCCCTCATGAGAGAGAATGTGAGTTTCTCTCTTGTGAGTGTGTGTGTGTGTGTGTGTGTGAGAGTGAGAGAAAGAGCACATGAAAGAGAGAGACAGAGACAGAGACACCAAGGCAGAACAACTAGAAACCTCATAAGTACACAGTGAGGGCCAAGGTTTCTTGAGCTTGGAGAGTAACAGCAATTCACCAGGTTGATTCCTGATTGGAAGTGATTTCAGGGACCAAGGAAAATGCTGTTTATGGCCATGATTGGGTAGCTGATCTACATTATCATGTGAGAGAGCAGGAAGTAAGTTTCATGTGAGTTATATCCTGGCCCTGTGCTTGAATAAGGGTTTTTTCCCTTGGGACAGCCTCAGTTTTATAAGGAGAGAAATGGACCCAACATTTCAAACATATGGAAGTGACTTCTTATTATCCACAATAGGGGGAGGATAGTTGAGAGATGGAGACAAAATGTCGCCACACCATCTCCATGTGTCTGCTATTTTGAGCATTCCTGAGCTGTGTTTGGGGACTAGGACGTGTTAAAGGCAGAATGAGACTTAAGATAGAATTGCTGAAGACACTGAGGCTCTGCTTGATTCAAAATTCACCTCAGACTCAGAGATTTCAGGACCCAAAGCTCTTAGGAGCTCCGTGTTTCCAGAGAATACAAAGTCTGAAGAACAATTCTAAAATTCAATAACACGTTATTAAGAACTGTCTGTCCCTTGCAAGGTGGAATGAGAAGGCACAATATTGGAAAGGAGTGCTGGTTACATACTTAAAAAGAACAACAGTTATTATGAAAAACTTGTTTTAAAAATCGTATAAATGGTTTCACAGGTGGAGGACAAAATGCCTGTGATACTTTGCAGTGACCTCCGCAACTGGAAAGAAAATAAGAAAACGAGGGCCGGCTTCAGGGGGATGGCAGGGTCTGGCAGGGCTCAAACTCCGCTAAAGGCAACACTGGATTGCTGCTAAAGTGAAGGAAAGACCTTATTTTTCAAGTGCAAATCATGTGTGACTTTAACAGTAAGAATTCCGTCAAGTAGTCCATAGAATAAATTTGCACACAGTTTAACATAACGCAAGTATATTAAATAGGATCTGGCATTAAAAGACCCAACACTGAATGAGAATCCGAAAATAAATGCCCACGTTCTCTCCAGAAGACCGTTCACCCTGAAGCCTTGGGCATTAATTTAACTGAATGAGGAAGCCACTGGGGCAGCTGCCCGGAGCTTATTTGATTTGTGAATAAACAATGCCTTCATTTCAAATGCTGTTCACTCTTACCCAAACCAAAGCAAGACCAAGAGCACAAAAGAGACTAATTGGTTACATAGTAACTACTGAAAAACAAAACAATATGAGGTTTTTGGGGGTTAGTGTTGGATTGGGTTTTTTTTTTTTTAGGAAAATGCAGAACTTGGCAAGTACTGCTAATTTTTAAGCCCGGTGAATGGTAGGATGCCGCAGGTTATGTCTTGCAGTTAATTCTTACAGAACATTCAAACATCCAGCAATGAGGAGTTCGGGTATGAAGGCCATCCAGTAAAGTCTAGTCTGTGGGCTTGTCAGCTTGAGTTAGCCAGCATTCCATCTGTGGCAAGCAGGGCCTGTGCGACATTGGAGAAGGGCTGAGAAGAGTGGCCGTCCTTTGCTGGTTCCCTTAGGGAGCTCCTGACCTCCTGCTGCCACAGGCCTCTTCGGGAGTGGGAATGGTGTCAGTGCAAAGGAAGCACCAAGGGGTTCGATGGGACCATTTATGAAGCATGTCCAGCAAGGACTTGCTGACATTGCGCAAGATCTGGTGGCATCCCATGTCTAACATCTCCGTGGTGCTGGGACAGACAGATCAAACTCGGGGACACAGACCCTTGGAGGTTCACTCAAGTTAGAACCCCTCAATGAGTGGAGCAATGGGGAGGAAATATGTGGCCAGCACTGGCGGAGAGTGTGACCTTATGGCTCATCCAGATCCCCTGCCTCCGTGGCTCACAAACTTACCGTGTGCATTCCATTCTGAAAAGGGAAGCTGAAGACCAGGCCGTGCGAGAAGGGACTGTGTTCTCTGGGTCTGTGGGCCTGCTGCAGGCCACCCCATGCTGGGGGAGTGACCACAGCACAGCCCGCGGGGATGGTGGCCTTGTGGGAAAGGCGAAGGCATGCTTCCAATGAGCAAATTGTATTTATTCATGAATTTGCATGAATTTCAAGATGCTGCTTGGAGTTTGCACTTAGCAACTGACAGCCCAAGAAGAAATGGGCCTTGAAGGCACCACGGTGATGCTGGAAATCTGAGTCTGTGAATAAATTGTTTCCCAACAACATATTCAATGGGTTGAGAACAAAAAGGCTTGTCTGCAATGTCGAGCTATGCTTTGGCTTCTTGTGTTTCTCGAGTAAGTGCCTGGCATGTGGGCACTTGGTGTGGACAGGAATGAGGAAGAAAATGTTGGCCTGAGCTCCCATGAGTCTTTTTCCTCCCCAAATCATATGTGTTAATGGAGCACGGGGTTATGCCCTACCCATAGATTTTTATGGTATTTTCTTTCCTTAGAGCCAGAGAATAACTAGAGGTGTTTAGTGACCTTCTTTATGAACAGGTTCCTCTTATGGGTCATTACATCGATTTTCCTCATCCAGGCCTGGGGTGATTAAGAGTGAGGCAGGTGGCCTTTCCCACGCTATGGACCAGGGGTTGCCTGCCAGCAGCAGCATGTGACATTAAAATGGTCAGGAGCACATGTGACTGTTACAGAGAATGAGGTGCCATCTTCCCATCCTGTTCTGCATGCAGGTATATGTTCAGACAGGCGACTGGAAGCCCAAATCTGTCCTTGTGACTCAAGTCATATTTCTCATCTGTCAAAGGCAGGCACAACTCTTGCAAGGACTTTGTTCTAAGTCATAGTCCTTTTTTTTTTCTTTCTTTTATACTGAGATATCATCTACATACCATAGAACCCACCCTTTAAAGTGTTTTTTAAGTATATTCATAAGGTTGTGCAACCATCACAACACAAAGTTCTTTGGAACAATGTATAATTGTCTTTTAAAAAGTCTATCCTGTTAGTGGAAAGTTTTCAACACGGATTTTTCGCTGTGAGCTCCTCCATTAAGTACAGTGTCCAAGTGCATGTGTATGTGCACACGCGTCCCTGTGCACTCACATGCTCCAGAGCCTCCGCAGACCAACCTCTTTGGAATGGACTGTGAGGCCTGATCATGGGAGCCTGGCAAGAAGGGACCCCAGAGCCAGTTGAGGGTGGGAAGTCCTGCCAAGGATGCGAGTACCGCTTGGAGAGGTGGTCGGGGAGGCCCCAGTCCTCCAGCCACCCCATGACCACCATTAACATGGCTTTGGCCTGTGGCGAGATACATCCCCTGGACTCTGAGACTAGTTAATGCTCTCGTGGGTCCTTTCGGATCTCTGGTCTCTTTCTCCCTAGACTCTAGTCCCTGACTCTTCTCCAGCTTGACACTGCCTGCTTAGATCCATGATATGGGTCAAATCAGGCCTGGCTCCGCTGCCTCCAGGTCCAACTACTGCTGGTGAACCCAGTCTTGGTGCCGTTTAGATTCTGGGAGAGCTGATGAAACATGATATGGGCTGCATTTGGGAAAATTCCAGCAAACAAAGTCAGGAAAGAGAATGTTGTTCAGAAAGCTTGAGCTTGAATAAGAGCTGGCAAATAGAAAACACTCTGGAAGACTATCCTCTTCTCAGCAAGGGGGTTATTATCTGAGATTGAAGCCTGAAATAATTCTCAATGTTATAAATGGCTGTAAATGGTGCTTCTTGTTTGTACAGGGCCAAGTGGCCCATTTGAACATTGGCCTATAATTTTTTCTTTTGCACAAATGGCAGTAAAATTGTATATAGGTGTATTTGTCTGTTTTCACACGCTAATAAAACATAGCCAAGACTGAGTAATTTATAAAGGAAAGAAGTTTAATGGGCTCACAGTTCCACATGGCTGAGGGAGCCTCACAATCATGGCAGATGAAGGAAGAACAAAGGGACGTCTTCCATGGCGGCAAGCAAGAGAACTTGTGCAGGGGAACTCCCATATATAAAAACCATCATATCTCATGAGACTTACTCACTACCAAGAGAACAGTATGGGGGAAACTGCTCCCATGATTCAATTATCTCCACCTGGCCCCACCCTTGACATTTGGGGGTTATTACAATTCAAGGTGAAATTTGGGTGGGGACACAGACAAACCATATCAATAGGGTATACATTTTCATGCCAAAGTTGGCGTCAACTTCCTTTCTGATGCAAGAAGCTTCCCATGCTCTTTTTATTATGGAAACGCTGCTGCTTCCAAATTGGTTCTTGCAGAACATGGTGGTCCTCATCATAAATGAGAATCTCCATATTTGGGAGTTAGAAACTGAGGATCTTGGAAAAACATAGCACATCAAATACTGTGTGTTGGGGCAGAAGCACTGGGCTGGAGAACTGACCTTCCAGTGACCACACGGAGAAAGTCTAGAGTTTCAGAAAATTGTGGAGCATCTGTTTCCCAGACTGTGCTTCAAGATGCCTGTCCTACCCCTCCTGTCTATCCAGTCACCCTCAAAGATGAAGCCCAGCACCAGGGCTCACCTCTCACCTCCCGGTTGGCATCCCAACTCTGTTTTCTACTCCTGAGTTCTGCCTCCCAGGCTCCTCCTCCAGGTTGAAAGCCATCTGGTCTCTCTGGCTGCAGGAGACCATCTTGCCCAGAATTCTCCTGAGAAAGGAGTATGTCCTGGTTTCTGCTTTTGCATGGATTTCCTTTGAGGAGTTGAGCAGTAAATTAAGATCGTGTAACCCAAGAATTAAGAATTTATTGTTGTTATTGACAGGTGCCCTCCTTTCTAAGTAGTTGAGGAACCCACACTGGCTTGCATAGAATTGGATGTGGCATGTGAGTGGATATTCAGATGTATTCATGGCTGTGTGCCTGGTGGTCCCTGCCACTTGGGGGTTGTCTAAATGCATGATTTGTTAAAGGCAATACATCCTTTTGTGAAACGTATATTGCCCATTAATTGGTCATTGATCTCCAACCCATTTAGGACAGTTATTCTTGCAGATAATTGTATGCCTTTGTCATGTTGTATAACACTGGGTCTTACTTTATTGCTTGTGGATTATGGTTTCATCCCAGGCACTTGAATGATGTCTAATGATTTCTTACTGACATTCATTCAGCAAATATTCCTTGAGCATCTACTGTGAGTGAGATGAAATACCAAGGACGTGAATACACAGAGATGGATAAGTGATGTTTGCTGCCTTCAGGGCATTTTCTGACTGATTGCAGAAACAAGACATATACCGAAATAACTATTATGGGAAAGTGCTAAACACCCTTCTTTTGTCATGTTGGTGGGAATGTAAAATAGTTATAAGAGTTTTGGAGTATAATTTGACAATATCTTTTGAAATTAAAAATATCTTTCCTTTGACTCTGTAGTGCTGTTTCTAGAAATTTAGTGTACAGAAATGTGGCACATAAAGACATAAATTCCAGAATGTTTCCTGCCACATTATTTGTAACAACTAATAATAAAAACCAAAAGACAAAAACCAAAAGGCTTTTATATCCTGCAATAGGAGACTGGGGAATAAATGACAGTTCTCACAATGGATTCGAATGAAGCTGATAGCAGGGATTAGGCAGTTTTATATGTTGGCCAGGAAAAATGTCCCTGATATACTGGTTAGTGAAGAAAAAGTAAATTTCACGTGATTTTGTTTTGGTAAAGAAAAGAACCTCTGTATATTGGAATCCTTATGGTTCAGTTATCAGTGGGAGGTGGGATTAATGACCATTTTATATGATTGATAAGCTGTGGAGTGATAGGTGGTCTTCACGTTTTGTTTTCTGAATTGACCTAAGAGCAGCTCTGGTGGGTGGGAAGACAAGGGAGATGTGCTATCCCTTCAAACCTCTGTGTGTGGTCACCTGTGGCCCACACGCCACAGGGCTTCTGACCTCAGCCTTCCGTGCAGCCGCAGTCTCCCACTTCACTTGTCCATGGTGGGCTGTGAACCTAACAAAAGCAGTGCAGGGTGTAGTGCAAGGTCAGAGTGTTCGTTTCCAGCCAGCCCTCCACATTCACATCCAGACCCAGGGCCCAGGAAACACTGAACCTTACACTTTGAAATGAGGGCCTTGCTGTGGGGACACCCTGACACCAAGCTCTGTGTGTGGCATCAGATCAGTACTTCCCCTGTTCTATGACATGTCCTGTGAAGTAAGAGTGGGGAACACAGCAGACTGCATAGTGTGGCCTGCACGAGGATCCACTACATGGTAGCATATAAAGGCTCTGATAAGTTCTGCAGTGATGAAAAGTGCTCAGCTTTCTTGAAACCAGTATGACCCAGTGACCTCTTTATTCAGATCCAAGGGACACACTTGGGAACTGCTGGGTTAGGGGAGAGATGAGACTAGAACGAGCTGGGCCAGTGTGGGGTCCTGGTGACACTGCCCTCCTCAGAGAGGTAGGGTCAGAAGGTAACTAAAGTGGTCTACTAGGGATCCTGACTTTAGTAACTCTGAAGTCAGGTGAGAAACTGGTTTGTGTTTTGGTCCCTACTCATTGATTTTGGTTCTCAGTTGGATTGTCCATAGTTGAATATAGCCAGGATGCATGTTGGCACTTTTTAAAAAAAATGTGGCTGTATCACGCCTGATGACTTAGAGGATGGTAAAGCACCGTTTCCTTCAAATGCAAAGCGTTTGCTGCGGAGGATGGGATGCCCATGCGTTTGGTGAGAACCAGGGGTCCAGTCTGTGTGCTGTGATTGGGAGGACCATGTGCATGGCTCATAGGGGCTGAGACTGTGTTGAGGCCTCAGCGCTGCTGGCAGAGCTGTCCCTGTGCCCCTGTAAGCTTGCCTTGGCACCCACTGCCTTTGCAGCCAGGATGACCCCCTCTGGTACTGGGCTCCAGCTTTCTGCAGAGCACCTCATTGTTTTGCCCACTGTGAGTACCTCTTGCAGTGGGGAGAATCTCCCGGACTTCCTTGTTTGTGGTGGCCTCCAGCATCCTGCTGAGCAGTGGCTAGACATCACTGTCCCCAGGCTGATCCTGTCCTCCCAGCACTGCTGGCTTTTTCTCTGGAATAATGGTGTCCCTTCCTGTGGTCTGGCCTTACTCCACATTCCACGGCCTTCCCCCTCCTCCTGACCTGCCATGGGAGGCTTGAAGTTTAATTCTAGGTTGCATAGAGCAATCTCTTTGGGCCTGCAGAGTTTTCTCATGAATAAAATGGGGAAGCCACCTTTTCTACCCTTTCCTAAGGTTTTTTCCTGAATCATTCATTCATTCACTCAACAAGTATCTTTTGAGCTAGGCACTATGCCCATCCACAGTGCCAGCCCTCATGGAGTTTACAATCTATTTATAGTTGTATATTTTCTCTGTGTACTTGGTGATCCTGGCAGCAGGGAAACCTTCAATCCTGGGGTGATTCTCTCGCTAAATTGCCTTCTGGGCAGCTTACCAACCAGGAATAATGATTCTGCTTTCCAGCCACATGGCCATTTACTCTTTGCAGAGAACATCTTCCTTTGCTGGTGAGGGGAAGTGATCTGATGGGAGTTCTGCATCAACACAGTTCAGGGACTATTCCTGAGGAAGTAGGAATGACAAGCCGTGTACCACTAGGACTAGATAGTGAGATTAACCCAGAGACCAGGAACCTTCCTTCAAGGAAGGCTTCTGACCCACCAGGCTTAAAGAGTAAGGAATGGAGGACTTTTGTGTGTTCACGTTGCAGTGTTTGTGCAAAGCCAGGGGATCATCAGAGCATCTAAGAGATGCTTCTCTCACCCCATCACCAGCTCTGAGGTTCAGGACAAAAAATTGGACAGTGGCAGTCCATTCGTTCATTCCTTTATTCCTCTGTCAGGCTGTCATTCATTGTATACAGTGCTGGAAATAGGAAGCTTACTAAGGTAGTTCTATAGCAAGGAACTCCCAGTTTCACATTCAATTCATGTGAACAGATACTGTGACAAGTACCACTGACCATGTGATGGTGTTGTGCACAGGAGGAGGGGAGGAGGAGTCTCATGGGAGGAGAGGGTGGATTGGTGAGGATAGGCAGGAGATGCTTCTTTCTTCAAGGATGAATAGGAAATTACTTGGAGATGTTCAAGGCATGGGGACAGCATATGCAGAAACATGAAGGCTTGAATGAACAGAGAGCTCTATCCCTTCTGAGGGGCTGGAAGGCACAGATTCATGGGCATTGTGGTGGGTAGGATGGTGCTTTTAGCTGCCAGTCACCGGACTGCTGGTGTGCTGGGTATGCCCAAGCATTGCCAAGCAGCTGGTTCCACAGGGTGCGATCAGCAGTGTTTCTGCCCCTTCTGGACATCTGATACCCAGATCTAGCAGCTTTTGAGTATTAGGCCCTTAAAAGAAGTCATTAAAATTCTACTTTGGCATAGACATTGAAGACAATTTGATTTCAAGTCAGCCAGCAGCATTTCCTCAATAAATGACTTCCAAATATTCTACTTCCAGACTTCACTGTCCACTCACAAATGGCGCCCAGAGAGCTAATGCCAGAGGAAATGTTTGGATTAACCTTTCCTTTAAATTCTTAATGTTTAAAAGCACCTTTTCACGGAGTTCTTACCTTATTCCTTGTATCTGGGAGAGCAATGCGGGTTGCAGCTGAGTCCATTGTTGTCTGATCATTTGAAGACAGCTCTGTTGCTAGACTCTGCAAAGGAGTTATTTCGGCAGTTGAGAGTAGCTAGTTATAATTAGCTGGCATTGGCAATGTTAAATTTATAAATGAGGGCACCCCCTTGCAATGCGTTGGGGGAGGAGATAATGAAGCCTCCCCCTAGTTTGGAAACACAATGGGTACAGCTAAAATTAAAGAACAAAAGAGAAACAGTGTAAAGCCTGCAATGAAATATCATCTCTAATTGGGTTTTCCTTCCACAATAGCAGAGATTAAATGCAGAGTATCAACTTAACCTTTCCATTTGCTGCTTTTGTCAGCCAAAAACAGATGGTTAACATGATTTATATTTTTGTTCTTATTGTAGATCTTCACCATTTAATTGGAATCAGATTATCAGGCTATTTTGTAAACAACCTGGAATTGAGGTGTTTGTTTTATCACTGAATATGATAAATAAAGAATGAGTGGGGATGGATAACATGTTTGGCTGAACCAGAAACACATTGCATGGGCCATGTTGGGGCAAAACAGATTTTTGAAGCAGTTCTAGTTGTACTCCAGAATTCAGGCCTCCACACTGTTTGGGGTATGTGAAAGGTTTGTAAAAGCATGTAAATATCATTTGTGCCCTGAATGAAACATGCAAAATAAAATTCTGTTTAAATTCTTCACAAAACTGAAGAAAATCGTTTAAACCCATAACTTCGTTTGAAATTCCTCCTAATGACCTGTCATTTCCTCCTTTTGAAATGATCCTATTACATTAATCAGATTGATGTAGTGGTGATAGATTATTCTCATTCAAAGGAATACTCTTGTGTTGTCCTTCCCAATCTACCATCTAGAATCTCTAACCAAGAAGAGTTCAGAAAGTGATGGCTCTGTTCCCTGCCTTTAGGAACACACAGTTTTGCTTGGTTTGATTGGAGCTTTGCGTTGCCTGCTTTCAGTGGCGAAAGAGGCCCATTTGTGAATGGAAATATCGTCTCCTTCAGTACCTGCTCCAAGTAAGACTGATTCACATGGGCCACTCAGGCCTGCACGGGGCTGATCGTGGCCTTCTTTGTTTTCTAGCGTTTGCTTTTGGTGGGTGTGCTGGAGAGCCTGTTCAGGAGAGGGCTTCTCCCTCCCTTACTAGCCAGATTCATAAAGCAGAGTTGGTTTTACAACCATCTATTTTTTACCAAGCCCATAAACATCTATGTCTCTGGCACTGCCTGTGGCTCCGGCGTGTGTCCAGCATGATGATTTGGTGGCACAGAGAGGGGCTGTTTACACCCCAACAGCCAAACCTTCCATTTTTCATGAGGCACTAGGAAAATAATTGTGCTCCTTCCCATTTTCCTCAGCATTGGTTTCCAAGCTTTGCCTTTGTTACCATATTTTGCTGAACCTGACCATGCTTTAAGGATAAAATGTGCTCGGAAAAATTGGTGAATTTTGTGGTGATATGTACAATCATCTTTTATAATTTAAAAAAATTCCATTAATATGTATCTGTTCTGGGTTGTGGGAGACAAGCCTTTGTTTTCCTTGAGGCCTTCTCTAGCTGCTTGCAGGTGACTTGCAGCAAATCATTTTCATCTTGGGACCTTCTGTCAGCACCCCATGAGGAAAAACAGGTGACAGGTGGCATCAGCTGCTTGCTTCTTCCTTCCCTCTGCTAGAGGGGGAAAGATTTAGAAGGAGGGTATGTGGCTGTGTTTGGCATGGCTCTGTTAATTGCTAACAGGTTATGAGAGCCCAAGAGACTGGATGAAGTAATTGTGCTCCGCCAGTCATCAGCTTTGTGACCTTGGCAAGTTATTTTGCCTGTTTTAAATCTATTTCCCTATTTTTAATATGGGAATTATAATACATAACCATAGGATTGTCATGAGTATTAAATGAGATAAAGTTCTTGACACATTAGAGTTCTGGGAAGCTATTCACAGTGTCATTATTTTTAAATGGGACTAAAAATGGCAAGAATTTTTGCTTTACTATTAATATATGTGGCACATAAATATCCTCTTCCAGAAAGTAGGTAAGGTCTCAAGCAGTCAGTTGTATTTTCTGAAGAAGCCCTAGCAGGGTTCCTTTGAGTAGGGGATCCCTGTGCATGGAATCATCTCCACTGATGAGTCAGCAGTGGCCAAGAGCACAGAGGCACAGAGACCTCAAAGCTGGAAGGCTCACTCTGGCCGGGACCTGGTCTAATATACAGGCAGATACCCATTCCTCTCTGTGCCAGCCTAGGACCTGGCATACTGTAGGTGCTCAATAAGGGCTTGTGATGAAGGCATTAGGAGTCACTATTTTTAAAGTTAACTTCAGTTGCCATTCACAGAATAGTGAACAAATCATAACTATACAGCTAGATGCAGTTTTACAAAGTGAACACAGCTGTTGAAGCCCAGCCAATGGAGAAATAAAGCATGACCAGGATCCAGAAGCACCCTCCTAACTCCTTCTAGTCACTTTCCCCACAAAGGTAGCCACCATTCTGCCTTCTGTCAGCATGGATTAAGTTTGCCTGTTTGAACTTTATATAAATGGAATAATAAAATATATACTTTTTGAGACTGGCTTCTTTTGCCCAACATGAGTTCATAGGACTCAGTCATGATGTTGCATATAGCAATAATTTGTTAATTTTAATTGCTGTATGTTTTTCTATCGTATGACTACATTGCAGTTTATCCTTTCTACAGTTGGATATTTGGTCGTATCCAGTTTGGGGCTATAAATCAAGCAGCAATGAAAATTCTCATTTGTGTCTTTTGGTGAACGTATAGACACATTCCTGTTGAGTAAAATTGCCAGGTCGTAAGAGAATGCTTATATTCAGCTTTAGTACTGCCAGACAGTTTAGACTTCCGAAGTGGTCCTACCAATTGGCACTCCCACCAGCAGATTGTAAGAGTGATGGATGGACACACTCATGTTTGTTTTTGTCTCTTCATTTTAGCCATCTTGGTGGGTGTGTAGTGGTATCTCACTATGGTTTTATTTTACATTTCCCTGATGTAATGATGTTAAGCACATTTCTGCATGTTTCTTTGCCCATTTAAATGTTCTCTTTTTGAAATGCATGTTTGAGTGCTTTCCTTATTATTATTTCTTTTTATTGGGTTGCTTGTCTTTTTCTGATTGATTTATAGAGTGCTTATAAAATCTGGATATAAGTCCTTTGTCAGATAAATGTATTAAAAATGTCTCCTCCTATGTGGTAGCTTGCCTTTCACTTTTCAAATGGTATCATTTGATGAACAGAAGTTTACTTAATGCAGTCCAATTTATCAGTTTTCCCTTATGCTAGGCATTCTTTGCATTTTATTGAAGAAATCTTTGCTTACTCCAAGTCATTAATATAGTTTCTCATTTCTTATAGTTTCTCATTTCTTAGAAGCTATATTGTTTATGTCCACACTTGGTCAAGCCACTACTTTTTAAAGGATTCTCAAATAAATGGAAGCTAGCCAAAAAATAATGTTTTAAGGCAGTGGTGGTTTAATTTCTAAACCAGCAGACAGCACTCAACCTGTCAGGAACTCTGGGGTCATTTAAGTGGGATGTAGTTGACAAAGCCTGTTGCTCTGCAAAGGCTTGACCCTGACCAGGTAACCATGGGAGATTGATCACTTTTCACATGTATCCTAGTCCTCACGTGCACAAACCTACTCTTGCTCTAGAAATTCCAGAAAGATGTATAAAGGGAGGAAGGATGGTGAAATGGTAACCCTGGGTGCTCTGGGAAATGCTTCATTCTTTGTTTATCAGTCAGAGTGTAGCTCATTCTGTCTCTGCAACATTTGAGAACCTTCGTGTCCAACCTCTAAACCCAGTCTCCTGGCTCTAGAACTTCATAGATGACTGGCTTTGTAGTGTTAAACAAATCCCTTAACTACCTCAGCCTATTTCTTGATCTGTAAAATTGGGACAATAAGGAGGCCCCCTCGGAGTTTTTATTTGTTGGATGGATGAATGGATGGATGGATAGATGGATGCATGGATGGATGGATGGTTCGTTGCTCTAACCATTAAATAAGATCAGGTTTATAACACACTTAGTCCAGCTCTGACACACAGTTCAGTGCTCAATAAAAGCACTTGTCATCTACTGTCTTCCTAATAAACAGTAATTACTTGCTGAATACTAAAATGTCATCAGCTTAGCAAATCTAATGTAGCAGATACTAAAAGAAACCCAAATTCTTTTAAGAAGTTCACAGCACATCTTTGCCTTGTGATCATGGTCACAAATGTGTGTGAGTTTGAAACATCATCAAAACAAAAGACACTTCCTTGGATATTTAAATCGGAGCATACCCAACTGCTGCTGAGGGCATGTGATATGGTTTGGATGTTTGTTCGTCTGAATCGCATGTTGAAATGTGATTTCCAATATTGGAGGTGGGGCCTGGTGGGAGGTGATTGGGTCAGGCGGGCAGATCCCTCGTGAATGGTTTAACACCATCGCATTGGTGATGAGTGAGTTGTCACTCAGTACACATGAAATCTGGTTGCTTAAGATTCTGGTCCCTGCCCTCTGCTGGGCCTCTTGCCCCTACTCCCACCATGTGACACCACCTGCTCCCCTTTGCCTTCCACCATGACTGTAAGCTTCCTGAGCCCAGCCTCAGGTACTTCTTTATAGCAACACAAGAACAGATGGATACAGTGTGCATGTGCTTTCTGGTGAACGTTTCTAAAAGGTTGTGAAGACGGTGATGTGTGATTCCACAGCGTGGGGTACTGGCTTATTGCAATACCCTCCAAACTGGTGCTCCTGCTTCCTCTCTGGTCCATCTTACATCATCATGCCCATCCATTAAAATTATCTCTTTAAAACATGAATCGAATCGTGATTTCCCATTGCACTTAGAATCATATCCAAACTCCTTTCCACACAGATGAATCAGTGTCTAATCTTGCCCCATCAGCCTTTCCCACCTGGTTTCCTACCACTGTCCACTCACACGCTATGCTCCAGACACAGCAGTCTCCTTAATCATTTCTTCAAATCACCAAGCTTTTCCCTGCCCTAGGGCTTGCCTCAACTCACTCCACCTCTCAAGTCACCTCTCAGGGAGCTCTTCCCTGATTACTCTCCCTAAAGTGGAGTAGAAGAGTCAACTCCTCATTTATCATATTATTTCCTCCATAAAATGAATCTTGTTCATTTATTTGCTTGTTTGCCTGGCTTCTCTCTTCCACTAGTATCTAAACTGTATGCCTTATTTCAGGAACACAGTCGATCCTCAATAAACAAAGAAATGAATGGCCATTGGCTATCCTTAAGGCCAATGGTCTGCCAGGTCTTCACTGTGTGGTGCGTATCCTCCTGCTTCCTCCCCTTGGTAACCATCAGTTCCTGGTGCCCCGTTCTATGTCATTTGCAAATTCCATAGGGGCTCTCCCTCTTCCCTCTATTTTCCCATTGGAGCTTACAGCCCCTCAACTCCCCAGCAGATCTATGTTTTCATTCAAGTCTCTCCTTAAATTCCATTTTATCCAATGACTAAAGTTACTTCTCTAGTCTCTAGTTAATGATCATTGGCTACATCCCCCCAAGAGAAGAGTCAGTGGTGGTGATGTAGTGGGGTGCCCCTTCCCCATTTGGCCTTCTAACAGGTGTGGGGGTTACTGACATCTCTGCCAGGGGTTTCCTCATGTCACCAATTCAGTAACATAAACTGCCAGAGTGTCCCCTTGGAATGTTTCTTAGTCACTGGTTTCTTGATTGTGGCTAACAGAGGCCAACCCAACTTGCTTCATTCACAGAGAGGAGTAAGAACCTAGGCATGTCTCTGGAAACCTAGGAGCAGAAAGCATGCCTGGAGCTTGTACAGATGCTTGCCTTGATATCTGTTCCAACAGTAAGCAGTCCACAGAGAGTAGCAGTACCAGGTTTCTGGGAGAAAAGTATTCCATTGATCCAGGTGGTGAGCCCAGTTTAGTCAGATGTGGCTCATGGGAAGGACTCCCAGGGGATGTTCTTTAACCCTTTTTCCCGTTTAGAAAAAAAAAAAAGTGCAGCTCAATGCCAGTGCTCATTTAATCCTACATAAACATGCTCTTTGAGGCTGAAGCAAATCTGACTGATTTTCGATGCGAAAATAAAATATAAAAACTGTTCCTGGAGTTATTTCTAAACAGAACTAACATCTGAATCATCTGAATCGTCTATTTCAGAAAAAAATCAGATTCATCAAATGAATTTTTGGCCAACAACTGTTCGGGAACAATGTTAACATCACGTGTAGGGATGCTACATTTTCTAGGATTTGGCATTTTTCAGCAATTGAGAATTACTATATTTTGTAAGTGGAAATTCCACTACTAAAAACAGAATGCTATAAATAAAACGATGTTTTGTTTCCAAAGTCAATATACTAGAGTGATGCAAAAATAATAATAAAAGCAAGATATTTCATGGCAAAGTTATCTCAGGGTAAACGCTGCAGCCACAAGTGCCACTGGTGAATATTCTTGGGGCAGACAGGAAAACAGTTACATGGGAAACCGTTCTTAGAAAGGCATGGGCTGTTCAAACACCCAGAGGGGCATGTCCTATGAGACCCCTCAGAAGCATTTCCATGACTCCCACCTAAGAGATCACATATTGACCGGGAACTGCAGCAGGAAAGGCTGACCAGCCTGATCTGGGAATGTTCCTGATGGAAATGAAGTAGGGCCAGAGTTTTTTTTTAAGGAAGAGCAATGTGACAGCAAGGACATTAGTTAGAGGAAGCTCGGTTATCAAAGTGGAAGGAGGAGGCACCATCTGGACTCCAAGGACCACTATTGGGATGGCTTGGAGGGTGGTGGTAGTGGGAGAGGAGGAGTAACTAGGCCTTCAGGAATGCAGCAGACCCAGAGGTTAGTGCTGGTGTTCATCTGCCTGAATTCAAACTGCAGCCCTACCACTTAGCCTTTCTGGGCCTCCACTTCCTTGCTTTGAAAATGGAGGAACAGTGTCGAAAGAAGAATCCATGAAGAGTGGTGAGTTGGTACTATGTTGGACATATAGTAAGCCATCAGCAAATATTAATAATTAAGCTCTAGAAGGATATAACTGCATCTGCCTTCCAGGGATCCTTTGCGGAGTGCTTGGAACATACTAAGAAGGAGCGTTTCTGCATGAGTCTCTCCCATCCCTTGGTACCCTGATTTCAAGCTTTAAAATAATAGTGGTCTTGTTTTTAATCATAATGGTTTGATAATAGGAAGCCACACTCATATCCTACCCAGCCTGAGGAATTAAGGGACTGGTACTTGTTTTTATATAACTAAAATGTACATAGGAGGGAAAGTCCTACATCAATTCCTTCATGGATGTCCTCAATTAAATCATTGGAATCTGTATCATTAAGATAGACTGAGTCCATTAGGTAGACAGGCAGGTGAAATCTACCTGAACTTATTCAAAATGCTTGGAAATTGTTCATCAGTAATGATGTATCAACGAGAGAATACGTTTTATATTTCTAAAATTATAGGTGTCTTCCTACAGGGGGGAATGTATCTTCTTCCTCCAGTGTGTAGTGAGCAGTTTTCGTGAACACAGCTTAACACCCCTTCAGCTATGTGTTCCCTTTGATCCCTAGCTTATTAAAAAATGCAAATCCAAATTGTATCTTATTAATGTGAGCTTTTGTGTTAAAGCTGTGGGGGGCTAAAAATCCCTGTTTCTCTAACATGTTTGGATTTTTAATGTGCAAAGAGCTTGATTTTCTGCAGGCCATATTTTCTAATCAACTGTTATGAAGGATTTTTTATTGTGCTGCTATTTCTTGCTTTCTTGGAATTCAAGGAGATAAAGAGTAATGACTTCATTGTTATACCCTAAGTATTCTCGAGCATGTTGAGATCCTCAATAATTGGCTATAACATCTCCTGTTTTCCAGGAGCATCCTGGAAGCATATTTTAAAGATGTGTCTAATGTTGGAGGTAGTTGATCCAGAGAACTTACTGCTCATTGCCAACAGGCTTGTGGGGCATATGGGAGGTGACAGTGTCCAGCCAGTCCCTTTTCTGAATGTGTACAACAGTCCTTAGACCCAGTGTGCTCTTGTTATTAAAACAATTTCTTTTCTTTAAAAAATAAGGTGCTTGAAATTTAATTTGAATCAAGTTAAAAATTGATCCCATTAGAATACAGCTGCATTTTTCTCACTTGTCCCATTTTTAGTTCAGCCAGCTCTTCATTCTCTCATCCTTCTTCTCTTTTCTTCGTGCCCTGGAATAAGCTTCTTCTTGTATTTAATGATTATTCTTCTTAAGATCAAAGCCAATTACTTCAAAAAAGCCATCACATGGAAATGATCATTTTATATTTATGAGGCTGTCCATATGTACCCCCTAGTAAAGCTCATTCTGGAACAATCTTTTGAGCGTGGGAGTCCTGGCAGGGTGGAAGAAGCAAGTGACTGGTGAATGATAAAACTAACAACAGCCAAGACTATTGGCGTCTGCTATGTGCTAGGCATATATTATCTCATTTAATCATTAAAACAACCCCTGAGGTTTGTACTGTTATTATCATATCCCCACTTCACAGATGAGGAAATGGAGGCACAGAGGTGAATGACTTGCTCACATTTGCATGATCACAGGGGTCAGAAGTGGGGTACAGCCCTGGGAGTCCTGTTGAGAGTCTTCACCCTCAATCACTGCACACCACACATGCTTCCAGCTATGGGAAGAAGTTCTGGGTTCTTCTCCTGACTCTGCTATTAGCTAGCTAACTGCTGTGCCTCACCTTTAAATTAGAATATTGGACTAGATTCTCTCTGAGGTCACATTTGGCCCTGAAGTTTTTAATTCTTAGTAACTATTTTAAAGTGTTGTAAGGTGAAACCGGAAGACAAAAGGCAAAATTCTCAACAGTCCCTACCCCCCACCCCACACACATGCACACACACCCATGCATGCACACACGCATGCACACACACACATGCACACACGCATGCACACATGCATGCACACACGCACATGCACACATGCATGCGCGCACACACGTTCTTTGCCTTCACACTAGATAAAACCACAGTAAAAAGAATCTCAACTATCACATCCTACTGTACTTCATTTTAGGCAGAAAATGTTACAACTTGTATTCCAAAAAAAAGCCACCTGCGGCTTTCTGACACCTCCACTGGGGTCCCCCGGAAGCGGATATCTGGGGGAGGAGCGTGCGTGAGGTTTGAGTGAGAATAGCGGAGGGTCTATTTTTAACCTGAGACCTTTTGCAGAGTCGCTGCCTCTTCTGTTGTCTCCAGTTCTAGGAAAGGAGCTTTCACCTCCGTTCTCATTCAGAGATGGCTCTGTGGTTCATAAAGGAAATTTTCTCTTGGTTGCTGTTGAAGTGTTCTACAAAAAGAAGTTTGATGTGCTCTGTGTGAGGATGGCAGGTGGCAGCTTTCTGTGTCATTCTTTGACATGTGCCAGCTGACGTGAAGTGACTTGTGGTGACAGAGTCACACTAGGCGCTAGCACTTTCTTTTTTCTTGATAAAACAGGTAGCCCTTTCTGTGGGGAGTCAAGAGCTGGGGCATAAGCTAGTGTCTTCCAGGAAAAAAAAAGGACTCATCACCATGCGTGTTTTTAGATGAGATGGTGCAGTGTGAACCACCAGCTCCAACCAATTGTGCAGATGCGCTTGACCTTTGGTGACTGACAGCTGCCACAGGATCTGTCAGGCTGCCCCTCCTACTACTCCCCTCCCCCTAGGGCCAAAGGGCTCTCTCAAAGCTATTTCTGCAGAACTCCCATTAGCTGTTCCCCAGGAGATTTCGGGACACAAGCGCACTCAGCGTGTTCTCTGTTTCTGTCTCTGTTTCTATCTCTTTTTCTATCTCTACCTCTTAATGGAACATTTCAAATATGCAAGCAAATGTAAACAACAATAATAGAAATGTATGTACAAGCCCACCTTTATCAAATTGTTAACATTTTGACATATTTGCATCTGATCTCTCTCTCTCTCTCACACACACACACACACACAAATAAATAAATAAATTCACTACAGATCCTTTTTCATCCCATGATCCCCAGGGGTGTATTTCCTGTGAAGCTAATGAAGTTTAAGATTGTGGCACCTCCCTTCCACAAGCCCTAGGAGAGGCCCTTGTAGTGCATTTACATGAATATATGTTTTTGTAAAAATTTGTAAAATTTGCAAAAGTGAGAGATTTAACTGCAATTGGTGAAGATCACTGTCGCTTTTCACTCTGAGCTTTCTTCCCTCCACGTTCCCTTCTGTCCAGCAGGATTGGACAGGTCTCAGATATGTGAGCATCTGGCTAAGGGGCAGTTGATTTTGGGGATACATTTGGCTTTGGTTTAGCAGGATAGAATTGTAGGGTTCCCAGTTACTTCTGTGTATTGCTAAGTTATTGCTAGATGTCCCTGTGGAGTGGTGGATGGCTTCCAGGAATACTCCCACTGTCTATGGTGCTGACTCACCAGCAACATGACATGGAGGAACAGGATTAGAGGTCATACAGGGATGTGAATGTGTCCTGTGGTGCCCACACTTGATGCTTGAGAAGCAGAGTTTGAAATGTGTAGAGCCATTAGCTTGTCTACGGAAAATAATAAATCAAATCATTAAACATGTCAAATTATAAGCAAATGATTCTAGTCTCATTGACAATTACTCAAACTAATATGGTTCTCCTATCAGGAATGTACTCGATGATGTAGCATATACAATTATAAACACATCATATTTTTTTCTGTTTAAATTTCTCTATTCTTTTTCTTAAAGAGAGTCCCCTAAATTGTAAATGCTTCTATCCCCACAAAACCTGGGATCTGCTCAGATAGTGAATTCTGTTTCTCTCCTGATTTGTTGGTGTTTATCATTCTCTTGCATGTTTTAATACCTTCGTATGTATGAAAAAGATAAAATTATCATATATACTCACATATGTGTATAAATATATAAATATGTGAATATATAAATATATAGTGACTATATATTATTTATACACAAATGTGAGTGGTGTGTGTGTGTGTACACTTTGTTTCTAGGTTTTTATTCTTTATATAAATGTTACCATTCAGTACAAATACTTCTACAACTTGCCTCATTTCCAAACATTGTTTTGAGATTTATCCATCTTGATATACTATAGCTCTTGTTCATTCATTTTCATTGCCATTTGTAGTATTTCATTGTGTGAATATACCATAGTTTATTTATCCTGTCTTCCATCACTGGGCATTTGGGTTATAATAGCGACTAATTTGAAGTAAATAATGTACAATAAAAATCTTGTACATACTAATATGTGTGAGAAGTTCTCTATAGCTGTTGTCTTTAAATTCTTTCGCTCAGGTATTCTGTAAGAGAATTTTGGAAAGCTGCCTCCTTTCATACATTTTTACATTAACTTATAAAATATTTTAACATAAGTTTATGTAGTTGGAAAGGATGTAATTTGCATGATATTGTAATACAGATATTTAAAGATAAAACTAAAGATCACCCTTCTCAATGCAACCAGTGAAAATAGTGTAATGATTCGACTCTCACTAGCATCCATTTAAATAATACACTGCTAAGTTTTTCCTTAATAATTAAGTTCCCTTTGTTCTTTGAAATTGAAATTCTATTCTTTCCTGTCCTCAGAATTTTCTCTTAGTGCAACATATTTTTAAGCTTGACAGTCTTTTTTATTGATTACCTCCTCCTATTTCTCTCCTTCATATTGATTCATAGGAGTTCTATGTGATTTCTGGAAATCATTATTTTGTCACTTTGTGAGTCCATCTATCTTTTCCTAGTCTGTGGCTTATCTTTTTACTTTGTCTTTAGAATTTTTTGTTGTTGTTGTTGTAAGTTTTTAATCTTTTTTTTTTTTTTTTTTTTTTTTGAGACAGAGTCTCGTTCTGTCGCCCAGGCTGGAGTGCAGTGGCATGATCTCAACTCACTGCAACCTCCACCTCCCGGGTTCAAGTGATTCTCCTGTCTCAGCCTCCCAAGTAGCTGGGACTACAGGTGCGCACCACCATGCCTGGCTAATTTTTGTATTTTTAGTAGAGATGGGGTTTTGTCATGTTGACCAGGTTGGTCTCGAACTCCTGACCTCAGATGATCCGCCCTCCTCAGCCTCCCAAAGTGCTGGGATTACAAGTGTGTGCCACCAACCTTGGCCAAAATTTTAACCTTAATGTGATTAATTTATCAGTCTTTTCTTTATGGTGTGGAGGTATTATATGTCTTGTTTAAAAATTGCTTTACTATCTCAAAATCATAATCTCCTATGTTTTCTTCTAAAAGTTTTAACATTTTGTTTTTCACATTTTAATTTGTTAATTTATTTAGAATTTATTTTCATGTACGGATACCTTATGAATCTAATTTTATCTTTTTTCAAGGGAATACTCAGTTGTCACAGGGCTGTTTTTAAGTAGTTCATTCTTTGCCAGCTGATAGTATTTGTCAATTCATACATATAGATTATGAATATTATATTATGATATCTATATCATTCCTTGGGTGTATTTGCTTCTTTAGTTTTAAACAAGAAAGGAGTACGTTTTGCTTAGCTGACATTATCTCGTATTCCTCATAGGTAACTAGCACAGCATTTATATCCCATATCATTTTTTTAGTTAATATTCACTAGCTTGAATTGAATTTGAATGTGTAGTTTGGAATATAGGGTCAAAATTTATATGGCCTGGCATGTTAGTAAACACTATGAATGAATGAATGAGTGAGTTAATGTGATAGAATTATTGAAACATACTTGTTATAACTTAGATTATTATTGTGTTATCCTGTGCTTTTATATACAGAAAATATATCTCTATCTCATTAATGAACTTAGCTTTCTAGAAAGTCATTTTCTTTTAGCAGTACAATATTTCTTAAAACATGGTCTAGCAGAATCACGTGCAAAGTGTGTTAAAATGCAGATTTCAAGGTCTCACCTCAGACCAACTCACTAAATCAGTCTATGTGGGAGTCAGATGCAAGCTCCCCAGGGGACTGTTATGCTCAAAAAAATTTAAGCATCACTAGTTTAATGGGATGTCATTCAGAGCCTCTATTCAGATGTTCTACCAAACCGAGCAGTGACAAAGAACATTTAGGCCAGCACACCTCTTTTAGCAAAGCCGTCAACACTTGCAGGTCATAACACATTAGAGTGGAGAGAACATTGGCCTAGGACCAGGATACTTGAGCCTTATATTACAGCCCCCTTCTAAGGTCACTGATAATTTCATGATGTGACCTCCTGCAAATTTCTTAGTTCTCTGTATGTTAATTTCCCATCTGTGGCTCTTCCAGCTTGTTAGAGAGTTAGAGTTAAATTCGCCATGTTCATTGCATGGGAGAGAGAGAGAGAGAGAGAGAGAATGAATGAAACTAGGACAAGGAACCCTGCCAGCTGGTATCTTTTTCTCTCTCCATAAATCTAAATAACATTCAGGTAGCAGTTGCAACGTATGGATATTTTGTCATCGGCTCAGAGCAAAGTGACCCTTTCAGAAATTTGGCTTGGGCAACTGCCATTGCTGCTGTTTGTAGATTGTCTTGGGCACTCAGACAGTTGTTTACGCAGACTGCCTGGAGGTTAGGGTATCTGTCATCCTATACTAAAGACAACTAAGGAATTTTATTTAAACCAACCACCTCTGTAGTAGAGTCTTCAAGCCTTCTAGGTCCTTTTTTTTTTTTAATTAAAAAAAAATTGAACTGACAGTTCCAGTTTGTTTGAGAAGTGCTCTGCCCAGTATCCTAAAACCCAGCCTCAGGAAATGGTTCATCACAAGTCTCTGAAATACTCCAGCTTTCCCTCTTTGTAGTAATTCAATTTGAATGAATATACACTTGGAGTATATGAACCGTACAACTGGTTTTAAGTAGGGACAAAGCTGGGATCGTCCCCACCTCCATCCTGTATGGCACAATCATTTCTTATTTCATTCTGTTCAGCACTGGCAGCAATTAAAGCTCCCAAAATATGGAGTGTTTTCATCAAGTAAAGCATTAAAAATACTGGCCCGTCAGAGTGGGAAGTGGACCTGTGCTTTACTGCAACTATTCTTCAGCTGCAATAGGGCAGGAAGTCGTGAATAGCATTCATTTCATGCAGTGGAAAAATAAGGCCAATTTCAGCTTTAATCTTTATTATGAGGAGTCTAGTCCCTGTTGGAATGTAATGAGTGGATGCACCTCATTTAGCTTAAAGTAACAGATCTATATAGAGTTGTTAATTTGTAGATAAATATGGGTTTTCTACTGTTGATGTTTCTTGATCCACACAAAGTGGTTATATTAATACTGAAACATTATTAATCAATAGTTTGCTCTTTAAAAATACATCAGTTAGACTACCCAATTACCTTTAAGTATATATCAAAGGGCACAAAGCAATCTGACGTACACGCAAAGTCCATTAGAAGCTACCAGACATATTAATTCAAATTTTTAGTTACAATGAACCTTACAGTGTGGGGACACATTTCTACTTTTGGTAATAAACAATTACTGGCTAACCGAAACGCTGAAATTTGCAAATAACATTTTGGAGCACGGAAAGGTCTTGGGGATTTTTGTGAAAATGAAATCCACAGATGACTTTATTTTACTTGAATCCAACTTATAAAAGGGCTTCAACTCAGGACTGTGAACTGAAAGATGCACAGGGCTTTTCTCCTATTTGTTGAAGGGGAAATGAGAATTCTCATATTTTGGAATTAAACATGACCAGAGTGGAAGTGGCTTTCAAGGACTGCAGGCAAAACCTCCTTTGAGATTAAAACACAACACACCAAAATACCGAGATGTGTATAACAAACACAACCACTTTTCCCTCCTGCTGCATGGCGGGGCATTGTTGATCAATGTACTTGTGACAAATGCCCACAATGAATAATCCTGCACTGCTTGGTCCACGTCCATTCAGCAACCATTCGTACTAATGGAAAGCTCTGAATTTGTGCCAAGAGGTAAGTAATCTTTTGTTTGGTCATCTAGCAACAGCAATAAGCTTTCCTTTCAAACTTCAATTCTCACTGCTAACAGCCCAGCTACACATCTCTTGTCTAAGAAGATCTGCCTAACCAACTTATTTACCAGCCTGGCACCTAGCATTCACAGATGTTCTTAGAGCTTAAAAAAAAAGAGGTCGGGTATGGTGGCTTATGCCTGTAATCCCAGCAATTTGGGAGGCTGAGATGGGTGGATCCCCTGAGGTCAGGAGTTTGAGACCAGCCTGGACAACTTGGCAAAACCCCGTCTGTACTAAAAATACAAAAACTAGCCAGGCATGGTGGCAGGTGCCCGTAATCCCAGCTACTCAGGAGGCTGAGGCAGGAGACTCACTTGAACCCGGGAGGTGGAGGTTGCAGTGAGCCGAGATTGCACCACTGCACTCCAGCCTGGGTGACAGAGCAAGACTCTGCTCCCCGCCCACCACCCCCTCAAAAAAAAGAAGAGGACATAGGTCCAAAATCTGTGAATGCTGTTTCCCCATCTCTCCCCCAACCCCCTCGGTTTCCCTGCCTCTAGTTACTCATTGCCAGGAGGCAGAGCATATACTCTCAAGGTACAGGAATGTGATTAATAGTACTAGGCTCACTAAACAAAGCTCGCAACTAAGACCTGGATGCCCTGAGGAGCTTGCTATAATGGTACTGGACTTTGCAGCCTCTTACATTTCTAATTGAGTTACTTTGTCAGAAAGTGGCAGCCTCATCACATCTAAAGGAGGTGGCCAAGAAGAAACATACCCGAGACCCACATTTAAACATCACGTACCTGCATTGTTCATTTTGGGATATACTCTCCCTCTCCACCTTGGTGTCTGTCCCTGGGCCATTATCCAGCACAAGCCATTTACTGAATCGTGTGAGGTGTAACTGTCATTCAACACAAGTGAAATCTTTACGTGAACATTAGTCACTGTTTTAGACATGTTAGCTTCAAGTGGAAGCAGTCAGTTATAGACTAGAGGTTTTATGGCTACATTATTACCATCATACTATTAGGTTTTCAGCAGTAGCATTCTGTTTGATCGATCTGTGCCAGGACATTGATGCATAGCTTTGTTCTTCAAATGTCAAATATGTGGGACTTCTGAACTTTATGCATTTACTGACACACTAATCTCCTGTAGATATCTTTTCCCCCTCTGCAGTGTTCAGCTTCAGCAGGTGATTGTGATTCCTTTCCTTAGAAGACCATGTAGGGCTTGTAATCACATTTATAATTTCCTTTCTATTCTCTCTCAAATGCGGAAACACTCCTGAGTTATTGACAGTTTAAAGAAGTCTTTAGCACACAAAGAGGACCACTTGCTGGTGTCAAGAAATAGATTTAGACATTTGTTTTTTTTTTCTTTCTGACATGCAGACCTCATACCAGAAATGAATTACCAATTTCAGAGTATATGTTAGATTTCCAGAATTTTGGCTTTCTGTGAAATTATGCTATTTCACCTGTCTTTCCTAATGCCACATTTAATTTTCAATTTTTTTACAAATATATTTCTAAGCCAAATCTTTGAACCGCATACACTTCAACCACTACCATTTCAATCCCCAAACATCACTAAATATGGTCCCACTTATACTATCAAATAGAACTTCTCATGTGCAGTACTTGAAGGCTTGCAGAAGATTCTAAGGGATGGATTTCCTTTCTGTTAAACTAGTAGCTCGTAAATCTGCCACTGGAGATCATCTGTTTCACATAATAGATCAAACAGAAACTCTGAGAAAGCCTTGCCCTCCACCAAAAAGCCACTGGACTTCCATTTTGTTTTTATTCAAGAACTTCCCGGAAGGCTCAGTATAGTCCTTGTAAATGCCGGTTTCCTTCCTGAGTCAAGCCAGTCCCCTCTTCCACCTTCACACTTCTACCTTAGGAACTATTCTACCATATTTCCTACCTTAGGACTCTCTAGGTTCTCTTGGGTCAGTTCATTAGCTAATGCCACGGGAAGAAGATTGCCCAATCTTTCCTGGCACTGGAGGCAGCTCTAGACACACCAGGAGAAATTCTCAGGACCCATTTATCATTCATTTTTTGAAGGCCAAAGGGTAAAAGGCTAATTAGTATCTGTGTTGGCAATATCATGGTGAGAATGCTAAATCACAGAAATCTGGCTTCCTATAAGTCTTTGTGTGTCTTAAAATGGGACCTCCTGCAATAGAGAGCCTCATCCATTTAGTGCAAGGGCAGGGACCCAGGCTGTGCTCCGATGGAGCAGGAATCCACTGCTGCTGTCAGCCCTCTATCGCTTCCCCACTGAAGGGCAGCATGGTTGGCCATTCTGAGGCCAGTAGTCCTCATTCCTCTCATCCCTGAATGCCCTAGCCAAAGGGGCACCCTTGCCCTCTGGCATGTCCCGGGGTGCTGCAGGAAGCATTAGCAGCTGGACTGAGCCCAGGCACTTGTGCTGAATGTGATTCTGATCTCTCCAGGCACAAAGCGGAGGGAATCATCTTGACCCCAACACTCACATTCAGCTTCAGCCTCACACATGCTTAAATGGAACCATTCAAGCAAGCGTTTCTCACAAAAACTAGCTAGTGTACAAGTCCAAATCTCTATTAGAAAAGGCACACTTGAAGCCTGGAGTCCTTGGTAGAATGCATGCATTTTACCTAAACCTACTTTTTATTGAGCAAATAGCTAGGTGGAAATGTCAGTTCTGGATGCTAGGCTTGTTCTCATTTAGCCCTGGGATCTTATTTGATGTAGTGCTCATGTAATCAGGGACACAACAACCCCAAAACCAACATGCTTGTGTGAAAAGCTCAGGAATGCCACGTTCTATTAGGTTGGTGCAAAAGTAATGGCAAAAACCACAAGTACTTTTGCACCATCCTATAGAAGTAACCTGAGAGTGCTGGATTACTCACCTGCTTCTACCTGCCTCAGCAAACTCTCAGCCACAGTCGATGGACAGGAGCCAGGTGGAAGAGCACCTCCTGTGGAGAGGTGGCTTGGTGCCCAACACCACGAGAATACTGCTGAATTTACTCCGCAATTCCTGTGGGAGACAGAGTGGCAGATTAAGCTGCAGAGATGCAATGGAGGTCCTGACTAAGGAATTTTAATGTAAAAATTCTGAGGCTTAAACTTCATTCTTCAGCTAACTGGTGTCGTCCTTCCAATGGGAATCTAACAAGAGTTATACCAGGGCTTGAAGAGCAAGCATGTGAATGTATTGGAACCAATTTAAAGCTCAAAACAAAATGAACAGGAAGACTCACCAACACTCCATTAAAATAAAACATGAAGGCTCACTGAGGCATGCAGCTGAGCCGTCAGTTCTTTTGTTCTTCCTTTGTCTCAAGCTCATGAGAGACCATGGTGGGTTGGTGGGGCAGTTGTGAAGGTGTGTGTTGGGTGGGTCGGGGGGGGGTTCCTACCATCTTGCTTTGTTTTAATCTACCTTGGAAGTATGTGTTCTAGGGCCCCCTGGTAAATCTAGTCTAGCCTTAATTATGAAGTCACACGTGAAACATGGGCAAAGAAAACCTTCCTGTCAACAAGATCTTCATGGAATGAGGACGGAATATACTGTCCACTAGCAGGCAGCTCTTAAGGACCACATTCCTGAAAATCAAATAGAAAGCCAGGATTTAGTAGGAAAATAAGGAAGAGTGCAGGTGGGCATAAAAAAAAGGTTTAACCTACAGAAAGTCAGCGAATTCCAAGTCTGATCATTGGAAGTGCCTGGAAGTTGTGTAAAAATACACATTTTCAGATGGTGGCCAGGCTTGGTCACTGAAGGAACCAAATTTTGGTTTTGGAACACTTAAAACCTGTTTCCATGAACGAGAAATAATGTACTAGTAGGTGACCAAAAAGCCCTTAACCAAGCAAAGTTTTATTAACCCAATGGGACAGGAAGCACCTCCATGAATGAAGCAAAACACCATTAAAAAATACATACAGGCCGGGCGCGGTGACTCAGGCCTGTAATCCCAGCACTTTGGGAGGCTGAGGCGGATAGATCACGAGATCACGAGTTTGAGACCAGCCTGACCAACGTGGAGAAACCCCATCTCTACTAAAAATACAAAAAATTAGCCAGGTGTAGTGTTGGGCATCCGTAATCCCAGCTACTGGGGAGGCTGAGGCAGGAGAATTGCTTGAACCCTGGAAGTGGAGGTTGCAGTGAGCCAAGATCGTACCATTGCACTCTAGCCTGGGCAACAGAGCGAGACTCCATCTCAAAAATAATAATAAATACACAGAGCCCAGAATTCACATATCTGACTATTAAGATGGACATTTCTTCTTCCTTGGTCCTCTTGAGTGCAGCTCCATTTACTGTAGACTTTCTGCCCAGCTCCTGGCTCTCTTCTCACAAACTGGCCAAGCTTTTGGCTACTGTCTTTTAAGAACCCTGTAAATGTGAAGCGCTGCAATTATTATTCATGCAGCTTTTGTTTATCTTTCCAGAAGAAACAATTGAGCTGTAGCAGATGAGTGATGGTTGCAGGGCTGTGGTGACGGTAAAAGCCACTGCAGGTGGAGTGGCTTAATGGGGTATTAATTGGGAAGCAGGTGAAGGCAAATAGGTAGCACAGCAGGTATGTAAATAGGCTCGTGGGAGGAAAGGCATTGAATTTTATGCTCTTTAACTAAAAATAAAGACCTGATATTTAGCTTATCTTTGCTGAAATCCGCACTGTGAGGGCCCTGACAACCGCCGACATCATCAATGATTCATTATTATCTCAGCATCATCTAGGCTACTTAATAGGATCTTCAGCCTCTTCATTTTTCATTGTTTCAGCTGATTCTTTGGCTTTAGAATGTATGCTTTTCCTTCTCTCTATGCATACCGAGGCCAGAACAATGTTTGTAGATTGTGTAGTAGAAGTGACATTCGGACCTGTAGCCTGCCTTCTGGTGGCATCTTTTTGCTCTAGCTGTTGGGAGGAACAGAGCAAATGTACCGTGTGACTATGGATAATGAGCCTACGAAGAACACATACATTCAAATGAATATTCTCCTTCAAAGTAGTCACCTTGAGAAGCGAAACACTTATTCCTGGACCATCTTTGGAGCAATGGCTTTTTGGGAAAGCCAATGATTATTTTCAGAGCTGACGTCTCAGTCACCCACAGGAAAAAATCCTTACATATATTCATTCCTTATTTTCTACTCCTGAGCATTGTCCAACATCATGGCCTCCTTTATTCATCACACTTAGTGCTAAAGGATATTTGGCTTTTAAAGTCCCATCCTCAATGCAGGGGACTGGATGTTGCTCAGGGATTCCAAAGAACACATGCCTCAGGCTTCCAGGAAAGAGTTCCGTGAAATGTCCCAAGCACTGGCAGCCTCTTTGGGACAAGTGTTGACTAGCTACTCAGCACAGCACACACAGAGATAATCTGAAAGCTGGGTATGCTAGTTGACAAGTACATACACATTATTTTAAGGATACCTTTTTATTTAATAGCAACTTAGAAAATTGTTAAAAACAAATCACTCCATATTTCTCTTCCAATTAGTCTTCTCCATGGCAATACACTGGTGCAAAGTGGAGGGGGAAGAGGGGGGTTTTGGATTCTTTGTTACTCGGCTGGCTCACATTTGTTGTTTTCTCTGGGGAGAAGCAGCGTCGGTTTTAAAGACATGTTTAGCCTTTTACTGTTGAAATAGCTAAATATCAGTGGAGCTCGCACAGGCTAAATATTAGTGGAGCTACAGTTTGTACCCCATAAAATGAATTAGGTTTATATTATCATGCAGATCTTTTCCTGTAGTTGAAGTGCTCATTAATTTTACTGCTAATGAGATGTTAGCAATTAAATACCTTTAATTAATGAAAATCAGACAAAAGCAAGGGCTGCTCTCTGTGCCTTCATAAAAACGGGAAATGTTTGTAGATCTCATTGTGAATTTTGTCTGTAGAAGGACCACAAATCTGAGATATTTTTTCTGGTCCAGAGAAAGTCATTAAAAGATTTCACTTTTAGAAAATTAAACAAATAGGCATTTTGGGATGTTATAAAGATTATCTGAGATTGGGGGGAAAAAAAGTATCCATAACTGAGAGCCAGTACTACATGTAATAGCAAATTTCATGGTTGAAGATGCAACAGGATTGAGTACAATTAATAGTTCTGTAGCCGTTGTAGAGTTCTGGGTAGGCCCTGAACACATAATTAGATTATTAAAAATGGCCTGTCTTAGACTGACTATTACTAAATTGAAATCCAATTATGGTTTTATGATTTTGCTGAAAAATATTTAGCTGTTTTGCTTGAGTCCTCCTAGAAGATCATTTCCTCTTTGCATCACCATTTGCACATGTCACAATACATTTTCCAAACAAATCTGACCTCAATTATCTTGGAATCAATCTTACATTAGATAAAATATATTTTAATGAGTGTTTTTATGTCTAATATTATAATTGTGCCTCTCTATACTTGAGGAATTAAAAGATGGCGATAGAAGTCTTTGCAAATATCTTTTTAATGGGAGACATGCATATTTTAGAAATAACTAAATTGTGCCATCTTAATACACAGAAAGGCATTATGCTCAAATATGTGCCTGAGTGTGTGGTAAGACAAACTTGATTCGGTTTTCAGTAATTGGCAATGGAACTGTAATAAAGCAGTTGTTTGCGAAGAGACAGGCTGAGAAATTTCATGCACTCCTGCAGTGTGGATTTAAATGCTAAGTTAAATATTTATGAACCCGAGATTTTTATAGTTGATCATTGTATGATTTATACACCGTAATTATAATTAGGTTGAAAGAGATTTTAAAAAGCCAGTTTCCTGGTAGCCAAGGCCATTAAATAACGCTAAGCTGCCAAAACAAAAATTAGGTGGGAACCCAGCCACCAAGTTCCAAATGCCTGTCCCTCCATCTGATGTACAATGAGGCACTACACCTTACCAGGCGCCTCACCTGAAGCATCAACTCCTGTATCACCTGCAACCATTTTTCATGCCTTTGTTTCAAAGCTAGTTGAACA
Organism: Homo sapiens; assembly: GCF_000001405.40. Lineage (NCBI taxonomy): Eukaryota > Metazoa > Chordata > Mammalia > Primates > Hominidae > Homo > Homo sapiens. The sequence goes on along the minus strand of NC_000010.11, from coordinate 116,135,046 downwards.
CAAACAAGTAGAAAACTTCAGAGATCCAATGTATAACAAAAGGAAAAGGTGGAGGAGGTTGGAAAGGTTAATTAAAAATGTAATGATCCCATTTTCTGGGACAGCACTATTAATCATTGCGCAGCAGCAAGCATGTGACTTGCACACCACTTACAGGAGATATCCAATTTTTTAAGGTTTGCACAGCAGAGGGTGCAGGCAAGCGACAGAATGTGCGTTAAGGAAATGGAAGCGCTAATGGATAAGGCTAGCCCATGACTTGTGGTTAACAAGGGGAACTGTCTTTACCAGACCAAAGAATTATTTCCAAACTTACAGGTATTCAAAATAATTCAGTCACTGTGAGCCCCAGAGAAAACTTGGGTATGGCTTGCAGCTTAATGTAGTTGTGTAAGGTATGAAAAAACAGAACTAGGAGGAATTTCATCATCATGTAATACAATATGTCTGAAACAGTGTACGAATGACAAAATGGGTTCCAAACAGCCAACATGTGCTTTTTAAATGTAATTTTTAGCACCCTAGCTGGAAAAAGCCAAGCTCTTGAAGGATCAGTTACAAGGGTCACAACCTGTATGATCAAATTTGCCATACGATCCGTGTGGATATCAGAAGCCCAGACTGTCACTGTGAGCTTGCAGAAAAGTTTGCCTACACCTGTGAAGATTTGGCATCTTTTACCCATTTTTTAATTTTCTGGGAAAACACATTAGAGGGAGCCTATTAGAAGAAGAACAGTAGTTATATTAACATAGTAATTAATCAAGTCAGAAAGAAAAAGAGGAAACAAGTTGTGAATTCAATTCTGCAGCCTTAAAAAGAAAGGCAGAAAGATACCCAGAAATTGGCAAGCATGTGCAAACAAACGTTCTTTTATTGTCTTGTGAATTTTTGCTTCGTAAATCATATCTCTTGCAGGCCATGCAGATTTTAATATATTTACTGTTTTATTCTACCTCATAATCCATAGAAATAGATTTCTAGTTGCTTGCATCTGTGTTTCATCCTGAATCGTTTCAACTGGTTAGCTGGCCCTGGTGTTTGCCAATAACGGTGGCATTTTCTAAGTGTAAATAATCAGGGCTGCTGGCCACAGTGATAGCCTCTTACTTGGGACAGTGTGAGGATTGTATTTGAGATAAAGGCAGTTCCTTGCTCCAGAGGAATTTAGAATATGAAAGCTTCTCCCATGACATAATTCATCCCTGACACTTCCACATCTCGCTGTGTTGGAGGGACCTTTTACATTTGCTCTGCCTGCAGGTCAGGGCTGAAATCATTGGTCCATGTACTCCTTTGGAGCCGCAGACCGCGGAGAGGCCAGCGCCTCCAAGTGCATAGACCCTCTGGCTGGGGTTTTACATTCTGTCCCTCATCACCACATTTTATTCTAAATATTTGACGTTATAGTCAGAAAAGGCAGATTACATTAGAACCATCAAATCAAAGAGCCTTAAGGCTTGAAGGGACCTTAGATATATCATCTCACAAATAGGGAAACTGATGCCCATGGGGGGAAAGCTGACTTGTATGAAAACGCTCAGATGATTGGACCACATTTAAAACCCAGATGCTCCTCACTCCTAATCCATGGCTCCTTCAGCAGCACCTGACCCTTTTTGTCCTAGGTTTTGGGATCTCACCCTCGGTTGCCATGAATGTTATACCTCCCATGGCCAAGAAAACAAGAAACAAGTCACCACCAGATGTGATCACAGCCAGAGAGGCTTAGAATGATGGTAAAGAAAGCAATACGTAACCTGCAAAGTGACAACATGGCTGTGTGGAATTTGAAGTGAAAATCTGGTTAAATGGCATTCTCGGTAATACAGAGCCGAGGCTGGAGAGGAGCACATTAGCTGAGCACAACCCACTCGCATATGCACTCCCCCAAGAAAAAAGGATTTCTAGTAAACAGCGTTCATTCTGAGAATACTTCCCATTCAGACAGCGTCCCAGACATTCTACCAAGTTAAAGAATGAATAACAGCAGATGGAGGGAGAGATTAGAGGGGGAGGGGAGGGGGGAAAGCAACATTTTAATGCTGAGCTCTAAAATGAGCTGTGGAGAGGATGGCAGTTAGAGTTATAGTAAAGCTGTTCAGAAGCCTTCCCACGCAGGCGAGAAGGCGCTTGTGCCCAGACCGTAAAACACAGGCGGGCTCCTGATCCTCCGTGCGGTGTGTGAGCTGATGGAGGGCTGGCTTTGACTCCAAGGGTGTAAATTGAATCATTCTCCCCTCTCCTCCCTGTGCCCTCAAGTCATTGAGGTAGTATTTTCGTGCACTGGGGGATCCATTCAATAGATATAGAGGATCAATCTTCTTACCGGGTGAAAACTCAACCCTAATTTATATATCCTGTGATTTCAGCAGTGTTTATTTTTAACTTCATTGCAGTAGGATCCGCAGTATCAGGGCCCCGGAGAGAGCTGGAGGTGGATTTGTGAGGGACTAAGTTAGCGGGCGAAAGGAGGGGAGGGGCCAAGAGTGATTTCCCATGTGCCGTGCGCAATTGCCCATGTGAAACTTTTTGAAAAGAGTAATAATAAGGTAGGCATGAATTTATTTTTTCCAATATTTTATTATGAACATTTTCGAACATACAGAACAGTGGAAAAAAAATATGGTTAATGCATATATACTCAGCACCTGGATTCCATATTCACATCTGAATGTGCTGTATGAGCGCCCATATGTCCATCCTCTAAGTTTTTAAAATTCATTTATGAATATACTGCCCCTAAACGCTTCAGCACACATATGACTAACCAGTGTTCAATATTTGTTTAGGCTATTTCTTTTTGTGTTTTGTTGTTGTTTGTTTGTTTGTTCTTTGAGACACACTTTCGCTCTTGTCACCCAGGCTGGAGTGCAGTGGTGTGGATCATGGCTCACTGCAGCCTTGACCTTCTGGGCTCAAGTAATCCTCCCACCTCAGCCTCCCGAGTAGCTAGGACTACAGGCACATGCCACCATGCCTGGGTGATTTTTAAATATTTTTGTAGCGACAGTGCCTCCTTATATTGCTCAAGCTGGTCTCGATCTTCTGGTCTCAAGCAATCCTCCCACGTCAGCCTCCCAAAGTGCTGGGATTACAAGCATGAGCCACTGTGCCTGGCCTTTTTTTTTTTTTTTTTTTTCCTTTTGAGATAATGTTTACATAGGCACAAACCTTAAGCATACTATCTCTGAGTTTTGGCCCAAACTGTTCAACACAAGCCATTATCAAGGTAGAGAACATTACCATCACCCCCAGAAAGTTATCTCTTATTCCTTCCTAGCCAATCCTCACCCCCATTCCCTGGAAGCAGCCAGTCTTTTAATATTTTAAAAATCATAAATTAGTTTTGCCTATTCCCGAACTATATATATAATCATACTGTGCGTACTTCTGTGTGTAGTCTTTTATTTATTTTTTTGAGATTCATCCATGCTATTTTGTGTATCAACAGTTCATCTCTTCTTATTTCTGAGTAGCAGTCCACGTGGATAACTGTGGATAGATCACAGTTTGTTGAGCCATTTTCCTATTGATGGATACATGGGCTGTCTCCAGTTTTGATTATTATCAATATGCTGGTATAATATTCTTGTTCAAGTCTTTTGTGGACATATGTTCAAGTTCTCTTGGATAAAAACCTAAAAGTAGAATTTCTGGGCCATAGGGTAATTGTATGTTTAGTTTTATAAAAAGCTACCGAATGTTTTTCCACAGTGGTTGAACCATTTTCCATTCCCACCAACAATGTATGAGAATTCTAGGAACATCACATTTTGTTAAATAACATTTGATGTCAAATTTTAACCATTGTGGTGAGTGTAGAGTGTATCTCATTGTGGTTTCATTTTGCATTTCTCTGATAACTAATGATGTTGAACACATTTCAGATGCTACTTGGCCATTCATTTATCTTATTCTGTGAAGTGTCTGTTCAAAGATTTGGCCCATGTTTAATTGGGTTGTTTTCTTATATTGAGATTTGGGCATTTTTAATATATTTTAGATACCAGTCCTTTGTCAGACGTATGTTTTGTGAATATTTTCTCCAGTCTGTGGTTTGTCTATTCATTTTCTTAGCAGTGTCTTTTGTGACCAGAAGTTTTTAATTTTGATGAACTCTACCTTACCAACTTTTTATCTTTTATGGTTATTGCTTTCTGTGGTCTTGTCTCAGAAATATTTGTCTAGCTCCAAGATTATCTTATGTTTCTTCTAAAAGCTTTATGATTTTAGCTTTTATGTTTAAGTCTGTGATCCATATTACATTAGTTTTTGTGTATGGTATGAAGTAGGGATTGAGGTTTTTTGTTTGTTTGTATTTGGGTTTTTCTTTTTTAAAAATTATTATCCAATTATTCTAGTACCATATGTTGAAAAGACTCTCTTCCCCCATTGGATTTCTTCAGTGTTGCTTTCAAAAAAATCAAGTGACTGTAGATGTGTGGGATATTTATGAGTTCTCTCTTCTTTTCCATTGTTCAATTTGTCTATGCCTATACTGTACCACACTATCTTGATAACTTAAGCTTTATAGTAAACCTTGAGAAAGGTTAGTGTGAATCCTTCAACTTTGTTTTCCTTGTTCCAGTTGCTTTAGTTATTCTGTGTCCTTTGCGTTTCCATATAAGCTTTAGAATCTGCTTGACAATTTCAAAACATTTTATGATTTGGAGATAATTGTCTATAAGCTTATATATGAGTTTAAAAAATTGGCCTAGTATATACCTTCTTTGTTGTAATAATATTAGTTGTCTTTTTAAAGTTGTTAAAACTATATAAGCTATTAAGTTTTAATAATATTGAGCCTTAATAATCATAAAGTATTGAGTATTTTGATCCATGAACATGGTATATATTTCCATTTATCAGGTCTTCAATTTTTATTAGCAGTGTTTTTATTTTTCAGTGTAGAGGTCTTGCATGTCTTTTGTTATATTCCTTTTAAGTGCTTTTTTTTTTTATTCATTGATCGTGCTGTAAATAAAATTATTTTTCAAAATTTCATTTTCTAATTTTTTTGCAGCTAACATATGAAAGTGATGGCTATGTTAATTAGCTTGATTTCGTCATTCCATAACATTAAACATATATCAAGGCATCACATTTTACTTCATAATATATATAATTATTATTTGCTAATTACAAATAAAACTCTTAAAAATGAAGCTTGTAGACTCAAAAAAATCCTAAATACTCTGACTTGATCACTACACATTTTATGCATTAATGAAAAATCACATATGCCTTATAAATGTGTACAAACACTATGTATCAATAAAAATAGTATGTATTTTTCAAAGTACAATTACTTTTTGTATATTAACTTTGTACCCTGTGACTTTGCTAAACTCACTTATTATTTCTAGTAGTTGTTTTGTAGATTCTTTAGAGATGTATAGGACATCCAATACAACATTGACTATAAGCAGTAAAAGGGGAATCCTTTGTTCTTGATCTTAGTATTTGACCATGAAATATGACTTTAGTTATAGGTTTTTCATAGCTGCTCTGTATCAGATTGAGGAGATTCTTTTCTATTCTTAATTTGCTGAACTTTTTTCTATCATGGATGAGTATTGAAATTTATTGAATGCTTTTTCTTTATCTAATGAAATATATGGTTTTCCTACTGTATTCTGTTAGTGCAGTGAATTACATATATTTTTAAATATTAAACTAACCTTGCATTCTTGAGATAAACCCAAGTTGGTCACGATGCATTAGCCTTTTAAGATATTGCTAAATACAGTTTACTAAAGTTTGGGGAATATTGTTGCATCTGTATTCGTAAGCAATATCAGTCTATTATTTTCTTCTTTTGTCTTTGTTCAGTTCTGGTATTTGGGTAATGCTGACCTCAAATGTCAAGTTCGGAAAGGTTATAAAAATATTTTGTGTGAATGAGAATCTGAAATAAAAAGGAAGTCAGATGTTCACCTGTGAGCTATGAATTAATAGTTTTTTCCCCTTTGAATATTCCAGGTTGCGGATTCTAGAATTTGTCACAGGCTCTGAAATAATGTAAGGAGATGGTGCTCTGGCAAGAGTTATATATAGATGAAAATAGAATCAGTAGAAAGTGAGGCTAAGTCACACCTACTGCTATATGAAGTAAACTTTGAGCAATTGGTTTAGACATAAAATGATTCACCCTGTTCCAACTTTGTACAAAGCCTTTTTAAAAAAAATATTGCTTTTCTAATAACATTAAGAGGAAAACCTTAACAGCATATGTAGTTTTAACAACTTTAAAAAGGTATTATTATAACAAAGAAGGTATAACCTAGGCCAATTTTTTTTTTTTTTTTTTTTTTTTTTGAGACAGAGTCTCACTCAGTCCCCCAGGCTGGAGTGCAGTGGCGCAGTCTTGGCTCACTGCAAGCTCTGCCTCCCAGGTTCACGCCATTCTCCTGCCTCAGCCTCCCGAGTAGCTGGGACTACAGGCGCCCGCCACCAAGCCTGGCTAATGTTTTTGTATTTTTAGTAGAGACGGGGTTTCACTGTGTTAGTCAGGGTGGTCTCGATCTCCTGACCTTGTGATCGGTCCACCTCGGCCTCTCAGAGTGCTGGGATTACAGGCATGAGCCGCCGCACCTGGCACACTAGGCCAATTTTTTTTTAAGCCTGTGTATAAGCTTGTGGACTCCTTACAGAGAAAAATAAATTTCCTAGATGTTACGTGTTGACTTTCGTTATTTTTATTATGATGTTATTTGAAACTTATAAACATAAAACTGTAAGCTCTTATTCTTGGCTTTTACACAACTATGAAAACAACACACATAAATACAAACAGAACTTTGAAAACAATGAAATGCAGGCTAATAACATTAATTGAGTGTAAGAGATAATATTATTTTGCTGAAACTAAATTGGTGCTTACAGTCTGAATGTAGTGCTCGGCTTCTCCATGGGTCCTTTTGAGTTTGGCAGGCCTGTATTACTGAGTGCCATGTATTGACTCGATTCTTCAGGCATTTTTCTCCATTTGAACTGTTTGTTCTTATCTCACTGACCACTTCCTTGAAGTATTAATCTAGCTCTGTGTCTCTGTTCTTTCCCTTTTAGCCAGAGATTATAAAGTGCCATTCAACATCAATACAAATGTTAAGTGTAGGTAGTGAAATTGTGTACCAGTACCCAGCCTTAAAAGTCTGATCCAGAATATGGTCATATTAATTTGTTTTAGATTATCATCAAAAATGCATAACTTAGAAATCTAGAGAACTGTTGACTTTCAAGAATATAAATCACTGCCCTGGGCTCAATAGCAAAATGTTAGAAGTCTCAAAAGAGGAGAAGGCTAGAAGTGTCACCAAGGCCCAGAGGCCCTGGTGGCCCTTTCAGGGCACATGGCGACTATTTCACTCCTGAGTCCTGAGAAGCCTGAGTGTGGAAATAGAGGAGCTAGAGAGGAGCAGGCATAGAAAGAGCGAGATGGAGAAACAGTACCAGGTGTGCTTGTTAAAGCCGGGATGGATGTGCAGCTGCCAACTTCCTGTACTCCACACCCAAGAAGGGCTCCTGTCTTGCTTATTGCCTTCTACAGCAAATTTCTTGGACTCTGATGTTACAGGAAGACACATGAACCTAGAGCACAATAAAATATGACTCATGGCGCCAGGGAATAATGGTGTGATTTCAGATATTTACATATGGGTTTTCTGAAAGCAAGACGCATCTTCAGTAGAACAGGGAGAATTGTTCTTTTCCTAAAATGTTGGACTTGCTTTGTGTGCCCTTTGTCTATTTATGTACAATATTTTTAATCGTAGCAAGAACATTTTGCATGCAATCTACCCTCTTAACAAAGTTTTAAGTGTACAATAGAATATTGATAACAATCGGCACAGTGTTATAGAGCAGATCTCTAGAACTTATTCATCTTGCATGACTCAAACTTTATTCCCTTTGAAGAGCAACTCCCCATTTTTTTTTTTTTCATTTTCTTCTCCAGCCCCTGGCAACCATCATTCCACTCTCTGCTTCTTTTGAGTTTGACTATTTTAGATTCCTCCTATACGTGGAATCAGGCAGTATTTGTCCTCCTGTGACTGGTTTATTTCACGTAGCATAATGTCCTCGAGGTTTATCCATGTTGTTACGCATTGTAGGATTTCCTTCTTTTTCTAAGGCTGAATAATATACCGTGTGCCCTTTAGACGTGCAGCAAATGCACTGCCCTATCTTTCAGTCCTACCTAACCGAACTGTGCCTTCTCTCTTGTCACTTCTTTAGCCTTTTGTCATTTCCTAAATGCCTTCCTGGTCCCTATCAACTGGGGGCACATAAGCAGAATGAAAGGAGGTCATAGAATCCATGAAGGGGCTAAGGCCTGAGGAGGAACTTGCCGGGGTGTCTCATCCCACAGCTGTGCAGTGCTTGTCCAACACCTCCCTGCCCGCTCCAGAGAATCACTACTACACCTCATCATCACTACTCCATGGACCACCTTATATGTTGTTTCTGGAAGGTTTTTTCCATCACTTCCCTCTCCCTGCAGAAACATTCCTCTATTGGGGACAGGGCTGAATTCCTGTTGTCCATTCATCCTTTAACCTTGCTGTTGGGCTTGGCCTTGGCCTGCCTGCCCAGGCACCGAGTGGGCCCTGCCTCCACCATGCTCTCGCTGCAGACAGCAGAGGGCAGGCGGTGTGGACAGCACAGAGCAGGCAGTGTGGACAGCACTGGCTTCCCTGGTGGTATGAGTGCACAGGGCTTGGGCAGAAGGCAGCATATGCTCTGTGAGCTTCCTGGAGCCCATTGAAATTCTATTCAAAATACAAGCTGAATTTTTCTAATCTAGAACCTCAGTACTCATAGAGCCCACGTGTTGTCTGTGGTGAGTTAAGTGGTAATTGAGAGGTTTGCAGATTTTTATGTGATTTATCCTGGTTTTCTTCCAACGCCCTGCGAGCTAAAATTTAAATACAGCTTCGTTGTGGTGGCTTCTTCCTGTTTAGAGAATCTGGCATAATATTTTGTCTTCTGGGCTCAAATAACCATGTAATTACTGTGTAATCATATAGTAATTAGCATGTACTATATGCATTTATTACATAATTACATTCTTGGAGGATTGTATGGCAATTATACTTGCATTCAGCATATCATGAACAAGTATATAATTTGTTGTTTTTTTCTTTTATCCTAATTTCAGTTTACTAACCAGGGGCTGGAAGCTTATTCTCCTGTTGCCTCATTTGCATGTAGTGGGGCAGGTGCCCGAGTTTTGGCCTCACCTAGCGCCTCCTAATTCTACATCTGTGGGAATATTAGGGGCTTTTGTGCTGCCGTAGACTCCTGGTATTTGTACTCCTAGCACTTTCTCTTGTCATGAAGTCATTAAGTTATTAGCTTCAAAACTCATTAAGTTCTAGAGCCGCTGGCAATGCCAGATAAATGGCAGGATCTCAATTAAAACAGAGTAGGTGAGAACACAGAGCCGAGCACTGTGACCATGCCTGTCTTTCTCTGCATTTGCAGTGGAGCACATTCCCAAAGGGAACAACTGCCTGGATGCAGCGAAGGCCTGCAACCTCGACGACATTTGCAAGAAGTACAGGTCGGCGTACATCACCCCGTGCACCACCAGCGTGTCCAACGATGTCTGCAACCGCCGCAAGTGCCACAAGGCCCTCCGGCAGTTCTTTGACAAGGTCCCGGCCAAGCACAGCTACGGAATGCTCTTCTGCTCCTGCCGGGACATCGCCTGCACAGAGCGGAGGCGACAGACCATCGTGCCTGTGTGCTCCTATGAAGAGAGGGAGAAGCCCAACTGTTTGAATTTGCAGGACTCCTGCAAGACGAATTACATCTGCAGGTAAGTGGGCACTGGCAGCTGGTGATTAATGAGGTGACAGGGAAAGTCTTGGCGGCTGCTTCGGCTGCCAAGCTCCCTTTTCTGTGCTTCTACCAAGGTAGAGGAGGGAGGGGAGCCCAGTCCATTTGAATGGATTGGCAAAAATCTGACCTCTGTGTCTGCCACGGGGTTCTTCAGAAGCTATTCAGGCCTCCCTGCTGGGGAAAGTTCCCATCTTTAACCTGAGAATGCTTTGAGGGATGCTGGAATGAGGTAAAATACCACTGCCTTTCCTGGATACCTCTCAGGTGAGAGGGTCACCTGGGGTGAGGTGACCTTAAGGCACACACCTGCTGCTCAAGTCCTGAGGGCTGCCAGTGATTAAGTCGAGAGGAGCTGGCTGGAGCTTTGGAGGCTTTTGACCTTCAGGGGCAGAAACTTGGAAGAGACCAGTGAGAGGGACTGAGCAGTGTCCAGCCTTGGGGAGAACTTTGAATGCCTGGGTCTGTTCTGGACTGTTCTGTCGCTGTGAAGAGGTCACCTTCCCACTTAGCTCATCTCCCAGATCTCAGCCTCCACCAGAAACCTGCTGAGCCTGGATGATGTTGTTGAAAGCATTCACTTCTTTTTGCTTTTTGGCCATTTCTGAATTTACTTTGATATCTGAAGGAGTCCATGAATACATTTTCTGTGTTTAAAAAAGAAAAAACTGGCCGGGTGTGGTGGCTCACGCCTGAAATCTCAGCATTTTGGGAGGCTGAGGCGGGTGGATCACCTGAGGTCAGGAGTTTGAGACCAGCCTGGCCAACATGGCAAAACCCCATCTCTAGTAAAAATACAAAAAATTAGCCGGGCATGGTGGCAGGCGCCTGTAATCCCAGCTACTTAGGAGGCTGAGACAGGAGAATCGCTTGAACCTGGGAGGTGGAGGTTGCAGTGAGGCGAGATGGCACCACTGCACTCCAGCCTGGGCGACAAGAGTGAAAATCTGTCTTAAAAAAAAAAAGAAGAAGAAGAAGAAGAAAAGAAAAACCACAGGCCTGGCGCGGTGGCTCACACCTGTAATCCCAACGCTTTGGGAGGCTGAGGCAGGCAGATCGCTTGAGGTCGGGAGTTCGAGACCTGCCTGGCCAACATGGTGAAACCCTGCCTCTACTAAAAATACAAACAATAGCCAGGCGTGGTAGTGCATGCCTTTGGTCCCAGCTACTCAGGAGGCTGAGGCAGGAGAATTGCTTGAACCTGGGAAGTGAAGGTTGCAGTGAGCAGAGATCATGCCACTGACCTACAGCCTGGGTGAGTGAGACCCTGTCTCAAAACAAACAAACCAACAAACATAAACCACAAACAGCAATATAGACGTAGGTAGAGTGAAAAGATAAAGTTACCCTTCACTCTGCTCCCATTCACCCCCAAGCTTCAGGCAGTCACTGTTAACCATTTCATGTGTGTCCTTCCCAGAACTTAGTGTTGAATTCAATTGCTGATCGAAGCAGGTAGATTTGGGGTATCATATTGAAAAACAGCTGTACTTTGTCCCCAGGTAGAAGCCCTCAATATATGCTAAGCCAGTGGACAAGCAGATGGGTTTATGACCATGTACTTGTTTCCTATTGGTTCCCCGTTTCTAAAAAGCCAAGAGCAGAAAAAATAATGTCTGTGATGTTGAAGATTCTGAGTTTCTGTTCAACTTAAGTTTTATTCTGGTAGAATGGGAACCCACTCTTTCCTTAAACCAGCTGTAATAATGACCAAAGAAAACTGTAAGTCCTTGTCATCTGTATAACCCTCTCATGCTGAAGACTTTTTGGGAGTAATGTTTCTCCTCCTTTCTAAAAAAAGTTGGAAGCAAGTGACCTGCTGTATGAGGAAGGACTCGGATGACCAAGCGTCTTATGAACTGAGTTTGCATCTTGGGAAGAAACAGGTGTTCCAGCAATGCAATACAAGGACCCTTCCTCACTTCCAAGCCCCTGTTTCATTGAGGCCCTCTTAGCTGTGGGCTAGGAGCAGGGATGGGTGTGCCAGAAGGGTCCTGAGAAAGAGGCAGAGCCTCAGCAAGCCAGGAACCTGGGGAAGCCAATCAATTAGGGTGTCGAAGCACCCTCTGCTGAAGATGAATAAAATGAATGCAGCCAAGAAGCTGTAGGGAGCTTTGCTCGGGGTCCAGCGATGGGATGGAGCAGAGATCCTGAAGATCTCTGGATGTGAAACTCCAATTCCTGGCCCCCTGTAGTCTCTAAGCAGAAGGGATCCCCATTCTGGGAGTAGGACTGGATTTCTAGGGTCTTACTTGGCTTAATGCCAGACAGCTCCTCCCTGTCTCTATAATAAGATGTGATCTTGTCCACTGATGGGTCCAAGCCAGGAGACCTGGGCTTTTGTTCCTGCCTCAAGATGGGAAGCTGTATGGGGTAGAAATGGAGCTGTGGATGAGTCTTCCATCTATTGAACGATGGCTGGGAGGTGGGAGAGGTGGTGGTGATGGAGCCTTTCCTTCCTGTTCTCCCAGGTTTATCTTACACAAGATGGCCAGAGAAGGTCTGAGACCTCCCCCACACATATTGAGAAAGCCCATATTGAGCAGATAATTTGCATTCTCTGGCTTGTTCTTCTAAAAAGAGAGTATCCTTTGAGGGTTGGTGAGAATTCATTAGATCAAATTGCTTTCCTGCTAAGCTGTAGTGAGAATAGCTGGGAGTTGAGAACTTAGAGGGCTCTGGGGGAGGCGATGGGAGGAACCTGCAGATAACAGGATGGTTTAGGTGATGTCTAGGGCCTCAGGCTGAGGAAGGAACAAGTTTCAGGAACTGTTTGTGACATCCCTGATAGCAGGGAGTGGACTCAGCTGACGGCACAGAAATGTACAACAGGAAGCAGACAGCCCTTGTCTATGTATTGACTTTGCCCGATCTTCCTGGAGTGGACAGCAGCCACCATGCAGTGGGGTGAAGGATCCCTGGGCTGGATGGTGGGACTAGTGGCGTGTCTGTGCTGCTGCCACGTTTCTGGCTCTGGGAGAAGCTCAGAGGCTGTTTAGGAATCCAGATCTAGACTGTCCTGGGGCCCTACCCAGTGAAATTTGTCTCAGTGTGATTGATGGGTTTTATACACTGTCTTGAGCCTTTCCTGGGAAGGTGAATCCGTGACTTCCCTGGTGTTACCCATTGTCAAGTGATTTAGCCCATAATTTCTTTCCAGAGCCTGGATTTATTACTCATGATTACCCCCTCCCTCTCAGAGGTGCTAAATATAATTTGAGCTGCTAGGTTGGCTAGCAGTGTTTGCTTCCATCAGATTTTATTACTCTTGTCTTTAATTTTATGCCTTTTATCCCATCCCTTCTCAATCCATCTCTGTGAGGCCGTTGTTGTTCTACCCAGAGTAGCAGCTGGTACTAGCTGGAGCTGGAGGTTCTTTGGGTCTCACATTACAGTTGCTATAACCCTAACCTCACCACTGATGTGATGACTTGAGGTCTCATTTGAATAGCCCCAAAGGGAAGGGATGGCAAGAGGGAAACTTGCTTCCTAAAAACCATATTCTTCGAAAGCTCACACTTTCAAATGCTCCATTTCCATCTTAACATCAGCAACCATCAAAGAGCTGTTCAAGCTCATTAAAAGCTCCCTGAATTTAATATTTTCCAACTCAGGGCCTACAGGTTTCCTTCCCCAGGGTCCGACAGTGCCTCTGCACAGAACCTGTCTCTCTTCCGCCTCATGCCTTCAAACAGATGGGAAGCAACATTAGCTTTTCCGTTTGACTTTGTTTTCCTTTTTCCTTTTCCATTTTAGGGAAGCTGACAGATTCCTTTCCCCTTGAGGTAGTTGGGGAGAGTCAGAGCCTGACTGTTTGGGCCTCCAAGCTTGTCTACAGAAAAGCAAATGCAGAGGTATTATTAGAAGGGTGTGATGGAATTTCAAAGCCTCACAGTCTTCCCCCGAAGCAGTGCCTCCCCTGCCAGGTTTCCTCTGGTTGCTTTTCTTAGTGCCTGGAAGGATGTCAGGACTGGTTTGGGCCGAATGGAAGCATAACCTTTTGTGCCTGATGCAAATCTGTGTAATTTAAACTTATACTTTCCCTCCTGTCTGAGCGCTGGCTCAGGTGCCACAAATATGTTCCTCTCTCTTTACTGTTTTAATTAACAGCTCAGGTACCTCAGCTATTCTTCATTACCAGGCGGTCCAGCACCTTCCCCTTGGGCATGCTCCCTCATGTTTCCATCGAAGAACCACAGAGGTAGACTCCAAAACGCCTTCTGCTTCCAGTGCCAAGCAAAGAGGGACCCCCAAGCCTGCGAAGCCGCCCGCTTGCCGGTAGCTTTAGCTGCTGCCACATGGGGTCGCTGTTGAGAAAAAACTCAGGGTGTGCTTGGTGGTTTAGTGGCCTTGCCCTTCTGGGGCATTCAGCACGTGCAGCAGAGCTGCTGCATCCTTGGGTGGCTGAGTGACAACACCTAGTTTATACTCACCTATGCAGCCATTGTTTCCAAAGCATGACATTTTGCTCTGGGGAGCTACATCCTAAGGGGTTCCAATCAGGGCCAGCCCTCCACCTTGAACACCAGTAGTCCACGCTCTACGTTTTCTGGCAGTATGTTACTAGGTAGAATTGAATGCTTCTCTTTTTTCTTTTATTTAATTATTATTTTTTAGAGACAGAGTCTCATTCTGTTACCTAGGCTGGAGTGCAGTGTTGCAGTTGAGGCTCTCTGTAGCCTCTAACTCCTGGGCTCTAGCGATCCCCTCATCTCAGCCTCCCATGTAGCTGGGACTACAGGTGCATGCTACCATGCCTGGCTAATTTCTTTTAATTAATTAATTAATTATTTTTAGAGACAGGGTCTTGCTATGTTGCCCAGGCCGCTCTTGGGCTCCTGGCCTGGAGTGATCCTCCTGCCTCAGCCTCCCAAGAGTTGGAAATTGAATGTTACATTTGCATTCCTCTTTGCCAACAGTGCTGGGTCAAGGGTATCTCACTCCTTTTAGAAAGATTCTGATAATGCTGAACCTCAAAAGGAAATTGGTCAGCGGCTCTATGTCCTCAGTCCCCAAGGTTCTCTTGACCCTGCTGGAGATATGATACACTTGTTCTTCCTGGTGTCCAACTCTCTGTCCCCGTAGTCTCCAAGAGTGGTGGCTTTGATGAAATCACCATATATGGTTCTACCATTCCCCAGGGATCAAGGACCCTATCATTGTATCTTGGAGGCCTGGGGGATTTTTAGCAGAACCAAGAAGGCCTCCCTTGGCACAGCTCCAGGAGAACAGCACATGCAATTTCCAAAATTCTGCCCTTGTCAGCCCCACATTTGCCACACTGGGGGTGACCCCGTGACACTTAGAGGAAATGTAATGTTGTTAGTTGGTCGATCAGGCAACTGGGGAACGTGTCATAAAACCATGCAGCGAATTTCTGCTCCCATAATTTATTTGGTCTGACAGTGTTAGTGCACCTTTAAAAGGTGAGAAATGTGTTTCGTTTGCCTGGAATGAGACCCCCTTCACACAATAAACTGTGGATCTTAGAGATCAAGGACATCCTCTACTGTTTGGGCTTAAATTCCTGAGTCAAAAACTGGATCCCACATCACTATATCCGGGCTTGCCTTGACATGCAGCAAGCGCAGGAGAAAATGGCTCAGAGGATAATTAATGCCTAAAACTAGATGGGTAGATTAATTTGGCACTTAATTTTATTTTACGCTGATTCATTCACAAATGGAAATCAGCAATTAGACAATGCAAACTTTTGAACCATGGAAAGAAAGTTTCTAGAATATGAGAAAATACAAGTAAAACATTTTCCAGTTCATTTGAGCAGTTTTCATTTCAAATGATTACATGGGTGTCTTTAGCAATGCATTCGGAGTGCTGAATGGCTCGTTTTTAATATGCCCCACCTGCACGAGCTGCCTGCTACCCTGTCTGCTCTGGGGGCCGCTGGACTCCTATGTGCCTACAGCAGATTCATCAAGACCCTGAGAGAAGGGCAAGCAGGTTCTCTGACATCTGCTGCTGCCCACCCTGGTGTTCTTTGACTCCATCCCATGGGGAGGGGCACCTTCCTGCTGGCTCTTCCAGAGTGCCCCTTCTGCCTGCGCCACCTCCTGATGTGCATGTGTGGCCCTTCAGCTCCACTCAGCAGCAGCAGAGCTCTATCAGCTCGGGCTCTCAGAGGTAACCTGAGCCCTGGACCAGGCAGGAGCCAGCTATGACCTGCCCAGCTATGACCTGCCTTCTCTCTCATTCATTATCTCTCTGTTGGCAGAGGTGGGTGTGAAGCCATTTGTCTGCCCCTGCTGGAGCCTGTCCCTGTCTAGTTTTACTCCCTGTTCTCCCTCTCTCCAGCTGGTCCCCTCCCTGCATCTGCCCAAGCTCAGGGTCTCTGCCTCGTTTTCCTCAGCACGTCTTTCTTCACCTGCCCAAGTCCTACCAATCACTTTTTCCACTCTTGGCTCAGAGAGAGAAAAAAGCAGGGACTCCTTGTCTTTGCATTTGCATATTGTGTTGATCATTGTGGACAGATGGACTCATGGCACCAGACCATCTTTTATCGTCTTCGAGTGTGAATGCGGATGGAAAAGGAATGGAATGGAATCCACCTAGGAGGCCCAAACAGAGAGCCTGTATTTCTTTGGGGAAGCAGTGTCACAGCAGAGGGTCTCAGGAGCCATGTTCAGATCAGGCCTTGGTGGACAAGGAGCAGGGAAGTGAAGCAGAAGAAGGGGAGCTTAGTTTGGAGGGGACACAGTGGTTGAGGTGGGAAGAAGGGGCCTTGGGGACTGTCATGGCGTCAGAGGAAGAAAACTCGGTGCCATAGAAAGGCAAGATATTGGGGCCTCCTGTGTCAGAGGGGTGCTGGATTTTATCCATCAAAGGTTTAGGAGAGCATCAGAGAGCTCCCAGGTGGGAGCAACATGGAGGCAGAGTTGGAGTGGTAGAGATAGTGGCTGCGATCAAGTTAGGAAGCTCTTGCAGTTGACCCATGAGAAGCGATGAGCGCAGAGTCCCACAAGAACAGGACAGGAATTTGGGAGACCCACTGGACACCATGGAGGGTACTGACTAAATCTTTACTGAATGAATACATTTAAAACATGACTAAATCTCAGAGAAGGGGCTGGGATATAGGGGTGGGGTTACAATCATTCACATAGAGGTTGTTGTTAAAGATGCTTGGTAAGATTTGTTCCTCTAGAGAAAGTGGGTGAGAAGAGAAATGGACCAAAGGCTGAATCTCGGGAGCACCAGGTGTGTGGTGGAGGTGTCTGAAGAGGACTTAGAAGTTGGAGAGTTGGAGAACCCAGCAAAGGGCCTTGAAAAGCCAAAGGGGAACAGAGTCTTAGGAAGAAAAGGGAGATGGTCATTGGTGTCAATCACTCAGAGAACAGAGGAGAACTCAGAGGGACACAATTTAGTACATAGGAAGTATATCCGTCCATCTGTTTCTCCGCCCATTTCTCTCTCCTTCCATTTATCCATTCAGTTTTCCATTCATCCATCTGTCCATCATCCATCTATTCATACCTTTGTTCCTCTCTCCATCAATCTATCTCTACTTCCATCCCCCATCCCACCATCTATCCATCCATTAATCCATCCACTCATCCATTTATCTATCCATCCACCCATCCACCCATCCATCCATCCATCCATCCATCCATCCATCCATCCATCCACACACCCACCCACCCACCCACCCATCCATCCATCTGGCCTGCACTTACTGTGCCAGGAATAACAACCTGATATTTCACCTACAGTGCAGAGAGGAAGGCAAGCACACACACAGTCATGACAGCATGGTGTGGCAGTCTCTGGCAGGAAGGGACAAAGTGCTATGGGAGGTGAGAACAGCCAGCTTAGAGTGGCTGTTAGCAAGGCTTCCTGGAGAAGCTGCCATCTGAGCTGGACTGGCCAATGACTGGCATGGAAGAGAGTCACAAGACAAAGGCCCAGGACTGTGGGTTTGAGGAAGGCATAGGAAGTAAAAAAAGAAAACAAAACAACAACAACGCATTCACTGGGTGCTGATGATGATCACTGCTGAGGTACACCCACACAAACGTGATCTCTCATCAGACCAGCCACCCTGCAAGGGGATGATCAGTGGAGTGGCCAGCCCAAGGGTCACCCTGCTTCCACACAGAGGACGTAGGAATCAGCTCAGTCTTCCTAACTCTGAAACCTGGTTTCTGTCACTATTTCCAGATGACTGTCTTTCATGATAGGAATACAATGTTCTTACACCGTTCAGCCTTTACTACCTTTAGTTCCAGACAGCCAGAATGATAATTCTGGCCAGCCTCTGAATCCAGACACTCTTTATGGCTCAGCAACTAAGACAGCATCAGTGTTAAAGACAGTTTTTAAAGAGAGGTAGACCATCATGTCCATAAGAGCCTCTTAGCATCGTTTAAAAAATAAAACAAAAGCTACTCAGGTAATACAAGCTCATTAAGTTCTTTATCAAATTTCCTTTTGAACACTCGTTGCTTATAATAGAGTGCTTTCTCTGTGACAGCTTACTGATTTCAAAAGAGTCGTTTCTACAAATAGGAAAAAAATACCCTTCCAGGCCACGCTGGCTTTACTATTAATATTATTAGCTCAATTATTCAGTCCAGGCATATTTATTGGGCACAATCTGCTGGACAGTGAGGGTCCTGCATGTGTGGGTGGTGCACCCCCTCCCAGGCATGCACACTCACCTGATTTGGATTC
Organism: Homo sapiens; assembly: GCF_000001405.40. Taxonomy (NCBI): domain Eukaryota; kingdom Metazoa; phylum Chordata; class Mammalia; order Primates; family Hominidae; genus Homo; species Homo sapiens. The sequence goes on along the minus strand of NC_000010.11, from coordinate 116,116,512 downwards.
CTTAACTCCCTGCTGAACCATCACTGGCAGTCAGTGTCCTCAACCCTCACCTACCTGAAGGCAGTGGACATCAGGGATCTGGCTGTGTCTCACAGAGCAGATGAATTCTTTGCTGTCGCAGAGCAACAACCAGCTCTAAATAATCCATGGTGTCACCAGTTTGGGGTCATCCAGGTGTTTCACCTTCCTGCCTTCTCCCTGGCTTGTGGCCATTATGTTAATCATCAGGAAGCCCTCCATTTTGTGGATTGCATCTTGAGAGTACATTGCTGCACCTGTAATCCCAACTACTCCAGAGGCTGAGGTAGGAGAATCGCTTGAACCTGGGAGGTGGAGGCTGCAGTGAGTGGAGATCGCACCATTGCCCTCCAGCCTGGGCAACAAGCGTGAAACTCAATCTCAAAAAAGAAAAAAGAGAGAGAGAGAGTACAGTGCTGGTGAAAGGTGTGATGGAAGCAAGACCTCTGGATCTTTACCAGACGTGAAGAAGAGGAGGTGGGCGGGGGTACTCAAAGGGGGTCTATGGGTCCCTGGACTTCAGACCACCTTGTTCAACTGCAGGTGGCTGAGGGAGACCTCAGCTGATCTCCTCTACTGCTCTGTGCAGCTTGTCTCTCTTCAAAGAGAACCCTTCTGCTCTGTCCACCAGCCACCTCCTGCTAGCACTCGTGAAGTGCACAGGCATACTACACCAGCTGCAAGCCCCTCAAGCCCAGGCCTGAACTAACCCAACTGGATAAATTTCATGATCATTTTTTTTTCTAATTCCCAGGGAAGGGGGTGTTTCCGTTTCCTACAGCTGTTTTCAAAGATGTTTCATCCACGGAGCAACAAATGGGGTGCAAAAGAATGGGGAGAAGGAAGACGTCAATAGCCTGTGACCCAGAGCAGTCTCATCTTCGCGTGGGGAAATCTGTCCCCTTAGTTACAGGCTGGCTGTATTTAAGGAGAGGAGCATGTCCTGTGTTTAATTAGCATTCAGTGACTTAAGGAGGGCTCCCTGGAGGGCAGGGCAGGGCTGGGCTGGGCTGGGAAGGGAAGTGCGACATCAGAGAACCTCCTCCCATGCATGGGCTCATCTCACCCCAGGAACCTGACTCTGGGAACCTGCCAGGACCCTCTTCCATGCTGCCAGGAGGGTCCTCTGGCAGTCACCTCTTCCCTCGGCCTCCCCACCTCCCAGGCCAGTGTGGGCCTGGGTCTCACAGCCAGGCTTAGAGTCCTGCTCCACCCAGGGAGACTCCACACTCCCCCACACCCATCCCAGGCATTACCCCAAGTGAGGATCCTGCAGTCACATTGGCATTTACATTTCTACAGGGCATTTCCAACTCAGTGAATGGGAAATTGCTCGTCATTTCCAAAGGCAATTAATTATGCAGGAAATTTTGCATCCAAGAAAAACAAGAATTTAAAAGAACCATCAATGTGAAAAAGTACCATACCATGCTGGAGTCTTGGGATTGTTTTCCCTTCCCCAGTAGTTGTCAGTGTAAGCGTTTGCGAGTTAGGCAGACCTGGGCTTGCATTATGGTTTTGTTAGTTCTTATGACACCAGCCACTGGAGGCCTCAGTTTCCCATCCATAAATGGAGATAATGACTCCATCTTCACAGGGATGCAGTGAGGACTAAATGAGATATTTTTGTGCAAGTACCTCAGCATGTGCCTGCCATCTAACCCAGAAAATTCTCAATAAATATGTCCTTCTTTCTCTTTCACTTTTCCAACCAGTTTTTATCAGGGAGGACAAAGCTTAAGATTTTAAATGTGATACCCCCCAGAACAGAGAGAGATCTTTGAAGTAGAACTTGTGAGCTGGTGTGGTGGTATGTGCCTGTAGTCTCAGCTGCTCAGGAGGCTGAGAGGTGGGAGGATCACTTGTGTCCAGGAGTTCAAGTCCAGCCTGGACTACACAGCAAGACCCTCTCTCTAAAAAAATTAAAAATAAAAATTAAAGTAGGATTTGTGAGGGGGCAGATTCCCATTACTCTACACTTCTCTGCACCCACAGCACTAAACGTCATGTGGAAATGCCACATGGCTAAGCTTGATAGTCATCCTCTTTCAGCCTTTGTACCATTAGGGAAAACGGAGGGGCGGAGGCGGAGGCAGAGTCTAGAGGTGTTTGGAGCATGTGTCATCTCAAGAACATTTTTGTCAAGAATATACAATTATTGGCACACAGATACACAGTAAGATGTGAGCAGAGCTGGCTCTGAGACTGCTGGGCACAGAGTGGGGAGATTCACTATTGTCTGGACTGAATAGGCAGTGGGAGCCCTCTGGCAGCCTCTTGGCCACGTGCTTCTTCTGTGACCTGGAGTAACTGTGAATAAGGGGCTCTCAGAGGTGCTTATGTCTGAGTCAGTGATGTGAGGGATCCAGCAAAGGGCAGCCACTGACTCAGTGAGACTGAATCCATGGCCCCCTCCCTCTGGATGTTTCCATGTTGTGAATCACCCCATCTTCCCCTTAGGAAGCAAAGCCACACCCGGGGGCAGAGTTGCTCGTCATATAGGACTCAGGGAGCTTAGAATGCACAGAGCCGGGGACATGGTTGTAGGAACGAGTGGATGGCGGTGACGGTGGTGCGGGTGATGATGAGGCGAGCAACACGTACTTGGCATTTACTTTGTGCCAGGCCCTGGGCTGAGCTCTTTGCAGCAACCTTGGAAGTGGGAGCTGTCGTTACCCTCCCTGTCACTGGATGAGGAGGTGAGATCTTGAACAACTTCCACATCACCCAAGTGGTGCCGCTGGAACCAAAGGCAATGAATTATGCAGCAGGTGCAGCCCCTCTCTGCTGTCCCACTCCATAGTCAAGGAACCCAGAGGGTCTGTGGGGCTGCGGAGCTCATGTTGCCGAATGCCGCACTGCCCATTTCTGTACACAATGTGCCTGTCTTGTAAACCACCCACAGAACTTCCAGAGACACCCAGGGAGAGTGGAATTGGATACCGGTGGTGACTTTACTTCTTATTTATGTTAAAACAAAAATTTTAAAGTAAGGGACCTTTGGATCTTGTCAAGATAGGGCTTAAGTGCTCTTTGGCAAACATAGTTCATTTATCATTAAAACCGCGGGTTTCAAACTTTTTGGTTTCTGGACTCCTTTATGCTCTTAGAAAATTACTGAGGATCTCAATGGGCTTTTGTTTATGTGGGCTAAATCTATAGGTACTTACCACACTGGATTGCAGGTGAAAAGAGGTTTACATATTTATTACTTCATTTAAAAATAACATCGAGCAGCTCATTACATGTTACCATAAATAACAGAACATACTTTTATTAACAATCACTATATTTTCCAAAAAAAAAAAAATTAGGGAGAAGTGTGGCATTGTTTTTACATTTTTACAAATTTAGCATCTGGCTGGAAGGTGGCTGGGAGAGAGAGAGAGAAAAGTCATTAAGGTCTTAGTATGACTAAGAAAATAGTTATGGTCTCACTGACCCCCTACGAGGTTCCCTGAGACTGCCAGGATCCCTAGACCTCGCTTTGAGAACTGCTGTGCTAGATGGACCAGAGTAATCTTGGGCTGGAAGACTTGTGTGTGCACCAGCGCTCCTGAGGTCTCGTTGAACCAAGACAGTCTGGGGTGTGCGCCTGCCTTGCGCCCAGCTCGTTTAGCCACAGTGGGTCAGGATGCTGAGGCTGTGGGATGTCTGCCCCAGCCAAGCGCTGGAGCCCCTCCAGGTGGAAATGGGTTGAGTAATTAGAGAACCTTGGAGCATCTACCGTCAGCTGTGCGGTCGCTCCGGGGCTGCTTGGCAGGCTGGAGCACTGAGCCCAGCTTGGTTTCTTGCTCTGAGAGATGCCCTCCTGACAGCTCCTTTGTAGATGGTTCCTCTCTTTTCTAGCATGCCAAAGGATTTCACCATCATATTCAGCTCAGTCAGGCAGAACTCTGGGCTGCTGTGTAAAAACCCTTTGTGTCCAGAAGGGTTCAGTGGAGCTTTTCTCTTACCAAGTAGGGGCTTGGGGAGAGTGCCACAGGGCAACCTCTGGTGCTTAGAATGCTGGCTGGTGCCTTGATGTGGGCCATCTCAGGGGCAGCCCCCCTCTGCTCTTTCTGATATGTAATCATTTGCCACAGGGAGAACTAAATGATGACAATGACAGTGTCCCTGGGCTAACCCTTAGAATCGGAAAAGCCGGCAAGCTGGAAGTTTCAGGTCCCGGGAAGCACCCAGCAGTCGGAATTCCTATTGGAGAGTTAGCTGGCTTCATCTAACAGCTTGGAGAGGGAATGCCACCTCTCCAAGAACGTTCACTCCAGCAAAGGAGCTTGACACTGTCCCAGGAAACCTTTCAGTGGAAATAAGGCAAAATCGAATGGACAAAATCGAATGGAAATAAGACAAAATCTTTCACACTCAAAAATTCAAGCTCAAACATGTTTAGCTACAAATACAGTATTATGGCTTGAGAACATTTGCTTTTTTCCTATTGGACCAGCTGGTGTTTTGTCATTGCTGGAGATTGGTTTGTTCACTGGTTCAGTAGGACCAGACTTCCAGGTGCTCTGTAGGGCCCCGAGGGCCAGAGATGAGGGAGGCGCCTGTGCCCACAGAGCGCACATGCAGGGACAGTCACCGGTGCTGTGCCAGCCCAGCCTCGTGGGGAAGGGTGGGCTCAGGGACTTCTCAGAGGCGCCTTTGCTCTGGGGCCGTGGATCTCCAGCTTTTGCCTGTGTTGGGATTTGTTTTCTATTCATGAGGTCTAGGGTGAGGCCTGAGAATTTGCATTTCTAAAGCATTCCCAGTGCTGCTGCTGCTGGTCTGGGCTTACCATTCCCTGCTGCCTTAGAGAATGTTGGCCAGGTGATCTAGGCTGATGGCTTCACCCTCCTCTCAACTGGGTCTGCAAAGCTGAAAATGAGGAGTAGGCACCAGATGGGAGTAGGCTTAGGGGAGGACACAGGAGAGGGAGCCCCTGCTGTGGCTGGGTGTGGGCTGGCAGCCCAGGTCGGATATGGGGCACAGAGGGCGCATCGCAGCCCAGGAATTCATAGCTGCGGGCAGGGACAACACATGGAAAGCTTCCATGCTGCATTAAGGTTGGGCTTTATTTGGAAGGCTGTGGGGACCACTGGAAGGGCTCTATTGCCTGCTGATAGTTCTTCAGACACAAAGGATACTGAGACAAGCTGATGGTATCTCTAGTCACTGCCTGGGCTGGCCCCACTGCAGTTGGGACCTTGCCCTCACTGCACATGAAGAAGTAGACAGTCTGTTGTCTCTAAGTTGACCTTGGCCTCAGATTGGAATCCGTTTGGCTGGGTTATACCTGAAAATGCAAAGCAAAACACAGGGTTTTAAGGTAATTAAATCTTCTTCCTAAAATGGCCTTTGGAGCAGTCTTTGGCCTGGGCTATTCGAATAAGGAAGCTGCCATGTTTGCTCCACTCTTCTTGTCACTTTTTGCATGTAGAAGCACCCTTGGTTGTCAGGAGGGAACGTGGGATGGACAGGGTCTATCCTCAGTGCCTGCGGTGGAGCTAGGATGCAGATGACTCAAGCAAACACACGTGTGTTCAAGATCCAAAAGTGCTGTGATTCTGTGAACCAAGGTTGCTATGAACCCTTGCCTGTACAAGTACATGGTACATCTCACCCCTCAGTCCACAGATGGGTCATAGGCAAGGGCAGGTGGTAGATGCAGGTGGTAGGAGGTTGGATTCCATATCCTAAAGGGACTGCACCTTCTCCTTCTTTGTTCCTGTCCCACCATGGCCACCACCTTTTACACAGCATCTTACATTGTGGGTGCTTAGTGATCATGGTAATTGAACGGTTTGTTGCCTTTTGAACCCTGGGCCAGGCATGTGCTAGGTGCCAGGCTACAAAGCTGAAGATGAACAGTCTCTGTCCTGGGTTCCTGCATGCTGAGGTATTTTATGAGTCCATCCTGGAAGCCTTGGGCTGAGAACTCTCTCTAGGTGGCTCCCCAGTATTCCTAGGCTTAGAGAAAGCCGGAAGGGGTGTGTTCTGGTGTATAAGAGATGCCACCAAATACTGCCTGTGCATGGGATTTTATTACCAACCCATGAGGGAGAGTGTCCTCTCCTACTGGTGGGCAGGAACCCTGATGTCAGACTAAACCCCAGCTGCCCTGCAGGCGTGTTTCTTCTCTCTGCATCTCAGTCTCCCTGCATGTAAAACACAGACACTACCAGCACCTCCTCCACAGGCAGTGGTGAGGATTAAAGCCCATAGCCCAGTGCCTGGCACAGAGTTTAATGCTCAGTGAAATCCCTTGTCATCATGGGCAGCAGAGGGTACTGACCTCAGATGCATCCAGAACTTAGCTGAAGTCTCATCCCCCTGCCAGGTCAGGTTCCCAGGCTGAGGATTCCAAAGTCTGCCTGATTCCTCTGCACTTGACCCCTCTTGGGAAGGAGGCGACACCTGCTGCATCCCTGCCTCTCAGGGCTGTGGTTGGAGAGAGGCAGCGGGCACAGGGAGCACCTTGAGTGTGGTAACAGCAATATTCACAGCTAGCACTTCACTGAGCACTGAACTCTGTGCCAGACACTGGGATATGGGCTCTAATCCTCACCCCTGCCTGTGGAGGAGATACTGGAAGTGTCTGTGTTTTATACAGGGGGAGACTGAGATGCAGAGAGACCAGACACCCCTGCAGGGCAGTTGGGATTTGGCCTGACATTGGCACTCATGCCCACCAGCTCTGGGAAGGTTCTGCACATATGTCTGCTCTTCCAGGGCAGGTCCCCATGATGGTCGTCCCGGCCAGGCCAGCCCCTACTGGGTCACTCTGTCTCCAGCCTCAGGAGTGGTCCCTGCGGTGAAGGAAGGCTGCTTGGGGATGCGGGTTTCTCCCCGTGGGCCCGGGGAGCCCTACTTCTCAGTGTATGGGGAAGACTTTTGTGTCCTCACTTCTTGACTTCTGGGTGCCCTCTGGGGGAACACAGCCCGGGGAAGGGGTGCCCAGAGAGGCAAGGCCTAGGCCCAGATGATTTCCCCTCCTAGCTGTGTCGCAGGACTGCATTTGAGCCCTACTGAACAGTAACAACAGATATTATTTTTTTTATGTTTTTAAGCTACAAGCGCTATTAACCAAAAAGAATGCCCACTAATTCTGTCATTCTTTTATTGGGCCTAGTAAAGATCACATATCCACCTAAATCAGATTTGGGCTTCTGCAGCACATACTTCACATTAAAATGGCAGCCAAAGTCCAAGAACTAAAATGAAAAGAGGGAACATTAATTCTTTTTCAGTGCTGTGCGGGTGCGTATGAGCTCAAGAAGCTGCGGCTTCTTTCCAAAACCTGGCTCTGACTCTGGCCTGCTCCATGACTTTGGGCTGGTCGTGGACCTCTCTGGGACCTCGTGTCCTCAACTGTAAAATAAGGCAAACCTGGCTAGTACGGTTACTGCTCAAAAATGACACAGGTTTGAAAGCACTGGGCACAGTGACAGGTTCTATGTGAATGTAGTTGGAGCATTTAGAGTTGGGCTGCTGCTGTTTCTCCTCTGCACCTGTTAATGTTGCTGAACCTTCAGCACCAAGTGTCCGTGATGAGTGTTGAGCTGTAGGTGATTGGAGCCTTACTCTATGGCAGTCAGATTCGTTCATTCATTAACTCATTTATTCAACAGTTATTTAAAGAATACCTGCTCTGTGCAAGGCATAATTCTAGGTGCTCTCCTTCTCTGCCTGGTGTAGGCAAGACCATCAGCAACGTGAAGATATAGAATAGAAAGTGACGGAGATGAGGTGTGGGCAGCAAGGCTGAAGCTGGCACCCTGCTCGGGGCGCAGAGCCAGTGAGGGGACTTGGTGGGAGGGCTCTGGGAGAGCTTTGAGATCACCGTGAATGGGTTAAAATAAGCCTTGGGATCACTCGGCTGGGAGGAGATGTGGAGGGGTCAGTTTATTAGAAAATGGCTTATGTGGACCCTGGAAATCAGCTTCTTTGCCCTAAAGAAATAAAAAAAGGAGAAACATTAAATGCAGCACTAAGAGCTTTAGTTAAAATGTAGAAAATGGGGTTGGGGCTGAGGTGCTGTTGACAAGAGGATGCTGAGTGTGAGAATGGGTTGCTAATAGGAGTTACGGAATTTCCCCAAAAGGGGAAATTGCCATCTGGTGACAATGGAGTGATTTATTCATTTGACGTCTAATGCCACAATTCCCTGTCTCCTGAGCAATAGTGATATTCTCAATGCCCTATCTAAGAAGGAAGATATTAGGAACTAGTTGTTTGCTAAGCTCAAAGTCTCTGTTGACCTTACTACAACTTTCCTGAAAGAAAAATGACCTAGTGTATATTTACTATTGAATATAATTTTCCTTAGGAAGTCTGCAAGCCTATTAAAGATTAATAGGGAATCTCATTTTCATGTGTTTCTGTTTAAAGCGAACTTGTGCAAGTGTAGGTTGTTAGCCATTCAGAAATCCATTCACCACCCCCTTTCCCCACCCCCTCCCAGGGCTCTCAGAAACTAGGCTCCTTTAATGAGTGGAAGGTAAATTAATATTCCAAGGCACGGAACTTGGGGCTTATGCACCCAGAGATATTTAGCTCTTGTCGTTTGGGGACTGGAGAAAGTAGGGGGTTTCACAAATTATTAAAGTCAAGAGAACCCATGCCATTTTAATTCTGCATATTCTGGGAACCTCCAAAGAAGCAAAGTTTGACTGAGGAAGACCAGGTAGCATTAGGGATAATTTCTATAATAATTTACCTGTGTTTTTTCCTAAGCTCATTAGAGTTCAGTTCCTCTGACTATAAACATCAAGATGCTGTGATACTTACCTCAACACTTCCTTCTGAGGGTACAGACAGCACCTTCTTAAATGAACACAGGCTTGATGCTTCAATTGCCAGACCAGTAGAGGGTCCACAGGTAGTGGCCTGTAGAATTGCTTAGACCTGTTTAGGGAGTATGATTTCATTGGTCTATAAAAAAAAGGGAGTATGATTTCATTGGCCTATAAAAACTTGAGGATGTTTGAAGACTCACAGGAGTAATTTCTCTTTGGTCTTAATGGTGGGAATAAAGCTGATATTCATCATGACTTTCCTGAACACATGAAGACCTTAAAAAAGGGGATCAATTGTCCTTAGGACAAAGCATTTCATATGCCAAGTTATTTGATGAATTCTAAGGGAATTCATCCAGCATGGTCATCTCTCCCTAGGATTTCATAAGGTCTCAGGGTCAGTGTGGACCCCCTGGGCTGGTCCAGAGAAGAAGAGAAGACACCAGCTGTGATGAGGTACTGTTCCTCTAGGAATCAGGAATAGATGTCAACAGGTGCTAAGGTGCCAGGTATATTTAACCCTACCAGGAACATTTTGAGGGACTTATTATCATTCAGCCTGAGTATATTAGGTGTGTTAGGACATTCTTGCATTGCTATAAAGAGATAACCTGAGGCTGGGTAATTTATAAAGAAAAGGGGTTTAATTGGCTCATGGTTCTACAGGCTGTACAGGAAGCATGGTGCTGGCATTTGCTCAGCTTCTGCAGAGGCCTCAGGAACCTTATAATCATGGCAGTAGGCAAAGCGATTGCCGGTGTCTCACATGGCAAGAGCCAGAGCAAGAGAGAGAGTGGAGGAAGGAAGAGGTGCCACACACTTTTAAATAACTGACCTCCCAAGAACACTATCACAAGGACAGCACCAAGCCATGAGGGATCTGTCCCTGTGTCCCAGACACCTCCCACCAGGCCCCACCTCCAACACTGGGAGTTCCATCTCAACATGAGATTTGGAGGGGATGTCCAAACTATATCAAGTGGTGAAAGATGGAAGACAGGAACGAGATAATTCCTTTGAGAGTCCGAAAGTATTCCTCATGCAGACATGTCACATGATCGGAGCAGAACCAAGAGAAAGTGGAGGGAGGTGCCACACACTTGTAAAAGATCAGATCTCACAAGAACCTACTCGCTACCCAAGAGGGTGGTGCTAAACCATTCATGAGAAGTCTGCCCCCAGGATCCAATCACCTCCCACCAGGCCCCACCTCCAACACTGGGGATCACGTTTCAGCGTGAGATTTGGGTGGGGACACACGTCCGAACTATATCACTAGGCTTCAGAGAAGCTAAGATACTTGCCCAGAATGTCATGGCTAGTAAGCGATTGAGCTGAAATTTAAGTCCTAGTACATGTTCAAGTTCTGTATGAAAACCCCCTACTGTTTACTGCTTTTTAGTAGTCTTTTAGTTTTCTATTGGTGCTGTTAACAAATTACCACAAACTTCAAACAACACACATTTATTCTCTTACTGATCTATAGGGTCAGAAGTCTGACTCGGGTCTCACTGGGCTGAAATCAAGGTGTCAGCAGGGCTGAGTTCTTTCTGGAGGCTGCAGAGGAGAATCCATTTCTTTGCCTTTCCCCACGCAGGCTCATGGCCCCTTCCTCCATTTTCAGAACCAGCAAGGGCCAGGTGGAGTCTCACATGACATCACGATGACACCCTCACTTGCCTCCCTATTCCACTTTTAAAGACTCCTGTGATTCTATTGGTCCTACCGGGAAAATCCGGGATACTCTCCCTACCTCAAGATCCATGACCATAATTATATCTGCAAAGTCCATTTTGCCATGAACTGTAATGGTCTCAGGTTTTAGGAATTCAGGTCCAGATGCCTTTGAGAGCCTACCCAAAGGTAGGCATTCTGCCTGCCGCAAGCAGTTTTTCTTCTGAGCATCTATCTTGTTTTTAATTTGGGGGTATCATGAGCTAGTTGTGGAATTAGTTATGAATATCTTAACCCCCTTCCCAGTGGTTGCTGGAAATCTCTGAACCAAATATGTAGTTTTCATCCAGCCAGGGGCATGTGTACATTTTGTACTAGCTAAACCACTGCCTCTATCTTACCTTTCTGTGGTCCCCAATTCTCTCACTAATTTTTATATTCTGCCACATCACAGCTACATCTGAAGGCACTTCAAAATTCCTTCTGAAGACAGGGTGTGCGTAAATAATTAAATGAAGCCATGGTGGATGACCTTTGCTGCCCAGGATTCCTGAGCAGTTGACATGGAGCCTCTTAGCGTTCCAGAATAAATACCAGGCGACTTCAGGCATTTACTTCCGAAGGTGGAGGTGCTGCTGAATTCTCCATGAAGCAAGCTCACACTGTGTTGGTCTAGAGTTTTAAGGTGTGGTTCTGCTGGTGAAAGATTCATTGAACATCTAGATTTCCATTTTTTCTTGTGGCCAAAAGCCACAAAACTGATTTCTAAAGTTTGCCTGCAGAAATATAAAAGACTTATTGGATAAGGTTTACTCTTAAAGAGTTTTAACATATTTGTCACCTGCAGTTATCCCACTGAATATCTGAGAGCTTTATGATCCTTTCATCATCCACAAAACTTTCCATTTCTTTTCTTCTTCAATTTCTTCCCTTAAAAACAAGTACTACCAAAGCTAAAGCTAGGTTTTCTGTGTGAATGGACATAGCATAGTATGGGTAATATAAAACAATTTTATTTGATTTCGTGATGCAGCACAGGGTTGTTGGAGATCTTTCTGTGCTCCCATTACTACTTAGAGTTTTCTTGTACCATGACCATCAGTTTGCGCATTGGGATAAATAGGTGGAGGGCAGTGGATTCCTGGCAAAAGGGCAGTTCAGGGACATCTGATCTAAGGCTGCTGAAAGCCCCTTGCAAGTTGGAATGGATTTTCTTGCCAACTACCATGACTTGCTTTTCAAATTTGCCAGGTAGAGAGTACCTGTCAAGCCCTGTCAACTGCTCTGTCAATGTTGACTGATGGCTGTCAATGTTCATGCAAGGTGGCTTCGGGAGGGATGCCAAAATTGATCAGATGCCAACCTAGACTTCCCTCGGGGGGCTACTGCAGTTTGATGCAATCAGAAAGGCTAAGGAAGCATCACCTCTGTGCCCTGCAGCCTGCTTTTGCTGAACCCTCAACCTGCAGAGATACCCAAGGCAGGACGCAGGGACTGAAATAATGGGGGATTCCATCTGCATCGCCGGAACTCCATTCTCAGCCCATGAAGCTTTGCCAGAGCCCCTGTGAGTCAGGCTCAGAGTGCAGTGACAGCAGCCTCCATGGCCCATGTGCTGGGCAAACCACAAGGAGAACCCTCGCAGCCAAGAGCTGCCAAGGAGCCAGAGGAGCAACAGTGATCGGGGAAGCCCCATGTATCAGGATGAGGCTGAGCAGGGATTTGAGGGGAGCAGGAAATGATCTGTACTTGGCCACAGGGGCCTTTCTGTCCCAGGAAACAAAGGCATTAGGAAAGGCTTGAAGGCTGCTTAGACCTTATGGTATTGTTTCTCACCAACATGTGGCCGCTGTCTTGCTAAACTGCCATACGCACATCAGTTGGCGAGGCTTTAATAATCCCACTACCAGTGGGAACCTGTGTTAAGGGGCTGATGAATGCAAGATGCACAGAGCTTTGCGCATCTGCACCTGGGGCATGTGGACCTCCCCAGACCCTTTGCGTCTCCACACTCAGTCCTAGGTGGGGAGAGAATCGCAGCTCAGCTCCTCAGCTCCCCAGCTCCGCAGCTCCGTAGCCTACTCCTAGGCAAATACTAGGCCTTTGCTCCAGGAAGCCAGATGCACAGCCCAGACAGCAATAGCAACACAAAATAACACCCCCTGCAAAATGTATTTAATACAGGCCCTGGTTTCCTGAAGGATGCTTTCCAGATGTGTGTTACAGCAGACTGAGGGAGAATAGGGGCTAAGGTAATTTTCTAAAAACAGAAAGAGGAAAAATCTGTTTTGTGTCACTATACCAGACAATTACCTTTCCAGTGTTTTAGCCTTTTCATTCCTGGTCTAATATTAGCAGCATGTTTTTCTAATTGTTTTTATTCTGCAAAAGGTATTAGCAGTTTTAACAAACTTACTGATATTTAGTCCTTTTAAAAATATATCCCTTTGCTCTAAGTCCCTGGGAAAAAGTAGCTTTTCTTAAAGTGCCTTTATTTTATGAGTTCATGTAACAGAGAGGCTTTAAGTAACACCACAGATTCCTCACTTCAGACTTCTCAAATTTGTTTTGGTCAAAGTTGATGCCTTTAGTTACATAGATGTAGCATGTTGAAAGTATGTAATATAAGGGCCACCAAAGATAGACTAAGACACAGTGTATGTTTCTCTTTATTGAGCTTGTTGTGTGTTTTTCCAGCAAAGGCTGAACATTAGAATGAACCAGGAATTGGGGAGAACATATGAAGGGATAGAAGTAAAAATTTTGGGGGCAACTGGTGTATTCTGGGTTCTGGGTGAGGAGCTTTATATAATTGTCATTTAAGTCTCACAGCAGACATTTAAAGTGACTGTACATAGCAACTGGTATGGCACCACAGCACTGGTGCCATTTTCCAGGTAAGGAAACTGAGACTTGGAGAAGTTGAATAATTTGCTAAGATGTGAGAGGCTGCGTGAAAAGTGGAGCTGGGATTAGACACAAGATTGTGTCACTCCCAAGCCTGTGCATCTTCTTATCTACCATACTTTCTTTCCTCTAACTGACCCACTGAGAAAGCTTTCAGAAACTAAATGGTTTGAAGTGAAAGCCAAGACTTTGAATCTCTAATGTCCACGTTGGGTTTAGAGAAACACTCCAGCGACTTATACAAGTAGATTGATAAGGGGATCCTGTCCCAAAGTTCTGGGTTTCTCCTGAGTGGTCGATATGGTCTGGCTGTGTCCCCACCCAAATCTCATCTTGAATTGTAGCTTCCATAATTCCCATGTGTTGTGGGAAGGACCCAGTGGGAGATAATTGAATCATGGGGGCAGTTTCCCCCGTACTCTTCTCATGGTAGTGAATAAGTCTCATGAGATCTGATGGTTTCATAAGGGGAAACCCCTTTTGCTTGGTTCTCATTCTTCTCTTGCCTGCCACCATGTAAGATGTGGCTTTCACCTTCTGCCATGATTGTGAGACCTCCGCACCATGTGGAACTGTGAATGCATTAAACCTCTTTTTCTTTATAGATTATCCAGTCTCAGGTATGTCTTTTTCAGCAGCATAAAAACGGACTAATACAGTGGTCAAGCCCTGCAGTGCTGTGCAGTCCCTGGTGGGGTACAACAGACTCCTTTATAAAGGGGGGCCTAATTCACTGATAGACTCACTACCCTCTTGTCCCATCTGCATCCTCTGGCGCCTGCTGTGCTCTTGCAATACATTCAAAGTACCCGTCATGTCTCTAAGGCCTGTGGAACATTAGGAAGAACAATGTAGTCAATGGTGGCAGGGGAAAGCAGGTATACACTTGATGACTGTAATACAATCCCAGAGAAATTAAAGTCAGCCCCCACACTTCTACCCTTCAGAGCCATTATGGGCGGTTGGCAGTTCCTGTTCCTGTGAATGCCATCTGTGGCCACCTGCCATGTGACTCTGAGCAAGGCTTAATCTCTTTGGCCCTCAGCTGTCTTGTATGTGAGACAAGGGATCCACTAGAAGAATCTTATTCTCAAGACTCGAAGAAAACCAAGTCCCTTGACACTGAAATCATAACAGTAGGATGGAATATGGGTAAGAATAATAATGCTATGAAAACAAGTGGGTTTTCCACCCCTCTACATTGATTGCTTTGAGCATTCCATAGACTGTATTTCTGAGGTGGAAGGGAAAGCTAGGAGCTTAAACATGAAGCAACGCACTCAGGAACTTTGGTTCATGAGTCGGAGCCTGGATCCCATTCAACATCTTACAATTCTCAGTCCAAGGCTCAATTCCACCAACCACGTGTCTTATGTCCAAGTATGGGATTTGTTCTGGAAGAATATTTAAAGGATTATGGTAATCCAGGATGGGTTAAATTGGGCATTACTGGTATGTTTTTACCTGTTTTCCATCACACTACTTTCCTAAAACTGTTGCAGAGAAAGTAGGTAAATAATTTTCTCCCCACTGTCAGAAGACCATCTGCTGTTTGAGACAATTCTCCTAGATATTATTATTATTATAATTTTTCTATTTCCAATTAGCAGCGTACTTCCTTTAATATGATGCTTTCTGCATAAACCATGGTTTCTGCAGATTTCCTAAGGCCATCTTGGTATTTTGTCTGCCTTTTCCTCTTCTTTAAGGGTGGGAGATTTTCTCTTACTGAGAGCGATACATTTCTACATTAGTACCTATTCATTTCCTTTTCATTTTCTCGGAGAAAAACAATCAGAGCTCATCATTGCTGTCGTCATGGAGATTTCATGTCTCCAGAAGAAATCCAGTTGAGGAGTTTCTTTGTTAATCCCATACTGGACATTCAAGCTTTCTTGTTTGTATCCCAGCAGCCCAGGCAGGGAAGCCATTGACATTGATTACAGTGTGATTCATAACCCAGGGTGGGCAGGGGAAAGTGTGTGCAGAAGGAGCTGTCCTGGGGCACTGGAGCTGTGCATACAGTAGGTGCTCAGGCTGCAGTTGGTGACTGGACAGAAGCAGCAGCCAGAGCTCTAACAACATGTCAGCATCTTGGCTGTCCACAGCATCAGGAACTCAACACAGCCACCGCCAGCCTCATTATCTTCCTGGTAAACCTGTCCTCCCCCATCTTTCCCACCAGGGCCCCACTGTCTGCTGAGCTGTCCTCCTCTCGATTCTGTTCTCACCCCTCCAGTCCGAAGTTTTGACTTTCATTCTATTGATATCCACATTTCCGGGCATCCTCCTTTCTTTCTCCTCTTCCGGCCCTCGGTTCTTTGCTCTGGTTCATGGCCACGGTCTCCTAGGGAACCACCCCTTCCCCTCCTGGCAAATTTCTTGCTCTTCCCATTGCTGCTGGAACAGTGAGGGCACACAGTAGGTCTGAAGCATATCTTTGCCGAACAATGGTGAGATCGAAGAGTCTTCCTAATATGCAAATCTGATCATGTTACTTCTCGGGTTTAAAATCCTTCAGTGGCTTCCACTGCTTTTAAGATAAAAACCTAAACCCTTGGATCATTCAAAGGCTTTCAAGACCTCATCAGCATATTTTCCCATCACTACTCATTTGATCTTGTGGCCTGGGCATCCTGAGTGAGTGACCAGTGATGTTCTGGGCGATGCACCTGTTAAGTGCAGCAGTTGAGAATGATCTCCGGCTCTGGCATCAGATTGAATGTGGTCATGTTCTAGCTCCATCACAGAGTTCTGCAACCTAGAAGGAGTTGCTTAAAGGCTCCGTGCCTCGGTTTCCTCATCTGTAAAATGGGCTTGATTGGAAGTATCACCTAATAAGGTTGTTGTGAGAATCCAATGTATGAATACATGTTAAGTCGTTAAATCAGTACCTGGCATGTACAAATACTTCGTAGTTGTTATGCAGGTCTTACTGTGAGTGTGATTACTTTATACTTTGCTGCTTCCTTCTGTCTGGAATACCCTGCTCTACCTGTACCTAACCAATTCTACCCATCCTTTAAGTCTCAGTCCCAATATCACAGCCTCTTGGAAACCAGCTTCTGCAGCTGTGTAATAGTAAAACCTTAAGTGGTAGAGTCAGAATGTATGACTTTAAATCCTCGTTCTGCTACTGACTCTTTTATTCTAGTCTAACCTCACTAAGCCTTGGTTTCCTTGACTACAGAATTAGGATAATAAAATAACAATAACAATTATTTTGCTGTCATACAAAGTAAAAGTTTGTAAAGATATACCTAACATGTACTGAACACTTCATTCATGCTAGGTATTGTTTTAGCGGCCATTCATTCTTACCTTTTATCAAGAACAAATCACTGTATTATAATAATCTTTTTACTTGTTTTTCTTGGCACCTAGATTGTGGGTTATATAAGTTCAAGGACAGGGTCTTTTTCATCATTATATCATGGCACTTGACACATCAGTCAGTGGGATGGACAGGAATCCAGCTGTTGTGTCAATACATGTGACCATTTGCATGCATAATTTAGGAGATGTTAGAGGATTGTGATGGTAGGAGAAGGAGATGTTGGGCAGGAAGGATGTTTTAGTGGGATGGGGGAGTGGAGCTCTTTTCTTTCTTTGGAAAGTACTGAAGACCAGAGGTTAATTGCTATTGCCCCATTTCATTTGGCACAAGGGTGACTGGGGATGGGAGAGGAAGCCTGTCCCAGAAGGGTTGGGACTCAACTGGAGACATGATGCATGCTTTATCAGTGGGATTTACTAACATCATACTGGTTCTTAAATAGAGACGTGCCAGTAAATATTTAACAACCAGTGCTCCAAGAACAACACAAAGCCCTGATTTATAGTGTTTGCTGGTTACCGTGGTGTAAATCCCTCCACCATGGCCACTTTCAAACTACCACTGCAATGTTATTAACCAACCTGCAAAATTCCTGAAATTGTACCAACTCACCAGTGATGAGCTGGCCCCAGCATAGCGCTGTATAAACTTCTTACTTCAGTGTTTCCATCCGTAACATGTGAATCCTATAATGTGAGTATCCTGTCTCCAAGTATAGCTGCCAGGGGGAGGTGGTCAAATGTGATAAAACGTGGAAATGTTAGTGTTTTAACAGTGCCTCATGTGCTCACCCTTACATCAAAACTCTCTTCCCATCCACTGGCTGTGGGTCATAGGGCCAGGATATGTGCCGATGATCTCTCAAAAAGCAGCCTGTCCAGAGTTCTGCTCAGAGCAGTATATTTTGTTTTATCCTCCCAATCGGGGCTATGCTTTCTACAGCAGACTGACTCAATTAGCCTTTCATTCCAGAGTCCAATTGTGAGTCAATTCCGAGGTTGTTAAGCAAAATGAGTCTGGTGGCATTAGTCTCTCGCTGAAGGACAGTAATCCTCATCACAGTGTTGTTCAGTTAATAGTCTGCTGGAGAGACTGTGAGAAACAGGAGATGTGGAGAGGGAGCGACCTTTTGTCTTGTCTCTGGGGGACAGGCCGGGAGCATTGGGCTGCCAGGTCAGAGAGCTGTTCAGCAGCCAGGTTGTGTGCAGAACCGGAGCCCCAGCTGCCTGAACTTGCAGTTGGCCTTTGCAAAGTTAGAAACCCAGTGTCACTAGATCATTAACTTTCATGACCAGGAAAATTCTTTTGAAATTAACACTCAATCCAAGCTGGATGCCATTGGAGCCAGTTGAGTAAGCCCGAGCCATCTTTAGGGATTTCCTCTGAAAAACGAATCCTTTAGCCAGGCTACAGAAAATAGGCAGGTTTTATATCTTTCAGTGTGTTCAATTAAAGTCAGGAAACACCAGCAAGGCACGGACCGTGGTTGCCACTCAGGTGCGTACACACGCGCACACCCCAGCCACATTCGCAGGATTTTGCCAAAGCACTTAGCTTCGGCACATGGCCCTGTCTGGGGAGACTTATACAGGAGCTCTCTGAGGAGTGTCAGGTGCTGTGCAAAGGAAATAAAGCAGATCTCCAGCATCTGCTCCGGGCATTCACTGCAATGGAGTCAGGTCCCCAGAACATAGAGAGCACACAAGATGGGATCAGATAGGGAAGCCTGGGCAAGCCTTGTTTACAAGGGTTCAAGGAGAGAACCCCACACAAACATGCCTTTGCAGCGAACTGCGGTCTTGGATAATTCCATCAGGTCTTTGAATGCCCTTTCTAGTTAAAATTGCAGGAAAGGGATGCATAATGCGCTTCCTTAGAAACCTTTGTGATCCCCACACATCCTATCCGTCTTGGTTCCACCAAACCAAACTCGTTTATATCATAAAGTGTGCCAAGAAAATACAGTCTCTTAGGTGGAAAGAAGTAAAACAGCTCTGGTTATGTCAACAGCCAATTCTGGGGTGAGCTAAAGACAGAAGAGAACTGAGACAGCCTCCCATTGTCTCCCATAATTGCCAGATAATTTAAATTCTTGTGAAGTCCATTGTGTTCTTCCATAGAAACAGAGCAGTTGTCTGCCGAGATGACCTCAGAGGTGGCCCAGCTCTCATTCAGGATTTCTCCAACAGTATCCTCTTCAGATGGAAAAACAGCCAGTTGGCCACAAAGGGCCCTCTTCTCCGCAGACCAGCGTGTCTGCGGCTTCTGTCCCCTTCTGGGCTGCTGCATCTTCACTGCCACCCAGGGCTTCTGGGTGGACTGCACCGGCCCCTGGAGAGATTCCAACCTGCAGGCAGCTGTCTCATCTTGCAGCAGCCTCTCCAGGCACAGCCTTGACCACAGGCCCACCCGCCTAGAGCAAGCCTCTCTGTCCCTCTTGGCTTCCCCTTCTGTTCCCCAAAGGCAGGCTCCTCCCCAGTGCCACTCGGCTGGAATAAATCACTACCCCTGGGCTGGTGGATGAGAGGTGACTTACAAGACAGAAACACACATTCTTAAAGCCAGTAGGAATTACAGGAGCAGATGGGCTGTAGGATCCTATTTTGATGCCAGGGACACGTTTCTGTATAAAGTAAATATTTTCCCAGTGTGGATCTCCGGTGAGTGTGTGGAGAAGCATATTTCCTAAAGATGCAAATAAGTCTAGTCAGAAATAAATATTGAATGGAAACTTCAAAGCCTCTAGATTCCTCCAGTTATAGGCCCTGAAGACTTCTCTCTGAATAAACAGAGACACACAGGTGGGCGAGGGCTGGGGAAAGGGACATGAGGGGGTTGAATGAGAAAGGATGCCAACAGTTTCTTAGCTCACGTTTTCTACGTATTTTGTGTGTATGTGTGTGTGTGTGTGTGTGCGTGTGCGTGTGCAGAAAAAGGCATATCAACAAAGGAATAAAGAAAACATGTCTGTCCGGAGGCTTAGGATGTTTTAAAGCACATTTCCACCCCCCACCCCTTTTTTCCTATTGTAGATCTCGCCTTGCGGATTTTTTTACCAACTGCCAGCCAGAGTCAAGGTCTGTCAGCAGCTGTCTAAAGGAAAACTACGCTGACTGCCTCCTCGCCTACTCGGGGCTTATTGGTAAGATCCGAGAGAAGCAGGATGGGAGAAGAGTGTGGTTTGCATATACCTGCGTTCTTTCCATTGCGCCTTGCTGATGTCTGCAGAAGTGAAAATCTCACAGTAACCTCTGGGCTGGGGTTTGGATGTTAAATCCTTGAGGACATGCCTGTAAAAAAAAAGAAAAAAAAAAGAAGAAAAAAATGGGATAATGGATGCGTGAAAGGCAGAGGCAGGAAGCGGGGATTACTAAGGAGTGGGGAGGCTGCAAGTGCGCAGACGGGTAAGGCGTCTCAGTTGGGAAACTGACCACGCAGAACAAAAGCAGAGAGAAAAAATGTTTGGTTATGGAAGAAGAAAGCGAGTCAAACAAAGTTAATTGAATTAGGGAACTTTGGAGAAAGGGAAGTCATTCAGGCTGGGGAAATCAAAAAGGCTGCTTCCCAGAAATGGCCCTTTGGAAATAAAAACCCTAAATACAGGGGCCCTGCTTGCTGTTAATGTTCTTGGTAATTCAACTCCCAGTGTGCAGTGGGTGATTTAGGCTAAATTTTTTTTCCTGAAAACAGACATAGCAGTAACCGTATTTTCTGTCTTTCAAGACCCAAGGCTTTAGAAGAACCATGTTCTCAGCATTCTGAGCAGTGTGATTACGCATGACTGCCGTGAGAGTCAGAAGGGAAGCAAACTTGGACCCCTGGATACCAGGGGCTGTCAGGGGGAAAGGCAGGTGTCCCAGGTACCAGGGACAGCAGAAGCCTTGGTGGCAGGGCTCATCTCAACTGGCATTTGGGAAGGAATATGCAGTGAAAGCTGTGGAAGGGTGAGGAAAATCACAGTTGTCAGAAGCACGATGGCTCAGCCAGGGTGTGTGTTCCTGCCGGCTGTCTGTGTCAGGGTCACACACGTCACCACTAGGAAGAACCTCTCCCGGAGAATGACAGCACAGACTACATTCTTTGTCACCAGAGCATCTTCAGCAGGCGGCTTTGGGAAAATCAATAATGGTACTTAATGCAGGGATGGACAGGTTCCTGGTACATTCTTTACTCCCAACTTTTTGGAAGGATACCTGCCCTGCTGTGGGTAATAGCTTTCCCCAGATCCCCAAGTATTTTCTATTTTTATTGATTGGGCCAATGAGTGTACCTTCCTTAAGCCAATACTCCAAACTTGCATTCACTCTCTCCTTTTCCCGAGTAAGTTAATCTCTGCTAGGGATGATGTATCAACTATGGAATTGCAGAAATAACAAAAGTAGTCAAGGCATTCTCATTGTAAAAAGTGTTTTAAAAATACAGAGAAGCCCACAGAAGAAAATGTTGAGTATCTCCAACTCAACTCTAGCTGCATCTGCTAACAGTGTCTACATCTTATGGACGTGAGATGTAATAGGTGGTCAGTAATCCACAGCAAGTATTTGGTTCACAAACAGAAAAGCAGTTTTTTTCCAAGCTCCTCTAAGTCAATGGATGTAGTCCCTGTTAACACTTCAGTCAGTGCCCTTCCCAGGTGTACCTGCTCCTTAACCTCTTTATGAGGGGCCAAGGCCAGGTACTGCCAGCATTTCCATGAAGTTTTTCCTAGGCTTGGCAAACCTTAAACCCTTACGCACCTAAGGATGATGAATGGAGGGCCCAATGGCAGAGGCAATGCATTGCAGAGACCAAAATGTCTTTCTCTGTTGGGTCTGGATCTCCTCCCCAACTTCTTTCTGGACAAGGCTTATTCCTACTTCTTCCATGTATGCCAGGGGCCCACCGTGGCACCAGGCATATCCAATGGCCTTAACCTCCTCCCCTAGTGTTCAGGGTGCCTGTTCCTTTCTCAACCAAAGTTAGGAGTTCCCTCTATGCAGTAGGTTAAAATGTTCATCCCAAGGTATAATGCGATGTTATTTAGTTCATGTCAGTAAAGAATATAGGGCAAAGACAGTATGCCCTTGACTCAGAGAAGTTTAGAACAAAATTATTTTTCTGTTTGTGATCCAAATACACCCTGCGGACTACTGACCACCTATTACTTCTTACATCCAGAAAATATATAAAAACAAAAGCCTTCTTGTCATCAGCGGGCATTGCCTGGTGTCGGCCACCCAGGAGAAGACATTTGGTTTGGATTAAGTATAAATAATTTGTGTGTTTGTGCCAGTTTAGAACTCATCAGAAATATCACGACAAGATGTAGGCAGGAAGGACCACCCAGCATTTCTTTGAGCACCATTGAGAGTCCACAGGCAATACTCTAGGAGCCGTTGACTTAGAGAATTTCCACTGTTTGTTTCCAGTTCTTTCACTACGTGGAAGACTTTATTTAGATCAGTTGAGAAGACCCCATATATATGTATATACACTCAGGGTGCAGGCTAACCGCTAGGAAGCTTCTAGCTTCCCTATGTCACTCTAAAGAAACCATTTGCTTCTGGGGGAAGTGGATTCAAAGTCCTAAACAAAATTGTTTAAGATATGTAAACCCGGCTCTATCTATTTATGAAGATTAATGACATTTTCAAGAAAATGCAAGGGATTTGGCAACTCATGCGTTCTCTAAGTTAATTCTTTCCTACTCCACGACATCCATACCATTTGTGCAGGAAGGAATACCCTAAGTGCAGCTCAAGGAGTTCTGTTATAATTTTTAAAGTAAATGTGTAAATTATTTTATGTGCTCAAGATAAATTGCCGAGAAAATGCACTGCTTAACATAATTTCCCACTCAGCAAATACAATGTCTGTAATTATCCACGGTGCATCCGCCGTCAGAGGAATATTGGTTTCTTTTTAGGCCATGGAAAAGTATCATCATACAACAATAAAATGCCTTGTTTTTATTCTTTTAGGCACAGTCATGACCCCCAACTACATAGACTCCAGTAGCCTCAGTGTGGCCCCATGGTGTGACTGCAGCAACAGTGGGAACGACCTAGAAGAGTGCTTGAAATTTTTGAATTTCTTCAAGGACAATACATGTCTTAGTGAGTTTGTAAAAAATAAGAAACAAAGGAGCAAACGCATTTTCTTCTCCGAGCTCCAGCTGTACCTCTTGTACCTTGTGCCTGTACCTCTTGTACCTTGTGCCTGTACCTCTTGTACCTTGTGCCTGCTTCCTCTCTCTGTCTGTCTTTCTCCCTTTCTGCTTAGTCACTGATGGTAAATCCAGCTCCTTTTGTGGGCCACCCCGTGTAATGCAGCAGGGAACCCAGCAAGTGATGAACTGGGTGCTGCTAAGACTGTGAATCCAAAGGCCTGAGAGAGCAAGAGATTCAAATAACTAAGGGTACATTATGTGGGAAAGAACGCTTCTACCCGCAGATCAAATTTTGATCTTGGCAGCCTGCGGAGAGTCTGTTCCAAAGGTTCTTGAAACCTGGGCGGAATATACAATGTGAGAAGCTCAGACAAATTAGATGGGGATAGGCCTCCAAGGACTCTCTGAGAAAAATTAGAATGTTAACATCAATAGCCCCTTGGATGCTCAGGGCTGGCTCAGAGGAGAAGCAACAATTCTTGAGGGGGATAAACTGGCGATGCAGGCAGGAGGCTCGGGATGCCCGTTATCTCTGGAGGCGAGATAAGCACTGGGGAGGAGGGAGGGGGCTCCTGCTTGAAAGCAGAATCCGTTCTTACTGCAGTGTCCTTAAGGCAGTTTGGAAACACGTTTCCCAAAGGGACAGGGATAGAGAGAAATGGACGGATGTGAACAATGGGCATTCATCAGACTCCAAAAGCACGGTGCCAGGACTCACGTATATCCACCCAGATATGCACACCCTAGATGACGATCCAGCTGAGATACTTGAAAATTGCAACCCACTCTGTGGCAGCCGCCATTTATTGGGTATCTTCTGTGTGTTCAAACTCACTCTATAGCGAGTGTAAAATATACATTCTCATTTACTGTAATCTACACAAGAGTCCTCATAGACATAGGTGGTTTTATCCTGCCATACAGCTGAGTAAAGCCTGGTAATTCACATAAGCCTCGCATGCCAGAGTTAGGATCTGAAGTGTGAATCCTTTTGCGGCCCCCTGTGTCCTAAGAGCTTTGTTCACCCCGATGTTGAGGAGCCTGTTGGATGAGAACATAGGCCTGAACTTCAGGAACCATGTCAGTCTGACTTCCTGGTGGGAGGGGTGCACTAAGTTTCTGGGAATCAAGGCTCAGCCACCCACCCCTCTGAGAGCCCTGTCTTCAAGTGCCAATTTCTCCATGATGCTTGGTTGGTAGCTAATAGTTTACTATGCATACACACGCACACACACGCACACACACACAAAAGCTTTTGTGTGTTACTCTAAAACTTCCTCATCATTTACTTTGTTGATAGGAAAAATTGAAGTCATTTGCTTACCAGACACTTCAAATAATGTGGCTGTAGTCAATTGCTTTGGGCCTCTTAAAAATAAAACAAGCTTTTGGATTCTTAAGTGAAATTCACACCCACAAAAGTAGTGTCAAGTAAGGAGACCTTCACTACGACATTGGGGCATACCAAGGAATCACAACTTGGACCTCTTATTTGGTCTCGACTGAAAATGTGTGTGTGTGTGTGTGTGTGTGTGTGTGTGTGTGTGTGTGTACGTATGTATGTATATTTCCTCTTTTTCACATCCATCTGGCAGAATGCAAGTTTTAACGAAGATAAAGCAATGACGATGGAGGTCAGTGCAAGAAAAGATTTTGCTCATGCTGGCTGGAAAACTTCTCCCTCACAGGGAAATTAAAGTTGTTCCTGCTTTATAACCTTTTTGGTGAAGGAGAGAATAGTCTGGTGTCTCATTGTTAATGACTTTTCAATAAAAATAAATGCATTTTGTCTGCATCAGGGGCCAAAGCCAGCCAGAATTTTTCACAGTCATTCCATTTCCACTATGACTAGATGGGGCACAGAGCCCCAAAGACACAGGGCCATCAGTTCAATCTCTTGTAACTAGAAGGAATTGCAATTTGTAGATTCCAGCCCAAATGTAGAAACTTAATTCTGCTCCGTTCAGATTAAGCCAAACCTCTCCCAGATTCTCCTTTCATGAACACAACTCTAGCCAATTGTTTATTTCTAGTTTGGGGGAGGAAACAGTTGTTTTTAAGCCATGTGCATGACAGATGCATGGGGAAGAGACAAATGGGATGGAGGTGAGGTTAGATATCAGTGGCTTTCACTCAGGTCTTTATTCAGATGGCACCTTCACCAGGAGGCCTTCCTGGATCCGTTTATCTAAGTACCAACTCCCTCTCCCCAGTCAATGCCTCTGGCGCTCCCTTGCTTAATTTTCTCCAAGCATTTCTCACTGCCTAGTGTATTATATATTTCACTTATTTGCCTGCAAAACCACAATGTGACCTCCATGAGGGCATGGACTTTTATCTTTTGTTGATGTTGTTGTTCACTACTGTGTGCCCCATGCATAGTTCAGTGCCTGGCACTTAGTAGATATTCTATTAACATTTGAATGAATGAATGAATGAGCAAGTGAACAACTGAACCGCTGATGTGGCAAGGCAAACACACTGGGAAAAGCACAGGTAGTTGCAAGAAACTGTGAGTCTCTTGAATCTACATGTTTTAAGCAAAAGCAAGGGTAGCAGTGGTGGTTCTTCTGGGCATTTAAGGGAACTGGTCCCTGTGTGCCTCTTTCTCTGCCTCACACTCACCAGTTAAGCCATGGAACATAGCTGGGAGCATAAAAAGCATTTATATTAATTTGAAGCTGTTTCTTACAGCCCCCAAAAATGTAAAGGTGCAGAAAACAAGCTTCCAATTTACTGAACTTAAAGGATAACAATTTTAGAACAAAATGTCACTTCTAAGAGGAAGATTAGGCTTAAATTATTCTGTCTTGTATATAGAAAAATGCCAACTAAGAGTCATATATTAACAATTTGCACATTCAGGTCCCAAATGGAGGAGTTTGGTTTTTTATACAATGAATATGAAATAAAAAAAAACCCTAAATCCAGGCCAAATCCCCGAAGACCTGATTAGAAACTGTTTTTTATTCATTTTGGGGAGGGGAACAACACACAACCAATTTAATCTTGCCATAAAAACAATCTAATCCTATGAAATTGTAATAAGCTTTTGAAGTTTTACATTTTAAACTTTTCATTTAAGCAGGGCTGCTCCTACCTAATTATGCAGATTTTGCTTGGAAGACTGGAGCAGAAAGAAAAAAAATAATCTTACTTAAATTTTCACTAGATACTGATGAGATTTGGGGTAGTTTTTTTTTTTTTTTTTTTTTTAAAGAAACTGGTTCCATTTTGCCTGCCATATTAATGTGAATGCCACGGAATTGCCTCAGTCTCATGATTAGGATTTTTTTTAAAAAGCACTAATTAGTTTCCTTTTAATATAGAATATTGACAGAGCACAAGAATTTTCTTGGAAAATGGGACAGTTATGATCCCAAGTAACAGTACTGATGCTGGGTTTCAAAGGGCTTGACTGATGGATATTTTAGGGCAAGGATCTTGCTCAGCACCTGGCACGTAAACAGGAACACAATAAATATTTGTTGCATTCTGAGCATAGCTAAGTGTCCAGCTCAGGGTGTAATGACTGAATTGATTTTTGAGCAACTGACCCCAAAGACTGGCTCTCAGCATGTATAGGGCAAATGGATGGATGCGTTTTGTTCAGAGAAGTCCAATGCTATAATCAGAATTTCTAGTGTGCCTCTCTGGCTGTGTATATCCTGTCTGTTACGTTTGCTGCTTGACTTTGAAATTGGATTTCCTCCTGTTTTACTGCAGAAAATGCAATTCAAGCCTTTGGCAATGGCTCCGATGTGACCGTGTGGCAGCCAGCCTTCCCAGTACAGACCACCACTGCCACTACCACCACTGCCCTCCGGGTTAAGAACAAGCCCCTGGGGCCAGCAGGGTCTGAGAATGAAATTCCCACTCATGTTTTGCCACCGTGTGCAAATTTACAGGTGAGAACTGCGTCCAGATTCCTTGCTGGGGCTCCCTTCCTGGTGGGGGGGTGAAACACGGGCAGACCCATTTTCTGAAATGTATGCAGAGAGAGATGACGAATGCTGCTCGGGTTTGAGTCTCAAAACTGCATTTTAAACACAACCAGTGAAGATTGTGACCTGTCGTATAGTGCAGAGAAAGTCCGACTATGGAACTGACTCTGTCGTTTACTGGGAGTGTGGCTTGTTTCTGGCCCTACTTTCTTTACCTATACAATGAGGGTTCTGGGGAGATGCATCTCTGAAGTTTTCTGTGCGTGGGGTTGTCAAGTTGGCTTGGTTACATATTTATTATGCTGATTCTGTGTTCTCTGCAAAGCAGCAGCATAATGAAAGGAAAGGAGCTCTTGAGTTTGTCATCATCACATGGCATGGAGTATTTAACTGTCTCTAAAGGTAAACCAGAGACAGTGTTGCTGGTTAATTCCCATGCAGACTGCTTGACGGGTTGGTTCTTCAGAAGCAAAAGCAAGTGCTCTTTGGCAGTAGGAGGAGCCGTGAGGAGGCACAAGCTGCCCTGCAAACCCCCGCATGTGGATACAGTCCAGTGAGAACGGTCAAGAACATTCTCTGGGGTTAATCCAGGTCTGCGAGGGCAGAACCACAGCAAGATAGAAGTGGTGATTTCCTGTCTTCAGTCGAAAGCAGAGTCTTTATCCTGCTTTTTTATTGATTTTTCATAGTAATAAGTACTCAGCTATTTGGCAGGACATCTCCTATTTGTATGTTCACAGGGTATGTTCACATTCTTTTTTTTTTTTTTTTTTTTTTTTTTTTTGAGACAGAGTCTCGCTGTGTCACCCAGGCTGGAGTGCAGTGGTGCAATCTCGGCTCACTGCAAGCTCCGCCTCCCGGGTTCACGCCATTCTCCTGCCTTAGCCTCCCGCGTAGCTGGGACTACAGGCGCCCACCACCACGCCTGGCTAATTTTTTGTATTTTTTGGTAGAGACGTGGTTTCACCATGTTAGCCAGGATGGTCTCGATCTCCCGACCTTGTGATCTGCCCGCCTCAGCCTCCCAAAGTGCTGGGATTACAGGCTTGTGCCACCGCGCCCAGTGGTACCCTCACATTCTTTACCCCTTTGGGTGTTATCCTCCTGATGCCTGCAGGAGAGATGCTGTCACTATAGTATCGTAGCTTCTTTCGTTTGAGGACACGGGGGCTCAGAGAAGGATCACTCTTGCTCAAGTCTGCAGAGCTAATGGGTCACAGAGTCAGCACTGGGAACCCAGGAGCCTCGTTCTTTCTGTGATTTTTCCTGTATTTTGAGGGAAATGGTGACCACATGGTAGCTTCTGCCTCCCGCTATGCTGGAGAAGGGGATGTTTGGTGGCCTATGTGCCAAGCACTGTGCTGTCGCCTCATGCTTATCACTGGAGCACATCGAGGCCCCCCAGCCCCCATCAAGGGTCAGCCTCACTAGAATTCTCACAAGATGCCTTCTTTCACCAAATACTAGCTTGACCCACAACCCACTTCATTCCCTAGAAAGTTTCAGAAACTTGTTTTGATTTGCTTGGTATCTCGAGACCCCTCTTCATCTTGGGTGTCCTCCACGCCATTCATCTGAGCTTATGTCTCTGTCCTTTGTCCTTCTGGTTCTCCATCCCAGACACACAGTCTTCAGAGACACTCACACACAGAAAACACTAAGGAGAGGCTGATAACGAAATGGCACAGCCCAAGGTCAAACAGATGTGCTTCATACTTCTAAAGCATTTCCCGGGCATTTACTCTCTCCAAAGCACTGTGCAGAGAAAGCCAGAGCCAGGAGGAGCTCTGGGAAATACTATGGCGTGGAACTGCTCCATCCTGCAGCGAGGCCGAGTTTCAGAGCAGGGAAATGATGTGTTCAGAGTCCTCCAGCGAGTTGAAAGCAGGCCTAGAGCCAGGCAGGGAACAGGGTCTTTTTTCCATCTCCAGCGGGTGCTCTGCACCCTGCTTCCTCCTAGGTCAGCCTTCCAAGCTTCTTGGGCCCATTCAGATTCTGGTGTCGGTAAAGACAAGTGGTCAGGTGAGGGGCAGGATCCTATTATCATAAGGTGATCACGGGAAGCCAGTGGTGGTTTCTGGAAAGAAAAGGCAAGTTCTGGCTACAGCAAAACCAGCTTCTTTTCTGCACGTGTCTCAGTGCACAGAGGGTGACTGCAGAGGCAGCGTTCAGTGTTCAGCCTGTTTATTAAGTCCCTTCTCTGTTTTAGAAACTTTGTGGAGATGGGCATTCAAAAACAAAAGTTGCCTTGTCAGTAAACCTAGAATACTGGGCAAGATGCAACTTGTCAACATTTTTGGAAGTTAATAGGTGACATCTCAGAATAGTCATCATTGGAAACCCCATGAAATTGGAGTTTCCCCCATGAGAGGAGAGGGGTCTGTCAGCCACAGGAGGTGTTCTCTTCCACACCGCCCCCTGTCCCTCCGCCCCCCGCCCAAATCCTGACTTGGGCTCCCCGTGGTACAGTGCAGTATGTGGCTTTGCCCCCAACACAGATCTGTCCAAACACCTTTCCCTGCAAGGAGGATCTGTACTGCCTCAGGGTTGTCCCGGCAACATCAGGGAACACAGGCGCTCTATTCCCCAGAAACCATGTCTTTCCTTTCCTGTTAGTGATAGGAACTCTGCTTCCTAAACAGAAGGACAAAAGTAAAATTAGGAGTTTGTGACCGCCTGGCCAACATGGTAAAATCCTGTCTCTACTAAAAATACAAAAATTAGCTGGGCGTGGTGGTGCACGCCTGTAATCCCAGCTACTTGGGAAGCTGAGGCAAGAGAATCCCTTGAACCCTGGAGGCGGAGGTTGCAGTGAGCCGTGATTGCACCACTGCACTCTGGCCTGGGTGACAGAGCAAGACTCTGTCTCAAAACAAAAACAGAAAACAAAAAGTAAAGCATGACGTTTATCTCTGGGCTGCTGTTTAACTCCTTGGCAGAGGGGGACATGAAGGCGTGGGGCTGTGGAGGAACAAAAAGTGGCTCTAGCCACACCTCTCTTCCCTGTGATATGCACAGTCTCCACATATCCTGGAGCTAAACAGCATTTGACTCCCAGGGAGCCCTTAGGGTTCCATGGAACCTCACTTTGACTCCTAAGATGACGACCTGCATGAGCCCCTTTTTGCACAAATGAGGCAGGGAATAAGGGATAAGGGCAGGGGAGGCAGCCAAGCCCATTTCAGACCCTGCTCTTGTCCTCACCAGTATGGTGGCCTCTGCAAGCATGCTAACTTCTCTAAGCCTCAGCTTCCTCACCTACAAAGCACATATATGGCTTAGCTGCCGGAGTTGAGAGGATTAAATGGAGCAGAGTAAACGTTCCAGAATGGTGCTTTATGAATGTCACATGCAGTTTGGTGTCTGATCCCAAGTCAGTAGCCACTTGGTTCCTTTACAACAGATGGAAGGTGGTGCTATGCTTCCTTGGGGGTGGGGTGTTGGGTGTGTGCTAGGGAACATTGGTGGGAGGTTACACTAACAGGTGTGTAGTTTTATTTTTCAAAACCTTCTGTGTGCTTTGCCCTCTGCACTCCTCACAGCAGCCCCATGACTCAGGTGTGGCAGACATCCTTGCCTTTTACAAATGGAGCAACTGAGCCAGGGAGAGCCTTGTGACATATCCAGAATCACACAGTAATTCTCTAGCAGACTAAGATTTCTAACTTTGAGGCCAAGGCACTTTTGCCTTGTTCCATGACCCTTGGACAGCTGGGATTCTTTCTCTGGATGAAGAATAGACAGTGAGGAAGAAGGAAAGAATAAGAAAGGAGAAGCTGGTTTTGAGAGAGCCGCATGTCTTAGTTCCTCGTGAGGTTCACTGATGCAAATAAGGGGTACAGAGGCAAAGCTCCGACTTCAGACTGGGTTTCTTTCTTCATGCCTCAATTCCAGGAGACAACATAGGGGAAGGACTGACAGTTTGCCAGTAATATTTTTGCAGCTTGCTGATTTTCTAGGGTGACCTCTATGAAGAATGGTTGAAAGGATCATCTGAGGCTAGAGGATGGGGGGGATGAGAGAGTGATGAGTGAAGGGCCTTCATCCCAAGAATGTGGTCCCTCCAGCTGATTTAGGATTCTTGCCTGGGCGGAGGGCTCCCAGGAGACTAATTCTCCCCATCTGACCCTCCTCTGCCTGCATGGCTGTCTCCAGATGAATTATCATTTGCCGGGGAGGAGGATGGGGGTCCTAGAAATATCTTAGAATGGCGTTTGTCCCAGCCACATGTGTCATGACTCAGAATAGAACTGACTTTAACCAGCTTGGGATCCATTGGTAACAGATTCAGAGAAAGTCAACTATCTTTGGCAGCTCTAAAGTTCACTTCCCTTGAGAAGCGCCCTCTTGTAATATTTTAAAATATACAATAATATGAGAAAACTCTTGGGGACTTGAGTTTCAGTCTTAACATTTGAGATAGATTTCCCCCTTGGAAGGGAAGAAACACGAATAAACATTTTCCAAAGTCTGCTCCGAAGTGTAATTATCAACAAACCAAACGCAGTTCTGTTTGGGGAACTAGGTGGCTATGGATATGGTGAATATAGGACGCATCCATGGTTCCTATGAAAGGCTTTGCTTTAAAAAAGGAAAGTTGATTGATTAGTGTAAAATGTTACAGAAATGTCCAAGTGCTAACCCCCTGAGGTGATAAAATACCGGGTTTTGGGTTACCCGCCAAGCTCCCATTTCAGGATTAATTGGCAGTCATATTAGTGACAAGCATGGCACAGGCTGTGCTATTGTTGGCCTATTCCTTCGACTTACTTATATGAAATGGTCATATGGAAAACAAAGAAACATTAATAATCCTATCAATTACTTCATCTTCCGTGCACTGGAGTGGTCTGGTA
Organism: Homo sapiens; assembly: GCF_000001405.40. Lineage (NCBI taxonomy): Eukaryota > Metazoa > Chordata > Mammalia > Primates > Hominidae > Homo > Homo sapiens. The sequence continues at coordinate 116,084,848 of NC_000010.11, read as the reverse complement.
GCTGGAAAAAGCTCAGGATATTTAAACCAAATGGACTGTGTGTGTGTGTGTGTGTGTGTGTGTGTGTGTGTGTGTGTGTGTGTGTGTTACTTATTTAAAGTAAATATCTTTGGAACGTTAGAAAAATTCTCTATTTTGCATCATTGTACACTGCTTAACTCTGGTGTCTTACAGTGAAGACATCTTAATGTGGTGTTTGTCGACCTCTGATTTCTGTGGTCAAATAGAGTAACAAGGATTGGGAGCTATAGCCTTGGGACTCAGGCCTCCTGAGAAGGTTTCACTGCCTCTGCCTTCCTTCAGCCCCTTGCCCCTGGAAATGCGTGACAGACCGTGGGGCACACGCTCAGCCCCAGGGCGAGCAGGGTAGGTGAGGATAGCTGTGGGCAGTTGGCACAGGCTCCAGTAAACAGCACAAGCCACATTCAAAGTTAGAGATTACTTTTGTGAGTCACATAAAACACATCTGTGGGTGAGACATGGAGGACCAGTGTGACAGATCTCATCCTGGTGGGACTTTTAAAACAGCATTCTAGAAGGAAACCACAAAGCAGCTTGCCTAGTCATGAAAGAGATGAAGGGTCCATGTGGATAATCTTCGAAAGCATGCTTCCTGTTAAAATCAACCATGCAGAGGGCAGCCGTCCTGCCCCCAACCACTCCACCAGTAGCTGCCTGGTCTTCTCTGGCCATCAGACCATGCTAGCCCTAAGGGGTTCACAGTAGAGACACCGTGGGCCCCTCTTTGTGTGGGGTGGGGGCAGAGGCCTTGGGGTGGGCATCTGCCTGGAGCAGAGAACCTGCCACATTCACTGGATTTCAGCCTAGGTTCACACCTTGCCAGCCTCCCAACAAAGCCTCAATACATTTCCTTATCTCCCCAGAGTCGTGTCAAGCTTAGAAAACAGGTACTTGTAGGATGCAGCCTAATGTTTGCAGAGTGGCAGGAGGGATGGAGGGCAGACCTAATCTGTTTAACTCCTACATCTTCTGCATTTGAATATTGAAAATAATCTATATTTAGATGGTCCCTTCCACCCTCTCCCCACGGCCCCAGTATCTCCTCAGATCCAAAGTCCATTTGTTCCAGATGGGGCCAGACCAGACCAGAAATGATTTCAAAACTCTTCTTTGTGGGGGCAAACCCCCAAAGTCTAGATGCGGTGGGAAGGCAATTATCCAAGCCTACCAAATACCCAGGACTCCACTGGCTGTGACCAAGTGAAAATTTTAAGTGTCGAGTTTTAAAAGGAAAGCTGCCAATGGGTGTTCTGTAAATCATTTGTGCCAGCAGACTGACCCCATTATGTCAGCTAATCCTGGAAATACAGGAGGTAAATTTCAATCTTCTAGCACGGAGCACTTAATCAATATTCTAAATGTTTTTCTTGCAATTTATGCTAGCAGAGCAATGGGATGCTTTGGCGGCCCGTTAATCTTCCACCAGAGAAGAGGCGCTTGAGAGCCAGTCCAGGGTGCTGGGATTTTGCACAGGATGATAGACTGGGAGGAGAGGAGGCCTGGGAAGATAGAAGCGAGGAAAGAGAGGTGCTTATTTCCACACCAGACTCCTGGCTCCGGGAAGGGGGTTCACCCCCTGTCCTTACCCCACCCCTCCAAGTAGGGTGAAGTAACCCTGAGAGCAGTTCTTCCGCACTTTCCTTTTCACCCATGGTTAACAGTTTAAGAGTTGGTTTTCCGGGAAAAGCTTGAGCTTTGGAGTTAGTTGGACCTGAGTGAGAATCCTGGCTCGCCTCCTGTGGCTCCATGACTATTGCTTGGTTTTTACCCTGAATCTCTGCTGTAAAACACCACTGAGCTCTTGGTTTTTTGTGAGGGATAAAGAACAGTGCAAGTATGCAAAGAGCCAGGCACAACAACAGGCTGACCCTTGGACTGGGGGAAGTGGCCTCCACTATTGGCATGGTTGGTGAGATGCATTAGAGATTTTGACACAGGAGGCTGGGGCCAGAAAGGAAGAGCTGCTCTCAGGAGCAGGGGGGCCACAGAGGAAGAACGATGGAGCTCTTTAGATTGTATTGTGTCTTCTTAATTAATAAGAAGGGTTTGAGGCTGGGTGTGGTGGCTCACACCTGTAATCCCAGCACTTTGGGAAGCCAAGGCGGCAGATCACCTGAAGTCAGGAGTTTGAGACCTGCCTGACCAACATGGAGAAACCCCATCTCTACTAAAAATACAAAATTAGCCAGCATGGTGGCACATGCCTGTAATCCCAGCTACTCAGGAGGCTGAAGCAGGAGAATCGCTTGAATCCGGGAGGCGGAGGTTGTGGTGAGCCAAGATCGCACCATTACGCTCTTGCACTCTAGCCTGGGCAGCAAGAGCAAAAGTCCGTCTCAAAAAAAAAACAAAAAAAACAAAAGCAAGGGGCGGTTTGAGCTGAATGATATCCTGCCAGTTCTAAGATGTGGTCTTGGTGGAAAGTCCCAGGGAGGAGGGGAAGAGGGAGAATGTTCTTTGGACACCAGGCCAAGAAGGAAGGGAAACCAAAGGCAATAAAAGGACTAGGTCTTCAGGGATTAGAACTGATCCAAATTCCATCTCTCCGCACATCTCCTGGGAGCTTCATCTGACTTACCTGCCTCTTGGAGCTGTGACTTGGAGCTGCCACTCTGGTCAGATCTTGGTCCAGCCTGGTGACCAGAGTGGAACTAGCTGCCACGGTCCCCGCCACATCTCTTTAACCAATGCTGACATTAGGAAGAGGTGATGCAGTTGTTAACATGAAACATTCTTGGTTGCAGAAAAGACGGTATTTGAGAACTAGTCCTGCCTCTTAGCCTCAAATCCCAGGACTTTGCAGTCTTTGCCATATCTGCACTCCACTGATCCTATTATTTGCTTCATCTTTGTCTTTAAATTCAATTATGAGCTATACTTATTTATATGCACACTACTGCCTTTGAGACTCATCTGAAGCTGTTACTAACATATGTGAAAGCATGAGTTCAATGTGCTTTCTCTATATTAAAATCAATATATAAATATTAAAATTAAAACCATAAAAAAGTTTGCGTGCTACCTAAAATGATGTCGTATACCACCAGTAGTCCCCAAGCCCCACTTTGGAAAACATTATAAACCATCTCATTCTATGACAGATCCCAGAACAATTTGCTTTGATAACTTAGGTCACCCTAGCTTTTTATGGCCAGGCATTAATAAAACAAATGCATACGCAGTGCCTCCCCTGAGTAATCCTCACAGTAACCTCAGAAGGTCAGTACTGTTATCATTCCCATTTTTCAGACAAGAGACCCGAGGCACACAGATACTTGATCAGGAGAGGAGCAAGGGCAAAGCAGTGTTCCTCCCTGCCCCCATTATAAATGGCTACACTGTATTACCGAAACCAGAGCACTTTAAACATTGCGTTTCTGGGTAACATTTTTCATCGCTATAGATTAAATCAGTCCCTAAATTCTTGTTGAACATCTGGCAGACTGAAGTGTCAGATTGGTTCATAAATGAGCATAAAGAAAAGTAATGATGCCTATTCTGACACCAACTGGTAGACCGCAGTACAACTCAATTCCGAGCTAACCACTCAGGGTGTCAGACTCCACAGGTTATGGCCGTGGTCCCCAACAAGACGGCCCTTGCTTCAGATGCCAGTCACACTTTGGGGTTCCCAGGCCACCTGCACTTCTGACCAACTAGTTACAAATCCAGGGGTTCCTATGACCCCCTCAAGTTCATTTCACTGGAATGATTCACAGAAATCAGGAAAGTGCTACAAGACCTAAGATTACAACTTTATTATCAGGGTACAGATCAGAACCAGCTAGACAAAGAGATGCCTAGGGCAAGGTCTGGGGGGGTTTCCAATGGAGAGCTTCTCTGCCTTCTCCCCATGGAATTAGGGCATGTCGCCCCCTTGCTGCATTAATGTATTTGCTGCCCAGGAAGCTCCCGGAGCTCAGTCTCCAAAGTTTTGTTAGAGTTTTATTAAGTAGGCACTATTGATTGAATCATTGACCACGTGACTGGCTGTCTTCAGCCCTCCTCCCCACACCATGGGGATCAGGAAGTCAGGCTGACCTACTGTGGCTCAAGTCCCAACCCTGTGACCCATGGTTGGTCTTTGTGGTAACCTGACCTAATCCTGAGTCATCCCATTACTCGGACACTCAGGTGTGATCCAAAGAATTCATGAATAACAGGCACTCAAGAAATTCCAAGGATTTAGAGGTTATCTCTCAGGAACCAAGGACAAAGGCCAGTCAAATTCTTAATTATACAACAACGCCTCATCAGAGTTGGTTGTTTTAAAATATAATTTTAATTCTAGAGATGCACCGTGAAACTTCTTTTATTTTTTAAATGTTTTATTTCCATAGGTTACTGGGGAACAGGTCATATTTGGTTACACAAGTACTTTAATGGTGATTTGTGAGATTTTTGGTGCACCCATCACCCAGGCAGTATACACTGCACCCAATTTGTAGCACTGTGAAACTTCTCATAAGGAAGCCGGAGTTGAAACTGTGCACTCCACCACTTAGTAGCCATTAAACTTTGGGCAAATTACTTATCTTTTCTGCCTCAATTTCCTCATCTTTAACGTGCAGATGACAGTAGAAGAGCTTCCTGGGGTGTTTGCGGATTAAATGTGTTTGTGAGTGTAAAGCATGCTCAGAATGGTGCCCAGCTCAAAAATGGTACTATGTAAGTTTTTATTAGTTGTAAGTTTCAAGGGGCTTTCGGCCCAGCAATTGGATATCACTGTCCCCCTTCGTCCCACCTTCAGTGTCAGAGAAGTGCCCTTAAGGATCAGGCTGGGTTATGGGACTCAGGAGGCATTGCTTTATGGGGCCTTTTTCCCAGCAGGCTTTCTGGTCTTCGTGGCCTGTGGAGCTCCAGTGTGTGGAGTGGAACTTGTTATGGATAAGACAAAGGATGAGGTCTTGTTAGAGTGGGGGTTTTGAAATGGAGTTTGGAGATAGGTGCTTCTTCATGAGAAGTCACTTGCTTCCCCTGGTATTCTCTGCTGAGGGTGGGCTGCACACCCCCCTGTGCCAACCCTGTCGATTTCAGTGAGGATTGTCCAGTAACCTCTTGGCTGTGAGTTGAATGGTTCTTCCAGGCCAGGCTTCCTCGACATTGGCACTATTGACATTTTGGTCTGCAAAATTGTTACGGGGGGCTGTCCTGTGCATTGTAGGGTATTTAGCAGCGTCCCTGGCCTCTACCGTCCGGATACCAGTAGCACCTTTCCTCAACTATGGCAGCCAAAAATGTCCTTTCAGCACTGCCAAATGTCTCCAGGGGGCAGAAGCGCACCTGCTTGACAATCACTGCCCGAAGCGAAGGGTGCCTCAGAGACCCCCCTTTTCCTTTATACTAACAAGGAAAATGGGGGCTTTTGAGAATCCTCGTGTTTCTTCCTCCTTCTGTAGCAAGGAGCATAGGGAGATATAAGTGTAAACTGGTGCACTGGACCAAATCTTTCCTAGGTAGTGCAGGCAGGGACAAGGAAAGGAAGCTGTGGTTACTACTTGTCTTAGTCCATTTGGGCTGTCATAACAAAATACTGTAGACTGGGCGGCTTAAGCAACAGAAATTTATTTCTCATAGCTCTGGAGGCTGGAAAGTTCAAGGTCAAGGTGTGGGCAGATTGGGTTCCCAGTGAGCGCTCTCTTCCAGGTTGCAGATGGCCGCCTTCCTACTGTATCCTCACATGGAGGAGAGAGAGACCTCTGGTGTCTCATCCTCACACCATCACCTTCTGGTGTTTTTACGCATCCAGCGCGCTGGATGATTACCCTGCAGAGAACATCTCAAAGGAGACTTTTGCCCAACGACCATAGTGGATGGAAGTGTTGTGCCAAACCATGGTCAGGCTTCTCACACATGGCTTTGAGGACGGAGGAGCTTTAGGAGGGGTGGGATTGAATGGGATTAGAAAACTAGCACCAGACATGTCAACGCTGAGCCCATAGCACAGGCATAGAATCTAAATGACGGTAGCAACGTGGATACCATTGCCTGGGCCTTTTATCTAAGAGAATGGTCTTGGGGCTGCGTGTTATTTGTGGTGTTTGGTTTATGGTCTTTGTGACGTTTTCATCGTCTCTGTGTGATACAGACTGTTTTCTAGCACCCGCTGTTATTTTTGTCACATAGAAAAAAATCCAAACCTTGGCTATATCTAACCTTGGCTATACCCAGCGTTTTCTCTGCGTAATGGTCTCCTGCTCTGGCTGAGTTTATTTCCCCACTCTAGGAGGAATGAGCTGTTGGAGGGGGATCTTCCCTTAGCAGAAGTGTTAAGCTGCAAGGCCCCTCACCTAGACTACATCCTTCTGGGCCCTCCTGGAAGCTTTATCACAGAGCTCTGGACCAGGCTGCCAAGTGGTTCCAGGCCCTGTGTGGTGAACCTGCTTCTCCCAGCATGGACAGGCTACCAGTGACCTCCTTGGACTTCATCTTCTTGGCTCCAAGTGCCAGCAGAGGAGCTTAGAGGGAAGCTGCATCCCAGAATCCACCCACGTCAGCCTTGGGAGAAAAGAGGCTGTTGTAAAAACACCTTTTATAATAACTGCTTATAGAGCATTTTCAAAGCCCTTCAGCCAAGAAAGTGCTTGAATTCAGAGCTCAAAATTGGGTATTACCCTGTTAAGGCTGCCATACAAGCCAGCATGCTCAACTACATTTTCAATTGTGTATTCAACTCGATTGGAAATGGACACATGCAGGGTATAACTAACTGGTACAAAAAATAGGAATTTAATCTTGGGGGCCAGGCCTTATGATTGATAGGTACATATGTGTGGCACCCTACATCCTAGGTATCATACATGTAAGTGGCAGCTATTCCGTAACTAAGCATTTTGCATTTACAAAATCTCACTCATGGGGAGACGTTAAGGGAAAACAGTGCTGTTCCTGCAAGACTTTTCTTAATCTCCGGGGCCCTACTAAGTGTCGCTTGTGCAGACTTTAACATAGGAAGCTGACTCTTAGTTCTGTGGTTGCAGGAACTTGGCAAAAGGCAGCTGCCATGGAGGACAAGCTGTCCCCCCCAGCCTGCCGACATCAGGTGCTGGGCTGCCTTGCTGAAGCAGCTGTTATCATATTGCCAGCTTCTGCAAACTTAATTCAAAAAATGATTTCTTTGTGATTGGCATGTTTGCATTGTAGCAAACTTTGGTTCAACATATTGTTAGAATACATAATACTGTAATTTAAGATTATTTTATCAGCAGTAAAGGGTTTTATAATTCATTTTAAAAGTTGTAATGGGCTTGAGCATCTTCAGTATAGTTTAATAATACGGCATTTTATAGCTGGCTGTAAAATTTCAGATTACGGTTTTAGCAATTGTGCAATTCTATTTTATAGTTTAATAATTGTTCAAATGAAGGAGAGTGTAAAGTTCCTAAAAACCAATTTAATGACTTAGAAAAATAGCTTTTATCAAAATCTATTGCACACCTTTAATGAACCCAGATGTCACCTTTTCAACAAAGGCAGGTCATGGGATCTATTTTTCTCAGCAACAATGTAGCCAGATGCCCTCTCAATTAAGCACATACAGTGCTGTATCTCTAAATTATAATAATTTTTCTCTTTTTAAAAACTCTTTTATCCCTAATCTCCTATAGCTAGAATAAGCCTATTTTCCAAGCACTAGGTGAACACCAGTGAGGCCAGGAGAACTCCAGCTTAAACAGGCGATAAATTGGTTCTCTCCAGAGAAGATTTTCATTTTACAGATGGCCTCTTGATCACACTGCCTGAACCCCAGCTCCTAACTCTTATAAAGTCTCTTATGAATACCTCCAAATAACTCATAGTTTACTATTCTATAAAGTGAATGGCAGAAAGGGATCCCTACCTGATAATTTAATTATATATTCTCATTACGAGTAATACAAGTGTTATCATATATTATAGCATCTGGGAGAAGGCATGATCTCATTGTCATTGGAATTATGGTTCATGTTATTTATATTTCTGGAATTTGCCATGGGTATGTTTTGAGGCAACAAAAGCCAGTAAAAGCGGTGGCCCAGGGATACAAACACAGTTATCACATAGCTTAGGGAGCACACCATGGGGAATTAGGTCCCAGGACCCTTGAAAACAAGTGTGATTATTGAGCGAACCAGCTCTGGCTCAGAGCCATGTTTCTGCTACACAGAAATGGAAAAGGTCAAAGGAAGTCCCATGTGGCTGGGCTGTTTCCCCTCTGAGGTGCAGTCTGGTGACCTGGGGTTCACGGCCCATTACCACTCTGTGCTATAAGCAGTGTGGTACCTTTATGTGAACAAAGGGCAGGCTGATTTTGAACCCTCCACCCGGTAAATACTTTGGGAAGAGGTCACCTGCAGCGCCTAGAACCCCTTTCTTCTATCACCCTGAAATGACACAGGCTTCCTTTTTTTTTGTTTCTCATTCAGTTCTCTAGTTGTCTGACCCATCTTTGTCAGCTTGGCTCCAGGGTGTTTCTGTGGAAATTTGGTGTTCCTTGGGAACAATGTAAGGCTGTCCGTGCCTGCCATTTGGATATCTTTTGGCAGGTTTCAGTCATCTCAGCAAAGATGCCACAGCTGGAAGACATTCTTGCTGCCTTCAGACAGGCATTAGCTCTGGGCTTCAGCTGTTGTCTCCTCTTATTCCTCATCCCAGAACACCCCAGTACTATGTTATAGTACCCCAGTACTATGTTAGTACTATGTAGTGGACAGCACTTAGTGATTCTGTGGTCCCATGGAGAATGGAGGCAATACCGTCCTTTGTTTTGCTCCAGTCCGACACTCACTTTAAGATAATAGAGCTTGGCCGGGCACGGTGGTCACGCCTGTAATCCCAGCACTTTGGGAGGCCGAGGTGGGTGGATCACGAGTTCAGGAGATCGAGACCATCTTGGCTAACATGGTGAAACCCCGTCTCTACTAAAAATACAAAAAATTAGCCGGGCACAGTGGTGGGCACCTGTAGTCCCAGCTACTTGGGAGGCTGAGGCAGGAGAATGGCGTGAACCCGGGAGGCGGATCTTGCAGTGAGCCGAGATAGCACCACTGCAGTCCAGCCTGGGTGAAAGAGCAAGACTCCGTCTCAAAAAAAAAGATAATAGATCTCAAGCAAAACACAGCATCAATTGTACTGATGCCTGACAAGTGATCATGCAAACAAGTGCAGGGTGGTTAGTTTCCAGTGTTGATTTTTTTTTAAGAAAAGGAGACTATCATACTTAGGAGAAGATGCTGAAGGGCCAGGCCTCTTGATACAATAAAATTCAAACCCTCTGCAGGCTAAGATGGAGAGTAGCTTAATCTCTTTGGTCCTTGGATTTATCATCTAAAATATGAGAATGATAAATGCTACTGCCCAGGAGTGTTATAATTATTAAACAAATTAAATCCTTCATCACAGTAACTCAGCCTCCAGGACAGTAACATTTATACCATTATTTTATTCTCCTGGGTGGTCTTTGCTGATGATGACATAGGAGGAGCCTGTGCCGAGGCGGCATCCGGTGACCTTTACCCCAAAATTCATCTGAGAAGTGAACTTGAGCATCATATAGGTGTGCTACCTTGCAAAAATAGACCAATTGTTTGATCACTCATTTATGATGTCTTCTCCTAAGCACTTTTTTTTTTAAACCACTATTCTCAAAAAATGAGAAAGACTTAGAGAGAGGATGGGAAGATAAGGTCCTCCTCAGTGCATTATGGGAAAAGCCATTAGGCCACCTGCACCTGTGGTCCAGAGGGCAGTAAGGCCAGCCCATCAGAAGGACAGTAATTCAGCCCTTGGACAATTGCTTAACCCAATTGCTGGGTAATAAACATGCTTAATAAAAAGGAATAGGACGTCTGCACCATCTTGGCTATAAATATGCTCTCTTGTTCTGGGTAACCTGTGAGAATACCTCTGAGCACACTTAGATCACATACTATAAATAAATCCAATTTCTTATATCCCCTACTGACCTTTTATCCTTAGGACTTCTAGCCAACCATGTTCCCCTGAATAATAGGTTCTGCATGTTCTTGAACCATGGAACTCCCTTATGTGGAAGCAAACAGCCCTGGTTCTCTTATTGGGTAAAATTCAACCAAGAGCATCCCTCCTCTCTGCCCCTTATATTTCAAACCCAAGAAAATGAGACTCTCTGGAGAGGAAACTCAAGACAGTGGGCACTGAGTCGACATTTTGGGAGTTTTCCCCAGGGTGGCTGTCCCCTGCCTGCCCCTTTGCTGCAGGGACCTCAGAGAGGCACTCACCACTGGCATCTTGGAGGAGCAGAAACCTCCTGGCCTGGCTTGACCTCTGACTTCCTACAGAAGCTGCATTTGCAGAAGTTGCTCCTGGTTTCTGGGGTGAAGCTTGGGAGGACACCCTTGGGCTCTGTATTCCTTTTCAGACTGTTGATTCTGTGCTGCCTGAGCTGTCTCTGTCCATGCTGGCTGTGTGAGCCTGGGCTTATGACTGCACCTCTCAGAACCTTCCTTAGCTGTCACCAGGATAATGAGCTGTTTCTGAGGGTTGATGTAAGATATAGGAGATAATGGACAGCCTGTCTAGCATGGAGTCAATATGCATTGATTTTTAGAGTCAGAGTGACTGGGTTCAAATCTCAGCGCAGCCTCTTCAAGCTGTGGAAACCTGAGCAAGTCATCACCTCTCGGAACCCCTGTTTCTGACCCATACGAAAGGGGAGCACACCCCTCAGAAAGTAGTTTCAGCGATGGGTGTATTTGGTAAAAGGCAGATGGGATCATCATCGGGTGAAGGCTATTTGTGACAGTAATGATCACAGTCATCATCACTATTCATCTACTTGGTTTTCCTATACTTTCTAGAATATTTTTCTCTAAAAGCACGTATTCTAAAAAACTTTTAAAGGTTTTCTGCTTTTACCTTGTTTTTTTGCAACACCAACCATGTTCTGTCTTCTGAACCAGAGGATGAACAAAAGCCCCTGGTCCGTTATGTCTCCAAACCGTGGTGTTTTATATCAAACCTTAGTTACCACCATAAGTCACAGAGCCATTACGGGGCCGCACTCAGCTGCACATAAATGCACAGGAGAATGAGAGGCTTAATAAATATTATCTGATGGTGATGAGGATGCATGTCTGATGAGATAGGCTTCATGCACTTCTCATCAGGGACAACAATGAATCTTTTCTGTTGCTCTTGCACATTTGCATTCCCAACTGCACATTCTGAGAAAACAAATGTTTCATTTTAGGGCCATCCCTCCTAGCTGCCTTTATACCATTAATGCTGAATGTTCGCTATACAAAACAGCCGCCCTCACCCCAAACCAAAACGTCTTCAAAATGTCTTTCACACATTTTTGTCATTATCTTATTGTTAATTGTGCATAATTTTCTAAAATACAGCTCATAATTGCTTCTTGTCTGAATATTTTGCTAATCAAGCAAGTTAACCATGAATGAAAACAAACAGTTCTCTAATATATTTCTGCAACCTGTGTCTGCCTCAGCGTGGGGAAAAGCAAAAAAGATGTAAGGTGATCCTGTGAAGGTATGAAAAGAAGAAGTAAGCCCAGCCAGGGCACCCTGTGAAGCTCTATGCTGTAGACAGAGTCTGCACGCAGCACTCCTTGCCATCTTGCCATTAGTGTTAAATTACAAGTACAAAGCTGCAGGCATCCTTTTATGGTGTGCTGGAGACTGACAGGGAAGCCCGAGGGAATGCTTAGCTAATGGAGGACTGTTGATATATCTTACTGGACTGTGTCTCTTTCATTGCATTCATTTTTGAATCTGAGGAATCACAGATGATCACAAGCCAGTTCTCTTCCATACAAAGTTCGCAGGCCCAATTAGCGTGAGGTTTTGCATTTCCCACTTTTGCCTCGATCAAAGAATGACCATCAACCACAGAGAGGCTAAGAGATTGTCCACAGCAACTTGAATTTTGAAAGGACTTCCATCTAGAGTATCACATTAGATTTTCACAACCCTGTGATTTGGACAGTAGGGCAGGAATGACTGGAATCATGGATGATGGTTGGAAAGCTAGGACTAGGAACCTTGTAACCTGTGCTCTTTTATTTTTTTGTTTTGTTTTGTTTTGTTTTGAGATGGAGTCTATCTCTGTCACCCAGGCTGGAGTGCAGTGGTGTGATCTCAACTCACTGCAACCTCCCCCTCCCGGGTTCAAGCAATTCTCCTGCCTCAGCCTCCTGAGTAGCTGGGATTACAGGTGCGCGCCAACATGCCCGGCTAATTTTTTGTATTTTTAGGAGAGATGGGTTTTCACCATGCTGGCTAGGCTGGTCTCGAACTCCTGACCTCATGATCCACCCACCTTGGCCTTCCAAAGTGCTGGGATTACAGTAGTGAGCCACCGTGCTTGGCCAACCTGTGCTCTTTTTACCGTGGCATATCAGTCAAGCCAGTACCAGGAGCAAGTTCTAAATTGTAGCAGAAGTTCTCTTAACTGACACTCATTTAGCCAGCTCGCCATAGAAGCCAACCTGTCCCTTTCCCTGCAAACATACTGGCTACTGCACAAGACCCACTCCACGGGCCACACTAGTGGACTTCGCTTCTTCTACCCACAAGTGCCCCTCACTCTCTCCAGTTGGGATGCAGGCTTAACAGTCATCAAATATATTTTGTGCTGGTTGTAGTTGGTATTTTTGCTTACATCATTTGCTAAATATTACATAAATCACTGAAATAGGAGCACAAAAAAAGGACAATTGCTTCAATGCAAACTAAGTTGAATATATCTGAAAAGGCAAATTCCTGAAAAAAAAAAAAGCCTTTGGATTAGGTGTGGGTGAGATGACTATAAAGGACCGAGTGCAATTATACAAACACAGGAATATTGTGTACTGAGATTCTTCTGCGGGTGTCAAACGTCACTCCTGTTTTTAGGAAACTGAAACCAGGAACTGTAGACCAGGAATTATAGGCGTGGCTTATGCAAAACATAAGCCAGGGAACTCCAATCAATAGACTCTTTAAAAAAAAAATAGAATAAAGATGGTCCTGGTCACATAATCCAAAAATCAGTAAAGGAGTGATATTTAGTTGGTAAAGTTTCGTATAGACATACCATTTCTAAGTGATTTTGCCCTTTAATTTAATTTCCCAATTGACCACCTATGGGCCCAGTCCCCAGTCAGGTCAAAGAAGAGGGTTTCTGATCTAGGCTTGGCACTAAGCTCAAACTAAATTGCACAGTTCAACTCTGACTGTCCCATTGGTGCCAGGAATCTAAGACCTTCACTGCTGGAGCCTGTCTGTCAGCTTCAAGGCTAGGATCCCCACACTCAAACACAGACATCTGGAATCTGGCTTTATTTCAACTCACTATGCACCCATTATTGGAGGCTTCACCTAAATGTAGCCCAACCTGTCTGAGCTATGCCTCCTCCAAATAAGGAAGTATGACTGCAGGTCCCTCATCCTGTGACTCTACCTGCCCAGACTAATGAAATTTGGCACCCCTGGGCCTTTCTGAAACCTGTGCTGAGTGAAATACCTTTACAAGGCCTTCTAAGAGTTTAATGTAATGAAAGCCTCTGGCTGAGGTTCAGGCAACACAGAGACAAAGCATCTTCAGGGGGAGCAGGTAGAGGAGACCAGACAGTCCCAGGCTCAGTGGTAGAAGAGTCACCCAGGGCTACTCCAGCCCCTTCTCAGAAGCACGCTTGCCCAGCCTCACCCTGGCTGGCCTCACAGCCCCTGGTTTTCTTCCTGGCCTGGGCCAGGGTCCGTGGGGCTTGGCAAAATTAAGCTTGGAGGAAATGGATCCCTTCATTGCTGAGCTCAGGCTCTGGAAGAAAAACACCCCAGCCCACAGGCTCAGAGCAGGTTTTATTTATGTGTCCACTTGTTTTACGCAGCTGACTTTACTGGACATTATTCAGACCAGTGGTTGCAAGTGATTGTTACCAAGTTTGTAGGAAAAGCAAACCTCCAGGAAGGTGAGTTTCAAAATAGAGAGTGGCAGATGTTTTCGAAAGGCTGGCCAACTGCTTGGGACCAGACCAGCGATAAAACTTCTCCCAGCAATCCCAGATGTCAATAGGCAAAATCCAAAGCCAAAAAAAAAAAAAAAAAAAAAAGGCTCCAGACTTCTAGGTGGGCCACCGTTACTTAGCTTGGATTCACTAACAAGGAGCTTCTTTTTTCTGTCTTCTTTTTATATACAGAAATTAATTTGGGCAAATTGGTATCACGTACACAATAGAATTGTTATATAGTATTACCTATTGAAGTCTTTAAGCAGGTGAGTCTATCTATTAAAATACAGTGTGAATGATGCTTACTTGGAAGCAGGTTCCTCTGCTCAGTTAACCTCAATTAGGTACATACTCTTCTTCCCATGGCTTGTCTTACAACGGAACATAAAATATGTAGATTTAAACTGAGAAATGGCTTTGAGTTCTGGACTTCTGCTTCTGGACTGTTTTGGGACGAACTCATACAGTGGTTTTCCCTAGCAAAGGTCCAGTTTGTGCTGCAGAAGAGACTTGTATGCTAATAAACGGGTATTGACAAGTGTGATAGATGCAGCTAGGTACTTAGTGAGTGCTGGAGAGCAAAGTTGATTGCATTTTACAGTCTGTGTATTTCTCTGTTTATTGCTTGTATTCTGTCATTAAGCAAACAGGTTCCTAATATAGCAAATCTCTCTAATCAGTAAAGCAAGGAAGAAAAGAACCAGAGCATCATTAATTATGACTATTTGGCTGCAGACTGGACAGTCTGTTGCTATTGGATTGGGCAACTTCCCCTGGTTTTATTTTCTGGAGGTAGAGCAGAAACTGGCTTTTCTTATGCGTGGAGGAGGAGAGAGAAATGTTCCATCCCTGCTGGCTGACGGCTGCCTAAAATCTGGAGCTTAAATACTGGCTTCTCTACAGAAATGGAGTCCTGGGGCAGCAAGGCCAGGCTCCGGGCGAGTGCACTTTTAAGTCTCCAATTCCATAATCAGAGTGAGCATGCTGCTCGCAAGCCTGACCTGTCCCCAGAGCTTGGGGAGAGCCTGCTGTGGGCAGAACCCACGTAGGGACTGGGCTGAGAGCTATAAATGATGTGTGCATCTCTGCGTTCTGCACAGGAAAGCTGCTGGCACCACGGCAGGCTTTCCAAATGCTAATCACTGGGGTAAAAAGCAGGAGAGGCACTGCTCTGACTCCAGGTAACAGAGGTTAACAGCCTCTAATGCATTTATTAACCCTCTGGTGCCAGGGACTGGCAAGGTCTGTCCCCCCACAATTACAGTGCCCTGAAAATTCATTTATGCGACGTGCCTGGACTTGGGGATTACCACCAGTGACACTTTTATAATATGAGAGCAACAGCTGCTGGAGAGACAAAGCTTTACGTGCCTAAAAAACAGGTTTCCCTGGTTTTCCAGAATGTAGGGAAGGCGTTTGGTTTGGGGACAGGCCTCTCTAGTATAATTTTCATCTTCCCGTTCTCAAGATGAAAACCTCAAGGTACTATATTTCAGTGGTGGTGTTTCCCCCAACTTAGAGTCAGGCAGCTTCCCCTAAACCTTATAGCTATAAATTAGAGTTAAGAAACACCCTTTCTTAAAAAGGATTAAATAATTCATTTTTCAACATACTGTAAGAATAGTTCGAATTGATTTTTCAAAAAATAAAACGCATCTTCTCTTCTTCATCTCTTGTTAAAAGACATATCATGTTAAAACCACAAACTGTAAGGCATGGTGTCTGCATAGGTACCGGCTGGCTGAGCTCTTTTTCGGCTCTCTGCATTTCTCATAATCATCAGGGCTGTGAGGCTCACTGAAGGGCCCCTGAACACTGTGCCAGCCCTTCTATTATTGCACCCTTGGTTTTACCAGTTGGTAACTCAGGAATAAAAGGTGCTTTTCTAGTTTCTAATTTACCTTATACCTTACAAAGTCTCAGGAGTTTGGGGTTTATTTTTTCCTTCTAATTTTCCTGGGACGTCCCAATTTGCAGCAACTGAGACAGCATTTAAAGTGTGTAAGTACTTTTTGTGATAGCTGAAAGCGGGAGACGCCCTGCAATTTTATCTGTTTGCATTTATCATACCTGACTAGCAAGACAGTGATAGCTTGATGATGTTTTCAGAAATGCTTGGGATAAAAGCCTTTAAAATGTGGAAATAACAGGTTTCTCAGGTTCCAAAGTGGGTTTTAAGACGCAGATTTTCTTAAGTAGACTCTGGATCTGCAGAGGTAGATTTCTGACCCTCAGTAGTCACAGGAAGTTCACACTGCCTACAGGACTCATAAGCATGCAACTAGCCAGAAGTTCACAGGTCTACATCCCAGGCTCTGACCCTCTCTCTGCAGCATGCCCACTGTGAGAGGTCCTGGACTCCCAGCCTGATGATGTCTGTTGTTGACCCCATCCAGTCTAGACAGCCGACACACTCTGGCCCTCATCTCATTTGGTGTGAGATTTAAAGAGATCTCAAACCTATATGCAATCCTTTGATTCTGCTAATCAGACTCACAGAGCTGACAGTGGCCCGTGCCAGGTTTAGGTGGAACTCCTCCAGAGCCTCTCTGCTCAACCTCTGCTGCTGTAGGGCTTTCCCGAGCACCCAGACCGCTCTGTAGGAAGCTTGTTAACACACAATGTAAGCAGTGTCTTTAGAGTCCTGTGTGTGGACTGCTAAGCCTCTGGAGTGCTGAGTGCCTCTGTGGGTTGGGAAGATGTTTAACGGGAGAGAAGGCATTTTCTCAGAGCATCCCCTGTAGGGATCTGGCTGCGTATTCTTACTTGGACTCAGCAGTTCTTCCAGTTATGCCAATCGGAGTGGTCCCCCAGGCAAGATGAGCTTGAGAGGTGCTGCTTCCAGCTTTAGCCAATGGGACTACACGGAGACAAGGCCAGAAACTGAGCTTTTCCTTTATACAGAGGCCAATGGGATACCCGCTTTGGGGGAACAAGAACTTGGCGACTGCACAGACTTGGAGCTGATCGAAATGCATTTTCCTGTGAAATTGAAGTTATGCCTGCCATTTCCAGGTAGAAGACAAGATCCTTGGAGTTTACACCTGTGTGTGTCTCCCTGGTTGAAAGCTTATAAATTCTGAATGTAGTGTGAAACCCTCCGTGACTAATGAGGGTCAGAAATCTACCTATGCAGGCCGAGTCCACTTAAGAAAACCTGTTAAGATAGAGGCCTTTTCTAGTCCATTGATGAAAGCTCCTTTCTAATCATTTAATAATGGTAGGATTATACTCCTGCAGTATAGCTAATGAGTGTCACAGATTGAGTATACAATGAATAAAACACTGTCTGCTAGTGCTAATCATACTGAACAAAGTAGAAAGGAGGCCTTCCCAGCCCTTGGAACTCTTAGAAGCTACTGTGGTCTAGGACACTCAGGCGCAACTTGGCTGTGACCACGAGCATAGGAAGAACTTGAGGACATAATGCATCCCAGTCTAGAAACCACGCTGCCTTCCCTGTGCAATTCAGTAAATTTGTTAGTTATGCAAAGGCCCTTAGCAAGGGCTTATGTCTTTTGTAGATTATGGCCTAGAAAAGGCAGAATGTGATGTTTTAGGGCCATTTTGGTATCTGGGCACAATTCCAAACTTGAACAGAAATAAAACATGTAAAGCACTACACATTACTCTCTGTAGGTGACAATGCAGTGGACCAGATTTGCTATTAATATAGATTAAAAGTAGGCTTTTGAATCAGGTTCAATTCCTCTTCCAATTTCCCCTCTGATCTTCTTATACATAACATTTAGTGACCTTTGAACAGCCCAGGGATGCTTCACAGTGTCTTATTCTTGATGCTTGTTTAAAGGTTTCTATTTCATATTCACAGCTGGCATATGCAAATATAGGTAAAGATTATGATGCCTCCCAAGTAGCATTATGGTCAATAAATTACTCCTTGGGTGAACATGCTATCATTTTAGCTTAGCGTGTCTTCCAGGAGTTGCAGAAGTCACAACAGGCAGCCTGCCAGTGCCATCCACACAGAGCTGGGTTGCCCAGGTCCTCCTTGATTCAAGTGTAACGCTTAACCAGGGCTCAGCCCGTTGACAAATAAGCTCTCTGTCTGTCAGTGCCAAACGGCTCCTGTTGCTGGGGATGAGGAAGGAGCATTGTGGGAGTTCTTTGTGTGGATTTTGGGGAGAACCACTGTGATGCAGGAGGTAGCACATTTTCATTTAGGAATTGAAGAGACTGGGTCTGCATCCTGACTCTGTAAGTAAATTGTTGTGTGACCTTGAATTAGTCACTTAACTTCTCTGGGCTCTGTTTTCCTTTGTAAAGTGGGAGGGTTGTACCAGGTCAGTTTTCACACGCATTTTCACTGTAATTATTTGAGCAATGGGACCTTTCCTATAATGAAATTATCAGTAGAAGCCCAGTGGAGGGTTGTTCCAGTTGAGGAGAAACAGGGAGTTCAATGCTTTCACAGCTCAGTCCCCTTGCAACTGCTCGGGAAGCCATTTTCAAATGGCTGGATTGAGTATCTGTACTGCTCTGTGTGATTCTTTGAGGATGCCCATCTGAAAGGGTCCCTGTCCTGTGCCTTAGCCCCGGATTCTATGTGATCCTAAACAGTGACTAGTGAGTGGTTTCCTCACTAGAGAGGAGCCCCAAGAACCCAGGGACCAGGTCCTTTTTTGTTCATCACTATATACCCAGCATTGGTAAACAGTAGGTGCTCAGTAAGGGTTTGTTGACTGAAGCAATGAATGAACAAACAAACAAGCCCAGGAAGGTCTCTGTCTGTATCACTAATAAATGCAGATGTTTATTGCAACGTTTTTACCTAGAAGGAGGTACTTCCCAAAAATTAACTTTAAGAAATGAGGGATTACTTCAAAACGTTTTCTTTAGTAACCTAGTCCTGGGCTGCTCCTTCAGGAGCCACTTGGCTTTGAAATGGGGTAAGTCTGAATTGAGATGTTCCATGCCAAACACACCAGATTTTGAACACTTAGTATGGATAAAAAGAATGTAAAGTATCTTATTAATATTGAGTACGTTTTGAAATGGTAATATATTGGGTTAAATAATATATATTATTAAAATTAACTTCACCTGATATCTCTTTATTACATGGCTACTAGAAAATGTTCAATTATATATGGAGCTCACAGCTGTGTCTCACATATTTATCAGAGAGCATTGCCCTAGACAGCTGACTGATGGATCATCAGTAATTACTCTTCTGTATTATGTTTGAGCATTTTTTTTCTTGTCCCTCTCCAGGCACAGAAGCTGAAATCCAATGTGTCGGGCAATACACACCTCTGTATTTCCAATGTAAGTATGTTTCTTTTGGAGGCTTCGTGCATTTATAGAAACATAGCCTTTGGGCCCCTGGGGGCAGGGTATCATATAAAGCATTCAAAGACAAGAAGGTATCCAGTCCACAAGAAATCTAAGCCACCCTCCATGACCGTCTGCCCTTTGAGCAAGGTGAAGACTTTGAATTCCAGTTCACAAAGTTGGAAGTAAGCATGGGACCTGGAATCTTTGTCCAAGGATTAATACAAGTGTTCCAGGGCCCTGAGCCTCTCTGTGATCACAGTCATGTAAAATCATCCAGCACAGAGACGATACATAGCAAATCTCACTGCTTACCAGATGTTCTCTATCATCTGTGGTGCCTCTGACCTCCACAGGCCCCCATGGGTAGATTAGAGCAGATACATTCCTCTCTCCAGTTTACAGGTGAGGAGACCGAAAATTCTGCTGTGTGTGGGCCCTGGTTTCTTGTGTAGGAGGGTGGCATTATGGGATTAAGCAGGTGCTGGTGACAGGGATGGAGGACTCTATCCTGGGGAAGGACAGCTGTGCTGGCTGGGAATCCAGAAGCCAGAGTTCTGGTTTAGTTCTCCCAGCAACAAGCAGGGCAAGCTCTTGCTCTCTCCAACTCCTCATCTATAAAATCTGGGATTGAACTGGCTCATGCAGGGAGAGGCTGCTCTGCCTGTCTCCAACGCTGTCAGTTACCTGTGCAACGTGGAACCCTGGAGAGAGGGACAAAGAATGACAGGGGTACCTGAACTCAGATATCTTCCCCCAAAATGAATTTAATAATTCCTAATGGAAGAGCAAGCAGTAAGCATTGGCCAGACGCTTTATCAAAAGTATCTGGTTCTAACCCAGGTTCATGGTTTCTTCCCATAAAACTACAAGTCAGTGAATGTAAGTCTCAGTGGTAAAATCTTGGTCAGCTTTGGTGAGTGGGTCAGCCAGTGGGGAGTCGGGGGGAGAGAGAGTGTAAAGTATACTGTGGTAGAATGAAGACATGCAGTGGATGATAATGAAACCATTCTTCCTTACAGGGTAATTATGAAAAAGAAGGTCTCGGTGCTTCCAGCCACATAACCACAAAATCAATGGCTGCTCCTCCAAGCTGTGGTCTGAGCCCACTGCTGGTCCTGGTGGTAACCGCTCTGTCCACCCTATTATCTTTAACAGAAACATCATAGCTGCATTAAAAAAATACAATATGGACATGTAAAAAGACAAAAACCAAGTTATCTGTTTCCTGTTCTCTTGTATAGCTGAAATTCCAGTTTAGGAGCTCAGTTGAGAAACAGTTCCATTCAACTGGAACATTTTTTTTTTTTCCTTTTAAGAAAGCTTCTTGTGATCCTTTGGGGCTTCTGTGAAAAACCTGATGCAGTGCTCCATCCAAACTCAGAAGGCTTTGGGATATGCTGTATTTTAAAGGGACAGTTTGTAACTTGGGCTGTAAAGCAAACTGGGGCTGTGTTTTCGATGATGATGATGATCATGATGATGATCATCATGATCATGATGATGATCATCATGATCATGATGATGATTTTAACAGTTTTACTTCTGGCCTTTCCTAGCTAGAGAAGGAGTTAATATTTCTAAGGTAACTCCCATATCTCCTTTAATGACATTGATTTCTAATGATATAAATTTCAGCCTACATTGATGCCAAGCTTTTTTGCCACAAAGAAGATTCTTACCAAGAGTGGGCTTTGTGGAAACAGCTGGTACTGATGTTCACCTTTATATATGTACTAGCATTTTCCACGCTGATGTTTATGTACTGTAAACAGTTCTGCACTCTTGTACAAAAGAAAAAACACCTGTCACATCCAAATATAGTATCTGTCTTTTCGTCAAAATAGAGAGTGGGGAATGAGTGTGCCGATTCAATACCTCAATCCCTGAACGACACTCTCCTAATCCTAAGCCTTACCTGAGTGAGAAGCCCTTTACCTAACAAAAGTCCAATATAGCTGAAATGTCGCTCTAATACTCTTTACACATATGAGGTTATATGTAGAAAAAAATTTTACTACTAAATGATTTCAACTATTGGCTTTCTATATTTTGAAAGTAATGATATTGTCTCATTTTTTTACTGATGGTTTAATACAAAATACACAGAGCTTCTTTCCCCTCATAAGTAGTGTTCGCTCTGATATGAACTTCACAAATACAGCTCATCAAAAGCAGACTCTGAGAAGCCTCGTGCTGTAGCAGAAAGTTCTGCATCATGTGACTGTGGACAGGCAGGAGGAAACAGAACAGACAAGCATTGTCTTTTGTCATTGCTCGAAGTGCAAGCGTGCATACCTGTGGAGGGAACTGGTGGCTGCTTGTAAATGTTCTGCAGCATCTCTTGACACACTTGTCATGACACAATCCAGTACCTTGGTTTTCAGGTTATCTGACAAAGGCAGCTTTGATTGGGACATGGAGGCATGGGCAGGTTCTCCTTTCTTTGGAAACACATCCATGCTGGGATGCACAGTTCTTTTCCTAAGGATTGTGTTTACTCCTGACTGCAACGTCTTGGCCACTGTTTGGAGCAGTTTGGTCTGAAGGTCATTAAGGATCTGCTTGCATCTTGTTTCATGTCCTCCGTGACAGACTGCAGACCATGTTAGAAGAGAAGGAAGGTTTGTGGATCAAGAGGGTTGACATTAGGTTTGGTGAGATGAGTTGCTTGGCACAGATCAGCAGAACAGGACCCTGGTGATAAGGCATCTGGCTTTGCTAACCACTTATCATCTTCCATTATTCTCTTTCTTAACTAAGTAGACCCGAAAGTGCACTTTTGAAGTCTGGTTTAGATGGCGAGATTCCGAATCTACAATGATCGAGTACTGGTGGCCACTTTTCTCCAACATTAAGTAAAGAGGAGGAGATTCCACCTTCAGAAAGTGCTGGGAAGCATTGGCTTTCTTCCCACATTGGTAGAAGAGATGGAGGAGGAAACCAGGGTGCACATTTCTACAGATCCCCTTTGCCTGCTGGTGTTTGCCTTGTAAGATAAGTCACTGGGGGGAAGGGGAAATCTATGAAATCCAAGATAAAGGCATAGTCTTTCAGCTCTATTGGTGTTAAAAGTATATTTGTGTCCAAATGTTAATCAACACAAATGTACAGTACTCAGTACTGACTTTTTTCACTTCAAAATGTTTTCAAGGGAAATTCAGCAGACACCCAACTGTATTTAATTAGTGAAAAGATCTATAAAGACTCTTACTTTGAATAAACACATTAAGTAAGTGTGTCAAAATATTTGGAATGCCAGTTATCTATGAGCGCATATCTCTTACAGAGTGTATTTTGTTTTCATTAAGGTATCTCTGTGTATCTACACTGGACTAATTTCATAGGGATCTGATTCTATGTGATCCACTGTAGAAAGCTACTGATTACTTCTGCAGTAACAGCAGCTCTAATTAGCATCAGATGACCAAAGCGGAAATGGGAGTTTCAGCGCTAACAAGGGCAGCCTTCATTGAAGAATGCATGGGTAGGCAATATATAAATTACATTTTGAAAAGCCTCATCTGTCACCAACAAATATCTCATTTTTCTTCAGTGATAAAAGCATATTCAAGTTACCAGCTCCTCAATTTGAAAATCAGTTGCTGATTAAATAAATAGGGGGAAGCATCTTGTTCAGGGACAACACGTTAGAGAGATTCTTATCAAAGCAAGCCAAGCAAGGTTTCCGCCATTCAGTGTGATCTTAGTTTGACACGGTGACCCTAAAACACCATCATTTGCCCCAGAACTGGAGCACAATAAGTTAAATCATTTACCTGTCTCACTTCTTCTTGGCGTGCTTAAAAGCAAAAATGATTCGCTACTTCCTGTCCTTCAGTCCGGGCATTTGGGGTGCCACTGAAGACAGGGGTTATCTGCTGAGGTTTGGGTGTCTTGCAGGAAGTATCTCATTGCAGTTGATTTTGATGAAACCAAACAGTAACTAGGGTCCATGCAGACCGTGACTCCCTGATTACATCTAGCCATGCCCTACTTATTTCAGAGAGAAAGAGAGGGGGAATAAAGGCAGTATTGCCACACTGATTAGAAGCACATTCATTCCACTTTGATGTTGAATATTTTTGACCGATACATGCTTGAGTATCTTTTTAATAGAGCACATGAAGGAAGAAGCACACAATATAGAGAAGGAATTGAGAATGCCAATTACATATTTATTTTTCCATACCTGATTTTTTTCAAGTCTGTAATAAAAAAAGTATAAGTTGAGATTAACATAGGTTATTTTTCATGAAGTATAGCAAACGATCTAGAATGTGATAGGAGTGTGGTTTCCATTTCTTTTTTTTTTTTTTTAACAGACTTTTGTGCTGTAGTAAGAATGTCTTAGAAGTTGTGTCTTCGAGTTCCTCAAACACCGGACAGGGCTCCCCCAGAGCTGCCTCAGCCTTTGATTTGGTCCATATTCAGACACTTCCTGTCTTGCATACACTCTGAGGATGGGCCGCTTCTAGCTGCCGCCCGTCTCCCTCTTGCCTTCTTGTCTCTAAATCAGACACTCCCAAGCACTCCATCTGCTATACTAGGAGAGTGGGAGAGCCAAAGCATTTTGGAGTCCATGTAAAGTGCCTGGGAAAAGAGATGTAAGAGCAGTGGGAGTTTATATAATTAGCGAATTCTTTTCTCAGAATTCAGCGGAAATGTATTTCTGTTGTTATTATTTACAAAATTGTGGCCTCAGAGGAGCTGTCTTTTGGAAAATAAGTTTTCATTCATGCAGTTAGTTAGACATGCACGATGTACTTGAATCAATAAACTGTGGACCAGAAAAGGGCTGCTTAAATGAATTCACGTGTTCTAATTCTCTTTCGAGGCTGTTGATGACCTCCTGGATTCATACCCCCATGATCTGTCTTGCTCTTGCCTCTGTTCTTTGATAAAGCACATCAGACTATGTGACACCCATCTTTTCAAGAACGACCTAAAAGCAATGACAACAGGCAGGAGAGAATTACCACTGGCCTGGGCACAGTGACAGCAGAAGGCCCACCTGAGCTTGGAGAGTTGGCGAGATAAGGCAAAATCAAGGTGCAACAGTGGGCCATGTTCCAAGGGTGAATGGATCTGAGAGTCCGCTGATGTTCCTTACTGATCAGAACAGGGACCTTCTAACGAAACAGCCAGAGTTCCTTGAATCAGGCAGAAGTTCTTTAGAGACAGGAAGCCAGAGCTATTGATAATATCCGAACGACAGAGGAAGGAATTTCTTATTAGAAATTCTAAAATAAAACAAGTGGGGATTTGGTTGGATACCCTTAGAAGCTACATTTTTCTCTCATCCCTAAGATAGATATCTCAAGTGTATATCTGACACCTCTTGGCTTTGACACGGCTCTGCTTCTCAAGTGACCATTTGTTTTAAGTCTGTTGTCTAGAATTCTTTGTGGGGGCTGGACCTCTGAAAAAGATTCTCACTGCAGAGGCTTTAAATCTGTGTTTTTTTCCACTCCCTCCGTCCTGGGATGTATTCGGTAGGACATTTCATTTATATCAGGATATTGGCTGATTCAGCTCTCTTTCATCGTTATTATTCAGGCCTCCCTCCACCACCTTGTTCTTTATTGCCTAAGTATTGCCCTCCCCAATTCTTCATCGTAATAGCTCTAAATTTAGTTTGACCCAAATTAATTTTTGTTCCAACAGATATATTTTAAGACAGAGAAGCCTCTCTCAGGAGCCAGATGATCTGAAGATGATGCTAATCCCCAAATACGAAGTTCCTCCAGCTAACTCTCCTCTGAGCTCCCTCTTCTTAGCTTTGGGATTGGGGATGGTCTCATCCTTGCCAGGAATCCCTTTGTTGCTCCCAGTGTCTCTGATGAGCTTCTCCTCCCTCCCAGAGACAATGCAGGGGTGGTTTTCAGCAGAATGTGCCACCTGCACTTCTGATTGTTCTGAGACCCAGCCCAGAGGGGTGGAGAAGGCGCACAAACCCTATTCCAATAAACTGCCTGCAGAGAACCACAGCCTGCTAATAGTCGTTGAGGTCTCAGCCCCCTAAGGTCTCCAAGCTCATTTGACCAGCGCAGCTGCGACTTCGGCTGTCTGCCTCTGGCAGGTGCCAATATCAGCATCTTGTCCCACTGCCATGGGGAGTTAATTTTTGCTCCAGGGCAGCTGCCAAGCCCAGCACCGGCATCAATAGAAGGTTTTCTCTGATTTTCTTCTCTTCCTCTCAGGCTAGGCTTTCTTACCAATCCCCAATTTTCTTCTGTAGGGCGCCAGGAGACTGGCCAGAGATCTTTAGACTCTTACTTAGTTTGAACATCTCTTGCTGCTCACACCCAGGCTTCTTCAGCAGAAAGCATGACCCATAGTAGGTACTCAGAAACTGGTTGAATGAAAAGCCTTGACATTTAAGGGCTTTATTCTGTCATACGGTAGCAAGAACTGGCCTATTGGCATCGTATTCCTGGCATTGAGCTGTATTGACCCTGAATGTGTCCTCCTGAGGTTTTTGAGGGTGACCTAGGAGAAAGGGTCTGAAAAAGCACTGGGATCCAAGTGACTTTAAATCTGCCCGTGGCATTTCCTGCTGAGAGGCGAGAAACTAGCATCTCTCCCAACAGGCTCACATCCGCCAGGAAGGACAGAGCCCAAAACGGGGGTAGACTTTGTGGGAAATTCGCCAGTTAGTCCGCTGAGATTTTAATCTGCCTCAAGCACAGGATGCTGACAAGAAAGGTAGACCACTCCCCCGATCCCAGACAAACCCCAGGGGTGACAACTTCTCCATCAGTATCCTGAGAAGCAACATCAAATGCTTACCAAGTCAGCACGTTTACTGAGTGAGTACTCTGACGGAATAAACCAGCATTTGGAGCTGAACTTGAGAACACAGGGCCCTCTGACAGCAGCTTAGGGAAACACCCATCCCTTCCAGATTGGCAGAATCCTTCCATTTCATGTCCTTCGGAGACGCTGTATTCTCTTTACAAATCATTCATGAAACTGAGACTCAGTCTCCCAGGGGTAAGTCCTGGGCCACGTGCAAACAATGGCAAATCCAGCTCTTCCATGATAGAGAAGGCAAACACACCCACCTTCATCCTGAGCCTAAAAGGCCACCTCTGAGCACTTGGGCAGCCACTCCTCTGGGCCTCAGAGGGCCATGAGCTTGGCCAGGTAGGCACAGCGGCGGGGAAGTCACAGCTGTCAGGTACCGGCCATGGTGCAGGTGGGAATAGGAGATGCCAGAGCTGCTTTAGCTGAGGAAAGCAAACAGTCAGCAGTGCTCAAAGGAGCAAAACTTCGAATGTGCACATTGACCCCTGACACCTGCAAGCATAACACAGATCCTAAGACTAGAGTGAAGTAGGAAGAAGAATTAGAAAATCCAGTGGATGTCCTGAGTATAGGGAACCAGGGCCGTTGAAAATCAGTAAAGGTTGATTACCTGGGGCGAGACCGGGTGACTGTGGCAGTGCAGGTGAAGGTACCCTGGACCTTCTCAGTTCGCTGGCACATAAGGCTCCGCCAATAAAGCGTGGTTCTCTCTGTCACACACACACACACACACACACACACACACACACACACACACACACACACAATGATTGGAGGGCTATATGATCCAGCATTAGCTTCCTGGTGTGCCAAGCATGCTTGATCGGGAATTTTTTTTTATTATTATTATTTTTTAGCTGTAGCTGAAGGCATTTCTCGGATGTGGAGAGGAGAATGGAAATCGCAGAACCAAATCAGTTTGCCCTGCCATATTTGGCTGTGGTCTGTCATTGGGCATTTCTGATGTGCTTTTCTGGATTCAGGAAGAGCTGATTGTCCTCCGAGGGTTGAAAAAAAAAAAACAGTTTCAGAAACCTGAATCCAGGGCCTTATAGTTCTCCTCATTATCTATCTTCTTCTCCCTTCCCTCGCCCAAGGGAGTGGGGGAAACACTTTTCACTGCAGAGTTTGCTTTAAAGTTTTCCCATCTTGCGTGCATTATCCCTTGATATTAAAATTATTTTCTCAGTTTAATCCAACTCCTGCTGAGAAGCTGTGTGAGATTTAGGCTGTGGGGTTTTTTTCTTGTACTCTTTTGGATGGTGTTGCATTTTTCACTCTTAACCCGAGGGTGTGTTTCAGCTTATGTTCGTTCTGTTTCATGCAGGTTTATAGCACGGTAGAGTAGAAGGCGGCTTCTGATTTTTAGGGTATTTTTAGAATTCATTCCTGAGTGAGGGGTTCAGACACCCAGTCTCCTCGGAACAGGGGTGAGGGGTCGACTGAGCTTTGTTGAGAAGCCTCCAGTTAGGCTTCGGGCGGGTCTCCATGTTATATTGTGTGTTTACTGAGCTTCCCACTGGTAGAAGATGACACATTTGTCCATCGTCCTGTGTATCTGCTTTCCAGAGGACACCGGAGCATTCTCCTGGGGTCACTCCCACATGGCTGCCTCACATAGCTGTTTTGCAACAGCCTTTATTGCCAACACCCTTGGAAGAACATCTCCTGTAGAAGTACAAGTTTTGCAATATGGACTTTGGAAGTGGTTTTGTGATGTTCGAATTTTCTGTTAGCCTATTGCTCAAGCACTACAGAATGTACATAGTCCCTTTGGCCATCCTCTCACCCCAGAATATCCTAATAAACATTGTTTTCTTTTTTAAAAAAAATCATTGTGGTGTCTTTTTCTTTTATCCCATTCACCGGAAAACCCTCCTGAAATCTGCAAACACGTAGAAATCCCCAGTGTCAAAACATTGGGTTTTCTTGACAGCAGATCATAAGGACTAAGTGTGGCTGCCACAAATACTTTCAGACCATGGCTTCCGAACCTTGGTACTATTGACACTCGGGGCCAGATAATTATATTTTGGGTGGATGGGCTTGTCAGATCTTATACATTGTTGATGTTTAGTAGCATCCTTTGGTAGCCCCCCATCTACACTTTGTGGTCAAAGCTATCTCTAGACATTGCCAAGGGTCCTCCGAGCCTAGGCAAAATCACCCTTGCTTGAGAGCCAGTATTTCAGACTCAACCTTTTGCTCATTTATGAGCAGTAAAAGGCAGCAGGGTGTAGTGTAGGAGCCTGCGGAGGAGACAGCACTGGGCTTCACCCCACACCTGACATTTATATTATGTTCTCAAAATGCAGTGTTATAATTAGAGGATAGGGTTGGTGGACTCCTAGTTACCATCATATTTGTATTGAATGATTTCTATAGACTTATAAATAGTATTTTGATAAAAGATAAAGACTTAGAATGAGGTGGTTTTTCTTGTTTCCAGCATCTAGCTCAGTGCCTGGCCAAGAAGAATCACTTAACATCACATGAGGCCATGAATTAGAATGGTGAAGGTGGCTGCTCAAAATAAGACTCCCCCATTTCCCTGAGGAAGTTACCATCTCTGGCATCCTTGTCACCGCCAGGAACTTTTAAGGGAAAATGTTAAGACATAAAACATAGTAATTAATATTGCCACTGTTGTTTGCTTCAGTATGCAACTAACAGTCCCTGAAACAGCAAGAGGAACTTGCTTGCTCTAAGACAGAAGCCTGTGTTTCACTTGCGATTCTGCAGGACACGCTTTTGTTCTCTTGTGATTTTTCTTTTAGCTGGGCTTTCCTATTGTCTTGCTTCCTGGCTCTGCTTTCAAATGACCAAGTTTAGAATGATTCCACAGAATCCCCAAGTTGGTTTGGATGAAAAGTTTGTGTGAACATTTGGACCTTGGCCTGGTGTTTTAAAGGTATAACAAAAGCCTAGATTTCAGCAGCTCACCTGGCTCTGGGCTTCTCAGGACAGCCTTTGCAGAAATCCCCAAGTTCATTCCCGGAGAAATGAACCCCAGCTGTCAGCACAGATGGTGCGGGGCCCGTGGGGAGGGGCAGGACTAGAACATTCCCAGAATCATCAAGCGGAAGTGGGAGACAGAGCCGCAGCGAGCGCCCTGGGGACCTGCAGGGTCCTCCTACCACCGTCCGTTCATATTCTAATCATCTTCGGAATGCAACCAAATCCCTGGGATGCAGGTGATAGAAAATTTAGGAGCTGGAACAAGAAATGACTAATAAAACCCTGAGAGAAATGCCAAGAAAGTGAATAAAATCTGTGACAGAAACAAGATACAAGACTGCTTGTGTTTGGTGACATAAAACATAAACGAGAACACAGTGATGTGAAAATATGAGCAGGGGTGTCCATAAAAGTCTCATAAACCGGCAGTGCTGGCTGCCCTGATGGGGTTTAGCCTCACGGAGATGTCTGCCATCCAGGCTGGTAGACAGAGAATTCACCACGTTTAAAAGATAAGGTGAGCATTTGGCCTGAGAATACTTTGGGTGGTTCTATAAATCAGGACAGTCTTTAAGAAAAAAAGCAAAAACTGTTTGACAATGTGTATCAGAATTTAAAATCCACATCTCCTTTGAACCAACAATTCCACTGCAAGGAATTTGCCCTTCATTCTTATACAGGGTGTCAAGATGCATGCAGTAGTATTTTTACGACAGGATAATTTGTAATAACAAAGTACTTGAAACAACCTGAATGCCCATCAATAGTGACCTGGTTAAAGAATTCATAGTGCAGCTAGATGAGGGAATATTAAGCAACTATTTTTAAAAAGTAGATGTACATCCACTAAACCAAAAGGGGTCTATAGTGTATTAAGTGAAATGGCAAGGTACAGGATGGTGAAAAATATTGTCCTACTTGTATAGAGTTTAGAAAGATAGATGGTAGACAAATAGATCATAGATAGACGATTAACAGAGAGAGGGATGATACAGTCTACATATAGGTAGACAGGTATAGCTATAGGTAGACAGGTATAGATAGATTGATAGATGGTAAATAGATGACAGCTAGATGTAGATAGATCAATAGATATATAGATGATATGGGTAGACAATAGATGCTAGGTAGACAATAGAGAGGTAGATAGGTATAAATAGCTATAGATAAATAATAGATGATGGATAGATAATTGATGCAGACATAAATAGGTAGAGATAGAGATATTAATAGATGATAGATGATAAATTTCTATAGATAGGTAATTGATCATAAATAGATGATAGCTAGAAAGATAATAGATAGACATGAATATTCCCTGGATATAGTTTTTACGTAGTTTTTACTCTATCCATATATTATTTGTACCCATTGTTTTTAGAGAATAAAAAGTAAAGGAAGGACAAGCTGTGCAACTTCTGGAACCCAGCTCAGATTCTGAGCCTTGCTCTTTGGAGGAAAGAGGTTGAGGTAGCCCTGGCTCAGAGTGCTCCCGGGGCTCTGCAGAGTTCCCTACTGCAGCCAGCCAAGCCCTGCACAGCCCAAGAAGCAGTGAGTGGCTGCCCCCAGCAGCACCTCCTGCAAGATTAATTGCCACGATTTAGAGAAGAGGCACCTTAGGGGCACCTGCTGTGCATTGTGTTGTATGGGAGGGTTTTAAAATAACTCCTCTCTCTGTGGTTCACAACATAAGGGTGAGTCATATCCATGCAGGGCCTTCCCAGCCCAAGGGGAGTTTGGGTCTGCTCTTCCAAGAATGAACCCCGCCCTGCGGATGGTAGTCTCAGAAAGCTCATGATAGTAACAGCTGTCAGTTAGTGGGAGCTCACCATGCACCAAGCCTGGGGATGGATGGGCTCTGTGCACATGATCTCATTCAGTCCTCACAGCAACTCAGATAAAATTAATTTCATTTTGCAACTGAGGAGACAGGCTCAGAGAGAGCAAATGACTGATGCAAAGTCACACAGCCAGGGTGGGACTCGAATTCTGTTTTCTGATGTCAGGTCCCATTTAGACATCCTCCTTTGCTCTCAGGCCTATGGGGAGGAAGTCTCCTGGATTCGGAGCAGGAGAGCTTGCAGGTACACCCACATCCCACGGCCCCACCACATTGCCCTCCATCCACACTTGGGGCTATGTTGTGAGAGCTGCGCAAGTCAACATAATGCCGCATGAGGTTGTCTTCAAAAGATAATTAGATTACCTCCCTTGCCTTAAGGAAAAGAACAGCAGATTAAAAAAGAAATATGACAAGCCATCTGAGTGCCAGGACTGCTCCCCTGAGACTCACTTCCATTTCAGTCCCTCATTCCAGACATGAAACCAATTAAAGTAGTGGAAACATACACAGTTAACACCAAGTGACAAAAGCCTGCCTAAGTGTTTTAAAGAATCTCATAAACCAAAGAGCTTCTGCACAGCAAAAGAAACTACCATCAGAGTGAACAGGCAACTTACAGAATGGGAGAAAATTTTTGCAATCTACTCATCTGACAAAGGGCTAATATCCAGAATCTACAATGAACTCAAACAAATTTACAAGAAAAAACAACCCCATCAACAAGTGGCTGAAGGATATGAACAGACACTTCTCAAAAGAAGACATTTATGCAGCCAAAAGACACATGAAAAAATGCTCACCATCACTGGCCATCAGAGAAATGCAAATCAAAACCACAATGAGATACCATCTCACACCAGTTAGAATGGCAATCATTAAAAAATCAGGAAACAACAGGTGCTGGAGAGGATGTGGAGAAATAGGAACACTTTTACATTGTTGGTGGGACTGTAAACTACTTCAACCATTGTGGAAGTCAGTGTGGCGATTCCTCAGGGATCTAGAACTAGAAATACCATTTGACCCAGCCATCCCATTACTGGGTATATACCCAAAGGATTATAAATCATGCTGCTATAAAGACACATGCACACGTATGTTTATTGCAGCGCTATTCACAATAGCAAAGACTTGGAACCAACCCAAATGTCCAACAATGATAGACTGGATTAAGAAAATGTGGCACATATACACCATGGAATACTATGCAGCCATAAAAAATGAAGAGTTCATGTCCTTTGTAGGGACATGGATGAAGCTGGAAACCATCATTCTGAGCAAACTGTAGCAAGGACAAAAAACCAAACACCGCATGTTCTCACTCATAGGTGGGAATTGAACAATGAGAACACATGGACACAGGAAGGGGAACATCACACACTGGGGCCTGTTGTGGGGTAGGGGGAGGGGGAGGGATAGCATTAGGAGATATACCTAATGTTAAATGACGAGTTAATGGGTGCAGCACACCAACATGGCACATATATATGTATGTAACAAACCTGCATGTCGTGCACATGTACCCAACTTAAAGTATAATTAAAAAAAAAAAAATCTCATTTACCCACAGGCTGTGCCTGGAGAAACCTAGCTGGCCTGGTATCCTACAACTTAGGAAGTGCGTGACCCAGCTCTGACTGCTGGGGGTGCTCAGCTGCCCTCCTCAGAATCCACCTCCAGCTGTCACCCTCTGTGCCTCTTCTGTCTTCAGTCTGGGGACAGCAGACAAGGGGAGGTGGTGGGGGCAGGGCTTAAATTTCTGACCCCTGAAACGGTGGCTGGCTCAGGAAAATCTTTTGGTTCCTAGTCCCTGTCTGGTTCTAGATCTTGACCTCTCCCACTCCTGCCCACACCTAGACAACCCGCAGGGGAGAAAGCACTGGGCTTGACGGTCCTCACCTTGAGGTCCACCACAGAATGGCAGAAGCAGCTTCCTTTGTCTTAGCACCTCAGGACAAGGGCATCTCCCTTTGAAGGGAGCAGATCAAGAAATTCAGCTTTCGGAATGGAGCTTCAAAAAACAGGACCCAAACTGAGAGGAAATTGTAAACCAGGCAATAAGAAAAACGTGGCTCTTGGGATGTGCTGTTCTGGTCTTAAGTTTGCTTCCCTTCCAGATAATGGAAAGTGAATCCCCAGCCCCATCAGCTGGGAAGGTCCAATATCAGAATAGGAGAGCAGCCACACTCTGATACAAACCTGGTTTATTTTCCTTCTTCCAAACATTTCTGTCACTGAAGGATGCTTCAGGTGCTCAGATGATGTCACCAAACTTGGGAGCATTTTAGAGTCCACAGAGCTCCTTCACAGGCAGGCATGTTCTCCCTGGACACCCCCGCTGGTGGGTGGGGAGCTGGTTGATCATCCCCATTCCAGGATGTGTCTGTCTGACCAGTGGCAGAGGGGACCCCGCAGTCCAGGAGTCCTTCTCCCAGCCCCCTTCCCCTGTGGCATGGCCTCCCCTCCAGCTCCCTGTCTTCTTTTCTGACGTCTTCCCACTCATGCCAGAATTGCAAAATATTTTAAACCACTATCTGCTTCTGCAGAGCACGCTTGTACAGTCTACTGTATTTTTCTCTTCTACTGAGTTTTTCAAGGCGGTTTTTTGTTTGTTTGTTTGTTTTGTTTTTTTTGAGACGGAGTCTTGCTCTGTTGCCCAGGCTGGAGTGCAGTGACGCGATCTCAGCTCACTGCAAGTTCCGCCTCCCGGGTTCACGTTTCAAGGCAGTTTTTATGTGGTATTAAGAGTTCTTTGAATAACCCCTGCTATCATTCAGAAAATAGCCAACTTCATGTGCCTAGCCTGGGGTTGCCAGAGATCTCACTGTGTGGTGTTCACTTGCTCAGGGGCCTCAGCCCTGGTGGATCACCAAAGAGAGCGGGGGCGGGGGTGGTATCTTCCTCACCGGACACTTAAATGACTCAAGGTTGCAAACCCAGGTGTGGGGGCCAGGGCAATGAGGTGGGCTGCCAGTACTGGCCCCAGTGGAGCCAATGACCTGTGCGAGCAGGGAGCCCCTGCATCCATTTGCACTTCACCCCCAGAACTAGCACCAAGCCAACAAAGCCCAGGTTTCTCAGACACTGGCACCTCCAGATCTGTTCACAGGCTCCTGCCCTCCTCCAGCGCACCTCCCCACCATACAGTCCTTTTCTGTTTGGGTCTCTGCTTGGTCTCTCTCTCTTCACATCTGGAGTGAAAGACTTGTTTCCAGAGGGCCCTCTCCTTTCATCGGTGGTTCCTCTTCTAAGCATGATGATTACATTGGGTCTTCAGGGGAGCCTACGAGGCAGGAGCTGCAGTCTCTCTTTTGCCAATAGGAAATAGAGGTTAAGTAACTTGGCAAAGTCCCACAAATCAGAGAGGACCGTGGAGTCTGAATCCAGGCAGCCTGATTCAAGGGTCTGCTTTGTAACCTCTGTGTCATCCTGCGACAGCCTGAAGAGGTTTCCTGCAAATCGCATCATTTTCAAAGCCACGAAAGGAAAAGATCTTTAAGGAAACATGAGGTGTTACATTGGTCATCCTTTAGGATGGTGAATAACCAATGCATGTGCTTGGATTTCTTCTTAATTTGGGATTTACCGAGAGTGAAACAGAACTTCCTTAAGTGGTCATTTCATGGACGACGTTTTAAAAGTCTGACTCCAGACTCAGCCTGTAAGTCTCATATTCAGCTCCACTGCCAGAAGGTGAAAAGTGAACAACAGTCACTCCCAGGCAGGACTCCAGCAGTCAAGTGCTCCTTTGCAGGGGAAGGCTACACCGAGGGAGCAGCAGATCCCAGGAGGGTGGAGAGGATCCCACGGTGGCCTTGTTAAGTTCAGGATGCCTATGACCTCCCCAGTCACCAGCTTCAGGTTCCATAATTCAGGTTGACTTGTTCCTCTCCCTCCCTGCCTGTATCCCATTAGCCAGCAAGCCTCCGCCCTCCCTTCTGTCCCTGCACCTCCACCTGTGGGCTCTCCCCTGCGACCGCATCTGTCCTTTCCTCTCCACACTGATTTTCTCAAAGTCCACTGTCACCAGGCTCTCAAGGCTTCCCAGGTTCTGACTCCAAGCTACCTCTCTACTTTCACTCCCACTTTCTCCTTGCACCCAAATAAGCAGATCTCCTCACCACTTTCTCCACCGCCCCCATCCCTCCATCTCCCCCGCTCACCGACCCATCCCTCAGCTCCTCTCTGGGAAGCCTTCCAAGTCACTCCAGTTGACAACGAGTTTTCCATCTTTGGGGAGCCCAACTCTCATGGGCTCACTCCTATGCTCCCATGTGACCTGGTGGTTCTGTGAACATGAGCCTCCCCGCCCCAGCAAGGCTGGAAATGTTACTAGTGGAGGGTGTCCAGGTTTTCGGCACTTTGAACAAAGAATTGGACAAAACACACAAACGAAGCAAAGAAAGAATGAAGCAACAAAAGCAGAGATTTATTGAAAATGAAAACACACTCCACAGGGTGAGAACAGGCCTGAGCAAGCAGCTCAAGCACCCAGTTACAGAATTTTCCAGGGTTTAAATACTCTCTGGTGGTTTCCTATTGGTTTCTTGGTGTGAACTCTATGTAAGTGAAGTCGTGGCATGCAATCAGTCTGGTTGGTTGGGAAAAGCGACCAATCAGAGGCTAAAGTGAAGTTACAAAGACACTCCTATGCAAATGAAGACTCGGCCTGCAACCAACCTCACTGGTTGCAGGAGGGAACCAATCAGAGGTACTTTCAATTTTTCATCTGCCCTGCAGAAAAAGAGGGGGGTTGCAAAGGGAGTAGCCTCTGGTCCTTTTGTTACTTGGGTGTGGAAAGTTGGAGTTTTCCTTTTAATTTGGTTCTAGGAAGTCAGTATGAATAGGCCTTAGGTTCCCTGCCCTCCAGACCCTATTCCCCTGCCTCAGAGACACCCCCGGAAAGAGAGGACAGACTTCTCTGTGTGTTCCCAATACACAGACTCTGAATATACAGACTCTGGAGATGAAGTGGCTTGACTTCTCTGAGCCTCAGTTTCCCCCGTTTTGTCCAATGGAGTAAATAATACAACCTGCCTCAGGGAGTTGCTGTGAAGTTACTGTGTTGGTAACAGCTGCTGTTGTAAAGAAGATGACAACAAAAACTGATGGTGACGCTAACAGTAAAACTGAAGGTGATGCTGGGACCCAGGAGGGCATTTAGGTCATTTAGTAGGAGTCTGAATGTGCACTTTTTCATTTTTGAGACTGTCTTCCAGGCTGGAGTGCAGTGGCACTATCTCTGCTCACTGCAATCCCCACCTCCCAGGCTCAAGCGATCCTCCTGCCTCAGCCTCCTGAGCTGAGACTACAAGTGCATGCCACACACACAGTTAATTTTTGTATATTTTGTAGAGACAGGGTTTCGCCATGTTGGCCAGGCTGGTCTTGAACTCCTGGGCTCAAGCGATCCACCCGCCTCAGCCTCCCAAAGTGCTGGGTTTACAGGTGTGAGCTACTGCGCCTGGCCACTGACTTATTCTTGAAAGAATAGATGAACTGGGTTTCCCTCAGGCTCATTCCTTCCTCTATTAGAAAGTTCACTGGAGGCCTATCATGTGATGGACGCTATCTTTGGGAAACAGGGAAATATGATTCCTGCCCTCATGGAAGTTTATTTACTTTTCTCTCTTCCCTCTGTTCAGACCTTGAAGAATTCAGACTTTTGAGGGAATGGAGGGAGCCTCTCACTCTAGGGAGGTCATTCCATCTGTTCTGCCTCTGGGACGTACGACAGAACCTATG
Organism: Homo sapiens; assembly: GCF_000001405.40. Classification (NCBI taxonomy): domain Eukaryota; kingdom Metazoa; phylum Chordata; class Mammalia; order Primates; family Hominidae; genus Homo; species Homo sapiens. Next base: position 116,048,210 of record NC_000010.11, on the reverse strand, counting down.
ACATCCCAAAAGACAGCTGGTTCTTCTAATACACAATAAGATTCTCCTGAGTTACAGTGCCTCATATGCCCTCGTTCATTGATTTTGTTAGGAGAGACTGAAGTCTCCAAAAGATTGCCAAGTGCCTGCTACCATCTACTAAATTCTTGCAAGACAGGGCTTTAGTAATTCATAACGCCTCAGCATGTTTACCCAGTTAAATGACATTGTTTCAGCATTTGGTAGAGAAGAGCCATTTCTGCATCTACTCAATCCTGTCACTTAATTGTCATTGTATAGGAGTTCATTAACATTCCCTTAATTTGCTATGAAGAGTTAAAAGGCTTTCAAATCTAGTCAAATTCAAAACCAGTTTATTTGCCTTTTATGATGATGGAAATGATGTGCACTGTAAATAACCTTATGTTCAACATTCAGCGATATTAATTTCACTCAACTTCATGACTTAAGGTCAAATACGTTAATCAAAGCCACTGTCATTAACACAGTTTCCTTTTCTATTAAGCGATTAAGATCACTTACTATTAATGAGTCGTGAAGTTTTAATAAATTTTTGCTGGTGTGAAATTACAAAACAGTAATTATGACACATACTGTATGGATGGCTTGTTCCACGATGTAAATTTGGCCCAGTGTTGGTAAAATACAAAAGAACCGCAAATAATTAATTAGTTGCTGCCATGGCACCAAAATAAGGCTTCACTATGAAAGCAAATGAATGAAAAATGAAGAGCCTTTTGTTGTTATTAGTGAACTGTTACACAGTGAGACCTGGGCACTCAAAAAGGCCTGATCCCTCAAAAATGACATTTTGACTGGAGCTGGAGGAGAAATATCTGCAAGAATTCTTTTGGGTTGAAGTCCATTTTTCTGGCATGGGGCTGATTGTATAACAGTATGGGGCAGGAGGAGGATTTTGAAATAAAATTAAATGTTGATGCAGATGGATTGATGGGAATGGTACCAAAGAATTAGCATCTCAAGACTGAGAGAGCTCCTGTGAGCCTGGGAGAGACACAGAGTCCTCAAGGATTTACCACCTACATTGAGAGTTCGTTGCAGAACACATCGCGGTCCCTAAAGGATTATGTCACAATGAAGATTCCTGGGCACTGCCCCCAGAAATGTTGGTTCAGTGAGTCTGGAATAGGGCCTAGGTGTCTGCATACACGCAGGACAATTCTGATACAGGTGGTCTCTGGCACACACTTTGAGAAGTAATAATCTAGAAGGCCTAAACCACAATTCTTCAAAACTATATAGGAGTCAAAATCCTCACCGCAAACACTAATGTACCAAGCCCCATATTAAGCACAAGATCATAAATTTTCTACATTGTTTACAATCAAGTAAGAAAGGGATATGTATATAAATAACAAATATATCATCATCTAAGATTTCCTGAGCATTTGCTTATAATGTGCCACACACAGAGCTGAGTATTTTATATGTACAATCAGATTTGACCTCAACACAACCCCATTCTTCAAATCTGGAAACTGAGTCACAGAGAGATTACATAACTTGCCCAAGGTCACACAGCCAGCAAGTGTCAAGCTAAGAAGTGGGCTCTATTAGGCAGGCAGTAGGCAGCAACCGAACATGTTTAGATAGGGGAGAAACACAACCAGAGGGCTTAGGAATGTCTCCTGGGACAGCGCTGTGAAGCAGGGACTGGGGTGGACGCAGGTGAGCCCCCTGGGTAGCAGTTTCAGTTGTCCAGGGCAGTGGTTTGCGAACTGCTCCCCAGAGCCTTGGAGGTTTTGGGGTGTGTCCAAGGCTGGATGCTGAGGTGGAGGTTTAAGTAGAGTTCCTTATCCTTTTGCTGTCCCCTTGACACCCCCATTCACATTTTATATCTGCTGTTGGAGAATGCTATCATGTGACAAAATGTCTGAAAACCCCTGGCTTGAGGCACGCAAGAAAGGGGCAGAAGGTAGAAGTGCAGGCTCAGAAATGCTTCCAGGATGGGACAGGTGGGAGCCATGAGACTGAGTTGGAAGTTGGGCCCGGGTTGTTTAACCTGCTGGCACAGGGCTTGGTGAGACAGTTCATCTGGAAGTCAAGAGACAAGTCCAGAGTTTGGGGATGGAAGATTTGATATTTATTTTGGAGTCATCTGTGGCCAGGGAATTTATTCTAGAAGGAACACAGCCAGCCAGTTTCTGAGTGAGGCTGAGAAGGACCCAAGTGCCTGTTCTGTTCTGGGTACCGTGCCAGGGACGGTAAACATCTATCACTAGCCCTAGGAGGTCTGCACTCCTAGGGCGGATGCTGTGCCCACCTGGCAGAGAAGGCTTACTGAGTTGCAGCAGAGAAGGCTGCACCATCGACACAGCAGCTACCCTCACTGAGCACTCACACATGCCAAAGCACTTAAATATCATCTCATTTACTCCTCGGGAAAGCCCAGGAGGAAGACACCGTTATTTCCTCTGTTTTAAAGATGAGACTAATAAACGTATCGCATGTGGGTAAGTGAGATTCCAAAGCTTGTGTTCTTTTCTCTCCACCTGTGATGATATTGATAAGACCAGCTTCTATCTTAAGAATTAAACAACAAAAGACAGGGCAGCTTCCGTTATACACTATAACCCAGACAGATGGGACCTGCCAGTTATGCTAATTCACAACTACGCAGCTGAGCCTTGCAAACACTTTTCAAAGCCAGCCCCAGCTTGGGGTCACCCCTCCTGCAAGGAGAGGCAGTTTGTCTAAATACAAAAATAGGCGAAAAGGGTCCAAGAAGCAGAACTCCCACCCAAGGTGGCCAAGTAAGAGGGAAGGGATACAAAATATGTCAGAAACTGGATAAGGCATTTCCTATTACCCATCAAACACCTTATTACACTGAATAGGTTATGTGGGAAAGATTTCTTTCCCTTAACCATTGCAATTGTCAATGTGAAGCACGAGTCTTCCAAGAATTTTCTGTCAAGCTCCTCACTAACCAGTCTCAGACCTCACAACCGGAACCACAGTGCCTCTGCCCCATTAGTGCCCCATCCGAAGGCTTGTCCTGGTTTGCCAAGATCAGTGTAAGAGCCAAGCCACAGTGGCAAATGCTACTGTCTGTGTTCTTCACACATAGGGTTATCACCCTTATTTTTAGCAACACTAGTGTCATTTAGCCTTACTTTATTAAGTTTTTATCCGTCTTTACTCAGGCAGGAGGCAAACACTGATAAGTGACTTGAAGACAAGGTAGGGCCAATGTGGAAACAAAAATAAAGATGCAGTAATCTGTAAATAGCTCCAGGGAACCATGTTTCCAAAGAGAGAGAGAGAAGCTGAGATGGCCCATTGCCCAGATTCCAGGGTAGGACTGCCTGTGATGTGGGAATTGCCCCTCTCTGGCCACAGGACAGCTTGGTTCAAGTATGTAACAACTCACCCCCTAGGGATTATCCTAGAATAGCCACTGGTTTCATTTTAAATGGTGAAAACAAGAATGAATATCTAATTTTTGTTGAGCACTAACTGTGTACCAAGAACTCTGCTCAGTGTTCCTGGGTACCTCTTCCCTGAGGCAAGGTGCACCAGCAGGACCCAGGTAGATCCACGTTTCTCAGAATGAGAAGGCTGCACAGGTCTCATTGTCAAAGCCTCTGCTGGGTTTGTCAGTCCTGGAAGTCTCCAGGGCTCCAGGGCACAACATTAACAGTGATTCTTTCCAGATGGCAGGACCATGGGCGATTTCTCTCTACTTTTTCATAAATTTTAAATGTTCAATATGGAACAATTAGTTTACACCATGAAAAGCATATCAAACTCTACTTTTCAAAAGTGTGCCAATCTATTAATTTGTCAGGTATAATAAGGAGAATAAGGCTTTGCTAGCAACGTGAACCACTGAACAACTACTAAGAAAAGGGCCTAGGTCTTCCAGCACAGCCTGGAACAATCACTCAGGAGTTGTTGAGTTCTCTTTCAGCTACTTTCCTATTCCATCTGTCGGTCTATTGTCCTATTTATTTAGTTAATGCTTGCTTGGTTCCTGTATTAGTCTGTTTTCACACTGCTATGAAGAACTTCCTGAGACCTGGTAATTTATGATGAAAAAAATTTAATTGACTCACAGTTCCACATGGCTAGGAGGCCTCAGGAAACTTAAAATCACGACAGAAGGCAAAGGGGAAGCAGGCGCAGTCTTCGCATGTCAGAGCAGGAGAGAGAGAGAGTGAGGGAGGAAGTGCCACACTTTTAAACCATCAGATCTCGTGAGAAGTCACTTGCTATCATGAGAGCAGCATGGGGGAAACCACCCCCATGATCCAATCACATTCTACCAGGTCCCTCCCTTGACACATGGAGATTACAATTCGAGACGACATTTGTGTGGGACACCGAGCCAAACCATATCGGTTCCCAAAAGGATATTGACAGCTTCCATGCAATTTAGTCAGATAAAAACTTGAAGTGAGTGAGAAACAAGAGACAAAGTGAAACAGCAGGTGGACCCAGCCCATGGGCCACGCAAGACCCGGCCACTTTCAACTGGGCTGTAAACATGGCTGCAGCTGACAACAGTAAAGAAAGGAACACTAATTACAGTTACACTGATGGAGAGCACTCGTGAGATCAAGAAAAAGCTTCTTAGAAGGGGCATGACTATTCCCGAGACTATGATGGGAAAGTATTTGTTGCAGAGTACCTGGTAAAAATGACACTTGGTGACATAAGAATGATCAATGTGCTCAACAACATCCCCACTCCAAGTCAGCCATGCTTCTCAGGGGAATTCTCTTACCAAAACAGACCAAAGGCATCGCTCCAAAACACTGTTCAGGAAAGGAAATTCTAAGGGGCTGTGCAATTGGGTCCAAGACCTTTATTCACTAATAGTCTGAACTAATGCAGGTTTTAGGGTATCTTGAGCAATGGTGCCCCAGGAGTTATGCAATTGTTTATTTTAAATTTTACCTTCAATACCTTTTAAATATCATACATCTTTCAAATCATATCATAAATATAATCAAATCACCTCCACCCAAATATGCTGTATAGTAAATTCTAACATTTTGGAAACCACTAAATTGATGAATCATGCATCTGGGTTGATGTGTTCTTTTGTAGCCCTGACAATGAAGCCCTTACCATACTGATTTAATTGAAAATTTTCTGAGATGGCCAGGTACGCTGTGGAAGAAATAAATATTGACAAGTGTACCCTCTTATCTATGTGAATTGTGACATTCTTAACCCACATGAACAAAACCTAGTGTAGTTACAAATTAGATGGAAAGGTGGATGTTAGAACGCAGCTGTCCCCTTAACTCTCAATTTCAGTTTTGGAGCCATTAAAACAACCTCTTTGACTGGGAAGACATAGTAACTAAATGCTATGTGGTTCTTGGATCCTGGAACCAAAAAAGAATATTAATGGAAATACTAGTAAAATCTAAAGAAAGTCTGTAGTTTAGTTAATTATATTATAATAATATTAACGTCAGTTTTGAAAGTGTACCAGTTATATAAGATGTCAACATTGAAAGAACTGAGTAAAGAATATGCTTCCCTCTATACAAGCTTTGCAAATCTAAAATTATTGCAAAATAAAAAGAGTTTAAAAAATTTAAACAATCTCATTGTTTTCATTTATTAACTTTGTTAAAGCATATTATACATTTGAGTTAACAACATGGTTACATAATATATTACAATGCCACGTGACTCTGTTTTATATATTAATGATCCATATAAGATTTGATTTGAAGAAAAGATTCTGTGGTATAAATTTGTTAAATTGTCCTTCCCCTTTACCAATAATTTAGTCCAAAAGACATTAGAGGGAATTGAGCAAGGAAGGTGAACTCGCCAGTGTGGTGGGGGGAGCCTGGGTGGTGCAGGACATGGGCAGGGTGTCAAATGCCAACTGGAGTAAGGAGGATGTCCACACAGGGGGGCAGCTTTGTGCATGGATTCAGGACCAAGTGGGGAAGAAAGGCTACCCAATGCAGAATGTCAGAACTGAGAGGAGCAAGGGGAGCTTCCACGTGCAGAGGTGGCTTAGCATGGAGAGTCAATGCTCAAGACAGTTGAGCAAGGCGTCCATGCAAGTAGGCAGGATGGGGGTGCACCCTGGTGTGGGGAAGCAGAGCCCAAACAGAGCGAGGAGAGCTTCTGTGTAAGGGTGCAGCCAGCGTGGGGAGTCAGAGCCTACATAGGGTGAGCAGGGGCACCCCAGTAGAAGAATTTTGTATAGCAGGGCACCATGGCAAGGGGGCAGTTGGAGAGGAGGATAAGGCCAGTTGGAGAGGAGGCCATGTTTGGGATGGGGTGCAGTAGGCACCAGTGACAGGAGACTGGATGCATACAGGTTACTGGTCAAATAAGCTGATATACTAAGGATAAAAAGAGTCAAGTTTCTTATTGTCATAGAGCTACAAATAAACAAAGGGAGAAAATTAGAAGGAATTTTGTGGTATTACATCAGAATTGGAAGTATTACTGTAAACTCTTGTTTTTCAACATACAATATTGAAATAAATAAAAATGTAAATATGCATGTGTATTATGCATACATATAATCCCTTGCTCTGTCCATGAGAAGGCTGGGAACAGCGATGTCCCAACAGCCGTGAATACACCTACTGGCCAGACTTTGGTTTTGAAATACCATCCTCCATTAAAAGAAACCAGGGATCCCTCGAGAAACAGCTGATTCTAAGGCTGGAAATGTGAGGAGCCTGGAATATTTTGTCAAGTCAAAAGTAAGGAAATAGTCAAAGAATAATGGGAAAGGAAATAGTCAAAGAATAATGGGAATGTGTCAAATGAAAGGGCAACCACTGGTCACATCTGGGAAAATTTGTATATCGAAATATATACATGGGAATAAAATAGGAAACTATGGGCCCATACTGATATAACTACAGGAATAAATTCAAAGTTTGATAAGGAGTGGGGTGTTTACATAGTCTCAGAGAATGTCTCCATAAATTAATACTTTTTAATTACAAGCAAGAGTCAAGAGAGTAACTTTATAGTAGAGAAGGTTGACAGATACCTTAATCTAGTGATTAAATTTAATATCATTAGAAATAGGAGGAGTCAACATTGGGTGTCACCTGATGGGAGGCTTAGGAAGAACTCATTGTCGATTCTGTAACATTCCCACTGAAGATGCATCACCTAAATCTAATCATAAGGAAAGTCAAACAAACCCAAATTGAGATACATTCCACAGGATATCTGACCTGTAATTTTCAGAAGCTTCATGGTCATAAAAGTTTCAGAAAGACTAAGGAAAAAGACACTAAAAAGACAGGACAACAAAATGCAACGTGTGTTCCCGAACTGAATCTTTTTACATAAAAGACATTATTGGGAGAGTTCACAAAATGTGAATGAGGCCTGAAGATTAGATGGTAGGAATTTAGCAACACCAACTTTCTGATCTTGTTGGTTATATTGTAATAATGTGGAAGAATGTCCTGATGTGTAGGAGGTGCACGAAAATGGTATCTAGGAGTGATGGGGTATTCATGTCAGCAACTTATTCTCAACTCTTCAGGACCAAAACAATGTATTTGCCAAACTTTTCAGTAGGCTTGAAATTGGTTCACAAAAATATTTGAAAATCACTGAGGTAGCAGAACAGATAAGATACACGTCAAGGTCCCAAACCTACAAGGGGAGGTCACCCCATCTCTACTCAGAGATGACCATCTGAGTGGACATATTGCAGAATGAAGAATTCCTTAGAGTGCACCCCAAAAGATCTTCTCTTATGGACATATAGAGATTGATGAGTTTCATGTCATAGAGCATAATTGTGATCATTTTATCTTAGAACATTTTTGTAGTAAGAGAACTATATACCCACCTTATCCATAGGAGCACACCATTGGAAGGCCCATGGAATACAAGGCTGATGATCCCACCTACATGAGCTACTTGCCAAAACTGATGCCAAGAGGACTGAATGAGGTGAATTGCTGAAGTGGTTTATTAGCTATAAAGAAATTATTAATGAGTTTTGATTCTGGCAATAATTAAATAGCAGGGGCAGTTGTTTATGAGATTAATTAGATGAGATCATCTGAATCCATTAATCCAAGTAAGTGCTGAGCATGGTGAATGGTACGGAGTACATGAACACCACTGTCATCATCCTTATTATGATTATTATTATTGTTGTTACTGGCCATTCCCAGCTAGTAACAGCAAACTATCTCTGTGGCATATTTTTATATTCTTCATCGCAGGTTGAAGCTCATTCAAAAGTAGCATGCAATCACCAAGAAACAAGTTAACAATTGTTTCCTCAATTTTCAAAATCATTAACTGATCAGCCCAGTAACGATTTGTGCTGAGACAGTGATTTACGCGGGGTTATCCCAGTGCAAGCCTCAGTAACTGGGGGACTATATTATGTTCACACACGTTGGCCTATAATTGGTTCCAGCCAGAGAGTCAAAGGCGAAGGAAAGGTCTGTGAAAACAGCAATCTAATAGTGCTTCTAGTTTATTTCTCCATCTGCAACTCCTATAAAACACTGACCTAAGAAATTCAGGCTAGCTGTGTACTGAGGATAAGACAGATAGAGTCTTAAATGGCACACCAAATAAACTAATTTGTTTGTAACTGGGAAGAGAACAAAAAGGTAACTCAATATTTATGCCAGCAAAATAACAAACTAGGTACCTTGACCAATTTTCTCACTGAAAATAACTAAAAATGCTGGCAAAAATGGTAAATACCTCCTGAAGTGCATTGATGAGCTGGCAAGGAAATAAGAAACACTAAGGAAAAAAGTGAAGTGAAGGTCTGAACCCAAGAATTAGGCAGAAAATTGACCAGCTTTCACCCTGGGGGCATTTGCAGAACCAAGCTTAGAGTTTCACAGCCTCATGAGGCACCAGAGACAAAATACAAGCCCACCTGGGAAGAGAAAGTCAAATAAGAGAACTTAACTAGTAAAATCAGGATCCTACAAGCAGGATTTTCGGAATAGAATGGATTAGATGTAAGTCCACTACCTCCTTACCACCAATGGGACTACAACAAATGTTACCACTCTTGAACCTCAAAACAGAGGAAAAATGGAAAATAGTCCCTGAGAATTGATACCCACAAGCTGGCCCTCACTCAGGTTTGCAGCCTAAATTCTTATGATCTGGGAGTCTGAAAACCCTGAAACCAACAATTTAAGTGGTCCTACAGTAGTAGTGATCCCAGGCATCCAGCAGAAGCTAAATGAAATCCTCTCTGAAGAAAACCATCTTCATCTCACACATAAAGAACTGCCACACACAAAGTTCCAAGGAAAATGAGCAAGTCTTGCTCAGCACAAAGGGAAATAAAGGACCGTAAATAAGAATCAGCAAAAGCAAAAATCAGTTAACTATGACTTCAGATCCTGAAATTAGCTACAGAACATAAAATCATTGTTCATAGAAATTAAAGATAAACTTGAATATAAGCAGAGACAAAGAAACTGATAAAAATATACAACTATAACACTTTGTAAATATAAAAACTATAAAAATAAACTAATTAAGCTGAAGAGAGAAGTAGTGAAGAAATTATCCAAATTGCAGTTCAGAGATGACAAAGGTTTGGAATACACGAATGAAACATGAAGAAACAGGAAATGCAGATTAAAAAGTTTAACATATGTCTAAATTAATGGTGCTCAACCACGGGCAACTTTGCCTTCCAGGGGACATTTGGCAATGTCTGGAGACATTTTTGGTTGTCACAACTGGCAGGGGTGGTGAGTGTGTGCTACTAGCATCCAGTGAATAGAGGCCAGGAATGTTGCGAAACATCCTGCAATGTTTTGGACAGCCCTGCACAAACACAAGTTATGTCAACAGTGCTGAGGTTGAAAAATTGTGGTCCACATGGAGTTCTGGTATTAAAGTATAGTGAAAATGGGGCAAAAAGTAACATCTGAAGAGGTTAAAAGAATCAATTCCAATGAATTTCCCCCCCATAAGATATATATAAAAAATACACATATAAAACTTTAATACATCAAAGGGAAAGAGCAAATGTTTTAAGAACCAGAGTACATTAGGGGTCATTATACTATTCTATATTCTTTAAAATTTTCCATATTAAGAAGTTAAAAATTGTTTTACAAGACCAGCCAAAGAACAAAAACAGACCACCTTTAAAAAACTGATAGCTGACTTTTCAACAGCAAAAATGAAAACTAAAACACAACGATATTGTCAATGTACTCAGAGAAAGATTATTGTCAACTATAATTTTATACCTAGTGAAAATAAATTTCAAGATTGAGGGGAAAAAGCACTTCCAGATAAACAAAAATGGAGTTTTTTTTACTACAGACCTTCAATAAAGGAAATTCTGAGGGATATACTTAAGGAAGAAGGAAAGAGATTCCACATAGAAGGCCTGAGACCCAAGAAGAAATAGACAGAAAAAAATTGATTATTCAAAATAATAATAAGAATGCCCTGAGAGTTAAACTGTCACCAAATATTCACTTGAAGAAAGCTTGTGTATAAAGCATTGCACCAGGCACATGCATAATATGTATTCTTTTCAAATGCACGTGAAACATTTAAAAATTTGATCACACACTCAGCCACAAATAGGGTAAGATACATTGTAGTTTCAAGACAGTATTAATTCACATCTCTTGCCTTAACATCTCTCTGTTATCATAGATAGCAATCCAAAGACCAAGAGATCCAAAAACACATCATAGATAAAATGTTAAAATAAAAACACAAAGGCAAATCTTAAAAGCAGAAAGAGAAAAGAGACTCTTTACATATAAAGGAAACTCAATGAGATGAATGGCTAATTTCTCATCAGAAACAATGGGGGTCAGAAGTCTGTGGTATGACATATTCGAAAGGCTGAAAAATTGGTCTAAAATTCTCTTGCTTTGTTGTGTCTCTGCCAGGATTAACATCGATACAAAAATCCTCAATAAAATACTGGCAAACCGAATCCAGCAACACATCAAAAAGCTTATCTACCATGATCACGTGGGCTTCATCCCTGGGATGCAAGACTGGTTCAACATACACAAATCAATAAATGTAATCCAGCATATAAACAGAACCAATGACAAAAACCACATGATTATCTCAATAGATGCAAAAAAGGCCTTTGACAAAATTCAACAGCCCTTCATGCTAAAACCTCTCAATAAATTAGGTATTGATGGGACGTATCTCAAAATAATAAGAGGTATTTATGACAAACCCACAGCCAATATCATACCGAATGGGCAAAAACTGGAAGCATTCCTTTGAAAAGTGGCAAAAGACAGGGATGCCCTCTCTCACCACTCCTATTCAACACAGCGTTGGAAGTTCTGGCCAGGGCAATCAGGCAGGAGAAAGAAATAAAGGGTATTCAATTAGGAAAAGAGGAAGTCAAATTGTCCCTGTTTGCAGATGACATGGTTGTATATCTAGAAAACCCCATCATCTCAGCCCAAAATCTCCTTAAGCTGATAAGCAACTTCAGCAAAATCTCAGGATACAAAATCAATGTGCAAAAATCACAAGCATTCTTATACTCCAATAACAGACAAACAGAGAGCCAAATCATGAGTGAACTCCCATTCACAATTGCTTCAAAGAGAATAAAATACCTAGGAATCCAACTTACAAGGGATGTGAATGACCTCTTCAAGGAGAACTACAAACCACTGCTCAATGAAATAAAAGAGGATACAAACACATGGAAGAACATTCCATGCTCATGGATAGGAAGAATCAATATCGTGAAAATGGCCATACTGCCCAACGTAATTTATAGATTCAATGCCATCCCCATCAAGCTACCAATGACTTTCTTCACAGAATTGGAAAAAACTACTTTAAAGTTCATATGAAACCAAAAAAGAGCCCGCATTGCCAAGTCAATCCTAAGCCAAAAGAACAAAGCTGGAGGCATCACACTACCTGACTTCAAACCATACTACAAGGCTACAGTAACCAAAACAGCATGGTACTGGTACCAAAACAGAGATATAGACCAATGGAACAGAACAGAGACCTCAGTAATAATACTACACATCTACAACCATCTGATCTTTGACAAACTGGACAAAAACAAGAAATGAGGAAACGATTCCCTATTTAATAAATGGTGCTGGGAAAACTGGTTAGCCATATGTAGAAAGCTGAAACTGGATCCCTTCCTTACACCTTACACAAAAATTAATTCAAGGTGGATTAAAGACTTAAATGTTGGACCTAAAACCATAAAAACCCTAGAAAAAAACCTAGGCAATACCATTCAGGACATAGGCATGGGCAAGGACTTCATGTCTCAAACACCAAAAGCAATGGCAACAAAAGCCAAAATTGACAAATGGGATATAATTAAACTAAAGAGCTTCTGCACAGCAAAAGAAACTACCATCAGACTGAAAAGGCAACCTACAGAACTGGAGAAAATTTCTGCAATCTATCCATCTGACAAAGGGCTAATATCCAGAATCTACAAAGAACTCAAACAAATTTACAAGAAAAAAACAAACAACCCCATCAACAAGTGGGCAAAGGATATGAACAGAAACTTCCCAAAAGAAGACACTTATACAGCCAACAGACACATGAAAAAATGCTCATCATCACTGGCCATCAGAGAAATGCAAATCAAAACCACAATGAGATACCATCTCACACCAGTTAGAATGGCAATCATTAAAAAGTCAGGAAACAACAGGTGCTGGAGAGGATGTGGAGAAATAGGAACACTTTTACACTGTTGGTGGGACTGTAAAGTGGTTCAACCATTGTGGAATACAGTATGGCAATTCCTCAGGGATCTAGAACCAGAAATACCATTTGACCCAGCCATCCCTTTACTGGGTATATACCCAAAGGATTATAAATCATGCTGCTATAAAGACACACGCACACATATGTTTATTGCGGCACTATTCACAGTAGCAAAGACCTGGAACCAACCCAAATGTCCAACAATGATAGATTGGATTAAGAAAATGTGGCACATATACACCATGGAATACTACACAGCCATAAAAAATGATGAGTTCATGTCCTTTTTGGGGACATGGATGAAGCTGGAAACCATCATTCTCAGCAAACTATTGCAAGGACAAAAAAACCAAACATCGCATGTTCTCACTCATAGGTGGGAATTGAACAATGGGAACACTTGGACACAGGAAGGGGGACATCACACACCAGGGCCTGTTGTAGGGTGGGGGGAGCGGGGAGGGATAGCATTAGGAGGTATACCTAATATAAATGACGAGTTAGTGGGTGCAGCACACCAACATGGCACATGTATACATATGAAACAAACCTGCACATTGTGCACATGTACCCTAGAACTTAAAGTATAATTTAAAAAATAGGCTGAAAAAAATTTTTAATTGTCAACCAAAGATTTTATGTTTAGCAAAATTATCTAGCAAAAATGAAGGTGAAATGCATTCCTAGATAAAAATGGAGATAATTTGTTGCTAGCAGAACTGCCTTGTAAGAAATGCTGAAGTTAGTTCTTCAACTTTGCTGAGAGCGAGTGACCTCAGATGGTAATTAGAATCTATGTGAAAAAAATAAAGAGTGTCAATAAAGGTGATTATGTATGTAATTATAAAAGACAGTATAATTGTATATACTTTCTCCATTCTATTATTGACTAACATAAAATGTACTTGTATAAAACATGTACATAATTGCATTGTTGGGGCTACAACATAAAGAAATACAAAATATTTGACAATAACAGCTCAAAGAAGCGGGTGGAAACAAAGCCGCATCAGAGTAAGAAAATGACAGCAGTTAGTCAAATCCACAGGAAAAAAGAAAGAGAACCAGAAACAGTAAGTAAGAAGGTTAATATAACCAACTCTGTAAATATATATTTGTGTTCCACTCTTATTTTTAAGGACACATTATAAAATTATAAAATTATTACAGTATATTGCTGGGTTTGTAACATAGATAGACATAATATGCATAATAATAATAGTACAAAAAAGCAGAGGAATGAATAGAGCTATCTAGGAGCAACATTTGTGTATCTCATTGGAATTTAGTTAGTATAATTATGACATAGATTATAAAAAGATGTATATTGCAAGACCTGGAACAACTGCTAATAAAATAACCTTTGAAATATGGTAAAATAAATCATAAAAAGAGTTAAGATTATACACTAGAAAATATTCACTTAATGAAAAAGAAATCAGAAATGTGGAACAGGGAATAAAAAAGGCATAAGACATATAGGAACAGAAATCTAAATGGCAGACATATATCCTATTATATCAACAGTAACATTAAATGAAAATAGACAAAACAATCTAATCAAAAGGCAGAGGTTGTCAGACTGGATAAAACAAACAAGATCTATTTGCTGTCTATCTACAGAAGACACATTTTAGGTTCAAAGACACAGAGATGGAAAGTTAAAGGATGGCAAAAAAATATATCATGCAAACAACAATTCCAGGAAAGCTGGAGTTGCTAGACTACGTAGCAGGCAAAGTAGAATTTAAGACAAAAAAAAGTTACTAGTAATAAAGAGGGGCATTTTATAATGTAAAAAAGTCAATCCATCAGGAAGATATAAGAATTATAAATACATATGCACTTGACAACAAAACACCAAAATACCTGAAGCAAAAATTGACAATAATGAGGGGAGAAAAGACAGTTCAACAACAATAGCTGGAGACTTTACTACCCCATTTTCAATAATGGATAACATCTAGGCACGGTATCAGTGAGGAAACAGAAGATTTGAACAACACTATAAATAAACTAGATATAAAAGGCATCTGTAGAATATTCTACCCAAAAATAGCAGAACATACATTTTTTTCACAAATGCACATAAGAACATTCTTCAGGATAGATCACAAGCCCTGATACAAAACAAACCTCAATTAATTTAAAATGATTGCAATCACACAAAGTAAGTTCTCTGACCACAATGGAATGAAATTTAAAAGCAATGATAAAAATAAATTCAGGAAATTCAAAAGTATGCATAAATCAAACCACAAACTCCTAAACAACCAATTGATCAAAGAAATAAATCACAAAAGAAATTTGAAAATACTTTGAAATGAATGAAAATGGAAACACAACATACTGAAATTTATGGGATGCAGCTAAATCAGTACTTAGAGGAAAATTTATAGCTGTAAAAAGCCTATATTAAAAAAAGGAGAAAGACTTCAAATCAGTTATCTAACTAACCACCCTAAGACACTAGAAAAAGAGCCAAATAAACTGCTAGCAAACAAGAGGAAAGAAACAATAAAGATTAGAGTGAAAATTAATAAAATATTATGAGGCCGGGCGCAGTGGCTCACGCCTGTAATCCCAGCACTTTGGGAGGCCGAGGCGGGCGGATCATGAGGTCAGGAGATCGAGACCATCTCGGCTAAAACAGTGAAACCCCGTCTCTACTAAAAATACAAAAAATTAGCCGGGCGTAGTGGCGGGCGCCTGTAGTCCCAGCTACTTGGGAGGCTGAGGCAGGAGAATGGCGTGAACCCGGGAGGCGGAGCTTGCAGTGAGCCGAGATCCCGCCACTGCACTCCAGCCTGGGCAACAGAGCGAGACTCCGTCTCAAAAAAAAAAAAATATTATGGAGTTACTTCTCTGTTTAAAGCCTTTCTGTGTCTCCTCAGTGCTTTTAGGATAAAATCCAAACTCCCAGGTCATTCAAATCTCTTCGGAATCTGACCTTTGCTGACCTCACCAACATTATCTCCCATCACTCCCCATTTTTATCCTGGGACTCAACCATCCTGAGTGAGTTACGAGCCACCTTTCAGATACTGTATATTGAAGTATAGTGGTTAAGTATAATCTCTGAAGAAATGAGGAGTGATTGCTAATGGGTACAGAATTTCTTTTGGGAGATAACAAAATATTCTACAAGTGATTGTGATGGTGGTTGAACAACTTTGTGAACACACTAAAAGTCACTGAATTATACACTTTAAATGAGTGAATGTGTATAATGAGGGATGTGGCAGCAGACCCAGAACAGAGCCACACAGTCCACAGGGATGAACTGCCAGCAGATGACTAGCTGGAGAGCCATAAGTCTCCTTCACCTGTTCTCAGTGCACTGTCTTCAGGCGTTGCATAGAGGGGATGCCCACATTGGGTATACTTCAGGAGGCGTCTGACCTTCCTGTAAGTAAAGGTCCCATTGGGCAGGTCTGGTTCTTCACCAGTGTATTCCTCATTGTGGCTAGTTGAAATAATTACCAAATGAATGCAATGCCAGGTTAGATTTGAGGATTCCTGGGGAAACTGCCTCCCCCTACACAGACAGACCTTCCCTAATAACTTTCCAACCTGAGCCTCACCATAGCTCACATTTGAACACATGCTACGTGCTCCATACTATCTTAGGAGATTTGTAAATATCAACTCATGCAATCCTCAAAACAACTCTAAGAGCTAGATATCATTCTTATCCCATTTATGCATGAGGAAATTGAGGCACAAAGAGGAAAAATAACATGCCCATAGCTAAGAAGTGGTGAATATAAGAAATGTAAGATCTAAACCTAGACACACTAACTCTGGGGCCCATGTTTTTCACTTCTTTACAGTGCCTGCAATTTTACTATGTAAGATTGTGTTTTCAGATTCCTCTGCCTAGGGTTTGTTTTTTTACTCTTAGCAATGTTCCTAAAGACTAACATATTAAATTGTTACCTATTCAGGTTTACTTCTTTTTCTCTTTCTTTCTTTTCTTTTTTGAGATGGAGTCTCGCTCTGTCACCCAGGCTGGAGTGCAGTGGTACAATCTCAGCTCACTGCAACCTCTGCCTCTGGGATTGAAGCAATTCTCCTGTCTCAGCCTCCAGAGTAGTGGGGATTACAGGCACGCACCACCATACCCAGCTAATTTTTGTATTTTTCATAGAGATCGGGTTTCACCACATTGGCCAGGCTGGTCTCGAACTCCTGACGCCAAGGGATTCACCTACTTTAGCCTCCCAAAGTGCTGGGATTACAGGCGTGAGCCACCGTGCCCAGGCCAGATTTACTTATTTTTGTTTTTCAAGGACCATGTCACTCAAGGAGGCCCAGGAAGAGTGTGGGCAAGGGACCCCTGGCACAGTTAGTGGCATCTTAAGGTGAACTGAGCCAGAGAGTAATTATAAAATTCAGTCTTTAGGGGGCAGGCAGCGGTCCGAAAGGTTGTATCAGTTCTGAGCTTTAAAGGCTAGGGCAGCCTCAGCCTATGGTTTAGTGGGGTAGATTAATTGCAAACATGGCCCCAGTTTGCCATGTCTCCCATGTATGTCCTTTGTAAAGTGATTTTGTAGCTCCTTCATCAAGAAATGGCATCTACTTCTTCACAAGAGCTGGTCTTGTGACGCATGTTAGCCAATAGAGCTCCATGGCTCAAAGTTCTGAGCCCAGGATTCCAGTGGCCTCAAACACCTCAGCACTCTCCTGGATCCCTGCCAACTGCCCCACAAACACGGTCAGCTGGCCTGATGGGGGATGAGAGATCATGTAGAGTAGAGCTCAGTTGTTCCGGCTGTGGCCATTCTAGACCAGCAAGACCCCAGCTGGCCTATCAGCTGACTGCATGAGTGAGCCCACCCAACACCACAAGAAGTATCCAGTTGAGACCAGCCTAAATTACCAACTGCTAATTGGTAATCTGCAATCATGTAGGGTATGGTTTGTAATACAGCAACATTTATTTGAACCCACTGGCGAGGAGCAAGGTTTGGAAGTGGGCATATGCAGGAACAGAACAGGAAGTGAGGCACAGGCTGAGGCCCTATGGGAGGCTGAGGACCCAGCCCCTGCAATGTGAGGTGCAATGGGAAGCATTAGGAGGGAAAAATCCCAGGGTCTGGGATCACTTTTCTTCCAAATGGATGGACTGCAAGGATCTGAGAGCCTCTCCAAGGTGCACAAGAACAGCACTCATGCTGGTCTGGAATCTTCAGGAAATAGATGGGAGGCCAGAAGCGGATGGACGGGCAAAGACTGAAGCAACTCCTACTTTCCAGATGTGCCGCAGGCAGACTCATATCAGATTAACCTCCCCCGCTCCAACCCTGGGTGGAGGACCCGCTGGATATGCTAAGTGGAGGCTGCAGAGATCCAGGGGCCAGGGACACCACCAGTCACTCATTCAAGGGTGCTTTTCCTGAAACTAGTGGAATGGAAAAGTGCTACTAACAATCAGCAAGATCAAAGAAGGAGGTCTGCCCTGTGCAGGTGCTCTTCTGAAGAGCCATCTGTTGGCCCTGGCTTCTCTTATCAAGACACAGCATTCCAACAGAAAGGACTGCAAAGAAGAAATGGAACTTGCAACATGTTTATGATCTAATGCAAACAGCAGGTGGGGTCTGTCAGGAGTTCTGGGAAGCCCTGAGGAGCAGGGGGAAGGACAGGCCAGGCTTCTCGTTTGTCCCCAGACAATGGCAGCTCGGGATGGGGGATAGAGGGTGGGCTTAGCCAACCTTCACGGGTACCAGCCTCAACTTCCCAGTTCTCCCAAATCCTCCTGTGGACAGCAAGCCCTCTAGGGCTTCACTTCTCTCCTTTATAACTCTGCTTATTCCTAGACACCAAGAAATCCACATCAACAAAATTAACGCAATATTCACCCATCCTGGAGTCAGACAGACTGGATTAGAATCTTGACCCAACCAGATATTAACTGAGTGACACTGGGCAGGTTACTTCTCAGGTTCCGTTTCCCTTATCCACCAAAGGACTTGGAAGATGGCAGTCCCTCCACCTTCTGGGGCTGTGGTGAGGAGGTGACATACTCAGCACAGGGTCCGGCACGGAGTAAACCCACCCGTAGTAAGTATCTTTGTCACTGTCATCATTCAAACAGTCATGAACATCTGCAGAGGGCCAGTGCATCAGAGGTGGTTCCTACTCCTGAAGAACTCAACAGAATGAATTAATGATTTACAAAGCAGACAAGAGCACCTTACCGTCATAAAACCCCAGAATGGTGACCAGGCAAGGGGCTCCCCTAATTCAGAAAACCCCAGAATGGTGACCAGGTAAGGGGCTCCCCTAATTCCTGGAGCACAAAGAGCAGATGGAGCCTTTCTATGAGGCCATCTCTGTCTCTCCCCTGCCCTCTCACTGGTCATCCCCCAAGAGTTGAAAACTCGCGGAAGCATCATCTCTACAAATTAAAGTTGCCCAAGTATAATATAAAGTTTCCTGCACATTATAGTCACGGAAGCAGGTCCAAGCCGGACTTCCTTCCTCTTGGAGAAGCATCCAAGAGGGAGGAAGCTTCCCAAAACATCCAGAAGATTCAGCTGCTGAGGATGAGGCTCTTAGGGCAGACAGAGGCAACAGAAAATTCCAGAGGCCTGGTGGGGGTCTGTTAGAGAAGCTGGTTCTCAAACGTGAATGTGCTCAGGAAGCACCTGGAGCTCTTGTTAAAATGCAGCGGCTGATCCAGTAGGTCTGGGGCAGTGCCAGAGAACCTGCATTTCTAACAGACTCCCCTGTGAGGCCAGTACTGCAGCTCTGTGGACCACCCTTTGAGTAGCAAGTGTTTATCTAATCCAGGCCACAAGAGAATCACCTGAGAAACTTTTTTTAACAGGTTTATTGGGGCATAATTTACATATAGTATGTACAAAGAGATATATTATGCCATTCATCCATTTAAAGTTTATGATTCAATAGTTTTTAGTAGATTCACCGTTGTGCAACCATCACCATAACTAATTTTAGAGCCAATCTTTGGTTGGGCCAAGATTCTAATCCAGTCTGTCTGACTACACTGGATGGGTGAATATTGGGTTAATTTTGTTGATGTGGGTTTCTTGGTGTCTGGGAGTGGGCAGAGTTATAAAGGAGAGGTGTGAAGTCCTGTGGGCCTGCTGTCCACAGGGGGATCGGAAGAACTGGGAAGCTGAAGCTGGTACCCATGAAGGTTGGCTAAGCCCCCTCCATGCCCCATCCCCAGCTGCCATTGTCTGGGGACAAATGAGGAGCCTGGCCTGGCCTGCCCCCTACTCATCAGGGCTTCCCAGAACACCTGACAAATCCCACCTGGTGCTTGCATCTACACATCAAGACCCAGAGAATATCAGTACCAGGTGGTGTTTGTCTAGATGATACAAATAGTCTTACATTCAGAGCAATTTCATGTGCTAAGCCACTGCCACAGCCATCCCCTGGTGCACCCCCAAAATAAAACTACTCTTTTTGTTCAAACACCTCCTTCCAATTTTCTTTCAGGCCTTGGTAGTCACTAATCTACGTTCTGTCTCTACAGATTTTCCTCTTCTGGACACTTCACATAAATGAGTAATATAATATGTGTCCTTTCTGTTTTGCTTCTTTCACTTAGCATGTTTTCAAAGATGCATCCATATTATAGCATGGATCAGTACTGCGACCATCTTTATTGCTAAAGAATAGTTGGATGTACCACATGTGGATATACCACGTTTTACTTATCCCTTCATCAGTTGATGGACATTTGTGTTGTTTACACACATGCGCGCACACACACGCACACACACACAGAGCACATGTGATTTTGGAGGCTTTGCAAGTTTAAAATCTGCAGAGTAGGCCAGCAGGCCAGAGTCCTAGGGAAGAGTTTCAATTTCAGTCCAAAGGCCATCTGCTTATACGTTAATTTTGGCTTGAAGAAGTCAGTCTTATTCTATTAAGTACTTCAACTGATTAGACGAGGCCCACCCACATTATGGAGAGTAATCTGCTTTACTCAAAGGCCACCAATTAAATTAGTATCATCCAAACAACACCTTCACAGAGACATCTAGATTAGTGTTTGACCAAACATCTGGGCACTGTGGCCCAGACAAGCTGACACATGAAATTAACCAATACAGGTCACTTACTGATTACGAAGCAACAACAATGAACCCCTTACTGTGAACTGCCCCAGGCACTGGGGATATTGAAATGGAGACATGGCCCCTACCCTCAGGAAGGTCATAGTGTAAAATGGGGACACTGACAGTGCCCACCTCACTGGCAGACCATGAGGAATAAATGGAAAAATAATGCATGCGTGGCAACCAGCATCATGCCTGGCATCAGTAGGTGTCCAGAGCAGCATCTATACATCAGGACCCAAAGAATATCAGTACCAGGTGGTATTCTCTTAGGTGATACAAATAGTCCTACATTCAGAGCAATTTCATACACTAAGCCACTGCCACAGCCATTCTCTGGTGCAGTGTAAGACATGCTCACCCAAGAGAGATTTACTGCCATAAAAAATATTGCCCTGCTGGCCAGGAAAGCCGCAGTGCCTGCTGTACCCGTTGGGGGCCCGCTGCCCATGGCCACACACACCAATCTAAGCAGGATTATTAAAGCATAAATCCCTATCGCTTGTCTCCCTCTCATTGGGCCGAAGCATCACCATGTTCATTAACGGGAAATGTGAGGTTATATAATGTAATTTTTATAACTCTCCAAGGATAGTGCAGCTCATACATTAGGCTGAGATTTCAACCTTTAAAGATAAGGGGAATGTCATTTTTATTAAAAAAGACCACAAAGCATAATGAGAATTATTACCCCAAATAGCCAAAATAACCCAGAATCCATAGAAAGGAGTGCTGATAATTCTAATATTGTGGTCTCTGAAGCAGGCGTGCAAATTAAGCAGCTCAAGGGCATTTGCCAGGGATGCCCAAACAGCACCCAGCCCCACACAGAGACAGAGGGAGGTATGGCACCATGAATCCTGACACCTGCTGGCCAGAGACTGCCCAGACTCCATCTGCATTCCCTGCCTGGGCTGGGGAGGGGTAAATCCTGTGGCTGCCCTGGCTACCCTCACCCTGGAAGACCTGGGCTGGCACCAAGGAACACTCAGCATGAGAAACCCAGGTGGCTCAGGTGAGAAGGCCAGGCCTCTGTAACTGCTCTAGACCTCCAAATTTGGGTGCTGGACTTCTCTCCCTCCCCCAGACACTCCTCTCAGCCCTCTGTGAGCTGCCAGAGACAATCATAGTGCTCCAGGGTCAGAAGAAAGTGCTCTAGGGTCTGAAGCCACTTCATAGACCTGGACTCTGAAGCATCAACCAAAGTCAGCAGCACTTGCCCCATATTTAAGGGATCCCAGAACAGGTTTACAGGGGCTGGGTGCAGTGGCTCATACCTGGAATTCCAGTGCTTTGGGAGGCCAAGGTGAGAGTATCGCTGGGGGCCAAGGCGAGAGTATCGCTTGAGACCAGGAGTTCAAGACCAGCCTGGGCAATATAGTGAGACCCAATTTCTACAAAAAATTTTTAAAATTAGCCAGATGTGTTGGTGTGTGCCTGTAGTCTCAGCTACTCAGGAGGCTGAGGTGAGAGGATTGCTTGAGTCCAGTAGTTCAAGGCTGCAGTGAGCTATGATCATGCCACTGCACTCCAACCTGGGCAACAGAGCAAGACCCTGCCTCTCTAAAAAAGAAAAGAAATGAAATGAAATAGGTTTCATAGCACATTAGCTGTGTAGAGAACTGGCCACGGGTGGCCGAGATGTTCTTGACTACAGAGTTTCAAGAGATTTGAGAAAACACTGAAGAGTCCAAAGTTTTGACCTGAGAATGCAAATTGCTGGTTTCCCTAGTAAACCCAGTCTCCCTAGGCCCGCATATGGCTGCATGCCCCGCCATGCTCAGGATGTAAGTCTTCCTACGTGGGCGGCTTCCCTCATTGACTCTTCCTGTCTCCTGACCTCCATCCTGCAAACATGGACTGGGAACTTCTAAACTGCAGTCTGGTTATTCACTCACCCATCCCTTTGCTCCAGGTACTCCTTGGTCCTCTGCCTAACTGTCTTTGAAGATGTCCTACTCTGCGGGTGAAATCTCTTCCTGGCTGGTTCCCACCACCTGCCCTTCCCCTTCTCTATGCTTTCCTGCAGCTCTGCCTTGGGGGTGAGGTTGCTGTTGCTGCCCATGGCTTGGCCCCTTGGCCAGATGTTGAGGGCAGACACACAGTACCCAGACCAGTGCCCAGCATCATGGAGAAGGTCTCAGTCACTCCTTCAGAATCCATCGCAGTTGCACAAATAGGAAGTGAGGAAGCAAGCCAAGCTCCTTCAAATTCATTTTCCCACATGTCCAATTATGCTGGAGACAGTAACCACCCATCTACTCTATAGCTCAGGGAGAAGTTCAAGGCCCAAAGAGAAGAAGAAGGGATGAAAATCTGAAGACACAGAGGCCCAGTTCAGAGTGCACCCCCAGCCCCTCACCCTCACCACCAAGAGTTGCTCAGGCAGGAAGTTCTGCTTCAGCTAATCTCAATCTTTCTTGTTGCAGTTTAAGCCAATTTCTTGGGCAGCATGATGCACTTTTCATCAAGGACACAGGGGTGGCAATTATCTTTGAGAGTGGCTATTACAGGCAGGCTTAGCGGATGACAGCCTTTTAAGTTTTCAGAAGTGTGTGTGTATTTATTCTCTGCCATATGGACTTCCTGCTTTGTTGTTCTGCATATTTAGAAACTCATCTTCTAGCTTATCTATTTGAAATACAGGTAATTCATTGGAACAGTCAGGACATCAAATAAAACCATGTTTGCAGTTTCTGATCAATACCCCAGCAAGGGAAGTACTTAAGCAAAGAAGGCTTACGCTCCAACCTCAGAGCAAGCCTTGCTCAAGAATGTTCCAAAGCTTCACTTCTCTAACTCCCTAAAATCCTGAACTCCTGGAGATTTCTGATGAAACACAGAAACAGGTGTTTATAATCAGGTTGTTTTAACCTTAAAAGTATGTTTTCTTTTTTAAAAAAATTGTGCAGTTTTACAGATGTTTGTAATCAGGTATCCTAAGCTGGAAAACATGTTTCCTTAAGACAGTATGTGCAATTTAGATCATATCCTCTTACGTACAATTTAAAAAGTCATCCTTAGAGAATGATTGTAGCTGGGATTTTGGTAGCTCCTTTCTCATAAAGAGCTCCAGGCCCTTGAACCTAGACCTTGTGGAAATAAATATTGAAGGAGATGCTGGTATTATGTTATCTTTACAAAACACCCATTGTGAAACCAAGTGTTAAAAAAAGTAATCAAATCCTTAACACAGATCTGGATGGAGTACTGAAACTTTAATTAGAAGTGTCTCCTCCACCCCTCATTTAGTACAGGAGGCATTTTTCTGTCTGTGTGGTCTGATTTGGGATGACATTAACTTTTTATAAAATGTGCATATGGGAATGTCTTCCCTTCCCATAACCTTCCAGTTTTCATTAATGTTGGGTATGAGTAAAATACTTAAGTTTTAAAATACCCCTTTGAGGAAGGAGGACAGACAGCTCTTTGCTGATCTGTATCAAATCTTTGCTTACAATTAAAAACAAGGAACATGTAGACATTTCAAAACAAGTTGTGGGGGTTTGCCAAGGCAGACTTTCAATCTCCAGATGCTAGATCCAATAGGCCCTCACAACGAGGTGCTCTGCTACAAACCATGGGACCCCAGTAGGACTGATGACATCCTTATAAGGGAAGGTCTTCTTAGGGTCATGGAGAAGTGCTGTGGGTCATGGAGAAATGACCTGAGTCACTATGGTGGCAGGGGAGAGGCTGGGGAGTGGCTTTTGAACCCCAGTTCTGGGACTTGTGGATCACAAAATGTTGCCTAAGTGAAGAGCCAGAAACACAGGTATCTGCAGCTTCTGTGAATAACCGACCCATTCTCCTAATGGTTCCATGGGAACAAAATGCCCATGGAACAGTGGCAGAAAGAAAACTAATTCTGAGCAGGAAACCAGTGAGAATCTCAAAGAGTTGAGGGAAAGAACAGAAATTGGTTATTTTCCTAATGGGGCAAGAAAGTATTTTTCATCCAGTTATGATTGATAAAACAGACAACCTAATTGTTATTAAAAATCAAAGGATTCGTTGGCCTCTGGAAAGGCACAATTGCCATGTTTCAGATCTGAACAAAAGGGTTTGGTCTTCATCATTTCAACTGACATGTGATTAACTTTAGTGACAATTTTTAAAAAAATATGTATACTGTCCGGATTTTCCTTTTAATTTTCAATGCTTTTTCTATCCTCAGAATGAGCACAAAATCAAGAGATATTAGAATCAAAAATTCACTACAAAACCCCTTGAAAAACTGAATGCATTTAATTTTTGTCAACTCTCTAATAACTAAATCTATTTGCTAATACAAACAGAAAAATATTAAAATAAAAATCATTATATACCAAAAGATTCCATTATTTTCTCTCAGCCTCACCCCCTTTCCATTCTACTTTATTGTCTTTATTATAATAAGCACCGGAAGATAGAAGATGCGAAAGCAAGAAACCCTGGTTCCAGGGAGGCAATTGCATTTCCAAGCACAAGAATTGATCATCTACTTTTCCTATTCATGCTGTTCAAACTCATATTAGTCTTTCTAATTTTAACAGCAAAAGTCAGCTTGGAAAGAATGATTTTGTGCATATTTTCACAAGATGTTAACAATTCCAACAGTGAGGAGTCAATAGTTCCAGCATACATCATAATCATCAAGACTGCATTAAGATGAGATAATTATGAATGGAAAAAATATATATTATTTGTGTCTAATAGCATCTCTGAATGATGAGAATAGGGCCTTGCTCGTGAGAACACATGTTTGGTAATGGAGCTCTCATTTTGGAGATTAATTGTTCAGTGACAGCTGTCTGAGACACAGTCTCTTATCACTGATGGAAAATGGCCCCTCCGAGTCTGTCCTTCTGGAGTCCTAGGCTGGGTTGACAGTATAGGAGAAGTAAAAAGCTCAGGGCTGTGGTTTTGTAAGGGTGTTTGGTCATGGTTCTGCCTCAAATAGATCAATCCTTCTAAAGAAATTCAATCTCCCACCAGACATAGGGCTGTGATCCCCCAAAGGGTGCTTTGTATCCTAAAGGTGGCAGGCAAGTTCATTTTAGGTGAGATAGATGTGTAATTTATTTTAATCACTATGTAGTTACTTTCTTGTGTATTATTCAAAATATTATTAGCACATCCAAATGTAATTTCAGAGGTAGGATTACTTAGAATGAAGCAAAGTAACAGAAGTCAGTGTATTTAGGTACATGGAAAGAATAACAATAAGTACAGTTGCCCTTGGTATACGTGGGGTATTGGTTCCAGGTCCCACATGAATACCCAAATCTGTGCGTACTCAAGTCCTGCAGTCAGCCCTGTGGAGCCCGCATATGCAAAAGTTGGCCTTCAGTATATATGGATTTTGCCTTGCCTGATTATTGTATTTGAAAAAAAATCCATGCATAAGTGGACCTGTGCAGTTGAAACCCACGTTGTTCAGAAGTCAACTGTAAATTATAGTGCAGGCATTGCTCTGACATGGCAGGACACATGAACATGGTTTGAAAATGACTGAGGTTTGGAAACCAGGCTGTGAAATTTTATCTCCACCTACACAGAAAAGACAGAAACCCTGACTCTTTTCACTGGAAGAAAGGTCCAGAATGAGGGCAGGGGGTTTTGACTGCATATGTCCAGCACTAAAATTGAATTCAGATACAGCAATGCTCTCTAGTGGGTTTAAAAACAACACGAGTTCATGTTTCCAGGGTTCTCCACATGTGGTCCTCAAAATTACAATCCAGCCTTCCGTTTTGGCACAGAAATAAGAAAGGTAGAAGCTAAACAATGTGCACATCTCTGAATTCTACGCCTTAAAAGTCTCCCAAGCCCTGCTTTTAAGAATCCTGCTGATATGGTTTGGGTGATATGGTCCCCATCCAAATCTCATCTTGAAATGTAGCTCCCATAATTCCCATGTGTTGTGGGAGGGACCTGGTGGGAGATAAACGAATCATGGGGGCAGTTTCCCCCATACTGTTCTCATGGTAGTAAGTCTCATGAGATCTGATGGTTTTATAAGGGGTTTCTCCTTTTGTTCGTCTTTCATTCTCTCTTGCCTGCCGCCATGTAAGATGTGCCTTTTGCTTTCCACCATGATTGTGAGGCCTCCCAGTCACATGGAACTGTCAGTCCATTAAACCTCTTTTTCTTTATAAATTACCCAGTCTTGGATGTGTCTTTATTCATAGTGTGAAAATGGACAAATACACCTGTTCTCTCAGATCCAAAGACTTGGAATTAGAGAAACCACTGGGATCTGCAACAACCAACACAACAACATCTGCATTGTCCATGGTCAGGTGCTGTTCCAAGATCTTGACCCAAATTATCCCATTTCAGTCTCTAACACTCCTGGGGGATGAATTATTATCCCCATTTTATAAATGAAGCAACTGAGATGTGAAGAACTAACAGCTAGCACAAGAAGAACCTAGATTTGGGCCCAGGTCCAGAGGCTGACCTCTTAACTGTTACAAATATTATACTGCCTCAAACTTTCTATCACTCAATGCACTCCCATCACCGAACGCTCTGGACTATGAAGAGTCACAACAAAGAACAAGTCCAGAGAGACTGAGCCAGGAACATGGAGGTTGCTGTAATATCACCTCTTCACCCAATTGCTTGCTCCCTCTCCTGAAGGTTGTGGCCCTAGCTTGCCATCTATTTTTGAGAAAAGAGTAAAGTTGTTGTCATTATAAAGTGAGATGCTTGCAAGAAATTGATAGGTAATTGTTTTCTTTCATTTTTCCTTAAATTTCTGGTAGGAAAGAAATGTAATGTTTGGTGATAGCCAGCAGAAAAAAGTCTGATCACTACGTCTCAACTTGATCAGAGAAATGAACCACTTTTAGCCTTCTCTTTTTTCAAACTTGATTTTCTTTCCCAGGCTCCACCAATTCAAGATCAGATATGCCTTATGAGAAAACATGATTGAAGACAGTCTACTCATCATTTCTCAGCCTTCCTTGGTTTTTCCCAAAGAGAGCACCTGTTAGGATGCACAGAGGTGATTTTTCAAATCTACTGTCAAATTGCCTATGAGAACAACTCCTCTTCTCAAGGTCAAATTCGTCTTTGAAGAATATTTGGGATCACTGAAGGAGAATTACTTTTAGGCATCATAATGATAGGCAAAAGCAAAAGAACTCCAATCCCTTTTAGGGTTATTATGAGAATTAATCAAATGCTAAACTCAGAAAATGAGAAAAATATGCACTGTGTGAAGAGAGACACACATTATTTGAGATGGGCAGGGTGCGGGTGTGGAGTTTCTTCTGCTTTTGTGCTGATGCTACTTAATGCCAAATTTCTGACGTGCATGTGGGGAAGCTGCTAGGTCAAAGACCCTGAGTGTGTTTTCTGGTTCCAATAAACCCTGTTAAGTTAGGTTGCAAGAGACACATGTGTACCTAGCATGGGAACAAGACAGAAAACCATCAAACACTGGAAGTGCCAGCTCCTTCTTCACGTCTGAACAAAGGCAAGAAAAGAACACTTAACACTTGAAAAAAGAAAACTGTGTAGTTAAACAACCTAACAGGGACATCCCCAAAATGAAACCACTCAAAAATTCAACCAAGCAGCTTTTGACACTGTCATTTTTTCTTTCTCTTCTATTATCTCCATATTAGGCCAGCACCAACTAATGGCAAACCCAGAACCACCATCTCCAACTCCAACTGGGATTTGGGGCACAATCAGCTATAGGGTAGGCCCGAGTGAAGGGCATAGCCACATTCATGTCTCTAATCCTGACTGACACCCTATAGACCAGTCATTAAAATCTCCCATCCCATTCACACTGGAGTTTCAGAACAACAAAAACCATGGGCATCCACATTCTCCAAGTCACGAACTAGAATATTCAAAGAGCTATCACTAACCCCCTGTGTACACTGCACGCTGAGAGCTTACCAGAGCCATCCCATCCACTTCAGGAATGACTAACGGTGACTGGGCACTTACTGTGTGCCAGGCACAGTGTTTGCAACTCTGCTATGTCTTCTTTTGGACAGTGAAGATTCTCATTTTACAGGTGAAAAAAACAGGCTGGGAGAGGTCCACCTGGCTGAAAGACACATAGATAGACCAGCCCTGGCCCCTGGGTGAGGTTGCAGACTCCACAGCTCATGCTGTCTATCCTGGCTAGTTCAAGTCCAGCTGAAGCTGGGCCTCTGAAGTTGATGCTGACAACCACCACTCCGCTGCACAAGTCCCTTGAGAGGGACCCACTAAGGGTAAAGCTACCCTGAAAAGCATGCCTTTTCGTTCATTAATTTGGCAAATATATGAGCACCTCCCATGATCCAGACCTGTTTTGGACACTCCAATAAAGCAGTGAACAAAAGAGGTCAACTGTGTAAGTTAAGGAGCTTATATTCTAGTGAGGCAGACATACCCATAAACAAATAGGAGCTTATATTCTATGAGGCAGACATACCCATAAACAAATAGGAACTTCGGTGGCTAGTATTAGGGAAGAATGAAACAGAGTGTGTGTGTTGGAAGGGTGTTATTTCATACAAAATGGTCAGGGAAGTCCTCTCTGATGAGAGGACTGAGTAGAGACCTGAAGGAAGCAAGGGAAAGAATCACGCAGACCACCGAGAGCAGAGTATTCTAGACAGTGGGGACAGTGAGGGAAGCCACTGAGCACGGGTGTGCTTGGAGGAACATCAGGAAAGAACAGCTGGGTTTAGCGGAGAGGGAGCAGTGGGAATCTGACGACCACTCATTTAGTGGAACACACACTGAGAACCCACTCTGAGATGCTGGGCCTGGCAGAGACACGAAGAAGCAATCCCAGCCTTCAAGGAGGTAATAATCCCATGGGTGATTCAGGATACAGAAACCTGAAAGAATTACTTGGAGAACAAGAGAGAATGAAGCCAAATGAGCTGCAAGGGGAATGTCGAAGAGTCAGGAGAGATCTCTGTGGCCTGGGAGCGTCTGAGAAGGCATAAGAGGTGCAAATGTCTCTTGGCCTTCAAGAATGGCAGAATTCAAAAAGGGAGGGAAAGAGTGGAGGATTATTTACCCCACAGCACAGTGCTGGGCACATAGCAGATATTCAGTGAATCCTGTTTACACAGGCAATAAATTATCAACGAATAAGGAGGCAGTGGGAGGTAAAAATGGAAGGCTACTTGAGATCATACCTTAGAAAGAGCTGAACACCACCCTATAGTACTTCATAGAGAATTAGTGTGTTTCCCGCATGTTCTCGCTTATAAGTGGGAGCTGAACAATGAGAACACGTGGACACAGGGAGGGAAACAACACACACTGAGGCCTGTCTGAAGGGTTGTGGGGGTGGGGGAGCATCAGGAAAAATAGCTAATGCATGCAGGACTTAATACCTAGGTGATAGGTTGATAGGTGCAGCAAACCACCATGACACACATTTACTTATGTAGCAAACCTGCACATGTGCCCCAGAACTTAAAATAAATTTTTAAAAAAAGAATTCACTTGTTTGTGTTCATTCCTATCTTAAGAACAATTATAAATGTGCTCTGTAAATTGCAACCTCATTTTTCATAATCAACCACTTTGGAATACATTGGCTTAGCTTAGATGGAGCTAAGAAGATATATAGTACATAAGTTTAAATTTTTCTTTCACTGGCTTTGGCACCAGTGAGCCTGACATTAACAAGACTGGTCTATAAAAGCACGTCATCAAGTTGCATTTTTCACAAAGAGATGGGAGGCCAGGCAGAGCCTCGATCTCCTGAAGGAGAAACTCAAAAATTCACAGATAATTACTTCAGTAACCCCAGAGTCTTGCTTATGTTAGGGATGCATGCCAATGTAGATTTAAAGTGCTGATGGGCTTGTTTTGTTGGGAAATGTCTGAAGAATTCTCACACAGCCCTATTGCACTAAAGCACTTGAAGGAGACTAGTAAATGACATCACATTGGTTGGGGAAATTTTGTTTTTGTTGTTGTGGAAAAAGTCTCAGGGTAGGTGAGCTCTTTCATTTTTCCCTCAAGAACCAGCGTAACATGTATACTTCAAAAATGGACCATCCACGTCCAACTGTCAGGAGAATCAGTTTTGATGTAAAATTGCAATTTGAACTGAAGACCAATATCTTGCATGCCATATTAAATAAAACATCACATAAAGCTTAGAAGCAATAGGATAGATGGGAACAAAGTTTGCAAAAATTTACCAGAGTCACAGATGCCAGTGAAACCCAAGACGGAAGCTAACTTCCCAAGACACTGTGTTATAGCCTGTTGCTTCTAAAAACGAATGCATAAACAAGTGGAATTAATCCACCATAGAGCTAGGAACTATTATAGGAAAAAGTGATTTGTTTATTTGATCAACAGAACTCTCTAACAGCAGCATCTGCGCTGCAAGAGGTAATTCACCATCAACATCGCTTGGCACCATTGCTGAATTTATTACAAATTTCAAAAATATCAACTTTTGTCAGCTTCTTCTGAGAAAACAAGGCTGGGGTTCAGAATTTCCAGCTTGTGAGGTGGGGTGATCATGAAAGCTCGGAGAGAATTAGTCAGGAAGGAAAGAGCCCTTGCTTTAATCCCCCACTTCGAATTCATTGGCTTCTTCTGCCAGAGTTTACCTAATCCAAGCCCACCCTGGCAGGCTAAATGCACACCATCCCCAAGACAGTGGCATGGGTGCAGATGGAAGCGGGGGAAGTTCTCTTTTTTTTCTTTTTGAGATGGAGTCTCGCTCTGTTGCCCAGGCTGGAGTGCAGTGGCGTGATCTCTGCTCACTGCAACCTCTGCCTCCCGGGTTCAAACGATTCTCCTCCCTCAGCCTCCCAAGTAGCTGGGATTACAGGCACCCATCACCACACCCAGCTAATTTTTTTTTTGTATTTTCAGTAGAGACAGGGTTTCACCATGTTGGCCAGACTGGTCTCGAACTCCTGACCTCGCAATCCACCCGCCTCAGCCTCCCAGAGTGCTGGGATTACAGGCGTGAGCCACCACGCCTGGCCAAGTTTTCTAGTCTCTTCCTTTAATCCTACAGACTCTTTTGTAATCAGCTAGTCAAGGTGTGGGTACTTATTCCCTGTTGTGCACCACTGCCCCAGCAACAGAACAAGGACACCTGGAAGTGAGGGTTCCACAGGTGATGGAAAGCTTGGCCTGCCTGGGAAAGATTAAGCATCTCCTGTTTTTTCAAAATGTGCATAGAAAGGTCAATCAATGGACACCTCCCCGTACCTCCTCAGGGCAATGACTCAAGCCCTGAAGCTGGGAGAGGCAAGTTTGATGGATTTTCAGATGAGAGCAGGAGCTGCTGTGATCAATCCCCCAGAACCACACACCGTGTGGGATGGAAATGGGCATATTTCCTGTGCTCTGATGAGGACTTTATCTTCTCAGGTCCAGGAGGAGGAAGAAAAGCTTGACTGATCTTTCTGAGGTCTGCATTATTAAAACTTTCTATCCCTCACCATTCCGTTTCTTTCTCATAGTCTAGTGACCTTTGTTATTAGATGGTGAAGGGAGAGCCTCGTTGCCTTAAACTTATGATCCATTGCCTCGATTTCGTATTCTATTTACTCAAAAACATATCTATGGCCCAGAACCTCTGGCAATATGTTGGAAATCCAGATGGGAAAAATATGACTCTTATCAGCTTAAGTGCTTGGTTTAAAAAATAGCCCAGAGCGTTATCTGGCAGAAAATATCAGAACATGTATGCAATGTGTTGTATCCCAGACAAAAAGGTTAAGAAAATGGGAAGGTGGCCAGGTATGGGGCTGCCATGTTTACCAAGGACACAGGTAAAGTCCAAGTACCAAGAGCACCAAATTGAAGGCAAGGATGGAGCCCATGTGGGTAAATCTTTATTTCCCAATTGTTCCCTCCTTGATGCGGTTGTCCCATTTACATACTGGCTTTGATGAATTATAATAATGGCTCTGAATGGTACAAGAGTGCTTGCAACATATATTTATAGAAGACTCATTTATTTATCACATAGTCTCCAGGGAAGAGGGCTTGACTGACGGTGTGTAAATCTGCACATGTCAACAAGCAGCTTGCTTTTTCTTTGTAATGGAAAAGAAGCATGCATTTCCATAACTGACATATGGACTCTGAAGTCCCAGGTAGAGAAATGCAACATGAAAGGTCCGCCTCCTCCTGAGAATATCTTCTGTGGAATCTAAAACTTGGAAATGTGTGATTTTTAAGTCCGTTTAGTTGAACTTCTGGTGACCTCAGAGAGAGAGCTAGCAGGCTCAGATCATCATAACATCCAGGTCTAAGGGAACCGTGGTCTTCAGGGGCAGCCATGAGGAAATGAAACCAAAGACTCTAAACTCCTGGAGGTTGTCAAGCTTCTGTTTAACATCAGCTCTGACAAGCAGGTCTCAAGTTCTTAAATGCCTGCGGTAGGAGGTGCCGTGAAAACTGAACTTCACGGCTTTTATCTTTGCCCTCTTGGTGATTATAGTGTTAGAGAAAAATGTACTGAGGTTTTTGTTGGTGGTTTGTTTTTCCCTGAATTAAGATTCCACAAAGAGCTAGGGAAGGACTTTTTTCTCAGACTTCCTATATTATCTCTTTGTTTTTGTTTGTTTGTTTTTAATTGGCTGGCCAACTATCCAAATCATGTCAGGATCTAAGAAGCAAGCAGTAGTCAAGAAAAACAAGACCATTTTTGGCAAACATGAGTACTATTCCAGATTCAAGGCAGGTTCATGAGCCAGCTTAAAGGTCAAAAAAGAAAGAAAGAAGTTAGTTGCAAGTACCAGGAACTCTAAAAAGTGTTGGTATGGAACCAAAAAGGTGGCATGCAAACTAATCACTGTCCAGGGTTTGTAGCAAACCTGCACTCCACCTAAAATACTGGGTGACATCAGCACCAGTTTGGAATGTTGAGCTGGAACTCCATGTCTAGACCTGAAGCCTTTGCTATGGACATTCCTTCAACAGGAAAGGGTAAGACCTGAGACCAGAGGTTCGCCTGGCCTTCCCACCAAGACTGTAGTTAAATCTAAGGCAGGCGAGTCCTTCAAAAGAAAAGCACATCTGACATCAAAACCTCTTCACAGAGTAGGTGCATTTAAGGTGCTGCATTGAGAGGTGGAGTTCAGTTTTCCTCCCTGAACTGGGACCCTGTGACTGCTTAATCAACAGAAGGCATGGAGGTGAAGCTCCTGAGCCCTTTCTAGCCTTCAATAGGGCTGGTGTCTTCAGATTCTTTCCTCCTGCAATGTGTGTGCTTCAGAGAAGCTGGGCCTCCATGTACGTAGCCCAGCTACCGAGCTGGAGAGAACATGCAGAAAGACTGTGCAGAGAGAGAGGCACTGAGACCACACAGAGAGGGAGAGAGGCCCAGGCATCCCAACATCTCAGGTGGCCTCCAGACAACTCCCACCCTATTTTACTACAACCAGCAGAAAGACCCAAGTAAGATCAAAATACCTTCCAGGTTAAACCTAGTCTAACCACAGAACTGTGCAATATAAGAAAATGTTTGTCGTTTTAAACAGCTATACTCTGGGGTAATTGGTTATATAACAGTGAATAACTAAAACACAAAAGCATCTGAACGTATTTTCATCCATGTATTGATTTATTCATCTATTTGTCCATTTGACAAATACTTGCCTGAGTCTCTGCAATAGACCAGGCACTCTGCTAGTTGCTAGGAAATCAGCAGGAAAATGACATATCTGGGTTTTTCTCCTTTGGAGCCTCCAGCATCAGAGACAACAATGACCTTCAAACAAGGAATTATAGCCATGATGGGTGGCATAAAGGGTTAGGGCCAGGATGCTGTGATTGGGATACAAAATATTCAGCCCCAAACCATTTGTAAAATGCACAATGCCTGGCATCCACTCACAAATTACCAAGCACATAAAGAATTAGAAAAAGTAGCCCATAATGAGGAAAAACACTAACAATTAAAACAGACTCAGAAGTGACACAGATAATTGAGTTAAAAGCCAATAGCATCAAAACAGCTATAATTATATTCCTTGCCAAGGCAAGACATGGAAGGAAAAAGAAAAGACCCAAACTAAGCTTCTAGAGATGAAAACTACCATAAGATGGAAAACATACTAGATAGTATTAACAACAGATTACACGCACTTGAAGATAGAACAATTGGAAATACACAAAATGAAGCACAGAGAGAGAAAAAAGATTAAAAACAAAACAAAAAGCAGTGATCTGTGGAACATCAAATTCTCTGGGTGGAGGGAGATGGACAAAATATTTGAAAAACTAATAACCAATTTTTCCTGAATGTGATGACAACTATAAATCCACAGATCCAAGATGCTCAGGAAACCCCAAGCCCAAGAAATATGCAGATGATCTTTGACTTACAGTGGGGGTATGTCTTGATAAACCCATCCCAAGTTGAAAATATTGTAAGTAAAAAAATGCACTTAATACACCTAATCTACTGAACATCACGGCTTAGCCTAGCCAAACTTAAACATGCTCAGAACATGTACATTAGCTTACAGGTGGGCAAAATCATCTAACACAAAGCCTATTTTATAATAAAGTATTGAATATCTCATGTAATTTATTGAATACCATACTGAAAGTGAAAAACAGAATGGTTGTCTGGGTTCTCAAAGTATGGTTTCAACTAAATGTGTATTGCTTTTGCACTGCCATGAAGCTGAAAAATCATAAGTCAATCCAGCATAAGTCAGGGACCCATCTGTACATAAAAATATATATCAACACATTTCATAATCAGATTGTTTAAAATAAGTTATCACGCCTGTAATCCCAGCACTTTGGGAGGCCAAGGCAGGTGGATCACGAGGTCGGGACATCGAGACCATCCTGGCTAACATGGTGAAACCCCATCTCTACTAAAAATACAAAAAATTAGCCAGGCATGGTGGTGGGCGCCTGTAGTCCCAGCTACACGGGAGACTGAGGCAGAGAATGGTGTGAACCCGGGAGGCGGAGCTTGCAGTGAGCCAAGATCGCACCACTGCACTCCAGCCTGGGCGACAAAGTGAGACTCCGTCTCAAAAAATAATAAATAAATAAATAAATAATAAGTTACAACAAGAAAAATCTTAAAATCAGTCAGAGGAAAAAATATGTTATATACAGAGGAACAAAAATAAGACTGATAGCAAATTTCTTGTCTAAGTAATGCAAGACAGAAGATAGTGGATTCACATCTTTAAGGTCCTGGGTGAGGATGGGTGGAAGGAAGCACCCAACCTAGAATTCTATGGCCATCAAAAATATCATTCATAAATAAGGATGAGAAGCTGAGTCAGCTTTTCATCTCACATCTTCTGGCTTCATAAATTTAATTTGGTTGTCCAGAATTGACAAGTTGATTGTAAAATTTATATAGAAATGCTAAGGACCTAGAATAATCAAAATGACTTTGAACAAGAACAAAGTAGGAAGACACACTAAATTATTTCAAGGCTTATTATAAAGTTACAATAATTACAACAGTGTGGTACTGATATAACAGTTAAAAAGAAATTATCTAGGCAGATAGTGAGGGTAAGGAAGTCCTTGGTAAGGTTTCCCTTTTAATAAAAAGTGGCCCCCAAATTATTTCTTTTCTAACAAAAAGCAGCCTGTAAAATCAAGCTGCAGACATTGATAAGCAAGCTGGAAGCCTGCAAGGGTGAATGCCTGTAGGTATGACCATAGGAGAAGGCTACATGGGGGCATGTTCAACATGGCGGCCCCATCTTCCCTTTTCTTTGTCAACTAAAGGAAATTAAAGGAAATTTTTTGCAACAATGTGTACAAGAAGCACACAACATGGTGCCAGCCAGGTACAAAACTCATTCGCATAATAAAAGATTAGGGTGGGGTGGCCAGCTTCTTCACATGCTATGTAAACATCACACCTGGTCCAACCAATCTTTGGGCTCTATGTAAATCAGACACCACCTCCTCAAGCCAGTCTATAAAATCCCATGCACTTCATCACAGGACCAGAAGATCCACTTGGGAACCCCTTGCAGAGAGAGAGCTTTTCTCTTTCTCTCTATTAAAACTCTCTCTCTATTAAACCTCTGCTCTTAAACTCACTTCTTGTGTGTCTGCATCCTTGATTTTCTTGGTGTGAGATGACAAACCTCAGGCATGTAACCCAGACAATTACATTGCTTCAGTACTGGTGTAAAATGGAAATATAGATTAATGTAACAGGATACAGTTTAATTAAAAAATACTTTATTGCTAAAAAAAAAAATCTAACAATCGTGTCAACCTTCAAGGAGTTATATAATCTTTTTGCTGGTGGAGGATCTTGCCTCGATGTTGAGGGCTGCTGACTGATCAAGGTAGTAGTTGCTGAAGGATGGAATGGCTATGACAACTTCTAATTTTTTTTTTCTTTGAGACAGAGTTTCACTCTTGTTGCCCAGGCTGGAGTGCAATGGTGCTATCTCAGCTCACCACAACCTCTGCCTCCCAGGTTCAAGCGATTCTCCTGCCTCAGCCTCCAGAGTAGCTGGGATTACAGGCATGTGCCACCACACCTGGCTAATTTTTTGTATTTTCAGTAGAGATGGAGTTTCTCCATGTTGGTCAGGCTGATCTCGAACTCCCGACCTCAGGTGATCCACCTGCTGCTGGCCTCCCAAAGTGTTGGGATTACAGGCATGAGCCACCATGCCCGGCCGACAACTTTTTAAAATAAGACAGCAGTGAAGTTTGCTGCATCGATTGACTCTTCCCTTCAGAAAATTTTTCTCTTTAGCATGCCATGCTATTTGATAGGATTTCACCCACTGTAGAACTTCTTTGAAAGTTCGCATCAATCCTTTCAAACTCTGCTCCATTATCAACTAAGTTTATGTAATATTCCAAATTTTTTATTGTCATTTCAACAATATTTATAGCATCTTCAGTAGGAGTCAATTTCAAGAAAACTTATTTTTTGCTCATTTATAAGAAGCATGTCCTCATCCACTAAAGTTTTATCATGAGATTGAAGCAACTCAGTCACATCAGGCTTCACTTCTAATTCTAGTTACCTTGCTGCTATTTCCACTACATCTGCAATTACTTCTAAGTTTTGAACTCCTCAGGTCATTCATAAAGGTTGGAATTAACATCTTGCAAACTCCTGCTAATGTTGATATTTCAACCTCTTCTTATGAATCACAAATTTTATCAATGGCATCTAGAATAGTGAATCCTTTCTAGAAGGTTTTAAATTTACCCAGATTCATCAGAGGAATCACTAGCTATGGCAGCTATAGCCATATGAAATGTATTTCTTTCTTTTTTGTTTTTTTTTAGAGATAAGGTCTGGTTCCATTACCCATGCTGGAGTACAGTGGCAAAATCATGGCTTGCGGCAGCCTCAAACTTCTGGGCTCAAATGCTCCTCCTGCCTCAGCCTCCCAAGTATCTGGGACTATAGGCTCACACCACCATGTCTGGCTGATTTTTAAAGTTTGTCCTTATATTTTTTTAGAGAGAAGTTCTCACTATGTTGCTGAGGCTGCTCTTGAGCTCCTGGCCTCAAGCAATCCTCCTGCCTCAGCCTCCCAAAGTGATAGGGTTACAGGTATGTGCAACCATGCCCTGCCAATATCTACTTCTTAAATAACAAAACCTGAAAGTCAAAGTTACTCCTTGATCCATGAGCTGTAGAATGAATGTTGTGTTAACAGGCATAAAAACAATATTAATTTCCTTGTACATCTCCATCAGAGTTCTTGGGTGGTTGGGTGCATTGTCAATGAACACTAATATTTTGAAAGGCAACCTTCTTTCTGAGCAGTAGTTCTCAACAGCAGGCTCAAATTATTCAGTAAACAATGCTATAAACAGATGTGTTCCTATCCAGACTTTGTTGTTCCCATTATAGAGCACAGACAGAGTAGATTTAGTATAATTGGTAAGGGTCCTAGTAGTTTTGGAATGGTGGATGAGCACTGGCTTCAACTTAAAGTCACCAGCTGCATTTGCTTCTAACAAGAGAGCTAGCTTGTCCTTTGAAGTTTGAAGCTAGACATTGACTTCTCCTCTCTAACTATGAAAGTCTTAAATGGCATCTTCCTCCAATAGAAGGCTGTTTTGTTTGCACTGAAAAATCTATTGTTTGGTGTAGTTACCCTCTTCAATTATCTTAGTTAGGTCTTCCAGATGACTTGATATATCTTCTACATTAGCACTTGCTGCTTCACCTTGCCCTTTAATGTTATGAAGATGACTTCTTTCCTTAAACCACATAAACCAACCTCTGCTAGCTTAAAACTTTTATTCTGCATCTTTATCACCTGTCTTAGCCTTCACAGAATTGAAAAGAGTTAGAGCCTTGCTCTGGATTAGGCTTCGGCTTAAGGGAATGTTGTGGCTGGTTTGATCTCCTTTCCAGACCACTTTATATCAGCAATTAAGCCATTTTACTTTCTTATCATTCATGTGTTCACTGGAGTAGCACTTCTAATTTCCTTCAAGAATTTTTACTTTGAATTTACAACTTGGCTATCTGCTGCAAGAGGCCTAGTATTTGGCTTACCTCAGCATTCAACATACCTTCCTCACTAAGCTTAATCATTTCTAGCTTTTGATTTGAAGTGAGAGATATGTGACTCTTCCCTTCACTTGAATACTTAGAAGCATTTGTGCATTGTTAGTTGACCCAATTTCAATATTGTTGTGTCACAGGGAATAGGGAGGTCTGAGGAGAGGGAGAGAGACAGGGAAACGGCTGGTCAGTACAGCAGCCAGAACACATGCAACATTTATCTATTAAGTTTGTCATTTTATAGGGCATGGTTTGTGGCACCCTAAAACTATTACAATAGTAAAATTAAAGATAACTGATCACAAATAACCATGGCAGATATAATAATCGTGAAAATGTTTGAAATATTGCAAGAATTACCAAAATATGACTCAGAGACACAAAGTGAGTACATGCTGTTGGAAAAAAATGTCACCCATAGATGTGTTCAATGCAATATTACTACAAACCTTTAATTTTTAGAAAATGCAATATCTGTGATGTGCAATACAGCAAAGGACAATAAAATGAGTATAAGATGAGTATATAAAATGCCTGTATGTTTCACCACAATAAGAAAAGGAAAAAGCTATTCATATAAGATATCCCTTGCAGTGTTGTGTGTAATAGAAAAACGACCAAAAACAATCTAAGTACCTGTGGATTGGGGGCTGGTATAAAAATTATAGCACATTTTAAAAATGTAGCCATTAAAAATAATTAGATGGTTGCCTATACATAGGAGATGATCCCCAAAGCTTATTTGTAAAATAGACATAAGCAAGACACAGAACAGTGTGTGCTCCCAAGTGCATAAATAAAAAGCAAGAAGGAAGGGGCTAGGATTATGCACACACATCCAGACACACACAGTTGCATATGCATAGGGTATTTCTGGAAAGATATATAAAGAACTGGCATCAACAGTTGCCTCTGGAAAGGGTGAGAGAGACACCTTTTTATTCTCTGAATTTTTACCATGAGCATGCATAACTTTTTCATTTTAAAAAGTTGTTAAAACAACTGGTCACCTACGCACTAGAAGATTTCATCCTTTTGCAGCTTCCAGGGAACATCACTCCCACACCGAGCTCCTCCCTCTTCAGTAACTTATCCAGCTTATTCCTCATTTCAAAGCCTCTCCTCAAATCTGCTGCCTCCGAATCTGCTGTCTCCTCTAGAGATCCTTTCTCCCTTCTTCCTCTTCCTGATAAGCCTCTGGAAATGGTGGTGATGCCTGCCATCTATGCTTCCTCACCTGCCAATCACTCCTCAGTCTTCTGCCCTCTCGCTCTCCCTAGCTGCTGTCACTCCACGCCCTGCAACTGCTGCCTTCTTGCCTAACTCAAATGCTTTCCTCACTGCTGCTTTTCCTCACTGACTTCCTGGCAGTATTCAGTAATGCTGACCAATTCCCTGTCCCCAGATTCTATCTTCTTCCCTCCCTGAACCATAACACCATGAGTCTAAGAGCTGCTTGATCACCACCGCGCTATCCTTGGTATACACAACACCTGGCGCACACCAGGAGCTTAATGCATGTTTCCTGAATGAACTGGCCCTCCTCCCTCTCCTACTTGTCCACCTACTCCTTTTCTTCCACCGACTCTTCTCTTTCTCCCTAACTGTGCACATTCCTCAATGCTCACACTTTGCCTTTCTGCTCTTCTCTCTGTTGACACAACGTACACCTTTCCCCCACTCGGCCATTGACACGATAGTCCCATATGTTGCTTCCCCTCTAACTCCTACCTCCAAGGCTTTGTAGAAAACATTCCTTGGAACGCATACCACCAATTCAAGTCAGGAGCTTGTCTGAACTCATCTGCTCCTCCAAACTGGTCACTCCACTTTTCAGCAATTTGTGATTGTTAATTCTCACTTATTCTTCTATGCAGTTGATAAGGCTGACTGGCTCTTCCTAGAAATGTGGCTGCCCTTTCCTCACCCACCTCACCCCACTGCCGCATCCCTGATACAAGCTTCACACTCTCAAACCCAGTGCCCTACAGCAGACTTCCAACTGGCTGTCCTGTCTCCTATTTCTTGCCTTATCAATACATCCTTCACACAGCCATCAGATTACTACTTTAAAAACTTTCTCAGCCACAACTAAAAATTAAGCTACTCACTTAAAAGTGGTTAACTCTGTTATGTGAATTCACTTTAATTTAAAAAAATCAATTACTGAACCATTGTACCATCTTACTAGTTCCCTCATTAATTAATGAGTAAATAAAATCTTGAACAGGTATTCATTAAAAAATTAAGCTACTTTACCCTCATACAACCTGTGTAAAGTACTGTGAATGATTCTTCAACACCCTCATGAAAAAGTCCATATTCCTCAGATTGGAATTCAGCATCCTGGGATGTCCATTAGAACTTTCTGCTGTGATGGAAATGCTCTATAACTGCAGCGCCCAATAGGGCAGGCACTTAGATACATGTGACTATTGAGCACTTGCAATGTGACTAGTGCAATCAAGAAACTGCATTTTTATTTAGTTAGTTTTAATTAAGAAGACTTTAAATAACGACACGTGCGTTCTGACTCTCATTTTGGACAGCACAGTCCTAGACAATCTGAGGAACACTGGTCTTTCCTTCTAATCTTTTCTCCCACTTGTCTTCAGTGTGAACTCCCTTTGCTGGTCTCTTCTTTCTCTTTGGAATGGGTTATGTCACTGAAGATTTTCGTTCTTTGCTTATTCCTTTCCTCTATATCCCTTCTTGCTCTCTTTCACCTATCAAACCTTCTCCATGTCCAATCCTTATCACACCTTCTTCTGGAAGCTTCACTGATGGTCAACAGTGCTTTCCTTGACTCAGTTCCCTGGAGACTCCATCTGCAGTGCTTATCTTACTCTGGTGCTCAATGAAAGTGCTCTTGAAGAATGGTGTCCTATGGGTTTGTCTAGATCCCCTCTCTAGATGGTGAGCTCTTGATCAAGAATACTTTTTTCAAAGTATTCTTGAGTATCAAGAGTACTGTTTTCTTGTCTCTATCTCCAGCTCATCTTATGCCTCACCCATACCCAGAGCATGGTTACAAGACAGCAGCAAAGTGACCAGATGACAACAGTGAGACTATATGCTCACTTCTCCATTCACACTGGCCACTGTGATATTCAAATGAGCATGAGCTGATAATACGAGAAGACTTGCCTGAGCTTTCATATCCATGAGGAAAAATATTGTATAGTATCACACATGGTCTTCATGTTTTTGTTCAGTGGAAGATTTCTCTTTCAGTCTAAACCCCAAAATTTATTGAACATGTCCCACCAATCGTGTCATTGGGCCATGTAAAGAAAACAAAGGCAACTTAAGGGCACTTAGTTAGAGTTGTGTATCTAGCAAACAGAGTGAGAAGCTGTGCCCTGGGGTAATGAGATAAGCAGGCAGTGGCACTTTGGAAGGGAGGAAAACCCAGTTTCTTGTGCAATGGAGTTGATCATTCTGTACTTAAATTTGAGCAAGTTCAAACACAGAGGCTGAGCGTAAGCTGCTTAGTATGATGAAGTAAAATCTGAGTGCTAGGTAGGAAAACATAAGCACAGATTAATGCATAAAGAGAGAATCTGAGAACTCAGACAGTGCCTGAAAAGATGTACCAGGCTTTGACCATAAACTCTCTTCTGTTTTTGGCCATTTTTGTTAAAAAAAATTTACTAGTTCTTTAGTGTAAAAGAACTAGAAATTAATCAGACCCTCGCTAAATACTACTGCTAGTAACAATAATAAGGAGGAGGAGAAGGAGAAAGAGGAGGAGAAATATAAAAAAGAAGGAAGAGAAAGAGGAGGAGGAGGAAGGGGAAGGGAGAGGGAAAGAAACAGGAGGAGAAGGAGATGGAGGGGGGAAGACATCAAAAATAGCAGTTCTAATAAATATTATAATTGACTATGATAAAATATATATAGTTTTTCCTCCACACTGTGGTTTCAGTTGTTCTCAACTAATTTGTTGGGCTGTCTTTATAAAGCCTCCAGTGAAAGAACATTTCTACTTGCTGTTACAGATAAGTATCTGAACTGAGTAGACCCTGCCTGACTCTTTGCAGTAAAAATTATAGTGCCCAGAGCAGATAAACACAGGGAAGCAGTCAATTCCCCTACAGAATTGAGTCTTAACAGAGCTTATTTCTCTGTGGATAAGTGTAACTCAGGCTGGAAGCGAGTGGCCCCAGAATATAACGGATCATTCCTGTAGTCAAAGACCTATGTCATGGGTATAACAATCCTGTGCAACTATTATAAAGACTAGAGAAAATGAACATAGCTGCTTGGCATATGGTAGAAGCTTAATAAATGGTGGTGATGATAATGACAATGAGGATTATAGGGACTTTGCAAAGGAGTGGTAAGGGCCTTTGTGGCCTGAGACCTTGTAGAAATGTGCCAGCTGTCTTGGCTCTGAAGGGTTTGGCCAGGCCTTCCTCATGTCCT
Source organism: Homo sapiens (assembly GCF_000001405.40). Lineage (NCBI taxonomy): Eukaryota > Metazoa > Chordata > Mammalia > Primates > Hominidae > Homo > Homo sapiens. Next base: position 116,004,467 of record NC_000010.11, on the reverse strand, counting down.
GGGGCAGGGGCCAAGCTATAGAAAGGATCTTCCATAGGGAGAGGGGGTCTGCCTCAATCCTCCTCCCTCCCACCCAGGACTGCATGTAGGCGCCATGGTAGATGGAGACATGGAGGCTGGACCAAGCTTGCAATGCAGTTATAGCCCACACAAACGAATGGAAAATTAAATTCAAAGAAATACAAATATTGTGAAAAATATTGTAACCCCCTGGGCTCGGCTTCTGTCTTAGATACATAAACACGGCTGGGCGTGGTCGCTCACGCCTGTAATCCCAGCACTTTGGGAGGCTGAGGTGGGCGGATCATGAGGTCAAGAGATCAAGACCATCCTGGCCGACACAGTGAAACCCTATTTCTACTAAAAAAAAAAAAAAAAAAAATTAGCTGGGCTTGGTGTATTCTCAGCTACTTGGGAGGCTGAGGCAGGAGACTCATTTGAACCCAGGAGGCAGAGGTTGCAGTGAGCCGAGATCACGCCACTGCACTCCAACCTGGTGACAGAGAGAGACCCTGTAAAAAATAAAGATACACACACACACACACAGTGATTATACCAGAATGATCATTCCCAACACCCCTTTTCCTTTCAGTAAAGAAGAATTGCAGGCCGTACATTTCTCTAGCTGGGTTATTGATTTTTGAAGACAGCAGTATGACAAAGGGAGGGCCTGATCAGGACTGAGGTGATCAGAAATGTGGTGGAGGTAAAAAATGGACAAGCCTGCAAGGAAGAAAGCCATGTATCAGCTGAATAGACCAAGCGACCCTTTCCACCCAAACAAACAGGAGCCACCTCTGACCTGGCTCTCTCCTCTTCTCTAATATAATTCAGGTTTGAAAACATCTGACCGCGACCAGAAAGAAGCACATGCTGTACCTTGCTAATGCTGCCCATAACAGAAACCAATTCTTGACTTCTTTTTTCCAGTTCTGAACAATAAAGAACAGTTAGGGGGCCAAGGACTCCATGGAATCCTGCCAACTGCCCTAGGAGGTAGGTATCACTATTGTCCTCATCTTTCAGATGAGACAAACTTACTCAGAGAAGTTAAACCATTTACCCAAAGTCCACACATGCTAAGTGGCAAAGCCAGAATTTATACCAAAGATGACTAGAGGTGAAGCCCCTGCCTGTAACCCCTATGCTGTGCTGCATGCAAGCAATGTCTCCAAGGGCCGTGGTCACACTGGCCAAGTCCTCAGCATCTCCCTGTATGGAGAGGTTGCCCCCAACTACATGTCATGTGCCTAAGGCATTCCCTGGGCTGCAGGGAAGTTGCCTCAGGGTTGGGAGTGTATGGGAGGGAGGGAGTCCTGCCTCAATTTCTCTGGCACTGGAGATGCTACTGCTTCCAGCCTAGATTATAGTTTCCTCTGTGCTCTGTCTGTGATTAAATCATGGCATCTTCTATGTCCTGTCTTCTCTGGAACTATTTTGGCAACTCTAGTCACCAACCCCTATTGCCTTATCCATTTCTCCCTAGTAATTCAATCCAGGAATGTGTTGTCTACATCCCATGCTGACTCAGCACAATCCTCCTTCAACCCTCACATGGCTGTTCTGGACACTGAGCAGGTGGGGCCTTGTATTAGTCTGTTTTCACATTGCTATAAACAAATATCTGAGACTGGGTAATTTATAAAGCAAAGAGGTGTAATTGACTCACAGTTCCTCATGGCGGGGGAGGTTTAGGAAACTTAAAATCATGGTGGAAGGGGAAGCAGGCACATCTTACATGGCAGCAGGCACATCTTACATGGTGGCAGGCATGTATTATATGGTGGCAGGCGAGAGAGAGAGAGAGCAGGGAAAACTGCCTTATAAAACCATCAGATATGGTGAGAACTCACTCATATCACGAGAACAGCATGGAGGAAACCACCCCCATGACCCAATCACCTCCCTCCCTCGACACATGGGGATTACAATTCAAGATGAGATGTGGGTGGGGACACACAGCCAAACCATATCAGGCCTGTTAACTTAGACATGGGCTGCCCAACATGGTAGCCACTGGCCACATGTGGCTAGGCTGACTTGAGAAGTGCTATCAGTAATAAATGCACTGAAGTTCCTACAAAAAAAATTAAAATATCTCATTAATAATGTATTTATATTTATTCCATGTTGAAATAATATGTTGAATATATCGTGTTGCATATGTTATTAAAATAATGTCACAGATTTCTTTTTTACCTTTTTATGTAGCTGTGAAAAATGCTAATTTCATATGTGGTTGACATTAATTTTCAACAGGGCAGCTGTGACTTTATCTTTGGCATCTCCACCATCCCCCTGCCGGCCCTGGCTCCCAGTTCCTGCCAGGTGAGTGTTTGAAGACCTGACTCAGTGGTCACAGCCTTGCCGTCTACCCTGGGAGCTCAAGGGGACAGACAGCTCAGGGTGACAGGTCCCTAGGGCCAAGAAGTTAACCTAAAGCACTTTTAAGGGGCAGCTTCCAGGTCCGCTTGGCTTAAGGTCCCCCTGGAAGCTGTTTTCTCAGCGCTCAGAGCCAGAGGGGAGCGAGGGGCAGGGCAGCATCTGGTTAAAAATCAGAAAAATCCCCATGAGGCTCTCACAAACTTTGTCTCCGAAGGAATTTTGAATAATGAACAAGGGAAATAAAAACTCAATTTTCAAAAATAAAAAAAAGAGAGAGTCAAATTAAACTAAATTGAAAAAAAATAACTTCTCGGGGCCGTCAAACACCAGAAGAGAATTTGTGAAAACATATTATTCTTGTTTCAGGGGTTTACCAGATAGATTGATTTGGTGATAAGGGGCTCCGAAAGCTATTTTCTCAGCTTCAGCAGAAGTTAACCACCTCAGAATGCCTCAGTATTTAGCTCTGCAGCTGACAGCAACCATGTCGGGGAAAAGCAAGATAAATGAATGAACATACTGGATCAGAGCCTCTAGCAATCTGTACAGCTCTGTCCCCGGCGGCCACGATTAACATCGAGGCCAGTTTAGAAGTCTCACATTGTTATTCCAGGAACAGGACGGCAGCCAAAGTTCAGTGACATGGAACCTGTTGTCAGCAGCCCTACAAATGGCCAGGAAAGTTTTAATTGGTTTTTTAGCCAGGGAGACAAAGGGGGAAATGGGGAGTAGGCGGGGTGGGGAGAGGCTTTTTTGTCTAATGTTCTGCTGTAAGCAACTTTCAGCCTCCAGGCACCAATCCCCAAAACATAGACACAGTTTTCACTCGTTTTTGCTCTGGATGCAAAGCAAAGCAAAATCGTTTATTTATGTTTCTCACCATGAGACCGAGCCAGTGACACACTTGTAAACATTTGTTCTTGCAGGGAAAAAGAGAAACCTAATTTCTTGTGTGACACTTGTACAACCCCACTGTGTTTGGATATTTTTGAGACAAGCAATAAAGGCTCTGTCTTCAAAGACTGGTTTGTTCCTGCCGTTTCTGAAAATAAAGGTGTTCTCAAAAACATGTCTAGAAAATGCTCCCAAATTCCAGGTGGTGCTTCTGTTCTCTCTTCCCTTCCCCTGCTCAGCTTCCCTGAGTTAATTACTAATTTCCCGTCACATCCCAAACCACAGATATATAATATTGCTGTTCCAGCCACCGGGGAGAGGGAAATGCCTTTTATTAAAAGCTGATAAATAGAAGTGACAGATTGGAAGGTCTTGATGAGATGCGCAAGTCAGAGTGTGTCCCCGGCCCGGTCATTCTGTCAGCTCAGGAAGGTTGTCGTTCTGACCTCTGTCTGACCTCAAGAATATATCAGAGCAAAATTCGCTCAGCTCCATCCTCCATCAATCAACAAACTCACACGGAGTGACAACTGTGTACTGTGCTCCTGGAAGAAGACACTGAACAAGCCAGCCAACCTCCTGTGGTAGGGTGGGCTGTGCAGGGTGTGCAGGCTAGGGCCCCGGGGGTTGAACTTGGACACCAAGAGCTCCCAGCTCAGGCTGGGCCAAGGAGTGCTGAGGTTTTTACAACATACGTGATCCTGGTAGACACACACACACACACACCCTCCTCTATCAGCCCGTGTGTGGCTCTACTCTCTCGTTTGGAATAAAAGTACACTTAGTCATAAATTTGAGTGACAGTAAAATGCAGCGGTCATGTGTATAGTGTCCAGAGCCAGAGAGGCCTAAGGTCAAATGCTAGCTCCTGCAGATACTGACCACGTGACCTCAAGTAATTTGTTAACCTCTCTGAGCTCAATTGTCCTCACCTGCAAAATGAAACTAACACCTGTGATTATTGCTATACTGCAGAGCTATCCAACAGGAATAGACTGAAAGCCACCAATGTAAACCATGTATGTAATTTTAAATTTTCTAGTAACAATATTTTAGAAGGTAAAAATAAAACAGGTGAATTAAATTACATTCGCATCTAACCCGATAGATCCAGAATGTAGCCTTCCAAGTCTTTGAAATCCAGTGTCTATTTTATACTGAAAGTGCATCTCAATTCAGATTCACCAGTAGTCACAAGTGGTTAGTGGCTACCATATTGGATAGCTCAGCTCTGGGGGTTAAATAAGTCAGCACAAGCCCAGATGCATAGGGAACCTTCAGCAAATGCTGGTCACTATGACTGTTAATAACACATCTGCTTAGAAAAATGTAGCTGAGGAAGTCAGACCTTTCTTCCATCATGGCTGCACTGAGTTAAAGCTCGTTCGTTCACAAGTCAGCCAGCAAGGCTTCATGTGGCATATCTAATGTGCTTTGCACCTGGCTAGGTCTTACAGGGTGAAATATACCCATAACCAATAAATCCATCATTCCTGCCTCCAGGAAACTTGCAGATTAGCTGATCATAGGAGTTAAAGTATCACAGAAAATTCATTAAAGATGAAAAAAAATAGAGCTAGACAGGGGAAGGGACTAACTTAAGGAAGCAAAAATAGCCAGGGCCAATGATCTCCATGTATGAAACAATCAGTTCATTAAGTGCTTGGTCAAAGGCTTAGGGCTGTAAGTCAGAAAGGGTAAGGTCAGATAGGGCTGTAAGACTCTGGAAAATTTCACCCTTGAGGCATGAGGAGAGGGGCAGGCTGTGCTGGGAAAAGTCACTTATGTTGAGAGCACATGGATTTTCCTTTCATCAAAACTCACCTATCCCAGCCTCATACTGGGGCATGCCTTGGCACTGTATGGCAAAGGACCAACGACTTCAGCAACTATCCCAAATATAAGAACATATATTTTCCCTCTCCACAAACATGACGGCCCATTAATTAACCCCAAATCTCACCATGTTAGTGAGAATCCTGTCCCTATTACAAATCTGTGGGTGATATGTCTGGGGTAAGGAAGAGGCTATAATCCTGTCCCATGGTTTGCTACTCTGAGAGGCCCAGGTAGGTCAGCAGGCAGGCATCTCGCTCCATACCTGGAAGGTTAAGCACCACCTTCAATGGGGGTCAATGCTCTCTTGAATTCCTGTAAGTTCTGAACAGATAATGATGCCTTACCAGCAACCAACTACAAAGACCAGGCAAATGTGAAGAGACAGCCAGCACAAGAAGAGAGTGTAGACCGTTTATGATGCTACCTGGTAAGGGTGTATTCTGCCAACCACCAAGTCCTTATACATGCACAGCATTTTATAAATTGCAACAGGTTTTATTTGAGCCTCACAAACACTTTGTTTGACAACGGAGCAGGTAATATGAGGACCTTTTTAACTCCCATGTCTTCTGGCTCTGACTTCCAATCCTCTAGCCATGAGTCAAACACGACCCGATTTTTTTTTTTTTCTTTTTTTTGAGTCAGATTTGGGACACCAGGTCTGACAAAGGATGTTAGTATATGAATTTTTATGCAAAGCCCTACAAAGTATACATGTGTAATTATATTGAATGATACATATAATAAGTTTTATTGAAGAGCGAAAATAACCTAAAATCAGGACTTTCCTATAATAGCCATGCAGTAAGACCAGTTCAGGATGCCACAGGGCAGTGGATAACCATCTGCCTGACTCATCAGCCCAGCAAGTAGCACCAAGAGTCAGGTGATCTCATAACTGGGGATAGATGAAGTTGTTAAAAGGTGATTCTCCTGAGCCAAGGTCAAGGTAACCATTGCGAGAAGCTCAGACAGACCCAAATTCTTGGGGAGAGGTCTTCAAAAGGCCCCTTCTGACAGATCTCCAGGACTACCCCACCCTCCCTTCTCTTCCCTTCTCTATTTGTCAATTAAAGGGAAGAGACTAAGTCAGGAAAGTCAGGAATAAGGCATTCAGATCAGTGAGGTCTCCTTTTGACAAGGTCAACAGATTGAACAGAAAAACCAGAGGAGCCCTGAGTAGAAATGCTGTCCAGTCACCACCTCATCTCACTGGTGAGTGCAGAGTGGCCTCAAGAGCTCAGCAGCAAGGTGCAGGCTAGACTCCAGATGATGATAACCCAGGGCCCCTGAGAGATCCCTGCTCAGAGGCCAAATCACTTTTCCAGGAAATTTTGTGCTCTAAGCAAGGGCAGGCTCCTGAGTGACTGGATGTATGGCTGCTCTGGCCCAGGTTGGGTGACTTGAGCTGCCTGGCATGTCTACCACGTCTACCCTGCAACTCCTAAACCACTATGAAACCCAGTCCTTCTCACCCTCCCTGACTCATCCTATGCATTGACTGTCCAACCCAAGAGCATTCACTGGACATCAACCATGGGGAGCTCAGGATTGTATCCTCAGAGCTTCTGAGCTCATTTCTGCCCCACCTCTTCTCATCCTAAACACACTGTATAATACCAACAAATGGATTTCCTAAAATACTTTTGTTTTGCCACTATGAAGTTCAGATTTTTCCTTTGTTCTACCATAAGAGTTATTTTAAATATTAGAATTCCTTTTTCAAACAACTTCCTGTAGAATCCCAATAGATGATGGACTTGGACCTTGAATCTCCAGCCTTGTGCTAAGTCCCTCGGAACTTTCCCTCATGGGCTGACCCTCTCCTAGCCACAGGGCCTCAGACCCTATCTAATGGACTAGCTGAGCAACAGACGCCATGACACCTCTATCAGTACAAAATCGGCCCGGGCCTACTCTTTTGTGTCCTGGGGCTATTGTAACAAGCACCACAAACTGATTAAGTTAACAGAAATGTGTTGGAGGCCAGCAGCCTGAATTGAAGTATCAACAGGGCGATGCTTCCTCTGAAGGCTCTTGGATAGTATCTGTCCTAGTTTCTGATAGTTCCTTAGCTTGTGGCAACATAATTGTAATCTCTACATGGTGTTCTCCCTGTGCGTATGTCTTATTTCCATCTCCACATTTCCCCTTTTCAGGAAGAAGCCAATCATATTGGAATGGAACCTACCCTAACAATCTCATCTTTACTTGATTACCTCTGTCAGAGGTGTTTAAACCAGAGCAACTCCATCTTGAATAGGGGCTGGGTAAAACAAGGCTAAGACCTGCTGGGCTGCATTCCTAGGTTAAGGGATTCTAAGTCACAGGATGAGATAGGAGGTCAGCACAAGATAAAAGGTCATAAAGACCTTGCTGATAAAATGGGTTGCAGTAAAGAAGCCAGCCAAAACCCACTAAAACCAAAATGGCAATGAGAGTGACTTCTGGTCATCCTCACTGCTATACTCCCACCAGCACCACGGAGAGTTTACAAATGCCATGGCAACATCAGGAAGTTACCCTACATGGTCTAAAAAGGGGAGGCATAAATAATCCACTCCTTGTTTAGCATATAATCAAAAACCTACAAAAATGGGCAACCAGCAGTCCTTGGGGCTGCTCTGCCTATGGAGTAGCCATTCTTTATTCCTTTACTTTCCTAATAAATTTGCCTTCACTTTACTTTATGGATTTGCCTCAAATTCTTTCTTGCACAAGATCCAAGAACCCTCTCTTGGGGTCTGGATTAGGACCCCTTTCCAGTAACATCTTTCTGGTGACCACAAAAGGGACAATACTGAGAAAACCCCCAACCCAAAGGCTAACTTTGGTAAGTGGTGGGGTCTGGTAACACCTCTGTAAAGACCCTATTTCCAAATTAGGCCCTATTTGAAAGTACAGGAGGTTAGGAATTCAACATATCTTTTGGGAGACATGATTTAATCCATAATATCTACCCAGAAGCATCTTTGTGTCTGCCCCCCAACCCAGGCCAACTTCCCTCTATGCTCCCAAAGCAGTTTTAAGCTTCTTAAAGCTTCTTAAAGCCACAGCTTGAATCTCAAGCATCTCCATTTCAGAAGAGAGTTTTGTCTTGACATTTCCATAACTAAAGGCTCCAGTTTGGTGTTTTTCCAAAAACAAAGAAACCATTTAGCCCATCACCACTTCTTATAAGATGGCAAGTTTTGGCTTTTTAAAGGCAAATTGGGTTTCCTTCATTGCTTTTTAGCTTTAGCCCAATAAGATTTCAAAAATTTTAACGTCTGTGTTTCTGCTTAGGTACTGTGTAATATTAATATACATTTATTTCATGAGTTCAAATGATTAAATGTTTGTGAATATAACGAAGTCAGTCAATGAGAAAAATGAACCTAAAACTTTGAAATCTGTGCCTATGGAAGAAAATGGCAATCTGATATCAGCCTTAACATCAAGTTTATTTGTATATGTGGTTTAAATTGTACAAAATGGAAAAAATCTTGATTTGGTCCAGTAAAACTGGGACAATTTACAGTTCAATAGCACATACTACAATCTCAGAAGTGCCTTCCATTAAACAGCTATGGCCAGAGTTTTATTCAAAGAGTTGATCTAGTAGCACAAGTTAACCCACTGGAGGTCAACAATGTGTTAGAATTTAGTGTAAATCAAATTTGTGTGTGCCAATGTAATTGTATTACTGTTTAAAATATGTAATTTGGAAAATTAAATTTAAATTATTTACAGAACTCCTGAAGCGCCTCTGTGGTGCTCTGGTCTTCTTTGGAAGAACATAATTAGAATATCTCTGACCTAGTCAGCCAGATCCAAGCTCCTCTGCGTCTTACCATCCCCTTCCACCTCATTCTCTTTTGCTCCTCCAACATGCAGCAGGCACGTCTAGCTTCAGGCAGACCAACTTCTCAAGGCTCCTGGTTCAAGTTCAGTGTTAAGTCTTTTTCAAGTGTTTTGTTTACTCTGTTACTACCCCAGCTCCACCAGCTCTACGTTCCCAACTCTTTCTTGAGTTTTGAGTCCTTTCCACTTTTCAGGCTCAAATCTTCCATCCGTCCACTTACCCCTCCACCAGACATCTGCTGGAAAGTGTGATGTACAAAGTGTGGCTGTAAAGATGATCAGACCACAGTGCTATCCTGTGGAGCTCCAGGGGCAGGTGCAGGGGAGACACAGTGTGAACAGGACATTAGAATACAGTGAAGTTGCTGGTGGAATGAAGGGAAGGCAGGCATCTGCAGGATCACAGAAGAGCAAGGAATTCCCTTGGAGGCCTCCAGTATACCCTGGTTTCTGTCATTTATGAACATCAGGTTGCTGCCAGTTTTCACTTTATTGTTCATGAATGTGTTCATAGGCATTAGCTCTATTTTCCCCCATCCCAATTCCATTAGAGACAAGCCTCAAACACCTCTGCAAGCCCTTCAGTGCCAGGCACAAGGATAGGCACGTAAGTGTTCAGGAAATGTATGTTGGTTGATCAACAAACTAAATAAAAGGATAAATGTAGATGAGGTCAGAGGAGAGGAAGACTGTAGGCAGAAAAGTGTCCAGGGGTGCCCAGAAGGCTCTGCAGTATAGCACAGAAGGTCACATTAGCCCTGCCAGCATGGCATCCTGCAGGGACCATATGGTTGTGCATTTAGCCCTGGCCCCAGTGATGATGTGGCCTTGTTCTGGCAGCTTTCTGCTCTCACTCCCTGGAACTGCAAAGTAAGATTCTGCACCTTCAGAACAGATGTGACTGGTCAGGCCAAAGCCAGTAGTGTTTTGCTAGAGGATTAACAAAAGCTCTGGTTTATAACACTTGCCAATTGCTATAGTGTAAATATTCCCATCATGGTTAATTTCAAGCTACCAATGTGGCTTCACTGAACAGGGAGCTGAGAAGAAATGCACACAATTGGCCAGTATGAGGTAGCTCAGACACAACATTGTTTGAAGTTAACGTTTCATGCAAGGGCTCACTCAAGGATGGCTCCTATAATCAAATAGGACATTCTGTCTTTGATTAATTTCTATTTCACTGTCAAAAATAGAATATACAAGAGCTTATTCATAATACAAGGCAGAAAGACAGCCGAATGCCTCCCTTCCTTCTAACTGTCTGTTTTGATGAGTAAATAACGATTGACTGGCTTACAGATGAGACAGATCAAAACCAAGAACAAGATGCTATGCTTTGCAGGACTCTGAAGGTTCCAGCTCCTGAGTGTTTCATTACATTTGCATTCCAGAAATAAAGCCCATCCTAAGATCCTATGCAATGTTCCTAAAGGTAGGGTCTGCAGACCAGCCTGCGGAGCTGTGAAAATGAAGATTTTAGTCCCATCCAAACTCCACTCTCAGATTGCAATGTGATAGCTCTGTGGTAAGGCTCCTGAATGAGTACTAAGGTATAAGAACTACTACTCTACAAAAGATTTCAGGAAGACATACAAGACTGCTCAGGCAACAACTTGCTATGGGCCAGTCTCTGTTCTAGGTGCTGGGCAAACAGTGACAAACAAACCAGATGTAGACCTTAAACTTTAATGGAGAGGTTTCCTCTTTTCCGCTTAACTCCCACACACTCTTCCTCTCCTCGCTTACCCCATCTATTCTTATTTTAGGATCCTTCCTCCCCAGATGACAGCTGATCTGCCTTCCTGAGCTATAGGGCTAGACCTGGCATGTATGGCCCCTTGGAGCTAAGACCCTGCTCAGGGGAGGGAGCAGAGGGTGTGCAGAGCCCTTCAGACCCTCCATCATCTTACTGTGGGCATTGGGGTAAACAGGAATCTCAGACTCCAGAATACTAGAACATTTCAGAGACACACACCTCGGAAAAGAGTAGAGCTTTGTGAATGCCCATTCATCTGTTCAAAGAGGAGCGTTCTCTCAGAAAGATCCTGTAACCCCAAAGCCTCAGTGTCCCACATTTTACTAGGTCAGCACAGCTCTTTTATTAGCTTCATCGTTCTCCTTTCTCAAGGTCACCAGTTTCCACTCACTGGGAGTAGCTTAATGGGCTGACATAAGTTCAAAGGGATAGGGGTCTCTTGGCTATGCTTTAGTACCAAATTTATGAATGCTGCGTGTCAGTAACAGTTGTTGCTTTGACTGATTAGCCAGCCTGTAAGAGCAATGAGTGAAAGTGACTTCCATGAGATATTTATTCAAACTTCTCTTCCAATTCCTGAGCCATGTCTGCAGTGACTTTGAAATGCAGATGGTGGACATTATTGTTCTGCATCCAGATTCTCTCCTTAGAGAGCCTGGTGGATTTGCTTTTCCTGCCATGGAGGAAGAAGCACTTCTCTAAAGTGCATGCATTGAAAGCCCATCTGTTGGAGTCCTCTGATAGGCATCACGGGTGGAGACACTCCTAATTTGTCTCTGTCTTTGCCACTGCATGGTCCCAAATTCATGAATGGGGTTTTATGCTTACCTCTTATAATTAATCTCTGTCTCACTGGGAGAAAAACCCAGCTAGCGACAGTGCAGCTTGTGTATCTGCAGGCAGCAGACATTACACCAAGTTTATTTTTCCATCATTAACTCTTCAGGTTTCTAAAACCAGACAGCAGGGTGAGCAAACAAATGAGCCTGTGGATGGCAACTGAGCCACTTGGTGTGGCCTGGGGGAGGACACCGGGTCAGTGAGCAATGATTGGGATGCATCAGGTCTAAGGGCTTTCTGCTGAATGGCAGCCCCAGGGAGCACTTTCCTCCTCAGCAAGTGTCTGCAGTTGAGTGGAGTGGTATAACGAGCAGCCTCTTTTCAGGAGCAGGCGACCACAGCTCCCTCCTGCATGTAATGGCCTCTGTTTCCCCCTCCCTATTGGCAATTAACACTAATGCCATACTGGTTTTTAGGAGGTGCCATTTTCCTTAAGTGGGCTCCATCTGTGAACTTTGCTGAGTTCTGGCACCCTCCATGGGGGCTGGGAATAGCACCAGGCTTGGCCATTAACTTTCTTGTTGGCAATTTCTACTCTCTGCTGTTCTGCAGAATTATATATGTGATGGGAAGTACAAGCACACATGGCCCTAATCCAGAACTTGGTTCTCAGTGCTTTGGACACTGTATTAGTCCATTCTCACACCGCTAGAAAGAACTGCCCAAGACTGGGTAAATTATAAAGAAAAGAGGTTTAATTGCCTCACAGTTCCACAGGGTTGGAGAGGCCTTAGGAAATTCACAATCATGACAGAAGGGGAAGCAAACATGTCTCTCCTCAGATAGTGGCAGGAAGGAGAAGAAAGAACTGAGCAAAGGGGGAAGCCCCTTATCAAACCATCAGATCTCGTGAGAACTTACTCATTATCATGAGAATACCATGGGGGAAACCAACCCCATGATCCAGTTACCTCCCACTGGGCCCCTCCCACAACACGTGGGGATTATAGGAACCACAATTCAAGATGAGATTTGGGTGGGGACACAGCCAAACCATTTTAGGCACATCTGCTTTCCTGGTTTGTGGGTGCTGGTCTCCTTCTAGATGATGCTCTAAGTGGAATCTCTTGGCTTGTGGAATCTTAAGAGCAAAACATACAGGGCATAGGTGAGAGGAGGGGAAAAGAAGCAGGCTTTTCGAAATGTGGATGCTCATTACTTGAGGCCAACACATGCAAATTACCTTTTAGATGAAGGTTAAAATAAAGTATTTAGAGGAAGTGTTCACCTCCTTAACTTCTTTGGGACTAATGTGCCTGTGGTTGTGGGCACCTGTTCTTCTATCTCGCTAGCCATTCCTTCTCAATTTTTATCTGAAGACTCACTTGTTACCGCCTTGGTAGCACAGCTTATCCACTATAGTCTGAATGTGTCCCTCCAGAATTCATGTCCCCTTTGTGGTGATATTAAGAAGTAGAACCTTTGGGGGAGTGATTAAGTCACAAGGGCTCTGCCCTTATAAATCAGATTAGTGCCCTTATAAAAGGGGTTTAAAGGTGCCCCTTTCCACTTTGTGAGGATGAGCCTAGAAGATGCCATCTTTGACAGCCCTTATCTGACACCAAATCTGCTGCCACCTTCATCTTGGACTTCCCAGCCTCCAAAGCAGTGAGCAAGAAATTTCTGTTGTTTAGAAATCACCCAGTGTGAAGTATTTTGTTATAGCAACCCATATGGACTGAGATGCTGCCTAAAACTGAGTGTACAAAAATCATTCTGTATTTAAATCAGAGTGAAGATCTCTGTGCTTTCTCTTTGTGACCCACCAGATTCATCAGCACATACATGCTCTGGGTAGATTGGTTGGCTTCCAGACATTTGTTCCATCCCTGCCTCAATCCCCCTTCCAGATGATTGGTCCAAGGAAGTCAAGCTAATTCATTCCCTTTGCTATTGACTGGTTCAAGAACAGGTTTGCAGCCCAATCAGAGACAACAAAATTTGAGGGGAAGAGACAGCCTTAGAAAGAAGCAGTTTCTTCCCTACATTCATCCAAGTTTCCACCTGGTCAGCCAAGATATCCCCCCCAAATCTACATTTTTAATCTGTTTCTTTCCTGAGCTCCAACTCCCTGTATCCAGCTGCCCATGGGAATCCCAGTGTGGTGGAGTGCCATGAGCAAAGCCCTGGGTAGGCATTCAGGAGAACTGTTGTTCCCTGACCTCTACAATTGCTTACTTATTGGGTTGTTCCACATGACTCATGCTAGGCAAGATTCAATTTTTACAACCAAATTTGACTCCAGCCTTCTGAGCCCTGAGCCCCTAAAGCAATTAGTTGCTCCTCCTGCCTACCAACTCTGTTGGTTAATATCATCAGTATTCATCCTGTAACCAGGATGCAAACCTCAGGTTTACCTTCAATTCTGCCTTTCCTTTATTCTACCACAACCAACCAGTTATCCAACCAGTGCCCTTTCTCATAATTCAGTCTTGCTCCTGCCCCTACCTGTGGGATCTGCCTCCTTGAGTATAAGGAGGATAATTATATTAGCTCCAGATCCCAGGTGCTTTGTACAGTCTCTTTCCTCTGAATTGGTCTACCGTGTGGATATCACACAATTTCTAAAGGTACTGATTTAACTCCCTCTGCCCTCTGCTCAGAAAGATGAAAAGGCAACTGATAGCCTTTAGAATAATTACACAACTTTGGCCCATGGATCAGCATGATATAGCACTAAATTCAACTTTCAGCCTTATTACTTGCTATACTCCTGTTTTCTTGATGCATATTTTACAGAACTTGGATTGGGTTAAATTGTATCCCCCCAAAATTTGTTTCTACCTAGAACCTCAGAATGTTCCCTTATTTGAAAATAGGTCTTTGAAAATGTAATTAGTTAAGATGAGGTCACACTGGATTACAGTGGGTCTTAATCCAAAGACTGGTGTCTTTATACAAAAGCCATGTGGAGACACAGATACACACAGAGGGAAACACTGTGTGCAAATGGGGGCAGAAGTCAAAGTTATGCTTCCACAAGCCAAAGAACACTAAGGACTGCTGAAAACCACCAGAAGCTAGAATAAGCGAGAAAGAATCCTCCCCCACAGGCTTCAGAGAGATTACAGCCCTGCCAACACCTTGATTTTGCACATCTAAATTCCAGAACTATGAGACTAGTGTTCTAGGCTAAATTGCTACTATTTCAAGTCAGTTAGTTTATGTCATGGCATGCCCAAGGAAACCAACATAGGGCCTTTCCACAAACTACTCTCTGTTGTCCCATCTCCATGCTTCGGTCCACGTTTCCAAAAAACCCTTCTCTCACCTCTTGTCCTTTGACATCTGTAGATTTCTAGGAATTCAACTGATAAGTTACCATAAACAGCCTTACAAGGCCTGGAAGGGATTCTGTGCCTACTTTTCTCACGAGTACTTTGCATGATGGTTTTCCAAGCTGTCTCCCCCTAGACTGGGAATCAGACAACCGTAACCTGGTGCTCTTCCTCTTTGGTGCTCTGCCACCCAATGCAATAGGCCATGGGCTATGGTGGGATCTCACATGTTAAGGGAAAGATGGAAAGAATGAATTAGTGAATGTACTCCTTGACAAAAGTTTGTACCAGGCTTCTTTCTGTGGCAAAGGGAATGGCATATTTGTGAGGCAGTTTGCAAGTTGGGGAGGGCTATGCCCATTTGTTTATTCTTCCAGGTGAACTTTAAGATAATTTTTTCAAACTCATAAAAAAATACATGAGGACTTCATAAGAATTCCTGTCTTTACATTATGTATTCAAGTATTCTTTTTATTAAATGTTTCTAAACAGCTTTGAGATACAATTAACATATAAACTGTACTTTTTATTTTTTTTAAGACAGGGCCCCACTTCCTTTTCCCAGGCTGCAGTGGGGTGGCATGATCACAGTTCACTGCAGCCTTGACTTCCCAGGCTCAGGTGATTCTCCCATCCTAGCCTTCTGAGTAGCTTGGACTACTGGGGCACCCAACCACACCCTGGTTTTTTCTTTTTTTTTAGTAGAGATATTTTTTGTATTTTTAGTAGAGATAGGGTTTTGCCATGTCGCCCAGGCTGGTCTTGAACTCCTGCGCTCAAGTCATTCACCCACCTCAGCCTCCCAAAGGGCTGAGATTATAGGTGTAAGCCACCATGCCCAACCAAACTGTACATGTTTAAAGTGTACAAATCGATGTTTTGACATTTGTATACAGCCATGAAATTATCACCATAATCAAGATAGTGAACAATTTCCCCATAAGTTTCCTTGTGCCCATTTTACAAATTGTGATAAAATTTGTATAATATTTACCATCTTAACCATTTTTCAGTGTCTAGTTCAGTGACATTAAGTACATTCACACTGTTGTGCAATAACTGCTGCCATCCGTCTCCAGAACTTTTTCATCTTCCAAAATGGAAACTCGGTTCCCATTAAACAGTAACTTCCATCCTACTCCCCTCTAGCCTCCAGTAATCACCATTCTACCTTCTGTCACTATGAGCTTGACTACCATACATACTTCATATACATAGAAGCATACAATATTTGACCTTTTGTGACTGGCTTGTTTCACTTAGTATAACGTCTTCAGGGTTTATTCATGTTTTAGTATGTGTCAGAATGTCCTTCCTTTTTATGGCTGAGTAATATTTCATCTTATGTATATACCACATTTTCTTTATCCATTCACCTGTCAACGGATATTTGGGCTGCTTCCACCATTTGACTACTGTAAATAATGCTTCTGTGAAGATGGCTATACAAATACATGTTTGCAACCGTGCTTTCAATTATTTTAGGCATATATCCAGACATGGAATTAAGGAACCGTTATTTGTGTCCTTATGAAATTCCACCCTTCAGCCCCTCAACCCCCATTCCCAGGCAACTGCTGATCTACCTTGTCACTATAGGTTAGTTTGCATTTTCAAGAATTTTAAATAAGCGGAATCATACAGTATGTACTTTCTTGTCTTCTTTCACTCAGTGTACTTATTTTGAGGTGCGTGCATGCTCTTGGGTTTACCCATTCCTTTTGATTGTTGAGTAGTTTTCCATTATATAACTATATCACAATTTCTTCATGCATTCACCGTTGAAGGCCATTTGGGTTATTTCTAGTGTTTATTATAAATAGAGCTGCTATGAATGTGCATGTACAAGTCTTCCTGTGGACATGTGCTTTCACTTCTCTGAGGTAAATAGCTATGAGTGGAGTAGCTGGATCACATGATAGGTGTATGTTTCACATTTTCAGAAATAGTCAAACTATTTTTTAAGTGATTGCATCATTTAACATTTCCATCAAGGCATGAAAGTTCCAATTGCTCCACATCCTTACCAACACTTGCATTGGGTGATCTTTTAAATTTAGGCCTTTTCAGTAGGTGTGCAGTGGTGATATGGTTTGGCTCTGTGTCCCACCCAAATCTCAACTTGAATTGTAATCTCAATTGTAATCCCTACATATCAAGGGAACAACGGAGGGACCTGGTGGGAGGTGATAGGATCATGGGAGCGGTTTTCTGGATGCTTTTCTCATGAGATCTGATGGTTTTATAAAGTACAGTTTCCCCTGTGCTTGCTTGCTCGCTCGCTCTCTCTCTCTCACCTGCTGCCATGTAAGATGTGCTTGCTTCCCCTTCTCCTTCTGCCATGATTGTAAGTTTTCTGAGGCCTCTTAGCTATGCTTCCTGTTAAGCCTGTGGAACTATGAGTCAATTAAATCTCTTTTCTTTATAAATGACCCAGTCTCAGGTATTCTTTATAACAGTGTGAAAATGGAGTAATACAAGTGGGATCTCACTGAGGCTCAATTTGCATTTTCCTATTGACTAATAATGTTGAACATCTTTTAATCTTTATCTGCCAACTGTATGTCATCTTTGGTGAAGCGTCCGTTTAAGTCTTTTGCCCTTTTAATTGGGTTATTTGCTTTTTGTATTGAGTTGTAACATGACTTTATATATTCTGGATGAAAGTCCTTTAACACAGATATACTATTTTCTACTACTCTATGACTTGTCTGTTCATTCTCTTTACAGTGTCTTTTGAAGAGCAGTAGTTCTTAATTTTTATGAAGTCTTACTTATCAATTTTTGCTTTTATGGCTCATCTTTTCAGTGATCCATATAACTCTGTCTAACCAAAGTAACAACTATTTGCTTCTGCATTTCATTCTGGAAGTTTTATAGTTTCAGGCTTTACAGTTTGGTCTGTGACCCAACACGAGTTAATTTTTTTATATAGTGTGAGGTAGGGATCAAAGTTTATTTTTTGGAAGGGCCTATCAAATGGTTTCTCCAACATTTGTTAAAAAGACTATTCTTTTTCCACTGAATTGCCTTTGTATCTTTATCAAAAATCAATTGACCATATATATGTGGGTCTTTTCCTGGACTCCTTTTTCTGTTTCATCAATCCATTTATCTATCTTTACATCAATACCATACCATCTTGGTGAAGTCTTGAACACAGACAGTATATGTCTTCTTTGTTATTTTTTAGGGTTTTGTTTTTTCCTTTTTCCAATTCTAAGGTCGTTTGGATTTCCATGTGTATTTTAGAATCAGCTTGCCAATTGTATTAGTTTTCTATTGTTTCTATAACAAATTACCACAAACTTAGCAGCTTACAACAACATAAGTTTATTATCTCACAGTTCTGCCAAAGCTTGACATGCATCTTACTGGGCTAAAATCAAAGTGTCAGCCAGGCTGTGTTACTTGCTGGAGGCTCTAGGGAATGCTCTGCTTCTAAGATCATGCAAGCTGCTGGTGGAATCCAGTTCCTTGCATTAGGACAAAGCTCCCCATTGGCTTGTTGGCTGTCATCTGGAGGCTGCCCTTAGCTTCTTTATGCCTCTCTCATTCTTTCCACATGGGCCTCTACATCTCAGAGCCAGCAACAGTACATTGAAGCTTTCTCATGTCTGGAATCTCTCTGACTTTTCCTTTTGCCACCTCTTTCTACTGCTGCCTCTTCTTTCAGTTCAAGACAGTCATTTCCTCTTAAGAACACATGTGATTAGCTTAGATGGGCCTGCAGCTGGAGAAGAGGGTTTGGAGACATGGAATATAAGAACTTCCTAGAACTAAATCAAATGGAAACACTTCAGCAATAACAGGAAATATCATCTCCGTTTATATAGGGTGTCTGCCAAGTAAATGACTTTGTAACTTTACTTCATCCTCTTCATTTACATAAGGCATACACCATGTAACCAATGGAAACCGTAGAGGATGTCTAAACCCCCAAAAATTCTGTAACGGGGCTCTTGAGCCCCTGTGCTCAGGCCTGCTCCCACCCTGTGGAGTGGACTTTCATTTTCAATGAATCTCTGCTTTTGTTGCTTAATTCTTTCTTTGCTTTGTTTGTGCATTTTTCCCAATTCTTTGTTCAAGACGTCAAGAACCTGGACACCCTCCACTGGCAAGAGGTCTACCTGAATAATCCGTGATAACTTCCCTATGTTAAGTCCCATAACCTTAATTACATGTAAAAAATCCCCATTGGCATGCAACATAACATATTCATCCAGGGATATGGGCATTGTTGAGGAGCTATTCTGCCCACTCAATTAAAAAAAAAGCCTGCTAAGATTTTGATTAAGATTGCTTTGAATCTTGTTTCAATTTGGGGAGCATTGACTTCTTAATGACATTGAGTCATCTGATTCGTTAACAAAGTATCATTCTCCATTTATTTAGGATTTCTTTAATTTGTCCCATCGATGTTTATATTTTCAGTATACAGGTCTCACACATCTTTTGGTAAGATTTATCCCTAAGTGTTTCATGTTTTGATGGTGTTGTAAGTGGTATTTTTATTGTAATTTTAATGATTTGTTCCTAGTAATAAAAATGTAATCAATACTTTATATTGACCTTGCCTCTTGCAAACTTGCTATACTTACTTATTAATTCTAGCAGGATTTTTTGTTTTTGTTTTGGTAGATTTCTTAAGGAGATAATCATATCTACTGTGAATAAAGACAGTTTCAGTGCTTCATTTCTAATCTGAATACCTTTTATATTCTACCTGTCTTGTGTTATTGCACTGGCTAGAACTTCCAGTATAATGTTGAGTAAAAGTAATTAGATCAGCCATCTTTGCCTTGTTGAGGTGTTAGGGGTAAAACATTCTGTTCACCATTTAGTGTGATGTTACCTACAGGTTTTTTGTAGATGCCTGTTATTCTTAGTTCGTTGACATCTTTTAGTAAGAATACTGGATTTTGACACATTTCTCTTTTCTTGCATCCACTGAGAGGATTAGTTTTCTTTTTAAGTCTGTTAATATGATGAATTAAATTGATTTTCAAATGTTAAACCTATCTTGTATTCCTAGTATAAATCCCACTTGCTTTGATGTATTATTCTTTTGATATATTGTTTAATTCTATTTGTTAAAGTTTTGTTAAGAGCTTTTACTTACATGTTCATGAGGGATATTGGTCAGTAGTTTGCTGGCAATGTCTTTGTCTAATTTTGGTATCAGAGTAACGGTGGTCTTACACAATGATTTGGTAAGTAGTTCCTCCTCTTTTACTACCTGGAAGAGTTTGCGTAGAATTAATACCATTTGTTCCTTAAATGTTCAGTTATAATTCACTAGTGAAGCCATCTGGGCCTGAAGCTTTTGATTTTTTATTACAATAACTTTATTTAATAGATATAGGACTATTTGAAATATCTATTTCTTCTTGAGTGAGCATTGGTAGTTTGTGTCTTTCAAGAAATTTTTCTGTTCATCCAAGGTTTTACATTTATTGGCATAAATTTGTTCTTAATATTCTCTTACTTATCTTTGCAGTATCTTGTAGGATCTGTGGTGATATCATCTCTCTCATTCCCAATATTGGTAATTTGTGTTCTCTCTCTCTCTCTCTCCCTCTTTTACCTAAATAGTCCAGCTGGAAGTATATTCATTTTATTGATGATCTCAAATAACTAGATTTTTATTTTATTGGCTTTATTGTTTATCTGTTTCCTATCTCATTGATTTCCACTCTGATCTTTATTATTTCATTTCTTCTGCTTATTTTTTGTTCAGTTTGCTGTTATTTTTCTAGTTTCTTAAGGTGGAAACTGAGCTCATTTATTTTAGACTTTTCTCTTTTTTTATGTATTTCATGCTACAAATGTCCCTCTCAATAATGCTTTAGTTGCATTCCACAGATTTTGTTTGCATTTTTATTCTGTTCAAAGTATTTTCTAGCTTCTATTTGATTTCTTCTTTGATCTGTATGATATTTAGAGGTGTATTAGTTTCCAAATATTTGGGAATTTTCCAAATTTCTTTTTATAATCAATTTCTAATTTAATTCCATTGTGATCAGAGAAATACTTTGTGTGGCTTGAATCATTTTGTATTTATTGAGACTTGTTTTGTAACCCAGAATGTAATCTATCTTGGTAAATGTTCCATGCATATTTGAAAATAATTTGTATATTCCTATTTTAGGCTCAACTGTCCTATAAATGTCAACTGGGTCAAGTTGGATGATATTGTTGTCTTTTATATCTTCATTAATTTTCTGGATTTTTTCCTTCTTCTAACAATTATTGAGAGAGGGTTGATGAAATCTCTGCCAATAACTGTGGATGTGTCTATTTCTCTTTGCAGTTCTTTGGAGTAGGGGGAGTATGGAGGTCAGGAGGCTGAGCACTACCCCTGGCCAAGAGCTAAGAACAAAGCATCACAGTTGAACATAGCAGAGAAGGGAAGCAGTTTGAGAAAAAAAATGGGAATCCAAAGTACAAGAAGGGGCCCTGTTACAGTGGCCAGGATAGAGGGAATGTCTCTTCCAGAAGGAAAGATGCTCAGATGGGCTGACCTCTTCGCTAACTTTCTCTAATACAGAGGTTCTCAGACTAAGGTGGGAATCAGAATCACTTGAGGGCTTGCTCAAACCAACTGCTGGGCCCTACCCTTAGAGCTTCTGGTTCGCTGAATTTGATTTGCTTGTGATGCTGGTCTGGGAATTGCCCTTTGAGAAGCACTGCTCTCAAGCAGCAGGCTCTGCCTTCACTTTGAGTCTTACACCTGCTCCCCTCTATCTTGAACCCTCCTCTACCCCCACAGCCACCCAGCCCTGGTTAGTATTTCATCAACTTATTCAATTCTTCATAACCAGGTTAGTTGCCTCCTCCTAGGTGCTCCTAAAGCCCCTATACATCTCCTTGTCACATTCTGCAGTGATGGCTATCTGCCATTTGTCCTCTCCCCGAGGCTGTCAGATCCCTGGAACAAAGGTTCTGTCTTGCTTGTTCACCATCATACTCTCAGAGCGGAGCACATGCTCAAATATTCACTGCACAAATGATGTGTAATTCCCCAAGGTTTGAGTGGTCACACTAAGCCTTACCTGAGCTTTCCATAAATTCTGTGAGCCAGATAGGAACTATAATGTTGGCACTATAAGATATCTGGGAATGGGACCAGAGTCTGTGGAGACCTTTCTTTCCTTCTTGGGTGTTAGATTTGGGCAAGAAATACATAGAA
The DNA here is from genome assembly GCF_000001405.40 of Homo sapiens. NCBI lineage: Eukaryota > Metazoa > Chordata > Mammalia > Primates > Hominidae > Homo > Homo sapiens. The sequence goes on along the minus strand of NC_000010.11, from coordinate 115,982,437 downwards.
CCAGAGTGGAGGTTTGCAATAATTTCAAATGTGCCTTCTTTTTGCAATTTCTTCTTGGAACACACATCACAAGTCACAGGGTGCTGTGGCTCACTCTCAGAGGAGCTGTTTCTGTCATTTCTTAGCCCTTCAGGGCAGCATCTGCTTTGTGTCGGCGGCAGCAGCCAGGTCTGAAGATGAATGATCCGGGTTCTGCCTTGATGGATAGCTGCCCCCAACAAATTGGCATATGATCTGCAGAGATCTTCTTTAGAAAATGTGACAAATGGTGACAGATGAGGAAGGTGAGCTGTACTTCTGTTGCCAGATACACCAGCTCTGAAAAACGTCCCGTAGTGGATGAAAAATCGCCCACCAAAGATTTAAAGGCAGGGAAAAAAAACACCTAGTTCAAGTCGTGAAACTAGGAACACTATGAATTTGAATAATTTTGCACTTCTCAGAGATGCTTTCACTCAATTTTTAAAATTACCCAGTGAGATAGTCTGGAGAGGGAGTAGCATTCCCATTATTCTCATGCACAAATTGAGGCTGGAAGAGGTTCAATGTCAACCCCAAGGTCACAGGGAGCAGAGCCAGGGCCATAGACCCTCCTTTGAGATCCCCCATCCAGGGCTCATCTTAAACACTAACAAGGCAGTGAGGTGAGGACAATTCTTTCATTTATTTTGCTACAAAGTAATAAAGGAAAGGCTGACTGGTAAGAAATGTTTGTGTACACATGCTTTATTCTTGAGGCTGATTTATGGGAGAAAAACATCATGGGAAAGCATATGGTTACAGCTGAGAATGAAAGAGAATCACATTTTTTGTGATTTCAGGTACTCGGGCATGCCACATTGCCCAGCAAGCCTGAGGTGCATGGTGGGCGGGTGGTCTCTGCTGAGTGCTTTTGATGCAGCTTTATTCCCACTGTAAAGGGGCCTTGTGGAAGCCGCTCATCCACTCTCAGACTGAATTGCAGCATGCGTCGCTTTAGGGGACAAAGCTGGGGACCATGTACCAGCCTCGGGCCAATTAAGCCTAAAACAAATTCTTAGGCTGCCAGAGCACAGATTACACTTGAAGTGCCGTGGACTCCAACCTACAGTGTAAAGCCTGGATGCGCCCCAGTAATTGGGTTGATGCACCAGCTCCGTCAAAGGCCTCCCTAATGACCAGTGGTGCTGGCTGTTTGTTTAGGAGCCTTTAAAAGTGAAAGTGCTAGAAAATGCAGTCAGGGAGCCCACAAGCCTGCCCCCCTTCACTTCCCCGGAAGCCATTTGCTGGATACACACTCTGGATTTTTCTATCGAATCTAGGGGCATGGGTAGAGGAGCAGAGATGAAAGGTCAGAGAAGCCAGAGTTATTAAAGCAAGGGCTGAGAAGGCTTCCAGTATGAACAGCAGCCTCAAATCAGGTGGGGAAAAAACCATGGATTTTTCATCAAGAAAATACAAGCTCAGCATTGAAGAGGAAACAATTATTCATAAAGTCCACACGTTGTAAATGCACGACCCCTCGTCCCATTGGGGAGACATTCTAAATGGCTAATAGCTTCAGGATGATTAATTTGGGCTAGATTAACTTTGTGTTATAAATGGATCAAATCCACACAGTTTAGAGGTTACAAAATTGTCCCTTCCCTGCCGTGCATTTTCATACTCAGAAATAAGAAAATGAGACTTAAGAAGGAGACAACTTCATCTGCTGGATTCCACAGATGTTTTCTGAGTGCCTGCTACATGCTGACGAGGAATATGTCTACCCCCAGGAAGATACAATCTCCTAGGGGTTTGCCCCTTGGGCAGGAGATATACAGTGACCAAGTGTCTGGGTCAGAGGGATCCTAACAGTCATCACTGTCTAGACTAAGGGTTGCACACCAAAACACACAGACTGGCTGGGTGTGGTGGTTCATGCCTGTAATCCCAGCACTTTGGGAGGCTGAGGCAGGTGGATCACTTGAGCCCAGGAGTTTGAGACCAGCTTGGCCAACATGGCGAAACCCCATCTCTACTAAAAATACAAAACCTACCTGGGTGTGGTGGTGCACACCTGTAATCCCAACTACTCGGGAGGCTGAGGCAGGAGAATAACTTGAACCCAGGAGGAGGAGGTTGCCGTGAGCCGAGATCATGCCTCTGTACTCCAGCCTGGGTGACAGAGTGAGACTCTGTCTCAAAATACTACTACTAATAATAACAATAATAATAATAATAATAATACACAGGCTGCCTCTCCCTCTGATCCAACCACATTGGATCCAACCAAATTGGTCTGAGGCTGGTACCAGACACGTGTGTTGTTAAAAAGCTCCCCAGGTGAATTGGCTGGAAGCCAGTCTAGTCTAATTCTCCCACTGTCCTGATGAAACTGAGGCCCAGATTAGGGAAGGACCATGCCTGGAGTGAACCGCAGCCCTGCTGGGATGAGGAATCCACAGCTCCCAGCATCCCCAGCAATGCTCTTTCTCCTGTACCTTCTGGCCACTCACTGGTCATCAGGAAGATTATGATGTCCATGGAGGTGTGCCCTGGCCATGGATAACAATCATTCCAACTGGGCAGATCTGGGAATGTTTCTTGGCAGAGGTGGGATCTGAGCTGAGCCTTGTCACATGGGCAGTGATAATAACAAGTTGTTATCACTAACAACACCTGCCTGACCAGCCCCCAGCCTCTGTCGGAATTCCCCTCCCCCACATCCCTGCCAACACCTCTGCTGACAGGTGGCTCTCTCCCTCCCTCTTCCTCTGATTAGACAGAGATAATCTTCTTAATAGAAAAACACCTTCTGGAAATCAAGAAGGAAACCAAAAACAACCACTCAACTAGAAAATGGACAAAATACATGAACACCCAAATCACAGAGAAAGAAATGCTAATGACTTGTGCACCTGTACACTTATGAATAAGAGAAAGATTGACATCATGCTGGGGAAACCTCTTCTTACTTAATAGGCCAGGAAAAATCCCAGACCCTGAAAGCAGTTGGGGAACCTGTAGCAAAAGAGACATTTGAGGGCATTTTTTTTTTTTTTTTTTTTTTTTTTAGACAGGGTTTGCTCTGTTGCTCAGGCTGGAGTGCATTGGTGCAATCATAACTCACTGCAGCCTCAAAATCTTGGCTTCAAGTGATCCTCCTGCCTTAACCTCCCCAGTAGCTGTGATTACCGGTATGCACCACACTTAGCTAATGTTTTCATTTTTTGTAGAGACAGGGTCTCACTATGGTGCCGAGGCTGGTCTTGAACTTTTGGCTTCAAGCAATCCTCTCACCTCAGCCTCCCAAAGTGCCGCGATTACAGGCATGAGCCACCATGCCCATCCTGAGTGCATTTTTTATGAGAGTACAAAATGGCATAACCCATGTGCAGTCAATCTGACAACATCTATTATAATCACAATATTGTTTTAACTTGTGATTCAGCCAGCAACCCCACTTTTGGGTCCGAATCTTTCTAATCTCCACCCGCTCCAAACATATACAAAATCACACAGATACAGTCAAGGCAATGGGTCCATGGCAAGTCAAGGGTGGGCAATGAAGCATTATTTGTAGTCATAAAAGACTGGAAATAGCTAAAGAATTCGTCTATAGAGAATAATGGAATCACGGCACATCTGCCCAGTGCATCTACCACATTGCTAAGGAAGAATCAAGAATCTCACATGGAGAGATCTCCAGATATATTTTAAGAAATTAAAGAAAAAAATGTGTAGAACAGTGCATAATGCATGCTACATTTTGCATTAAAAGGGGGAAAATAATACATATTTGTATTTGTGTATGTTTGCATGAGGTAGCACTGTGAGAATTCTCAATAAATTAATAAAAGTCAATGTGGGTGTAGTAGACCCCGTGTGACAGACAAAACAGGTGTGAGCACAATTTGTCTGTGTATCCTTCCTTATGTCCTCTTTGATTTTTTGAACCCTGTGAATATATCACTTTCTCCAAAAAATTAAATGTAATGTTAACAAGTTCTTCCTCACATTCAGTCCAAATGTACACCTGTGCCCCCAACTTCTGGCCCTGCCCAGCTCTGGCGCTGAGCAGTGCACACATGACCCTTCAGAACCTGGGGTGGATGATAGGGTCCCTTTTCAAAGGCTACCTCACCCCCCCGACCAACTCAAACAAAGAGGGTCCCTTCCTTACCCACTATGTGTCCTCAGGTAATCGTTGGTGTTCGCATCCACTTGCCTTTATAATTCTAAGGCTGTTCCTTGACTTAGACCCTGTGAGCATCGTTAAAGAGCCACCCTAGGAGCTGATATTTACAGAGCCTTTGCTGTGTGTCAGGACCACTGTGAGCACTCACAGCATCACCTCATTTCATCTTTGCTGCAGTCCTGTGGAGTATTATGGATATACCCATTTCACAGAAGAGAAAACTGAGGCCTGGAGAGCTCAATCACTTGTCTGAAGACACACAGCCATCTCAGCCCCGAGGCAGGGCTCCTGAATGCTGTCTCTGCTGTCACAGTAACCTTCAACCCTCCTGCATCAAAATGAATGATAGTAAAAAATAAATAGCAGCCAGGACCTGCCAACAGTCACTATTCACCAAGCTCAGTGTTAAACACGTGTTCTTTCATGTCGTCCTTAGAACAAACCTGAGCAGTAGATGCAGTCTCCCTTATACACAAGTGGAAACTGAGGCCCAGAGAGGTTAAGAAATGTGCTGTGGTCACAAGCTAGTGAGAGCAGAAGCTGCCTGAACTCTCAGTCTCCTGGTGCCCCCTACATTCCCCCAATTTCAATGTGCTTCTGGTTTCTCTTTCTAGACTCCAGTTCATGATAGTTGATAGGATTCTGGGCCTTTCTCCAAGTGTCATCTGCCCCCGACCTGTGTCATGTCCCCACACCTAGTGAATTCTCAACACACAGGTGGGCAATCCAAGGTCTGTGTCCCTTCTTGCTACCTCTTAATCACCACTCTTTTACTGCCTCCCTGATGCTCATCTCCAGTGCTGGGAGTGAGACAGGCTGAAGAGAAGGAAGAAATCTCTTTTGGCTCCTTGCATTAGCTTGGATGTGGGGGAAGGACTGAGTTTAAAGGGTCACCTCTCCTCTGGGACCTTCATCTTCCCTGCATCTGTGTCACAGCGACAGGGAGTGGCCCCTCCCAAAGGAGACCCCAGGGCAGAATTGGGATCGATTGACTTTTGAGCTGGCCTGTTGCACCCACGGTTCTCCACGGTGGCATAAGGTTTTATTGTGGTTTTATTGCTTAGGACATTAAAGTGTTTATACACAGAGCCTGGCTGGGGCAGCCCTAGTGCAGGCCGGGCTCATTTCTTCTTTCTTTTTCCATTTACCGTCAATGTTCTAAATTGCGGAGGACCCATTAGGACTATTAGGACTGAAAATCAGAAGGGACATAATGCAAGTCTTTCCCAGGATCTGGGACTGTCAAAGCCAGAGCCACACAGCAGGCTCCAAGCCCATGAAAGCAGAAAAAATCTGGGGACACAGAGTCAGCTTTAAGAAACGAAATTCAAGAAAAAGCCAGAGTTAAGAGAAAACTGCATTTTTTAGGAGAATTCATGGGGAAAGAAAAAAAAAGTTGTCACAGGAGCATGTTTTTTTTTTTTTTATAATTCATAATTTGCGAAGTTTGTAGAGCTCAGTGTCTGATTCTCATCCAAGGGGAATTTCGAAATCAGGGGAAAATAATGCACCAAGGAAAAAGTGCTGGATCAGGGAAACGCGGCTGAGAAGCAGCAGAGCTGCTGGGAGGCTGCTGGTCATTACTGAGGCAGGAGATGGAAGGTGTCAGGGATCAGAATATCATTTGAACAGCTTGGGAAAATCTCAGAGGGAAAGAGGGTGTGTGATCCATTCATTGGCACACACCCCTGCCTTTCTCCATCTCTCCTGTGGCGTTGGGTGTGGGTGTAGCTCAGCAGCCCAGCTGTGCAAGGGGAGGGCTTCTTCCACTGTGAGGGGCAGCCCAAGGGCAAGATGCACACACTGAAGTCTGCAGTGAAGTCGCTGGTTCCACCCAAGTCAGGGGAGCTCATGTCCACAAGAGCCCTACCAGCCAGGGATCAGACGCCATCCTAGGTACACACTTAGGAAACCTGAGAGAGCCCAGAAGCTCTGTAAACCTCTGTTTCTTTATCTGTTAAGATTCCTTACAAGGAATCTCTGCTGGGCAGATGAAAAGAGGAAATGCGAAGGCCCTTGACCCAATACCTGTCCCTTCCAGGAATTCAATGTCCATCAGTTCATACATTCATTCCTTGTCAATAACTTAACCATCTTTATTTCACTCATAGAACCCTGCAGTGCATTCTACACACAAAGGTGCCAAATAAAAAAGTTCAATTGATAGAAAACTAATCAACTAGGAATAAACCAAACCATATACAAAACCCTCCCTCCCAAAACACACCCAAAATCTTAGGCAATAGATGAGGTTGCTTCAAACTTCGCCATTCTCCCTAATTCTTTTCTGACTTCAGCCTGTCTTTTTTGTGTATCTGAAATAAATATGTTGCTGAGCATAAAAAGAATAAGAAGTGCTTCTGTTTGTCGCGTGCTGCCCGAGCTATGGATCCCCAAGCCCTGTGAGTTGCCTGCCAGTTACTGATGGGGAAACAGGACGAGCAAAATGTGAAGATTCACTACCTCACCTGCCGTGAGGAAGTCAGCAGCCCAGATTCACAGCTGGTTTTGCAGCGGTCCCTCTGCCCCACAAATGCTCTGGCCTCCCTGAGCAAAGTCATCTTATAGGGATGGAGGAGTGTCAGGCTGGGGGTGGATTCTTTTCTCTTTCCCAGTAGCACCTACTTAACACATCCTTAACAATAGCACCTCACAGCTGGTTTCCAACACAGAGGGTGAAATTGATCACATTGCTGCATCTTCAAATCTCTGTTTGCAGATCATTAAATACTTAATCTGGGGTGAATTGGAGATGTTCTAAACAAATAAAGCAACAGTCAGACATTTTCGAAAAAATAAATCTGACTCCATAGTGACAACAAGATACCCTCACGCATGGAGAGGACATTGTATTCTGCTGTTTGTTTTTAATGTTTGATTTACTAGATAGAAAGCACAGCCCTTGTGGGTGTCTCCAGGGCTTTGGGGGGGGTCTCCCTGTAGCCCTAATCCCTGCCCCCCACCAACCTTCCCGAGATTCAACGCCCCCCTCCCCGCCAAGGCCAAGGCCGAGCCCCCAGCCTGCCTAGGTCTAGGGAAGCTGCTTTTGTGCTACCGCAGGCCCAGTGTCTGAAGGTTGGCTTCCAGAAGGGCCTTTGAAAGCCCTTGAGCTGAGATGCACTCAGAGTCGCTTGAGACTGCTTCCCAGTAAGGGTTTATAAAGCCCTTTTCCCAGAGAGAGGCACAGCCTGAGAAGTGTTTCCAAAATTGGTGCAATTTGGGACAGTGCAATGTTTAGTCTAACAGGCCCCGCTTCTCACGAGTCCGCTTCCAAAAGTAGGGAAGATTCTGGCTGCCTCTAAAAGGGCCTGCTGTAGGCTTTCTCTCCCCTGGGCTCCACATTCTTCCACAGTAGACAGGATCCTTAGAAAGAACTGGAAGGCCCTTACCCTACAGCCCCCATGGTGGCCCCAAGCCCTCTGATCTTCTCTCTACAGAGTGGAGGGAGGCCACTTAGACCAGGCAGGGAACCAGGGAACCAGGAGGCAGCGAGGGTCAGTTTGGAGAGGAAGCAGAGCTAAGCCCCCTCCTCCAGCAGAGATGGGGAGCCCAGGAACCTGCCAGAACCCCAGGCCTCCCACTGCCCATGCAGCTGCCTGACTTAACAAGAAATTAGTCAAGGGCAAGAACTGAGGGCTGGAGTCTCCTGCAGTCCATCAACAAGCACTTTTGGAGCACCCGCTAGCATGTCAGGGATCTTTCCAGACACCCTGTCCTGACGGAATAAGACTGAATACTTAAACTTGTAAGATAAATGAAGACCATTTAAATGAGAACAGTCAGAGGCATGCAGAGCTTGCTATATAGCAAGGGAGTCAGCCGCTGACACTAGTGTTTGGCAGAGGCTCCAAGGCAGGCAGGGGAGTGGGACGGCTTTACAGCAGAAAAGAGGAAGGCTTCAGGCATGCTTGGAGGCTATTGGTATGGGGAAGCTGGAGGTACCTAGAAAAGAGGCATCCTATGCAACTGATTAGGGGTGTATGTTGGGCTGTCTATGGTTGGTCCTGAGTTGAAGTTTGCACTCACAGACCAAGTCCTGCCCAACCTGGGTAGGTTGCTGCAGAGGCTGTGGGTCAGAGTGCTATTGTCATGTATAGTCTGGCCACTGTCCATTTGTATATTCGGTCTCTTAGGAATCAATGTCTAATGATGAGACCATGGATACGATGCTACTACACACTGGACAGAACGGCTAAACAAAATGAAACAAAAAGTGACAACATCAAGGGCTGATGAGCAGGTGGAGCAACTGCAGCTCACATCTACTGCTGGCGGGAATGTCAAATGGTATAACCACTCTGGAAAACAGATCATAAGAACCCAACTATCCCACTCCTAGATATCTACCCAAGAGAAATGAGGACGTATGTGTACACAAAAACTTGATCACAAGGGGTTATAGCAGCCTTATTCATATTCACACAAAACTAGAAACAACCCAAATATCCTCAATAGAGAATGGATATACAAACTGTGGTATATGTATGTAACAGAATACTATGCAGCAATCAAAAGGAATGAACTACTGATACCCAGCAATGTGAATCCTGAACGTATTATTATAACTTTTTAAAAGGAGATGGGAATCTTGCTGTGTTGCCCAGGCTGGCTCAAACTCCTGGGCTCAAGTGATACTCCCACCTCAGCCTCCTGAGTAGCTGGGATGACAGGCATGCACCACCACACCTGACTTCCCAAATGCATTATTCTAAGTGAAAGAAGGTAGACTCAAAATGCCACATACCATATAATTCCATTTATATGATATTATGGAAAAGGCAAAACTGTAAGGACAGAAAAGCAATCTGAAAAGAGAGTGGCTATTAACGAAGGGCTGGGAAGAGGCTGAGTCCAAAGGGGGGCAAGTGCATTTTGAGGGTGATGGAATTGTTCTCTGTCTTGATTGTGGTGGTGCTTATAGGGCCATGTATTTTTGTCAACACCCAGAGTAAATTTTATTGTACCTAGGTTATATAAAAATATGGAAAAAATATAATTATGGGAAGTTATAACTGCCCTGAAGAAAAAAATAATGCAGAGGCCGGGCTCGGTGGCTTATGCCTGTAATCCCAGCATTTTGGGAGGCCAAGGTGGGCAGATCGCTTGAGGTCAGGAGTTTGAGACCAGCCTGGCCAACATGGTAAAACCCCCGTCTCTACTAAAAATACAAAAATTAGCTGGGTGAGGTGGTGGTTGCCTGTAATCCAGCTACTCAGGAGGCTGAGACAGGAGAATCACTTGAACCTGGCAGATGGAGGTTGCAATGAGCTGACTGTCTCAGGAAAAAAAAAAAAAAGTGAAAACAATGCAGGGGAAAGAGGAGGAGAGAGATACAGTGGGTGCAGTTTAGGTCAGTTTCCAGAGAGGAACTGGGAAGTGACATTAGTTCAGAGACATTTGATTTGGGGAAGATGGGACTTCCTAGTGGAGACTGTTCTGGGCTGAGGCGCACAGGATAGAGGTGGGGACAGGTGCTGTAGGGAGGTGAATGAGAGACGGGACACCAGTGCTGCAGGCAGATCATGGGGCCTGAAACCCAGCACACGCTTTAGATTTGTAGGTGGCTGGGGAGCGCCAGAGGGTTTTATGCAAGAGAAGGACTTGATCTCACTGATACCTGCCAAGCCTGGCCCTGGCTGAAGTGTGGAGTGTGGAGCGTAGGGGCAAGCGGGGAGGCCAGCAGGTGCCCAAGGCCCGCGTACAGGCGGCGGGTGATGTTGGCCTCACTCAGCAGGTGACTGTGAAGGGCTGAGGTGCAATTCCATTTGGGGCACCTTGGGTGATACGGTGAGTATTTACTCTTTGATTCTCGGTGAGTTGTGAGAAAATACAAGAGAAGGGGGTCTGGGGTGAATTAAATAGTGAGGCAGGTGGGCCCAGCTGGGTGTCAGAAACAGTCAGAGAAGCGGCTGTGAGATATTAGATTTGTACAAAAGTAACTGGTTTTTGCCATTGAAAGTAAGGGCAAGTACCACAATTACCTTTGCACCAGCCCAGTGAAAGCCTCTGGATTCCCAGGCTCCTGGCTCCACAGCCCCATTCCCTTGAAAATCCTTAAGGAAGCTTGGAACCCCTCTGTCCCCAGGTCTCCACCTCTGCCTCTGCCTCCTCCCACGGCTCACCCACAGCCTGCGGTTCCTGTCCAGCCCTTAGCCATAGACCACCTCTGACTGCACTGCCAGCTTTCTGTCCCGTGGCTTCCACACCCCTAACACTGGAGCCTCTCCAAGGGCTTTGTCCAGCGTCCCGGCCTGGCCTCTGTTCTGGCTGTTCTGTCCCTCCGCTATTCCATGCCTTCCTTCCATTTCAAATGTCTGTCTCTCCTTTGGCCACTCTCAAACTGGTCTGGCTTCTTGCCTATCAGCTGCCTTGCATTTCCTTCTGCCTGTAAGGTGCTCCTTGGAGCCTCTCATTTAAGAGTTCGAAAGCCAAGCCAGTTGTCTTTTCTGGTGTCCCTCTCTGTGACGGGCGTCCACTCAACCCACACTAGACACCTCGCGCCTCCCCTGCACTCTTGCACCGAAAAGTTCCAGTGTCACCTCAACTGGCCTTCGGGCATCTCTGGTCTAGAGCCTGGCTCCTCCCTGCCATTCCCACTGTCATTGCCTGGACTCCGGCTGTGACCTCCTCTGCCCCCACTGGAGTCTCTCTGGCTCCTTATTTTCTTCTCCATCCCCCTCCTCCATGCTACTGGGACAACCTTTCCAAAGCTTACTCGCTATTAGGGCCTTCCTTATAAGCTCCAGCCATCCCCACCTACAGGACCAAAGCCTTGTTCTTTGGAAAGCACCCACTGCCACCCCAGACTCTTTCTGGCATGGGGTGATCTGGAATTTATCATCTAAACCAGGCCACTTCTGAGCACAGAGGGCACTATTAGAAGTCATGCTGTGACAATGGGCATGCATTGGGACATGTGGGCTCCTGGCTGTGGCCTCATCTGCAGCCTTGTCTCCCACGTCTAGCCCCATCATGATGCTCACAGGGTCATCTCATCAGACCAGTGAAAGCTCAGGCCAGCCTTGGTGCCCATGGGCCGTGTTTTTCCTTTTGTTTGAAGTGACATTCTTTCTCCCCAGCCAAATTCAACCTCACTTCTCACTCAGACCCAGCTCTCTCCCCACTTGTCTGGAAAAGTCTGGGAAAACTGTCAGAGTGCCCTCAAAATCCATCCTGCTCCCTCTGGCTCCACACTGGTGAGCGTTCCAGCCCTGAAGACCAACAGACAAAGCGGCAACCTTGAGCAATCCCCATAAGATTCATCTCAGTTTCCAAATCCATGAAATGGGTATAACTGCAGTACACGTGCCTTTCTCATCTAGGCTGCTGTGGGCACTGAATAAGGGGTACGAGGGAGTCACGGGGTGCTGTGCCTGATGGATGGGAGCATTTGGGTCCTCAATCTGATTGTTTTCTCACGGTGCTGTAGATAGCAGCTTCCCTCATTAAAAAGTAAGAAGTGGCCAGGCACAGTGGCTCATGCCTATAATCCCAGCACTTTGGGAGGCCCAGTTGAGCAGATCACTTGAGGTCAGAAGTTTGAGACCAGCCTGGCCAACGTGGCAAAACACCATCTTTACTAAAAATAAAATTAAAAGAAAGGCCGGGCGTGGTGGCTTACATCTGTAATCCCAGCACTTTGGGAGGCTGAGGCAGGGGGATCACAAGGTCAGGAGATTGAGACCATCCTGGCCAACATGATGAAACCCCATCCCTACTAAAATACAAAAAAATTAGCCAGGCATGGTGGCCGGTGCCTGTAATCCCAGCTACTTGGGAGGCTGAGGCAGGAGAATCGCTTGAACATGGGAGGTGGAGGTTGCAGTGAGCCGAGATCATGCCACTGCACTCCAGCCTGGTGACAGAGCAAGACTCCGACTCAAACGAACAAACAAAAAAATTAGCCGGGTATGGTGGTGCGCTTCTATAATCCTAGCTACTGGGAAGGCTGAGGCATGAGAATCGCTTGAACCCAGGAGACAGAGGTTGCAGTGAGCCAAGATTGCACTACTGCATTCCAGCCTGGGCAACAGAGCAAGACTCTGTCTCAAAAAAAAAAAAAAAAAAAAAGAAGAGAAGAAGCATAAAGTTATGGTTTCCTCTTCTCTACGGCCCTGGGTAAAGTCCTGACTTCTCAGCAAGTGCTCAAAAAACATCTGAATAATGGACAACACTGGAGGACGAGCAAAGAAGACCGGCATCTGAACAATTGAGAGGCACGCTCCAGGGCCAAGCAGAGTAGTTAGCTACTCCTTTGCAAGGGTCCCTGGGAGGAGCCAAGCTCCTAGGAAGGCCTGGGGAGAAGGGGCGGCCCAGCTGATGCAGGCTTGGATGAAAAGTCTCGCAGGATCACTCCAGCCCAGGCGACAGAGCCGTCACCTCTTCTGACTCCTCTTCCAAGTGTTGTGGCTGGGTGTACTGTGAACTCATTAGTGGGAATCTCCTGTCATCGGTCTTTAGTAATTGAGTGTTTCCCCATCTCCTGGCACATCTTGTATACGTGTTAAACTCCCATTGAACACCACGCTTGGCTGCTCTGCTCTTCAGCAGCCTGTGCCAGTGAGCCGGAGTGAGCAGAACTCGGGAGCATTTCCTAGCAACTTCTGCCTCCCCAAGCCTATTGTGTCTTAGTGGGTTACGAGGTGTCAGGTGGATCTGGCCAGTTCAGAGCCTGGCGTCTTGACAGTCCCATATCACCATGGACCACGTAAACCCCCTACCCCAAAAGAAAGGAAAAAGAGCGCATGGAGCTTTAAATAGAACCAAAAGCTGTTTGCTATTTTGCTAAAGCTGGAACAAGGGGGCTTCTTTCACGGAGGATAAAAGACTAAAAATCAATGGCAGGGTTGTCTGAAAACTCAGGTTTCATCTCATTTCAAGGGGGGAAGAAACCAACAGGAATCAGTTATTCCAGTCTTTCTCTATTAGATTTAGTTCAAAGATACCACTCGCATTGGCAGTCAAGTGGTATGGGCTATTTATCTGAAGGATGCTTGATGATCCATTTGTTTATTGATTTAGTTAAGCAGGTGTAGGTAACCTTGTTTACTTGGAAGAAAAAGAGGTCTTCCTATGAGAAAGAAACTGTGTATGGGTTAAAAAAGAGTTCTGTTAACATAAATTAGAAAGTTGGAGTAGAATAACAAAACCCAGTACTGTCTAAGCTCTCAGTCAATTCAGACGAATCTGGAATATTATGTCAAAATGATGGTTTGCAAAGAGGGGGAGATGTTCTCATAAAACCCAGAGGTGGAGAAAAATGAACCCAAGCGCCTGGAAGTAATGGGTGGTCAGGGAGCTAGAGAGAGAATGGTCCATGTGTTTTGTGTTTGATGCCTGAAGATTTGAAACCTTGTCAGGAACACGGGGAGGGAGTTGGAGATTCAACCAGAAAGATGGCTTGTTATCCTCAGGCAAAGAGATATGTTAGTGTGCATAAAAGAGGGAGCATGCTTGAGGAAAACCAGGGCGTCTTCTAAACAGTCAGGTATTTTAGGGAACAATGGATTTCTGGTTGCTTACAAAACTCTAGGACAAGGAGCTACACGTGGACAGAGTTATAAGTCGGTTCCTCAGACATGAGCAGATAATCTTACAAACAAATGTGTAACTATGAAAGGCAGTCGTGGCACATGAGCAGTAGGCTCTCTTGGAAGAAAACCATTTAAAAAGCTACTCTCCAATCTTCTCTCTCTCTCTGGAGCCTTCCAGGGGAATTTTCCTGTTTGGCCAGAGGGTGACGGCTGCAGTCATTGCGGCTACCATGTCAAGGAGTGGGCCTTGCACATGAATGTTTTTCTGTGCCCTCCTGACAGGTTCCTGCACTCCTTCACCACTGGAGGCACCACTCCTGATGTCACAGGTCAAATGCTGGGTGACTTCCCCCCAGCATGACCACAGGGGACTTTTCAAAATCCATCCAGACCTAACCGCCCTTTACCATCCAGACTGCTTCCATTCTGATCCAATCAACCCTCACCTCCCCCAGATTGTCCCCAAGACTTGTCATTCATGTCCTTTATCTATTCCTGTCCCTTGGCACTTTTTAATCCATACTTAGCAAGCCAGAGTGGTTCTCTTAAAACATGTAACGGAACTCAAGCTAAACAGCACACCTCTTGATACCACTTGGAAATGTGTGCACGGTCCCCCGAAGACCTGTGTAAGGATGCTTATGGCAGCACTATTCGAGAGCGTTCAACAGAGCCCATTAACAACAGAATGGATACACACTGATAATGGTTTTGCTGTCCCCACCCACATCTCATCTTGAATTGTAGTTCCCATAATCCCCACATGTCATGGGAGGGACCTAGTGGGAGGTAACTGAATCATGGGGACGGTTTCCGCCATGCTGTTCTCGTGCCAGTGAGTGAATGCTCACCAGATCTGACGGTTTTATAAGGGGCTTTTCCCCTCCTTTGCTCTGCACTTCTCCTTGCTGCTGCCATGTGAAGGACATGTTTGCTTCCCCTTCTGCTCTGATTGTAAGTTTCCTGAGACCTCCCCAGCCATGCTAAACTGTGAGTCAATTAAATCTCTTTCCTTTATAAATCACCCAGTCTCAAGTATGTCTTTATTAGCAGTGTGGGAACGGACTAATACACACACTATAGTCCTTCCGCACGATGACACAGCAGAGAGAACAAACCACTACTCGCCACAACATAGGTGAATCTCACAAACATAATGTTGAGCAAAAGAAGTCAGACAGGAAAGAGAAAATATGTCATCATCCATTTACATGAAGTTTACAAGTAAGCCAGTTTAGACTATGGAGATAGAGGTCAAGAAAGCAGTTACCCTTGGGTGGGAGGCAGACAAGGAGGAAGAAGTCACAGGGTTGCTCTGGGGAGGCCGAAATGCTGTGATTCTTGCTCTGGTCCTGGCTAAAGAGAAATTTCATCTAGCTGTACCCTAACTATTGGCATGCTTTTCTCTCTCTATGCTATACTTTAGTAAAGTGTAAAACATTTCAGATAGTTGCATAAAATGAGATTTAAAAATGGACAGTAATGAAGATCATGAGAACTGTTTTCTATGCTATGGGCATAGAATATTTAGTGCAAATTTCGAGTACTTTGTATTGGTGATATGAAAGAATTACTGTTAAATTACAGCCATTAAAAGTTATAAAAGAAAATTGGTACTGACATTACCATCTCCACACCATTTTTTTCAGCAAAGGTATTTGGTACTTTTATTCTAGATAATGTTTTTAATGTAAGTTTTTGAGGCTGTTTTATACTATTTGATTGAGGGTATAGTAAGACCAACTTATTGATATCTTTATCCCAAATATCACAGGTACAGTGGCGAGCAAGTCAGATGATACAACTGCTATCTTCCAAACCTTTCAATGGTCCCACCTCACTCACAGTCAAAAGTTAAGTGCAAAGTGGCCCCAAGGCCCACAAAGCTCTGCTTGGCCGTCATGCCCTCCCCTTATTTACTGGGCTTTGGGCACAGTAGACTCCAGCAAGCCAGGCATACAGTAACCCCAGGGCCTTTGTACCGGTTGCCTTGTCTTCTGGCTCTCCTTCTGAACGTTCTTCCAGATGAAGGCAAGCTTTGTTTCCTCACCTCTTTCCGTTTTTGTTTAAATGTCACTATATTAGTTCATTTTCACACACTATAAAGACATACCTGAGACTGGGTAATTTATAAAGAAAAGAGGTTTAATTGACTCACAGTTCCACATGGCTGGGGAGGCCTCAGGAAACTTACAATCATGGCAAAAGGGGAAGTAGGCACGCCTTATTATACTTGGTGGCAGGTGAGAGACAGCCAGCAAGAGCAGGGAAAACTGCTTTATAAAACCATCAGATTTGGTGAGGACTCACTCACTATCATGAGAACAGCATGGGGGAAACCACCCCCATGATCCAATCCCCTCCCTCCCTCAACACGTGGGGATTATAATTCGAGATGAGATTTGGGTGGGGACACAGAGCCAAACCATACAAGTCACTGTCTCTGTGAGTCCCTTCCTGACCACCAGCCATCCCCACCCTCCTCTGCTTTTCCTCCTCATGGCACTTACCTTTCATTACACTATATTATTTAGTTACTTATATTATCTCTTTCCATTAGAATGTAAACTCCATGAATAAATGAATTTTTGTCTATTTTGTTCACTGCTTATGTCCTTAGTGCCTAGAAAAGGACTTGGCAGGTAGCAGAAACTTAGTATTCCAAGAACGCAAGGGTGAAGGAATTAATGAATTTACAAAACTCGCTTTGAATCCCATATGGTGTGAAGCAAACTAGAAATGCAGGCAACATCCAGGTCAATAAAACTCAGTTGTAGGAATTCCTCAAGCCAAGTTTAAAGTCAGATCAGGACTAAAGAAAGGGGGAAAGGATTATTTCCCTGAATATTCCCTGCCTTCAGTCTCCCTGCATTCTTATTTGGGTGCGCCAGCTCACTCTTTCATTCACGCTAAACAATACCGGTGCACCTACTATGCGCTAGGCTGTGCTGGTTGCAGGATCCCTGGTTAAGTGGCACCAGGATGAAAGATGCTGAAGGATAAGAATCATTTTTAAGGCTTAAGCATTACTGGCATTATCTCAGAACATCATCACCGAAACCATCACAAGAAACTACTATCTCCTAATTTTATATCCTAATTTTACAAAGAGCCTTTCTGAGGTTAAGTGACTTCCCCAATTTATCGGCGCCAGGAAGTGGTAGAACAGGGGTCTGCACTAGCCTGCTGGGCTCCAGCCTGCACTCTGCTTTCTCCAGTGAGGGATGAGACTTCAGCCAGAGCTCATCAGGACGTGAGTGTTTAAACCAAATCACAAAAGCACAGACCAAAGAACCAAAGCGATGGCCACGGGGATGTTGTCAGGACATGCATCATGGGGCCTTTGAGGGGATCCTAAAAGACCGGCTGCATTTTGGCAGACAGGGCAGAGGACTGGGTGCAGAGTCAAGGAGGGCAAAATCTGAGCAAATGGGTTGCAAATGGGTTGCAAATGAGCCAACCCCAGGTAAAAGCAACTCAAGGAACTTTCTCTGCCACCCATCCTATGGCGGACAAGATGATCAAGCACTTTTTCTGAGATTATGATGGTGGATGCGAACAGGGTCTGGGATATACTAGGTTTGCAATAAACGTCAGTTTCTCTTCTTACTACGCCCAGGGGTTGGGGAGTCATAGGAAGAACATAGATATGGAGCATTCTATTTCTTCTAAGCAGGCCTGGCTCTAACAAACGCTGTAGACTGATTGCATTTCCACAAGAGTGACGTCACAATCTTCTCCTTGCTGGGGATAAACCCCCTTTGCTATAATCAAAGAATCACAGTGTATCAGGACTGAGAGTGGCCCCAGCTCTCCCCTTCAGAGGAGGATAGGAGAGGAGATGAAACTGATCCCTAATCACATAGCTAGTTGCTGAGAAGTACCTAATTTATGATTACACAGCTAGTTGCTGGCACCCTGAGAACTATACCAGGTGGTTCAAATGTGTGTGTGCAAATAATGGCCACCAGGGTGAGGGAAGATTCATTTGAAGGAAAGATGCTCTCCCGCCTCGCCCCTCGCCCCGCAAACCCCCTCCCCTTGCAACCCCCTTCCCTCGCAGCATCCCTTAATGGCTACAGTTAGGAAAGTTAGCTCTCAGTGGCACTTGGGCCATGGCTGGTTCTTTCTCTTGCAAACAGCACCTCTTTGGGATTTCTGGGTTCGTAGTCAAAGAATAAGATGCATAGTAGAATACTAGATTACTTGACTATCTGTGGGCTTATGATTTTCCATGTGACATCCATTCAATCAGACTATTCAGTGCCCTGGAACCTGCTATTTACTGATTATGCCTCATTTAAAATCATTTTCTCCACTGCCATCTACCAGACTGAATTCAAGCCCCTGGAGAGGCAGTTCCCTGGGTGGAGGCATATCGAATGTCTCTGGGGAGTCTAATATTTTACCTACTTGCATACACTATTGTGAGTGACTGTTAGTTTTTTGAAGCGGCTTTCTCAGGAGTGGGAAGAAAAGAAGCTGGCTAACAGTGGGATCTCAAATACCACCAGGCACAACTGAGAGACTCTCCTGAACAATGAAGGAGGAATAGAGCTGGAAAGAGGGGCAGGCAGTGGAGTGTGGAATGGCTGGGGCGTAAGCAGCCCTGACAGAGAAAGGAGAAAGACCCGTGGAGTCAGAGGAAGGCCTGACGCTTTGCCATCTGGCAGATCTGGGTGTGAATATAGCCCCACTTACCAGCAGGTGGCCTTTGAGAGTGACTCAACCCCTTTGAAGTTTCTGTTTCTTTCTTTATACAAATGAGGCCAATGATTCTGCACACCGAGTTGTCAGGAGGGTGAGTAGAACCGTGCCCGGCAGGTAGTAGGTGCTTCACTGAGTTGGCACCCTGCCTTTCTTGTTAAAGCAGATGACACCATTTACCAGCCATGGCTCCATTAGCCTGGAAGGTGGATTGATTGCCAGGAAAATGCCTCAGTTCTCCAAAGCCTCTTGAATAATTATCTCATGGGCTTTGTCAGAGCAAATGAGGTCTTGCCATACTCAATTTCCAAAGATGCAAAACAGGGATGCATTAGACGCCCCATTTTATTCAAGAGACCTTCTTACACTACCAGACATCACAGAGTAATGGGGAAACTAGGTTTGGAGTTAGACTATGAACTGGATCCTTGGGGAAACTTTCCCAGCTTGGATAATGATGATAGCTAATGTCTTCACAGCACCACCATGTGCCAGGCCTGTCCTGAGTACTTTATGCCTGTAACTCATGTGCTCATCTCCAACTGTAGAGAAGCCTTGAAGTAGATACCACTATTATCTGTGTTTTGCAGATCAAGCAACTGAAGCACAGAGAGGCTAAATCACTTGCCCAGGGTCAGTCCAGGACATGAACCCAGACTACTTGGCTCCAGAGGTCACGAGTGCAGCTCCTGGGCCACACTACCTTCCAGTGCCTCAAAGGGCACAGGTTAAGTGACCCAGATTGGACAAATCTGTGGGTTCAGCACAGCACTCTGGGCTTCTATGCCATCTGAGGACTGCCAAGGATGTCAGTGCCAGGGAATAAGCCCAGACCCTCTTTTCTCCAGGAAGAATGGTGGTCCAGGACCGACTACTGTGGTCCCTGCACCCTCCAGGGTCTGCTGCCCGTGTGCCCTTTCATCATCAGCTCTCTGCCTTTGCCAAAGCAATTTGAAGGCTATGTTTTTAGGGAGGACACTGAGGCACAGGGAAAGTGATAGCCAAAGGTTAAATCCATTTAGAGCCAGCATTTTCTGCCTTCTAACTCTTAGGTCTCTTACAGATCTTGTATTCAGTGTATTTCTTTGTTTATTTGATGAGGCAATTCAGTATGACCAGTACATCCGTGGGGAGGCACCAAATCTCTGCTTCCTCCTCTGTAGGTGGAGAATATGGCAGCCACATCACAGGTGAGTGGAGGGAACTGAGTTGAATAAGGTTCTACATATCACATCACTAGGACAACGCACCATAGCAAGTATTTAATAAGTGGTAGTCCTTTTTGGATGGTGTTTATTTGTATCATAAATAATTTTAGTCATGTATGAGCCACATTCAATGAGTCTGTGGGATGAGTGAGACCATTCATAGGAAGTCATCATCTGTTCCAATGGGAATGACAGAGAAGGAAGTAGAAGTAAATAAAATGGCCAAGCCAAATCCCTCCAAACAATGAGCTGAAATCCAGAGCTGAAGGTGTATTTTTAGTTCATGGCAGGCTGAGTCAATTTGGCATATTGGCTATATTTCACAATCCACATACCCAAGTGTGAAAAGAAAATATTCTCTAATTGAACCTATTTTTTTCTCAAGCTTCCACTCCAACTGTGGCAGAATATTAGGCAAGTCAAGAAAACTCAGCCACTTGAAGGTTTCCCTGAAGGTTTCCAGTCGTTTCAGCCCTCGCCTCTTCCCTAAGCCGCATCTACATTCTTGCGGGGCAGGGTGATGGCAGAGATGGGGGTTGAGCCTCTACTTCATTTGGGAAAGTGTTTCCTGTTCTCCACCACCTTTTGTCCATGGTGGCATCTCTGGTGATGGCCACTGCATGGTTTTGCTCTGATAATCAGCCTCTATCCCCTTTGGTATCTGTTGAGACAGGTGGGTCCTTCACTGGCCATGGGCTTGCAGAATCTACAGGCTACTTCCAATAGCCAAGACCTTAAGACACCCCAACTTGCACGTGCACATATACCATGCACACACACATCATGCACGGACACATATGTATCCCCTTTGGTCTTGGTCCAAGGAGAGGGGCAAGGGGGCAGGGCCTGGACTCCCTTCCATACATTCTCCTGCCTCCATCTGGTCATCTATCATCGTCTCTGTCCATGCCTAAGAGAAGTGGCCTTTGGCTAAATATTCTGTTCAACCTATTGCTTATGCTATTGTTTATTTTGGGCCTTTGTAACCTCAAAATCCAGAATTGAATATTACTCTGTATTATTTCTTTTTGTATTTTAACTTGGGGCTTCTTTCTTTTGAGATAAGGAGCCAAGCTGTGGTTTTCTTGAGGATGTGTTTTATTTTCAGAGGGGCAGCACCAAGACGATGTAAATAAGGGGAACATTAAAGTGCACGTGTGCACGTGCACACACACACACACACACACACACAGCCACTCTAAACTTCATATATCAGTCCTTGCCATTGGCAAAAGGTTGCACCACAAGGCTCAGATGTACCAGTGAGGGAGTGCTGAATGTTCCTTTATTTCCAAAAAAAGAAGTCAAGGGCCAGGGGATCAGGCTCTGTACTCAGCAGACCTGGAGATGGAAAAGATGACTGTGCAGCATGGTGGCCCACCAGCAGTGGAAAGAGCCATGAAGGTGGCTGCATTGCAATGAGCACCATTTAGAAGAACATGAGCTTAGGAGCAGACGGCAGGTCTGCGAGCACATTTCTGAGAATAAGCTGTGCTTGCAAGATTGTGACAGCTTCTTCCCCCTCCTTCCCAGCAGTGAAAACAATTATTCTTTACATTAGTCTCCCTCAGTTCAGACCCTCATCCATCTCTATCCAAATGGCCTGAGATGAACACTGTCCAAAGAGCTTCTTTAAAAGCCTCCATCAGCACAAATGTGCCAACGCCAGGAATGGCTTCTTCTCCTTGTTGGAGGCCAGGCCTTCCCATCTGCAGAATTATGGCCTTCCCCGGGCTGGCCTGAGTTGTGGCCTCTGCCCATGGCCACGGCTCTGCATGAGACCTTCACGTCCTCTCTGAGTCTTTCCCCAAGTCAGCTAGCGTCCCTTCAAGGTTGCTAATGGTCGCCCTTTATTCACTCTGGCGGCATGTTTAGTCTCCTCAGAGCTGGCACCTTGATCTTTCTCTGTCTTTATTGTCCTGTCAAATGGTTTTGGTGGAGCAAAGTACAATTTACCCAAATCACTGTAGAAAGGAATCAGAAAAACATCTGTAAAGTTGGTTGTCTAATTGTGCTCCTTCCTTTCTATTCTATGAGCAGCTGAAGTCAAGGGAAGCTGTGTGTGTGTGAGGGAGGAGGGGTGCTAATCTCAGGCCCACCCTCCCGTTACCATGTCTTGCAGGTGGGCAAGGTGATAATGGTAACCAATGACCTGCAAGTAAGATGGCACAGGATAACTGCCTCTGTGAGCTTCCTGGAGTCTAAACCTTATCCTAACCCAACTGGGATTGTATTCTAACAGTTTTTGAATGTCTCGTCAAAAAAAATCTATCTATAATGTCATTTGTATTTATACTAAAATAATTAAACATAACGTTGCTGGGTTTAAAGTTGTCAAACAGGGAATGTCATGGGCTGCAAGATGGGCACGTTCGTTTCTTGGTGGCTGCTGTAACAAATTACCACAAACCTAGTGGCATAAAACAATAGAAATGTGTTCTTTTATAGCTCTGGAGGCCAGAGGTCCAAAATGAGTGGTACATGGCTAAAATCAAGTTGCTGGCAGGACTTGTTCCTTCTAGAAACTCCAGAGGAAAATCGATTCTGGTTCCTTCTAGAAACTCCAGAGGAGAATCCATCCTGCAGCCTCTCTGGTGGCTGATGACATTTCTTGGCTCATGGTGTCCTCACTCCAGTCTTTGCCTCTGTTGTCACATTGCCTTCTCCTCCTCTGTAGTCAGTCAAATCTTCCTCTGCTTCACTCACAAAGACACTTGTGATCACATTTAGGGCCCAAGTGGATAACCCAGGGTAATCTTCCCATCCTCATATCCTTACCTTAATCACATTTGCAAAGTCTCTTCTCCCATATCTGCTAACATTCTCCATACATTCTCCCAGGTTCCTGGGATTAGGACATGGATATTTGTCCTAATATTCCATCTGTCATGGTGAGGGGCCAGTTTCAGCTTGGACTCTATTCAGAAAGTGATGCTTCCTGCCAAAGGGAGTGGAAGACTCACGTGCCCTTTGTCTCAGCACCCAGGGAGAATACTGAAATGGTCAAAGTGCCAGTAGACAGGGGAGAGAGCTGCAGGGCCACCCAAGTACATCAAAACCATTCCCTGGGTTAGCAGTACCATAAACAGCCAGTATTTTGCAGATCATTTTGGAGAGAAAAGTAGTGGTCACCAAAACAGGTGACAATCCCAGTCTAAGTGATGAGGAATTTGAAGATTGCAAAGACACTGATGGTTGCCCACCCTAAAGCCATTTCCACCTTTCTTGCTAACATAATCTTGATTTTCCCAAGTTGCAGTGTGCTCAGCCCAGGAAACAATTCCTTTGGATCACACTTTGAATAGAGAGGGTCTAGGCAGATCCCATTCCCCCTTGCCAGAAGATTGATTGGTCTAGGGTAAGTATGTGGCTCAGTCTCAGCCCATGAAGGCTAAGAGAGGATACGCTGAAGGGCAGGTGGGCTTCTGAAGATTTCCTTTCCTGATGAAAGACAAGAGGGTTTTAAAGAGAAAGCAAGATCGCCCCTTCCCTGCCTTCTTGCTTTGCACAGTCATGTGAGGAGGTAAGGCCCAGAGCTGTGGTGGCCATCTTGTGACTGAGATGGACACATTGGTGGATAAAAGCCAATCCACTGAGGGCGAGAAGTAGGGGAACACCTTTGAAACATCAAAACAACCTCAGGACTGCCCACTGCCATGTTGTCTTTTTAAGTGAACTATAAATTCCTTATGGCTCATTCCACTGTTACTCAAATTGTCTCTTATTTGGAGCTCAATGCACCCTAAGTGATAAAACAAACATAAGGTCCTCAGAAGGAACAGAACAGAGACAAGGCACAGAAAACTGGAGTTCAGATGCAGCCTCCCGGATACTAAAGATCCACCCATTCTTCCCAGCGAAGAGCAACCTTACATTGCTGTTTGAACTCCAGTGCATGGCAGCATATCACTAAGCATCTTCCTGAGGAGTTACTATATGGTGATATGCCTAGAGCACTCACTCCTGAGTTTGTAACAGAATCTCGAGCAACCTTTAAGCATCTTCATACGTCACAAACTCAACATTCCCTTCAAGTACCATGATACCTGAAGTGGTAGATGCTATCGATAACAGTTAGGACTCTGATGCTTACATTGAACTGCTAAACTAGATAAGTCTCATTTCCTCAGCCCCTCCATTTAGAGATACTCAGGTGTGTCCTTTTTGGTATACTTATTTCAGGCTGGTTATATCACATCTCCTGCACGTACCTTCCAAATCGGACGGATGCCCCTCAGCTCCACACATCGCAGCGATCAACCACATGATTAATTAATCCTGAGTGTAACTTAAGCTACTTTAAAGAAAATTCCAGGCAAACAGATATAAAATACCTATCTTTCTTGCTGAATTGCTTGTTTGAATTCCCTCATTGATATCAGACTTAATTATGCAATATCTCAGAAATACACAAACATCTGCGATTTTATTTCAGAGTGTATTTGAAAGACAAAGATTTAAATGCCCTGTGTGGTTTCAGGAACATGATGGATCTTACAGAGGCTGAGGTGGGGGAAAAAAAGAAGAAGAAATAAACCAAACTCCCTTATTCAGGTGAAATAGATTATTCGACATAGTTTGAATTCCAAGGAGGAAGACATTGGCTCATTTCACAATGCAGATTCTAGGTCCTCTACTGACTTTTCTTTTAAGGAATACATCTTTAAAAAGTCACCACCTCCTTTGGGACACAGTTAAAGTATGCCTGTACCACTGATTAGCTACATAACTTTTAATCTAGGAGGTTACTAATTTGTCTGACAACTCCCTGACCATTCGGCTCTGTCCTTCTTTTTTCTGAGTCAGCACACTCACTCTTAGAGAAGCCTGCATCTTGCAGAGCTGTCACTTCTATCAAACACAATGCCCTCAGGGTTTATGCTCATCATTAAAGAAAAAAAAACTTGTTAGAGTATTAGCCAGGCCCAGTGCAGCGCCGTTAAATTAATTTTAGAGATGTATCTAGGTCACACATCTATCTGCATGTTGCATACAAACACACCAGCTAGTTACCTAGTATTTGCATGTTTCTAGGCTGTTAGGGCCATGCTTGATGGAGAATTACCCTTTATTTTGGCCCCAGATGGAAAAATGGCTGTTCCTGTTCAATATAACCATAAAGTAATTGTGGTATTTCTTCTGAAAGTTGGCCACCGCAGAATATTTCCAATGACTTTTTTAGAAGACTGTTTCTAAAGGGCATCAACATTTCTGTCTCTGCTAACTGGCAATTTTTATACAGAATCGTTTGATGCCCAAATAATTTATGAATCCTCCACATCTCATTTTATCTTCTGTGTAGAAAGAATATGTTTCATAAAGTCCCTTTAGAGGTAATGAAGTTTTTACACAAAGCTGAGATGATGAAGTTATAATATATTGTCCTTTGGGTAGAAATTAAGCTTCACTGGTGGATAAAGAATATTTAAAGTATGTACGGTGCAGAGGATCTGTATTAGAAAAGATAAAGTCTATGAGAAGAGTCTGCAATACCCATGTTCTTTCAATATGCTGGGATGCCAAGTCAAGCATAACCAAAGGAGTCCAAAATTATTACAGAAGGAAACCTTTTGACTTTGCACATCACACTCCTAGGATGACTCGTGTGCCATTTTAAGAACATATATTTCTTGTGGAGTTGAATGAAACTGACAGGTCCTCACAGTCTTCTCAGAGCTATTTCATAAAAAGCATGACAATGTAGGTAAGCACAATAGCATTGTCACCAGCTGAGAATTCAGACAGAATCAGCCAGTATGTCCTGAAAAAGGCCCTTGTTAGACAAATGAGGAAACCAAGGTTGGGACAAAAAAAAAAAAAAAAAAAAAGAAGTAACCTGCCTAGTCCCACAAGCATGCTTTAACTGAAAAGTGCTGTGTGTCAATTCCTGTTAGTATGCAATCTGTATAAAGATGACCTCCATGCTTAGATAGTGTTTATGATAGCAACACTAGAGTTCTAGAAAGGAATTTCAATGCCTTTCATAACAATTTGTACTGTAGCTTGACCTGATACAAATACTATCTAGAGGACTCATAACTGGTGCTTTGTTTCTCCAAGGCTTAGAGTCAGGGAAAAACTGGGTAAATGACAGCACAAGACACAGTCCACTGTTCAGTAAGCCCAAGGAGTAGAGAAGGGAGATGTGCTTCACCCTATCCAAGGTAACTACTAACAAAGCACAAGTGTCACTAGATTGGACTAATGTGCTGATGACTTTTTGCACTGGACTGAAACAAGCATTGCAACCACAGCCTAGAGATCTGAAAATACCAGCAACGTGGAATACGGACAAAATGATGGCATCAAGATATAACTTGTAATAGCAAGTCACTTTTGATTAGATCACTAGCACTTTTGTGACCCAATGATGTGACATGATTACATCTGAAGCCAGCCCAGGAACACGCACAATGATGATTGTGTGATTAACTAGGCTGACTCACAGGCATGGTGGGTCATGGGCAACTGAAAGTCTAAGACTTCCTGGAGCTGGAGAGAGCTAGAGCTCATTTACTTTACATGGGAGATCGAGAACAACTTGAAAAACGAAGATTGCCCATTAGAAAAGGGAGACTATGTCTTGGATTAAAAAGGTTTCTGTCATTGGAAAGTATGATAAAGGAATGATGGTCAGAGTTTCTGACATCATTTTTTCTGACATTGTATGAAGGTTGTGTGTTAATCACAGCAGGTTTGGGGGAAGCAGCATGTTGTGGTAGATTTTATTCCCGTCTGCACTTGCTAGCCACGTGAGCTTAGACAGGTCAATGCTCTAAGTCTCAGTAAAATGGGGACTCTAATATTCTTCTCTTACTGGCTGTGGGAGGATTAAATAACATGGCATGGTGTGTAGCCCATAGTAGGTGCTACCAAATACTTGAACTTTCAGAAGATGCATTTCACCACAGGGTCATCTTTTGACTTGATTGCATGTCTACTAATTAATTCTATGTCCACTAATGAATTTTAAGGGAAAATGTAAATGCAATTAAATAATCAATGTAAACCAGTATGAGGACCTTCTCACTTCTCACCCTCCTAAAACTACCTTACAATATGAGAGTCAGAAAAAAATAAACCAGCATTGACAGAACAAAAACAAATCATAATTGAATGTATCACACTGTGCATGAAGATTATACAACTGAGAGGCACACTGGGCCAATTCACATCCACCAAGGAAATTATGCCACACGTCAGGGAAAGCCCCAGCAGAGGAGGTCAGTGTGGGCAGCAAGGGGGTCACCTGCCCCAGACAGAGGCTTTCTGTGAATGGCCTTCTCCCTGAAGCTCTATATGGGCAACGTTAGCAACTCTGTGAAGAATAGTTCTAAGGAAAACGGATTGCGTCCTTAAGTAGAGCTCCCCAAACTTGTCTGTTAAGAATCAATTGCAGCCTTATTTAAAATACTCATGTCCAACAGAACAGTAGATCATTCTTATTAAGAGCAGAGCTGAGAAATGTCTCCCTGGTCTAGCTTTTCACAAGCCAGTTTGGTGCTAGCATTGCCCATTTGCACAGGTGTACCACGACACTATTTCCAGTTAAAAGCTTGTTTTCAGGTGTTTGTAATTCCAGCAAAGCCCTCCAAGGAAAACCCCATGAATTAAAATACAGACAATAACGTCATCCCACTTACCCAAGTCCACCACTTAGCCCCTGCCCAGAAATTCACCCTGGAGGCCACTTCAGAGACATACGAGGACTGCCTACTTTCTGGCAGAGACCCTGTGGAAAATATGCTGAAATATATGAGGAAGGCAGATTCTTTGCTCAGTGCTGCATTCAAACCATGCCCGCCTTATTTTTTATTTGTTTCTAACAGTTCTCACATGGCGATCCTCGAGTTCCAGCATTACTTGAGAATTTGTTGGAAATAAACATTCTGGTCCCACCCCAGACCTACTGAATGAGAAACTCTGGGAGTGGGCCCCAGCAATCAGTTTTAGTACACTTTCAGAAGATTCTAACGTACTCTAAAGTTTGAGAGCCGCTGGTTAAAAAACAGAAAAACAGGCCGGGGCGTGGTGGCTCACGCCTATAATCCTAGCACTTTGGGAGGCTGAGGCAAGCAGATCATTTGAGGTCAGGAGTTCGAGACCAGCCTGGTAAACATGGTTTCACTGTCTCCACTAAAAAACAAACAAACAAACAAAGAAAAAAATTAGATAGGTGTGGTGGCGGGCGCTTGTAATCCCAGCTACTGGGTAGGCTGAGGCAGGAGAATTGCTTGAACCTGGGAGGTGGAGGTTGCAGTGAGCTGAGACCGCGCCATTGCACCCCAACCTGGGCGACAGAGCAAGACTCTGACTCAAAACAAAAACAAAAAACAGACAAACAAACAAAAAACCAGGCCGTTTCCCCACTTATTTCAATACAGCGACCCAAAGTTTGTAACTAGTTAGGCCTCCCAAATATTTGTTGAGATTTTTCTACATTCAGTTAGAGGAAGGTAAAAAAACAAACATCATTTTCACACGATTGACATTCTGTAAAGTAGTTATGATTTGAAAACATCAGAGTGAGACAAAAGCTGATCATTAGAAGAGAAAAGCAGTTATTCTAATTTCACCACTTTGAGTATTTACTTTCGTAAGGGCAAAGTCACCCGGTGAAGTCATTTTTCACACAAACGAGGATCTAATCAGGCTGCAATGCCTCTTCAAGGCACGACGGCTGCAGAGCTTGTGAATGTTTCTGTGAACATTGTGCGGTTTGATTTTAGCTGCTCAAAGTATGAACAGCCACTTAGTGACAATTGTCCAAGGGATAAAGAGAATGTTTTAAATTTAATGCTTATTTGTAATGTATCCTCCAGCATTCTTTTGCTACATATATATGAGTATACTCTTACATACACGTTTCCTACTTTTCCTAGTGTATATAATAATTAAGGGTATTAAGATGTACGTATAAATATATTCTATATACAGAGAGAAGTAAAGGTTGAATGTAAGCAGGCTTTAAAAATGGGAGAAATTGAAGTCCATTATATTTACACACAAATATGTAAGGAAAAAGTGTACTATGGAATACAATATACTCTATTTATGAATTCTCGCATTGGTTTCGAAAACTCAACACAGTTAAATGAACAGGAATTGAAGGTGCATGATAGATGCGTCCCTCATAGCATTTAAATCTCTTCCACTTGATTAAAAATTCCTAGTTCCTCTTCACTGAATTGTTTAGAGTTTTTGAGCAGCCTCTGCCCTGATTAAAACAAATTAGCATCAAAGATCCCCTGTTGAATGAGAAATCATTAATTGAGAAACATGCAATGCTCCTTAATTACTTTTAGAACAGTGAGAGAACAAATAATCTCAGGTTCCAGAGGGCCCTGCCTGCTCTGCACCGTGAACTCATTTCGTGTAGCTGCTGGAATAAAACTCAAGTAGCAAACACTATTGGGGAATATCAATGCAAGCTTCAGTAAACACACTGTAGATTGTTTATCTAAAAGAAAAATATCTAGGTAATGACTAACCGGAAGAGAGGAAAACGTTTTAGTCTTTTATTTTGACGAGAGCTTTAAAAGGGTTTTACATATGCCAATATTGATTGAGAAAGAATGTGAGCTGCTCTTTCTGATACAAATTTTAATGCTTTGTGTAAAACACTTCATTTATGCAATTACCTGATAAGATTTCAGATTCTTAGGTACAGATGTGTAAACTTTATCATTTCACAGTGGAATGGAAAGCTCCAAAGTGTTAAACTGTACAAAATCCAGCTACAGATGGAAATTCAAATTATGATAGGGCACCATAGTTCTTCCTTCCTTTATATACCAATACAATGATTATGACAGCTTAGGTAGGTCAGCGATAAATGATGCATCCCCCCACCTTTAAAATCTGGTAAACCTTTCATAAGACCCCATGGGAATGTCAATGGAAAATCAAATTGTTATAGATATTATGACAATGTAAAGAATGTTGCCAAATGCTTGTACGCAGCGCCATATGGAAAGCCCTCTGAGAAGAGGGGCATGGCACTGAGTGTGAGGTTCTAAAGATTCTAGAAGCACATTCCTCCCAAGCACCCTGGCAGAAAGCAATGTTCTCATTTTTCTACATGGGATAAATAAAGCGTAGTAAAGTATAGTTATTCTGCTGAGGGTAGAATTTTGGTTTTATTCTAGTTTTCCCAGGCCTCCGTTTTAACCACTAGATCATGCATGCTTCCTCAGCAGTCTTTGAAAAAATTGACAGAATTGATTCAACTATCTCTATTTTTTGGATATTTTGGTTCACCATACAGTTTACAGACCAATTCAGATAAAATAAAGTGCAAAACTTCCCAAACAAT
Source organism: Homo sapiens (assembly GCF_000001405.40). NCBI lineage: Eukaryota > Metazoa > Chordata > Mammalia > Primates > Hominidae > Homo > Homo sapiens. The sequence continues at coordinate 115,952,515 of NC_000010.11, read as the reverse complement.
ACTGCCATATAAGATCTATATTAATGTGATTAAGACCCAATTTGGGGAATTTGCATTTAATTTTTAGTGGCATGAAGTGACATGTTTTACGAGTTGAATTACGCTTTTTACCAACAGTCTTAGTAGATTTCAAACTTTGTAGAGATTATTAATCACTATTCTTTGTCTTGCATCCCACCAAGATAATAAACTTGATGCTGCTACAATCTTTGCTAATACCGCAAATAGTCCCTTAGTGCCTACATTATAAGGGCAATTATCAAGACTCCATCAAGAATATGTACACAAAGTAATTTGCACCAAAAACCAGCATGTTATTAACTGTCTTAATGCAGTATAGAGGACTATAAACATGGTCATAATATTTTGAAACAGTAGGAAAATTGTTTTTTCTCAAAGGGTTCCCAGGAAGGTATATGCTTTTTGGGATATCCACAATAATGATCAATCCAGTAATGTGCAAAATGAAAATAGTTCAGATATATTATCACTTACAAGAATTACTAAAAGAAAAAAAAAAGGCCATCACATAACTGTCTTCCAGACATTGTTCATAAAATCATGTAATTTAAACATTGCACATTATGTATAAAAACACAACCAAGGCATCCTTCTACGTCGTTACAGATTTCTAGTTTGTAAAGCTCATCATAGACACAGCCTCCTGAGAAACAAAATGATGCTATTCTGTAGTTCTCCCTTCTAGAAACACTGCTTTAGTTAACAGCCCACACTGGTAGCATTTTTTGTTTTGTTTTTGGCTTTGGAAGGTCATATTGGAGTTGTCACTTCAGAAATCAACAAGGAGTGAACACTGGATTCTCAGAGTTTTTCCCTCTTCTAATTAGTTCACCTGCCCCTAAATGTTTGGGGAGGCCATATTCTTCTATCCTCCCATGGAAACAAGTTTCAAAGGAACTTGGAGATCTGACTCTCAGAAGGGAATAGTCTTGATAAGTAGCATATCCTGTTTGCCATTATCTATTTGTGTTGCAAGGTAATTCATTTCAGGTTGAAATCAAATTGCTTTAAGCTGAGCTGCTGTTTTTATTGGTGTCCTTCCAGCTGGCCTTCCCTTTTAAGTGCCATCGTATTTCAAACAAGCTGATCTAAAGGAAAAGATTTACTGCTGCCAACGTGCATTGTAACAAGGGAATGAAGATGTGCAAGACCTATTTTATGTTATTTATTTATATTTTAAATATTGGTAGAGGTATGAGAGAACTAGTCTGCCACTGAGGGAATGAGCTGACTAGTCAGCGAAGGGTTAGGAGAGGTGGGTGAAGATGAGAAAGAACATCTAACACAATTTGTTAGTATTTGCTATAAAACTGTCACTTAAAGTTGAGGAAGGTAATTTTAAAAATATGTAATAGATATTGTAAAAAATCTTGAAAAGCACAACTCTAAATCACCAGGCAACACATAGCATTGGTTCCGATTGCAGTTTAATTATTTGGGAACTGTGGCACATAGAAGCACTTTAGTATTACCCCAACAACAATAAAAAATCAAGGAAAAAATCAACGCTCATGATTCACTGAATTTAAACCTGGACCTTTTCATAGTAAAAGGAGAGAACATTTAACTATGATCTACTTATTTCAACAACAACAAAAACTCATCACAAAACCTACATGAGTTAGCATTTTTATCCCCGCTTACTCAGAAATTTAGATAACCGGCCCATGGCATTAAAAAAAAGAAAAAAAAAAACAACTCGGCATTTGAGTTAAAATTCGAGTATTTCTTCACACAGGACCTGTTCTAAGAAAACTTGTATGTCACTGGAAAGAACAAAATTTAAAATATCTTTGGGCAATAGAGGCTATAGAAACACAAAGAATTATAAAAGAATTTGCTCGGTAATGCTATTTTCCTAGGCAGATTTTCTAGAGTGAGATTTCCTGACTGTGCACACAGCCAGGCTAAAGAAACTCATGTTTAAACAACTATCTTCCCTGAGTGAATACCACTCAGGCCAGATACTACTTCTGCCAAAAATAACCAGAAAATGCCACTTCTGCCAAAAATAACCAGAAAATACCACTTCTGCCAAAAGTAACCAGAAAATACCACTTCTGCCAAAAATAACACGGGTTAAAGCTTTTGACGGTGAGAATATAGTGTTTCTGCAATGGTCTTTCAGGGGTTTGGTTTCTTGTTCAATTAAAACTACTCTGCACCCAATCCCTGAAGTGGGAGAAGGTTAGAATGGGGGTGGGGGGTGGGGGGTGTAGTTTACAGAAGCTCATTTAAAATTATACTGTTGTTTCATATTTGGAAAACAAAACAATAGTAGCTATTTTCATAGTAGGGCTGGAGAAGGTAAAGCTTGATAATCTCTTGGCTGCCATGGCCATGCCAGGTACCCTGATTCTAAACAAGCGAGGAAGCATGTAAGAATCTGGAGCAGGAATTGTGTGTTTACCAAAAGGGTTATAGGTTGGAGCTGAAAGAACGCCTATCACGCACATCCGCCACTCACAGGTGATTTCTCTGAGCAAATCCTTTTAGGCCAGAGAAAAGTCAGTTTTAAGCTAAACTTTCCAAATCTCCTTACAGCCACTGATCCACCATCAAAAAGCTGAAAAGGAGAGTGTGCAAGGCTTAGATATTCACAGAGCAGCTGCTGCTGTCTGTGGCGAGAGTCCACCCAACAGCCCTCTACCTACTTTGGGCGCATCTTCATCCAGGACCCTCGAAAAGCTTCTCTTTCTTCTCTGATGTTCCTGGGAGGCGGCAGCCAGGCTGGGCATGTTTCTCAAGGTTCGGTGGTCCTCTTCTTCCCAGCCCCTTCCTGGCCTGGCCTCTTGGAGGTGCGACGGGGAGGAGACCACCATTCCAACCTCTGGAGCACAGGCAGGGCCGGCCTCAGGGTTAGGCCTCAGGTCAGGGTCCTGGAAGAGCCTGCTTGAGGCCCTGAGCCCAGAAGGTATCCCAGGTGCTGGGCCCAGGTGGTGTGGGGGGAGGGGGTTGGAGAGAAGAGAGAAGTTTAGATCCTCCTTGGTTTTCTTCTCGGTGAGACCTTACAGAGGCCTAGCAGAGCAGTGCCACTGAAAGAAGGCTGGGCCCCAGATGGCCACATAAGGACCAAGCCCAGAGCTTACCAGAGAACCTGCAGGCTTTTCCCAGAAGAGTCAGCTATGCCAGAGCTGCCCTGGTCTCAGATAGCTGACTTTTATTCTAAGTAAGAGCAATTTCTATAACACATGTCCTGTGGCGTAGACCCTCATTATAGCTAGATTCTTAGCTGCTGGGCCTTGTGAGTTTTGCCTTTAATTCTCAGGAACATTCCAAGTGCTCAGCAAGCCCCTCACAGAGAACGTACAGGAAAGGTCAATGCAAATCTGGTGAAGAGAAAAAGAGGGGGAAATGTATTTTGAATGTCAAAATTCAATAACAAACTATATAATCACCTCTTCGATGGAGAGGGGCTTTTTCAAGTTCTCAGAGTGCTTTTTCCTGTGTGACCACGAAAGGATAAAACACAAACAAAAACAAAACAAAACTGCATTTGGCAGTGGGGGTTGGAAGAGCCAATGTTTTTATTTAATAAAGTCCTGATTAACAGCATATTATAACATAAAATGTTGGCTTTCTAAAACGGGCTTGAACTTTTACACAATCTTTTGAACACTGGCATGCACACCTGTGTACATATATACTGATAGGAGCTCTGGTTCTAATTCTTAATTTCAAAAAATTTTGATAAAACTAAAATGTTAAATGTACACTCTAATGAAATCACTGCTATAACTAACACCAACCAGATGGCTTGTATTCCTTGGAAAATTCTTTAAAGCATTTTGAATTAGAGTAATAACTTTGTTATTTAGAGAACTCCCTCTAATGGTCGATTAAAGGCAGCACTTTGACCCAATGCAGTGTTTCCCTAATTTGCCTAATGGTAAGAAGCACTGAGGAGCTTGTTAAGAGTACTGCTCTCCAGGGCCTACCCCAGTGTTTCTGAATCTAAATCTCTAGAGGTGAAAGTGGGAATCTGCCTGAACCCAAGCAATTCCTGTAATCAGGTAAGTTTCCAAGCTCACTCTAGTATACGGCAAATGGGTTTTGAAACTCGACATTTAAAAAGACCATAGGTGGGTAGAATTAGTTCATTTGGTCAGTTTTCATTTTACAATCTTTTTTAAATATAAGACACCTTTCAAATCATAGTTTTATGTTCACTGAGAAAAGATGTATCATGTATAACCACAAAATGTAAGCACTGACCCTGTCTTGCCTAGTTTGTACGTGAAAGGTGATCATTGATGCTCTTGTCTCAATGTCATCAGTCAGTAATTTTAAGAAAAACTCTCCTAAAACTATAGATTTAAGAAGAGTTTAAGTCTTTATTGACTAAATGTCAAAGTCGTTTTGTAGAAATCCCTATATCTTAGAAATACAGGAACTTAAGTTATTCAGGGAGTCTTTTTGAAAAACCTGATTGACCTTTACCTACGACCAAAAGATGGATGAAAATTAATAGGTGGATTCATAAAACAACTGGTAGAAAAAGAGTGGCCTGGTGTCCCCACGGTTGTTAATACCAGCTACGCTGCATCAAGGTCCCACTGTGGGAGCTTTCTGTGTGTTACCATCTAGCCTCGCAATGCCTCGAAAGGTGGGCACCATTACCGCCCTTTACAGATGGAAGGCTGAGGCTTCAAAGGTGAAACTTACCCAGCACCACACACCTGAAAGCTGGGTCCAGTGCCCGTTTTCCAGCCTGTGTGCCAGTGTGCACCCTAAATGACCTTATACCATGAACTGTAGCCATACAGTCACCTCTATCTTACTGCAGCTAAAAGAAGATGAGATGTTGGGAAGTACAGCAAGGATCAATTACCTTTTTAAATACGAACTATTTGAAGTTTTCCTACTGAACATAACACTATAGTATACGGCATCTCTGTGTATCACTAAAACAAATTTTCATTTAAAGAATTATGAGAATCCTAATCCTCTTAAAATTTATTAGCTGAATCTGTAAGTATGTGCAAATTCTTTTCCAATAGGAATTTTCTAGTTCAAATAGAATCCCCAGGTTAATTTTTAAAACTCCATTGTATTTAACCATTTTTTTTTCATACTTGGCAGAATAAAACATCCTAAAAATCTAAGGAATTTTTCAAAGTCATTCTAAACTGAAATGTTTAGAATTCCATTAAGGTTAGTTTTCAAGAGGATCAGCCATTTAACTGCGAAATTCTGGGAAAGTATCTGCATATTTGTGTGGTTTGATTTAAAAAAAATGAAAGCATCCAAATTTAAAGTGTCTGGAATGTAGGGGGAAAAACCAACAGATTCAAAGTGATTATCCTTGATCCTTGATGTCTTTTCAATCCACTTCACCTGAGGGCAAAGAATTTACTGCCAGTGAAAAGCTTTGATACGTTGAGAATTAATTGCATAATTAGCCACAGAGTTAGCAATATGTGGCCCAGAAAGGTATAGCATGACTTTAACTAAACATCACATTGTGTCTCATAATTCTCTACAATTTGAATTTTCAAGTTTTAAGAACCCAGTGGGATTTGAGGTGAATAAAACTTGATAATTCTTCCACAGTAATACTATCTGCTTAGCCTCCCTAAAAATATAGCTTATATAGATTTTACATCTAAATCTGTATGTTTTTGTATTTTTATTGTTATGCTTTCTCTTGTGACAATTGTTAGAGAAATACATTGGGCAATCACTTTTTAAAAAATGATTATATCTTTGTAATCATTAGTTTCATCAATTTATTTTTTCATGAGAGAAGTCAATATTTAGAGGGTCCAAAAGAAGCTAATAAAATTACTTGATTGTTTTTAGGAGATATTTACAAACTTAGCTCATTCCTTTAATGAGAGAGAAAATATCACAGGGAAGTAGAAACAACCAGTGGCCTCCCCCTCCAAAAAAACCCCACAGATTATAGATAAAATTACTAAAATTACTCTAAGAATTTGTCTTATTTTTAATGCATGGAAAATAGCAAAATTATCATGCCAACATGAGGAATATATACTATAATTCATAAATGCCTAATTATCAAAATAATGACATAGTCATGGTTAGATGCAACCTAGAAATCTTATATAAGATGCAACTACATATTGTATGATCATTCCTCTTATATATGACATTCAATCCTCATCAAATTCAGCTATGTATAAATGGCATTATGAAATAAACACTTAATATCACAATAGGGTCATAGTCTGCTACTGTACAACCATGGCATGCAAGTAACTATGCATTAGCTGTAAACAGTAAAGTGTCATAACCTTCCAGAAATCCAAAGAATGTGAAAAGTACATATATAGTACTAAACATCAATTGTATTTAAAGGACCTTCATATTTAACAAAGCTATATCATATACAGCAGCTTTGGAGATTTCTGTCACTGTTATACATATCTTGTCACCCTGAAGTGAGGAAACTGCAATTCCAAACTATATCTGTTAATGCTACTGAGCTTTAGTGAACTGTGGTCAGTATTAGGATGTAAATGATTCTGTGTTCTAATGTGAAGTATGTTTTATTTTTCCTTTCTGCCATAATTCAGAATTTTGAGTCACTAAGAGTGTGCTGACTGTGGGCAACCATGGACATATTTTCTAAACCACAGACTTTTTCTCAGGACATGGATGCGCTCGTGTTGGGAAGAAGACTCCTGTTGATGCTTGCCAGCCAGTGCTCTTCTCTACTTGTATTCTAGGTGGAACAGTTGGCAGGAAGGAACTCAGGTCATCTTGAGAGATGTCGCCTCTAAAATACATTTTGTAACATTTGTAAAAGGTAGTTAAAATCTAGCAGCTAGGAGAGGAAGGGCAAAGAAAGATCCATTCTTATAAAAATGCAGATGGATCATTTAGGTCTGATCCAATGATTCTTAGGCAATTAAAAATTATCATACTGGAGCAGAAGCTTGTATGCTGTAAAATAACCATTTCGGCTCTTTTCAGGTTGTGGTATTGGAGGCTGTTTTTGGAAGGAGGGGAACAACTGATCGCTGGACAGACTTTTCCATGCTCTATCAGCTCTGATAACGAGTTAGGTAGTTGGCATGGATGACAGGAATGTCCTCTACACTGAGCATTCTAATAAACCCCCTGTGAAGTTGCACAGAATGAGTTGAACTCATTCTGGTCTGCATTCTAGTTAGGCGGAAAGCTGTCACATTCTCAGACTGAGTTTGGACACGATATGGTCATATGAAATATTTAAATACATTACCTACATCCTACTACATCAAAATCTTGCCTTACCTTTACAACGAGATAAAAGAGCATTTAAAGCCATTGCAATGTGTTCATTCCCTGTTCATACACAGGTGATTCAAGTTTGCTTATGAGGCAAAAACTGTACAATTCTCATCATTCAGGCATTAAAAAATGTCTTTCTTTCAAGTCTTGGGATATAAACAGTTGATTTATATGAATTACATATTTTTCATCTTCATTAAGAAACAATATACATCTTTTTCCAGAGTAATTTAATGTTAGCTATAATAAGCCTAAGATAGTGGTAAAAACTGACTTTATCACCTGTGACCATCAATACTTTTATAAAACTCATGAACATTCTTTGGCCACCTGGGTCATTGTCCATTTGGAAGGAAACTGTACTCAGGCTCTGGATGATACAGAGATCTGCCTCCATAAAATCCAAGGCCATAGAACAGCTTTAACAGAAGCCCGAAGTAAAACAGTACAGAATATACAGGAGCGGTTTCCATTTCTCAGACACAAGTTCCTTGACGTGTTGAAAGGTGTTTTCGATTCCGGACTCCAGAAGTCTTATCTTTACTATCTGAAGCTTTCTGTTGTGAAATATCTATTAGGGCACTGGCAATTGCAAGGCCTGGAAGGAAAGAGAAAAGCATTTAAATGCTTGCTTAGACATTTCTGGGATGGCAACAGTGGTGGTGAAGGGCCCTGCTTTTTATTGCTTTTCATTTAGTCATCACACGTTTGGCTGTTAATGGAAGTTTTCAAGTAGTTTGCCCTTTACCTAAAATGTTTCTTGACTTGGGCATGTGAACTTCACCAAGGAAGAAGAAGAAAGATCTAAGAAAGTTAACTGACTCTGACTTGGAACAATCAAATCAGTGTTTGACAAATGATCACATTTAGTTGTGCATATGACCCTAAACCTTCCTCTCCATGTCTGAACACGAGTTTGCTGTGGAGGTACTAGAAATTTTAAATGTTACTATTTTTTTTTTTTTTTTTTAGGAACAAAACTAGTCATGTTAAGATTTTTAAAAACATTTCAAGCAGTTTTAGATTTACAGAAAAATTGAACCAATATTGAGATAAAATTACCAACTGAAGTCCATAATTTACATTAGGGTTTACTTTTTCTGTTGCATAGTTCCATTGGTTTTGACAAATGCATAATGCAGGGTATCCACCATTACAGTATCATACAAAATAGTTTCACTGCCCTAAAATACCCCCGCACTTCACCAATCTATCCCCCTTTCCCCAAGTCTCTGGCAACCACTGATCTTTCTTTAATGTCTCTGTAGTTCAGCCTTTTCCAGAATGTTGTATGGTTGGAATCACACAGTACGTAGCCTTTCAGACGGTCTCCTTTCACTTAGAAATATGTATTTAACGTACCTCCATCTCTTTTTTTCTTTTTGGCTTGATAACTCGTTTCCTTTTATTGCTGAATTATATTCCATTGTGCGGATGTGCCATAGTTTGTTTACGCATTCACTACTGAAGGACATCTTGATTGTCCTTGCTTCCAATTTTTGGTAATTGTGAATAAAGCTGTTAAAAACATCTGTGTGCAGGTTTTTATGTGAACATAACATTTCAATTCATAAGTACCTAGGAGCCTGATTGCTGGATAATATGGTAAGCTTATGTTTTAGTTTAGTTAAAAAAAAAAAAAGCCAAACTGTATTTCACAGTGGCTGTGCCATTTTGTATTTCCACCAGCAATGAATGAGAGTTCTTGTTGCTTCACAACCTCACCAGCATTTGTTGTTGTCAGTGTTTTAGGTGTTAGCCATTCTAATAGGTGTGTGGCAGTATCTTGCAGTTGTTTAAATTTGCAATTCTCTAATGACATATGATGCTGAGCACCTCTTGATATACTTCTTTGCCACATGTATACCTTCTTTAGTGAGGTGTCTGTTCAGATATTTTGCCTGTTTTTAATTGGGTTGTTTGTTGTCTTACTGTTGAGTTTTAAGAGTTCTTTGAAGATTTTGGATATCAGTTCTTTATCAGATATGTGTTTTGTAAATATTTTTTTCCCAGTCTATGGCTTGACTTTTCATTCTCATAAACTGTTTTAAAAATTACAAAAGCACTCCATGGATAGAGTTATGCTATGTACAAATGGACATGGAAGAAAGACCACTTGACATTTAGCTGACAAGCGTCTTAAGTACTAGAAAAGGACCTTGAGTATTATTGACCGAATGTGACCACAAATGCGGAGCTGTAGCTATCATAGGTAATTTAAGAAGCATATTGTTTAATTATGTTGATCTGCTTTGTTACATTGTTTGTCCAATGATGGACAGGAACACTTGGTAAGATGCTCAGGGATAGTAAAGATTTCATTAAATTTATAGGAGCCATGGCTCAACCAGATAATTTGGCTTATCATAGCTACATATGAGTCATTTTCATATCTGTTGAGTCCCATATAACTCTTGAGTAAAACCAAATGTATCAAATCACCATACTAAACCATGAGGCCAGATTGGCCTTGCTTAAGAAAAGGCCACAAAAGGACTTTTGGCTCATTTTCCTTTCTACAAGGTCTTGAAGACTTGACTTTGAATTGAGCTGACCTCTTCTCCACATGTTGCTCTTAGAGGAAGATCATTTTCAGATCTTATCCTACGTAGAATATCATTATTTTATTCCTGTGGGTCAGTTAATTCTGGGTAAGCTTCACATATTTCCTGGCAGGAACTGAATTCAGAGATTTATGGACAGAAAGAAATGACAGTAAAGGGATGTGAGCACTGTAAGAGGAAAGCAAACTAGCCTAGTGCAGTGTTGCGGGAGTCAAGGGAGGGCCAAGCCCAAGGAGTCTGTAAAAAGTGGCAAATGGGCCAGCAGGGTAAGGCCTGTGGCAAAGGCCATTAGACTTCCTCCAAGAAGATTCTGATGATCTTTGAGTCATTTCGGTATCTAACTGAGGATGGAAGCCTGAAAGTTAAACAACGAATGGAGTGACAGGAAGTACGGCCAGCAGACATAAGTTCCATGTTTAAGATGTTTAGCAATGGGAAGAGATAAGGAAGCTTATCTACATAACAGAATTAGCAGGGTCAGATGGAATTTATGTGGATGCATGGAATTATGTAAGTGCATTATTTAAAGGAAAAGGGAGCCTTGGATACATTTGAAAACAGAAGAGATTTGTGGAGAAGGAGAAATTTATGGTGTTAGCAAGGAAAGAAATTACAAAATTATAATAAGCTCTGGCTAAGCTGATAAATTTACAGATTTACCTTTTAAGGGTTGCTCTTAAGTAATTTGCTCTTTCAGGATATTAAATATCATCCTGAATGTTTTAGAGTTATTACAAGTTCAAAGTTTACATAAAAGCTGTTTTCTTGACCTTTGAAGAGCACGTGGGAACTTCTGAAGAGTCCAACATAGATGTTTTAAACACTTATTCTGCAGTAGTAAATAATTATTTCATTATTTGTTTAATTAATGGAGCTGAAGGACCTTGTTATTATTTTTAAAATTGCAGATTTTGGTGGTGCTAACTAAAAGTTCAAGCTGACTGTAAGTTTCCACTGATCTTCTGGCATACTTCTGTCATTATTTACAACTTCCTGCTATTTTATTCCTGGCACCAACTAATCCAGAGACAGCCAAATATGACAAATAATACATGTCTCCTTTAATGTGGACAGAGACCACTTACACTAATTTCAATGATCACAACATCCAAATATGAAATCATGTTATTCATTAAACTACTGCATGATGTAGTCCAAAGAAGCTCTGAAAAAATAATACTTTCCATTTACATGTGAATGCAAATGTTTTCATTACAGAAGATATAGCATCGGGAGAGGAGTAAGCAGCTTGAGTTGCCAAAACAGGAAATTCTACGCTAATCCAAAACTGCCACTGTATCGCTGTATTTCATGAAGTCCAGAACCTAACTGAAGCAATGTCTCTGACAACATGTCCTGGGTTTACTAATGATTCTGAAACTTGGAAACACATTCAGTTGAAAATCATAAATATTTCAGTTCTTAATTTACAAATAAAATTGCAAATCATGCTTATTTTTAATTTGACAGCTTTTTGTCATTTCTTATTAAAATGTAACAATCAACTGCATTTTCAGATCTGCATAAATGGCAATGTGTATGTAGAAAGGCTTGCACTTCTCTAGGCAGAGATATTTAAGTGTTCGCCGTGGTGCACTCACAGAGAACACTCAGGGCCATTTGCCCAAAGTCTTATCTGCCCATTTGATGGGCCAAACAATGTTTCATTTGGCTTAGGTCCTTTACTGGACCCCACGGCTTGTGGCCCATCATGAGTTATTCTTCTTTATAAACCTTGTAGTTTAATTATGAACAGGATAATAATCATAATAACTGCATTTATATGTGTGTGTGCCTTAAATATCAAGTTATTACTACTTTTGCATTTCTTCATGTTAAATATAAGGTGAACCTTAAAAACATCAGAAGTTGCTACGTTCTCTTTCAACCTACAAGAGAACCTAGATACAAGAATGAAAAAAAGAGACAAAGCCCCTATCTTATTGAATTCGATAGTGTGTATGGAAGACTCACTAAAAGAGAGAGAGAGAGAAGAGAGAGAGAGAGAGAGAGAGAGAGTAATCTCTGTCATTGCCTTTCAGCACACTTTGTTATTGTAAGGAATCTAATTTTCTTAACTGATGAAAAGAGAAGCCAAGTCAATAGCTTTTTTAAAAAGACTGTATTACCTCCCCCGTCCCCTAAATGTAGCAGTTATATTCTGGTAAGATACTGAACATGTAGATAATGCCCAGACCATGTATAAATAGAATTCTGACCCACAACTTGTGGCAACGTGCTCAGGAAACCGAGCTATAATCTGCAATAACCAGCCCAGGAAGCCAGCCTGCTATGTCAGACTTGTAAGAAGTCAGACTGCTATCTCTACTAATAACCCATGAAGTTAAACTGTAATCCCTGTCACGACTGGCCCCAAATGGCCAGGACTTGATTAATAAACAGCTTCCCTAATTTATGTCCTCACTTCCAGCCAGAGGAAACCAAATATGTACCCCTAACCACATAGGATGCCCCACTTCTAGTTAGTCTGTCTACAGCTCCCACAAGCTAACGGCCTCTCATCAGGGCACACCTGAAGCTTCCCTTTTTTCACTATAAAGATTTCCCATTCCTGCCTGTCCTTGAGTCTCCGCCAAAACACAAGTGAAAGTGGCTGACTCCCTTGCTATAGCAAGCTCAGAATACATAGCTTTTGCTTATTTTCATTTGCTTGGTCTTGGTTTATTTTCACGCTGGCAACAAAGACATAAAGGTCGTTTGCGATCTTTTCTGGGTTTTAAAAAAGGTATGTATCAATAAAAGAAAAGCAACCTAGAAATAGGTTCTTTGTGTTGCCATTTTTGGCACACACTTTCTCATGACTTTCCTGAGAATTTTTCCTGGTGAGAGGTCTTCTGGGGATGATCCCGCACTTCTTGTGCCATAGGAGGAAGTGCTTCCTCCTAGTTGGATGCTGGGCCCATGCTGCACGCCGCTAGAGTTCCATTAAAATCAGGTCACTCCAGAAGATCATTTTTCAAGACGTCACACAAATCATCTGATGAAATTCACTTATTGTGTTCTCTAGGCCTAGCATAGTTCCTTGTTATCAAAGCAATACAATTAACTGGGGGAACAATTCATTATTTTAGACTGATGGTCCAAAGGAATTTCATTTACCACGTAAAGATGATGCACAGATGCTGCAGGCTAGCAGGATTTACATAAAAATATACCAGTAGATTCAACAAAAATGCTGGGGTTTCAATAGTTATTATAAGCTTTACCTTTTTGTACTTTTAGTTCTTAAACACCAGACACTATGACATTTAGATTATTTAAATAGGAAGTATAAACCGCATAGGAAGGAACATACCATCCTCTGTTTCCTGTTCAATTTTCCATGGTCTCTTGGTGTTTTCAAACTGGTCCTTGCTAACAGAGAGCAGGCCCAGTGGCTGCTCTGGTTCACCTAGGGCAGGACAAGCCCTAAAGGAAACAGGCTCCTTTGAGACCATAGGAAATTCCCTCAGAAAATGGGCACGACTCAGTGGTCCCTGGGCTGGAGGCCAAGAGTTACCACAGCTATTTTTAAAGCTTATTTTTAATTGACAAATAACTGTGGATATTTATGAGATACAATGTGGTGTTTTGACCTATGTATACATTGTGGAAAGAGTCAATCAAGCTAATTAACATATCCATCACCTCTCCAACTTACCATCTTTTTTTGTGGTGAGAATGTTAAAAATCTATTCTTTTAGTTGTTTTGAAATATATAATACATTATTATTAACTGTGGTCACCATGTAGTGCAATAGATCATTAAAACTTATTCCTCCAGTCTAACTGAAACTTTGTACCCTTAGATCAAAACCTTCCCTTTCCCCATCCCTCCCCCTTCCCCTAGCCTCTGGTAATCAGCTTTCAACTCTCAATTTCTGAGATCACCTTTTTTAGATTCTACATATAAGTGAAGTCATACAGTATTTGTCTTTCTGTGCCTGGCTTATTTCACTTAACATAATATGCTCCAGTTCCATTCATGTGTTGCAAATGACTGAATTTCCTTCTTTTTAAGGCTGTATAATATTCCATTGTTTATAAAGACCACATTCTCTTTATTGATTTTTCCCTTTATCCGTTGATGGACACATAGCTGCTTCTATATCTTGACTATTGTGAATAATGCTGAAATGAATGTGGGAGTACCCCACAGCTATTTTGTAAATAAGTAGAACATACACCAAAATCAGACCTTCACCTGCAACCTTAGAAAAAAACAATATATGCCTCCTGAAATTTAAGAATTTTATTTCTCTTGAAACATGTGAAAACATGACCTGAAGAGACAGCAATGTAAATAACAGCTAAATAATTAAATGGTAAACATGTCTTTTTAAACCACTAAATTTGCAATGAAAACCACCAAGGAGAAACATCAGGAATTTAGTTATTGTTAGCAAAACTCTAGTTTTCCCTAATGGAAGTGAAATGGTAATAGCAGACTTCAGCAGTAACAATCTAATCATAAAATTACTGATGTGTGTTTTTTACAATTATGCAGAACAATTAATAAGTACAGTAATAAAATACTGCACATCAAATGAAATTGCCTTGGAAAGAACATTCCCGCTTTATATACAAACATAGCACTTCCATTTTACATTTGAACAAAAGCCTCAGAAAAGTCATTCACTTTGAAATGCTCTCCTCTGAAGTCTGTGTAAAAGCAGGCACCATTATATATTTTAATTTTCCAGGAAAACAGCTTCATTAGGTGTGAAAGGTTAATTGTAGGTTTAAGTGGAGTTCAGGGAACGGTGCCAGGTCTGTAGTGAATTGCACAGTCTGCTTCAGGACGACTGAATGAGTGCTGTAAACTGTTTGCCCTGCCGAAATGTTTTACTACCTCATTTACTATCTGTCTTCTTTTACTGCTGTATTTGTAGTTCTTTTAAACCTTTAATGGCTACAGTTTTATTTCACTGTAATCAGATTTAAATGGAAATACCATGCTGGGATGTTTAAATGTTTTTCCTCTGATCGTATATAGCTACATACTACTGATCAAAGTCTTGGCTATCCTTCACATGATTAAGAAAGTGACTTTGGGAAACTTTGATGTTACATAGACTCTAACTATTGTGCAGACTTAATTTAACATTCGGTGTGGCCACCCTCGCCAATATGCAACTAAGGCTCGATGCATAATTAGAAAATATGCATTTCCATTTTAATTTATCTGTTGGAAGGCCAGCACAAGTGAAGTCATTATTAGGCAAAACTCCAAAGGTTACATTGTTGAACAAAAATGGAAAAACTTCAAGTGCCGAAGACACTGGAATGACAAATGCACTAGTCATACTTGTCTGATCATTTGAAGAGATATTTCCCCTCACCTACTAAAAACCAGTGACAACTACAGATGCCAATGTTTCAGTGCAAATGATCATTGTATTCTGGTTATAAAATTTTGCCTGGCCTTTAACATATCATAATATTTTACAATTTCATTTAGAGACACACTGCTCAAGTTATAGAAAATGTTATCCTACTCCAGCACCACAGACACCTCACGCAACACTTTCTATAACATAGCTGAGCACTCCCTGACTTTCATACGAATTGTTCTCTCATTGGGTAGAATGTGCTGAATAAATCATGACTGTCTCAAATCATTGTTTTTAATGCAAATCCTCACGGTTCTTGGCAAGTGATCTCATCAGTTCTATTTTTAATTACATACTCAAAAACTTTACTTGGTTTATTTAAAATATTTTGTTGCCACTGATTTCGGAGACACAAACACTTACCAGAATCAGACTTGCAGCTACCTTTCCAGATTGTTAAGTAAATTTGGAACTCAAATGGAAATTCCTTCTTTCTAAGCCAACTGGAGAAATATTTTCTAGTATTTTCTTCTTTCAATTAAAAAAACCCCCAACAATTCTGATACTTGACAATCCTTATTAGAAACCCTAGTCATTCTTAATTTAAATGCTTACTGCTCATTGAAGAAATGGAACAATGGTAGTATTGTAATAATGGCTGTATTTTATTTTTCATTTGGTAGAGACATTGTATTTCAGTATTTCTAGTGGAAAAATGTCACTGACTGCCTTAAGTGAGGTTATGTATGTGAAAGTGTTTTATAAACTATAATGTATTATATAAATTTAGTTAATAATTTCAATAATAATCTGTTACTACCAATAAGAAATCACCGTCAAACTATAGATGCTCAGAAAACTCCAAAGCCTTGATAATTAAAAAATCATTTGAGAAGCAAATAACTTCACTCAACAAGTGTTTCTTGAGCGCCTACTATATGCCAGGCACTGCTTTAGTCCCCAAGGATTTAGCAGTGAACAAAACTGATGATATATGAAAGATTCTGTACCTCATGGAGTTTACGTTTTAGTGGATCTAGCACACGAATTCTTTTGACCAAGTCATCGTGAGGATTAAATGTAAAGGGCTTAAAAAACGCCTGGTATATAAGAGTTCAAAAATGTCAGTCTTCATCATCATCACCGTCATCCTCATTAACATCAAGTGAGAAGCTTGAAGTCAAATAGGAAATAGTAGACAAAACTCTGGGCACGCAAAGATTTTGCCTGTATCTGCAAAAGCATTCATTCATGCAAAAATCAGTATGTCTACCATGGGTTGAAATGCCGTGTAAGGAAACAATTATTAGAAAGATAGATTCAAAGACAAACAGACAATGTCAATTTAGAGCAACATCATCAGTGAGGGGATTCTGTGTGCAGTCCTCAAAGCAGAATTTATGTGATGCCTGGGATGATGAAATTGAGAATTTGCCCATGAGGAAACACATGACTTACATGTGTTGTCCACTCACTAGGAAATGCAAAAATAACCGAAAGTGATAATGGCAAAATAGAGGAATGACAATATTCAACAGAGAAAGCATTGTTTATACTAATATTGCCTATGTCATTGGAAATACTACTAATAATTGACTTTTATCATTTTCAGAGTTACAAAATGCTTTTACATTCATTATCTAGGTTGTTTCTCAAAACTATTCTGTTGAAGTGGGTCAGGAAGCTATTTTTGTCCTGATGTCACAGATGGCCAAAATGAGGCACGGAGCGGTTAAATGACTAGTTTATGCCCACACAGCTGGTGACAGTGGTGGCACCTGAACCCACGACTCCAGATCCCTTGACCTTCACTCCGCTCATTTGCAGCCATAAGAAGGAAGCCGCTACTTTGGTGCAAATGTCTCCCATATGATTGTGAACCAGAAGAAAAAGAAAAACAAAACTTAGTAGAGATGTGAAATCAGCTATGGTCAAAAATATTGAGTAATTGCTGATAGTAATAAAAGCAATAATGATAATAATACAAAAAAACTATGATTGATTCTGTTAACATCAACTGAATGCTTACAATAAGCCAGGCATTACCCTCAGCTCTACATATGCATCATTTTATCAGGATATGCAGTTAGGAGTGGATGACAATACAGGTTAAATTGAGAAACATGTATTGAGGGCATGTTGCAGGCAGTGTTGTAGCTGGCTGTTCTCAAAGAACATCAAACTAGGGCAAAGATTCAAGAGCTCCTAGATTTGCTAACAATTGTGCAGATGCCAACTCTATGAAGCAGGCAGAAGCCATGAGGAAAAGAAAGATAGAGGCGTGATCTCTAAGGGGAATGTGGAGGTTGAAGATTCCCAAGAGAGATGATCTCTGAACTGAGATTTGAATGATGAAGAGGAAGAAGTACACTGGCAGGAGGGGTGTGGTGTGTTCTGGATACTGGAAACTACAAAATCAGCAGCATGGAGGGAAGGGATATTTGAGAAACTTCAGGACATACATTGTAAATGGAACAATGGGAGAATGGTAAGAGAGAATACAGGAGGTCAGCAGCAAAGGGTCCATAAAGTGGCCTTAGGTGTTACACTAGGACTTTGATTTTTAATCTGCAAGGCAGAAAGAGCCATGGAAGGATTTTAAGGAGTAGAGAGGCATAATCAGATTTTTATTTCAAAGAGACACCTCTAGTGTAGCATGGAGGACAGACTGGAGTAGGGGGTGAGGCTACTATTATTGAAACCAGATAAGAATGTGGCAATAAGGAGAGATAAACGGGATGGACAGGATAGATATTTAGGAGAGAGTAGTATGGGAGATAAAATAGGGCACTCTTGAGTACCTGGGTGCATACAATTGGTATTCACAAGCATATGATGGAACAGGAATGGCCAGGGTGTGTGGGAAAGCAGTGGATCATTTGTCTGGCTTCAGACATAGTGAATTTGGTGACCTGCAGGTCATTATAGTGGACCTGTCTACTTGGATATGCAGTTGTGAAACTCAGGAATAAAGTCTATGCCAGAGATGCAGAATTGGGAGTAATTAGCATAGATGGAATCTGAAGATTTTATAATTATATAGGTGGGGAATGTTAGCTGTTGCAATAGTTAAAGCCTGAAATCTCAAGGGTTTAACAAAATCGAAGTTTGTTTCTCACTATGTAAAGTGTTCCTGATTGGTGGCAGGCTGTCTGGAAGGGGATGGAGAGGAACACAGCTTAGCTCTGGTCTATGGCATTATTTAGGGCCTCAGACCGATGACACTTCTGTCATCTTCAATCCAGGGCATCCACCATTGCCTTGAGCATTGGCATCTAGATGGTAGGCAGAAGATGAGCAGGTGGAAAAGGTACCTCCACTCTAAAACACTTTGTTCCCATGCCATTAGCAAGTACAGCTGCCGGGCAACACCTCTCCACTACTCAGCTGGGGCTGGGGTGTGTGTGCAAATCTTCGGTGGAAAACTAGCACTCTGCCATTAGAGTGGATGAGGCTTCCCTGGTAAAAAGAACAGAGTAAGAAAGGGAGAAGACCCAGAGGAGGGCTGATGGTGGGGAACACAGGAAAATGAAGAGAGGTAGGAGAAACCAGGAATGAGATTGTCCACAGGCTCTGTAACACTGGTCAGTAGCTAGTTATAACCTGTGGATCCTGTTTCTGTTTGCAGCAAAAGTCCCAAAATTCCATGGCAACTGTAAGCCAGCTGAGTTTGTGGCTTCCAAGTTGTTCTTGACTTGAAATTCAGCATGTCTCTTGAGAAATTTCTCTTGGAAAGCAGTTGGAGTAGGTGGCTGCTAATGTCACTTCTGGTTCTATGAATTCATGACTGCAGCTGCCTTTCTTCATCAGGCCATGGGCAAAGACCTGGACATCCCTGCTGGCTTCCCCTCCATGTGTGCTTGTGGGCGGCAGCAGAGTGGGCTGCCACAGCATCGCTGTGAAGTCAGGGGACTGGATGGGCTCAAGGACTCCCTTGCTAGAAATGTGCATTTGGTCTTGTTAGTTGATGACTTGAGAAGGACTGGACATGCTTCTACAAGAGTGAGAACTGCACTGGTAGTACCAGCTATGGTTTGTATTTATGGTTAGGTGTGTGGTTTCTATGATGCCAAAAACACTAGTGAAGAAGCTGACTCTAAGTTTCACATTACAAGAGTAAAGAGACTGGGCAATGTCAAACACCTGGCTGGGACTTGATCTTGTGTCTAGCAATCTCTGAACAGCCTGGTTGTTTGTTTGTTTTAAAATTTACTTTTCTAATTGGAAGTCCCACCATAAGCATAACTCAGTTCCTGAAGGAATTGCTTGCCAAAGGGAAGAATCTGTTCACCTTTCATATGAGTTCTGATCTCTCTCAAGGGATCTGAGCAAAGTTAGAGCTAACAGGAATGTGTTTTTGTTTGTTTTTTAAAGCTCAGATACCTGTTTACAAGAAATTATCTTACCGTTTTAAGTCAAGGCTAAAGTGTTGGGTAGTGATGCACATAATAATTTTCCATAGTATTTATGTGAGGGTATAGGAAAGTATAGGAGACAGATACAAGGCTTATAATATTACATAGCACAGATATACCACAATGAATATTAAAAGACAAGCTATCAACTAGAAAAAAATGAATTTTTGTATTTTTCAAAGTGATATTTCTGCTCTCTTAAGTTCCTAGCAGTCAATATTTTTAAAAGTTTGGCATTAAAATAAATAGAAAATATACAATGATCTCTGCAAAGTCAAAATATTGTTTTAACAAACTCCATTGGTAGAACAAATTTATGACTTCCATATAAAACTAGATCATGGCAAAATGGGAGAAAAACACTAGAAAAAATTATGCAAACACTCACTTCTAGCCATTTAGATAAAATGGAAGGGAAAATGGTGTAGAGAATCATGATTTTTTTCTATTAATATTATTCTAAATTGCTTAGACCTTACTGAAAGTTATTACAGATAATGTAATGGCCAAAGGCATTTTAACGAAAACAGGTATGTCTGTAACCAAATTTATCCTTGATAAATCTCCTTTGCTGAAGGAAAAAGCAGTAGAGTTGGACAGTACATTTCTCAAAACAGACTTGAAACCTTTCCTCTGATGTTTGCTAAGTGATCCAGGACCCTGATAGTACACATTCTCTCCAGTAATTCAAAACAGGGACTTTTGGAAAGTCGTTTGATTAAATGACCTCCTTTAATCTAACAGAGGATTCTCTGAAGCAATTTTGAGAATCTGACTGAGTATATCCCATAAATGCTGGCCCTTTTGAGTGAAAAAAGTATCATGGTGCCCCATTTTGCCTTTGGGAGCAATCAAAGTGGCCTCCAAGCTACTATAGATTGAGAAGTGTCAGAAAGAGTCAGCACTAGTGGGGACCTTTCAAACTCCACAGGCAGGTAAATCAGAGAGAGAACAGACTTCAGAGTGATCTGGAATTTTCTGATGTTATATCCAGGGGGGTAAACACTGCCCTGCATCCACTCCATGGTATTTTTCAGATACAAAGAGAATTCTCATAGACCGGTTCCACAATCCCTGCCGACATGTTTCCTAGATCATTTGACGTGTGTATCTGCAGAAGGGGCCCCTTGTTAACCACAGGTTCCTCACAGGATGGCAACGTGATGGGTTAAGGGATGGATGGAGATAGAAACTATTAGCACATGTCATTACAGAATGTCATTTGCGGGGAGAGATGGAAAACTTTGTTTTCTTCGTTAGGCATATTCACTTTGGATGCTGTCTACTTACTTTCAGTAAGTGCCTTAGCTGGCATGAAGATGAAAAAAACTTGCTTTCAGGTCAATAAAGGGAATCTCTGATGATCAATGGCTGATTAAAGCAAGATCTTCTGAGCAGTAGGCTCTGGGCTGTGTTCTGTAAAGAGTTTTCAAATTAATCTTCCTCTGAGGTCTGGGCAAGGGGCCAGTTCACCATCCAGCTGTCTCTGACTTTCAGCCCAATGGTACATGAGTTCCCATAATTAGAGTAATCATTTTATTTTTAAATAAAGAAAAGAAACTTATAATATCATTATACTTTAGAGGCATTAAATCTAAGAAAGTGCAGTGCAGCAGAAGTACGGTACTATCAGGTTTCAAAAAGTATAATTTAATCAGATTTAGTTTCGTAGTCTCTTAATCCGAAATCCTAAATTAAATTACTTAGTTTAGTAATTTGGGATTACTAAAATTGGAGAAATACAGATTACAATTTTTATTTGCAAATATATTTATCATTTTCCCTAAAGCAATGTAAAAGCAAATCTTGAAAAGACAAATATATGGCTTATAATCAACCTGGATATTCACCCCTTCCCGCTCCCTTAGTAAAAGGCTGTAAGACTATGTTTTTAAAGCATTTGACAAATTGGGATCCTAATTATCAGAACAAAAGCAAATCCTGTATGAATAACTGCATATTTTAATTAATTATATTTTGTCCCTATTTCCCTATTTCACTTTCAGGAGTTGGAAATAGCAGACCAGTTGTTTTTCTTTGTTTGTTCAAGTGCTAACTGAGAGAAGATGGAGAAGTAAAAATACTGACCCTGAGCCAGTGAGCCTCAGTGCCAAAGGGCTACCCATTATTTCTAGAGAGTTAGAATAATCTGCAAAGATGGAAAGTCAGTGTACAAAAACACATTAACTCATAATGCTCATGCCCAGATGTTTACCATCCACCAGTATGACTCTTAGTTGTATATTTACTGCAGTCTTTGTACGAGATTTTAAAAAATGTTATCTTTAAAAATGTTGAGTGAGATGCCTGAGATAAAATGTGGCTATATCTTTGTGCAGAATCACTCATGTGACCAAAATTGACCCAGTTGAATATTTTAGCTAAGCCAATTATACCCCAAATTTGATTTTCATTCAAATAAAACCAATAGTTGAATTGTAGGTGGCTGAATTGCCTGGCTGTTGGACTGAACTGTTCAGATCAGTATCAGTTATGATGCCCTTCATGGGATGTATGACTAGTTCTGAAGCTTGTGTATGGCTAGTTCTGAAGTTTATGGGATGTATGACACGTTCTGAGGCTTATGATCCGACCTGAAGAGGTTTACACTACAACTCTGAGCATGGTCTGTATTCAGATGTGCAATCAAACATGACAGAAGCAACTTCTGGGGAAGGAAAAAAACCAAATAAATCTCTAGAATGACTGTGGTTAAAAACACATTGTTTGGTAATTTTAAGTAATTTGGGAAAAGGCCTGCTTAGAAGAAATAAACAAGGCATACAATGTCACATTAAGATAATGTTAAAATACAAAGCACCGGCATTAAAGTGTGAATTGGGTGTAGCTTATCAACCATAGCTACAGCCCCAGAGTTCAAGTTCAGAGGAAATATTTCCTAAACTTCCTAGAAGGTCAATATTTTAATATGTAAGCATCTATACCACATTCTTTGGAAAGATTTTAGGAACTGCACCATCAAATTTCAAATGGTGCTTCTTTCACAGGTTGCTTAACCTTCCTCAAACATTTAGATTGGATTAGTATTTAAAAAGTAAGGTGAACTTAGAAAAAAACATGTTTATATAGGAAAGCAATCTGTTCAACTTCCCATCTTTAACATATTGACATATGTTTTGTTCTAGTATTAGTCAAAATTAGCTTTGAGATAAAAGTTCATACTAATTATCCCATAATGTAGCCTAATCACTGCTGACATTTTGAAAGAAGATGTTAAGGCAGCCAAGATAAAAACTAAAAAGTGGGTGCAAAAATATTACACATGTTCATCACAAAAATTATAATGGTCCTCCGTGAAGTTATTTTTTCTTAAAGTACAATCTGAAAGTGACCATGTCTGGAGGATGGATAAACTCATTGGACCCTCTGACCTACTCCAGCCTTGGGTTCCTTCATACCTGGCATGTCTCTGGTTTGTAGGTAGATAAGCCAAAAACATTTTGGATATGTTTCAGTTTAAATTTTATTGTTTTGTCCATTTTTATGACTTTTAATATGACATAAATATAAGATAGGATGAGTCAAAGGATTTATGCTTTAGTTTTCTCTTTTTCAGCTGAAATGATTAGACCCAGAATTAAGTGAACATTAACTCCAATCAGGCATTACCTTCAGAATTTGATGAACCTTGCAAATTTTGATGTTAAAAATGAGAAGTGTTTATTATTACACAAATTCCTAAATACCAGTTAAGAAATAAGTGTAATCAAACATAGCATCTATAAATTTTTCCTTTTTAAAAACATAAATTAGCCCCTACACTTTGTTTATTTAGTCAATATAAAAAGTTGAAATTTCCCCTTGTTGAAATGAGTAAAAATGCAATTATGATGCAAAAATCAAAAGAAAACACAGATTTTGATTCTCTCATGTTTTTCAGGATCAGTATTCAAAATGGGCTTTGTGAATAGTGAACACTAAAGAAGAACATAAGGATTCAGTGAGTTTGAAAATAACTTTGTTTTGGACAATCACATTGAAGTGAATTTAAATAATCTTAAAAGTATGAGAGAATCAAATTTAAAGGACATGTTTCTAAAATCATTCTTAAAATCTTATTCCCAGTAATAAAGGTGCTTTTCACACCCACAAACACAGATACATGAAACACTGATTAAGTCCTATGAACCAAGAAGTTGAAAAATATTTTATCATATGTATACTGGTACTCTTTGTATTATCAATATGAACAGAAGCAAAATACTTCTCTATTTAAAAAAAATCTGTTTTACTTCTGGTTTTGATCAGAATATTCAAACAGGAAAAAGATAAGAAAGTGATCACCAAAAACTGAACCTGGGACCCTTGGTTTGAGATAATTAACTAATCAATAGACAATTCTTCTCTTCAGGGAATGCATAGAAACAGACATTTATTCAGGAACTTTTCAGATTTTCATACAAGGTAATTAATACAAGCTTCACTATAGACAATTACATTTTAATGACTTTCTGTTCAAATTACATGAATTTTATGTAAGGAAAAGCTTATGAAGTCTAAGATTTTCTTTCCACCCAAGTTATTAAAATCTGTGTTTGAATATAGTTCCTTTCATTAACATTAAATCAGTTAGCTTTAATTTATAAAAAAGGACTGCTAAGTTTTACCACAATAGTTTGCACAGCTTTAATTTGCATTCATGAAAAAACACAATAAATTAATTTGCTACTTGGAACAAATTTGACAAATGCATTAATCATAAAGAAACCAAACTCAGTTTTCTTTACTCTTTCTCACAAAGATAGATGTAAGATACGAGACTACTGATTTAGCATTCTTTAAGCAAAATGAGATGTAATGATAATAATGAGGATATTCATAGCACTAGAGAATTGGAGAGCTGGAAGGAGCCTTAGAAATTTCCTGGTTTAACAAATGGGAAAAGAGCAATTCAGTCTCCCAAACAGTCCATAGAGCCAAATTCTGAAGAGGGATTATTTTCATTTTCTCCATTGGAAACCACCACAAAAATTAGACTTTTTCAAGTACTGACTAGTTTGGCTTTGAAATTACTTTGGTTCTTCCTGAACCATACTACTTCCTGTCCCTAAGGTTTTGAGAGCACAGTTTGAGCTCAGAGATTATGCTAAATCATAACATGAAAATTTAGGTTTTTTAACAAATAGCATGAAAACAGCACTAAAACGATTCCCAACACCTACACTGTGCACTGATTCTCTTGACAAGTCAATAAAATATTGTCAAACACATTTACAAGTTTGTATCTCTGTGAAAAGGTTTGGATAAAGAAGCATTTAACAGTAATATACTGTATTGCAAATATTTCTCTTATTTGCTAGTTGTCATTTCATGCTTATTTATTAAGCTTCAAACTTTTGCTTTTATATATAGTTGAAGCTAAAGATCATCTTAATGTTTATATGGTGTTTGGAAAGGACTTCCCTACTCTTAGATCATAGCAAGATTCTCCCATGTTCTCTTCTAATGGTTTTTTAAAATTTAATCTTTTGGTATTATGAAGAAAATTCAAAGGAAGTTACTGAAAGCAACAGTAATCACAGTATTCTTAGCAAATGTTCAAACATTATTAATCATTTTTGAATGAAATAGAATTCTACCAGTTTTCAAAGGGAATGCTTCCAGGTTTTGCCCATTCAATATGATATTGGCTGTGGATTTGTCATAAATAGCTCTCATGATTTTGAGATATGTTCCATCAATACCTGAGAGCTTTTAACATGAAGGGATGTTGAATTTTATCAAAGGCCTTTTCTGCATCTATTGAGATAATCATGTGGTTTTTGTCTTTAGTTCTGTTTATGTGATGGATTATATTTATTGATTTGTGTATGTTGAACCAGCTTGCATCCCAGGGATGAAGCTGACTTGATCGTGGTGGATACCTTTTCTGATGTGCTGCTGGATTTGGTGTGCCAGTATTTTATTAAGGATTTTTGCATCGATGTTCATCAGTGATATTGGCCTAAATTTTTCTTTTTTTGTTGTGTCTCTGTCTGACTTTGGTATCAGGATGATGCTGGCTTCATAAAATGAGTTAGGGAAGAGTCCCTCCTTTTCGATTGTTTGGAATAGTTTCAGAAGGAATGGTATCTTCTGAAACCCTCTTTGTACCTCTGGTAGAATTTGGCTGTGAATCCTTCTGGTCCTAGACTTTTTTTTGGTTGGTAGGCTATTAATTACTGCCTCAATTTCAGAACTTGTTATTGGTCTATTCAGGGATTCAACTTCTTCCTGGTTTAGTCTTGGGAAGGTGTATGTGTCCAGGAATTTATCCATTTCTTCTAGATTTTCTAGTTTATTTGCATAGAGGTGTTTATAGTATTCTCTGATGGTAGTTTGTATGTCTGTGAGGTCAGTGGTGATATTCCCTTTATCATTTTTATTGTGTCTATTAGATTCTTCTCTCTTTTCTTGTTTATTGGTTTAGTTATGGTCTATCTATTTTGTTAATTTTTTCAAAAAACCAGCACCTAGATTCATTGATTTTTTGGAGGGTTTTTTTTGTGTCTCTATCTCCTTCAATTCTGCTCTGATCTTAGTTATTTCTTGTCTTTTGCTAGCTTTTGGATTAGTTTGCTCTTGCCTCTCTAGCTCTTTTAATTGTGATATTAGGGTGTCCGATTTGAGGTCTTTCTAGCTTTCTGATGTGGGCATTTAGTGCTATGAATTTCTCTGTTAACACCACTTTAGCTGTGTCTCAGAGATTCTGGTATGATGTCTCTTTGTTCTCATTGGTTTCAAAGAACTTCTTGATTTCTGCCTTAATTTCATTATTTACCCAGCAGTCATTCAGGAGCAGGTTGTTTAGTTTCCATGTAGTTGTGCAGTTTTGAGTGGATTTCTTAATCCTGAGTTCTAATTTGATTGCACTATGGTCTGAGAGACTGTTATGATTTTAGTTCTTTTGCATTTTCTGAAGAGTGTTTTACTTCCAATTATGTGGTCAATTTTAGAATAAGTGCCATGTGGCACTGAGAAGAATGTATATTCTGTTGATTTGGGGTGGAGAGTTCTGTAGATGTCTATTAGGTCCACATGATCCAGAGCTGAATTCAGGTCCTGAATATCCTTGCTAATTTTCTGTCTCATTGATCCGTCTAATATTGAAAGTGTGTTAAAATCTCCTACTATTATTGTGTGGGAGTCTAAGTCTCTTTATAGGTTTCTGAGAGCTTGTTTTATGAATCTGGCTGCTCCTGTATTGGGTGCGTGTATACTTAGAATAGTTAGCTCTTCTTGTTGAATTGTTCCCTCTACCGTTATGTAATGCCCTTCTTTGTCTTTTTTGATCATTGTTGGTTTAAAGTCTGTTTCGTCAGATACTAGGATTGCAACCCCTGCTTTTTTTTTTCTTTCTTTCCATGTGCTTGGTAAATTTTCCTGCATGACTTTATTTTGAGCCTATGTGTGTCTTTGCACATGAGATGGGTCTCCTGAATACAGCACGCTGATGGTTCTTGACTCTTTATCCAATTTACCAGTCTGTGTCTTTTAATTGGGGCATTTAGCCCATTTACATTTAAGGTTAGTATTGTTATGTGTGAACCTGATCCTGTCATCCTGATGCTATCTGGTTATTTTGCACACTAGTTGATTCAGTTTCTTCATAGTGTCATTGGTCTTTATATTTTGCCCTCTCTCACCATTCTTATGCAACATAGTATTGGAAGTTCTGGCCAGGGCAATCAGGCAAGAGAAAGAAATAAAGGGTATTCAAATAGGAAGAGAGGAAGTAAAATTGTCTCTGTTTGCAGAGGACATGATTTTATATTTAGAAAGCCCCATCATCTCAGCCCCAAAACGTCTTAAACTGATAAGCAACTTCAGCAAAGTCTCAGCATACAAAATAAATGTGCAAAAATCACAAGCATTCCTTTACACCAACAACAGACAAGCAGGGGGCCAAATCATGAATGTACTCCCATTCACAATTGCTACAAAGAGAATCAAACACCTAGGAATACAGCTAACAAGGGATGTGAGGGATCTCTTCAAGGGGAAGTACAAACCACTGCTCAAGGAAATAAGAGAGGACATAAACAAATGGAAAAACATTCCATGTTCATGGATAGGAAGAATCAATATCGTGAAAATGGCCATACTGCCCAAAGTAATTTATAGATCCAACGCTATTCCATCAAACTACCATTGACATTTTCACAGAATTAGAAAAAACTACTTTAGATTTCACATGGAATCAAAGAAGACCCTGTAGAGCCAAGACAATCCTAAGCAAAAAGAACAACGCTGGAGGCATCAGACTACCTGACTTCAAACTATCTTACAAGGCTACAGTAATCAAAACAGCATGGTACTGGTACCAAAATAGACATATAGACCAATAGAACAGAACAGAGACCTCAGAAATAACGCCACACATCTACAACCATCTGATCTGCCACAAACCTGACAAAAACAGGCAATGGGGAAAGGCTCTCCTATTCAATAAATGGTGCTGGAAAAACTGGTTAGCCATATGCAGAAAACTGAAACAGGACCCCTTCCTTACACCTTATACAAAAATTAATTCAAGAATGATTAAAAAGTTAAATGTAAAACCCCAATCCATTAAAAAAACCCTAGAAAACCTAGGCAATAACATTCAGGTCATAGGCATGGGAAAAAACTTCATGACAGAAATGTCAAAAGCAATTGTAACAAAAGCCAAAATTGACAAATGGGATCTTATTAAACTAAAGAGCTTCTGCACAGCAAAAGAAACTATCATCAGGGTGAACAGTCAACCTACAGAATGGGAGAAATGTTTTGCAATCTACCCATCTGACAAAGGTCTAATATCCAGATTTTACAAGGAACTTAAGCAAATTTACAAGAAAAAAACAACCCCATAAAAAAGTGGCAAAGTGTATGAACAAACACTTCTCAAAAGAAGACATTTGCACAGCCAACAAATATGTGAAAAAAGCTCAACATCACTGATCATTAAAGAAATGCAAATCAAAACCACAATGAGATACCACCTCACACCAGTCAGAATGGTGATTGTTAAAAAGTCAAGAAACAATAGATGCTGGTGAGGCTGTGGAGAAACAGGAACGCTTTTACACTGTTGGTGGGAATGTACATTAGTTCAACCATTGTGGAAGACAGTAGGCGATTCCTCAAGGATCTAGAACCAGATATGCCATTTGACCCAACAATCCCATTACTGGGTATATACCCAAAGTAATATATATCATTCTACTATAAAGACACATGCACATGTATGTTTATTGTGGCACTATTTACAACAGCAAAGTCATGGAACCAACCCAAATGCCTATTAATGATAGACCGGATAAAGAAAATGTGGTACATATACACCATGGAATACTACACAGCCATAAAAACGAGATCATGTCCTTTGCAGGGACATGGATGGAGGTGGAAGCCATCATCCTCAGCAAACTAACACAGGAACAGAAAACCAAACGACACATGTTCCCACCCATAAGTGGGAGTTGAACAGTGAGAACACATGGACACAAAGTGGGGAACAACACACACCAGGGCCTGTTGTGAGGGGTTGGGCGCGAAGGGAGGGAACTTAGAGATGGGTCAATAGGTGCAGCAAACCACCATGGCACAGGTATATCTATGTAATAAACCTGTACATTCTATACCTGTGTCCCAGAACTTAAAGTAAAATTTAAGAAAAATAGAATTCTAATTTTTGATCTACTACATACATATATACATACATGTTTTGTGTATATATGTGTATGTACATATATTTTGTTACTGGGTTACATGAAGATGTTGATACAATAATTTAAATCAGGAGACCACCTCATTAGAGCCACTTCACTATCATTAGAAACACTGCAATCCTTCAGCTAAGGCTTGGACAAGAAAATACTGTAAGAGACTACAGAATAATCTTTTAAAAATTAAAAATCTTTTTGAGATGCATACATTACGTTGATTCATGGAAATTATTCATATTCCTTTACGGTGGGCTAAAGTAACACTGATATCTTAGGAATAGGAAGAGAATAAGCCATCTACTACCTCACCATGCATGGGTATTTTCCTTGTGTTAAAAATTCTAAATTCTTTTGATCCCACTGGGTCTTTGTTTCTATAGAAATAAATTTATTTCTTCTCCTCTTAACATATTGCTCTTTCCTCTATACATTGTTGTTATATGAAGAACTTGCCTTACTTATTTTCTTATTAGTTTTTAAAATTTAAAACATGTTCTTACGCTACTACATATGTCAGATTGGAAAAGTCAGCACTGATGGAGTATTTCTGCTAAAGATAATCTTAACTGACTTTTGAAAACGAAAACTATCCCACGCTTCCCAGGCTGAGTACAGTGATTCATGCCTGTAATCCCAACACTTTGGGAGTCCAAGGTGAGAGGATCACTTGAGCCCAGAGTTTGAGGCTGCAGTGAGCTTATGACTGCACCACTGCACTCTATCCTGGGTGACAGAGCAAAAACCTGTCTGTAAAAAAAGAAATTAAAACATAATAAATAAATAGCTAGCTAGATAGATAGAATGAAAACTATCCTGGTTGCTTATTTATATATATGAAAGGATTTTATTATTTTATCTTAAGTATATTTAATTTTTCTGGGTTACTCATGATCAGAAAATTTAAATGACATGAAATTTTAGCTAAGTGACTACATGCAAACCACCCTTCCTCTGCTTTATTAAAACATACAGATCCCTGTTGACAAATGATAGTTTTCCTAAAAGACAAGTATTAAAATAAAAATATTTTCCCTTACTCAGACAATGTCAAACTGTCCATACGCATCTAGACAATTTCTTCACTTCAAGCAAATCTTAGTGCTGAAAACCAGTGAACGTGGGGGCAGGGTTCAGAGTAGTTTCAGGCCCTGGTCTGGCACCTCCTTGACCTACAGCCCTGGGTGACGAGGCTGGCAGCAGTCTCAATGGCTGAGCTATCCTTCACCCTACAACTGGAGGTGAGTCAACAATCCCTAAGGCAGGGAAGCTGACTAATGTTTAAGAAACATTTTCAGTCATAGGTTTGAAATACAATTATTTTTGGTTAACTCTCGATTAGTCACAATATTAAGTTAATCTGTTTTTATTTTCCAACACTTGAAAATGTGGTGTTACAAAAAGGTTATGTAAATTGGGATAATCCCATGTAAAAATGAGTGGGTTCACCAACACTTTACGCTAACACAATTTTAAAAAAAGATTAGCTACTGCATGAAGTGAAAGTGACTAACATGGTATTTCTTCTGGGATTAATACTGGGTATACTTAGGTGTCTCTACTACTTGTTCTCAACACCTGAGCAATCTCCTTAAGAATCAAGCCCTAACAAAGAAGAAGAGCTACAGCTAAAAGGTAAATTTGGGCTGTATTATCAAACTATCATACAGTGAAAACCAGAAATATGGGGGTAAGAGGTGTAAAAGAATTTAAGAACCTTAACAGTTATTGTAACTGGACTCTCTTTTCTCATCCTTTAAAAAAGGTGCTAATTCCTAGAGTTTTCTTCTTTATCTTTTTAAGAAAACTGCTTTATAGAGGCATGACTGACATACAAAAAGTTGTACATATTGCTTTTTTATCCTTTAATACATTTTAGTTCACATATAAACTTCTGAGACAAAAAAACACTGCTTAAATACAACCTATATCCATATCCTTTAGACTATCTATAATTATTTTTTTCTCTTTTTGTCATTTATTCTTCCTCTGTCTCTTTTTAAACCACCCCTTTTAGTCCCTAGCTTCCTTTACTTTCAAAAGCAGGTGGTGTGATTGCTGGTATTTGACATTTTTGATTAAATAATAGCATTATCTAAACCATCTTCTATTCTTCAGGGACCTCCTTTCGTGAAACTCCAAAAATGTCTTCTAAAATCTTCCTAATGCTATCTTATTCTGTGAGCAACTTAGACTGTCATATCATTATTTGATACTGTAGAAGGGAAGGAAATTTCAGATGATTTCAATAACCATTTCTGTTATTGTACTATTTCTAACTTCTCATTTTAGTTCACAGATAATTTCCATTTAAATGTCTTCTATATATACATTAGTTATAGAAATAAGTGCTGATATTTTGATACTTCTTAACTTCTTCTTTCTCTTAAAAACTGTTTTTTGCAATTTTAGTGTTAATATCTACGTAATACTGGGTTTAAACGACTTCTTTTTATGTGTACTGACTAGAAGAGCTCCTGCTTTCATTAATGGTTCCGTCTAATGCTGTGAAGGTGATTGTTGTAAAAGACACAGTAAAAATGAATCCAGATTTTGGTTAACCAGGCAAGGTCATTTCAAGGGACAGCTTAAATCTATTCCATGCACTTTTGGGCTCCTCTTCTTATACAAATTCCCCCTGGGGACCTTTAGCAAATGAGTCTCATGCCAGATCTGGCTAGATGGATTCTTGTGCCTCTCTTAGATTCTGGGTGTCTATAACACAGGTAAACAATTATATTATTCCCTGGCAGGGAATGGGTGAGTGTCTCAGAATTACAGTCTTCATGTTACTCTTGCCCACAACCAGTCATTTGCTACTTCTTTGGAGGTGTTTGTACTAGCTCTGGCTTTCCTGGTCTGAGTTCCATGAGTAGCAGCAATGATGACAGAGGTGAGGACAGAACACATTTTACCACAACTTCACGTGCCTGATAAGATCAGAATAAACTGGTAAGGCAGAGTTTAGAGTGACCTGCTGGATATCCGTGAAGGTGAAAATAAAGAGAGTTCAAAATGTGTTTGTTTACAAAACCACGAGTCTAACATAACATGGGCATGGAGTAGTGGGGAATAATGTGACAAGAATGCTGTCCATGAGTCTAGATTTTGAGTTGTTAGGAAGGATGAGACTGGACTTCAATGAGAAGAGGATACTGGGGTACACAGGCAGGTGAGCAGACTCTTAAAACAACTATAAATTTCAATTTACAGGGTTATTGAGTGAATATGTCTCCCCCAAATCCACGTGTTGAAATCTTAGCCCACAATGTGATGATATTAGTAGGTGGTGCCTTTTGGCGGTGATTAGGTCGTGAGGGTGGAGCCCTCATGAATAGGATTTGTGCCCTTATAAAAGAGATTCTAGAGAGCTTTCTCACTCCTTTCCACCACGTGAGAACACAGTGAGAAGACAGTATCCATGAATCAGCAAGAAGGCCCTCACCAGTCACCAAATCTTCTAGCACCTTGATCTTCGAAGCCTCAGCCTCCAGAATTGTGAGAAATAAATGTTTGCTGTTTAAGCCACCCAATGATGTTTTTGTTGTAACAGCCCATGGACTAAGACTATATATATATGTGTATGCATATGTACATATGTATACATATATGTATACATAATATTAATTATATATACACATTCAGTATGGCATCTATAGCACAGAATGTTAATACCTTCATCATCATTTTATCTGAAGAAAACCAGTCAACATTCACTGTGATTTTTAAATTTTGCAGTTTTTGATGATAGACTTAGTAGGAAATAGACATGTGGGAAGTTTCCAATATGCCTTCTGTACCTATCACTGAGGAGCTCTGAGCTGAGATTATAATGAGTAGAGCTGTATTAGAAAACATTCTCCATTCTGCTGCACTTCCTCCGGGCTGAGTGAACACGCCGTTTCTTACTGAGTATGTTTTATTTAGCATTTCAGCCAGCTTTCCAATTTAGCTAACTTTCAGGTTCTCTTGTTAACTTACTTACTTGTGTGCCCAAGTAGAATTGGAACACCTCTTTTGCATAATCACAATCAGTAGAATTGGAACACCTCTTTTGCATAATCACAATCTGTTGACCCCTTATCTTTTGAAGATCTGATGCACAAACTCAGGGCAATGCTGGTTCCCAACTGGAACTGTGGACCTCAGTGGTGGTATTTCTTCTTCCTATGGGGTTATGTCTGCGAAGTTTTATTGCTGAGTCAGGGCTTTGAGATGGGTTTTATTTATGTCTAGAAGTTTTATTGCTGAATCATCTTAGGCATTCACAGTCAAGTTCTTAGGTTTGCTAGTTATTTGGAAATATTTTACATCCTTATAATGTGAAAGAATTTGCAGATTCCCACTGCAGATCAGCGGTATTAAACACTAAGGAACAGTTATTACCTCTGCCTATCCAAATTCTGTTCATCCCTTCAGACCTAGATCAAGACCCAGCTTCACCAGCAAACTTCTCTGATTATCAAAGACTACACTAAAATTTCTCTCCTTCTGAACTTCTTTAGCACCTAAAGCCCATACTACACAATTTGACCACTGGTGGTTTTGTTGTTTATTGCTGTTTTAGCAGTTACCACTGAAGAGGTTCTGGCTGTGTGTTTTATCCCCTTTTGCCATTCCCAAATCCCTAACCCCACTACATCTCTACTATATAAACACTTATTGGTGAATTCTAAAAATTCTAATTATTTCTTTAAAGTTACTGAAATAATTGCCTTGAAATTATTTAAACTTTTCCTGGGAATTTCTTAACCTTATATTCCACAAGTAATGTAGCTAGCACTACTTCTAGATCTGTACAACTACTTAGAAGGCAAAGAAAAGACGCTAAAAAGGCCGGACGCGGTGGCTCATGCCTGTAATCCTAGGACTTTGCGAGGCCAAGGTGGGCGGATTACCTTTGGTCAGGAGTTCAAGACCAGCCCGGCCAACATGGTGAAACCCCGTCTCTACTACAAATACAAAACAATTAGCCAGCTACAGTGGTGCACGCTTGTAATCCCAGTTACTCGGGGGGCTGAGGCAAGAGAACCTCTTGAACCTGGGAGGCGGAGGTTGCGGTGAGCTGAGATCGTGTAATACACTCCAGCCTGGGCTACAGAGCAAGACTTGGTCTTAAAAAAAAAAAAAAAAAAAAAGACACTAAAAAATAGATTGCTGTAAGCTAGGACACATCACACAAATCTGAGATTTTTTTTTATTTTGCAGCAAGGCAATAAACATTTTGAAATGGAGTTTAAACATGATACAAATCTTATTTCTGGGACCTCTTATTTAC
Source organism: Homo sapiens (assembly GCF_000001405.40). NCBI lineage: Eukaryota > Metazoa > Chordata > Mammalia > Primates > Hominidae > Homo > Homo sapiens. The sequence goes on along the minus strand of NC_000010.11, from coordinate 115,917,958 downwards.
TATTTTAACAATTATTAGAAACAGAATTTTACATAAGAAAAGCCAATCAACCAAAGAATACTTGTTAATAATTACAATAGCAGTGACTTTTGTTGCCCCTATTTATTTTGTTACTTGTTTACATGGAAAATACCAGGTGAGGGAGTGCTGAGCCGGCCTGAAATACTGTAGTAAGAATCAAGCCCTGCAGAAAATTTTCCTTGGAGCATTATTATGAACAAAATGTGGTTAGCATGAATATCTTCAATATCTGAGAAAAGTAAACAAGAATTTTTCCTTCAAAATATTAATCACATATGAGCTTTTACTCCATGGTAAGGATGTTATCCATTTAAATAACCTCTCTCGTTGAAAACAACACAAACAAAAAACCAAAAACCACTACATAGTGAGCAGACGTTTTGCTCGCTTTGTCTAATGTAGTCCACATGATCACTCTAAAAGGTGAATATCATGGCCCCGTTTTTTTTTTCTTTTTTTTTTTTTTTTGAGACAGAGTCTTGCTCTGTTGCCCAGGCTGGAGTGCAGCGGTGCGATCTCAGCTCACTGCAAGCTCTGCCTCCTGGGTTCACGCCATTCTCCTGCCTCAGCCTCCCGAGTAGCTGGAACTACAGGTGCCCGCCGCCATGCCCGGCTAATTTTTTGTATTTTTACAACACAGAGACGGGGTTTCACTGTGTTAGCCAGGATGGTCTCGATCTCCTGACCTCGTGATCCACCTCAGCCTCCCAAAGCGCTGGGATTACAGGCGCGAGCCACCGCTCCCAGCCGGCCCCGTTTTAGAGAGGGAGAAAGTCAGGATCCAGAGAGTGCCCAAGGTAGCACAGCCACTAAAGTGGCAGTCAGAGTTAGACGCCATCTCAAAGCGCTGACAAGGTTCAGCATTGGCAGTGTCGCCACATTTCTGATTTGGACTGTACGACCTGTAAGGCTGTATATAGCAGCTCTCTTCACTTGTATTGCAAAAGTGAAAACTGGGAACTTAATTTTTTGCGCCACGCCTAGAGGCAGTTCCTGACAGGGGGCCAGTCCTGAGCCTGGTCCTCCTAAGCAATATAAATACCCAGACAGAAGGAACAGGGAGGTGTTGGAAGCACGGATTCTGGGTATCTCAAAGTGGGATACAGATAACTTTCTCTTGGTCAGAGAAAGAGCTCCCAGTAAACAGAAGGCCCTGAGCTCCCAAGGCTGCAGCTTGTATCAGCACTGAGAAGTCTGGACAGACACAGAGTAGTTGGGGAGTTGGATGTCTGGCAGTCTACACTGTCGGGATCTCTCTCCTAAAGAAATATTCAAATAAGACTTTCATGAATTCTAATGCACGTGGGATTACACAATGGAAATGAGTACAAAAATAGGATGTGCTTTACAGAAATTTATCGTGCAGCCAAGTGCTATAACCTATATAGTCCATGAGGCGAGGGAGAGCTGAAATCATAGCACCATGTTCCCTGTCTGTGCAAGTTCACTTGCTTTAAGCGTTGTATTTACAGCCATTTTGCTTCTTTGCCTCTGTGTTGGTGCATGACCAATAGACCGAGACTATTTCAAACAAAAGGTCTCTGAGGGCAAGGCTATATTGACTTGACTTGATGTGTGGAACAGCAGACAGAGCCCAATAGGCATTGTAGGAATTTATAATGTTACTTTGGGCTGCTAATTACGATTAGGCTATAGCTTAAATCTGAAGCAATTCCGCAGTAAAGTTGAGACCACAACATGGAGTCATTGCCTCCCAGCAGTCACAATCCAATATGTGGTGCATGAGTATGATGCTGCAATTTTAGGGAAGGTGACTGCCCTTTAAGATGGTCCATTTAAACTGGAAAGCATTCTAGACAAATTCGTGAGAAGGAGCTGACTCACCTATGTGCCTGCAAATACTTTAAAACTATACTTTAAATGATGCTTTGCTTTGAACAGATCACTGGCCCAATTCTTCCCTTTCTCTGAGTCTGTAACTCCCATTGAAATCAATGAGAACTGAATATTCAAAAGGGACCAGAGAACAAAGTTGCAGGTTGAATTAATGGGATAAAGGAGTGCAGATCTCTTAAAGCCTGTGCAATTAAATTGTGGCCTTATACAATTCTCCAGGGTCACCAGCAATTTGCTGGCCTAGGAAAGCCAGCTGACTTCACTTTCAGAGGTGTCACAATTTATAGCATGCATATTCTTAGACATTAACGCATGATCCTTCTTAGCTCAAAATCTACCTCCTCACTCTAATCTCTTTAGAACCTGATACTTTGGAGTCTGGGATTTCATTCACATGTCCTTATCACCAGCTAAGATAATCAATCAAAAGGCAAGATGTTCATTTAAAAGTGCACAGCTAAGCACATATGGATATATTATTTTTCTATACATACATTAGTTTATGCATCTTATCTATATATATACCAATACATATATTTATATATACCTATGTATGTTAATTATCTGATGTCTTTCCCAACTAGAATCAAAGTTCCAACTGACAAGAACTTTGTCTTATTTAATCATTATATCCTTAGCACTTGGCTTCATTGTAACTGTCAAAAAAAATTTTTTTTTTTTTTGAGATGGAGTCTCGCTCTGTTGCCTAGGCTGGAGTGCAGTGGCGCGATCTCCGCTCACTGCAAGCTCCGCCCCCCAGGTTCATGCCATTCTCCTGCCTCAGCCTCCCGAGTAGCTGGGACTACAGGCGCCCGCCACCACGCCTGGCTAATTTTTTTGTATTTTTAGTAGAGACGGGCTTTCACAGTGTTCGCCAGGATGATCTTCATCTCCTGACTTCGTGATCCGCCTGCCTCGGCCTCCCAAAGTGCTGGGATTACAGGTGTGAGCCACCGCACCCAGCCATAACTGTCAAATATTTTTGATCATCAAGACATTTACAAACATATTTGACTAGATATTCGTAATGCCACAAGAATAATATTTCAGTAATTCTCTTAAATGTTTTTTGTCCAAAGAGAAAAACAGTATCACTTACTAACCATATATTGTATTCTAGTTTTTTTCCAAATACTTTTCTTTCTCAATAAATTTTTACAACAGTGGAGTGTGATGTCATATTTTTATATTTTTGTTACAAATAGTTTAGAAATGGAGGCTTAGAGAAATTAAACAACTTTGCCAAGGACACAGAACTAGGAAGGGGCACAGTAGAAGTGTGAATCCTCTTCTGACTGCAAAGCCCATACTCATTTCCCTTATCTCACTTCCTAACAGTTGAACAATCGGGAAAAGAAACATAAAATGGAAAGGTCTCCACCAGTCAACCGTAAGAAACAGTGATGACTATGATGTAGCCTTCAGCATGGGGAAGTACCAAGTAGGTGTCCAGATAAGCTGAAAGGCAATGAAGTGACAGGAAGGAAAGGTCTGGGACTGCCTCACCAGCAGAAATACACCAGGCACCTGGAAGTCCTTGCTGGTCACTTGCTCACTGCTCAGGGCAGGACCACTCAAGCTGGGTACGCATGTGGCATAAACCAGTCTCCATCTGCCTTGACTCAATTGGTGGCCTATTCCATACCCCCAAATCCCTGCTCTTTGGTCAACATGACCTCAGAATCCTATCATTTCCACAGGTGTAATAGACAACACCAGATTTCTTCCTCTCTATCCTATCCTTCCCCAGTGACTTTTGTCTTCCCTGATATACCACCTGTATTAGGTCATTTTCACACCACTATGAAGAAATATCTGAGATTGGGTAAATTACAAAGAAAAGAGGTTTAATTGACTCACAGTTCTACATGGCTGGGGAGGCTTCAAGAAACTTACAATCATGGTGGAAGGGGAAGCAAACACGTTCTTCTTCACATGGTGGCAGGAGAGAGAAGTGCCAAGTGAAGCAGGGAAAACCCCTTATAAAACCATCAGATCTCCTGAGAACTCACTTACTATCATGAGAACAGCATGGGGGAACTACCCCATGATCTAATCACCTCCCATGAGGTCCCTCCCCCAAAACGTGGGGATTAGAATTTGTGTTACAATTCAAGATGAAATTTGGGTGGGGACACAGGGCTAGGTCATATCACCCACCCCTCCCAATATCTTCATGAAGTGTTACAAATGCTAACCACATGTTCAATTTGTACCTATTCCCAAAACCTACATCAGGGTAGGTTGAGATGTCCCCAGTCACAGTTTGGGGGCATCCATGAGCAGTCTGGATAGCCCCAAAGGCTGTGGGCCACGCATTGTGACTCCATCTATGCTTTCTGCACAGGCTGACATTGTCCTACACTCTGGAGGCTGCTTCTATTGTCCTTAACTAGAACATGTGAGCAGTGCTGGGAGGAACAGCATTGTGTAACTGGAAGCTGAAAGCCATCTATGAGTTAGAGGCAGTAGTAGTAATAAAACCTACCATGTACTGTTTCCTCTCTGCCAGGTATTGCACAGATGATTAAATGAAATAATCCAAATAAAAGCTCACCATCCCTATGAGGTAGAAGCTGCTATCCCCATTTTATAGTTGAGGAAACTGTGGCTTTACAGTAGTTAAGCACTTTGGCTTGGGGTTTGCAACTGGCATGTGACAAAACTGGGCTTTGAATCAGGTCTTCTGGCCCTAGAGCTAGTCCTTTGACATAGGGCTACCCTGCAGGGGTCTGGGTGATTTTTGGAGCCACCTTTGGGGGCTGGTGTGGATGGGGATGATCAAAGGACTCAGGACTGTGTTGGTGGAGGACATCTGAATAATTAGGCAATTGGAATGTTTAAGATACTGAGGGCAGCTGGGGATATGAATGTTCTGTATGTGAAAAAGAATGAAAATTTGTAATCAGTTAAAATATTACTTTAGACACATACTGCAATTTAGTTCATAAAGTACTTTTGCAGCCTGTTATCCATCCCACTAATAGTTTTTTCTCTCCAGTGCCTGCATTCTATGCTACCAGCAGCAGCTGCCCTAGCTTCTTTACCACATCAACGTTTTCATACACATTATCTCACAATTTGTCTGCTAAGGTAGGTGTAAGGGACACTGTGGGGAATTGGGAGCTCTGGGCAGTCTAGCAACTTTGCCATGGCCACACGGTTAGTAAGTGGTGGCAGCCAGGTCTGGTCCTCAGCCCCATGCTCCCTCCCTGCCTTGTGTGGAGGAAGCCCCTTGTCACCCACCATTTCTACCATATGAAGAGTGATGACATTCTTCCAAGATTTCAGGAGAATTAATTGTGGTTGACATTTTGTGACATCCTTAAATATTCTTTGCATTATTATGATACAGCACAGAGCTTTGTGATAATTCATGGAATTTTTTTTTTTTACCATTCATCTAAGCTGTCAATTTTCTACTTTTATAAATCATGTTGTGTTGAGCATTTCTGTTTTGAGTATTTGACCAAATTTCTAATTATTTCCTTAAGGTAGATTCCTAAAAATGAAATTACTGAACCTGAATATGAACTCTTTTGAAGCTCTTGATACATAGCTCCAGTTACTTTTACTGAAAGACCTATCACACTGTTCTTCCACCAGCAGTATTTTTAAAATGTGCCTGTTTCATCATATGCACACACACACACACACACACACAAATATATATATATATATGTATTTCACTAATTTGACAGGTGAAGATTATTGTTTTAATATCTACTTTATTGACTACTAGTTAGACTACAGTCATTTTTATTAGTCATTAGTTTGTTTATCAAGTGCTCCTTTGTATATTTTGTCCCTTCATTGTATGGATATGTTAATTTCCTTAATTGATTTCTGTGAGCTTTTCCTATAATCAACAATCAATGGTTTATCATTTGTTTGTAAAATTTCCCTGGATTTCCCCCTTGCTTTGGTGGCCTTGTTGTATCTTCATTATTGATGATGACTTCTAGAACTAGGCTGCCCTGTCTCCTGTAGTTCTTCCCCCCAAATGCTTCCCGATGTCCCAATGTGTGGGAAACTGTTTAAGTCACAAGCCTGAGATTCAATCATTGAATAGTCTTGTGTTAGCGCATGGTGTAGTGGTGAGAAACATAGTACATAAAGGAAGCACACCATACGGGGGCTTCCTTTGAGCACAGAATGAGTTACTGAAATAATAGGCAGATGAAACAAGGAGGAACGGGGAGAAACACGGGATGGTGCATGGGAAAAGCAAGGCAGCAGCGGCTTGAGGGGAGAAAGTGGAGTTCATTTATCAGCATCTCCCTTGTGCTCTTCCTTGTGCTCTTCCCATGGCAGCTGCCTGCTAAGGGCTTGGTGGAGGATGAATAGATGGATGACCACACTCTTCTCTCCTGACTGCCACGCCCACCGGCTCTGTAACTTTAGATAAGTCAATTGCCTCAACTGATGAAATCGGGCCTCAATTTCATGATCTATAAAATGGGTTTTAGCCAGGCACGGTGGCTCACGGCTTTAATCCCAGCACTTTGGGAAGCTGAGGTGGGTGGACCACCTGAGGAGTTCGGGACCAGCCTGTCCAACATGGTGAAATCCTATCTTTACTAAAAATACAAAAAATTAGCTGGGCATGGTGGTGGGCACCTGTAATCCCAGCTGCTCGGGAGGCTGAGGCAGGAGAATCGCTTGAACACAGGAGGTGGAGGTTGCAGTGAGCCAAGATTGCACCATTGCCCTCCAGCCTGGGCAACAAGAGTGAAACTCCATCTTGAAAATAAATAAATAAATAAATAAAATAGGTTTTAGGCCGGGCGTGGTGGCTCATGTCTGTAATCCTAGCACTTTGGGAGGCTGAGGCAGTTGGATTGCCTGAGCTCAGGAGTTTGAGAACAGCCTGGGCAACATGGCAGAGCCCTCTATCTACTATAAATACAAAAAATTAGCTGAGCACGGTGGTGCCTGCCTGTAGTCCCAGCAAAGGCTGAGCCATGAGAATCGTTAGAACCTGGGAGGCGGAGGTTGCAGGGAGCTAAGATCGCACTATTGCACTCCAGCCTGGGCGACAAAGTGAGACTCTGTTTCCAAAATAAATAAATAAATAAATAATGAAAAATACAACGAGTTTTACACTGGGTTGTTGCCAAGATCCACTGAGATAACGAACATGAAAACAACTTGCAAACTAGAAAGCAAAAAACGAAATGTCAGTCATGCATTTTAGTAGAAGTTTTGCTGTAGTTATTTACTATCTTATAGGAAAAAAATATTGGCAGGCGGGATGAGAAGTTAGGATTTTTCTCAGAGGGTTACTCTCATTTCTTTGTGTGCCCCTGTCCCTGCTATGGTGTACATTCAAATGCCTCTAACAGGCAGGCACTGTAGTCATTTAACTTGATTTCTATGGTGACCAGCCCAGCCCAGTGAGTGAAATGTTTTCATGAGAAGTCTGTAGGAAAATTCTGTTCTACACACATATATATCCTGTATAGTGCATTAAAGGTTAGCATAAAATATTAATGAATGGCCTTTCCTTGCTTGTGTTGGGTGTGGCAGCCGGCTAGGAAATGCTTCACAGATGGGCTGCTGAGCACGGACTGCCTGATGAGCATGTAAGGAGGGTGGGGGGTGGCTCAGTTACTGGAGCAGCATGTATAGTGGTCAGGAGGTGTGACAGGGTGACAGGGCATGGCCTGGGTCCCAGAAGGCTTCTCCCCGATGGGGAGACAGGTGTTGACAAACACCACTTATTAAAAATTCATCCACTCAGAATAGTCAAATTGAGTGCCCTTGACACAGCATTTAAGAAGTAAAAGAGGTCTATGTAAAGGGTATCAAGACCAAGAGTGCAGCTGAGAATGTGGTAGCAGCAGCCCCTTTCCTCTGACCTTGTGGCTTTCACTCCTGTGGGTCTAGTCATTCTTCCTCCATATGGAGGTGACTTGGGGAGGATGTAATGTCAATGGCCCTTCTCAGGTTGGTTTCAGTTGCTTTCTTACCACCTAGTGGTGCTAAGGGATCAGGTGCATAAAAAGTGGAACTCTTCCGGAGTGCCAAGCCCTGTCCAGAGGTGAGAGTTCTCATGGTCTTCTCCTCCTCCACTCCTCCCCAAATCAGGTTGCAACATCCTCAGTAACAGCCAACTTTCAATTTATTTAGTTACTTCTAATGCCCATTGAGTAAAATGAGGACTCAGTTATTTGTGGGTATCCCATTTACTTTATTTAGGGAAGATAAGATTTAATAATGCCAAATTCCTAGCCTTCTGGCTAGGAATCACTGATCGCTACAAAGTTATCTCTGATTAACTGTATGTTGTAAAAGGAAACATACATTTAATCTAAATTTAAACATATTCAGTATATGTCCTCCCCTTTCTCAAGGCATGATAATTCTCCTTGGGAGTTCTAGAAAATCTCTCTCTAACACTGGCTGGCATTTGTCCTCCCACCTCACTTCGTCTTTTTTTTTTTTTTTTTTTTTTTTAACATTATCAAAGTGGAAAAAAGAAAAAAAACCATGAAGCTAACCTGAAGTCATGTCCTGTCTTCAGTATGTCTGGCGCCTGGCAAGCAGATCTGGTTTGGGGAGGGTGAGATGCAGTAGAAGCAATGGAAGGTGAAGCTGGAAGGTCAGGATGGGATCTGATTTGGAAGAGCCCTGTAGAGCTATCCTGAGGAGTTTGGCCTTTATCTCATAAGGGCTTTGTCTTAGCCTTGATGGCAGTTTAAAAATCAAATGAAATACTGATTCCTGAGCGCAGTCTGAAGTGGAAAAGCTGCCACTATTTGCATTTAATCTATAAAGAAACTGACGCATACAGAGATTAAGGAATATGCGGAGGAGGATATCACAGCTGCTAAGTGGCAGGTCTGAGTCTGACAAGTCTACGCCACTGTTGCTTCTGGTACCTTTAACTGACTGGGCATGAAGAGGAAGGGGAGGGGGATTGCGCCTAGGGGGAGAGAGAAAACAAGTTCACTACAGCTGTGTACATTATTATTTCACACAAAGTCTTGAATGAATTCCTTGCATGTGGCAATTCTCTAAAGAATATATGTATATTTTCTGAATAAACAGTAGTGAAAACCCAGAGGTAAAGATGGGAAATAAAAATGATGGGGGTGTGCAGGCATGACGTGCACATGTGCCTACATACACTGCTCTGCCCACCAAGGGTCTACTGCACAGGGCATTATTACCAACAGAATCAAAGGGAGGTAGTGAATCATATATTCCATGTTATTAGGTTTAAGAAAAAAGTAATGAGTAGGAAGAGAGGCAGCAGCAACTTTAGAAGCAGAATGTAAGGTGCATTAGGGAACCAGTAGCAGGAGCAGAGTGAGATGAACCGAATATACCTCTGAGAATAACTAACAGTGTGTGCTGGGCAGCAGCTTAGGTGCCCTGAGAAATCTGTTCTTCTAGATTTTGCCTTGTGCCTCTGTGGCAGGCAAAATAATGGCCCCTCAAGGATGCACATGTACTAAGCCTTGGAATTCTACATGGCAACAGGGACTTTACAGAAGTGATTAAACGAAGGACCTTCAGATGGAGAGATTATCCTGGACAACCTGGGTGGGACCAATGTCATCATAAGCATTCTTCAAAGGGGAAGAGGGAGGCAGAAGAGGAGGTCAGAGGGGTGCAGGGTGAGAAATCCACCAACCAGATCCTGCTAGTTTTGAAGATGCAGGAAGGTGGGCATGAACTAAGGAATGCAGGCAGCCTCGAAAAGCTGGAAAAAGGCAAGGAAACAGATTCTTTCCCAGAGCCCCCAGAAAAAAAAATGAAGCTTTGCAGATCCATTTTAGACTTCCGACCTCCAGAACTGTAAGGTAATACATTTGTGTTATGTTTAAAGCTGCCTAGGTCGTGGTAATTTGCTAGGGCCTCCTAAAAGCTCAGAATTGTACTCCATGCAGAGAAGGAGTCATGGAATATTCAAAATCAAGCAAGCAGCCGAAGGGTTCTGAGAGGTCTTATGTGTTCACGGAATCTACATTTTCTGTTCTCTGCTGTTTCTTGTAGGAAGTAGATCTCAAAATGACCAAATCAGAAAAATGAGAATTAGAAATAATTCAGGAATTTGCATGGTAATGGATAGGAAAAATAGCTATTACTTTTAAAAAGTGGATTACTTATAAAACTCATCAATAAGACGGTGTATGCTTTCTTCTTTGCCTTATTCAGTATAGCTAGTGTGTACAGAGAAGTAGGTAGGCAGCTTGCTGGTTAGTTTGTCAAGGATTAAAATGAAGTAAGTCCTAACAAGGCCTTTAAGACCTTCATCAGATCCTCTACATGTCATGTCAGAGTAAAAGGTACTCACATTAAATATAACATTTTATTATAAAATATTTTAAAATTTTTTTATAATTTTATTTTAAAATATTTGCTATAAGTATCTTATATAATGTATGACTGGTTATGATTATTCTGCAATGATCCTGCTTACTTGGGAATTCTAATGAAGTGAGCAATTAAACCTACAGACTGCAAGTGTATTGAAATGTGTATGAAAACTACATTTAACAATAATGTGGGCATTATATTACATGTTGTAGCTATTAAATTAAGGGATTTCTTAATTTTAATTTTGCAGCTTTCTTATTTTGGAGTAAAAACTTTGTTTTCATTCTCAAACATGTTCATAAGGCCCATGGCCTTTTGCTCATAGTGCTTGATGGATAAAGTAGTCCTGTGAGACGAAATAGCAAAATAGCACCTGCAACTAACTGAGCTCAACTGTATGAATGAGCACATACCGAAAGGGAAGAGTTAAGGTTACCATAGAAACTGTAATACAAAAATTCTGGAGCTAAATTATTACCAATCTCATCAGCTTGCTACCGCAGCTTCCTTTTTGATGATGATAAGCATTGTCATTAATGGGAGGCAGAATGGTACAAGGATCAAGAGAATGGACATTAAAGCAAAGCAATGATGAGCTCCAAGCTGGACTCTACCACTTAGAAGACGTGTAACTGTGGCCAGGTCACTTGGACTTTCTAGACCTCAAATTCCTCATCTAGGAAATGGGGATAATAACAGTACAGGTTGAGCATCCCTAATCTGAAAATTCAAAATCCAAAATGCTTCAAAATCTAAAACTCTTTCAGCACTGAGTTGACACTCAAACATCATATTTAAAGGAAATGCTCATTGAAGCATTTCGGATAACCTGTACCAACCTCAGGGGATTATAAAGATTAAGTGAATTAATATTTACAAAGCGCTGGTACATAAGTAGTTTTATATATAGGTTTCTGATTTTTTTTTAAAAAAAGTATTTGTTCAAAATTTACGAAGTTCAATTATATGGCCTTCACTGTAAAGATGAAGTCTAGGATATAATCCTGTACTCTAGGTGCTGAAATTCTAGGGGGAGGCATGTACTGGAACCCAGGTATGAATAAAGTAATACGAAAACTTTGAAGAAAGTAGTCAATTCTAATAATGAAAACTGTTTAACCCACTTACAGTTAAAATTGTTTAATGAAAATATCTTCAAATATTGAAAAATGAAATTAATCAGCAGATTTACTAAATGCCTATTTTGTCTGTAGGCCTGTATAATCTACTGTGATTGTTTTGAATAAAGGCATTTGTTAAGAGAGGAGGAAAACAAGACACAGAGCCTGCTCTGTGCCAGGGCCTTTTAAGATTTTCTTACTGAACTTTCTCAATCCTGAAACAAATTTTGAGGTATATATAATCATTCCCATTTTACAAAATAGTTACCTGAGTCTAAAATATGTTAAGGCAGAGAGAAATCTGAATCCAGATCAAATTCTCACCCTCAAAGCCAATTTTACTTTCGCCAAGCCAGTAGTTTTCAAACTTTATTAGCAGAAACCTAGCTTTAAAACAAAATCATGCATGTTAAATGTATTATTTTATTAGGGTAAATATAAGTTATAATTATAATTTTTAAAACACAGTCATAACAGTAAATATTTACTTGTTGTAAAGTCAATCAATGAGAATAATGTGGGTATAGTGATTAACATAGAATTTGGAAATCAAAGCTTATGGAAGTTAGTCACAGTTATGCTAGTCTCAGAGCTTGATTTATTTTTTTGTTATTGTTACATAGTATTAAGAAAACCCTGCATTGCACAGTTGTAAATTTTAAAAGAGTTTTAACAGTTCACCCTATAAACCAGGCTATTCTTCAACTAAGCTGATATAGAAGCTTGAATGACATGAGGAGGAATTAACTTCTCTTAAGTTCTTTTCATAAAAACAATTATTTATCAAGTCCCTCCTTTATGTTAGGCATGGGGCTGGATGCCAGGGATTCCATGGTGCTCATGACAGATGTGATTCTTGGCCTCCAGATGAGTGCTTTGAAAGGGGAATAACCAGGTTAAGAACATTTACTGGAGTAGACCATTTTCAAGAACATTTACTGGAGTTGACCATTTACACGGATGACTTTTTCCCATAAATACAAATGTATAGGGTCTAGTTAACCTCTTATGGAAAGATTTCTTTCCGTTGAATTTATATTCACAGGTCATAGATTCTGGGCATCAGATATAGCCTGACTGGAATTGTTGGAAGACTAAAACCAGCCAGGCACAGTGGCTCACGCCTGTAGTCCCAGTACTTTGGGAGGCCGAGGTGGGTGGATCACTTGAGCCCAGGAGTTCAAGACCAACCTGGGCAACATAGGAAGACCCTGCCTCTACAAAACTTAAAAAAAAAAAAAAAATTAGCTGGGTGTGGTGGTATAGGCATATGGTCCCAGCTACTCGGGAGGCTGAGGTACGAGGATCGCTTGAGCCTGGCAGGTTGAGGTTGCAGTGAGCCATGATTGCACCACTGTACTCTATCCTGGGTGACAGAGTAGGACCCTGTCTTCAAAGGAAAAAAAGACTAAAACCAATATTTTCTCCAACTACTCTCCTTTACTCACTTAGCACTCAATCTCTGCTACAGTTTTAGTAACCCTGGGCACTAGACTAATTACTTTAGTAGCTGGGGACTAGCTCACTTTCTCGTTTGGGTAAGTGCCAGGCCAATAATAATCTTGAGATTTTTAAGGATTTATTTTGAACTCTTTCAGACTTCAGCTGTAATTTATGAAGCACTGAAGGGACTACATCCATCCGAGTGATAGAAACTCCAGGCTGAAGCTGTTCAAGCAATCCTAACTCGTCTTATGTATCAATAACCCCAGTACCTGGCACTGAGCAATATCAAAAATTGGAGAGAATAAACTGTGGATATATATTTTTAAAATTTAGCTCACTAGGATAAGAGAATCTGATTGCAGACTTTATGTTCTTTGGACTTTAATTTGTAAAGTGATTGAATATTTGGACTTAAATTTCTCTCCAGGAATTTGAAAATGGTAGGGAGTTTGTATTCAAACTTAGGGCATCTTTATGTTGACAGTCGATTAAATATCTTAATCAGGTTGTTTGATCTCTACAACCTGTTATGCTGTCTTTTAGAAACATGACTATATATAATTTGAAATGGGGAATAGGAAATAGATTTTGAGCCTTGGCTACAGTATAGTCTTGGAGCTAATTTCATGGATGTACAGGTGTCATTAATCTCAGAGCTTGTGAGGGGGAAATCCACACTGTCTATAGTGATCCCATGGTGACTGCCAAAGCAGCATTAGTTGGCCCTGGGAGAATGGCCAGTAGGAGTAAGACTGTCTTGACAGGTTGCTGATCTCTTCTGAGGGCAACAGCCACACTGCAGGAGGAAAACAAACAGCTGAGAGTGGTGGCCTAAAAAGGTGCTAGTCAGATTTCCTGTGGAGGGGAGCACAGTTGACTCAAAACCCCAAATGCCACCCCTCTGGATCCAGCACCATGTGCGGTGCTGCCAAATTCTTCCAGGATGGTCCCAGCCAACCAATGCTGAGCCTGGTGGGAGTAGTGGTACAGGGTCCATTCCTGCCTGATGTGAAACTTTGCTGGCAGGTGATTGGCTTGAGGACTTTCCATTGGTCTTTTCAAAACTTTCTTAGAACTGCACCATGCTACCCAATCATTGTTCCTTCCTTTAGCCTTCCCCACACTGCCTCCCACAGGTGCCAGACTTACCTCTTGGTCTGAGGCCGTCCTTACTTACTCATGCTTCCTCCCTGTACCCTTCATAGGCATGTCCCCCAGTAAAGCTCTTGCACATTTCACCTCGTCTTGGTGTCAGCTTCTCAGAGGTCCTGAACTAACGCACTAAAAAATCTTAGGGGAATGAAAGGATTTTTAAAATGCAAAGTTAAAATGAAATGCTTATGGGATCTCCTTGCCACTGCCTTCTCCTTCTCCTCCAGCCCAAGTTCCTCTGGATACATTTTGCAAACCACTTCACAACATAGGAAGTATGGAGGAAAATGTGGTTTTACTGTGAGAAGAAAAATATAGATGATTCTTTAGGAAATTCTGACGAGAGCAGATGAAGGCTGAATTGGATCCCAAGACAGGAGAAGGTATTAAAGGTGATAAATATAAGACAGGGAAAGTCACACTTTAAGCTGAACAAAGAACTCTGGCTAAAGGATTTGAATCTCTTTTAGCTCCAAAGAAAGTTCCAGGTAAGGTTCTGAAGCAGGGAGTTTGTCATAGTTAAGAAAGGAAGCAATTAAAGTAAGAAAGTATCTTAGAAGCATTTTCCAGGTCAGTATGAATAGTAACAAAATTCCAGAGATAGTGCTAACCAGACAGGGGGAGGGAGAGACTGGAGGCAAAATATAATGCTCCTGAGCCTGATTTAAGCAGCTAAAGCAAAGTCCAGGCCAGGGAAATGGAGGGCAGTGGCAAGATACCACGGAGAGGTTTGTTACTCAGAAGACTGCTTGTATTTTTGAAGTACATTTTCAAAGGGTAAAAAGCAGTTTGAACTTAGCACCCACCAGATGCAAAATGAATGTATCAATATTTTAAAACAATATACAGCATGGAGAGCTAGTCACACTTTAAATAATTAATTCCCTGGTAATTAACCTAAGAATGACATGATAAAAGAGAAACTTCCCCAGTGTGTGTCAGATTATGTACATTTAAAATTTAAAACTTTCATAAGGTATACAAGGGGGCCAAGAGGATCACAGATTCAGAGGCTACACTGAAAAGTCAGAAGCAGTCTCCAGATTTTGATAGATTTCTGGAAAGATGTGTCAAAAGATCAGCTTGACACGGACAGCTGGGCTTCCTTGAAAATTAAGTTTCTGTGTACAGAGTTCTTCAGGTATCCAATTTCTACTCTCACCTCTGCCTCCAGAAGCAGGTCTCACAGGACTCCACTGCAGCAAAGACCTGTCAGATCCCCCCGTTGCTTCTCATTGCTGAGTTCCTCCTGTAAGTTGTGTCATTCGTGTTAAAATTACAAATTCACATCCAATTGATTTCTGAAGGAAGGAACTGCCTCCAAATATTCGCTGATTTTCCTCAATATACAAACAAACAGAAAGCATAGGGGGAAAACACATTTGTGAATTGAGCTATTTGCTTTTTGTGTAGCTTCTCTCATCAAAAACGTGGGGACATTCACTCCAGACTCTGCTGTTTTCACTTTCTAATATGAGGTCTCCACTCATCTCCATGCAAGTATTTCCCTTCCATTAATGTTAATGGAAGTCACTCTGGTGTATCAAGGGGAGAATAGATCCCTTTGTCTTTTTAATTAGTCCTATAAAAAATAAATGAATGCACTATGTGAGTTCTATTGAGAAATAAATTTTGGCCATCCACACTATGCGGCTTTTAAAAAAACATTTTTTTTTAAAAGAAGATAATATGTAGCTTCCTGGTTGGACACTAGCTAGGAACCAAACACATAAAAAAGTACATCAAGATTAAAGGGATAATAGGTAATTTTGTTCTTTAGGAAGATGATGTTACTAAGTGTGTCTGCAGAGCATGGGGCAGAATACAAAGCACAAGGCGCCTTTTAAGATGAAGCAACTGCAACCGCAATTTAATGGAGGACAAGAAAGCAATTAACAGTGTAAAGTCATTGATGCGAAGGATAGACCTCAGGATTAGAATCTTATTAAAACAAAGGCTGTACAACTTGATTATAACGAGCTAAGTTAAAAGATCTCCAAAACAATCTCAGCGTGCAAATGTGAAAAAGAAAACATAATTTACCCTATTATTACATTTTGCGCCCTATAAGGTGCTGGTAGCATTGAGATCTTTCCTAGGTCAATCTTTAACAAACTGGACAGCCGCTGTTTCCAGGACTTAATTCTGTAGGACTGAACTGAGGGGATAGAGGGCATTTGCTCGCTATCATGATTACCGAGTCAAAAAATGATAGTTCAAAACATGATGTTTTTTAGCACTGTTAGAAACTGTTCTAGAAAAGCAAAGCTTTTTTTTTTTTTTTTTTTTTCTTCTCAGTTCTGTTCCTCTCTGGTGTTTTTCTAATAACATCACTAAGACTGTTCTGCAGGTCAGTGTAAAGATAAGCTGTGGTTTGCAATGAACTAAACTGTAATCTTCTGACACTTTCCTTGCTGATTTAATATTTTAAGACAAAAGCATAAAAGGGACAGTGAGAAATGAGACAAAGGGCACCATATTAAGTGCAACAAAAACAAAAACAAAAAACAAAAAACCCACTGCCTAAAAACCTGCCATCAATTAACAGTTACCATTTTGGTTTGTCAACGCCTCCAAGTTGGGATAAAAATCTGTCTTAAATAGGCCCTTAAGAATAAGTTAAAGAATTTTTTTCACTCAAATATGTACTATCTTTTTAATCAAAATAGACTTGAGTGAGGCTCATACTTCCCTTCAAGTTTTAAAGATGAATTTTATATTTTACAAACCACTTAATAAACTCCATATACATATTTTATCAATTGAGACATATTTGCTTCTATTTTTAATAGAACTGTCTCATGTGTCCATGTGGGAGAAAAATGTGACCTAAAGAGATGACTTTTTCCATAAAATTTTTACATAGTAGGACCAAAATATCAATTAATTAACTCTTAAGAGAATGATGACATTAATATATTTGTCAATCTATGCTCCCTCCAGCAGTGTAGAAGAGTCCATATCTGTGCCACTATTTCACACTGGCAAGGATATGAACTCCTCTATACCATTATTTCATGCTGGCAAGGATGTGGACTCTTCTACATTGTAGAATCAGGTGGATGTAAAGTAGCTATAATTTGCATTTCACTGATTACTAGTGAAATTGACTACTATTCACATATTTACTGATCATTTATTTTTCTTCTTCCGTAAAATGACCCTTTAATCTTTTGCCCTTTTTGCACTGTACTGCTAGTCTTTTTTATTATTGATTATAGGTGCTCTTCATATATTTTGAATTATCATCCTTTAATATAGCTGAGGCAGTATAACGTCATGTTGGAGTGATTAAAATAACAGACTTCAAAGCAAGTCAGCCTGGGTTCAAATTCCAGCTCTGCTACTTCCTAACTACGTGGGCATGAGCAAGTTCCCTAACTTCTTTGTGCCTCAGTGCTATCTACAAAATGGGGATGACAATACTACTTGTCTCATGGGGTTGTTGTGAAATTAGCTGCATTAATACATGTAAAGCCTTAGTATAAGCATCTGGCACATCATAAGCACTGAAAAATAACTACATATTATTTTTTGCCTTTTGCAGGTTTTAAAAATATTATCTCCTGTTTTGTAGCTTATCTTCTAATTTTTTTAAATGAAATCTTTTGATGAACAGAAGTTCTCAACTTCAATGTAGCTGAATTAATTTTTTCATCGTTTGAGATTTATATTAAAGAAATCTTTCTCTTCCTTTAAAGTCATTAAGATCTTTTGTAGACTGTCTTCTAAATGTTTTATGATATTACCTTTCATATTAAAATTTTAAGCCAAGAGGCATTAATTTTTGAGTTATAATAGGAGGTATGGGCCCAATTTATCTTTTTATAAAAAAATATGGACAACCAGTTTTCCAGCACAATTTATTGGAAACTCTGTTTCTTTCCAACTTGTCTACAATGCCAACTATGTCATGAATCAAGTTTCTGGATATGTGTAGACTCTCCACTTTTTAAAATTGGTTCACATACTTGTATTATGCCAGTAGCATATTGTCTTAATTAGTATAGCTTTATAATAATTCCTGAAATCCTGATAAGCAAATCTTTTCTCTTTGATCTTCATTTTCAGGAGTGCCTTGGCTAGTCTTGGCTCTATAATCAAGTTTTTATGAGATGAAGATATTTACTTTTTTGAGGGTGAAAAATTATTCTGGTGGAATCATTTTATGTTCTATATGGCTCTTGAGATTCTTTTAACCATCAGTCATGTAGAAATATTAATTTCTTTTTACAAAGATGATTTGTTACAGGAAATCAAGAATACAGGAAAGTGGAAAAACTACAGTAAAAGCTGTCCCAAGTCCAGCGTCTCAAGACAATCACTATTACCAATTCTGCATATCTAACAGGCTTTTTTAAAAATACATATAGCTATATGGAGGTATATTAATATGCAACATTTTACTTAAAAATTTCATATAATGGGCCTGGCACAGTGGTTCAGGCCTGTAATCCCGGCACTTTGGGAGGCTGAGGTGGGCAGATCACCTGAGGTTGGGAGTTTGAGACCAGCCTGGCCAACATGGAGGAACCCCATCTCTACTAAAAATACAAAATTAGCAGGGCGTGGTGGCACATGCCTGTAATCCCAGCTGCTCGGTAGGCTGAGGCAGGAGAATCGCTTGAACCTGGGAGGTGGAGGTTGCGGTGAGCCGAGATCATGCCATTGCCTTCCAGTCTGGGCAATAAGAGCGAAACTCCGTCTCAAAAACAACAACAACAACAAAAAAATAGGGACATGGATGAAGCTGGAAACCATCATTCTCAGCAAACTATCGCAAGGACAAAAAACCAAACACCGCATGTTCTCACTCATAGATGGGAATTGAACAATGAGAACACCATAGATGGGAATTGAACAATGAGAACACCTGGACACAGGAATGGGAACATCACACACCAGGGCCTGTCGTGGGGTGGGGGATGGGGGAAGGATAGCATTAGGAGATATACCTAATGTAAATGACGAGTTAATGGGTGCAGCACACCAACATGGCACATGTATACATGTGTAACAAACCTGCACATTGTGCACATGTACCCTAGAACTTAAAGTATAATAAAAAAAAAAGAAAAAAAAGGAGAAGAAAAAAGTAAAGAAACAAAAAAAGTTTCATATTATGTATTCTGTTTTGCTGCTGTTTTCCTCCACTCAGCCATATAGTGTAGAGATCTTTTCATGTCAGTGAAAACTGCCATATTTTAAACAATTTTAAAAATTAGTCAGCTTTGCTACAAAAATGAACCCAACAGTTTTGGTGACTTATAACTACACAACATATCAGGGGTTCGTCATTCATTACGGTTCTGCTTCATGTGCCATCTCATTCCAGGATTCAGGTGGTCCCTGTTTAGGACAGATGCAGAGTGTGGAACAGTGGAGTGGAGACCTGTTATGGCCTTAAGGTCTCCTAGACAAGGTGTGTGTCACCTCCACTCGTATGTGTTTGGCCAAAAGGAGACACATGCTTGGCCCCACATTAACGGGCTGGGCCAGTGCACTGCTCATACAGCAGCACTGCCAGGCACACAGTAGCACTGCCAGGCACACAGTAGAGCATGGGGTAGACAATCCTGTCTTGGAGATGGGACAGCCCACGTGGGGGCAGCAGAACAGCCTGCCACAATGATGGCCTGGAAGTCTTTCACTGCACAAATCACATGGTGCAAACTGGATTTTGAAAGCTAAATTTGGTATTTGATTAATTAATTTTAAAGTAAATTTGTCAATAGGAAACTAGGAAAAGGAAGTGAATAGACAATTCACATGCATACATACATACCTACCTATCAAAGAAATAAAAGGGGACCGGGCATAGTGGCTCATGCCTGTAATCCCATCACTTTGGGAAGCCAAGGTGGGCAGATCATGAGGTCAAGAGATTGAGACCATCCTGGCCAACATGGTGAACCCCGTCTCTGCTAAAAATACAAAAATTAGCTGGGCGTGGTGGTGCATGCCTATAGTCCCAGCTACTCGGGAGGCTGAGGCAGGAGAATTGCTTGAACCCGGGAAGACGGGAGGTTGCAGTGAGCTGAGACCACACCATTGCACTCCAGCCTGGTAACAGAGTGAGACCCTGTCTCAAAAAAAAAAAATAAGGATGACCTATACGAGAATATATTTAATGTTGCTAATAATTTTAAAGAAATGCAAGTTACGACTAACATGAATGATCACTTATGACCTATTAGATAAACAAAGAAGAAACAAATTTATGACATCCAGAGTTGGCGAAAGTGTTGGTTATGATCCGCACTGTGTTTTCTTTTACATTTTAGTTTAAAAATCCGGGGACTGCATTCTCAAATTTCGATTTTCAACTTCTCTTCCACAAAAATCTGGCAGCCTGGGCTCAGCATTCCCTGATGGTGACAAATAGCTGGAGCCGAGAGTGCCTGTCCCTTTGTGAGGACACTCTCCCATTCTCTATGATCCCATCACTCCCTATTGTCTTCCACCTGAACCACTCCTTCATTTAACTAGCTCCATGATCCCTCTAAGCATTTAAGCTTTGTATGTCTGCATAGATCAACTGTATCTCCTTCCGATTAACATTTAAAATATTTCAATTTTCATTAGGATCGAAAAAGCTGAAATCAATACCCTTGAATACTTCTTCAAATATCTTTAATTCCTAAGAGGGGTTGCTAGATAAAGTACCTTCCAATTTTGATTAAAAATTGCCCCACTCCCTCCAACAACGCATGAGCATGCCCATTTCTTCAGATACTGCCAACAGATGATATTATGATTTGTTTCATCTTTATCTAATAAATCATAAATGATAATTCAGTATAGTCATAACTTGCATTTCCTTAATTATTAGCAAGATTGAATATATTTTCATGTTCATATAGGCCATTCCTATTTCTTTCTTTGGGATGTATGTATGTATGTATGTATGTATAATTGCCCATTCACTTCCTTTGCCTAGTTTCCTATTAGCACATTAAGAAAATTAGTTAATCAGGACTCTTTATGTTAGGGATACTTATTCTAAGTGATATAAATAATTTGCTAGTTTGATTTAGTCTTTCACTGAGGTTTGGTTATAGAATTTATGTGTCAGTGTTGCAGTCACCAGCGATTAGTCTTTTTCTTTGTGGGTCCTCCCTATTACAAGTTTGTAAAAATGTTTACTCATATTTCGATCTTATGTATTTATGTATGCCTTTTTATAGTACACTATTTTATCTATCTGGAACTTAAAAATTAATATAAAGAGGAATGGTTGAATTCATATTTTTTGAACAGCTTCCAGCCAACTCTCCCTATACTACTATTGAAAAGTCATCCTTCCTTCATTTATTTTATATTCTTTATTATGGCACTAAATTACCACATATATTTGAATCTATTTCTGTATTCTTTTTCTTTTTAACTAATTTGTGTAGTGAGGCCAAAGCCCACATTGTTTTAATCTCTATAGTTTTATGTTTTAATATCTGGGATAATTATTCACACTCCATTAGACTTTTCATTGTTATTTTTTCCAGACTTTTACCAGATCTTTTTATACCTTTATTGTCTTGAATAAATTACATCATCAGTTTTTCAAGGCATCCTTTTACTGCGCTATCTTTGTCAGGTTTTGCATTCTATAATAAAAGGATAACTATTTACACTTGCTTCGGAAAAAATTCAGTTTTTTCTTTATGCTGTGAAACAGTTTAATTAGCACAGGAATTACTGATTTCTTTGAAATATAAAAAAGTGATATCTTTAAATCATTTTGTGGTTATTGGTCAATTTCAGCTTTCCAACTTGTGAGTCATTACTTACTTTATAATTTAATAGTACAGGCAGAACCATAATCTCAGAATACATATTAGGAAGACAGCATACTACTGAATCTTTATAGAATGGGCAATATGTTTTTATGGGTTTTTAAAAAAATCAGTCTGCTGAACGTGTTAGAAGAATTTTACAAACATGGTTTGATGATGATGATGATGATAATGACAGTGACAATAACACAGAAGACGCTAACTGGGCTCCTTGTACACATCCCCTTCTCTCCTTTTATATTCCTTTTCTTGGATTATGGCAACCTCATCCACCTGGTAGATCGAATTAGTAAACACAAAGCCATCCTTTCCACATTCATATATGTTCTTTCCCCTGTCTGCTAATATCTTGACTTCTCATTTGAACCACTTGGCAAATTCCTTGCATCTTTCTAGACCCAGTTCAAGCATCAGCTCCGTTGGGAAGGCCTCCCTGATTCCTCTTCTGCACATCACTCTTGGATACAATTAGGTGTTCCCTCTTTGAGTAAGAGTTCTTACACTTTATTGTAATTACTTGTCTAAATGTCTGTCTTCTTCACAAGACATTAGCATCTTTGACCACCGGGTCCGAGTCTTACTCGCTTTTATATCCCTGGAATTCAGCAGTGTCCGGTATTCAGTGGATGTTCAGTAAGTGTTTGCTGAATGCACAAACAAGGTCTGTGGCTTTCCTGAGTGGAGGGGGACAGTGACAGGCAGAAGATGTTTCACTGAGGGTTTGTCAGATGAAGGAGTCATAGTCAAGAGTGAGTAGAAAGTGATTATAAATGTGCTGGAGCTTCCACAAAGCTGGAAATAATGCATTCACATTAGAACGGCAGGATGAGCACAGCCGTGTGCAACACGCTCCTGTATGCCTAACCTTGCGGCAGCTGAAAAGGCACTGCACCCGGGAATACTGAATGACAACAAATACCTCCAGGTTATTCAGCTGTATCCCCGGTGGACCAGTGCAGTGTTGTTCCTTCAATACACACGACCACCTTGGACTGTGTACCTCTTGTTTCATTTCAGATCATGCAAATATCTGATTATTAGTGCTAGTTATGAAGGTAAAATGCTCTTTTTATTTTATTTTTTACTTTTAGAAATGGTCTTTGGAGGAACCAAGAGAGCATTACCAATATAATGGCAACTTAAAATACGAAGCTTTTGATGAAATTGTTTTAATTACATAGCCCACTTCAGCATACTTCAGTTTTGATCATTATTCTGGATCTCATGCACACGGCAATTTGAGTTTTACTTAAGAAAACAAGTAAACTAGAATTACCACACACAGCTTGTGAGTGAAACCACAGTTACAACTGAGCAATTGAGAGCCATCTAATTGACCTAGAGGTATAGTAATTAACTACCAGGGGATAAGCTAAAAGCTCATTTTGTAGACTCCAAGTGTTTCTACAGAGACCCCACATGTTACTTCAGTCTGCCGGAAGCAAAAGCCATTATGGTTGCCTTTGTACAAACAGAAGGAAGGAGATATTTGTGTTGGATTTTTAAAGAACTGATATTGTCATTCTCTCTGTCCAGGAGTATTATTGTGGGTAGCATAACAGACACCCCGCGATTTTGCTGCTGACTTAAACAATTATGATAAAAATTTCTTTCATAAGAACATATTCTAGATCTTTATAAGAATGCAACAATGGTCAATATCTTGGCACCAATTTCAAAAACTAATATTCCTTGGGATTTTTAGGTGGTTCCCAGCACATTTATAACTCCAGCAATTTTTTTCAGAGGTCTGGTAAATATCTTGTAATCTTAGAGAAAAAAAAATTCTCTTGGGTGCTCCCTGCCCTACATACATTACATCTATATGTAGCCAATTTCAAAGCTCTTAGATTTCTGTAAAGGTGAGAGTAAAACATTGTTTACTGGATAAATTGTGGCAAGGCTAGCAAGTTCATGACCAATGCTCAGGAATTAGGAAGACGGAACACAAGAGCCGAAATTCGGCTGCAGTCATTAATTGCATGTCCTATAAAGAAAAGAAACTCAGCCATCATCTCAGTCCCATTCCTCCAACCACTTTGTGGACAGTGGACCTTCAACAATGCCCTTTGGTGCATCTTTGATCTAATATTATGCTAATTAGCATCACTGATTCCATGTCAGTTATGTTGAAGACACCTGGCTTTATATGTGGCCCAGGAGTCAGCTCAGGGCTTCCTTGCCAACTGAAGTCTTACTGAAATTTCCATCTATTCCCCTTGTCTCTTTCCTCATCCTGTAGAAGTACAAAGTCTTTCCTAAGATTTTTTTTTTTTGGTCCATTCTTGAATATCAAGTTGTGATGGTCTTTTGAATTTTGTCTTCCCTGAGAAACTTTCCTTTGCCCTACTGACCCTGGCATGAAACAAAGGTCCTTATTTGGTTCACACTATATCCACACCAAACATCTGTGAGTTCAACAGATATGACAGAAATTATTGTTTGCGTGGGGGTCCTATGGAAGTAGTCGCGTTTCATGCCAGGCATCTGTCTCATTTGCTAGCCCTTCACTGCCCACTGCCACCTCTGCTGCCCAGCCGCAGCCTCCTGAATCATCTGCAGGAGTGGCTGGAACTCTGTTTTCTGAATCCAGGGCTATTCAGCTTTCCCCAGGCCTGCACCCAAAGTGCTTATGCTAACCCATCAACATGCTCAGTAGAATACAGTCTTCCAACAGAAGAAGGCAAGATATAAAGAAAAAGAACGAATTATGCTATATCATCTACATATAACTTTATTCGCCCAAAATCTGTTGAGTCATATATTATTTCAGTTTTATAGAAGGAGCAGCTAGATGCTCAGAGGTTAAATACATTAATAAAAGGCACACAGATTGCAAATCCGAAACCTTGCTCTTTCCTCTGCATCATACTCATTAAACACCTTACTCTTTTAAAGTCTTTTTCTCTCATACATACTCTTTTAAAGTCCTTCCCAGCGATAGACTATCAACTTCTCCATAACTCCCGCCTCTCCACTTCACCTGGCTGCTGAATGATGCCACACAATCATGATCTCCATGTTCTGCCCCCATTTCCCTCAACCTCATGCCTAAGATATTGAAATCCAGCTTTTGCCGTTATCTATATGATGAAACTCGAACCTGCATTGTCAGCAGTGGTTCCTGAGATGCCAAGCCCATGGCCTCTACACATTCTTTATTTTCCTCCTATTATTGAGGCATTGGCACACAATGAAGCATAGTCTGTTTATGGAAATTCTCTCCTCCCTAGGTTTCCATGACATATATGTTTATAAAGAATTCAATAGCAATTTTTAAAAGCAACTTGTCTTGAGTCTCTCTAAAGTATTAATATAATTTTAATATAAACAACTTTTGAGCAAATATTTTATCAACTTATGGAACATTTAATTAAATTACTTCATTATAATACAGTACAAATATAATTAGAGTTACAATCACAAACACAGGCGCATAAGCAGGCTTGTGAAACAACTCGATCCCTTCTTTTTTCCCAGCTGCCTGAATTTTCTATATCTAGAGTAAATATTCCCTGATCATGAATGATTTCAATCGGAATTCAAATCCATTATGTAGTATGCAGTGCTATGACTTAATAAGATGGGTGGCTTGAGGAAACTCAGGCCCTCTGTAATCTCTAATGCATACAGTAGAGTTTAAATTATATGCTTGCTATGCCTGCTTTCAAAAAGTTCATAGTCTTACAAGATATGTATCATCAGCATGAAATATTGCTAGCCTAGAATCCACTATTCTTATTAGAAGGTAACAAAAAAGTGGTGTATCATATAAAAGTTTTTAAGAGTAACTATATATATTAAAATTGCTGGTAGCTACACAGGACAGAAAGTATATTACTAGATGTATATATAACATGGGGAAACTGAAGATTGTTTTTATATTACACTTTTGGAAACTATAAATCCCCCCTTATTGGGTAAACAGTCTCTTACACAAAAATTTACCATACTCCTTCCAAAGGAAATAGTTAACTGATTGTGTTTGCACTGTTTGGCAGGTCTCATAAACAAAAGCCATCAAATTTTGCTTTAATAAAAATCACCATTACAATGTCATGAATTTCAGAAATATCTTTCTGAGGCGAGAAAAAAAGCCTCAAGTGCCTGATTTTAGAGTAAACAGAGTAATATAACAACAACAACAAAACCCCAAAATATTTGAAACGGTTTCAGCAGACTCAGTAGAATCTTGTCCGTATTCACCTTAATATGTATCTTGATCACAGATATCATGAAGCTGGTTTTGCTTTTCTTACCCTGCATCTACCATTCAGGAAGTAAATGTGTGAGCATCCGTACTGCACATTTGTAATGAATTGATGAACTGAATTAACAATGTCCTATTTAAACTGCACAAAATTTAGAATATACAAGATTGTTGGATAAATGCAACAAAAAAAATCAGTCTTATTAAGGAAAGACAAACTTTTACTAGCTTACCTGACTGAGTTAAATCAACCTCAGCCAGATAATCTAACCGGTAAAACAAAAGAAAACTAAAGCTACCCTTTCTTGTGATATTTGAAGTACCTGTCCATTTCAAGGATACAAATTATCTACAAAAAGGAACTAAGTGATCTAGTATTTGGAGAAGAGTCATTTTAAAACAGAAGACGTTGAAAAATAAATGTATAATGACTAGATCCAGGACAGAGGAGTAACTGACAGAAGATTCACGATCATCATTCCACCTTGCAACTCAGTCATCTTCATCTGCTCCAAACATTGGCATTATATATGCACAATATAATTTGCTATACTGTTCACATGAAATGTTTGCTTGGAGATAATTAAGTATCCCCTTATTTATTTGCGAAACTCTGTATTTCCAAAAAGAAAGACAAGGCTAGTAAGCCTGGTTTTTGGATGTTCTGTTCTTGGATGAAGTTCACAGGCATAGGCAGTTTAGAGATAACAGTTGGCCTCCCTTTTTCTTCCAGAACACTATTCTTTGCATTCTCTGCTTCCTGACCCCACATTCTCCTCCTTTTATAAGTGTCCTCACTCCCAATGTTCTTCCATGGCTGCCCAAGCTTTGAATATAAAGATAAATGCTACCTTACAGGTTACAAGCTTTCATTTACCACTAAAAGAATCTGTTTAAAATAAGATGAGCATATGATTTTTTTTTTAACCTGGGGAAGATAGAACATATTTTACAAAATAAAATGTCTGTTAATGCTGTAGGCAAGAGATGCTCTCCCCTGCCCACACACCTTGATTTGCACCCTTACAGCCAAACAAGAGTTGCTTGGGCATTTCATGAGTCCCCAGTCGGCATCTGCAGTAAAAGGTACCATCTGAGATTAAACCAGGCTGACCGCCTCCAACTTGACGGCCATAACTCTAATATCCAAACTGAATATTCTTCTCATCAGAAACCTCCCTCAACACTAATTTGGCACAGAAGCAAACAGGCCATCGAGCAAACCTGTAAACCGAAGGTGTCAGACACTAAAAGGTACCATTAAGCTGATAAAATATCTCTGCATATGAGTAGGCATCATTACGGGGCTATATTTCTTAGGACCTAAAGTTTATTGGCTCATTCTCCAAATCTGACAGTGTCCTTCATGAACTATCAAACATATCATAACACAAGCTATTAAAGGAAATAGAAAGTGTACGTTTCTCTAAATAATCTTTTCCCGTTGCAGGTAAACTTAATGCACTTGGAAAAAAATATGTGAAATAACAAGCAGCAGCAATTTTCAAAAGATGATCTGAAGAAAAAAAATCATATTTTATAGGGACTGTGAGTCACATAAAGGCCCTTTTATACAGCACCATTACTGCAAATCTTAACAAAGATTCGGTGAAAATAGGTGATGAATGAGAGTGGTAGAGAAAGATGCATACTACAAAGTGCTCAGTCAAATGTCTTTGTGTTCAATAAATAGCTTTAAAGATTAACCATGTTAGAGCTGGTGAAAAATGGAATCCTTCAACTTCTCATTCTCTGCTTAATAGGTTGCATTCTTAACATCACACAGACTGCCACTCTGTCCCCATGTGCTCTAACGGTCCACCACCCACAGTGAGCTGGGTATAAGGACAATGATTTATAAGGCTTACGAGGGCTTCTCTGGTTTTCCTGTGATGAACACCTTCACGATTTAATGTTTGTACTGTACATAAAACTAAGCATAAAGCCAAAAGCTAGTCTTATCTGTGCAAACATATATGAGTATATATATCAATGGAAGAAATGACAAGGTACTTTGTGGCTGTTGTCTCATCTGGAAACCACCACTCCCCCAATGCACACACACCAGAAACATTATCCAAATTGCTCATCACCCTGGCTTTAGAATATGTAACTTAATTAAATACACATATATTCCTTGGAATTTGGCTACTGTCTTGGCAAAATTCTACAAGTGTTTCCTTAGAGTCTATTTCCCAAGGCTAAGTCACAGGGATTATAATGGGTAGATTAATCACATTACTTATATGCGCTCATTCTCAGGGTTGATAAATATTCGGATGTTTAATAAACTTCAATGTGGTGTCGTGGTTAAGAACACAGGTTTTAGAGGCAGACAGAGTTCAATGCACATTCTAAGGCAGAAAATTGTGAGTTCTGTGATAAGAATGCCTGTACTGCAGAATTGCTGAAAGAATGACTGTATAGCAGTCTATGTAAAACACCTTGCACACTGTCCAGCACATGGGCGTTATTCTGAAACTTTTCAATAATATCACATATAGGAAGCCAAGCTATTATAACAAAAACTGACTGCGGGTGGTGCGTGGTGGCGCATGCCTGTTATCCTAGCTACTCAGGTGGCTGAGGCATGAGAATTGCTTGAACCTAGGAGGCTGAGGTTGCAGTGAGCACCACTGCCCTCCAGCCTGGGTGACAGAGCAAGACTCTGTCTCAAAAACAAACAAAAACCCCAAAAAACTGACTTTGGGAGGTGGGGGTGGGGGTGGGGCAGGCTGTTTATCAATTTAGTTAGCACTGCCCAAAAGTGTGTAAGTAGCTGAAACAAATAGTAATGGACTAAGAGAGAGATGCTGTCTTCTAGTGCTGCTCTGTATCTGCCTTTCTGCTTCTCTCTGCTTTTGTCTCCCTCTTCTGAAATCCTCAGCCATTCATTGAATCAGCAACTTGTATTAATTGGCAAATATGGGAGAGGTTGAATACTTTAGTGTTCTGAAAGTGATTTGGGCTTAGATCTTGTCCTCTTTCAAGAGTTTACTACAGCTTGGTAGAGATGACTAGTTTTCACTCATATCTAGCTCTATGCATCCTCCTGGGTATGTAGGGGACTATATTCCACTGCACCATTCATTTAGGAGGAGTCAGATTACTAGTTCCAGCCAACGAAATGTCAGCACAAGTGACATGCCATTTCTGTGCCTTGTCATTTAAGAGACTGGGAGGCCTCTCCATGCTTTGTGGCTGCCTTGTGAGCCACATGCTAGGAAAATGGCCTGATAAGATGAAGGGGGCCTAAATCGTCAAGTCACTGGATGAAGAAGTGCTTCAGTTAGCCCAAGCTGAACTGGGTATGGGTGAAATTCAACTTCTGTTTATCTTTTGCAGCAACTAATGGTTACTTACGTTGATTAATACAGAGAGAGAAAAATGCATAGTAATTATTGTAGAAGGTAATAAGTACCTTATAAGAGGATTTGAAGAGGACTTCCGCCAGGAAGATCATATTGAGGGGTTGTTCCTTTAATTCAATCTTGAAAGACAGGTATTATTTATTTAAGTGACAGTGGAGGAGAAGGGCATTCCATCTGGAAGAACCACTCATGAAGAGAGCCAGAGCGGTAAGGACCTGTAAGACATCACCTATCATCTTCTGGCCCTGAAAAAACAGATGTGGTCTCTGCCCTAATGGAGCTTGCACTCTAATGGGGTGCCAGATATTAATCAAAGACATCAAAAATGAATGTTGAGTTACAACAGTGATAAAAACGCAGGGGAATAAGTTGTGTAATTTGAGATCACAGAACAAGAGGAAAGAATCTAATTAGGGAGGTCAGGGAAGGTTTTCTGAGGAAGAAATGATTGAGCTACAATCTAAGGAACAATAGAAGTTCACTAGCTAAACTGAAGGGTAAGGAGAAAGCAAAGTGAGAGAGGACTGCTACCTTAGAGAACTCGGCACAGAACAAGTCTAGAGAGCAAGCAAGACTCAATCTCGTGGGACCACCTTACAGATTTCTGTCTTTATCATGAGAGCAATGGAAGGTCCTTTGGACGTTTTAAGCAAGCTGGTGATAAGTTCCAATATGCCTATCCAAAAGATTACTCTTTTCCACAACTTACTGTGGAAAATAAACTAGAGGGGATAAGAATGGAAGCAGGGGGGCCAGTTCAGAAGATACTGCAAAATATCCAGGCAACACACAAGAGTAGCTTAGACAAGGAGGGTGGCAGTGGAGAGAGAGTGAAAAAATAGGAGGGATGTGAGAGATAGTGAACTCGGTGATAAATTAGATATGGGGGGTAAAGTAGAGGAAGGTTTCTGGTTTGCATGAGAGAGTGGATGGTGATGCCACTCACTGAGAAGAGGAAAACTGGAAAAAGAACTAGGCATGGTGAAAAAAAAAAAAAGAGCTCTATGTTGAGCATTGTTACAGCCTGAATGTTTGTGCCTCTCCCCGCCCCCTAAATTCACGTAGTGAAACCTAATCACCAGTGTGATGGTATTAGGAGATGAGGCCTTTAGGAGATGATTAGGTCACAAGGGCAGAGCCCTCATGAATGGACCAGTGCCCTTATAAAAGAGAGCCCAGAAAGCTGTCCTGCACCTTCTACTGTGTGTTGTTACAGTGAGAAGACATCCACCTAGGAAGGAAGCTGCCCCTCACTAGACAGCAAATCTGCTGGTGCCTTGATCTTGCACTTCCTAACTTCAGAACTGAGGGTAATAAATGTTTGTTGCTTATAAGCTACCCAGTTTATGATATTTTGTAATATTTTGTAATAGCAGCTCCCAAAACTAAGACAAACATATTGTGTTTGGGGCACCTTCGAGATGGTCAAGAGGAAGTGTCAGAGAGACAGTCGACCTCCAGGTCTAGTTCTTAGAACAATGCATCTCAAACTTGAATATGCAATCGTATCACCTAGGGATCTTTTGAAAATGCAGATTCTGATTCAGTTGGTCTGGTGTGGGGTCCATGATGATGCATTTTTAACATGTTCACTAGTCAATGCCAATACATGATGCCTGCACATGGTTAGCACTCAATAAATATTTGGCAAACTAGAACGAATGTACTACTGCAGAAAGTATTAAAAATGAAGGGTAAACTAAAGGGAGAAAAGTAACTTGAACAGTCTGTACTCAAATTTGACAGAAACATCAAAAGCCTTAGAATGTTTATAACATTTGACAATAATTTTATGTTTAAGAAATTTCCCTGAGGAAATAATTTATTCTAAGGATATGCATAATGATGTAGCTATGAGGACAATGTAACCCAAATTGAGAAAATGTATGGATCTGTTTTAAAAATGGAAACTTCTTACAGACTCTCACTGTTGACTTAAATTAATTTTACTGTTACTTAGATGTATGAAAATATGAAATTACATAGTGGCTCTTTAGGATTATGGTTCTTATACAACTATACAATCCAAACAAATGTAAAACAAATCTACAAATTAAATACAATACTTACAAATCACATGACATTCAAAACAACAACATTAATTTAGAGTTACTAATGTTTTTGTTCTTGTTTTTGTTTTTGTTTTTGAGACAGTTTCGCTCTTGTTGCCCAGGCTGGAGTGCAATGGTGCGATCTTGGCTCACTGCAACCTCCGCCTCACGGGTTCAAGCGATTCTCCTGCCTCTGCCTCCCGAGTAGCTGGGATTACAGGCATGCGCCAC
Source organism: Homo sapiens (assembly GCF_000001405.40). Taxonomy (NCBI): domain Eukaryota; kingdom Metazoa; phylum Chordata; class Mammalia; order Primates; family Hominidae; genus Homo; species Homo sapiens. The sequence continues at coordinate 115,886,377 of NC_000010.11, read as the reverse complement.
CACACCCGGCTAATTTTGTATTTTTAGTAGAGACGGGGTTTCTCCATGTTAGTCAGGCTGGTCTCGAAACTAATGATTTTTATGAGAGCCTTGATTGCTGTCTGCTGTGAATATGGTATCAACTTCTTGGGTTTCTATTTTCTTTTTTAGTTTTGAGTTTGATGTATCTCTGCTACCTCCATGTGATGGCTCAATCCTGCCACTGCTTTTTGCTATTTGAACTTCCATTTGTCCTGCATACTATGAGGTCCTTTGGTTTCACTCGGTGGAACCAACTATATGATCATTTACTTATTAAGCAGACCTCTGTCCTTTCTCATCAGCTCACAACAATGAAAGTGACACGCAGCACAGCACACTGTGAATACAGATGCAAACGCAGGCACTGACATTGTCACAAGGTAATAACTTAGAATGAATGACCTTTAACATGTTTTCATGAAAACACAACATTTAAAACTTCTTTTAGAGAACCCTCACATGGTGAATAGTAAAATGATAGAAATTAATGTTGAAAAACTAGCCTAAACGTCCATCAAAACTGGTTAAATAATTTAGGGACTACCAATATTACAGATTATAATGGAGTCATGAGAAATATGATAAAAGACAATAATACTTCATTGGAATGTTCACAATATACCGCTTCTAAAATGCAGGTCGCAAGAAGTATACATATATATGTAGATACAGTGAGATTCATCTACAAGAGAGACTGAAAGCATATACGGAAAAAAGTTAACATTGATAAGGAATTATAAGTGATTTCTATTTTCTTCTGTGGGTTTTCAATATTTTACAAACTTTCCACGATGAATATATGTTAGCATTGTGATCAGATGAAAACATTATTTTTTTAAAAGAATTCTTGCACAAAGCATCTGACAAAAAACTACTGGATTTCATAGCTTAGAGACAGGTCAGATTTAGTAAGACAGTGTCTAAGTACTTGTTATTTGAGGCATGCCAAGAAAAAAACCGTGAGACTTGCTTGGCGCCGCTCATCCCTGGTGGTAAGATGAACCACAGTGGGCATCTTCCTGACAGAGTGGCAGTACTATCATCTTCCCACCTTCAAGGAGCTAACAGTATTATTATCAATTCTTGACATGCTATACAATCTCCCTGAGAACAATGGAATTTCAAATGAGACCTGAGTCTTTGAATCTGTTTATTTATTTATTTTTGATAAGACACAAATTTTACATAAGTACTCTCTACTTACACAGTCACTGTTCATCATTTAATTACATAGCTAATGCCAGGGATTACAATAGTGAGTGCACAAAGATGTAATTATGGGATAAGTACCTGGTAATTTCTATTCTCTAAAGTGAAGTCTGAATGTTAATTAGCTTTAAGCATATTATGGTAGGTGCAATTATCAGGTAATCTTTGGGAATGTGTACTTTTTGGATCAGCATTTATTAAGGAAGTCCTATGCAGTTACTGAGGAATGTTACAAAAAGCTGCAGACCTTTGTGCATGGATAAAAAGAAAGTATAATTAGAGAAGTCAATTCCACTGTCACCTTATTGGTATTACTATATTCCCATTGTTCCCTTGTAATTCTGTCCCTGTAAATGCTCAATTATTCACTATTCCCAGGTACCTGGGATATTTGGAAGACCTGTACATGTGATGCGTAGCTAAGTACGAAATGCCTGAAGAAGCCAAGTCCATCAAATAGAACCTCTCTTCGGCAGTTTTTTTGCATTTAAATATGAAATCATAATGAAGTGTCCAGGTGGCAGAATTTTTTGCTTCAGCAGCTGCAGTACCGACTCAGGAATTCAAAAGCAGAAGCCCAACAGATTAACGATTCCCCATAATATTATCTCTGTAACATGCAATTTGTTCTCAATGATAATTAGATATTTAGAGAGAGACATAATTAGGAAGAAGCGGCCTAATGCTTTTTGTTGTTGTTGTTGTTTGCTGAGAATCTCCTGACAGCCAGATGATCCACTATGGGAGCAATGTGATTCTGGGATTGGAATTTGCAGTAGCTGGCTATGTTGAGATATGGCTTAAACATTCTGCATGGTGAAATAAAACCACCCTAAATTCAAACCTTCCTAGAGTTAATTGGTGTGTCATATCTCCCATCCTTGAAAATAGGCCAGGATTCTGTTTATAAGGGCTTCATAGCCATGGATTACCAAAAGAAATATTGGGCCAGATATAAAGAGAAATGAGGTAAAATGTGATTTCAAATTCATTTTGGAATGATCACGGCTAAAACAGCCATGTAAAGGTAAGGTCCAGATGGAAACTGCTATTTTCTTTTGCCTGTTTATGACAGCTTGTTCCATTTTTCCTCAGCTCTAGCATTGTTGCCACAGAAGCCCATATCTAAATGCACGCAATTCTTTCCTGGAATTTTACTTACTGAATCAATCATTAGGTTCTGTCCCATGAGCAGAGTGGACACCAAGCTACTCAAAATGTCATTCTTCATATCCATTCCAAATGCCCCCACTGCAGGCTGAATGGACAGTTTGAAAAGACTGCCTCTGCATCTGATGAATGTAGGCCATTTCTGAACTGGTCAGAGATTCTTACCCAGGCAGAAGGCCCAGGCCTTAGGCAGAACGTTCACCCCTAAATCAGTTCTTTCTATACCAAAGCTCTAGAAGATCCCCTCTGCTCTCTCCTCCTGAAATATAACTCTCCTCCTGACTCCCAGCACTATTAATTAGTTGTCCTTTTAAAAAACTTCATATGAAACCATATAGTTCACACCCTTTTGTGGCTGGGTGTTTTAGCTCAACCTTATGCACACAGGATCCATCTGCATTGCTGCATGTAGCAGTAGTTTATTCCATTACGGTATACCATACCCATGTATGAATATACTACACTTCATTTATCCATGTTGTTATTGATGGTTATTTAGATTGTTTCCAGTTTTTAGCTACAAAAATTATGCTGCTGTGAACATTCCTGTATAAGTCCTTTGGTACACATATCCACCCATTTCTGTGGGGTGTTTATCTAAAGATAGGATTGTCCTCACTCCCAACAGCTGTAGCTCATTCACTCATATGCACAAGAGCTTTGTTTTCCTAATAGAAGAGAGTTTTATTGAGGACAGGTCTTAGATGGAGTGGGAAGGATAGTGGGGGAAGAAATATAACTTATTCTCCATTGGAGCTTGCAGACTGGATGTGCAGGAGGGGTAAAGAGTTTCTTGCATGGATGTTGTTCTTGGATGGGTATAGAGTTGTCCAGGGTCCAGAAGATGCACTCCTACCATCTGCGCAAAGCCCTGCCCAGCGCTGGTGCCTTAGAGAACAGGAGTTTGGGATTATCAAGAGGTCGCAGCTTGGATAGCTACTGGCATCTGTTCCCCTGATAGACCATGACAGTGGTGAGGCATCTGTAAAGGCTTTATGGGCAGAGAACATGGGCAAGGATGGCTAGAGCCAGAAAGTTCAAACAGCCGGAGCTATGATGTATTGTAACTGGTTTATTCCTTCCATAAATAACTGGCGGCCCATTGGGAGGCAGGGAGCACTAAAAGCTTGCTATATGGCAAGGGTGAAGTACCTGTAGACATCTGTCTATTTTACAAAACTATTCACCATACAAAGTGGCTAATGCCACTGCACCAGAATGAGCAAAGACCTAAGAGCTCTGCGGGGAAGAGACGCCATTCTACTCCTCATCCTCTTCTCATTCTCCAACTCAGACCCCTTCCTTACCAAAACATTCTCCCTTCCTCTATAAAACCACAAAGGAGAGTTGTAACACTGCCTACAAGGAGTCTGGAAGGCTTCATAGAGAAGATGACAATAATGTGTGACCCTGGAGAGTGGAAAATTTTTCCAGATGACAGCAAGTCTTACAGGCTGAAAAAATAGCACATGTGAATGAAGTACGAAATAGCACATGTGAATGAAGTATGAAAATACAGGGTACCTATGGGAAAGAACAACTAACTCAGTGTGACTAGGAAGTACAATGTGGGTGTCAGAACCTGGGTTAGGGGCGTCTTAAGGCCACTTATTTAGGCAGTTCGGTGAATATCTTCCCAGCAGCCCTCAGTGGGGCAGACCTGACCACCAGCCTTTCTCCCAAAGCCCGCCACACCCCTAACTAGTGTGGGCACCCTGCAGGCATTCTAATGCATGTGCTTATTTGCTCAGCTCTCAGTGTTTATTCAAGGCCTTTTGTGGCTCTTCCCCAGAGACAACAACTGTTTTTGAATGCTGAGTGCCAATCCTGCAACATCTTCCCTTTACCATTTATCCCCAGGGCCTGGACGTGTTGGTCTCAGTCTGATGGTGTTGGAGATGGGGCATGAGTGTTAGGAACCAAGGCTGGGGAAATAAGTAAAGACTGCATATGACAGGCTGGGAAGGGTGAACTTTACCTGTCAGAAATGGCTGGTCCTCAAAAATCTGCAGGTGACAGGATAGGTGGTATGCATTTAGGGGAGTTACCTCCAGCACCAGTGTGGAAGATAGGCTGGTGGAGGGCAAGTGTGGGGTTGGCAAAGCTATTTAATGGTAGGTCCTGGAGCAGATTGATGAGCACAGTGTAATGCAGGGCAGGTGAGCTTGGAATTTAGAAGCAGACAGACCTGGGTAGGCAGCACTTACTAGCTTGAGGCCATGATAGTGAAACTCTCCAAGTCTCGCTTTCCACATTTACGAAATGAACATAATGGAAGAAGAAGATAGCCTATAATGAGTAAAAGAGACCTAAAGTACCCAGCATATGGCAGGGCTCTGTCAATGTTAGTTCTTTTGGTTTTTGAACTACAGAAATAGTCTTTGAGAAATCAGAGGTGGGATCAACACTAGTATTTAACTGAATGTAAAGGTTGAGGGAGGAGTCAAAGATGACTTCAATATTTTGGTTAGGTAAGCCAGAGAGAATATAGGAAACAAAGCTTTGTGGGTGAAAGCTATTGTGCTACAGAGTTGATGTGTTGGAGCACTCCTTCATCACCATCCGGCAGAAACAGAAGCAATCCATAGGGGCGCTGCAAACTGCAAATGGCTGTGCGAGTTCATCACTGCACAAGACTCCTGGCTAAGGGCTGGGCACCGGCTGAAATGCAGATTCCACTCTGTGCCAAGCCATAAACTCTGGAGCAGGACAGCATTTGCTCAAAGGCAATGAAAGCTAGTGGTGGCCCTGGAACTACGGTACTCCCATGTATAGCTGGATACGCAGCCTACCCTCAGTGGAAATACCCAGAGATAGGCTCATGTTAGCTAGGCAATGCCCTGAGCATAAAACAGGGAAAGCCCTTCATAGAGAGAGCCTGAAGTCCCAGAAAAGACAGGCCACGCATTGAGGGCACAGGCCCCAGGACAGCTCCACAAAAATACAGTAGGTACCACCTGCCTCTGAGTCATTTTCACCCCGGGGGGATTAGGACATTCAGACACTCACAGAATGTTAAAGTGGGAAGGGGCCTCACACCTCTATTCAGAGCTTGTTCTTTTTGGTTTCTCAAGGGGAAAACAACTCTTATGATTACCTGCTTCCTCTCTTTCTCTTCTAAAGCAGTCCTTTCAAACCTCATTGATTACCATACATTGCAGCAAGATAAATACTTAAGAGCATAAAGGGTTTAACTACTCGTACATGCACAAAAGACTCAGGATGAAAAATCCAATACTGATTAGGTAAATGACAGGGACACAATTGGCCTAGATGTTCTACAACATCCATCAAATTCTTCCAGGCCCTTCCAGTTCCACAGTACCACTCCCTTTCTTTTTTGTTTTTGTCTTTGAGATGGAGTCTCACTCTGTTGCCCAGGCTGGAGTGCAGTGGTGAGATCTTGGCTCACTGCAACCTCCGCCCACTGGGTTCAAGCGATTCTCCTCAGCCTCCCAAGTAGCTGAGATTACAGGTACCCATCAGCACTCCTGGCTAATTTTTAAAATTTTTATTAGTAGAGACTGGGTTTCACCATGTTGGCCAGGCTGGTCTCGAACTCCTGACCCCAGGTGATCCACCTGCCTTGGCCTCTCCAAGTGTTAGGATTACAGGCGTGAGCCACCGTACCTGGCCCCTTTCTATTTATCACAGGTCTTCTCTAGCCGAAGCCTGGGATTCCTTCACTTTTCTCCATAGTTCACCCTCTCCCATGGCCAGGCTCAGGTTGACCCCACTGTCTCAGATCTCTGGGTCCTTGCGACAGCAGGCTTTTCAGTTAGAGCTACAGATTGCATCTGTTTCTCCTTGGCTGACAGCCACTGCCAGTTGAGGTGAAGCACTCTACTGAAAGCCTCCAGCAGGATGACTTTATCCTGGGAAATAATTTCAGTTCCTAGTCCAGCAATATAAGCTGCTTTCTCCTGTCTGAAGCTGTTTTTGCCTTGTTTCCAGGTGCTTTTGGCATCATCTCTGCTGTGTTGGCTTTTACCATCTGATGACTTTTGATTTCTAGCTTCTGAACAATTTCCTGGCTCCTGAGCTCAGCTTTTACTGCCCCACCCTGACCCCAGGCTTCTGCATACTATTCTTTCAACTTGTTCCCATCCATCACCCACAGCCTCTCCGAGGCTCCCCTGATTTCCTGATGCTCGTGAATGACTGCAGCCTCCGCTGCTGGTTGAAAATGCTTTCCTTGCAGCCACTCGAACCACAGTTGGACCAGAATCTCTAGTATTCCCTTAAAAAAAACTCACAGTGATTATCATTTACAATCTATTGCTAAAAAGGGGATTTAAAGCAGCTAAGTGACTACTATTGTTTTTATTTTCTGTTTATTTACCACAGTCAGGGGCTTCCCCAGTTCAGCTTCAGTTCAGCCCTCTATTCCTTTCAAAATTCTCGGTTCCCTTTCTCACAACTCCCTTTACCCCGTTATACAGACTCACTGAGTCTACACCCATCTTTTGGTTTATAAAGAAATCTTTCCTCTACCTGCATATAGGGCTCTCCTATGGCTACATAGCATCATGCTTTGAGCATTGACTTGACAGCTGGACTGTCTGGGTTCAAATCCTCACTCTGTCACTTGTTTGCCATGTCATCTTGGCCAAGGCATTTTACTTTGGTTTCCCCAATCTATAAAATTTCTTTCTTTCTTTCTTTTTTTTTTGAGATAGAGAGTTGCACGTCACCCAGGCTGGACTGCAGTGGCACGATCATGGTTCACTGCAACATGGAGGTCCTGGGCTCAAGCAATTCTCTAACTTCAGCCTCTTGAGTAGCTGGGACTACAGGCATGTATCACCATGCCCAGCTATTTTTTTAAATGTAATTTTTAGTAGAAACAGGATCTTGCTATGTTACACAGACTAAAATTTCAGTAAGTATGTGTATCCCCTGGGGGGGTGCTGTAATATTTAAATGAGTATGTGAATGCACATACATAAACCTTTTTAACACTACCTGGCATAGAATATGCAACATATATGTGATGCCATTATAATTTTTCTCTTCCTCATACTATTTTTATGCCTACACATTTTCATCTTTTTCATCTTTTCTGATCCCTACCACTGGAATCTCTCAATTCTCCAATCAAACAATCAATATTTAGGGGGTCAGGAGGTAAATTTTTCTACAAGTACAGACCATGTTGCTGCTGGGCGAAGGAGCTACTTGTATGCCTCATTTATACACAGTATCAGGGGCACTAGTATTACATGGTATTAACGGTATTAACAAAACACATGCATTATGCAACCGAGAGTCTTGAAACTGTAAGGCTCCAATACAATGTCAAGCAGGACTTTCTTGCTCTAATTATAAATGAAGCAGATCCCCAGGTCCTTGTTTTGCACAGAGGAAATGCAAAAGGAAACTGCTTGTAGAAACAACAACAACATAAAAAACAGAGAAAATATACTTGTACCCCAGATTAATCTACCCAGACTAGAGATGCACTGATATGTCAATTATCTGGTATTCTGCAAGTTCAGAACCCTTCATCAGGTTCAATAACGTGTGTGTGTGTGTAGACAGGTAAGCATATTGAGGCTTCTTGTCCACATCTATTTATTTCTTATTGTTTCTTATAATCTATTTATTTCCTGGGAGAAGAGTCTTCCTACTGGCATTCTCTCTGGCCTAAGCCATGCAATAAGTAAATTATGTCTTTCATTGTAATGAGCAAATAGTGTGGCTTTAGGTTGGTTGGAATGAAGGCTTTTTCTTGCATGTGTGTGGCCAGTATGGTGAGGCTGGCCAGTAAGATCTGAAACAGATTTAGTCCAAATGAAATAGATTCAGCAAAGATTCTTCCATTTTTCTGCACATCAGAACCATATGTAAAGCAATCTTCAAACTAGATCTGCAGAGCCCTACAGAGGAGCGCTGAGAGGGCAGTGGGGAGAAGGGGAGTGGCAGGTCTCCTAGCCCTGGGCCACTTCTACAGGAGCTGCTCCCCTCTGATCTGGGAGTCGTCTTAAGAGGGAAGGATACTGCAGAGAGAATACTGAGACACTATTTGCTTCCTGTCTGAATCCCACACAAGACTCTAAGTGTCCATTTAGTGCAGGGCCGTTTGGCATTAGTGCCTAGCACGGTGCTTAGGAATTTTCTTGGACTTAGTTAATATTTTTGAATAAATGAATAAAATATATGTGAAATCTGCCTATCAAGAAAAAAATATTGCCAAGTCCCTAGAGAGATTAAACTAACATAGGATTTATATAGTTATGTGGTTGGCTGAACTATTTAAATTAATTGTAAAATTTGCTTACTGTTTATATTTACTAGGATTTAAATATTGCCAAACAATGCTTTTGTTCCCAAAGTCCAAATAAAATAATCTCATCCAGGTATTATTGCAAGGGAAATATTTAAACATCAGTGTACTTTACCCATTTATTGTCACTAACCTATTTCTGATCTGCCTGTTTATACAAATAAATGAAGCTTTTATGTAGGTATATGTAGGGACCCCCTGGAGTGGGCTTTCCCAAACTTCCATATTCTGGAGAAGTGCTAAGGAGAGGTTTTAGTAACTCCCATAGATGGACTTGGTTTGAGCAAACCTGTAGCTTCCCACTGTGATGAGCAGAACAGTATCCTGGGGCCTGATCAGGTTCAGGGAGGTCTAAGGCTATATGGGTAGCTTTGTTTCTAGCCATGTGTATAGGCTTTAGATACTGATTTGCTGGCTACATTCTAAAGAGAAGTGATATCTCTTTTCACATTAACAGCAAATAAAATGACTGCCTTTCTACCTAAAGTGAAGTACAATGCAAGTAGCATCCTAGCTTCAATCAGATAAATGCCTTCTTCCCAATTTTGTTCTCGTGCTTCTAAGAAAGCCGGAAAAGTATTCTATGGTAATAGCAGCTCAAAGCCTAGTCTATTACCATATACCAGTTACTCATTTTAGTTTACAATTGCTTATAAAGCACAAAAGTTCTCTGGTTTTTGGCTTGGAACCATAAGGCAGAAAATGTACTGTACTATGCTTCTAATTGTCTACTATTCCTTTTAAAGGGAAAACCATTCTAGATAAATTGTTTGGCTGAAATGCTAGAAATGTTTTAAACAGAAAAAATGTTTCCTTTCCTGGAACTGTCACAACATTTCTCTGATTAAAACATGGTAGATTTATAGTTAAGAGAATATTCAGAGAACAAAAGGTTGCAATTTAGTTTACTAACAACTTAAAAACACAAATTACTAAAAAATGCTTTAAAATTATTTTTCAATGTACACGACCTTAGCAATGAATTAACTATGGTTATCACTGTCAGATCTCTATAATTATACAGTAATCATTCATTCATCAAATCTTAATTGAGCACACACTGAATTCTATGTCTATTTACATATGAATCCCTTAACCCTTTCCCAATCTGGAGATTTCACTTCAGAGAGCCTCAAAAATATGAAACACAATTACAGATCAGGGAATAGGTGGAAAAGACTCAGATAAGCTTCTGAGCAGCAAAGAAAATGCCTGTTATAAAGTTCCTACATTTTGCTAGGTATGTGGGTATCTTCATGTTGTTATCAAAATAAATATGAATTAAATAGAATAACAAAAGACTTGGTGACATGAAGGAAGAGCATATATTGTCTGTCAGGTACTGAATTAAGTATATTACAGACATTATCTCATTTGAGCCTTTCACAATCCCCAAGAGATAAGTAGTATTAGCCCCATTGTACAGAATGAAAAATTAAAGCTGAGAAAGGGTAAGTGTCTTCCCAGGATAAAACACCCAAGAAGTGGTCCACATTCATCTGACTGCAAATTGTATGTTGTGATGTTCTGACCATTAAATATGCTGCCTTTTTCATTTAGCGTGTGTCTGTAGATTCTGAGCTGGGTAATCTGAGGACAATTTGTAATTACAGCCATTCCAGGTTCCAGTTTCACCTTGCTCCAAAGCTTAAACCAAATACCTACTTCCGACTTCAAGATTCCCAGTATTTGATCTCCTACTTTGCCTTTCAGTGTCCTTGACACTCATCCTTTTAGTCTTTGCCTGGCTAATTCCCAGTCATCCTTCAAAGTTTCTGCTAGAATATTATTTACTCAGGAACACCATTTTTGACTGTGAAATCTAAGTGGAGAACCCTTGTTTTACCTCCATGCCACTCTATATTTCCCTTTACTGCAATGATCACAATTTGTAACTAAGTATGTATTTGTATAATTATTTGTTTGATGACTATCTCCCACACCAGACTATAAGCTCTATAAGGGCTGGGAACATACCTGTTAGGTTCTTTGCTCAGCCAACACCTAGTAAGTGCTCAATACATACAAGTAAAACAAATGACCTATGCAAAGCTTTCAGCACGGAAGTAGGTACTCAATGCACATAAGTAATATTATTTCATTAATGAATGGACTACTTAGATCCTTGAATCTCTATCCTCATTTCATGTTCTATTTTGTCTCAGAGACTGATGTCTTAGTTTGGGGAATTTCTTTGGGAGTCCCCTTCCCGTTCTTAGAAAAAGTGCCCCTGAATTTGTTTCTCCACTTGTCCCTCAGGATAACTTATCCACAGAATGGTATCTGATCTGGCCAGTCCCTCTGGACTGCCTCCCCAAATTGGGCAATGACAGCAAGCTTCAATTGTCTAAATATTTTATTTATTTAGGTTACCTAATTTTAATGATGCCAGATAAATGTGGCCTTGCCTACTAAATCCAACAGCCTGCCAACTGTATTCAACCAGAAAAGATCTCTCAAATCAACTTACATTAAAAACTTCGCTATTAACATAAAAATCTCTTTAATGAGTTCACTGGTAGAGATGTAGAATGCTGAGATGCACAAAATAATAAATGATTAGTCAATTTAATTCAATTTGTCACCAAGTCCTATCAATTTCCACTTTCCAATAACTTTTGAATTCATCAGAGACTCTCTTTTTCTGCTGCAATCTAGACCCTCACCTGCCTGGATTACTGTAATTTTTCCTAGCTGATCTTTAGCTTCTGATCCCACTCTTTAACAGCTGAGTTTGTATACTCCAGAAAAGTAAATGTCCTCAAAACTGTGCATTTAAAGCTTGGATCCCTGCTCAGAAATCCAAAATGGTTTCCCAATTCCTACCAGATCAAATTCAAGCTCATCTTGGAAGTAAGGGCCTTCCTGGCATTTTCGATCTTTCTTAGCAACCTCCCACTTCCAAAGAACTCTGATTTCTGAGTCTCCTTTGCTCATGTGACTCTCCACTTAGACTGTGCTTCTCCACCTCTGCTGCCTGTCCAGGTTTCTATCACTTGGAAATCTCAGGTTCTGCTGACTCCATTTAACTTTTAGTAAGTGCTCTTTCTCTCTCACCTACATTTTTATCTTTTGTAGAAATGGAAGATACCCATATTATCTATTATCTGCCTGAAGAGATTGTAGTTTCCTTCAGAGAAGTGATTATCTAAATGTTCTTTTGTATTCCTACAGTTTGTGTATAATTAACATTGATTTCTTTCTCTGATAGTGCTTAGTACTTGAGAAACAAACTCAAGAAACACCTGTAAAGAAAAACAATATTTTATAAATTCTCAAGTTGTTATTGGATGGCAACCTAAGACAAGGCAGGGACCTGATTACCAGTAGGTGATGCTATCTCCTTCAATTAGTATTGGTCAGTGTGAGAACGGAAACTGCAATGGAGAGGCAGGGCAATCAGGGAGGTCAGCTTCAAGCTGAAAGGACTCAGTCCAGTGAGCTCAAGGCTCCTCCAGCTATGGATGCTGCTTTCTAAGAAAGCCATAGAGTAAAGCCCAGTTGTGGCAGAAGACGTCACTGACTGCCAGAAAAGGCAACAGATCTTCTCCAGCAGGCTGTCAGAAGGGCATCAACCATGACTTTCCCCAAGTTGACAAGCATGAAGAGCTGTGGAGGAGACATGAAGATGGAAACAGTGAAAGAGGGGAGAGTGGTGGTGCCATTTCTGGATACCAATTTTGATCCTCTCAGACCTTCTGTCTTGAGTAATTCCTAGTACATTTCCAGAACCTTGTCATTAGCCATTCCAGCAGTTATTTGCATCTGGATCAACACCTTTAACTGATCGATGCAATTATTGAAAGCCTTCTTAGAGAATTCTCAATATCATTTCTCCTATCTAAACACTAAAATTAATAAAGTCACTCAATAAAATATTAGAGAATAGTCCACAGGTATTGTCTCAGTCTCATTGGTCTTTGAATAAATGACTGAAAAGTGGCCAATATATTTCCCTCTGCCGTTTTGACTGAAAATCAAAATGCTAACCTAAATAGTCAATCAATACAGTAAATCACAGACAAAAGCTTTGGAGAAACGAGGTGTCTTCTCCTTCTGGCCCAAAGGGTCCTCACTCCTCCCTTTCTGCAGCCAGAAACTACCTTAAAGAAAGGGTCAGATAATCTACATATACCTATATGTTAAAAGGTTAACAAAGCTTAAGACAAATAAATGAATTGTTAATCATAGAATTTCAGCAAGTTAGAGCAAGTATTTTGTGCGTTGACTAGGGTGGTAAAGACAAAAAGGCATAACTCTTAAAATCATACAGTATATAGCTTCTCACTCTGAACAAGAGGCTGAGTATTTTTCAATCCTACTAAAATTTACTTTTGGATGAATTTAGTAGGTTGTGAAAGAGTACTCCCAGGAGACTCTTCCCCACAATATTTGCTACTTTAGGGTCTAGGTCCTGGTTCCTTGTCATCCTTGCCTTGGCAAGATTTTTCTTTCACTGTGGCATCACCAGTGACACAAAAACAGCATCTCTGCTGACAGTACAGGTAGAAGTTATATGAAGGTCACAGGAAGCAAACAGGTAGACAGACAAATGAATATCTTTCTGAAACCAGCCATATCTGGCATGTAGATCTCAACTGATTATGCTCAGCTATCGCACGGCTATCGTCTCCCATTTCAGGGTACTTACCTTACTATGAGGAAAACAAAGAAAGGAAACTGAAATATGATCGGAAAGATCTTCTTAAATGCTCAATAAATAGTGTGTTCAGCTAGAATTTCAGGAGGAGCAGCTATGCTGTAATTCTTGAAGATTCCCAGAAAACCTGGGTTTCCCAGAATTCTGGCCTGATTTACATAAACAAATCAAGGAAATGTTTTCCTGATGGGTTCCTCATTATTTCTCTGACAAATGCTAGAAAAATTGGCAAACTGAAGCATCTGCCTGATTTACAGTTGCTCTTTCTCTGGGGCTCCTGCAGTCAGGATATAACAGTATCTCCCGGAAACTGCAAATATTCACTTTATTTCAATTAGTTTTCTCCACACAGTCCACTGCTTCTTCACCAGCTCAGAAAACATGACTTTTAGCCTTGCTTAAGCTGCTTGACTTGTGAGATAAGCACTGGACTTCTACCTAGTCATTCCCTAGCAAGATTGGATCCTTTGTGTCTTATCAGTTTACTTGCTGGTGTTTATTTAACACCTTTTGTGATGAGCTCTCACTTTTTTTGTCCGTTTGAATTTTGACTTGATATTAATTTATCTTTATCTTCTGATTAACACACTTCTACCTTTGTGACCTAGAGTCAAATTTTCCTTTGAATAGGCTAGTCTAAACACAAACGTTGGAATTGGACAGTACCCACTTCTGAATAAGACTTTTAAGCTGGCATAGTCTCTATTAGGCTTTTGAACTTTTAACAACAGAAAGCACTGACATCTTTCTGTCAACATATTCCTGAACCACAAATTGTGCATACATTAGAAATTCTCTAGAAATGACATAGAAAGGCTAGGAAGCAAATGTATTCTTGTAGTGCAGGTCTGCAAGTCCCGGTAATTTCAGAATATACCACATAAGCTGAAAAGATGGCAGATGCAAGAATTGGATTTAACCATAGATGATAACCCAATTTTCTCCATAGCACTGTAACTCAATAAGTCTTTAATGGCTTCTTAGATAAACAGATGGATGTCATCAAAAGGCACAGGATGATAAATCTGATTGGTGTCTGAATAATTTGAGCTGCTTTATCCCCAAAACAAGTAGCAAGAGAAAAATGGGAGAACACACACTTAAGCCCCAGCATGGGAGTTTAAATTATTTGATTAGAAACAGTTGTATTTTCCCAGTGGCATAATATTGAAAACAACCAGAATGGCAAAGTCCAGGAAGTGCAATCTATCTTTTTAATTAGGGTTCTTCTTTTGAAGATTTATATTGTTTAGTTTAGCTGTGTTTATTATTATTTAGTTGACTCAGTTTATTTTCATACAAATTTTCAAATATTCAATTAAGCCCTTTGGAAAATTATGACTTTCAATTATCCATGATAGCCCAGAGTTTATAGACCCTCATGTCCATGGTCATGTCAATTTCTGCTGCTCAAGCAGTTCCTGCTTCTTTGAGTAGTTCCTTTCCTTGGATGCTTTTCATTTAGCTTATTTATTCATCTGGATCATGCAGTGGAATTAGATTTCAAATGGTTCATTGTCAAAAGTCATATATATATATATATATATATATACACACACACAAAGAATCTGACCAGGCCTTTCTAGGACCGGTACTGTCAAATTCTAGACACACTCTGATAACCTCAACCTATCAGTGAGATTTATCCAGATGAATCTAAGAGAAAGGCTATGGCAAAAAAAAAAAAGTCCTAAAAGGAAATATGCCTTTTGTTGTCATTGTCATTGTTATATCTGGGTTGTAAGATTATGGGAAATTTGTAAGATTATGGGAATAATGCCTTAGTGTAAAGGGGAAAGTATCAGATGGGTGGTAATGCTAATGGTCCTTGTCCCCAGTATAAGACACTGCTTTCAAATATGTCTGAGAGATCCAAAAGTTTACTGAGTACAATCATGATAAAAAAAAGAAAAACTTTTCAAGGACAGAACCGAAATATTATTGGGATCCTAGTTGAAAAAAAGCATTCCTTTTATTCCCAAAACTCAAGCAATTGCTTTAAAATATTTGTGTTATCTAATGTTACTTCCTCTGCTAAAGTTAATTCTTAGCAACTCGAAATAATAATAGTAGGAAATTTGTATATAGCATTTACTATGGGCCTGATATTGTTCCTAGAAATTTATATGTTTTAACTCACTTACTCTTCATGACAACTATAAAGAAAAGAACTATTATTATCTTCAAATTATGATGAGAAAACTAAGGCACAGATAGATTAAGTAACTTGCCTAAGATCACACAGCTACTAAATTGTAGAGCTAGGAATTAAATCTCAGACAGTCTGGCTCCAGAGTCTATGCTCTTAGCCATTTTAATGTTTTACTGCGTTTCATAAAACCTTGATTGATATATAAAGATATGCACGATATTATCAGAAATAATGTCAAGATGGATTGGTTAGGTCACACTGAATATGAGGATAATAATCTCTGCTTTGGAATCTGGTTACTTAGTTATGCAGGCTGGGGAGTTCAGGGGTTAGTCCTTCAGGAGCAGTTGGGTCCCAGATAACCAGTGCTTACCTCAAATGCTTTTAGGATGCAGGTATGTGTCAAATAATAAACTGCATATTCCAAAAGCACTAGCTACATATTGGTATACTTTGCTACCTGGCCCTTCATATGCAAAAGGATGGCCTTATCTTAATTTCAGATGATTTCTGCTAGACTCTTCCTCTATTAGGCCTCTGCCAGGCTTCTGGTTTGCCAAAGGCAGGAGCCAATAGCTAGTCAATTGTGATCAACCCCTTGATTTGGAAAATCTGACTGCCTTGCTATGTCCCACTGCCATTTTCCTTAGGGAGAGAGTATGGCCATTTACCATAATTTACTTTTTTGTGATATTCAAAATACCTCAGTTGGCTGAGAAAAGTTGGTAAAATTTTCCTGAAAAACAATTTAGCAATATGTATTGATAAACCTAAGTATGGTTCATACATACTAGCTTCAGAACAAGTAATGTGTCCCAAGGAAATAACCAGAGATGTGGACAAAAGTTTTACCCAGAAATCTTTTTCATGGCGTTATTTATAACACCAAAAAAAAAAAAAAAAAAAAAAAAAAAAGGTCTGGGAACAACATAAATACCCAAGAAGAGGAGAATAATTAGGAAGTTTATGATACATCCATAAAAAGCAATATGCAGTCATTAAAATTATATTGCTGAATAATTTTTAATGACATGGAGAAATACTCATTTTATAACATTCAGCAAAAATGCAGAATACAGAACTTCATTAAAAAATGATGCCGCTTATGTAAAAAGAAATCCAAATATGTCTAAAGTCCTGAATAAAATATGTGTTTTATTGGTTATCTCGGGGTTGTAAGATTTTTGTTTCTGTTTCCTAAATTTTAAACAATGAAAACATTAATTTTATAATCAGAAAATCAACCTATAAAACATAAATAGCCATGAGCTACGGGGGAGACTAGCATATGTTTGTGTGTGGTGGTGGGAGATGAGTGGAAATGAACAGTAGAAGAGAAATGAGTCCTCCTTTCCCAGAAGGAATATCCCAACACCCCTGGCCCCTCTTCCACCTCCCCTGTCCACAGCACCTGTGCATGCAGGCATGCACTCACAGGCACACACATGTAGACAAATATCTGACTGCCCAAGGAGCCTAGCTCTTTCCCACTAATGTTGGGGATTCCTGGCTACTACAGATGAGAACAGAGTCAAAGCCTCCCATTGTATATTTTTATGCAAATTGCTCTGGCTAATCATGCTCCCACTATGAGGCCTTAAATTCTTTAGGCTAAAAGTAGACTGGACAGCTCTTTTAATACCCCTTTGCAGATTTTGTAATGCCTTATAGGTTGTGAAACACGTTGTGTGTCCTGGTAGCTTTAGGATAATTCCAAAAATAAAAGCCACCAATTAAAAGAATAAAGACTTGGCCGGCTGCGGTGGCTCACGCCTGTAATCCCAGCACTTTGGGAGGCCGAGGCGGGCGGATCACGAGGTCAGGAGATCAAGACAATCCTGGCCAACATGGTGAAACCCCGTCTCTACTAAAAATACAAAAAATTAGCCGGGCGTGGTGGCGGGCGCCTGTACTCCCAGCTACTCGGGCGGCTGAGGCAGGAGAATGGCGTGAACCTGGGAGGCGGAGCTTGCAGTGAGCCGAGATCGCGCCACTGCACTCCAGCCTGGGCGACAGAGCGAGACTCCGTCTCAAAAAAAAAAAAAAAAAAAAAAAAAGAATAAAGACTTGCCACCAGATATATTCAAAAGAATATATTGTGGGCTTTGAAAACAATTTAAAAGGAGCCGAAACCTCTTTTGAGCCACATCAGTATTATATGAAACCCATTGGCATTGGCCTGGGAGTTAGGAGACCTGAGGTCACATGCTGGTTCTCCTAATAATCAGCTGTATGACCCTGGGCGAACTGCATGCCTTCTTTAGGGCTTCTGTGTCTCTGTGTGTAAAATGAGAGGCAGAGAGTATGCATTCATTCATTCATTCAGTGAAGCATTGACGGTCTGTGATATCAGGTGTGTGCTGGACATAGAGGATACTGTGATAAAGAAAGATGGCCCTCGCCTCCATGCTGCTCTTAGTTTAGTTAAGGAGGCAGATGATAACTCTTAGGGTAATGAGTGGGTTGGAGAAAATGAGAGTGCACCCAATTGTCCCTATTAAGAGACTTGGCGGTCACGGGTAACCTCATTGGTGAGAGTTTTAATACAGAAGTGAGTACTGAAGTCAGATTACAATGGGCTAGGGAATAAATGAAGATGGCAATAATAGATGGTAATGTAAGAAATTTTGGAAGAAGATGAAAGAGAAGGCAAAGGAGCTAGAATAAGTTGTAACTCCCAGAGTCTTCTCTTACCTAAAATACTAAGATGCATATCACTCGAATATATACATTTGACCTTCCAAGGTAACAGTCTTGAAAAGGGCAGCAACCAATTCAATGTATAAGCTCTATGTTTGTATAAAAGTCACATCATGGGCTGGGCATGGTGGCTTAAGCCTGTAATCCCAGCACTTTGGGAGGCTGAGGCAGATGGATAGCTTGAGGCCAGGAGTTCGAGACCAGCCTCACCAACATGGCAAAACCCCATCACTACTAAAATACAAAAAAATTAAATTAAATTAAATTAAAAAATAAATAGCTGGGAGTGGTGGCACATGCCTGTGATCCCAGCTATTTGAAAGGCTGAGGCAGGAGAATCACTTGAACCGGGAGGTGGAGGTTGCAGTGAGCCAAGATCGTGCCACTGCACTCCAGCCTGGGCGACAGAGTGAGACTTTGTCTCAAAAAATTAAAAAAAAAAAAAAAAATTCACAGGGTGGCCACATTCCAAACACTAAAAGGAAATAAGATGTGGAATTATTACTGTGAGAAACTGTGTGTTCCCAATCTGTGGCTATGTTAAAAAATATAAGATGGAAGCGGCACAAGACAGAGGGCTGAACAAGATGAACTCTAGTTGTCTGATCCTGTTATGCTAATGACACTGAACTTGGAAGAGAGGAAAGAGGACTACTTCAGTGAGAGGAAAAAGCATATGAGGACCCCTAAGCAGCCTGCCAGGCTGCTGCTTCCAGTAAGGAGACTTTGACCTTGACTTGTACCATTCTTTTCTATTAAAGATGGTATAAGTAAATGGAAACTTCCTCTTATTATATGACATGGAAAAAACGTTAATGCTTAAGCAGTTAGTTGCTTGGTATTCCTAGATGTGTTATCAAGATGACATTAAATCTAACAAGTGACAGCATGGAATTCTATTGCTCTAAAAAAAGAAATCCAAAAAATGAATTTAATTGTATAAAACAGTTAATATTTTCAATTAAAATTTCTAGGTAATTCTTACATTACCAGCTCAACATTAACACTTTCTTAAAGGACAAATATGGCTTTATTTTTTTAAAGAAAAAAATATGTTTTTTACTCTGTGAAAAATAGGAATTTCAGAAAGGCAGTTACATTCATCTTTACTGGTCAGAATTCAGACTTATTATGGTAAAGGTTTGAATTTACTTTCTCATTAGCATTTTATCAATTGGACCAATTAGTCTGAGCAAGCCTGAAATTCACAGGATTTCCTAAAACTGACATCTGTTCCCTTCTTAAGCTGCTGGTGACACACATGATGTAAATTTACCAATTACGAGACTCAGAGGCGGATGTGCATCAGCAGCGGTGAAGCCTTGGGTTTGAATCTGAAGTGCTCTGGGACAAAAGATAAAAATCATGTTTGATCTTTGAATTACTCTTTAAAATCCCTTGTAGCTTTTCTTCTCGCTCCTTTAAAAAAAACTCCCATAAAACAGCAGATTAAATATAAGCTTAACATATTTCATGTTGGTGCCATTTTTCCTTCTTAGTTTTCTATGCTGTATTTAATGCTTTCCTGTCAGGAAACACTAGAGTACTGTACAAGGATTAAAGGCATAAACTGTAGAGTAGACACAAAAACTAGGTTCATATCTTGGTCCTGTCAATTATGAACTCTCTAACTACTGGTAGGTTTTTGAACTTTGATTTTGCTAATTTGTCAAATAGACACAGTAGTATCTACCTTACAGAGTTACTGCAAGATTAAATGAGAAAACATAAGAAAATACTTTTATGATAGTGACTGAATCACAGTAAGTACCTGATAAATGGTGGTTTTTGTTTGTTTTGGTTTTGGTTTCTGTGTATCTTTTGGACAGTTCCATAGACTACTTGAATGTATTTTCTAAGTTCAGAAAAAGTCATAATAGGAATGACATTTGCATTAGGAGCCCCACTCCTTATAATTGTTCAGAACACCATGTTCGTGTCAACATAATTTATGAATATTTTAATGGGAAAGAGCTTCTTAGCCTAATATTATAGTCTTGAGATGCTTAATTATCTAAAGCATTAAAAAATTTTAACAAAAATATGGCAGCACATTATAAGCACAGTGTAATTTAGTAAATATATATCCTCTTGTTTTAAAATTTTATTAACTTTGCTCCAAATGCTGCATTAGGAGTTCTACACTTTTTGATTTATCTATAAAACATGGTTTTAAAATGATAGGCAGAATTAGAGAAAAAAAATCCACAAACTATTTAAAAGTCACTATTTCTAAAAACAAGGCAATTCTCATGAACAAAATAAACATGAACATTTTGTTCAACAATCCAGGAAAAGAAAAAGAATCAAGGGAAAGATTCCAGAGGACAGCACAGAAGTGTCCATAAGATTTGCCCCTTTTCAGCAGCTAATGTGTGAGTGAGTGGCCTAGCAGACAAAGCCTCAGATACCTCAGCAGGGAAACTCAGCATACGGCGTCACACAGACCTGGCTCTAAAATCAGGTCTGCAACTTGCTTGCTCTAAAATCTTAAAATAAAAAATGTGGGGCAAGTAAAGAAACCTTTCTGTAACCTCATTTCTTTACCTGTAAGATAGGGGTATTTTTCTATAATGGGAACATGGCTATACTATGTTATGTTCAAGAATACAGTGAGACTACTTAATAAATAGAGATACACATACATATATAAAAATTGTAGGTTAAGTAAGCTTTTGAGGCTGGCCCAGGAACCATATAATGAAATAAATATGATTTCTATGACAAAATAGAGCCTGTAAACTATAGATTGAACTTTGGAATATGACCAACTTATAAAAGAGTCCTGACAAAATACTTCTATTAGCTTTTTACTTTGAGATAAATTTAGACATGCAGGAACACTGCAAATGAGTACAGAGATCTCATTTGCTCTTCATTCAGCTTCCCCAAATGAAAACATTTTACATAACCAGAGTACAATGATTAACACTGGAAAATCAACATTAATATACTATTATTGAGTAATCAACAAACCCTATTTGAATTTTACCAGTTTTCTCAGTTATATATTATTTTTGGTCCAGGATTTAATGCAGGATTTTATTGCGTGTATATGTTATTAGACTCCAATGTATTATTTCCTCAGTCTTTCTTTGTCTTTTATGACCTTGGCACTTTTGAAGAGTTTTGGTGGTTTTGTTTTGTAAACTGTCCCTCAATTTGGATTTGTCTGGTCTTTTCTTTTTTTTTTTTTTTTAGACGGAGTCTCGCTCTGTCGCCCAGGCTGGAGTGCAATGGCACCATCTCGGCTCACTGCAAGCTCCGCCTCCTGGGTTCACGCCATTCTCCTGCCTCAGCCTCCCAAGTAGCTGGGACTACAGGCACCTGCCACCACGCCTGGCTAATTTTTTGTATTTTTCATAGAGACGGGGTTTCATCGTGTTAGCCGGGATGGTCTCGATCTCCCGACCTTGTGATCCGCCCACCTCGGCCTCCCAAAGTGCTGGGATTACAGGCGTGAGCCACCGCGCCCGGCCTCTTTTCTTGTGATTACATTGGTGTTACACATTTAAGAAGAATACCACAGAAGTGATATTTTGCTCTTCTCCATGCAACATGTCAGCAGGCATATGATTTCTATATGTTTAATTACTAGCTATATTGACCTTGATCATTTGGATAAGTCATGTCTGCTAGGGTTCTTTATTACAAATTTACTGCTTTCCCCTTTGTAATCAATAAATGTCTTGTGGGAAGATACTCTGACTATACAAATGTGTTGTTTTACAATGTGTTTTGTCCTATTAACTTTAGATTTCATCAATGGTTCTTACCTTTAACAATTACTACTGTGGTATTTGTCTAATGGTGATTTTTCTATTTCCCTTATTTCTACATCCATTAATTAGAATTCTACTATAAGAAACCACTGCTCTCTTCTCTCCCACTTCTTTTTTTTTTTTTTTCTTGTGACACTGGGTCTCACTCTGTTACCCAGGCTCCGAGGCTGGAGTGCAGTGGTGCAATCTCAGCTTACTGCAGCCTCAATCTCATGGGATCAAGCGATCCTCCCACCTCAGCCTCTTGAATAGCTGGAACTATAGGCACATGCCACCATGGCTGGCTAATTTTTGTATTTTTTGTGGAGACAGGTTTTTATCATATTGACCGGGCTGGTCTCGAACTATCTATTCTTTATCTATTCAATCTTTCAGTGTGGACTCATGGATCATACATTTATTGAGTAATAATCCAATACTATACTTATTTACTTTGTTCGAGTTGTTCCAACTTTGGCCATTAGCTGCTCCTTCAGGTTGGCTCCTAAGTCCTTTTAACATGTCTTCACAATTTTTTGAGTACTTATTTTCTGGAACCATTAGATATTCCAAGCTTATCTTGTGGTTGGCCCTTCTTAGCCCTGGAATCAACCATATACCCAAAAGTCCTTGTTCATTTTATTGGAGAATGGTGTTAAAAAACCAAGAGATGAGTGCTAAGTACATTTATTGCTACTGAGATATCATTGCTTCTAGGACCTCTCAGCAGGCAGCATTAAGAAACATACAATTGTATACCAACACACGTGCATACATCTATATTTCTATGTGCATCCACCTACAGTGAATAAACTCATACTGATCCCTCTAATTCCAACCCAATGCCACAGGGTTCATTCTAGTCTTCTCACTTTCCTCATATGTATCATTTTTCTCTGACAGTGAGAAAACTAGCTCTCATTACCCAGAAAATATTTACTTTGTTCAATCCTAGCATGGACATTAAATAGTGTCAGAATTGCTGGTCCATGCTCCTGTTTGTAGAAGAAACAAATATACAACTATAGTACATTCATATATATATTTTTGGTTGCTTTTGGTGTTACAGTATATAGTCAAAATAATCATTTTCTAAAGGTACTTAGGTTGCTCTTTTCTTCCCTATACCCCCAGCATAGTTATTTATTCATTTGAATACATTTAGGTTCATTTTTTACAGTTCGTATTTCATTTTGGGTTCTCCCACATCCTAACTGATTGGGTAGGTGAAAGGTCAGGTTTTTTCTAAGGGTCAGAGTTATATACAAAAGTGTACTCAGAGAAGTGTCCCTCCAACTCCCCCTCTCATTGCTCCATTTTTATACCCCATTTCGCTTTATTTCCTGTAGGTAAACAGTCTTGTTGGTTTCTGACTTATCTTTCTTTACATCTTTTGCAAAAATGAGTAGACGTTTGTAGATTTCCTTATAGTCCCTATTTCTTACTTTAGGGACAGACACTCTAGATATCTGTATGCACTTTACTTTTCTCACTTAATATATTTTGGAAATAATTTCATATGAGTTTCTCAAGGTCTTCCTTGTTCTTTCTTACAGGTACAGTGTATTCCATTTATGCATGTACCAAATTCATTTTACTGCTTCCCTATGTATGGTCATTCAGGTTATTTCCAACATTTTGTGATTACAAAAAAGTACTAAAATAAATAACTCATGCATATGTAGTTTCATATTGCTGGAGGTGTATTTTAGGGTAAATTCCTAGAAGTGGGACTGCTGGGTCAAAAGAGTACAAGTGTAGCTGTGTTAGGTCTTGTCAAATTCCCCTCCAACACGGTTGTTGTACCAGCTTGCATTCTTCCCAGCACTAGGTTGCCACACTTTTTAAATTTCACCAACATAAGAGGTAAGAAATAGTATTTCAGTAGTGTTTTAATTTGCATTTCTGAGAAATACTTTTAATGCATATGAAAAAAGTTGGCTGAGGGGAAGTTCAAGTGGACAGGCAAGAGCTGCACAAAGAGCTAAAATGGAACTTAGGAGTGCTGTGACAAGACTATAAGTCACCTAAGAAGCTGACAAAACATGATGATTCTGAAGCATCAGGGAAGGTGAAAAGCAATAAAGCGAGGACTAAAGTGATCCACTGGAAACATAAAGGGAAACAGAATATAACCTGTAATGCAGTAGGCAATAAGTTTAAAAATTTGGCTTGTTTTTATATGTAACAGAAAATACTAATAACAAATAATGCTTTAAAAAGAGACTTTCAAAGTGCTTGAAAAATTTCAGTCTTAAAGAACAACTGTGATCTAAAAATCCACAACAAAGGATACAGGAGCCAGGTAGCCTAGCAAGAGTCAGCAGAAACTATAAATGGATGGTCCAAGGAGCAGAAGCAGAGTCTGGTGAGTCATACCCAGGTCATCAAGAAAAGTGGTAAGGGCTCTGATCCTGCTTAAAGCACTGAGAATAAAGAATCTATGAAACATTATTTTTTTTTCTTTTCTAATTTTTGTAGAGATGGGGGTCTCACTATGTTGCCTGGGTTTGTCTCAGACTCCTGGCCTCAAGCGATCCTCATACCTTGGCCTCTCAAAGCACTGAGATTACAGGTGTGAGCTACTGCTCCTGGCCTCATTTTTGAGAAAAGGAAAAAGAATGGTGTTAAAAATGATCAAACAATGATCTTATGAATGACCAGAGTATCAAAGTGATATTTTTATATCTGGAAAAAAATAACAAAAGACCGAAACAAATTTGTTAAACATAGAAAAAATCATGTATTGCGAAATGACTACTAAGACTTGAGACAAATAGGTCACAAGGATGGGGCTGAGACAACAGGCCTAGTTAGTAGTAAGGAACTGATTTAACCTCAATAAAGTTTTCATAAGCCAAATTTCAGGCCAGAGATTAGGGTGGTTTATCATTTTTAAAACCTGAGAAGCATCTATAATTAATTTATAGCAAGGTACATGACAAAGGGCAGTAGAAAGTGTGAATTTACAGCTAGCTTAAGAGTTGGACTCTGGGACATTAGCACCAACATGCACAGGTAAGAAAAGTGGGGGAAATAATTAAGCAAATTGTCTTTTACTATGTTGTAGGCACAATTTAGCCCCTACAGAAATAATAAGGGAAACATCCCTGCCCTTAGCTCGCCTGGGTGGGACGGAGACAGCGTAAGAAAAATTTTATAATAGTAAATGAAAAAGCAAAGCAGAGGACTGAGGATGGGTAAACATGGGGACTAGTTTCATGAAAGAGGTGACCTTTGAATTCGAAATTCTCTTGGTGCAAAAGGGGAGGTGTGTATATCGGAGAGGGGCTGATGGGTAGGACAATCTAGGCAGAGGCAATGGTACCTGCAGAGGGTACCAGAACAAACAGAAATACAGAGTCCCTTTGTATTTCATGTCTCTTGAATCAATAATATTTGGGAAGGTTGAAGAGCATTCTGAGAGTCACCAGATGACTCAGGCTAGGAGCCAGGCTCTTCAAAGGCCCAGATGGAAGGACTGGGAGTGCTGTATTGAACCTGAACTGAAGGCTGGGTGGTGATTTCAAAACTGCCTTCTACCACATGATGGATTATTATAGGGAGCATAATTAGCTGTTCTCTATTTCTAGAGAGATGAGAACAAGAAGAAAGAGAACAAAAGAAAATGGAATCAAATTGCAGTGAAGACTGTTAAATAACAGAATGAATTAGTCCCGGAAGTTATCAGCATGACTTTTGGGAATGTCTTTAGAAACAGTCTGTCTGTCCAAGATGATTCTGGACAGGGTCACCAGCTGTGGCTGCATGCAGTTGGAGGAGCCATATGTCATTTCAGTGCCCTTCCTAGCTCTGTGTTTCTGCAGTTGTATAATATTATGCATAAATAGAGTAATACCAAATTATCCCATTTATACATTTTTTTTTATGTATCTATTTTATGTATCTATTAATATGGACAACAGCTTCCTTTCCATTTTACCAGTAAAGTTCTGAATACAAATGTAACTCAGCCTCTCTCCATTACAGCTCTGCCTTCAGAGTTAATTGCCTTGCAGAACACTTAAGGAGTCATTTTTCATTGTGATGGTGAGCAAAGGGAAGGCAGATGGCACAGTCATGTTATTGATTTGATGATCCTTGCCTGGCTTGTTGAATAAATGGAACTGAATGTATGGTCACTGCATCCAGATTTTTAGGGGCTTCAAGGTTCAATTCAAATTATATCAGACAGCAGGTTCAGAGAACAAGAATCTTTATTCCCTCAAAGCTTCTAAATGATGATCCCAGGGACCATGTAGGATTCCTCAAACCACCTCCCTGAAGTCCTGTGGACCAGTTTCAGTCCCAGCTCCTAAGGAAGAAGATGAACTCTCTCATATTTTTTCCAGTGCTTTTACCTGCATGAAAGCTTTGGATATGCTACCCATCAGTGAGAGAAGCCTGCTCAACTTGCATGGGCTATGCTCATTTGCAAATTTGCAAATTATAAAGTGGATAAAAGGAAATGAATTACTCTCTTTTCAGAGGGCCATTAACTTTTTCCCTACAAGCTCTTAGAGAAAGATCACTGTGGTCTTAAGGAGTTAATATAATTGTAATCAACATTTACCTTTTATAGAATTACATTTTTACTGCTGGCACTTGCTCCTCCACCAGGACTTCCATTAAGAGTAAGGGGACATCCATACTCAAAAATGCCTTTGGTAGATACTATGGCACCATTAAACAGTCTGTGGGAGGACCCGAGATTAAACCAGCTATCAGTATAACATGGAGTTTTGATCAAAACTTGAACATACTTCTGGATTTGCTGACGGACCACTGGCCCTATGAGGTGACCCCCAGAAAAATGTTTCTGTGACTAGAAGGAATTTGCAGGGCCACTTACCCAGTCTTAGCCTTTACATATTTTCTCAAGTCACTTAATTTTCCTTTCTGGATCTAGGGAGTTCCCTTCTGCCTGCCTTTTCTGGGCTCTGTGTGGCAGAATTGTGCAGTACTGCCTGCTGGTAAGAGGTGAATTATATTATTTTCTTTTTCTGGTTAGGTTTTGCAACATGTTACAATAAATATGAGGGAGGGGTAATATGAGCAGGGACTACAACCAAGGTCTCTGGATCTCTCGCTCCCTGCTTGAGAGATCCAGACACCTTGGTTCTAGTCATTCTGAGACTCAGAACCCTTCCATTCTTTTTAACTACAGAAGAAGCCTGCTATGGCCTGAATGTTTGTGCCCCACCTTCTACCAAATTCATACATTGAAGCACTAATCCCTAATATAATGGTATTTGGAGGTGGGGGGTTTTTGGGGAGGACTAATTAGGTTTAGATAAGGGCAAGAGAGTGGAGCTTCAGGATGAGATTAGTGCCCTTATAAGAAGAAATCAGAGCTCTTTTTCTCTGCCATGTGAGGATACAGCTATAGGTGATCATCTGCAAACCAGGAAAAGGGCCCTTACCAGACACCAAATTGTCCAGGCATCTTGATCTTGGACTTCCCAGCCTCCAGAACTGTGAGAAACAAATGTTTGTTGTTTAAGTCACCGAGACTCTAATATTTTATTATAGCAGCCCGAGGTAATGAAGGCAGCAAACTTCTGTTAAATTCTCCCAAACCTATGTAAAGTAGGACTATTTAATTCATAACCAATTAAAAGTAATTTTTTTTACCAATTGGCAGTTTTATATAAACCATGGTGTCAGCTATCATAAAAAAAAATGGAGGACCTCACAAACTTACCCTTAACATTTATTTTATTTTAAGTTCCGAGGTCCATGTGCAGATGTGCAGGTTTGTTACATAGGTAAACGTGTGCCATGGTGGTTTGCTGAACCTATCAACCCATCACCTAGGTTTTAAGCCCAGCATGCATTAGCTATTTTTCCTAATGCTCTCTCCACAACCCCTCTCTCCCCCGACAGGCTCCAGTGTATGTTGTTCCCCTCACTATTTCCATGTGTTCTCATTGTTCAGCTCCCAGTTAGAAATAAGAACATGCAGTATTTGGCTTTCTCTTCCTGTGTTAGTTTGCTCAGGATAATGGCTTTCAGCTTCATCCATGTCCCTGCAAAGGACATGATCTCATTCCTTTTTATGGCTGTATAGTACTCCATGGTGTATATATACCACCACATTTTCTTTATCCAGGCTATCATTGATGGGCATTTTGGTCTTTGTCTTTGCTATTGTGAACAGTGCTGCAATGAACATATGCGTGCATGTATCTTTATAATAGAATTATTTATATTCCTTTGCGTAAACACTCAGCAATGGGATTGCTGGGTTAAATGGTATTTCCAGTTCTAAATCTTTGAGGAATTACCATACTGTCTTTCACAATAGTTGACCCATAACATTGTATTCACACCCACAACATTCTTGCTTTGTTGTTTTGTTGCTTCAAAGGCAGCTTGGGTATTGCAACACATTTTGATTTTCCTCTTTGGTTTTGTAAGTTGTCTTGTTGAGTTTTAATTTTTTCCTGTTTTTCTCTTTGAGCACAGTAATTATTAACAGTGAATTCCAGAAATACCAGAAAGAGGTGGCAGGTGGGAAAGAAGAAAAAAGAAAAGAAAAATGTGTTGGTCACGTTTCAGTGCTAGTGGTCTCATTTTTCATTTCCATGAATCCTGATTTGTCATGTGAGTTTGTTTCTAATTGGTCAGTCTTTAAAGTATTTGAATTAACTTTTAAAGTTGACTCTTTTCTGCAGCATGTTTAATTAGCCATTTTCACTATTCTTTAAGCTTCTCATCCTTATTTTCTTTTGTTTCCTTTACATATTAATCAATTTCTCACAAAAGTGACGGAAAGATATATTTAAAAGTCTGAAATGGAAGGACCATCACCATGTCATTTTACAGTGACACTGGTCAGTAAAAGAAAAAGCTTGTGCTGTCCTCAAAACACAAACAGCTAATGGTCTTTACTCATAGCTAAGAAATGAAAAAACAAAACAAAACAAAAACATTTATAAAGAGCATTTTGATGTAAAAGTTTTCTGGTTTTAAATTCTGACTCCATAATTATTTACTATGTGACTGTAGGCAAGTTACTTAATATCCATGGTTCATTTTTCTCATATATAAAAGAAAAGTGATAACACAGTTGACCTTTGAATAAAATGGGGGTTGGAGTGCCAACCCCCTGTGCAGTTTAAAGTCCCTGTATAACTTTTCACTCCTCCAGAACTTAACTACTAATAGCCTATTTTTTATCAGAAGCCTTGCCAATAATCTAAACAGTTGATTAACACGTATTTTGTATGTTGTATATGTTATATATTGTATTATTACAATAAAGTAAGCTAGAAAAAGGAAAATGTTATTAAGAAAATCATAAAGAAGAGAAAATATATTTACTATTCATTAAGTGGAAATAGATCATTATAAAGATTTTTATCCTAATTGTCTTCATTTTTGAGTAAGCAGAGAAGGAGGAGGAGAAGGAAAAGGAGAGGCTGGTCTTGGTGTCTCAGGGTGGCAGAGACAGAAGAAAATCTGCATATAAATGAGCCCACACAGTTCAAACCCATGTTGTTCAAGGGTCAACTGCATATACCTCACAGCAAGGGCTCCCAACCCCAGGCTGCATACATGTACCAGCCTGTAGCCTATTGAGAACCGGGCCTCACAGCACTCACAGCAGAAGTTGTGCAATGGGTGGGTGTGAGTGAACATCACAGCCTGAGCTCCGCCTCCTGTCGGATCAGCGGAGGCATTAGATTCTCAAAGGAGCACGAACCCTATTGTGAACTGCGCATGTGAGGGATCTAGGCTGCAAACTCTTTGTGAGAATGTAACTAATGCCTGATGACCTGTAGTGCAACAGTTTAATCCCAAAACCATCACCCCTGCCACTGACCCCCAGGTCTGTGGAAAATTGTCTTCCACGAAACCCGTCCCTGGTGCCAAAAGGTTGGGGACTGCTGCCCTATAGGGTTACAGTAACTCAAAGGACAGCATGGTGCAAAGAATAGATTCACAACGAACAGTATGTATGGCTTTTTTTTTTTTTTTTTTTTTTGAGATGGAGCTTCGCTCTTGTTGCCCAGGCTGGAGTGCAATGGCACGATCTCGGTTTACTGCAACCTCTGCCTGCTGGGTTCAAGCGTTTCTCCTGCCTCAGCCTCCCCAGTAGCTGGGATTACGGGCATCTGCCACCACGCCTGGCTAATTTTTGTATTTTTAGTAGAGACGGGATTTCACTATGTTGGCCAGGCTAGTCCTGAATTCTGACCTCAGGTGATCCACCTGCCTCGGCCTCCCAAAGTGCTGGGATTACAGGCATGAGCTACCGTGCCTGGTCTTCCAAACAGTATGTTTTAATGACTACACCAACAATTGATGCTTTTTATTTGCCAGTTATCTTTTGTGAGGTTATCTGTCCTGAGTATAACTAATATGTGGACATTTCCATAAGATTCAAAGTAATTTATTTTTCTGGTCATAAAGGGTAGAATTGAGTTGGGCTCTTTCAAACTTAAATAAAATAGTTAAAAAAATTACTATCCAAGGAATAAATCAGTGTTCAAATCATGAAAACAGAAGATCTCTATGATAGGTTTCAGACATGCTACATTGGAAATATAAATTGCTTTATTGTTTTGTGTCATCTTTCACTAATATTCTCATGTTCATTGAAACTTAAAGCTAAACAAGTTAGTTTTCATAGATGTAATCCATTGAAAGTACAGTTTTGGGCTTGATTTCGGTCCCTGAGATATGTAGCTTGATCCATCCTACATGAATTATAAAAACACAAAATCCAGTCTATCGAGGTTATGGGCTTGAAGTGAAACTTTACATCGTAAAGTATACATTTGTGGAGTATACATCTTTTGCACATCTTTTTTGGTGAAGAGTCTCCAAAATTTAAAGATAATTTTATTCATCAATTAAATATTTATCAAGCAACTATTAAGTACCAGAAACTTGTTAGCAGCTAGGGATTCAAAGATGAAATAAGATATTGCCACTGCCTTCAGAGAGCTTACTACTGGGGAAAAAAGAAAAGAACATAGCAACTCTGATATATGTTAGAAGGCATGGATATATGTTAGAAGGTGTGGGATTTCAAGACAGTGAGGTCACATTTGTATGGAAGGGACTGAAAAGGTCTCAAGGAAGACGAAATAGCATTTGAACCAGGCTTTGAAAATAAGCAGCCTAACACAGGGGATTTCGGGTACAAGAAACAGCAGTATGACAGACCACACCTACACTCAGAGAATCATAAGAAAAATATGTATGGAATGATAGGCCTAGCAGCAATCACAAAGATATTTTATCTAGTCATTTTTCTAATGTTATACATGAAGAAACTAAAGGTCTGAGAGTTTAAAATAATTGTCCAAGGACCCCCATGTAGCCAGTGGTGCTGTGCAGGTAGGCTTAGGACTCTGAGGGTGCTAAACCTGGAAGAGAAGTTGAGGAGAAGTCAGAGAGGACCTTTCATTCCAGAGTAAACGTCTGGACCTATTTCAACAGGCAATGAAAAGTCTGCAAAGGTATGAGGAAGCGATATGATTAGAGCTGTGCCTTCCTTTGGGAGCAACCCAGGTGAGAAGCAACCACTCCCAGAACAAAGCATGGAGGGAATAAGAATGGAAAAAATAAGATGTCTTCTCTGTCCGCTCCAGGGATAAAATCTATAGAACTTCACGATTACTGAGATGTAAAAGGGCACAAAGAGAGAGAAGACAGGCTAATTTGAAGGTTTCAAACTTGAGCCATTCTGAAACAGACTTTACAAAAACAGACAAGTCAGGAGAGAAGAGCTGGTCTGGGGAATGGTGGGAAGTGACAGAGGAAAGGGGGAAGGACGGCTCACTTTACATCTGAACGGGAGGAAATCCAGGTTGAGATGCTGCTGCTCAGCAGGTGAGAGGTGTTGGCTGAAGACCCACAGGATCGGCAGTTAGCTGCAGAGAAGTTTTCCCTAAGTGAGTGGAGAGGTAAAAGAAGCTGGCTAAGGATCAGACCTGGGGGAATGCCTGTAGGCAAGGGGCAGATGAAGCTGAGGATGCACAGAAAGGAGGTGCTCTATAGCCATCGCCACTAAGTGAATTCTAAGTGGGTACCTGTGATGGGTCAAGGCACAAAACAACAGAGGAGGGGAAGGTTTCCAGAAGGTGGGGAGGTGAAGTGGGGGAATAATCGACAGTCAAACACTACAGAGATGCGAGAATTGAGGAAAGGGCATTTTAATGACTATGTTTATCACTCGATTACTGCTGTAGACAAATATTAAACTTAGCAATTGTCCATCTGTTTTATTTCATCTCTCTATTCTTTGTTCATAGCACTTTAACACAACTTGTAAGTATGAGTTTATTTGCATGATTATTTGTTGAATGTTTATCTCTGCATAGGCTGTAACCTCTATGAGGGCAGGAACACTGTTTGGTTCACTATAGTATATCCAGTGCTGTCATATAATAGACACTTTTACACGTTTCTTGAATGAGTAAGGGTAGCAAGTGGGGATTCACAATAACTGTATTTTGGATACAAGGTAAAATAGTTTCTTCTGTTGATTTTAAAGTCTTTTAATATCAGATATTTTTTGACACGGAGTCATATTTATTAACAAGAATCTCAGATATTTGTTCTTATCTCTGTTGTTTCCTGGGCTCTCTGCCTAATTTTCTAGTTTATTTTACCATGAATGCCACTTTTTCTTTCTTCTTTGTGAAGACACATACGCTGCCTATAAACAATATTTGTATTTGAGGTTAAAGGGTAACTAACATGCCAGATTTTTATAATGAAGTTTTGATATAATTCAGTAGTTCTATTTCTTATTCTAGCCACCTCTAACAAAGAAAGTGCTAAGATTATATCAACAGATGTGTTTCTACAAGTGTGAAGATATGGTGGCAGAATTATAAAAGAAAAACAAAGTGTGAAGGAATAGAAATTTCAGAGGCTGCTAGAAACTGGAAATTTGCTTTAAAAAACTGTGTTCAGAGGAGAAAGTACTACACTGTGAGCCAGCAGACCCGGAGTCCATTTCCAATCCATCTCTGAGATTATGGGAAATGTACCTCTCACTGGTAGTATTAGATTCCTTTTACTCAATTCTAAAATAGGGGCACTATAAACCATCTACATCTTTCAAACATGCTAGGAAGATTTCATTAACACAGTTTTAAGATTTTTTTAAATGTAAGGAGCAATGCTAATTATTTTTAGTCACTAATAATACATATGAAAATTAAGTTTCCCAATGGCTCTGAGCAACTGAAAAGATAAATCAAGGTACCACTCAGAAGCAAGTTATTTGCTCTCCCCACCCCAAACTGTCATGACTTAGCATAATTTGTAGTATTAAACTGTGCAGTGGGGTTAGAGTGAAACGCATCCTAGGAATCTAACCCGACCCCATCATTTTTCACATGGGAAAATAGAAGACCCAGAGACTGAAAGACTTGCCCATGGTCACATTGCTAGTCAGTGGCAGAGCTAGGTCTAGATCTTAGGGCTTGTGATTCCAAGTCCAGAGCTCAGACATACAAGTTTAATTTCTTTTCCTATGAGTTCACGGGCTTCTTCCTATTACATACACCGAGTCATAGTTTCATGAGCAGATGCGCCACGGCATGCACAGATTTGCATTTTACCAAATTTCTGAAGTCACCGGCAAAGATAAAATTGTCCTTACTACAATAAGCCCACTGCTCAGCAGAGACCCTCTAGGTCCTTCCTCCTTGACTCTGGATTTAAAGCTTTTTTAGGAATAAGGGCTATGCCCCAGTATCTTTATCCACAGGGACACAGTGATGAGGGAGAGTCACACTGGCTGAGGAGCCAGTGGCCCTGGGTTTGAATTCTGGCTCACTCACTCACTAGCTGCATTTACCCTGGGAAAGTCATTTAATCTCTCTAGAGTTTTGGTTTTCTAAATAGTAAAAGTGGGATAATCATCTCCACAGAATCATTAAGAGGGTCACACCAATGAATACATAAAGCGCTTAATATAATGCCTGGTCCTCTTTCCCTTTCCTCTTTTCATTAAATTAAACCAAAGTTATCTTATTGTTATCATTATAAACAAGAAAGACATCCATGACACCATGAGTAAACTATCATTTTAAACATTATGTAATATTTCTAGATTATTCAAAATAATCTAATCATTCTGCCCAAACTTCTAAGGCTAACGTAGAAAACTTCAGAATTTCAAAACCTTAGACTTTCTGGCAGTATTCTTTTGGTAATGGTATAGTCAATCATATATGAGGCAGGATCATGGCAAAATTCTACTTCCAGTTGTAGCACATAGCTTCTTTTCAGCAGTGGATATTTGGGCCATTGGGATTTTTGATTCAGTGAGAAAAGTTAATCTGCTTCTCATTAGGAAGAATCCACAAATTATGAAATCCATAATCTTCCATCACAAAGTGACAGCAATCATTATCATTTTCAATTTATGCATCTGAAGAGCTCTATTTACTTTGTCCACATTTCATCTTAATGTGCCTCTAAAACGCTTGGGGACCATGCTGTCCGGGGTGACTGGAGACATGCTTGGTTGTTAAGTGTCATGTAGGAGAGTTACTTAATGTGTCCTGTTTTCATGGAGATGTCAATCTTTCAACCACTTTGAGGTCAGAAGACAAAGTGGCTGCACAGTGAACATATGCATAAACAACAGCATAAATCCCACCTTAACCGAAGAGTCTGGCACGGATTGCAGTGGCTGCTCACAGAAAATACAGAAATGAAGCAGCAGGTTTACTGGGCGGGGAAGCAGGAAACCTAATTAGCCCAGCTCTAGGAATGCCAAAAAGCCTACTTAATATCTTTTGCCTTACTATTCTAAGCCCCCTAAAGGGAGAATTTCTCCCAAGCACCTAAATTTATTATATTAAAAAGAGATTAGTGCATGGGTAATCTAAGGGATGAGTTGGCACAGTTTTTCTTTTGACCTCTGGTTAAGACAAGATCCATAAGGAAGGGAGTTCACACATTTCAGAAAGAAACTAAAATGGCCATGTCTAAGCATTACTTGCCACATATTGCTGAAGCAGTTGCTGGTGGAAAGAAAATCAAGTCCAAAGATAATGCTATTTTTTAAATTAAAAAAAAAAAATCACTAGCTGCTCCTGAAAAGAGATGGCCAAACTAGCTCCTGTGCATTTCTGTCACTCATTTTCAGGGTTGAAATTCACTGTGTGAGAGAAATCCACCATGCTCATAGGATGCTTCTGCCTTTGCAGATCCTCAAGCTCATCCTTCTTAAATGCTCTTATTCATGCCAACGGAGAGTACACATGACACTGACATTTAGTAAGTTACATTTCAAACAAGGAGCCTGATAAAAAAAAAATTTTAGTAAGCTACATTTCAAACAAGGAGCCTGACAAAAAAATTTGAGATTATGCAAAGTACTATAAGACTTTTAATCTATAAGAAGACTCTTAATAATGAACGCTAATTTAATAACTGAACAGATACACTAACATTTGGAGAAATAAATAGCCCAATAGCCAAGAGAAGACCCCTGGCACCCTGTCCTTCACACAGTGGGGTTGGGGTCAGGAGTCTGCCAACAAAGCTCCACCTCTACCTCCTCCTCAACTCCCCCAACCTGTCACCCTGCACAAATAGTGGAGGAGGCTCAAGAGAACATAGAGGGCTTCTAGGAGAGGAATCTGGGAAAGGGTAAATGAATTTGAACTCTGTTGCTCATTTTACTGAAATTAGCTGAAGCTAACAGATTCAAGTGGTTGCTAAAGGTCACATTTCCCAAGTCTCCTATCATTGTCATCATCATTATCAAAATAATTTATTAACTGATTTCTATGTGTAGGGCACTGGGATAAGCACAGGCATATATAAGGACTTTCTGTGAAGACACAGAATAAACCAAACTTCAGCAATGAGATAACCAGTGTCAGCATTTGGTTCCCAAGAGCCAATATGGTTCCCAAATAATCACTGGGATATATTTCCTCTCAAATATGTGAAGTTTTAATTGGCTGTGCATACACTAAATATTTGGACGAGCACTGAAAAAAATAGTCACTTAGTTCATATATTGGTGTCAGTATTTGCCTTGTTCTGGGAAAACCTAGATGATGATATTGGAAAAATTTTTCTCTACAGATACTGCCTTTTTTCTTGCAGTGAAATCAAGACATTTTGTTTTATTGTTTCCCAACATTTCATTATTAAATATTTAAACATATATCAAAGTTAAAAGAATTTTATAATGAATATCAGTATTCCTAGCACCTAGATCCTACCATTAACATTTTACTTTACTTGCTTTATGACATATCAGTCCATCTACCCCTCTTACCCATCTTCCAAATTGATGCAGATAACAGATAATGCTGCAATTTAAAGAGTAGAACCACTGTCTTACTCCTCTAAGAGCTTGAAAAATCTACTAGATTGTTTTTAGAAAACAAAGAACAAGCTCATTCTGAATTATGTACGCAGATACTCATCATAGTTTCATCCTCAGGCTCTGTAAAAAGTATGGTAAGCTATTTCAATCTTTTGTCTAGCTCTATCAACCCTGTAGACATTTTCAGTATTCATCCAAATGCTTGCTTTTGTAAAGACATGGGCTGTTGATTTTAGAGAGGCTTTCTGCTACAAATCATCAGGAACAATTACCTGGAATGCTAGCAGTAAGTATTTTTTATTCTTTTGCTCTATACTCTAGTATCCCCTCTCCCCAATTATTCCTTGAGTGTAGATATACAGTGCTTTCTACGTCTCACTCCCCTCATTTATGATGTTAGTTTTATAATACCTATCTCACAACCCTGTCATGAGGATCACATGTGAAAAACAGAAAAAACATTTTAGAAAGAGTAAAGTACTATGCATATCTAAGATAACATTAACATTAGTAATCATAATGCAGTTGTTAGAAAACACAGCTGAGGTAATGGTTCACACTGCTACTTGTCTCTTTCATATCAGTCAAAAAGGACTTCAAAGGTTAAAGGGACAGAGAATTGGCAGTTGCCTTCAGTCTGCCCATCTCGTGAAGGATCGAGAAAAACCTTGGTGTATATCACACAGACTTGTTTTCATTAGTGAAGTGTTTGTTTTGGAAATCATCCCAGTTTTAAAACAATACTTCCATTAGCTGTGCAAGTACCTATAATTATCCATCTTATCTGACCAGTGCCAAACTATTTTACTTATTGCATCCCATTTACCTTGGAGGTGCTGAAAGGAAAAGAACAAGACATTCACTCAATGTATGAAAAGGTGCAGAAAATGTTTATTTCTTTGAATAAACATCCATAAATGAACTTTGGATAGAAATTTCTGCAATAAGATATCATCAGGTACCATGAATGATGAATCTGAAGGTGATGGAAACTCTCTGCTCCCATATATGGGAAAAATTCTGTTACATGAATACCTAACGTTTACAAGGCATAAAGTAGTACATTTTCCATTTTTTGTGTCTGGTTGGACACAAGTCAAGAAAGTGAGGAGCAAATTCAAAGCCAAGTAGGGAAGTAAGAAAAGATAAAATAAGCAAGGAGGCCGGTTCATCATCAATTACTGTTATTGAGAACTTGCCAGCTTGCTGGCATTTTATTTTATGCTTAAGGGGAATTGAAGAGAAAAACAGATTTGAAATCACCCTTGCCCTCAAAAAGCATTCATTCCAGTAGTGGTTGGATAGATAAAATAATCAGGAGACAGAAAAATTCAAAATTATAAAGATGGAATAGTATATGCAAAAAGAGAGAAAAAAGTGTGGTCTGTAATTTAAGTATGATTTATATTCAACATTGAGCATGCTTAGAATGTGGACAACACCATCGCAATGAGCAGAGCTCTAAGAGGACAGGTATAATTATCCTGAAATCAAAAACATGCTTTTCCTACAGGAAAAGGAGAATCAGAACAAAGGCTGGCTGTGCCCACCTAAGACAGAGGGTTTCCCTGGTCCATGAACTCCAGCTGGTGCTGAAAGCAATGGCATATCTTAAACCTACTGAGATGGTTGCGTGAAGCTATCATCCTCTGATGCCACTCAACGTTCCAAACATACACGTTCCCTAGTTTGGTTCCACATTCACAAAGCAAATTTCTAATCATATTTATAATTTGGTTTCCAACATGCCACACATACTGGAAGAAAGGAAGCTGGCTGGAAGGGTCTAGAACATGGTGGCCCTTCTAATGAGATTTCTCATTGTAATTCCAGCAATTAATGGGAACATACATACATGTGTGTATAATACACAAATAAACACATATTCAACATGTGTTTTTCGGAGAAACACTGGGAAATCTACCTTTATAACAATGCAGGTATCTAGATAGTTGGGTAAAAGTTTGTATTCTCATAAAATTTTACCATGCTCTAAATTAGAACCTTGCAAAGGTCCTTACTGCGCTATTTAGTGGTATTGTTTATTTCTTCTGTTCAGTCTACAAGTTTTGCTTAACTGCTGAAGGCTCCTCATTTATCATACCTGACTGCCCAGGGGGAGGGGCACCTGATGATCCTCGTGGTAGACAAAGAAACACAGTCAGAACAGCAGCTCTGTTCCCAGCACATGGTTCAATGGCAATTGGCTTGGGTGCCCCCTGAAAAAGAAAACCCACTTTAAGTTTGCAAAATTGACATAGCATTGCTATTTTAATTTTCACCTTATCTATCCTTTAGGTAGCTGTGCTGTACATTCCTAGTTGTTCAGGACACACCATGTGTTATTTTAACACTAGCTCCTTGCACACTATGGATGTGCACTTGGCCTACACTTGAATAAATCAACAAATTTCACTATATTTGACGAGCAGCTTGTGAGCCACAAAGTTATGCAACTTTTGTTCCTTTTTCCCAATTGTTTCCTCTCACCAATGATGTATAACATAGCATAGTTTATCTAATTAAGTGATCACAATTCAAAATATTCTGTTGGCATATCTTAATTTTCTTATTTTTACTGTCTATAGGGTGTACAACATGATGTTTTGATATACATATACATATACATACACAGATACATATACATATACATAGTGAAATAATTACTACAGTCAATCGAAGTAACATATTCATCACCTGATACAGCTACCTATTTTTTCGTGGAAAGAGCACCTAAAATACACTCTCTTAGCACATTTTCAGTATACAATACAACAGTATTAACTACAGTCCTCCTGCTTACATTAGATCTATAGACTTATTCATCCTACATAAGTGCAAGTTTGTACCCTTTGACCTACATCTCCTCATATCCTCCCCCTCCCTGTCCCTGGTGAATATTGTTCTATTCTCTGTTTCTATGTCTTTGACTTTTTTTAAGAATCCACATGTAAATGTGAGATCAGGTTGGCATATCTTTAATATTGTTTTAGTGAAATACCTACTTACTAATCACCCATCAATGCACTTGTATAGATAACTTTAGAAATAACATAGAGTAAATAAATATATAATAATAATAATAGTAATAGCTAGTATTTTATTAAGTTGTTACTATGGGTTAGGTGTTCAAAGTGCATGACATATATTGACTTATTTAAACCCACAACAACTCTGTAACATGAGAACACTGAAGCAAGAGGTTAACAAAGCTTGCTCAGATTCATATAGCTAGTTAGCAGTAGTTGGGCTAGCATTTAAGCTCAGGCAGGCTGCCTCCTGAGTTCACATTCTTAATCACACAATGCAGGCTTATGACATGTGTGCATATGCAAACATGCACCTCCACACATGTACACATAAACATATGCACAAGTACACACGTGTACACAAATCCACATATGAAATTTGGAATTAAACACAATGTGATCTTTGGAATAGTGAGGCTATCAGTTTAGCCTAGGAATGTTAGTTTTGGCCATCATTTAAAGAGCTATAGAAGAGACATGGTTGATATATCAAAGCAACATTTCTGAGGAAAGGCAAAATTAAATAGAAGAATAAGTACCACGGCTTTAATTATTAGAACAAATGATTTGTTCAGGTTTTTTTCACTGATGATATTTAAACTTTTAAGAAGAAATACAGACATATGCAGTCATTCACCTAGAATATTCTAGAATACTGTCGTTTCTAGAAAGTTTAATGAGGCATTAAAGATAAAATATGCCTGCTTTCTTGTAAAACTTGGACTGAAATTTCTGGTGACAATGGTTTTATGTGGTTATAAAGGATTTCTCCTTTATAGCAACATAAATCTCATGTTTTAAAATTATCCTCATATAGATACATTTTGGGAGCATTCAATATAAAGGTGAAAGTGGCGATGGTGGTGGAAGCAAAGGGCATAAAAATGTTCCAAGAAAATGCTGTAAGCCATGTTGCAATACTTGTATCAAGTTACATGATCTATGGTTTTACACTTTAAAGCTTACATTTAATTTAACAGACTTATTTTTGAAAATGTTAAGTAAAAATCAGCATAAGTACATAGATATTCTCCAGTGATGTAAATATTTAGAGAATAGGTTTGTCTTATTCCAAAGCTAAAAGAAAAATACTATGAAATGTTTCAAATCATATTTACAGGCTACTAAAAGTTATTTTAATTTAATAAATGCAAACAATATGTAAAGGTCAATTGATTAAAATATACTAACAGAACATAAAATAAACTCAAGGTTTAAACGATAGTGATATATTGGAAAAACCATACCTAAGAAACAATCAATCATTTCTACCAACGGGCAAGCTTTTCTTTGTTTTTTCTTTTTAAACTCTCAGTGTATTAACTGATACTATTCAGCATATCCAAAGGCATGTTAAAAAAAAAACTCGACTGCAAAAATTAGAACAGTAGAATTGTATGTTTATACAAAAAAGTTGAGAAACAGTGGGTCTTGGTTTAGGAGATTGAGAAAAACGACAAATGATTCAGTAGTACATCAATTTGATCTTTTTGCCAGGCTATCTTTCTGCCACTTTTAACACAAGCAGAAAATATTTCAAAACATCAAATCATCAACAGCATCAACGGAGAAAAAAATTAACAAAAAATAACTAAACTTCAGGTGGAATATGGTCTAATTAACACTTTAAACTTCAGAGACTTAGCAACAAATAAGGACAGTGGAGTAGAATATCTCAAACGTGGAAAGGAAATTATGCCTGCATAAAAGCTACTTCTATAAAATCTTCCTTTAAAAAATTACTCTTTCATTCTTAGTTCTACTGCTATTGTATAGAAAACATTCAGAAATTTCTGTATATTGATAAGCTATATAAAAGGAGATTATACTTCTATTTTAAAAAATCAAATTGACTTACAACTTAGTCTATTTTAGGTAAAATAATTTTCATAAAAGGATATTAGCAAAAATATGAATTATTCATTCTGTTTAAAATATTAGTTACTAGCACAGCTCTTTGATACTTCTGGAAGAAATTCACATAATTTAAAATATTATTTCCAAAGAGTATGTGGCAAATATCACTTTCAATACAGAATTTTATATACAAAAAAACCCAAACATCTCTTTATAGCACTTGAATTTTACAACAGAAAATAGCAAAACCCCACAAATGATAATGTTTCTGATACCCTGGGGTTTGGCAGTTGTTTCGTGATAACTACATAACCATGAATCAAAATCATTTCACAATGACATAACATGTTCACTGAGCTGTGCAATTTATCATGTATTTTCCATTGCTGCCTTTCAAAGAGATAAGGCCTGGGTTTGTTTGCCCACAGCACTCAGCAACTGTGATTTACTTCTAGGCATTTTCATATTCGTTGTACTGCAAGAAGCTGGTGTTAGGCTCTGCCAGAAAACATCACTGACAGTTACGTAATTAGCAGTCCCTGTGTATTAGGCCCACAGCACTTTTAAAAAGACTGCTTTTGTTCAGTCTAGTGTTTTTAAAACTGTTGTACTCTTATTTTCAAGTTGCTGTTTTAGGGGCAAAAATTCTATATTAAATGCTTTCTATTTTTCAGCTATTACAAACAGAAAAAAATGTTACCAGAGAAGCTTCTAGAATCATGAAGATTTTCAAGGTATAGTTCTTAAAACTCCTAATAATTTGTTCTGAAAATGAGGTGTTCATTTGAGCTCAGGATCAATCCTGGGAAACTCCTGCTACATGAATCACTGCACGTTTGGAAAACATCAATGGGTAAAGCTGGCTACTTGTTCTTCCACTGGCCCTCTCCAATGGCGAGTGAGGGATTCACTTCTGTAAATCACACTGAGACCCATCACTAGAAACCATATTCCAGCAGGTGAGGGCTTAACAGAATTATCTGATGTCCTTGGACGAGTCACTACAATTTAAGTGGGGTTTAGTAGAACATTCAAGGACTCAAGATTAAAAAGATGTTACATCCTTTCTCAAAAACCTTTTCAGTAGTTCCAAAGCAGAACTTGTAAACTAAGTCGCTTCAAGGCACAGGTGGGTAACACAGTAATAATAGCTAACATTTATTAAGCACTTACTATATGCCTGATGTCAATACCTACCCGATGAGACACTGACTGTTTCCATTTTACAGATGATGAAACTGAAGGTCTAAGAGTTCAAGTGACATAAATAAAGTTGTAGACCTAATAGGTGGCATAACCAGGAATTTGGACCAATGCAGTCCATTTTCTGAGCTTGTATGCTTAACTTTATGCTATATTGCCTGTAATAGGTAGGAAGACTGACTTATCCTCTAGAGTAAGACAATAAAAAGTAGTGGGTACTAACTAGAAAGTTCTTTAAAGACATTAACTCTTAAAACGTGTGCTGACCATGTCTTGGGTCAAAAGAGGCTTGAGTCCAAAATGACATTCCCTACATACTCATCTAATCACATCCTTTA
Organism: Homo sapiens; assembly: GCF_000001405.40. NCBI lineage: Eukaryota > Metazoa > Chordata > Mammalia > Primates > Hominidae > Homo > Homo sapiens. The sequence continues at coordinate 115,843,668 of NC_000010.11, read as the reverse complement.
TTCTGCACAAGCTCTATTTTTTAGTCAAATTAAGTGCTATTAATAACTGTTCAACAACTGTTCCCAGGGTTTTCAGAATCATCTGTGCCTTCTTCACTCTTAATCTTCCTACTGTCTAAGGCATCCTTCCCACAGGTCTCCAACGTTCCTGATCTTATGCGTCCCTCAAAGCCAACTCAAATGTCACTTCATCTATAAAGCCTTCTCTGATCTGAGATATTTAGTTTCTCCCTCTTTAGTTCTTTAACTTTAACTTTTGTGACCCTCTTTATTTTCTACTTTGAATAACAGCTGGGTAAATGTCTATTTCCCACTGGATCAAGCTCCTTGAGAACAGGTCCGGTTTCTTATTCATCCCTATATCCCCTATGCTCACTTCCTCTCTTTGAAATGTCCAAGCACGGTGCTTGTGCCACCTTTTTGGGACCTATGTCTCCCAATGTTTTATTATACTTATTGATGTACATGTTGTATAGCCCTGCTTCTGCAAGGCAGATATCATGTTAGATTCTTGTCTTACCTATAGCAACTACTAGAGTGCATTGCACATGGTAAGTGAAAGAGTTAATGAATGAATAAATGAAGTTGTCACAGAGGTCACATGGTGAAATAAGCGACAAGGCATGACCAAGTTTCTCTCCAAATTGTGGATATTAAAGGGATAGTAAAACACTAATAATAATAATATGTAACATTTACTGAGTACTTACTAGATGCCAAGTGCTATGCTAAGCTTTTTACATGCATTATTGTATGTAACCTAAACAGCAGTCCTATTAGCAGGATACTGTTATTTTCCATTTCCTACAGATGAAGTAATTGAAATTCAGAGCGGTCAGACTGTATTCTCAGGGTAAGACAGCTAGTGAGGGGCAGATCCAGGACTGGAACTCTGATTCTAGAATCTAGGTTTTCAGCCACTATACAATATTACTAAAACATACAGCTTAAGAAGCTAAGGAGTCTCTCATTCTGTCAGCCTATTAATAGTAAAAATCAATTTAGAATACCAGTTATAACAATTATATGCAAATACCTACCCCATTTCTGACTAGTGATCAGAACATATAAGTACTCAGACCAGCTCTCCCACTAGCTAGCTGTGTGATCCTGGGCTTGTTACTAAGTCAGTTTCCCCAACTGGAAAATGAACAGGTAGGTTGGATGATTTTTAAGGTCCCTTTCCTCTTTAACATTCTGTGACTATGATTTATGGACAACCTCCAGAATCTGTGACATACCAGTATCTAATAGTTTGTCTAAGTATGGTGAAATTTAAAATTTCCAATCCTTAGTATTTTTTTCTTCCTGCTCAGTTACTTTAAATGGCACATCTAATTTTTAAAGAACATTTTTATACCATATGATGAATACATCACATAAGACTAAATGGCCACCATCGCATGCCAAAAAAGCAATTAGAAAATTGAATCAAGGAATTAAGGATTAATGTGGATATGTTATACCTGTCAGCAGTAATAAGTATTTTGACAAGAACAGAATAAATTCTGACAGTATGCACAAATCCTAATCTGATATATGAGTGAAATATTAAAAATGCAAACAACTACACATTAATCACTCTAACATTTCCCTACTAAAATACTTCTAATGCTATTCTTATCAGAATTCATCTATAAATAAAAATGAGTCTTTTTCAACAGCTTGCATGATGTGGTATTTGCAGCTTAATAAGTGTTTATATTGATATGAAATTTAGTTTTTAGTCACATCAGTAAAATTGAATTAATTTACTGAGTATTGTATTAAGTGGGCCTGATGACTTGGCTCGCAGCTAATCAAGTGTCCTGATTCCATAGGATCAGCAAATACTAAGATTCCAGATTTCAAAAACAGATTCTCCGATTCCATTGTTTAGGCTTGGGGAAAAAAATGGAAGCGAAAATCATATTCTTTCCTTATTTACTTTTTGCTTTGCATGAAATGATAAAGGAGAAAAAAACACATTAGCTGGGTTTATTCAGTAGGAAGGAGAAGAATTCATATTAATAAAAGAAATTAAGCTAGTGGACACTCAAAAACAGGGTTAAATTGCATTAGAAGCCAATTCAAAGAGAATAAAGTATTACACGTGGGAATAGGTAAAGGAATAAAACATAATCTTCACAGAATCAGGATGCTGCACTTGAGGTTCTGAAGGTATTCCAACCGTAAACTTCATTTTCATATCCTACCAAATATCTCTCCTTGCTGAAATGCCTTCAAGTTCAATCTGTGTTCAAAGTTTCTAACTAAACACACACATGTACACAAACACACACACTCATATGTACCCATATTTAAGGATTATCTTTATAGTATACTATCTAGATTAACTGAGTTTTGTAGTTATTTTAATTGTGTGGCACTGACTTTGGGAGTAAAGAGGCTGGATTGTGACAGCTTCAGTTTTATCACCTATTTTTCCCTAGGTGTTTAGGTCCCAGAAAGTAAAATGAGACAACACTACCTCTTCTTGAGCTATTATATAATCATGCTTTGCCCTGAGTTGGTTAATAACATGACTGTTAATAGGAGGTGACTCTGAATAGATTATCCTTAAAAGTTGATTCCTGTTAGCATTTTTCAAAACTTTAAAATAGATTTCTATTAAATAATTATCTTAATTAGGTTTGTAACAACCTGTACTTTTCTCCACAGCTCAGTGCAAAAAGCAACCTAACCACTATACTTGATGTATGAGTTTCAAAATTAAGAACATCCTTTCTGGCCTTGAAAGGTACTGTTAAGTGTGAGAGACAACTGTGCCTGCCAAATCAGTCACTTCCCATCTTGCTCATGCCCAGACTTAGGCTTTTTTTTTCAGGCCCCTCCATTCACGTAGACTTCTTGCCAACATCTACCATTCCTGCTATATTGGCTTAAATCTCTCTACCTGCAAGAAGCCATGCCAGGTCATGCTAGGCCACTCCAGGACCTCTTTGCTCTACTCTCTTTCAATACTTCTGAGTAAATAATTTTTCCTTTTTAAGCATTGAGAGGAAGTGTAACGTGGTGGTTATGAGAACAACCTTTAGCACCCAACTGCCTGGGTTCAAGGCCATGCTCTCATCCAAGCATGAGTTTGGTTAAAGCACTTAACCTCCCTGTGCCTCAAGTTCTTCATCTGTAAAGTAGAGCTAAAAATACCTTACTCACAGTGTTATTATAATGATTAAAGGAGTAATATATATACATGAAGTATAGCACACAGTAAGTACTCAGTAAGTCAGTGATTGTTATTACACCATTCTGTCCAGTTTTCACTTTGCTTTGGAATTGCTCTTTGTTCCGTATGAAGAATATGCTCAACTCAAAAGAAAGATATCTGAGGACATAGACCATATTTTTAAAATCTCTGTTAATGGCTTGAAATGAATTAATTAAGAAATTCAGCCTTGAGGAGAGATTTTTATTGATGGTTTTCAGGGTAGGAAAAATCTAATCCCAATGCCAAACTTCCCATACTTACCACATCAACACTGCCCCGGAAAGCCTGCCTGTTCTTCCCATTTTTGTTCCCTGCTGTTATCAAGGAATCTGACCTGACTGTAAGCATTATATGCTGCCGAGAACAGACTTTCCCTGGCACCTAAGACTGAGGCATTTAAGAAATATTTTATGAATAAATGGATGTTTGTTTTCCCTTTTCCAAATTGTGCACAAGGTAAATCTCAAAGTTATAAACAAAATCTCAATCTAGAATAGATAGATGTAAACCATTGGGAAAGTTAGAAAAATCAAGATCTTGGTATTACTTCCCAGGCTAGTCCATTCTAAAACACATTATGTCATTCATTAATGTAGAAGGCCACCATAAGAATACAGCTGATAGATCAATTCTTTTTAAAAGGTAAATGTGCTAATTATTGGTGGCAGAGTGCTACATAGGCACAGTACCCACTCTGGTGAAGCATCCTTTTAAGCTAAATGCAACTCTGACTAATTTGGAGCTGAATGCACTGGAAGAGTTATGCATAGAGTCCTGGGGGTAGTAACGGAGGGAGGCAGGCAGGAGAGGGTATGTGAAGTTCTGGAGAAGGACTTTACCTTGCAGAAGATGACTAGGAGTTCACCAGGAGAATGATGAAGGAGGATTTCTGGCAGAAGTAAGGGCATGCACACAGAGGTGCAAAGACATATGGGTTGTATTGGAAATCGATAGAAGTTCATTGGGGATACAGCCTAGGAAATATTCTGTAAAGAGGGATGAGAAGAGGCAAGAGAGGAAGACTGAGGCCCTCCAAAATATCCAGGTCCCCCGTTAGCCCTTCACATCCTTCCTGGCCATGACTGGGATTCTCACTACCTGCTTCAAATGCTGTGCTGAGATGCTCGGATGGAAACGGACACGTGCAGCACACAGTGGGTCATGGGCAGCCTTCATCAAGATGTGCGCATCATCCCTCGTGAACACAAGCAAACCTCTCTCTATTAGAAACTTGCGGTGTCCCTTTATTAAACTATTAGTCAAATCTGTTATACTGAGGGAACATTAAATTAAAACATTTATTCCTGAAACTTCAATCATAAAAGTAAATCAAGAAGCACTGTGAAAACTAACTGTCAGCAGAAAGAATAAAAGTGCAGATTTGGCAATATTCTTAATGCTTAATGAGGAATCAGATGTTAATAGATCCACATAATAAATGACTTTCTACTGTAATTATTATACCAGTTGCAACCTATTATAAGTACAAAAGCATGGACAAAACTATGAATGAAAGAGTTTAATATGACTTGGTACAAAAGCATGTATGAAACTACCTGGATTTCTCAGAGAATAAGTCATTCTGGATTACAGAGTTTTCCCAGAAAGGTGAACATTAACTCTACAAGAGCTAAAACTTTGCCGTTTTAGGGTATTAAAAAAAATACTGCGAAATTGCTTAAAACGAATATCCTTTTCTCTGCTTCTCAACAAGTCTATATTAAACATAATTTAGTATTGTCTCGATGTTCCATGATCAACATTATGAACATCAGCTTTCACAGAATGCTAAAGACACATAGAGCTGCAAATGTGCGAATGAGTAAGTATGTTACAGCTATAGCCCTAGGGGTTTCTTTTCCCTCCTCTTCCTCAGTCCCAGAAACCACCAATGCCAGCTTGCTTGTTACTTATTTGTTTCTTTACATAAATGCAACCTAAAACTTATGCAGCTGCCAGTGGATAAAGTGACTGCTTTTCTGTAAACCCCATCAGTGATACAAATACTGAGATGACCTTCTCAAGAGGTTGTCTTATTTTCCACAATATCTTCTTCCCTGTTGCTGTCAGTGTGCTGTGACCTGTCAGTAACATTCAAAGCACTGCCTAATTTCTACATTACCAATCCCATGTACCACAGACATCCTCTTGACAGTCTGTAACCATCCTCTTACGTCCCTTGAAGTTTGTAGACGGAGTAGCCTTTGCAATTTCAAGAATTTTGACAATAGAGTTTGAAAATAATCTTACTATAAAGTCTAGAAATACTTCAGCAGACCCAAATGACTTTACTGGACATGAAGTGGGTGTGGGTTCAAATATTATGGGATTTTGAATAAATTATTGAACTTTTGTGTGCCACAGCTTTTCCATACAGAAAATAGAGATTATAATGCCAATCTTGAAAGTTTACATTGAGGATTATAAAGAATAATATAAGAATAAGGCACTTAGCATAGTGACTGGCAAAAAGTAGTTGTTTAAATACAATTTTATATTAGGTAGAATCACTTGCAAATGCAATTTTTAAAAGTCAAAACCAATTGAATATCAGCAATTTTATATGGGTCAATGTTAATAGTTCCCTTTCCCTTCCTTCCACTTTGTTTTGGTGATTGATGGCAAGTAAATAAAGGAGGCTTACACATCAAGATCTTTTCTTATCTTTCTCTCCTGGGTGAAGTCATTCTCTCTGGCTTGGTCCGAAAGTATGGCACGAGTATTCTAGTGTCTGGTCTAGAACTGAGTTCCAAGTTCAAACATTAGTCTATTGTGGAGAAGATGATAATTGATCAATGCTAGTGTTAGAAAGCTCAGAGGCAAAAGCCATTACAAAGGACATATTCTATGCAAACCTTTCTGCTTATACAGCAAACAGAAAAATATTTTATGGATGGATATGCTTAGAAATGCCTCCTAAGGGTGTTCTGGTGTGTGTGTGTGTGTGTGTGTGTGTGTGTGTGTGTGTGTGTGTGTGTGTGTGTGTGTGTGGCTTGGGAAGCCTCTTTGCTTACTAGCTGTCTCCTCATTATTTCCTAAATTTAAATTTCCTAATTTTATAATCAAGTCAGGTAAGAGGGAAAAATGAGAGAAAGGATGTTAGTAGACGGAGGATGCTTTTTGCAGGTCTCTGGGGTCTTCCTGCAGGAATCAAAGTTATGGAACTCACAAGACAGGACTTGCTACCCCTGTGCATGACCTGAGATACGTGGAGTCCTTATGTGGCCAAACTAAATATATTTGTGTAGCATTCCTTTAGGTCTTTTCCTCAAATTATCTAATATTTTACTGTGTGAACTCAACTACCACATCATGTTGCTTTAGAAAATGAAGTATATGAGAGTGAATAAAATATCTCTTCAAATCTGTCTTTTCCCCAAAGCTCCTTTTTTCAGTATGACTAAAAATTAATGGTCAGAGTCTGGGTAATGATCCTTTCCCTGGTTTTACTTATGCTGCTTTACCAACTCCCTGTTGGTCCTACTAATTATCTAATTGATTAAGCCTTCAAGGAGCCTTCTGTCATTGGGTGGCGCCCACTGCACACATCTGGGTCACTGTGTTTTCTTTTAAGGCAGTTAATTAAAAGATCCACAGCACAAATACAGGTATCAACTGGGAAGCAGATCTTGGTTGTTTCCTCAGTTGTTCTCTGCAGAGGGTTGAATAGCATCTTCTAAAAGTTCATGTTTATCCAGAACCTCAGAATGTGACCTCTTTTGGAAATAGGGCCTTTGCCAATGTAATTTGTTAAGATTAGGTGAGAGGTCATACTCCATTAGGGTAGGCCTGCCCTACTTTTGATACAAGGAGATGCCACACGGGAGAGTCACCGAAGAGTTCACCATGTGAAGACAGAGGCAGAGACTGCAGTGATGCATCTACAAGCCAAGGAGCACCAAGGTTTGCAGGCAACGCCAGAAGCGAGGGGAGGTGCACGGAAAAACTCTCCCTCAGGGTCTCAGAGGAATCAACTCTGCCAACACCTTCATTCCAGACTTCTAGCCCCCAGACTGTTTTTTTAAGCCACCAAGTTTGTGGTAATTTAGCCCTCAGGAGCTAATACAGTCTCCCTAGTCACAAACCAACCTTCAACAGAATGGCCAAGGAGTATTGATTACTTGCCATCTTTTTCTTTTGTTTTGGAAATGATCATAAGTATAATACGGTAACTGGCCAGTCTCAATACCTCAGAATATTTCCCCTATTTGGGGGCCATTCAAGTCACTTGCACTTGAGAAACTAGCTACATATCACATAGCATGGCAAATGCAGCCCACACAAAGGTCAAGAGGGAGATTCACTTAGTTATGGGAATTCTGTGATCATTGTATGATTGATGATGTTCTTAAAATTGAAAATAGTTGTAATTGCTCCTTAGAATGCAAAGGTAGTATACGTTATACGTTGGATTCCCCAGGAAATAGATTCTGAGATTCTGAGACATGTGTGCAGGAGGTTCATTGGGAAGTAGCCACAGGAACAACATCGGTGTGGGGGGACAGAGCAGAATGTGGCAGAGGGAGAAGTTCACCTGTGGTGCGGCAGCCTCTGCCTGAGTGGGTGGTTCTTTAGAGTTGTATCACATTGAGACAAGAGGCTAAGTCTCTGAACCTATCCATGGATGGAGGCTGTCCTCAGCGAGGGGGCATGGCCATTGTGAGAGGCAGCTTCTCTCAGCAGAGGGTGATTTCTGGAGAAGGACTCTGCTCAGAGCTGTGAAAATGAGAGGCTCAGTCTCGAAGTGGGAATGCAGGCAGCACATCCCAGTCCTACTATAATATTCACAGTTCTAAAGATAAATTTCTTTATTAGCTAAGAGTGACTGGGCCAAGGCCCAATTTTATATGTTGTGGTATAGATAAGGTTATTGGGCATTTATACTTTTGTTCCTCACCAGGCTTCTGAGGCCGCTATATTATTGCCTTTCCCAATTCTCCCATATGAGTGCTTGCTCTTCAGGACTGTAACCTTCCTCTTCAATTTTCCTACCTTGGCTGGCAATTCTGATGGTGATTTTTATCTTCAAAAAAGGGCAGAAATTATGATCTTGGTGCTAACTCCATGGCTAGGTCAATAGTTTAAAGAACTGAGTAAGCATTACTCAATATTTTATTCTTCACAGTTGGCATTCAAATGATTCAATGTATCTTACTTTTTGTTAAGTCATGAAGCTTTCAGAGGAAGAGGTCACCTTTCCTCTGAAATAAGGTCACCCTTATTTTGCATTCAGGGACAGTGGAAGATGAGTAATTAATTAATCTCACCAAGGTTCTGTAAGGTGTCAAAAGGGATGGCAGAGAAGACGCCAATATCCTCTGTTTGCCTGCTAAGTCATATTGTCTCTTGGAAAACTGCAACTTTATATGTCTTTTCTCTAATAATAATAATAATGTCAACTATTATTAATTGAGCATGTACTATTTACTGAGCACTCCCTTGAGAAGTGGAAGGTGAACTAAAAAGCAGTTGGTGGACACTGCTAAGTACTAATACATGTTCCAAGTATTAGCAAGATTAAAAGGTTTTTGAATCCAGAACATGAATATGTCATCTTAGTTGTAAAAACTACTGCAACAAAGCAAACTAAACCCTTTGGGTGGAAGATTTACATCAATCCTTTTAAGATAAATATTGGTCCCTATCACACTAAGGCAAGAAAATACACAGCAGAGGAGAATTCATTATCTTGAAGATTAACACATGGTGGAAGGTAGTAGGGGAAGGTGTGAGGTGACATCACTGTGGTTCTACACGTAGACATCCCATTGGAGAACAAACAAGGAAGATGCTTTGCTAATACAGATTCCAAATCCGACAACAGCTGCCTGTCTGTTGGCAATCTCATTCTATTCAAAACAAGTAGAAACTGATCATATTACCTTACCAGAGCAAAATGGTAAAGGGAACATTCCAATAAAATATAGAGGTTTGCCTAGAGACAGGCAAACAAACTTTGCAAACAAGGTGGAAGAGTCTGAGAGGCAAGGGAGAAGTAGGCGATTGGGTCAGAAAAGAAGAGTTGTTGAGCCTTATGGATTCAGACATATATACTAAACTTAGGGAAGTGGGTTTCAAAAAGTTCAGAAAAAATTACAGGTATAATCCCACCATTAGAGAATCTAAAATAATATGGCTCAAAGGACAGGAAGCTTTAAAATATCTGATTGAAATCCCAAGTGACAAAATAAAGAAGGAATATTGGAGCCGCAGAAAGTAGTTTCTAATGGGATGCCAGTAGAATAAGAGTATATAACCTCAGACTCACAGGCCTACTGTGGGGAGCAAGTTCTTGGAGTGGACTAAAGGTGTGGGGTATGCAGGGATATGATAGACAACTGGCTCCTGAGAGCATAGCGGTAGCCACCAAATTAACTGTAGATAGAAAGACAGTCGGTCGCTGGCATTCCATTGAGGTATAGCAGTGAAGTGCTCCGGCAGTTGAGCATAGCACAGTCATAGAAAATCATTCCATAAGAAATGTTTGCTCCAAATGATCCCCATCAGGGAATTATCCAGATTATGAACACATATGGTGAAGAGCAGGCCCTGTTGCTTATGTGGCAGACCTTTAAACTAAAGCTTTACAAGATAATGTGCTTTATATTAGAATTCAAAAGAATTAGAACACAGGATTAAATTAACTAGGCAGTTTGTATTGGATAGAGGGTAAACATGTGGGCTCTGGTACATTATTGCCTAGAATTAATTCTTAACTGCCGCTTACTTGGGCATGTTTCTTAACTCTCTGTGCTCAATTTCCTCATCTGTAAAATGGCAATAATTATAATATGTACTTCACTGGATTGTTGTAAGGATAAACTAAATTGATACTTACAAAGCATTTAGAGTACTGCCTGGCGTAGGGCAAGTGTTCAATAAATGTCAGTGATTATTATTTAATTTTATCATTTTAATGGTCTGTTTAACATAGCATACACTCTTACTATAATAATAACTTATTCTTATAACTTAGCCTGTATCTTCTGATTTATGATAGAATAGCCCAGGAGCTTATATGTGGCCCTGGTGTGACACAGCCTTTGAGGAAACTCTTGCAGGCTGGTTCTACATTGAGCACGCTATGCCGTGAAAAGTAAAATCAAGTTTGAATCTTGGCTCTACCACATACAGATCACGTGACTTTAGGTAACTAGACTAATCTTTCTAGGCCCAAATTTCTTCACCTATAAAAGAGAATAATAATAGTGCTAATTACTGATAGGGTTTTTGCAACGAGTAAACTCAATAACTTATTTAAAGCACCTGGTATATTGTATTGCATACAGTAGGCATTCAATGAATGGCAGCTATGTTATGATTTAGCTCCTTTATCTCCTTAAAAATATATTTAACTTTCCTGCTTATTACAAATGAACACCATACATTCTTAGTTTGCTATTTGAATTTCTTTTTTTTTCTCCTCTTACATGTCCTGAAGGAATTTTTAAAAATCTCACTAAAATGAAATACTGGGACATAAAAATACTTGTGATGGTCATTTTCCATTTAGAAGGGAATTACCTTGATACTTCATTGCATCTCTTCACCATAGATCTTTCTACAATGAAACTCTAATTCATGATCTTGTCAGAGCTGGGGCAGGGGATTCAGGTGTGAGTATCAGATAAAAGGTTGAGACAGAGATGCAGGATCAAGAAGGGGTGGCTTTGAAGCAAGCAAGCAAGGACAGCAAAAGTAAAGGGTTAGAGAATGGATAAATCAGTTGTGGGTTTAGAAGTGACATACATAATAATAGTGGCCATTTTTGAATACCTAATGTTTCCTTTGCCTGTGCAAGGAGAGTGGAAGAGTCGAGACTTGGACTCAGACTTATCATAATTCCAATGCCTAATTCTTCCCCACTTTCCATACTAGCATCTGGAAGTAATGACATACCACAGGAGACAGACAGACGCATACGTTGTAGTTCAAGGTCTGAGACTCAGAATCCAGAAAGTCTATGAGATTTGAAGGAATGAAGGGAGTGCAAAAACAATGTCAAATGATGAGCAAGTATAGAAGAAACACAACAGAAAGGGTTTTCTATCCTTCCCTTAGCATTATGCTCTGCTTCTTGGTAACAGAAGCCAATCTTCCCACTTAGGTTGGTGGAGCCTCTGCAGGTGAGAAAAGGTGAGTGGCAGCTCCTGACCAAGATGAGGCCCACAAGGCAGGAGTCAACAGCACGAGTGAATGGTGGGAAAATCCTGGATTCCTCCCTATTTTACCTTGGCTATTTGATAGCTTTCTGACCCAGACTACAGTTTTAATTTGAAAAGTTCCCCTTTCTACAGAAACTAAACAGGTTTCAAAGCAGAAATATAAATTAATTTTGCCAATTCTGGCAACCAATAACCCTCAAATTTTCTATGACCTTAGCTTTTTCCCCCTTTATTTACCTCATAAAAGGGAAGTTAGGACATATTAATCCTGTAAATAGCTCCATATTTTCTGAGATCACTTCAGAAGAAGACTATTTGAATAAGATGAAATTACTATTTGTCGGGGAATTTAATTATACTCTTTTTCTTGGTGTTGGTTTTCAAGTTTCTTAATGCCTTTAGTTAATAGCAGGTAGCTATAGCAATTTTAAAGTATCTCTTTCAGTTATAACACTCTCTGTTGACTTTTTTAAAGCACCTAACAATTGACAAAGCTTTTTAAAAATCTCACTTGAAAAAAAAAAACTCACTTGACTCTTGCAGCTACTATGTGAGGTGGTGAGAGCAGCCTTTACTACCCAAACTTTACAAATGACAAAACTAAGGTTCTGAGAGTTAAGAGACTTGCTTGAGGACACAAAGTAGCTATGTCATGTTAGCCGGTGCAAGAAGTGAACATCTAAACACTGACTCCTGGGCTCTTGGTAATACAGGGAACACCTTTCCAATTGGTTTGCTTTCCACGCTCCGCTCCACCCTCACCCCGGCGTGCTTTTCACTGGGGGGATTTTCTCATGAGCTCAGGTGGGCTCTGGGCTGTATCATGCTCATCCATATGCACTCATCTATGAGATGCTCATTCCTCTTTATTAAGGAACTATGACAAATAAAATCTGTTAAAAAAAAGTTCTAGATCTCCAGTTCTCTCTCCTCAAATAGTTCTGTACACTCTTGCAAATATGAAAGATGTAAGATTGAGAGATTAAAGGGAAACACATACAAGGAAGGAGGCCGGGAGGTGCTAGGAGGGGAGAGGGGCGTGAACAGGCCTCCTCTGGCTTCCACATGCTCATTCTCTCCCGGGAGCAAAGAGTCAGTGACGCACTTAGGGAAAAGGGAAGCAAACCGGGAAATACCAACGAACCAACCAGCCCATCCGTGTTTCTGGAAGAACAAGGGCAGGTGGGAGCATTTATCTTAGGAAATTGCTTTTCTTGATTTTTTTTTCCAGAAAACGTGGAAAAATCTATGAAGAATGTGGGACAGGAAAGGGAGCAGAATACAAGAGAATGTATGTGGCTAAGGACTGGTGCTCACAGCCAAGGGATAAAAAGGCAAGGCCTGCTCTGTGTTGTAAAGCTGTAAAACTTTCCTTCTGCATACTTTCATATGAATTGGAGGAAAGTCACTCAGGCACTGAGGACTGATGGACAGAAATTAGCTGACATCAGAGAGGCCAATAAGTTATCTTAGCACAACTGGCCAAAGGCACATAGTTTTCCATGGGAAATGACCGCTGAGCTTTGGTTGAGGTTCCCCAAGAGGAAAAGCTCGATTGTGACAGCTTCTTCAATATGCTGCCAAATGCTTGTGGTTCCATCTGAAACCAACAGTGCAAAAACACTCACACCTCTGCACCTTTTATTTGAAAAGCAAGACATTTTCAGATACTGCTATATTTTCTAACAGAGGATCTACATCTGAACACACTTGAATTTTAGGAACTGGTAAACACAAACCCAATGTGAACTATCATCACGACTCATCCCAGCCAAGCAGATGGTCAGGCTAAAACCCCTAAAGCTTATTGCTACAAAGTCTTGGTAACAAGACAGTCATTCAATAAATGTTTATTGAGCATGGCCTATGTGCAAGATACTGTAGCCATGCCAGATTTCTTATTACTCAGTGTGCTGCTCCACATAATGAGGAGGTTGATCTTGCTGAATTTCTACTGAAGAGATGCATCAAATCTTACCTCAAAGGTTGCCAATGATCCATTTATAAAGAGCAAACAAGAATTTATTCTGGTTGTAATTTTTTTCCTACATATTCTTAGGTTATTTAGCCAGATGAATTAGTTTCTGCTAAAAACAAAAACAAAAACAAAAACCCAAAGCCCTTTGTTCACTTGTATATCCACAAACCAAATATTATTGAGATCCGCCAATGCACCAGGAACTGCATATATGCAGCTAGAACTGCAGACTTTGGCAGTATTAGGGCAGGAGAATTCTGTAGTAACAAAGGACTCTCTTGTTGCAGGTCTGCTGATGAGGTAATAGTAGCTAACACTTACTGCACTTACTGTAGAATAGAGTCAGACCCTACATTAAGTGTTTTGCACTGCACACACCAAGATAAAGATGAGTTCCTTTTATGCAATTAAAATTAGTCATGTAAAATCCCTAAAGAGTGGGGCTAAAAGGTGGCATTGCTGTGTTTGTAAATGCCTAAGGAACTCTTCTCCGGGCAGTCAGACAAGAGACAAAACCATGAAGAGTACATCTTCTAGGGCCATCTAGTGTTGATTTTTTTCTGCTTTAGCTCTTGGGGAGTCTCCAAAACCATAAAGGAAAAGAAAATCCCTTGATTTTGCAACTACTGAAGTGGAATTCCTTGGTGGCATAAGACAGAGAAGGTCTTGGAAAAGGGTATATCTTTTTTTGGCTTAAAAGTATATGCTAGCTCAGGAAGGGAAATGAGTTATAAATACCAAGGAGCACTGTGCTGCTCAGCTCGCATTGCAGATAAGGAATATTTTACTTTTTTTTTTTTTTTTGAAAAAGAAAATTTAAAAAGAAAGCCTGCTGAAATCTCCTGAAGAGACTGCAAAGTGGAAATTGACATAAGCTTGATCATGTAATACAGAATTAACCTTCCTAAAAAGTTGTTTTTATCTACCTATGTGTCTTACCCGCTTAAAATCTCTTTGCTCTCTTCCCTATAAAAACTCCAACCCAGTCATGGCTGGTCTGCTCTACTGGTCTTCCTCCTAACACTTCTGCTGCTCTCAACTCCTATCTGCCATAAATTTCCCTTTTCTTTTCCTAAAGTAGAAATAATCTGTAGAGATAAAGGATTATCTTCCTGTAGGTCTGGTCATTCAGTGCATTTTTTTTTCCCTCAAATGCTATGTGGCATATCACTCTTATGATAAAAATATTTTATAAATCTTCACTTATGGCTTTTGGTCTTCATGTGATATTTATGGAGGGAAATTCTACAGATAGGAAAACTGAAAAAAAGGGTGATTGTGAAATAATGCCCATCTGCAGAAGTTAGGACTCTTTATCTTGAATCCAAGGCCCTCTCCCCTAAAAATGCTATCAGCATGTAGACACCTTGAGGTTTCTAATGACATTGGGAATTTGGAGAGGGCTAATAATGGGACATTACATTTTTTAAAGAGGAATTTAGTAATGCTCTTTTAAATTTATTAGGAGACTCTTAGATTTGTCCTGCACAGGCTGATAAATGCATACTTATTTCACTACTCGCACAGACTAGATCGAGGTGGTGAAACTTGGCAGCCATTTAATAGACTATTATGAAGGTTAGATCTGCAAACAACTCCCCCTAGGCCACTGAAATAGTAATAAAATTTAGGGAGGTAAATATAATGATTATAATTTGAGCTTGTCTAAATAATACTGAATGTAAAACATTAATTAAATCCTGAGGAATTAGAAAACAACAACAAAAACAGGTAGACAACTACCACCATGCTGTGTACCAGAGTGAGAAGCAAACATTGTACTGTAGCTACCTGTCTATTTAAACCTTTCATTGCAATTGAAATATCCTTTAGAGTAAAATAACTGACAAGCCATGAAGAATCTCTGCTTTATTTCCTTGATTTCCATTTTCCACAGTGCCTTTCCACACAGCCTTAACAGCTGCAGGCAGTCTGCTCTTCCAAGCCTTGCATCAGGCTTGGTGTTTCTTTTCTTTTCTTTTCTTTTCTTTTTTTTTGAGACGGAGTTTTGCTCTTGTTGCCCAGGCTGGAGTGCAGTGGTGTGATTTCGGCTCACCGCAACCTCTGGCTCCCAGGTTCAAGTGATTCTCCTGCCTCAGCCTCCTGAGTAGCTGGGATTACAGGCATGCGCCACCACGCCTGGCTAATTTTGTATTTTTAGTAGAGACAAGGTTTCTCCATGTTGGTCAGGCTGGTATCGAACTCCAGACCTCAGGTGATCCGCCCACCTCGGTCTCCCAAAGTGCTGGGATTACAGGCGTGAGCCCCCGTGCCCGGCTTCAGGCTTGGTGTTTCTTGAAGCATTCATTCCATTCCATGTGAGTTGGGGCCTTTGTTAATGGATCTGCCCTCGGCTCCATTTGGACTGCTGCAGTTCTCTGTGGTCCACTTGTCTTGGGTGCTGAGCAAGAAGGAGCTCTGGGGTACTGCCTTCAGAGACAGCCCCACGGAAACATTCTTTAGCCATGATTTCATTGTGACCACTGCTTAAGGCTAGTCTATTTCATGCTCACTGAGTCCAGGAAAGCTCCCTTGTGTCAGTATTCGACAACTGCTTTTGTTCATATGTCATCTCTTACCTATGCCAACATGTGGCATGTGGAGCCAATCTGTTGACAAGGCAGCTCTCATCTCTTCTCTAAATTTCATATCTATCCCAGCCAGAAGTTTGGTACATCCATTAGGATGTTAGAATTCTTTTGTCCATATGAAGACTGAAACCCCCACCACATTATGTAATGTGTTCATGATGTGGTCATTCTTTTGGATAATCGTCAACATTAAAATCGACCAATATCCTGCCTGTGACCTCAAAGGGATTTAGACTGATGCAACACCACATGGGAAATTGTCTGAGACACCTTACGTCCTGCCAGCATTATCTGCTAAACTGGTATAGGCTTCATTAGTTAACACATCAATCATAGGCACTAATCATGCATATTTTAAACTGTGAAATCCCAGCACACAAGCCAATGTTATGACTGTTTTATCCAGAAACAGTTTGCAGGGGGTGTGGCCTGACTGAGCTGTAATACTTTGGCTCTTGCCTCATGGGTTTAGTTGTTTACAGTTTTTATAAAGCAATGAGTTAAAGTCAATGCTGTCGGACTTTCAGACGTTGGAGGCTCCCTCTGTGGCAGGGACACTGTCTTCTAGACCTCTGGCTTTGGGCATGTTAATGTTCTGTCACACAGCACAAGACGGCCAGCCATGATGTTCACTCCCATCCAGTTTTGCAAAGGAATCTGTCTGTGGGGAAACACATTTTGATAATATGTAGCTTTTTGATGTATGACACTTGAATGGAGGTGTCAGGAGACAGATTTCTAGGCAGACAGGGATGGGTCCCTGGTGAAACTTGACCTACAAGCCAAGGATCCTCTGAAGTCTGAAAACCAAACTACCAATTCCAGATAGAGTCCATGAACTAGAGTGAGAACTTCTATTCCTGTTACCCACTCTTTTTCAATTGGTTCTTTCTGAATAATGCTTTTTTATCATTTTTTAATCGAATGTTGCCTTTTCTAAGATTACCTACAGCCTGCGCTTCCTCATTCCAAATGCATAAAAAACCCCGGACTCAGCTTCACAGATGGCTACCCATTTTCAGGTGCCCACTCACTGTCGAGAGCTTTTCTTTTGCTCAATAAAATTCTATTCTGCCTTACTCGCTCTCCGGTGTCCGTGACTTCATTCCTCTTAGTCATGGGACAAGAACCCGGAATTTGCTGAACTGTGGGAGCAAAAAGAGCTCTAACACCCCTGCTCACCAGCTGCAGGAGGTGAGAGTAAAAGGGCTGTAACATTGTTTCCCATACGCCAAACTATGGGAGTGAAAAAGCTGCTGGGTGCCACTCCCTCCAGCTCACCGAGCTGCAGGCAGCTGGAGTAAAAAAGATGTAACCCTCCCTCTTGCTTGCTGAACAATGGGAGAGAAGATGCCACTGGCTGCCACTCCCTCCCGCCAAGCTATGGGAGCGAAGAAGGGAAGCCACTGGGTACCACTCCTTCCTGCTTGCCTAACTGTGGGAGCAAGAAAGCTGTGACAGAGGGTGCCAGTGTCCAGCAACCCAAGAGAAATTCAGAGGGAAACAGATTTGAAAAAAAAATGGGATAGTATATTGTTTGATCCATTTCCAAAAATATACTAGAGAACAGTCATAGCTAGCATGACCATCTATAGATTCCCCAGGAAACAGCTCTCCAAGGAGGTAGTTTTTATCATATGTGTATATTTCATGTGAGTTCACCCTTGCAAAAACTTCAAGATGTATGACACTAAATGACCAAAAGCTTAATTAATAAAAGCTAAAATCCCATGTCTACATATATAATACTAATTTCTATTTACAGCATTCATTCATTCAGCAGTGCACCATTGCGCTAGGCACTGAGCTTAACAGGTGGAATAGTTCAAGTGGGAAAGACCCTAAGGGAAAAAAAAGGTCACAATGCAACGATACATAGGCTATACAAGCTTGCACAGCTTGAATAACTATATGAAGTTGACTAACTGCTAGAGCCAGGAATCTTCCAGGAGAAGACAGCATTTGGCCAGAAAGCTGGGTCACAAAGGACTAGTATTTATTAATGTTTGGGAAGTCCAGAGAGAGTCTGGCATGCAGCTTGACATGGTTAAAACACACTGACGATTAACAGGAAAAGTTGAGAGATACAAATGGAGAGGCACAGTGTGGACAGATCTCAAAGGGTCTGTGTGCCATTTGTAGGCAAAGGATTTGTAACTTTAAGCATATTTTAGGTAACGAGATGCCATGTTGGGGGTGGGGGTGGCAGATCAGGGCAACTTTAAGCATGAGTGTACCAAGTTAATAATGTCTAAATATAGAAAGTCTATATACGCTAGGTCCTTTTTTATTATTATACATTAAGTTCTGGGATGCATGTGCAGAAGAACGTGCAGGTTTGTTCATAGGTATATACGTGTCATGTGGTTTGCTGTACCCATCAACCCGTCATCTACTTTAGGTATTTCTCCTAATGTTATCTCTCCCCTAGTCCCCCAACCCCCGACAGGCCCTGGTGTGAGATGTTCCCCTCTCTGCATCCTTGTGTTCTCATTGTTCAACTCCCACTCATGAGTGAGAACATGCGATGTTTGGTTTTCAGTTCCTGTGTTAGTTTGATGTTGAGAATGATGTTTCAGTTCCTGTGTTAGTTCCTGTGTTGAGAATGATGGTTTCCAGCTTCATCCATGTCCCTGCAAAGGACATGAACTCATCCTTTTTTATGACTGCATAGTATTCCATGGTGTATATGTGCCACATTTTCTTTATACAGTTTATCATTGATGGGCATTTGTGTTGGTTCCAAGTCTTTGCTATTGTGAACAGTGCTGCAATAAACATATGTGAGCATGTATCTTTATAGTAGAATGATTTAAACTCCTTTGGGAATATACCCAGTAATGAGATTGCTGATTCTAGATCCTTGAGGAATCACCACACTGTCTTCCACAATGGCTGAACTAATTTACACACCCACCAACAGTGTACAAGCGCTCCTATTTTCCACATCCTCTCCAGCATCTGACTTTTTAATGACTGCCATTCTAACCGGTGTGAGATGGTATCTCATTGTGGTTTTGATTTGCATTTCTCTAATCACCATAGATGATGAGCTTTTTTTCATATGTTTGTTGGCAGGATAAATGTCTTCTTTTGAGAAGTGTCTGTTCATATCCTTCGCCCACTTTTTGATGGGGTTTTTTTTTCTTGTAAGTTTCTTTAAGTTCCTTGTAGATTCTGGATCCTTTGTCAGATGGATAGATTGCAAAAATTTTCTCCCATTTTTGTAGGTTGCCTGTTCACTCTGATGATAGTTTCCTTTGCTGTGCAGAAACTCTTTAGTTTAATTAGATCCCATTTTCCAGTTTTGGTTTTTGTTGCCATTGCTTTTGGTGTTTTAGTCATGAAGTCCTTGCCCATGCCTATGTCCTGAATGGTATTGCCTAGGTTTTCTTCTAGGGTTTCTATGGTTTTAGGTCTTATGTTTAAGTCTTTAATCCATCTTGAGTTAATTTCTGTATAAGGTGTAAGGAAGGGGTTCAGTTTCAGTTTTCTGCACATGGCTAGCCAGTTTTCTCAACAACATTTATTAAATAGGGAATCCTTTCCCCATTGCTTGTTTTTGTCAGGTTTGTCAAACATCAGATGGTTGTAGAGGTGTGGCATTATTTCTGAGGCCTCTGTTCTGTTCCATTGGTCTACATATCTGTTTTGGTACCAGTATCATGCTGTTTTGGTTACTGTAGCCTTGTAGTATAGTTTGAAGTCAGGTAGTGTGATGCCTCCAGCTTTGTTCTTTTTGACTAGGATTGTCTTGGCTATATGGGATCTTTTTTGGTTCCATATGAAATTTAAAGCAGCTTTTTCTAATTCTGTGAAGAAAGTCAATGGCAACTTGATGGGGATGGCATTGAATCTACAAATTACTTTGGGCAGTATGGCCATATTCACAATATTGATTCTTCCTATCCATGAGCATGGAATGTTTTTCCATTTGTTTGTGTCCTCTCTTATTTCCTTGAGCAGTGGTTTGTCGTTCTCCTTGAAGAGGTCCTTCACGTCCTTTGTAAGTTGTATGCCTAGGTATTTCATTCTCTTTGTAGCAATTGTGAATGGGAATTCACTCATGATTTGGTTCTCTGTTTGTCTATTATTGGTGTATGGAATGCTTGTGAGTTTTGTACATTTATTTTGTATCTTGAGACTTTGCTGAAGTTGCTTATCAGCTTAAAGTGATTTTGGGCTGAGACAATGGGGTTTTCTAAATATACAATCATGTCATCTGCAAACGCAGACAATATGACTTCCTCTCTTCCGAATTGAATACCCTTTATTTCTTTCTCTTGCCTGATTGCCCTGGCCAGAACTTCCAATACTATGTTGAATAGGAGTGATGAGAGAAGGCATCCTTGTCTTGTGCCAGTTTTCAAAGGGAATGCTTCCAGCTTTTGCCCATTCAGTATGTTATTGGCTGTGGGTCTGTCATAAATATCTCTTATTATTTTGAGATATGTTCCATCAATACCTAGTTTATTGAGAGCTTTAAGCATGAAGGGATGTTGAATTTTGTCAAAGGTCTTTTTTGCATCTATTGAGATAATCATGTGGTTTTTGTCATTGGTTCTGTTTATGTGATGGATTTTATTGATTAGCGTATGTTGAACCAGACTTGCAGCCCAGGGATAAAGCTGACTTGATCGTGGTGAATAAGCTTTTTGATGTGCTGCTGGATTCGGTTTGCCAGTATTTTATGGAGGATTTTCGCATTGATGTTCATCAGGGATATTAGACTGAAATTTTCTTTTCTTGTTGTGTCTCTGCCAAGTTTTGGTATCAGGATAATGCTGGCCTCATAAAATGAGTTAGGGAGGAGTCCCCCTTTTTCTGTTGTTTGGAATAGTTACAGAAGGAATGGTACCAGCTCCTTTTTGTACCTCTGGTAGAATTCGGCTGTGAACCCATCTGGTCCTGGGCTTTTTTTGGTTGGTAGGCTATTAGTTACTGCCTCGATTTCAGAACTTGTTATTGGTCTATTCAGGGATTCGACTTCTTTCTGGTTTAGTCTTGGAAGGGTGTATGTGTCCAGGAATTTATCCATTTCTTCTAGATTTTCTAGTTTATTTGCATAGAGGTGTTTATAGTATTCTCTGATGGTAGTTTGTATTTCTGTGCGATCAGTGGTGATATTTCCTTTATCATTTTTTATTGTGTCTGTTTGATTCTTCTCTCCTTTCTTCTTTATTAGTCTGGCTAGTGGCCTATCTATTTTGTTAATCTTTTCAAAAAACCAGCTCCTGGATTCACTGATTTTTTTGAAGGGTTTTTCGTCTCTCTATCTCCTTCAGTTCTGCTCTGATCTTAGTTATTTCTTACCTTCTTCTAGCTTTTGAATTTGTTTGCTCTTGCTTCTCCAGTTCTTTTACTTGTGATGTTAGGGTGTTGATTTTAGATCTTTCCTGCTTTCTCCTGTGGGCATTTAGTGCTATAAATTTCCCTCTAGACACTGCTTTAGCTGTGTCCCAGAGATTCTGGTGTGTTGTGTTCTTGTTCTCATTGGTTTCAAAGAACTTATTTATTTCTGCCTTCATTTTGTTATTTACCCAGTAGTCATTCCAGAGCAGGTTGCTCAATTTCTATGTAGTTGTGCGGTTTTGAGTGAGTTTCTTAATCCTGAGTTCTTATTTGATTGCACTGTGGTCTAAGAGACTGTTTGTTATGATTTCCATTTTTTGCATTTGCTGAGGAGTGTTTTACTTCCAATTATGTGGTCAACTTTAGAATAAGTGTGATGTGGTGCTGAGTAGATTGTATATTCTGTTGATTTGGGGTGGAGAGTTCTGTAGATGTCTATTATCTCCGCTTGGTCCAGAGCTGAGTTCAAGTCCTGAATATCCTTGTTAATTTTCTGTCTTGTTGCTCTAACATTGACAGTGGGGTGTTAAAGTGTCCCACTATTATTGTGTGGGAGTCTAAGTCTCTTTGTAGGTCTCTAAGAATTTGCTTTATGAATCTGGGTGCTCCTGTATTCAGTGCACATATATTTAGGATAGTTAGCTCTTCTTGTTGCATTGATCCCTTTACCATCATATAAT
The DNA here is from genome assembly GCF_000001405.40 of Homo sapiens. NCBI lineage: Eukaryota > Metazoa > Chordata > Mammalia > Primates > Hominidae > Homo > Homo sapiens. The sequence continues at coordinate 115,821,691 of NC_000010.11, read as the reverse complement.
GCCCTTCTTTGTCTTTTTTGATCTTTGCTGGTTTAAAGTATGTTTTATCAGAGGCTAGGATTGCAACCCTTGCTTTTTTTGCTTTCCAACTTGGTAAATCTTCCTCCATCCCTTTATTTTGAGCCTATGTGTGTCTTTGCACATGAGATGGGTCTCCTGAATACAGCATACCAATGGGTCTTGACTCTTTATCCATCTTGCCAGTCTGTGTCTTTTAATTGGGGGCATTTGGCCCGTTTACACTTAAGGTTAATATTGTTATGTGGAAGCACTAAAAATGGAAAGGAAAAACCAGTACCAACCACCGCAAAAACATACCAAATTGTAAAGACCATTGACAGTATGAAGAAACTGCATCAACTAACGGGCAAAATAACCAGCTAGCATCATAATGACAGGATCAAATTCACACAAGCTACTTTTCTAAGAAAGATTGAATAACATATATTTAATCTTTGCAACTATTTATGAGGTAGGTGCTTTTATTTCCTGTATTAGTCTGTTCACACACTGCTATAAAGATATACCTCAGACTGGATAATTTATAAAGGAAAGAGGTTTAATTGACTCATAGTTCTACATGGTGAGGGAGGCCTCAGGAAATTTATAATCATGGTGGAAGGTGAGAGAGAGGCAAAGGCATGTATTACATGGCAGCAGGCTTGAGAAAGTGCATAAGCAAAGGGGAAAGAGCCCCTTACAAAACCATGAGATCTCATGAGAACTCACCCACTATCATCAGAACAGCATGGAGGAAACCATCCCCACGATCCCATCACCTCCCACCAGGTCCTGCCCTAGACACTGGGGATTATGGGGATTACAATTCAAGATGAGATTTGGGTGGGGACACGGAGCCAAACCATATCATCTACCCATTATAAAATGAGGAAATTGAGGCACAAAGGGGTGAGACAGAAGTGACAAAGTTAGTCTTTGATAGAGCCAAGTCAGTGTGACTTCAGAGCATGCACTCTTTACCACGACTTTGTACCGCCTCTCAGATGAGGATCTGAAGGGGTGCTCTAGAGACTATGAAAAACGGACTAAATAGAGAAAACACTGGAACCAGAGCCCTTTGCCTCTGACAGGCTGTAGTAACTGGATGTGATATAGTTCAGGCCGACCTGCCTTCATTAGGAAAAAACAAACTATCAGAGATCAGTTTTTAAATCACGAATATCCAAAGTCTTGACATATGTTGCAAAAAGCACTTAGTAATTTCCCCCAAAGATGGTTCCATCTCCTTTCTGTATCCTGATGAAGGAATTACTTGAAGCATTACAGTTCTGGAGCACACAGGTAATGGGGCTCCCTGCCATAAACACTGTGTAAAGCTGGAGATACGCACAACTAGGGAAGACAATCAATATATTCTATTGTAACAGAAACTTACTAATCAGTAGTAGAGGGAACTTGATGGGCATGAAGATGACATTTACTTATGTGGGACAGAATGAAATGATGAAGGGGAAAATGAATATCATGTTCCAATAAATTATGAAATTTCTGACAATGTTAAAACCTCAGTGATTTTTAGAGTGAGGCTCAGAGAAAAAGCTGTGTCCTACTCATGCTTTGAAAGAGGATGTACATAAATGATAAAAAGAGAGCAGCCTAATATTGAGCCGTATTTTGGAGGCCATTTTCACATGTGGATTTGGGGCTGTAGTAACACAGCAGTGTTAGAGCATTTCCTGGTTTCATCTCCAAGCAAACAACCTCACTGCCACCTCTCCCACCTAGTCCTATTCCTCCACCTTAGCCAGGTGTTAGGGTTTTTTTTTTTTGACTTATTTCTTGGAAATAGAATTCTAGTTTATACGTGAATGAAGGAGGTGAGGAGAAAAAGACCTGCTTTGAGATAAGGCAATGTTTCATGTTTAGTTTAGTGTTCAGTGGCAAGAACCAGTGACTTGGGGTGGAAGAACATGAAAAACTCTGCCTATTTCAAGCACTTGCATCTATACTGAATTTACTTATGAAGTAAAACTTAATTTTCATATAAAGTACAGGGTGCTACTGAGAGGGACAGAGATAGAAACAGTGATACAGAGAAGAAACAGTATGTTAAAAGTATAAAAGAAAGGGCTTGAATTAGGCAGAATGATAATAAAAAAGGGATGGATTTGGTGAGAGAATTTGGTGGTATAATTTGCAGGACTAGGGGATCACTTGAACAACTCATGCTAGCGGTGAGGAAGAAGAGTCAAGAAAACCTCTTAATTTACTTAACAAATATTTTGAATTCCTAAATTTCTTAAAACCTAGAGATATAGGCCTGATCAGAAAAGTTCTCTATCCTCACAGAATTCAGTAGTGAAAATATTCTAGATAGATAGTAATGCAATTAACCAAGAAATCAAGTATTACTGGAGGGGGGAAACAGTATAAAGAGTACATATTAAAGTTAATGAGTTCAATTTTGAACATGCTTCATTTAAGATGCCAAAGGGACACTAAAGGGGAGATGTCTAGCAAGCTGGTGGCTGATGGGCTTGCAGATCCAGAGAACTGGCATCACAGGCATATGGAGTGTGGTTGAAATCTGAAGAGGAGCTGAAATTATCTGTAGAGAACAGGTGGGGTAAAAAGAGAGCCTAGGAGGGATGCCTGAGCAACAGTCATCCTTAACACAAGGGCAAGCAGCCAGCAAATGATACTGTGATAGAGACGTCTGATAAGGTAGATAAAATCTGGATTGAACACAATTGTGACATGAAAGGGAAGAGAGTTTTGTGGGCTGTAATTGCAGGTTTTCTTGGAATCTGCCACTGGACAATAGACTCTGTGTGGGTGATGACCGTGGTTCTCTTGCTCACCTTGTCTTGCCAGTGACTAGCATGGCATCTGGGACAAGCGTAGGACTCAATATGTATTTTTGAATGACTTAGTGAAGGAGGAACTGGCAGTACAAAAAGCTACAGCCAGTGAAGTAAGGAAAGGACTGGAGAGCCTCTTCTGGATTTGCCAATTAGGAGATTCCTGGTAGTGTGAGGAAAGTGTAATCTAAGTGACTAGAAGGAAAATAGCATAATAAATATCACTGGCTTTTCAAATATTAGAGATGTGAAGAACTGTTAGGAAGGGCACAGCCAACATAATTTCTAGAAAATAACCTTTTCTCTGACAACAGTTTAACTACAATAGAGTCGCATCATATTAATGACTGCTGATTGCTAGACTAACATGAGAGCAGAATACAGATTAAAATCCTTATAATAAAACTATGAAACATTTTTGAATAGGGCATTAAGCCATCAATATAATGGCAAATCATTTGAAAATCCTGAATAATACAATAAGCCAAATGAGTTCCAACTGTTGGTTAACCTGAAAGTAGTTTAGGGACAGAACAGGCAAGACTTGCTTGCAGTGTGGCTTCATGGTAATAAAAGTCTATACCTTTTCATAAAGCTCAGCAGCTCCATGCTTCTGGCACTTATTCACAGAAACTGAAACTAGTGAGTAAAGCATTGGCTGACTGTCCAAAAAAAAAAAAAAAACGGAATCAAATAAACCCTGGACTTTAGCTTGGACTTAAGAAAATTTGTTTCTAAACAAGCACTTAGAAGCCCTGGAAAGCAATAAAATGAAAGGCAATTTGCACAGACTAATGGAGCAGCTAAAAGAGGAGGGAATGGAGAACGAGTACTGTGTAATAAAGGAAAAGTTTTGTTTTGGAATTTTGTTGTAAAATAGTCTCTCCCTGATGATAAAACACTGGCTAATGACATCTAGAATTTTCTGTTGGAGCCACGATAACTTCAAGTTTGTGTGACTAAACATTAAAACAGAAAAAAAAAAAAAAAAACACAACGTAAAATCAAAGCCATATGCTAAAATTTTGTATTTGGGAAAGTAGCCTATGTCATAGGCTCAATTAAAATATCTCTCAATTAAAAACAAACCAAAAAAAAAAAACTACTTTTTTATGGGCCAGTTAGCATAGGCATTTAATGCTAAGTGTTAATTCAGCGCATGAAACAGTTTCTTTTCCTTCTTGTATAAGAGGTGATTTATTTTTACTAGTGAAACAAAAAGGTAGAAGAAGGAAAATTAAGATTGCTAAGGTGTACCTCAACATAATCACCCTTAAGTGTTTCTCAGTGGGTCCACACAGGTGGCTCACTCTTCTTTCATGTCCTTCTGTCATATATGTATGCATCTGGCTTTATTAGATTGTAAATGACTTTCAGATAAAAGGCTGTGTCTCATTCATTTTTGCCTGAGCCCTAGTGCCATATTTTATACTTAGTGCTTAATAAATATTGGTTAAATAAATTATGGTCTTTCAGGTGCTAGAACTCCTCAGATAATTTAGCCTCATGAAATGCATGCTGGGAATGTAATCCATGTTTATTATGACCTCATAAATAATTTCATGATTTTTTTCCGAAAAATTTTTAAATAGTACAGGATAATCATATTGATCCTCAATTCAAAGAATCAAGGAAAACCTATGTTCTTGGTCATTCAAATCCGACCACGAGATGGAGCTTAAATTCTTGGTTTTAATGAGGATGTCTTTATGTCCCTGTGTTTCACTGGCTCTAGGGCCAAATTTGTGTAAGTAAACATGCAGATGGAGGCCTTGGGGATTCTAAAGGCATGGGGATTCTGAAGGGTCTATAAGCTCTTTATTTCCAATCTAGCCTGAGAGTTGGGTTTAGGGAATCAATTTTCTTGCAAATTATCCAGCAATGCAGTAGGAAGAGGAACAGTTAGGTTAAAAAAGCAGAATTTCTATTTGATGAAATAGAAAAATAAGGTTTGGTAAATACCTATTCTAACGCACACATAGCTCCAGACATGATTCTATTCCAACTGTTGCTAAAATATTTCAGAGGCATAGTATGGATCAGAGTTACCAATTTTCTTTCTCCCATTCCTCACAGTGATGAGGGCATATGATACAGATGAAAGAGACAGGCATTACGTGAAGAAACACCTTAACATCTTATAAGGTGGTTCTGCTAAAAAATAGGAAAATAGTTAAAGTGCGTAGTAGAGGACTGAAACTTAACAGGTAAGGCTGTTTTCTTCCTTCACGTGTGTGTGTGTGTGTGTGTGTGTCTGTGTGTGTCCTTATAAGTGTGTCTAAACAGGTCGCTCACTCTTCTTCACGTCCTTCTGTAATATATGTATGTGTCTGTCCCTGATGATAAGACATTGGCTAATGACAATATATGGCCTTACTTGTTAGCTATATATACATTACTAACGATGTTAAATCTATAGAAATTCTTATGAGTGCCCCGGTATCTGGCACAGAGTAACTTCTCACTATGTATTTGTTGAATTAATGAATGAACGACTTATACAATATCTGATTCTTAAGCCAATGGAATGTTTCATTGGATTTCTCATTGTTTAGCAACATTCCCGTGGAGTAACAGCCAAAAGAACTTAGTGATACAATGTAGGCAGTCTTCTTTTGCAGAACAAAGTGGCAGACTGTGACAAACTGCAGTTGGCAGATCACATTGTGTGGCCACAGACTCAAAGAATCTGACCAATTTGGCAGGTAGAGCTAGATGTGCAGTGATTAACATCTGCACTTGCTGAATTTCAGTGATAACACTGATGTTTCTTATGTTCTACTGTCACATTAGAGAGGGGTTTCTTTTTGCTCAAAATTGTCTTGGTTAGTCCTAAGACTGTAATTCACTGAATCTGTTTCTGGACAGTGTTTGCAGAGAACATAATCAGGCCCAAAATGCATGCTTATGTGGGACAATACTGAAGGTTTATGAAATCAGCCTGGTTTCCTACTTATTCTCCTCTTACCTGGCAATTTGAGGCTATAATGTGATTTTTAAAAAGAATTATAAGGCAGGAAATCACTGAGAAGATAAAATGTATAGCATATATTCAGGGTTCTACTATTTTCTTATTTTCCAGCCTTTCTAAATAGACACAGATCTAGAGGCTTCTCCCACTACTGCCACTTATTCTTTGCACACATTTCTATTCACGGATACATATACTTTTGTTACATCATTCCTGATAAAAGACCAAGGAGAAAAGATAGATTAAAAATGAAAAGAGCCTCTATTCTGAAGTCAACCTCCACTTGAAGACAGTCCACTAACATTGACCTAAAGATGGTAGAGTATTTTCCAGTTAGGTTAGTGTTTTTGGATGTTTGTTAAGCTTCGTGTAATTTGTGATTTAAGAAAAGTACTGAAAAAAACACAAGTGGAAACTTATGAATTTAGCATATTCTATATTACAATACACACACACACACACACACACACACACACACACACATACACACACACCACATACCAGTGGATGTGTTGATCTGTGGTGGTAAAATTCAATAGCAACTTCGTTTTAGGTACTTTAAATAATTCAAATATTAACACATGAACAGAATAGGTCTATTAATTTCAAATAATAAAACTAGACTTTTCTACAATGTAGAGTTCTCACAATACGGGAGGAGATCCTCAGCCCCAGGTCTTAGCTTGTGAGACTCTATTATATTCAGTTAGAAGTGAGAATAAGTTAAGCCTGAAATAAGTATAGAAATAAACTATGCATTTCATACTACCATCACCTAGGATTAATTTTGTGGTGTTTGTTTATTTGTTTAATAGCCACTGTCTGTTCATATCAGAAATCTGTAGGTGGGTTGTCTTGGAAATGTGCTCCTCAGATTTTCTTCTAACTTGATCAGGTATGTTACCTGAAACTAAGATATGTAATATTCTTTGCCATCTGAAAATGTTCATTTCACATAATTATGGAATTTAGGTAGCATAGTAATTCTGTGGTGTAGACATTACAATCATCTTTTTAACGGATTAAGCCACTGGGGCCCAGAGAAACTTGGTAACTTGCCACAGATTTTATGCCAAGTAGGTAGAAGAGCTGGAACTCAAACTCAGGTCTCATGACTAACTTTTTGTGTTTTCTGACCAAGCTGGACAGTAAGATAGGCTGCATAAAATGAAAGTGCTTTGTCAATGATCAAACCAGTGCTGCTTCTTCCTCTTTGTCCTTCTGCCTTACCCTGTCAATTAAAGCCCTTCCTGAGACAGGAATGTTAAGAAGAAACCCTTAGGAAAAAAACATTTAGTCTGCCTTGTCCAGTGAGCAATCGCTCATTTTAATACTTGGATCTCTGTGGGACTGGTAACTCACTATCACATATGTCTATATAACTATCTTCTTGTACTTTCAAAAATTTATTTTCAAAATTTAAACTTTTGCTTTCAAAAGTTGAACTCTATAGTTTGATTAAAATGAGTATATAAAAGTATTATTATTAAAGGAACCACTGGAATATTCTGATCTTCAGCCAATAATGAGTCTTGAAAATTCTCTTGGGAAATTATTTTTTACTTAAAAATATTTTGTGGGGCAAGTAACTTGCCATTGCCTACCATATCAAGATCATGATATTTTCTTCAATACAGTTATTATCATGACTCAAGGTTAAAAGTATGAACTGATCCATTAATTTTACTTTCATATTTGCTCCCTAAATTGAAATATAGGAATATTTAGAAGGCTGAACATTAGGTCATTCACTTACTTAATCTTACATTTATGTGATGTCAGGGAGTGAGCTGGGTGTTGACCTACTTTACTCATTTTTTAAACACGACATAATTTAAATTTTCTTTCCATAAAACAAAACACAATGGTAGATTCTTAGCACCAACATAATGAGATTCACTGTCATTATGTCAATGAAGGAAAATTAAAAAAGATAACTTATAAAGTTCTTCTTTTCAGAGTGTACTTGGTTGTCAAATAATATCTTTTTGTAGGTACAAGATGATCTATGAATGTCTGAACAAACTTAATTAAAGGAGAAATAAAAAATATTATTTAAAAATGTCTGCTATAGTTAGCTTTTCTATAAATAGACCAACCACATTTTTCATCAATACCCATTACTGTAGTTTATCTTTTAAGGATTTTAAAAAACTACATATTATTATTCAGGCATCTATTCTATTATTTAATACCATTTTATAATTGCCACTAACGTGATGTTTTAATGGTGATGCACTTTGTTGTGGAAATTTTAAAAATTAATTTAGAGAAGGTTATTTAAATGTTAGTGATAATCTAATGCCAAAAGAATGTTGTTTCATAAGGATACCAAGTACAACCAGCAGCTATCTTACTGCAATAGCATAAAATCAGTTTTTGATATTCTTTCAGTGATATAATCAGGCAACTATTAGTGAAAAACAACAGCACAGTATTTTCATCATCTCAGCTTCAGTTTTCTAAACTTATGGACATGCTTTTTCAGCTTGATAAATACAGAAATTACAGGAAATAGACCCCTCTTTGGGGTATTAATCTCTAAGAAACAATGAAACAAAAATGCAACATTATAGTTGGACAGACTATACATAATAACCCATATCCCTGCAGGGATGTCAGGGACCTCTCTCATTTTTTAAAAATTTAATTTAATTTAATTATTATTATACTTTAAGTTTTAGGTTACATGTGCACAACGTGCAGGTTTGTTACATATGTATACATGTGCCATGTTGTTGTGCTGTACCTATTAACTCGTCATTTAGATGATCCCAGGCAGGGTGGGCAAAAGAACCCCACAGAGGCACTTCAAAATGACATTCTAACAGTGTGAAAGAATGGATTGCTGTCATGGCAATCTGGCTAGGGAATTCTCCTTTTATAAAGGAAGAGAAGACATCCATATTCACTCTCTAGCATACTTTCTTCCATTCACAGTTTAAATTAAATAATTAATATTGATATTAATTCTATTAATTCTAGGGACAGTGAAGCGAAAGTAGGGAAAGGCACCTACTCTAGACTTGAAATATAAGAAAAGCTTCTTAGAGGAATACAATTTTACTGAGATCTGAAGGATGAGCAATAATTTGTTAAGTGTGGTTGAGAAAAAGGGGAAAGGCCAGGCACGGTGGTTCATGCCCCTAATCCCAGCACTTTGGGAGGTCGAGGTGGGTGGATCAACAGAGGTCAGGAGTTTGAGGCAGCCTGGCTAGCATGGTGAAACCCCGTTTCTACTAAAAATGCAAAAAATTAGCTGGGTGTGGTGGTGTGCACCTGTAATCCCAGCTGCTTGGGAGGCTGAGGCAGGAGAATTGCTTGAACCCAGGAGGCAGAGACTGCAGTGAGCCGAGATCGTGCCATTGCACTCCAGCTTGGGCAACAAGAACAAAACTCCGTCTGCTTAAGTAGGCAGAGAATAGCTTGTAAAAATATCAGTGGGGTATAAAAAATTGGCCCTTTGAAGGTATTAGAATAAGCTTATGAAGGCTACATGTAGAGTAGAAGAAAAGAAGTGTGAAATATGTATGAGACTACAGGGATAGGACAACAAGATCCAAACAAGAACCTTGTAAACAAATAATAATATAATAGATTTTATCCCAACCATACTGATAATTACACTAAATGCAAATGGTCTAAATAGATGAATTAAAAGGTAGAGATTGTCATTTTGGATACAAAAGTAAAAGCCAACTATAGTTGCCCATACGAAACCTATTTTTAAATATAAATATATAACACAGATTAAAAATAAAAAGGTAGAGAAATTTCATGCAAACACAAAAGAAAGCTGGAGTGATGGATGTGCAACATTATGAATGTATTTAATACCACTGAACTGTATACTAAAAAAGAATGAAGATAGTAAATTTTATGTCATGTGTATTTTACCATAAAAATAAAACTTTTAAAAATAGGTATATACACAAAGTTGTTAACAGTGATTACTTTTGGGTAGTGAGCTTACAGCTGATTTTACCTTCCTATTTTTGACTATCAGTATTTTCAAATTTTCACATATTTTTATAATTAAATGTTTCTTACCTGTATAATAAAAAAGAAATCTAAAAATGTTTAATTAAAGAAAGAAAGCTGGAGTGGCTATATTAAAGGCACAAAGAGACGACTTCAGATCAAGGAATAGTACCAGGAAAATGTATAACATTATATAATAATAAAGAAGTCAATTAATCAAGAAGACCTATCAGCTTCTAGCTAATAGTAGACAGCTGAATGTGTATGTGCTTAAAGATAACAGAGCTTCAAAATACATGAAGCAAAAACTGATAGAATATACAGAAGAAATAAATAAGACTACAATTATAGTTGGAGATTTTTAACACTCCTCTCTGAGGAAGAATCAGTAAGAATATAGAACTAAGTATGTGGAACACATAATGGCATTATCAATGAAACTAATCTAACTGACAATTCAAGAACTCCATACAAGAGCAGAATACACCTTCAATTCAAATCTAAATGAATCCTTCACCATACAGACCATACTCTCAGCCATAAAACAAACCTTAACAAATTAAAAAAGATAAAAACCATAGAGTAATATTCTCTGACCAAAATAGAAATAAACTAAAAATAAATTTAAAAATCTGGAAAATTGTGACACATTTAGAAACAACACACTTCTAAATAAGCCAAAGATCAAAGAAATAGTCACAAGGAAAATTGAAAAAAGTTGTGAATTGAATAAAAATGAAAATATAACAAGTCAAAATTTGTGCAATGCAGCTAAAGGATGCTTGAAGGGAAATTTATAGCATTAAATGCTTATACTAAGAAAGAAAAAATGTCTCTAATCAATGTTCCAAGCTTCCCTCCTAGGACACTAACGAATAGTAAATTAAACCTAAAGAGAGAGAAGGAAATAATAAAGATACAAATATCAATAACATGCAAAATAGAAAAACAAAGGAAAAAATCCATAAAGCCCAAAAGCTATTTCTCAGACAATATCAATAAATATGATAAATCTCTAGCCAGACAGACCAAGAAAAAGAAACAACATATATCAAGAATGAAAGAGAAGACATCACTATAGTTCCTACAGACATTTTAAAAAATAATAAGGGAATATTTAGAAGATAAGAGACTGCCAATAAATTTGACAACTTAGATAAAATAATAAATTCCTGGAAAATCTAAAAATACCAAAACTCACTCAAGAACTATATAACTTGAACAGCCATATATCTACTAAAGATATAGAATTTATTAAAGAATATTATATATATTCACATGTATAAACACTTGTGGTTTTACTTCCAAGAATTAACAAGTATTCTTTTTTATGTTAAAGGTGTTTTAAATCAAACTTACTACTATAATTGCCACTTTATTATCTTACAGACACTGTCAAAATTACCCTGGCCGAAGGTTAGTAGGTCAAATAAAAACCATCAAGTTCTTTTATGGAAAAATAAAAGAATTTGTCATTAAAACTATTCCACAGAAAACCCCAAGGACTAGGCAGCTTCAGTGGGCAATTTCTATCAAATACATTTGAGGACGACATAATATCAATTCTATGCAAACTCTCCAGAAAACAGATGAGGAGGAAACATGTCCCCAGTCATTTCATGAAACCAGCATTATTCTGATATTAAAGTTGCAAAAGACATGGCAAGTAATAAAAATTACTGACTAGTATACTTTATCAACATCTCAGTAAAAATCCTTTTACAAATTGGCAAATTGAATCTAGCCATGCACAAAAAACATATGTCATGACAAGTGAGCTTAATCCTAAAAAGGCAATGTCAATTTGACATTGGAAAAACAAATCAATTTAATTTACCATAATAACAAACTATACTAAGTAAAATCCACAAGATTTTCTCAAAAAATAAGAAAAATATTGTTAAAAGTCAATATCCATTCCTAAAAAAAATTTCTCAGCAAACTAAGAATAGAAAATTTCCTAAACTCTGATAAAGACCATCTTACAAAACCTGAAGTTAACATCATACTTAATGGTAAAAGACTGAATGTTTCCCCCTAATATATGAAATAATGTAGGGGTATTTGTTTGAATCGTTTCAATTCCACAGTGTACTAGACAACCTAGCCAGTGCAACAAGGCAAGTAAAAGAAATAATAGGCATACAGATGAAAAAGGAAGAACTAAAATTGTGTTTATTTGAAGATGACAATATTGTTTCATAGGAAACCCTAAGGAATCTACAAAAAAGCTACTACAATTAATAACTTGAGTGTTGCAATGTCACAAGATAAAAATATAAATCCACAAAAATTAATTGCATTTCAGTATTCAATGGTAACAAACAATTGGAAATCAAAATGAAAAAAGCTACCATTTATAGTAGTATCAAAAATTTAGGTACAAATTTATTAAAATATTTCACTAAAAATCCATTACTGACAGAAGTTAAAGAAAACCTAAATAAAAGAGGTAATATTATTTAACTTGTAGCTTAGAAGAGACACAAGACTTCAGATATCAATTCCCCCTATATTGGTCCATAGATTCAACCCAATCTCATTCATAATCTGATTTTTTTGATAAATTGAAAAAGTTGATTCTAAAATTTATACGGGAAATGCAGAGGATCTAGAATAGCCAAAACAAATTTGGAAAAGAAGTACAAATTGGAGGCTTCACACTACTTTAAGACCTAATATAGTCACAATAACCAAGACATTGTGGGATTGGTGTTAGGATAGACCTATTTATCAATGAAACAGAATGAAGTCAACAAATAGAATCATACATATATAGTTGATTGATTTGCAACAAAGTGGTTAAGGTAATCCAATGGTGGCAAAATAAATGCTGGAACAATTCGGTATTCTTATGAAAAAAACCTTCAGCCCTTATCACATACAACATTAAGAAAAACAAACAAACAAAACATGTGCCAAAATACAATACAGACCTAAATATAATAATAAAAGCAATAAAACTCCTAGAAGGAAGCATAAGAAAATCCTTGTTACCTTGAGTTAGGCAAAAAATTATTCAGTTTGACATCAAAGCATGATTCATAAAAGGAGAAAAAGTCAATAAACTGAACATCATTAAAATTAACAGACACATCGCCAAAGTTATATCAGTGGTCAATAAGCAAATGAAAAGATGCTCAACCTCGGAAGTCATGAGGGAAATGGAAAAACAAATCACCATAAGGTACCCAATAGAATGACTAACATTAAAAATGCTGACTAGTTCAAGAATTAATGGTGTGTGGAGCAACTGAAAATTTTGCACATTGCTAGTGGGAATGCATAGCGGTGCCGCCCCTTTGAGAACAGTTTGGCAGTTTCTCATAAAGTTGCACATATACCTAGCCATACAATCTAGCAGTACTATTCCTGGACTTTTACGTAAGAGAAATGAAATCATGTGTCTACAAGAAGACCTATAAACACATGCTCATAGCAGCTTTTATTCATAATAGCTCCAAACTAGAAACAAGCCAAAAGTCCATAAACTGATGAATGAACGAATTATGAAATATCCATAATCAGGATATTTTATTTACTTATAATAAAAAGAAATCTACTTTCTTACAATAAAAAACTTTCTTCCTAGCACTGGTTTAAGTATTCTACACTGAAAAAGACATCATTTGGACAAAGTCATTTATGTCATTTCCAACATGAAAACACGATAAATTTGCAACATCTTTCGAATAATGTCTTTCTCACTCCAGTCCACTTAAACCAGTACTAGAAAGGGGGAAAAACAGATAAATTTGTTACTAAATATATTTTAATCATTTTATTAACATTTGTTTCAATCACTTATTGTTACTTAATGAAAAATAATAGGTGAATAATACACACAGCGAAGATAAATCATATAAGATGGAATGATAAAAGGTAGTACTCTTCCAACTACCTTCTTCCCCACTTCACATACACACAAAAAGAACAAACCCCTGAAAACTAGGGAGGCTGTAATTGTAAGAGAAACCTTTAATTAACTCGGGAAATTAAAACCGACTTTTATAAGGCAGTCCTAGTAACAAGACACGCTCAGATGAGCACATAAACACATAATAAAGAACAAGAAGCTATTTCAGGTATGTCATTGACTAGGCAGCATTTACATGCAGTTCAAAGGAAGCTAGAACTAAAATTTGTTAACGCTATTAACTAGATAAACAATAGAGTCAAAGCAGTAGGCCTTAATTCTATCTTGTATTATATCTTTATTTCAGTGGCAATACATATTGATTGTAGAATGAACATAAGCATGACAATGAAAAGGCAACCACATTCTGAAAATCCTGCCACCCTTTCAATGTGGTTGAGGTGCAGATCTAAATGCGAGTAATTTCTGTGTTTCTTTTTATATCCTGGTCAATTGCTAACATTCTTCCAAATATTTTCTCAACAATTTCTGAAATCTCAGCAAGAGAAATCCTTTTACTCATGGGGTAAAATTATCAGACACTTGAATTTGGTACCCATAGTATTCACTTAAAAGTATATTGAGTAGGCCAAGTGAAATTGCTCACACCTATAATCCCAGCACTTTAGGGGCTGAGGCAGATGGACTGCTTGAGGCCAGGAGTTTGAGAACAGCCTGGCCAACATGATGAAGATCCGTCTCTGCTACAATTACAAAAATTAGCCAGGTGTGGTGACACACGCTTGTAATCCCAGCTACTCGGGAGGCTGAGGTATGAGAATCACTTGAACCCAGAAGGCAGAGTTTGCAGTGAGCTGAGATCATGCCACTACACCACTGCACTCCAGCCTGGGCAACAGAGCGAGACTCCATCTCAAAGAAAAAAAAAAAAAAAAGTACCTGAGTACAACGACATGCATTCATTGGAGTTCCTGGTAACTCACTTAAAAAGGACTCAGAAAAACAAAGCAAAATTTGCAAATATTTTAAAAACTTAAATTTGTCACCTTAAGATTTGACTCCAGAGGTTGCAGAAAGGGATAGCTAAAGTAAGATGATTTTTCTTAAATGTTAATACTGATGAAAAAACAGATGCTAATTGCTGTTAATGCCTGTGTAGTACTTTGTATATACCAGGTACTATGCATATTAACTAATTTAATCCTCATACGAACCCTATAAGTGTTATTATAATTTGCATCTTAAACATAAAGAGGTACAGCAGGTTAAGTAAATTGTTCAAAGTCTCATGCTAGTAATGGCAGAGCCAGATTTTAAACTCAGGCAGTCTGTTTCTAGAATTTACCTTCTTAACCATTAAACAACACTGATCTGACAAATTTCATATTCTAATCAATTAATTAATGTATATTATATGAAAGTTGATCATTTTTAGATGGCCCTGTTTCTTTGTCAAATTTGCCTTAAGAATTGAGAAGCTTTATAGAATTATAAAAAAAGGAAACCTGTGCAGTTTAATTTATTCTGATGAATTTTAGTGACTTGCAACTGTAGCATATATTTATTCTTGCCGGCCACCCCCTCTTTCATTTTATTAATTTCCTACAGGAAATTGCAAGTTAATAGAAAAAGCAGCACTGGAACTGCCTCACATCCTATAGTAATTAATTAAAGCAAAGTCTGGCTCAGTAACTTTGGATACTAAAAATATAGAGTTAAACAAAGCTGACTGCCTCTTGAAATGAAATTTCAACTTCAATAGTCTGTCTAAAAAATTTATGCATTAAAATCCACATCTTTCCTTAAAGAAATTCTCCACAAAATATTTAGTGAATACAGCAACTCAATATCTGACCGTTCCTCACTAAGACTTCAGAAGTAAAAGGAATCCAAGAAACACAGAAATAAATTACTGAAGTTTAAGTAAGTTCTTTTAAAGGCAGTTAGGCACATTATTCCACTATATTCCCATCTACAGGTTATTACCCACAATCAATAAAGCAAGAGACTGTATAAACTATCTTATTAATTTTATATAATGGTTAGTAAACTTTAAAATACTGTACTATAAAACTTTTAAATGTTTCTGATGGCTTTAGATCACACTAGATAATTTATCGTTTTATGTAGCATAAAGTGTTAGGTAAGTGGATACCATGCTGGGGAAAATGCACGTAATTTCTGAATGCAAAAATCTATTCCATTGTAGAGTTTTCTGACATGATTTAAGGTTATTATTGGGATGATTTTTAGAATCTAGGTCCATAAAAGTCCCTAAGTGACAAACATACCAGATACAACTTTTAGTCACACAGGCTGCCTACCTGTACTTGTATTATCTTCCCCATAACCCCCAACCCTAACCCTGGTTTCTTCTACAGCTGAAGAAACAGAACCCTGACAAGTTTAAGGTGCTTTTTGGTTCTGTGATACTACATAGAACTAAGCTCCCTGATGCTCTTCTCACTGAACTCTTAGTATAACAGAGTCAAGTAGGTGATGCTGTCATGGAGTGAAACAGATGGAAATAGTAGTAAATGTTTGATTTAATACAACTAAGATATGAGTGGTAGGAAGTTCCAATTTATGTAACCATTATTTTACGGGTTTATGAAAACTTACCTTACATAATTTTAAATGGTGACAGAGAGAGAATGGACCTGCAGAAGTGGGTAGCTCCAAGATGTAAAGAAATGTAAAAGTCATGGCATTGTTTACAAAAAAATGCAGCATCTTGAAGCCAACACAATTTGCTTTCACAAGTGAGTGAATCATCCAAGAATAACCTCCGAATGGCCTCTTTTGGGACAGGCAAAACTTCCCAATATCAAGGGAATAGAATGGACTAATAGGATTACAGATAAGTCACATTGGATTCTTGGGCTAAATAACCAAGGGGCTGCTTCTTCTACGATTAGGAGGTAGAATTAGGAGGGGAATGTTTGGGTGTAGAATTGTACCCCTTGAAAAATAACTCCTAGAATTTTACATATTTACCTAAGAGGCATGCTGTGCTGAACTCGATCTTCACCCACTCAATACACAAATGTAGCACATACACATAGTTTGCAAATTATTCTTTAGACTTAACGAAAATGTTGTTAGACTAACCTACAAAACTATAGACTAAACTATAACTTAGACTAATCTTCTTTAAAAGAAATTAAGATATATTCCCAAGAAGTTATAAAGAATACATTCTTTACATATGAAATAATAGTTCCAATTAACTCCCCTGTGATCTTAATATGTTTCCTACTTGGGAGAGGTATAGAGGAGAGGAAACCTACCTCCACTACGTGATGTTACAACCCACTGAAAGTCTTGGTTTTTATTTTAAGGATCCTTGAGCCTTTGTTGTTTGTGGTACGCATGTGTCTCCGTCAGTTCAGGCTATCATAACAATTTAGCATAAACTGGGCGGCTTAAACAACAAACGTTTATTTTTCACAGTTTTAGAGGCTGAAGAGACCAAGATCAAGGCACCAGTAGGTTCAGTGTCTTGCAAGGGCACTCATCCTACTTTGCACAT
Organism: Homo sapiens; assembly: GCF_000001405.40. NCBI lineage: Eukaryota > Metazoa > Chordata > Mammalia > Primates > Hominidae > Homo > Homo sapiens. The sequence goes on along the minus strand of NC_000010.11, from coordinate 115,804,508 downwards.
GGCTGTCTTCTCATTGTACCCTCACGTGGCAAAGAGCAAAGAGCAGGAGCCAGGTCTCTGTCTCTATTAGTAAGGGCACTAATGCCATTTATGAGGGCCCCAACCTCATGACCTAACCACCTCCCAGAGGCCCTGATTCCTAATGCCATCACATTGAGGGTTAGGATTTCAACATATACACTGTAAAGGGACACAAACATTCAGGCCATAATAGCATGAATTCAAGTATTTTGTGTGTCCTGGGGAGATGTTAGTCAAATAGATAATCAAGAAAGTAAGTTTAAAAGGCAATGCATCAAAGTAGTTAAGAGCCCCAATTAGGGAGTAGTATACAAACCTGGATCTAAGTTCTGGATACTTTTTACTTGCTACATGTTTTGGACCTTCTATTTAACCTCTCTAAATGGAGTTTTGTTCCTTTCTGAAGTAATGATAACAGTTACTGTAAAAATTAAAGAAGATAATTATGTGACATTCTCATATGTACCTGGAATATAGTAAAAACTAATTAAATGTCAGTGGTATGAGTCAAAATCGTTCATTTACAATGCATAACAATTACTAATTATTAAACAGATGTACTGTAGTCCATAGATATCTCGTCATCTTTATGCGTATTGGCCAGGCCATGATCCCAAGTACCAAGGAGATGTTAATGAGTGCAGAAAAACACAAGACATGAAACTGGAATAAGTTAATATGTTCATAACAAAGTATACCCATTCTGACTTTGCAGTTAAAAGAGTTTATTTATATGTTAGTAACCATGGTTAAAATTTCCATAAAAGAAAAAAACATGGAAAAATGGCCTATAGTGAGAATTTCACTAGGATTCATTCTGTAGTAAGGAATGTACCGAATCAAAAAGATATATAAAAAGCCCATTTGCTTAAAATGTTAAAAAAAAAACACAAAAAAACCCAAACTTCTAAAACAAAAATTATGCAAGAATAAAGTTTCCTCCATATCTCTAATGGAAACTATACATCAGGAAAAACTAAAAATAGAATGTGATTCTATTTGTTCTCATTAACAGTTTACATAGTGATGTTTATCTGCAAGGTCACATAAAATCATAAATGTAGTCTATTTAAAAATGTAGTCCTTATTCATATTTCAGAAATGGCTTAATTTACCTTTTACTTTCATGACTGTTGTAAATTTGTGTTAATGCAATATATTATATCCTTCAGGAAAAAAACCACTTAAAAATATTAACATAAATTTTATTGAATGAGGATTTGAACCAAAATAATCTTGCCAAATTAATTTAGGTAAGTATACTAGGTAAATAAATCTGCACCCTTTTACTTCTAGAAAGCATTCCAAGCAATTTCAAGTCATTAAAAATACTTTCAGCTGCAGCATTTTGCCTTTTAGTGTGGTCTTAGTGGTTACATGACAGCATTTCTAGTACTGGCTGTGTGGCTTTTATTATGTCCTGATAGTAGCAGCATTTTAGAAAACTACAAAGAAAATGAAATTCAGGTGTAATTTTGGAACAAGTCTTCTAAAATTGTTAAATCAAAAATGACACAAATGTTGCAAGCTGTTGAAAATTCTAATTTCATATATTCTTTTTGCCTGTCAATGGGAAATGAACCCTTCCTAAAAGGACATGTAAAACAGGTAACAAATTGCAAAGGAGTAAGGAGCCCCTGGATAATATTCTGGAAAAGTTTTACTAATTTATCTGATTTGCTGATTTATGGATTAGCCTTATAGGCTTCTGACTTAATTTCTTTTAAGTTAACAAACGTCTCATATAGATGAATGTCATTTTGTTTCATATCTATTTAGACTAAAAGCCAAGTCCCACAAGGCAAGAGATAGTCAATTATTTTCATTTTATACTGTTATTATGAAATATTGCCATTTTAAAAATGTACTTCTGGAGAATGAGATTTGTTCACCAACATATTTTAAAGTGAATTTTAGGTGTCTAAATGCCAGAGAGAAAATAATGTAATCTCAAAACATAACTTCAAATGAATTGTATTTATAATGATTTTGTAATTTTTTCATTAAGTTTTCCCTCACAAAAATGATCAATTCTTTTTTTCCACTTCTGTGCTTACTATGACATGCTTCTGAGAGTTAGCATCCCTTCTTTTCAAATAAAAGTATGATGGACATATGGATTCTATATGATAGAGTGGAGAAACTTCCTCCCTGGGCAGAATCAGACCTTTAGTTTACTTTCATAAGTTTGAGAGGAAATGGCTTCAATCACTTGCCTGCTGAATGGTAGCTTTCCCAGAATATCAACAAAATCAGCTTTTTATAGCCTGTCATATGACAGAGCTGAGTTCATTGTTTACCACCATAGGGGAGACAGCTTCCTTGACATGGCCTTAGTAGTCTCTGGGAGGAGGAAGGCAAAGTCGGGATATTTAAGAGAATTTAGGTGTGTGTGTGTGGTGGTGGGGGGCGGAAGGTAGAAATTCTGTTTTTTTTTGTTTTGTGTGTGTGTGTGTGTGTGTGTGTTTCTTTTTTTTTTAAGGCAAGTTTTTCCATAGGGGAGCATTTGATTGTGTGTCAGTAATGCTGACACTAATGTCTTAACATTGGTTAAGACACTACATAATAATTTAAGTTTGGAAGACACACAAGCTGAAGGTTTCACAATGAATTTTGGAGCATAAACATTCATCTGATGCTAACTGTGAAAGTTGAATTATTTAATATTCCTTTAAATGAATTTTCAAAAAGTTTCTGAAAGGGACAAGAAAATCATTTGCTATTTTTATCTTCCAAGGCAAGAGTTTCTTGGAATAGTAAAATCATGTTGATGAAGACAGTAGGACAGTAAAGTCATGTTAACAAAGACAGCTAAAAAGTAAAGTCATGTTAATGTTGACACTAAGCTGTGTGAGTGTAGATCATTTTGGTTTGCAACCAATACAGTCCCAAACAATATTCCCCATCCACAAGTTAAATACTTACAGGGTTTAGAAAGTGAACAATGGTTAACCACATAATCTGCATTTCAAAGATAATAATACCCCAATATTTTTATTGCAAATAAAGGGCAGAATGGTTAAGTACAGTTGGAAGCAAAATAATTTGCTGAAATTTCAGAACTTTTTATACTAGTAGTTTTAGTTTTCTCTTCCTCTCACTGATCTTTACTCTCTTTCTCTCCTTACTTGTTTCCTCTGTGGCAAGGTACCCTATTCCACCTTAAGTGGAATAAAGATTTTCAAGTGGCCATAAAGATTGTAGTTCCTAGTGGACTCATATTTCCTCAAGGTCAAAACAGGCAATCATTTAAAGTCAGACGAGACAGGGGGTTAACTAGTATACCATTATCAGAGGTCTGAGTCACTAATGAACGGAAAATACAGGGTGTTAAAGCAAGACAGGAAGGGTTATCCTCACCAAAGAAAAGGAACAGACTAGGACTACAGATGGGCAAGCCTGTGTTTAGGTGCAGACAATGACTAGGAAGACAAAAACTTTTCCATTTAGTTCAATGACTGGAAGATGGGGATGTGAACCTGTTTCTGAAGACAGGCCTGAGAAGAAGACCTGTATTTTCCTTAGAGAATAACAAGTTACAGTTTTCACCTGCTCTGACTGCTACAACACAGTGTCATAGACTGGGGTGGCTTAACCAACAGACATTTATTTCTTGTAGTTCCGGAGGCTGGGAAGTCCTAGATCAGGGAACCTGTGTGGCTAGGTTCTGGTGATGACTCTCCTCCTGGCTTGCAGATGGCTGCCTTCTTGCTGTGTCCTCACATGACAGAAAGAGAGAGAGAAAACTCACCCTCATGACCTCATCTAAACCTAATTACCTTCCTGAAGCCCCACTTCTTAATACCATCACATTGGGGGTTAGGGCTTCAAGCTATGCATTTCGTAGGGACACAAAAACTCAGTCCATTAATGGTCATGGTAGGAGCCTCTGGTGCAGGAGATAAGCAGGGCAGGTGCAGAGATAAAGGACAGGCTAGAAGCAACTCTTTCCTGCGGGGGAATCAGACCTCTGGGGTTGAAAAAAACAGATGGTAACATACTTCATTTACTTTTCTGTCAAACATATCTTTCTCCCCTTCTCTTTCTGTTTCTTTCCCTACTTTTCTTCTCCACTGTCTCTTTCCTTCCTTTCTTTGATCATTAAATTGAAGTATAGCAGAAATATGACAAGTATGGCATTAGAGTGAGACAGGCTTGAATGTAATTCTTAGGTCTGTCACCTGTCACTTAGCTGTACAAGGCACAGCTCTTGGGCAAGAGACATTTCTTTTCTTAGCATCAGATTCTTCTTCTTTTTTTTTTTTTTGAGATGGAGTTTTGCTCTTGTTGCCCAGTCTGGAGTGCAATGGAGCCATCTTGGCAACTTCAACCTCCATCTCGTGGGGTTCAAGCGATTCTCCTGCCTCAGCTTCCTGAGTAGATGGGATTACAGGCACGCACCACCACGTCCAGCTAATTTTGTATTTTTAGTAGAGACAGGGTTTCTCCATGTTGGTCAGGCTGGTCTTGAACTCCTGACCTCGGGTGATCCACCCGCCTCGGCCTCCCAAAGTGCTGGGATTATAGGTGCGAGCCACCATGCCCAGCTCAGATTCTTTACTAAAAGAAGAAAAGTATCAGTACCCATTACCATACAGGTTACTGTGAGCATTAGAGATAAAGCCTGTAAAGTGGCTGGCAGAGTATCTGATATTGAAAGATTTTTAGAAAATGATACAACAAAACTGCCATAATGCAATAAGTAGTGCCCCAGAAATTCAGCTGTGTAAAATGTAGGGTTGTGTTATTATGAGATTAGCTAAATGGCCAAGGTGAGCCTGTGCAACTGGACATCTGGAAGTTCTGAGTCTATTTGATGCAAATTTCACCTACCCTGGGCTGAAGTTCGGCACCACCTAGTGGTGACTGCTCTAACATAAAAATTGATGGGCAGAATTCTGGGGCCTGGCTGGGACTTCTGGGAGAGCAACTGTGATTCCAGGAATCTCTTCGTTAATTGGTGAATGTTTTGTTGGCCTGATCCAGAGAGAATGGGCTGGGAGAATACTGGGAACTAACCCCCACCTCTCTGTTTCCTGAAATAGGATTGTCTGATTTTTCCCTGTCCAGCATCCCCATGAGGGAGAGGCCTCTATGTTCCCTTCTCCTTCCTGAGAAAAGGAATCAGGTAGAGGAGAAAAAGCTGCTTTCCAATCATTCCATGTTTCAATTCAAGCTATTCTAATTTGCATTATTGCCAGGTGTGTTATTGTAGAATTTACTACCATTACAATTAATAATATGAGTTGCATTAATAACGTTAAATTCAACAAGCATGTATTAAGTCCATATTGTGTGCAAAGCAAAGAGACAGGTATTATAAATGTAAAGATAAATAAGACAGGATCTCCGACGTAAAGAAAGCTTATTACTGGTGTCTCACGCCTGTAATCCCAGTACTTTGGAAGGCTGAGGTGGGCGGAACACGAGGTCAGGAGTTCAAGACCAGCCCGGCCAACATAGTGAAATCCCATCTCTGCTAAAAATTAAAAAATTAGCCAGGCATGGTGGCACGTGCCTGTCGTCCCAGCTACTGGGGAGGCTGAGGCAGGAGAATCACTTGAGCCCAGGAAGCGGAGGTTGTGGTGAGCTGAGATCGCGCCACTGCACTCCAGCTTGGTCAACAGAGCGAGGCTCCGACTCAAAAAAAAAAAAAAGAAAAAAGAAAAAAAAGAAAAAAAAAGCAACCTCATTACTTGGTGGACAGAGAGATATTTAAGTAAAACTGAAACCAAGTAAGTAGTTTATTCTAATTGGAGAGATCAAGAAACATTTCAAGAAGAACTCCATTGGAGTTGAAATTGGAATGAAAAGTTAGCCCTCAAGTTCTGAGACTGAACAAATATCCTCCAGGATGAGCAAAGGCATGGAGGTGTAGATGAGCAGGTGATGGTCTGTAACAGGACAAAACCAGTTTAGTCAGCATATGGGGCAGATCATTTTATGGCATTTCTGAACATAACATAGGGTCCCATACTTCTGCATTTTGGTATGGTGCATGAAAGCCACACAATGGGTCTTCTGAGTAAGAACACACAGTCAGTTATGTTTGAGACTTGAGCTCCAGCAGTGCTGAGGGCAACAGGCAGTGGTATGGGGAGCAGAGAGCTTTGAGGCAGGAAGTTAGAAGCCTCCTGTAACAGGTGAGAGAGCAGGAATCTCACCTAGGCTAACTAAATTTGGAAAAGAGAAGGTGGAACAAATTCCAGAAACAAGATTAGTGATGTGGGGAAAGGTAGGTGGGGTGTGGAGTAAAAAGAAGTCTCTGAGAGGCTGGGCGCGGTGGCTCCTGCCTGTAATCCCAGCACTTGGGGAGGCCGAGGTGGGCGGATCACAAGGTCAGGAGATCGAGACCATCCTGGCTAACACGGTGAAACCCCGTCTCTACGAAAAATACAAAAAATTAGCCGGGCGTGGTGGCAGGTGCCTGTAGACCCAGCTACTCAGGAGGCTGAGGCAGGAGAATGGCGTGAACCCGGGAGGCAGAGCTTGCAGTGAGCGGAGATCGTGCCACTGCACTGCAGCCTGGGCAACAGAGCGAGACTCCGTCTCAAAAAAAGAAAAAAAAAGGTCTCTGAGAAAATTAGACTGTCTCACTGAAGTATTTGCAACATTGACTGAGAAGAATTTGCATTTGCTCCTGCCACTGCCTGCAACATCTCAGCCCAGATAGCCCTATGGCTGGCTCCTGTACTTCTCCCAGATCTTTGCTTGAATGTCATCTTCTTAGTGAAGGCTTTCCTAACCTACTTCAAATTGGAGCCCATTTCTATCCACTACACTGAGTACTCCAAACCCCACTTTCCTGCTTTGTTTATTGATTGTCAAAGGGTTTATCACTACCTAACAGATACTACACACACGTGCACACATACAATTTTTTTTTTAACTGAGTCTTCTGCTGACATGTACATTCCATGATGCAGGGACTTTTTGTCTGTTTTGTTCATTCTAATATCCCCAGTGTCAGTCCAAAAATTGGCAGAAGAAGCCTTGCAGTTGGTGGGCTGTGGATGCCTGCACCCCAGCCCTTCCTTCTGCCCCAGGTGAGCCTTCAGGTGCCTATAAAAGTTGATACCTGCTTGGTGAGTATCCCAGTGCCTGAGTGTAAAATTAAATTGCAAATTAAAAAACACTATTCGAAAGGCCAGGAGAGAGACCACGGAAGAAAGGAAAAGGTGTCATATTTTAGGACTTTTAAAGGCCTATTTTTCCTACTTTTTGAACAAGAGGCCCTGCATTTTCATTTTGTACTGGGCCCCACAAATTATGTTGCTGGCCTGAGTTGTCTAATAACTACATTTTGAATAAATGAACAAACTTCCCAGAAAAGACACAAATAAAAGCTTGTTCCTGCCATTAACAGGAACTAAAAGTCAAGGTCCCTATATTTTAGAATAAAGCCTTTATGTTTGTTATTCCTATGTAATGCTTCAGTCCAAATATCATTTAATTATCTTTTTGTTTATTACATTTCTTGGAGGAGCTATAAGGTTGAAACTATATGGAAACTAATTCACTTGCCTATATTATGAAAATGGAAGAAAGAAGGCATAATTCTGATCAATGATTTTTGATACTAATTAAGAATAAAAGCTCTACATCTAATGAACATTGCTCTTTTTAAGTTTATGATTTCAAAATAAATCAATAGATTTAATTTATATTGTTAGCAAATTGTATATAGAAGGGTTAGCCCCCATGAAAAGGCTTCATTTTGTTACATTTTTTCAGAAAGATCCTCTTTGGAGGACAACTGGCCAAACTGCTTATGATTTACTTTCCTTTCGAAAATAATGCTCAAAGGGTTTGACTGAGATCACTGATAAGAGCCAAAGACTGGAATTGCTTAAGTTCTCAGCTTTCCACTTGAATGAGGTTAATTTAACAAGCATTTATTGCACTGCTACCTACCTCTATGAATCAGATACTTTGTTAAGAACTGAGAATAAAAAGATGGAAAAAATGTGGTTCCTTCGGCCATGAACTTCAGTCCAGTGGGTGAGAAAGATGTGTTAAGTTAAAATATTGCATGAGCTTTTCCCCTTCCCCTTCCCTTTTGCTTCCTTTTGCTTACCTGTTTCAACAATTTAGTCCTAAAGCCATTAGGGGCAGCAGAGCAAGGTAGGTGTCCAGATTAGGTGGGAAGGGGAAACCATGGTGTGCCAGAACACGCATCAGAGCCCCATTGGGGTGAGGAGGTACATGTGAAGGAGGGCAGACGTGGCATCAGAACATGAGTGGGGTGGAAAAGGCAACCGCATATGGCAGTTGCCTGTTTTAAAGCTGTCCCAAGCAGGGTGATGACGGCATCTCCACAGAGAGGCAGCCTGGCATGAAGTGTCTGAGAGCCAGCAGAGTGCAGCATGTTGTGGCCCATGTGGGGATCCAAAGCCTGAGTGAGGTGAGATGTGTGTGCATTCAGGGGACAACTCTGCACAGGGATTTGGAGTTCAGGTGCCCAGGCAGAGTGAGGAGGGAAGCTAGATGTGGGAGTGATCTGGCACTCAGCACAAGGGCATTAGCAGGATAAGGAGGGATCCGTGTGGGGCAGAAGCCAGCCCAGCATGGGTTTTGGAGATTGAATGGGGGATGATATGGTTTGGCTCTGTGTCCCCACCCAAATCTCACGTTGAATTGTGATCCCGAGTGTTGAAGGTGGGGCCTGGTGGGAGGTGATTGGATCATGGGGGTGGTTTCCAGTGGTTTAGCACTTCGCACCATCCCTCTAGTGCTGTCTCATGATAGAGTTTGCAAGAGATCTGGTTGTTTCAAAGCATTTAGCACCTCCTCTTTTGCTGTCTCTCTCCCTCTCCTGCCAGCCATGTAATGATGCACTTGCTTCCCCTTAGCCTTCCACCATGATTGTAAGTTTCCTGAGGTCTCCCCAGAAGCAGAAGCCTGTATAGCACACAGAACCATGAGCCAATTAAACTTCTTTTCTTTATAAATTACGCAGTCTCAGGTATGTCTTTATAGCAGTGTGAGAACGGACTAATACATGGGAGACTGGAATCTGCACTGGGGATGGGAGGAAAGCTGAGACCAGGAGACTGGTCACATAAAAGGAGGCTTTATTTTTGACTCAATACATTAAGGATAATGGAAACCGGGTTCATCACCTAATTAGGTAAAGGAGTTATAAATATGGGAACAGATAAATGAACCTTGGATTCTGGATCAGAATTTTAGCCATTTATATAAACTCATGGTGTTCAGTATATAGACAGAGAAATAAATATACATGTAAATGTATATATACATAGCTATGTTTTCCAGCTCTGTCTACAGAGAGGCCTGGAAGCAGCAATACCTCAATAGCAATGAGCACACCTAATGTCAGATTGTGGCTTCTAAATACCATTTTCCACTAAAAGAAACCAGGACTTTCTGGAGAAATCACTGAGGCATAGAAAGTACAAGATGAGACTGGAATATCTTGTGCCAGAAAGTAAAGAAATGCTCAAAGAATATAGAGACTTTTCAAAAGGACACAGAAGCCATCTTAAAGGGGCCTCTCAGATCTGGGACAATTTGAGCATCAAAATAATGATAGTAACAGATTATTATTCAGTGAATAAAATAGGAAGGTGTCATATAAATAAGGAAATATTAAATTGAAAGTTTGATAAGGAATGGGAGGTTTACATAGTTTAATAGTGTTTCCCATAAAGAACTTATTAATTGTACAAAGGAAAATAATAATTTTATATTGAAGAAAACACTACCTTATGCAAATGATTAAAGCAAACATCATCAGCAATGCACAAGATGACATTGTGCACATCCCAATAGGATGCAATGAAAAGAATATAGAATCACTTTTGCTGAAGTGAATATCACCACTAAAGATTACATTACCTGGATGTAATCATGAGGAAACACTGAACAAATCCAAATTGAGGGACATTCTAAAATCCATTATAAAATAATTATTCAAAATTATCAAGCCCATGAAAGTCAAGGAAAGACTGTGAAACTGTTGTATACTGAGGAAACTAAATGCAACGCATGATTCTAAACTAGATTCTTTTGCTATAATTTTGCTGTAAATGGAAAAATTGCTGTAACTTGAATGGAGTCAGGATTAGGTGGTAGTCGTACATCAGTGTTAATTTCTCCATTTTGATGGCTACATTGTGGTTATGTGGAAAATGTTCCTTTTTTAGGAGATATACATCAAAGTATTAGGAGATAAAAGGGTGTCAGGTGGCAAATTACTCTGAAATGGTATGAGGAAAAAAATTCTTTATATATACTTGTAAATACTTTTTTGTAAATTTGTGATTGTTTAAAAACAGGCATGCATACTGTGTCACAAGGCCTGAGTTTTCTTGTGCATGCAAAGTAGAGCAAATGTTAATCCCAAATCCAAATAGTCCGACTTCTTTAGGATTGTCTCATAAACCGTTTGATGCACACTTGTCTACTTGTTCAACACTGGCTGAGAGCCAATAACTTTATGATCAATATCATTATGACATTGTTGTCTTCCATCAATAAAGCTTTGTTTTTCTAAGTAGCTGTACTGAGATTTAATTCACATACCATAAAATCAACATGTTTAGAGTGGATGCACATAGTTCATTGATTTTTAGTATAATCACAGAATTGTGCAACCATTGTTGTCATGTAATTATAGAACATTTTCATCACCCACCACAAAGAAAAATCCCACACTCATTGGGATTATCAATCAGTCATTCCTCATTTGCACCCTTATTCATCGTAGTTTTAAAACTTAATTCAGTTTCTATTGGTCCAAGGTGTGATGGTACATAAATATAGTGGGTAGTCAATAAATATTTGATGAATGAATCAATTGCCAACTAATTGGTATTACAGCTATTCGACTGGCATCTTTATGGTTCTTTCTCATCTGCTACTTTCCATGTTTTTATTAAAACCAAAGTGGTCCTCAAGCATCGTTATTATTAAACTAAATGAAGCTTTCAGCTTCGTTCAAAGTTATTTTATAAAATCCATGGTATTAATATTAACTTTATTGTGGTTTAATATAGATAATGAGCTACTATTATATGAATATATTTTGGAAAGTGTTGAGGCTGCTTTAACACAGATAATAATCATCAGCATATCTGAACTTACAACCTTTGCCAGATGGGCAACCTACCATCATTTTCTATGATGAGAGACTACATAAAATTCTTCACATGCCAGATAAGTTTATTACATGATTGAGTTGAAGTTGAATATATAAAAGAAGACATTTCTTCAAATATAACCTTATGACCAAAAATCAGTAGGGCACAGATAATGACTAACCATACAATTATTAAAAATACTATATTTTATTTTCATTGAAGTCTTGCAACAAGACTTTCTTTTCATAATCAGTTCAGTGCCGAACCCTTAAAAATGGTGAAATTATTATTTTGTGGTAGTGATGAAAAAATGTTTAAGCCTCTTCTTTAAAGCATCTCCTTAAAGTTTTACTACTTATATGGAAAAAATCATTTGTATATTTGTATTCTTCCAAATACTACTTATTCTAAATATCTGGCAATAACATGTCTCTCAAAGAACTGGATCAGTCTGCCACTGAAGCTAGGTACCCTCTAGAAAGAATGATTTTTTTTTCAAACTGAAAATAGATATTTCAGTTATATTTTTAGAAGTAGAGTTCTGTGTATATTTTTGCCTATTTGAACTTAACCGTATTGAGCAGAGGATATAATAATTTTAGCTATCAGTTAAAAACCTGTTCTTTGAATGAAGAAATAAATGAAAAATGCTGAAGCTAATAAATGAAAAAACTAAAGAAAAACTTATATTTTTTTCATATAACATTTTGAATATCCTTTATCAAAAGAGCTTCTAGACTATCTATGGATAATTTACTGCTCCACAACTTTTGTTTCTGGTAAAATGCAGCCAATGTAGAGAAAAGGCAGAACACTGATAAAATGCTACAAAAGAAGTTAATTTAGATATATACTGCTACACTTACTGCATACTGTTTTAGATAAGTAAAACGGCAATATTCTCAACAGAAGATTTAGATGCTACACCCAATATATGTTGATAGTGTAGTGATTGCCCAATCTAAGAATTCATTTCAGGGGCCAGTGACACAGTGATTACAGCTATTGTAGAACTCAGATTATAGCTGAATGATACATCTAGTTCTAACAACATAAAAAGAAAATGAGTACAGTTCTCTGGACTCTGTAGCGTACAAAAGAAAGGTGGACATTGTTCCACTGAAAATTCTGTAGAATAGAATAATAGCTAACTTCAACTAGATGAGGATGAAGGATACTTGCAAATAGGCAGCAGTCCCAATGATGATAAAGTTTCATTTGCATAACCTCTGATTACTCATTTTGATTGTATATGAAATGATTGAGCACATTATCAAAACAAAGTGAGATCATCTGTGAAGCAGTATGCTTGCTGAAATCTTTGGAATAAATCTAAATGGAAATTGTACATGGGATAACTGTAAGCAAAGCAAAGTCACTCTGAGGATTGTACCAGAGAACAAAAAGTTTGGCTGTCCAGATAAGCATGAGGTTTTCTGTTACTAGAATAGGTAACAAATAGCAGAAACTCTATAACTATTTAAATTTGTTTCAGGAATGAAAGAAATTACCTATTTTCATTAAAATTTGATTACCTTGGTCAGTTGATTCTGACTCATATCAAAAGTGAAGACTGTCCTGTTAAGAGAATTGGAGAAGAATCTAAACATCTAGTAGTGGTATGCCAAACTAGGGAAGAAAGGTTGGAAAGAGATGGAAGGTTGGGGGTGAAATAGACAGAGTTAAGAGAGCTGGTGAAGGAAGAGTCAAGTTGCTTGGGCTGAGAATAAGTTTTGGAGTATTCTGGAATAGGTCTAGGAACTCATCTATATACAAAGAGTGCCAGATATCTTAGTCTGTTGTTTTAACTAGAATAAATGACTAAAGTCTGTATTATTATTCACAAATATACATAATTGATAAAATAATAAGAAAACATATGGGAATGACTATCATAAAAGTTGAAACAGTGGTTACCTTTCCGAACACCCAGGGAGCTTCTTATTTCTTAACCTGGGTGGTGATTAGACAGGTGTTTGCTTACCCAGGTGTTTGTTCTAAACTGTGCATATGTATTTTGTACACTCTCCTGTACACATGATATATTTCACAAATAATAATGAGAAAAAGCATAGGTAAGATTATGATGGATGTTATGGAGAAAAATAAGGCAGGAAATGTTGGTGGTTAGAAGTATGTTGGCATGAGGAAGGGGGAAGCACAATTTTATAGGGTCTGGCTCTGCAAGGCCTCACTGAAAAGGTGACATTTGAGTAAAGACTTGAAGCAGGTAAGGAAGTAAGCTATGTGGACCTGGGGGAGAAAAGATTTTCAGCAAAAAAGAGAAGGATATTAAAAAGTCCTGAGACAGGAACATGTATAATATATTCTTCCAAACATCACCATTGTCATTAGACAGATTCTAATTACCACTGATGGATTTTTAGTTTTTATTTATGTCTCTGACTCTTCTGGGTTATCTCACATAAATCATATAGGAACTGCACTGGTTTGGCAGATGGCAGAGTAAGAGAAAATGTGTTCATTTAAAAACCCCCGAACATTTTTAATGCTAACGAACATCTATGTGAAGCTTGAAGTATGTGTAAGAAACTGAGTAAAGAAAATAGGTGCCTTTTAATTCTTTCTACTTTAAGCTTATTAAAAAAGTAGTAGAAGATAGAAAAAAGAGAATAAAGCTAGAAAAGCAGATGAAATATTACCTTAGGCATGGAATTTTTAAAAACATACTGGTCTAGATCTCTCTGACACCAATATATTCAGTTTAAAAGTTTTTTTTTTTTTTTAAGTCAAGTTACAAGTTTCTAAAGGTAAATGAGGCAGAATATTTCATTTTCCTTCACTCTCTCTACCCTCACTCAAATTTACATAATGATCCTCTGGTTGGATATAAGCTTAACTGAATTATTGTTTGGTCACTGTTTAGGAACAGATATTAAATCAGCTAAAATTCAATCGTAACAGAAAGGCCGTAGAGGCCTTGGGGATTTGGAGGAAAGATTTAGTACGTGAGCCTTTTGATATCTGAGAGGTTGCCATTTATTCAGGGTCAGAACCTCCCTGTGGCAGTTCTGGGGAACAGAAACTGTGGGTGGAAGTTAGAATAAGCAAGTCAATTCAAGGAAAGAAGGCTCTTTCAAATAATAAGAGTTTTTTTTTTTTTTTCTTTTTAAACTAACAAGGCTGCTTTGGGGGCCACCACTGGGTAGAGGCTGGGTGACCACTTGTCAGATTGTCCTGCTCTGGAGAGACAATGACAGACCATGCATTCTATGATCTCAAAATTGATTTGGGAAACACATGAAATACACAAATGTACAAGAAAATGTGTCTGAAAAAAATAAAAGCATAGAATATTTAATGGAATACAAATATCTTTATTCTCTGGCTAACAAAACTGTTTTATACTACATTTTAAGAAAAGTCTGCTTATTCTTTGTCTCTTCTATAATTAATGCCTTTAATCTTCTTCTTCACTATCCTTCAATCATGGCTAATTAAAAAAAATAACCTCTTGGTTGTGTATTTATGTTGGATACCCTTTTCCAGAATTTAATCCTCAATTGTACTGGAGCATTTAAACTGCTCAACTCTAATAGCAGATTTGCATTTGTTTTGACTTTTACTTCGAGGCAAAATTTTCCCATAGTTCTAGACATTTTGCCCTGGCGTAGGAAGCAGGGGGTCCTGATTAAAGTAAATGACTAAGACTAGGCAGGAGGAATGATGGGAAAATACAGAGTAGGGCAAAGAAATTTTAAAATAGGAAAAAATGACAAAGGCATTTTCCCAGTTAAATCATTAATTCTTCTGGCGTATTTTCTCTATTCTTGGAAACTCTGACCTAACAGTCCTTAGCTCTCCCAGGCAACTATCTGCGCACAACCCCCGCAGTTGAGCCCTTTCAGCAGTAGTGCTCGGTGCCCTGGGAGGAGCGCAGGGTGCTATTATCAACAGCACCATCAAGCACACTATAATTTGTGCTATGTATCCCCATTTTGAAATGTGTCAGGAGATGCAGCGATTCAGGCTTTTTCATTTTTCTTGACAGCAGACTTAAATTTTTCAGATACAGTACCAACTTTCTCAACAAGTTTTATTTTCTTGTTACTTGAGAGCTAAATTGTTGACTTGCTGTCAGATAAAACAAATTTGCCTATTTCTACCCTTTCTCATTTACATGGGATAAATACTTGGGTAATAAAGAACAAAGAGCCCAATCAGAGGCTTAATTGGGCATAAAACCTGCAGGGACTTCAACACCAAAACCTGCTAACCACAGGAAGCTTTCTGCAAAAGACGAATTCACTGAAACATTTAACTGAAGTTCTGTTACTTAAAGAACTGGTCAGATGCAGTTGAAAAGCAACTAAACACAAGTGGCTTTCCCCACAGAATCCTTTATTTTATAACGTGTGTGATAACACAACATCATAAAAAATCGCCACTCGAGAATGGATTTCATAATACGTTATTTCTAGGAATGAAAGAACTTTGAAGATCACAGTGCTCCTGACAGGGATACAAGTTCATGTGCAGGTTATTATTGGCAATAGGGCAACTGCCCCAACTGCAGCCCTTTGCCACAGTTAGAAAGGCTTCTGACAGCCCTCTCACAGGAGGTTGCTTATAGATTATGTAGGTCTAGTTGATGATTTGTTTTACTGCCTGCCATTCTAACACTGCCAAATGGATTAAGTTTCCTGTCACTTTCCAGGGACTGGTTTTCTGCCCAGTAGACACTGGTACCATTTTGGTGGGGACAATTTTCATTCTTGTAATTAGCCGTGGGCACTAATAATTGCTTTTCTAATTACCTGCTTGAGGATGCCAATTATCTCCTTGCCCCCACAAAAGCATATGCAATTGGCTAATTAGACCTTCAAGTAGGCAACTAGAAATATAATTAGCCATTTGAGAGAACAGTTACTTATACCATCAATTTTGCACCCATAAAGGAGGGAAGCTTTGGTTTAATCTGTAATTTATAATGTGAAATGAAAACTGAACAGAAGTTGAGGCTTTATAAAGAAATATGAATGTTTACAGAGGGGGCAAATCTGAAATACACTATTTAGGTAGGAAAAGATGTGCCTCTTTATAAAAGACATCACTGAAATAGTCTCCCAATTTAAAAATCTATTCTATGGGGAAGTTCAGAATTAATTTGACAGGTTAAGTATTTCAGTTAAGGACAAAGTGGAGGAATGTTACTCGAAACCCAGTATCAACTCAGAGGATGCATTTTCTGCATAGAACTACTGAGAAACATAACTACTATATATAAATCCAGCAGCCAATTACATTTTTGTTAGGAGTATGGTGTATCTCATATTTTCCAAGGGAAAATGTTACGTACCTGTATTATTTTCCTGAGGCTGCTGTAACAGATTACACAAATTTGGTGGCTTAAAACAACAGAAATGGATTTTCTCACAATTGTGGAGGCCAGGGATTAGAAATCAGTTTGTGTTTAAACGGCTCAAATCTCTGCATCTACTATCATATTGCCTTTTTCTTTTCTGTCTGTTTTCAAATCTTCCCCTATCTCTTCCTCATAAGGACACTGGTGATTGCATTGAGGGTCTATCCCAATAATCCAGTGTAATCTCCCATCTCAAGGTCTTTAACCTAATCACATGTGCAAAGGTCCTTTTACCAAGTAAGGTAACATTCACAGGTCCCAGAGATTAGGACATGATATCTTTTGGGGGAAATGGGGTGCTGAAGAGGATTTTTTTTTAGCCAACAACAAACCCACATGAAATAGGAGCTTGGATCATATTTTCAAAATAAACCTCAAGAAATAACACTCCAGTATAGTTAATAAGTAGTGGGACATGAAGCTTCTAAATATAATATCCCTAGTATGTGGATTACTATGAAGGTAAGATAAGTAAAATATTGCAAGTATATGATGAGAAAAAAGCCTGCACAAAAACCAAAAGGATATTGTTTCCTAAGTTTCCAAATGATAAAATAGACATATCTTCTAAGAGCCAAGAAAGTAAAGAATAGTATTCCTGGAATTAGCTTCATCAAGTGAAAATAATTAAAACTATGAGTATCAGTCTTAGTGGCCCGAATGGGTAAAGCCTGGCTATATATTGATGTTGCAAATCTCTACTCTCAAGAGCTTAGAAAGTACAATGAATTTACAGTCTTAGATATCATTCTTTTCTTAAAGAATGACCTTCAATCACAAACAAGGTACAAGACTATTGAATACAAAGATGCTTCCCAAATCACTAGCAGCTTACACATTGACTTTGCCATTGATTGATGTGTTAAAGTAACAAATCCCAGGCTAGGTAACCATGGCAGACCATGTATTAAATATCAATTCACAGAATCAGATAAAGAACCTTTGATATTTTCAACTTGAGCATGTAATTAACTATGAATAAAAACAAAGATTATTATTTAACCACAGTTAGTAGCAGGCAGACATATTAATCCAATAACTTAAAAACAATGTTTTACTGTTTCTGACCTCATCTTGGCAAAAACATAATGTTTAGATTTCTCTAGGTGTTGCCACAGTCTGACATAATAAAGGTTTAACATATAAGAAACACATTTTGAAAAGAAATAGAATGCAGATAGTAGGTCAAATAAATAAACTATCACCATAGCAACTTAATATTAGTGTCTTGTCACCTAAAAGAGAAGATGAGGAAGAATTAGAGGTCTGTAAGAACACATACTGGGTTGAATAGTGTCCCCTTTAAAATTCTTGTCCATCCAGAATCTCAGAATGTGACCTCACTTGGAAATAGAGTCTTTGCAGATATAATTAATTAAGATGAGGTTCAATTGTGTTAGGATGAGCCTTAAATCCAATGACTTGTATCCTTCTAAGAAGGCCATATGAAGACACATAAGAAGGAAGAGGAAGTGCATGTGATGACGAAGGCAGAGATGGGAGTGATACAATTACAAGCCAAAGAATCCTAGGCTTGCCAGGAACCACCCGAACGTAGAAAGAGGCAATGATTCTTCCTAGAACCTTCCAAGGAAGCATGGCCAACACCTTGATTTCAGACTTCTGGCCTCCAGAACTGTGAAACCATACACTTCTGTTGGTATAAGCCACCTAGTCTGTGGTAATTGGTTATGGTGGCCCTAGGAAACTGACACACATTTTGATACCAAGTAAGGGGTAATAATACCTAAAAAAAAAGTCTGCAAATGGCTTTGGAATTTGGAATTGGGTAATGGGTGGAGGCTAGAATTATGAAGCATATGATAGGAAAAGCCTTGATGACTTAAAAAGAATATTAGTAGAAATATAAATGTTAAAGGTGATTTTGGTGAGGGTTCAAAAAGGAATGAGGGAAGCTGTAGAGAAAGCTTCTATCAGCTTAAAGAATATATAAATTGTCATGAACAGAATGTTTCTAGAAATAAGAACATTAGCGGTGCCTCTGATGAGGTCTCATATGAAAATGAAGAACATATTATCGGAAACTGGAGGCAAGTCAGTGCTTGTTATAAAGAAATGAGTTGTGTTCAACTCAATTGTGTTGTGTGGAAGGTGAAACATGTAAAGGATGAATCTGGATACTTAGCTAAGGAGATTTCAAAGCAAAGTATGAGAAGTGTGGCCTGCTTTCTTCTTACTGCTTATGGTAAAATGCGAGAGGGAAGAGATAAATTGAGGCAAAAACTGTTAAGCAAAAACAAACCAGCACTTTATGATTTGGGAAATTCTCAGTCTATTTGGATAGCAAAAGATGAGAAAACATGCTCTGGAGAGAACACAAAGGTTGTAGCTGGACATTTCATTGAATAGATTAGGTGTGTGGTTAACAGATCTAATAACCAATCTCAGCAGAAGCCAGCAATAGACAAGAGATTATCTAGAAAAGATCTGTGGAGGGCCTTCTTGCATAATGGCACAGACTCCCATGAATTGCATGAGCAATCAACACAGTTTTTGAGAATTTTATACCAACAAGCACTGCTAGGCTTGGACTGAAAGGGACACAGATGAGAGAAAATGGAGGAGGAATGACTCTAAGGGTGGAGCCACGGATGAAGAGGCCATAGAGGGTGGGGATGCCCCAACAAAGGCCCACAAGATAGAATATCATGAGAGGATTATTCCCAAGCCTTGAAACCTAATGGAACTTTCTCTGCTTGATTTCAGATTTGCTTGGAACCAGTGATCCCTTTATTCCTTTCATTTGCTCCCTTTTGGAATGAGAATGTCTAAACCTATGCCTCTGTCATCATTGTATTTTGAAAGCAGATAATTTGTTTACTAGTTTCACATATCCACCGATGGAGAGGGGTTTTGCCCCAGGATAGATCATACTCACAGTCTTACCTATACCTGGTTTAGATGATGAGATTTGGGACTTTTTGAATTTTTAGATGAGAATTTGGATTTAGATTTAATGCTGGAATGGGTTAAGAGACTTCGGAGGATGTTGAAATGGGGCAAATGTATTTTGCACATGAAATAGAACTTAATTTGGGGGAACCAGAGAGTCCCTGTACTGGGTTGAATAGTGTCCCTCCAAAATTCATGTCCACCCAAAATGTGACCTTACTTGGAAAGAGGTCCTTTACAAATATAATTAGTTAAAATGAGGTCGTATTGGATTAGGGTGGGTCTAACCCAATGACTGCTATCTTTATAAGAAGGCCATGTGAAAACATACAGGGAAGAAGGTCATGTGAGGACTGAGGCAGAAACTGCAGTGATGTAACTATAAGCTAGGGAACACCAAGGATGCCCAGCAACCACCAACAGCTAAGAGAGAGGCATGGGATGGTTTCTCCCTCAGAGCCTCCAAAAGAAACCAACCCTGTTGACATCTTGATTTTGGCTTCCAGGACTGAGAGAGAATACATTTTTATTGTTTAAAGTCACCAAGTTTATGACAATCTGTTACGGCAGTTCTAGAAAACTAATACAGAATCTGCCTTGCAACTGACACACATCTAACTCATTTGTCAACCCTCGGTTTAGGACCAGCTCCTGTGAAAATCTTTTCGGATTCTACTACTACTCCATGAACCTTGGGCATACCTATATCATGGGAATTATCATGTTTTATTGACATTATGTCTTAATATGTGATTACCCCCACAATCGTTTATGGATTTGAAGGCAAGACTCACGTCTTTTCCTATGTATCCACAGCATCTAGGACTATGTCTGGCATACAAAATAAATCTTAATCCTAAGAGCCAATAAGCCCTGTGTGTAGCGATTACAGAGTCTCATTGAAGTTTTACAACACTCTATAAGGCATATCATTCCAATTTTACAGAAAAGAAAACTGACATTCAGAGAATTTAATCTCTTGTTTTAGTTCACAAAACAAATAAGAGATAAAGCTAGGTCTTCAACACAGTTCTGACTCCGAATCATTTTTGTTGTTGTTGTTGTTGTTTTTGGGATGGAGTCTCGCTCTGTCACCAGGCTGGAGGGCAGTGGCACAATCTCCACTCACTGCAACCTCAGCCTCCCAGGTTCAAGTGATTCTCCTGCCTCAGCCTCCCAAGTAGCTGGGACAACAGGCGCCCGCCACCACGCCTGGCTAATTTTTGTACTTTTAGTAGAGACGGGGTTACACTGTGTTGGCCAGGATGGTCTCAATCTCTTGACCTCATGATCTGCCCGTCTCGGCCTCCCAAAGTGCTGGGATTACAGGTGTGAGCCACCGCGCCCGGCCCCGAATCACTTTATAATTCTTTCTCATTACTATCTGAGCTAAATAATTCCTGCTGATCTCCTGTAATTCACTTACAAGAATCAAAGAGTAACTATTCTATGAGCTTAAATGACATTATATTTGAATGTGAAAACTCAAAGGTTATCTCAATAATATCTTAAATGTGTAGGTACTTTGCAATTTATACGTATTTTAACATTTATTATCATACTTAATAGTCACAGTAAGCTCTTAAGCATTATTGTTCTATTTTTCAAAATGAACCTGCTGAGGTGAATGGAGGTTAAATGATATGTTCACAGTTATTTAGCTAGTAAGTCTAAGGGACTTGAACCTCTACTTCCATCTCCAAATCTGAACTCTTTTTATTTGATCATGACAGAGGCCCATATGTCTACGGATTTTTATCAGTCTAATTTAGAACATTAAAAGCATTTTTTGGTCTCTTTACTACCTGCCCTTAATACACACTTAAATGTGTGTGTGTGTGTGTGTGTGTGTGTGTGGCATCATATAGACAAATATGAATCCATAGCCTCTAGTTTTTCATCCTGTTCATAAACTATTGAGAAGGGTTAACAATTCACCATCACCTCTGCAGTGCCATTAGACTTTAGATGTCCACAATAAATTATATACATTGTCTGCTTTTAGAAAAAAATTAATCCATGCTGAATAATACCAACCAGATCACTAAGCACTTTTAATATCCTTAAATGAAATATTTAAGATTTGAAGACATTGTTTAAAACAGGCTAAGTCATGTGTACTGATTAATAAAAATGCTCCTAACAAATATATTTGATCAGTTAACATGACAACACTCTCTAGAATCTTTCATAACTGTCCTGTCCGTTTAAAAAATATTATGTGGCAAAACAATTTGCCCCAAGAGTAAGCTCCTAGAAACCCTTTTATATAGTTATACTCTTATATTTTTATGACTGCTGCTATGTTAAAAGTCACCATTCAAGACATTTCACTGCCAAGGGCTATTATTAAGTTACAGATTGAAAATCTGAAGGTCAGAGAGGTAAAATGATTTTCTAAAAGATCCAACAGAATGACCAATAGAATCAAGAACATGACAGACTCCCAGTTTCAACTTCTCAGCCCTTTTCTCTTTTCAGAGCACTGAAGAGTCATGCTGTAGGATAGGCACAGTTGCTTTACAGGTGGCCTACTATAGCCAGGTGAATGAAATCAGCCACCTAATAATCAATTAGATGATGTGAGGAGGTTTAACAAAATGAGGAGGCTTAACAACAAAATGTCAAGTTGTGATTGCATCAACACTTTTTCTTTTCATCATAATTATTTAACAGAAACAACAATCAACATTAGGGATAAAATAATGTTAATTTAATGTAAAGGTTCAATTTCATTTTGCCCTGTTTATTCCTTTAAAAACAGATTTTGCTGTGCCTGCTGTTAGTTTCTAAGGAGCTTGGTTAAATAAACTGTAAAGTTGAGGTGGTTAAGGTTTGAAGCAGTTAAGAAAAGCTAAAGATCTTACCTGATTCAGATTGAAGAATGTTTACTGGTTCAAGAACATCTGGGCTCTGTGGCATATGGCCTCCTTACATACCACTTTATCTGAGTTAGAATAGCGTAAAGACACTTAAACTGAGACATTTGCAGTCTTTCCATTTTCAAAAGCATAGTGATATTAACTCTTTCTTTAATCCTTTCTTGGGTTCATGAATCATCATTTGGAACAAATATCCTAAATTATCTAAATATATCCATGGAGCGACAGGAATTATCATTCAGGGCAAAAAGGCAACAGAATAAAAAACATTGTGGGTAAGAGTTGCTACTATATAACAGCTGACCATAATTACCCAATCTGGCCGATTTCAGCCCGTGGAGAAAGATTACTTTTCTTTAAATGGATGGGTTGTTATTGAAATATAGCTTATACAGAAAACTATAAAAATATTAAATATATAGCTTTGTGAATTTTTATGAAGGGAACAGGCCTATGTAACCATCACCCATATTAAAGGAGAAAAATAAAAGATTTTCATCATCTCAGAAACTTGCCTTATTCCCTCTTCCAGGCACTTCCTCCACATTCCCAAGGGTAACAACTATGCTGGCTTGTACTATCATAGATGAGTCTTTCCTGTTACTGAACTTGATATAAGTAGGATACTCTTTTAGTGTCTGGCTTCTTTTGTTCAACATTATGTTTGTGGGATTCACCCATATGGTTGCATGTAGTTGTGATTTGTTCACTTCAGTATTCCATTATGTGACTATACTAAAATGTATTTATCTTAATCTTGATTGACTTTTGACTGTATACAGAGCGCTGCCATAAATCATCTTGTACATGTTTTTTTTGGTAAGCACTTGTACTCATTTCTGTTAGGCTTATATCTAGGAGAATTGCTGGTCATACAGTATGTATATGTTTAGCTTTAGAATATAGGACCAAATTGTTTTTCCAAATGGTTGTAGCAATGGATATTCCCGAAAGTAATGTGTGAGATTTATGGGTGCTTCACATCTTTGCTTGGATTTGGTGATGCTTGTCTTTAATTTTAGCCTTTCTTGTGGATATGTAATGGCATTGCATTGTGGTTTCAATTTGTTTTTCTCTGATGACTAAATGAAGTCGAGCACCTTTATATATGCTTGTTGGACATTTGCAGATCCTCTTGTGAAGTGTCTCCTCAAGTATTTTGCTAATTTCTCTATCAAGTTGACTGTGCCTTTTAAAAATTGATTTGGAGTTCACATATATAGATGTATATGAGAACTTCCATATATATTCCTTCTTCTGGTCTCCCTCCACTTTGCTGAAGCAGAAGTCTCTCACTGTAGCCGCCACAGCTGGGAATGTGCTGGGTCTCACCTGAAACCAGTACATCTGAGTCTCACTCAAAGCCTATAGCATTCTACCCAAAGCCCACAGCATCACTGCTGGTTTTTAAGGGCCCAAAGACGCTTTAGTCAGCAGGTGATGAATCTTGCCTGGCCTGGATCCTTCCTTTCAAGGCCAGCAGATTCCCTTCTGGCCCAGGATATAACTAGAAATGTCATCCAGGAGCTAGGGCCTGGAAAGGGGGCCTCATGACTCTGACCAGTGCCCTATCCTACTGTTGCTGAGCTGGTATCCAGGTTGCAAGACAAAGTCCTCTTTACTCTTCCCTCTCCTCTCCTCAAACAGAAAGGAGTCACTTTTGTTGCCATGAGCTCTTCAGCCTGGGGTTTGGGGAGGGGTGGCACAAGCACTTCCTTAGCAGCCCCGACTAGTGTCTCACTAGGTCCTGTGCCCCCTACCAAGGTCTACTGGCCCAGTACAGCACTAGGACTTGCCTAGGAGTTGCCGTCCTCACGGCCTAGACTGTGTTTCAAGTTTATTTAGAACCCCAGAGCACTTTAGCCTGTGGTGTTGAGGCTTGCTAATACTCAATTTCTGACCACTGGAACAGGTGATTCCCCTCTGCCTAGGGCTGGTCTAAATGCTCCCTCTGTGCGTGCTGGCTGAGTTCAGCCTGGTTTTGCTGTATCCTGTGGCAGAGCAGCACTGAGTTCAATGCAATGTCCCACAATCACTGTGCTCTCCCTCTCCCCATCAAACAGATTCTCTCTCCGTGCATGTGGCTGCTACTGGGGGATGAAGGAGGAGTGGCAGTGGCAATTTAAGACAGTATTTCCTACTCTCTTCAGTGCCTCTTTCAGCAATATGAAGTTAAAACCAGAAAGTGTGATTGCTCACCTGATTTCTGGTACTTATGAAGGTGCTTTTCTTGTGTGTAGAAAGTTGTGAAATTTGGTGTTCCTGCAGTAGGGATGATCAATGGCCATCTTGCTTTGCCCCTCTCAAAGAACCATTTTTCCAGGACATATCATGTGTGTATAAGACAATATGTTTCATACTAGTTTTATAGACTACATTGGCATTTTCTATATGTTTTGTACCAACCCTAGAGGAAGGCTAAGGCAGAACATTACCTTCTAAATCATTGAGAGTATTTCCTGTAAAAGCTAAGTTCTAATCTATTCAGTGTAATCTATTTTCTGATATTTATAGTTATTTAGGCACAAATAATTAAGTTGTAGTGATAGAATTTAGAAAAAATAAAAAAGGATATATGCACAGTCCTCCTAATATTTAGCTTTCAAGTGCCAATTATCTCAGCTGTACTTTTGGCAGGAGCCAAAAGGAATGAAATTCAAGATGGAAATTTCTGGTAGGTGCCCTTGATTGTGCACATTGAGTATTGTTTGGCTTAAGATCCACTAGCTTTAGAGACCAGATATGTGAGTGACATTGTAGATGCTCAATTATAAATATTAACTCCCTCAGACCTAGAGGCATTCCGCTAGCTTTAATTGCCACCTCTTAACAGATGACTCGCTGACCTAGAGCACTGTCCTAACTTCTCAGCTGAGTTACATCCACTATCACATTGAGAATGTTGGGCATTATCAATTGGCCAGCCAACCACAACTCACATTTAACATGTATAAAACTGAACTCATTCCCAAATCTGCTTTTATCTTCCTGATTTCCATTTCTATTAGAAGCACCATCAAACTCCCAGGTGCTAAGCTTGAATTTCTGAAGCTTCTTTAAGTGCTTCTGCTTCCATGCAATGGCCTACCAGGTGGGGGACATTGGGAGCAATCTGCCCTGGGTGCAGGCAGCAAAAGGAATACTGTTTCTAGGGAATTTAAGAACAATAATATAACTAAAAACTAGTCGGCTTTTTATTATTATCATGTATTGGCAATTCTAAACAATGTCAATAACTTACTGAACCCCACTTTGGTATACTCTGCTGTCCTGTTGCTCTTGATACTGAATTGGTTGCAAGGTTATATCCCTTTATCCTCTGAAATAGCTCCTTCAGTGTCCTTGGTTCACGTCCTCATTGCCTTGTGGTCATTTTGCCTCTAGATTTTTCTTCCTCCAATTCCTCCTACACAAGCTACCAGACTAACACCAAACAATAAAAACCAAAAAGCTCTCAACTTTTCATTCCTCAGGTCATAATTCTTTAATGTCTTCCTGTTGCCAACAGAATAAAGCCCAAGACACTCAGCATGGTATTCAAGGCCTAGGCGGTCTGGCCCAATTTCCCTTTCAATCATCCTTCTCTCCATAGTCTGCACTGTAGCTGGAAAGAATCACATATTCGATGTCATGCATATGATTTAGTTCGTTCATTGGATCATTCTTATCCCTTTCTTTACTCTTTCACCATATCTCTGTTCACAATCTACTTATTGCTCTTTAAAGACCAACTCAGTGTTACCTCCTGCATAAATACTTATCCTCCTTTATACAACTATAAGAAAACTCTTCACTGAATTCACTTAGCATTTTATCTGGTCTTTTTAAATGGCATTTGACATTTTATACTTTCTATATTACAGTTTTTTTTCCTTACCTCTTCTAATAGGCCATAAGCTTCGACTAGCCTGGCATACTCTTGTCATCTAGTAGATAGCTCTTGTTATTGTTACTCTTAAACCTCTTGAAGTTAGGGCCAAATTTCATTCATAGTAACCCTCAGCACCTATCCTAATGCTTTATATGAACCAGACAATAAATAAGCATCTCTTGAAAGGAAGAGAGGTTGTAATATTCAGCTACAATTTCTAGCTGATTGCGGCTAAAAGTTCTGTTTTTATTCTTCCCTCCTCTCCATAATTCTCAAAGAAAGTCCGGCCCCTGAACATTACTCTTTATTCAATTGTGTTTTGTCTTCTACCAAAACCACAAGTTCGCAATAAGTTTCTTTCATGTTCCAAAGGGCTTAAATAGGCAGTGAAACTCCCAAAATTTTCACTTCAAGGCTATAATGATTTTTTTCATCTTCTGAACTCTCAGCTCATATTATCTATATTATTCACTTGATTCTTAATCATTTACTTCTTTGTTACATGTTTTATATTTTTAACTCACGCATTGTTCCTTTTTTCCCCAAGGGTTGCATATTTCTTCCTAACCACACTGAAAGCCTTTTGTGGGTGAGGGCCTTGTGTTAAGCAGCTCAATTTTCTGTCCCACAGCATCTAGCACAGGGCCAGTTTTTGTTAAATGAACTGTTTATTTGAAAACAGTATATTCAGTTAGAATTGTATGCTGGATTTCTTCTTTCTTGTGTTAAACTAGAGTTAAATTTAAATTTAGTAAAACTTATCTTAAAATACATCAAATACCATGGAATTTGGGTCAATTAATTTTTCTTAGTGCTACAGGATTATTACTGAATTTCAAGATCTATTACAGGAAATATACTATTTGCTTAGCAAGACTTTACATTTCTTGATATAACAAAGTCAAAATTGGTAAAATATCAATAACTTGATATTTTAGTATATCAAGTTATACTGAAATTAATATTTTAGAAGAATTTTTCAAGGAAATGAAGCTATATAAATACTTTATTTTATTCAGTTACTAGTAAATATAAAACTAGTAACAATTTTAAAATCCTTGTACTTTTTGAATGTTTACTAGGTGTCAAACACCTCACATCTTTGTTTTTCCCAACATTTCATAAAAGAAATGTTCAAGCATGCAAAAAAGTAAAATTGTATATTAACCACCATATGCCTATCACCTCAATTCTACAATTCTTAATATTTTGCTACATTTGCTTTATCACAACCTCATCACAGATCTATCAGTTTGTTCCTTTATTAATCCACCTTTTCTTTTGAGACATTTCAAAGTTAGAGACATCAGTACATTTCATCCTTAAAACCTTCAGTATGTATTACAATTAATGTTTATGCTTATCTGTACTGAGAAGAACTCCTGGCCTCAAGTGATCTGCCTGCCTCAGCCTCCCAAAGTGCTGGGATTACAGGTGTGAGCCGCCGCGCCTGGCCCTTCTCCTGCACTCTTAAGATGCTAACCCTGCTGCAAATGGCAGTAACCAATCCCAGAATTCCCAATACAACTGAATCTAATTTGGGTAGGGCTTGGAGATGTGGCTCATCTCTCAAGATCTTTGCCAAGATAACACATTCATAGGCCAAGAAAGGTGGTGCTGGCTGTCAGCTGTCAGCTCATCAAGGGCTGTCAGCAGGGACACTGGTTCCTTTGCACACAGGTCTCTTCAAACATTAAGATGTACGAGCCTCTAGCTTCGTTTCAAGAATGAATATTACGAGAGACAGGAGGGGAATCTGCCATTGTCTTCAAGCCTGGACCCCAAAACTGACAAACTTCACTGCCACCACATTCTGTTAGTCAGACAGTCAGATCCCACCCAGATTCAAGAGGAAGAGACCTAGACCCCACCTCTTAACAGAAGAAGTGTCAAAGAATTTGAAGCCATCTTTAATCTACCAAAAGAGGTAAGATTATCTAGCAACTGTACATTATTATGAAATATTCTTTATTCTTCATCAGGTCACATTCTTCTAGGGAGGCCAAATGGTACTTGGTAGTGGCATATACTATTTAGCTACAGATACTCCATGTCCAGATTAACATACGCTTTATATAATTGGAGGCCAAGGTCTACTTTGGAGTAAGATCCTAGAGACTGATTTTGGTACTGAATTTACTCGCTAGATAATATACCACTTATTCCTGAACTATCTCATTTATTTTAAATATGTATTGTCTTCCATTTGTGATTAACCTTGATAACTGCCTAGATTACAAACTAATTGGCTATGTCATCAAGAAAGCAGACAGCCTATAACAGTGTTACCTCTTGTATAACAGAGCTGCTTTAATAAAAGAATATTCGACTTTTCTGTAAATTCATTTTCTCCTTTTTTTTTTTTTTTTTTGAGAATGGAGTTTCACTCTCATTGCCCAGGTTGGAGTGCAATGGTGCGATCTCGGCTCACTGCAACCTCCGCCTCCCGGGTTAAAGCAATTCTCCTGCCTCAGCCTCCTGAGTAGCTGGGATTACAGGTGCATGCCACCATGCCCGGCTAATTTTTGTATTTTTTTTAGTAGAGTCGGGGTTTCACCATGTTGGCCAGGCTGGTCTTGAACTCCTAACCTTGTGATCAGCCTGCCTTGGCCTCCCAAAGTGCTGGGATTACAGGCATGAGCCATCGTGCTTGGCCCATTTTCTCCTTCTTAAACCCTTATTGTACCTTAAATAAAATTGTGCTTTAAAAAAATTATTGCACTGACTCCTTAAGATTTATTATATATTTTGAAGTCCATATAGGATATTTGTCTTTTTAAGTTCAAATATTATAACTTTTGCTCGAGAGCTTTGGTTTCATGTTAATTTTGTTATATTGGGTAATAACTGGAAGGTTTAAATCTTATACAGATTCAATTCAGAAGAATAAGTCAATATTTTCTGATTGAAGAAAAAATGTTTCTTGAAGTCAATCTATTAAGAAAGAAAGCTCTGTATACAATAAATTGAAGTTTAAAAATGAATACTATTTTACTTAGGTGTTTTCTATAAGTAAGATGAAAGAATAATACTATTCTAAAAGATCCAGCCAAGTATTGCAAAGCTGATTCAATATATTTTAACTTAAGTATTGAAATTCAATGCCAGTAAACTGACAAGCTAAAGCTATATGTTTTAGAAGGGATCATTCGGGGGTAAACATTTCAGAAGTATGCAGTTAGAGTTGCATTGGACAGAATGTAGTTACTCAAAATATATTACTTTTAAAATAAGTTTTTTAATGGACATCTCATCAAAAGCAGGATTTATTATTTTCTAAAGTATAATCTTAAAAATTAACAGCTGATCATTCAAAACCTCAATGGTATTCATTTCTTAGCTAATGTCTTATGACTATTAGTCAACGTCACAATAGTCATTCTTTTATTTAACTTCCTTTGATGCCTGTGGGATGGGGGTGAGAAGAAGAAAAGACAGCTTTACATAAAAAAAAAAACAAACCATGACTTCACTAACTCCAACTATAACTGAGTGAAACGTTAGCAAGAAGTGTTATAAGTGCTAGCTAATCTTGAAAAAAAAATAAGACAAAATATTCTGGGGCATTCTGTCAGTGGTAGGAATTATGTGATACTAATTATAGTGCTGTGTCAACAAAAGATGAAGAGGGAGATTTTAATAGAGAATACGTATCTTATTGTTGGACGGTACTAAAGTTGAAACATATGCTAAGAGGAAATAAATATTGGCTTAAACAGCAGCATACTCAAGTTTGAATTGGAATGTAAAAACTTCTTCTACCCAGAAGTGTTTTTTATAGCTTAGGTGATCAAGACTCTTATAGGCTTAATTTCCCTATTATCTGGGCCCTCAGAGCACCTTGCCCAAAGCCACCCCTAGCTTTCACTAATCTAATTTTTTTTTTTTTTTTTTTTTTTTTTTTTGAGATGGAGTCTTGCTCTTGTCGCCCAGGCTGGAGTGCAGTGGTGTGATCTCGGCTCACCGCAACTTCCGTGGCCTGGGTTAAGCTTCTTCTGCCTCAGCCTCTTGAGTAGCTGGGATTACAGGTGCCTGCCATCATGCCTGGCTAATTTTTGTACTTTTAGTAGAGACGGGGTTTCGCCACATTGGCCAGGCTGGTCTCAAACTCCTGACCTCAGGTGATCTGCCCGCCTCGGCCTCCCAAAGTGAATCTACTTTTAGTGTTTGGCACAACCAGGTATTATCCACACTCATCCTAACTCCACACCTGGGGCTGGGGAAATTATTGGTTATTCTAGGATGAGTGCTGGTTTGGGGTGGCTATTAGAGAGCAGTCTTTGGCTATTTTCAGCTAGATGATTCATAAGTTAGGAATAGAGAGTGAAGATTAGGCTCTTGAACCTCAGGTTTAAGGGAGAGGTCCAAATCTGAAATGATAATGTGTAACCTCATAAATCCTATACTTTCCCATAGAAGATCACACAAAAAGGGAGGGAGATAGGAACAAATAGTTAAATTTAGTGATTTGCAAAGCCTCCAATTAACCCAAAAAGAATTTGGGTTTGAATTTTTGGTATTAATATTTGTGTTGAGCATTTACAAGCCAAAATATTTAGGTAATCTGTAACGAAACACTTTCATTAACTAAGTTTGGAATTCACACAGTTCACTACCATCAAATAAAATGAGGGCTGATTTCATGAGCATGTGATCTGTGCAGGTGCAGGGGTCCCCAGTCTTAGAAGGGCTCTAAGCTTGGCTGAATGCTCTGCTGAAATTCTTAATAATTTGTTTAATAAGTGGCTCATACTTACATTTTGTACCATAGATTACGTAGCCATACCTGAATAAGATCCATTATGACTGGGCTATATCTTATATATTACTAGTGAGACAGAATAAAATAAATATTAAGCAAAAATGAGGTGTTGGTTAGCATAAGCTATATAGTAATCTTTTTTAAACACCGTATTTTCCTGAGGCCTGAACTTCCCAAAGCAATTTTCTTGTGCTCCCTTTGTAGTCCAGATAGGAAATAACTTCATGTAGGAAGATTTTTACTCCTCTGGGCATATGAATTTTAAGGGCAACTGAGGAATGAACTCAATGAAGAAATCTGAAAGGAATGAATTGCTAATGGTAGACATTTAGGAGAAATTTTTTGGGAATGGATTTTTTGCCACTTTTCCTTTTATATACAATGTGCACTTCCCTTTAATATTTGAGCTGACAACTGTTAAAAAGAGTCATTCTCCCTGCTCTTGCTCCCTATTGCAGTTTCATTTCTCATAGTAAAGTCCCTCTTTTTCTGCTTCCGTAGTAGTTTTCTTCACTAAAATTTCTCTAATGTTCTTTGTATAAAGAGGGTAGCAAGAAAACGCCTCCCCAATCAAATATCAATTGAAACCGCCTATTGGCTGTGGTTGATTTTTGCCTCAGTCAGTAGTCACAATTTCCAAGACAATTTCCCTCCATGCTCTTTTATACCACCCCCAAATTTCTCTGCTCACAGCATTATGAATCTCAGTACAGCTGAATCATGCAGGTCTGATTTAGCCTGCAAAAATGTCAGTCAAAGCAAGCAAGATGTACTCTTTGGCCTTGAGTGCTCTAAGCTGCTATGAATCACAGGTTTAGTTTTTGCCAAATGAAAAGCAATTTCACTTGCAAAAAATATCTGTAGGGATACTTATGGCTTTTAGCTTACAGGGAAAATGTACTTAAATTGTCCAGGGAAAAGGAGAGTTTGTGTAATACACACACACACACACACACACACACACACACACAGACAGAGTATATATTTTGTATATTTATACAGTATATATATATATACAGAATATTGAATATATATTCAATCTTTTATGAAACCAGTTAAAAGCTAGCATTTACTGCATTTGCTTTTCATTAAAATCTTTTTCATTTTTGAGCTTCATCTAACAGGTGTTAACCATTAGACTAATAAATTGCTTCTTCAAATGGACCATGTCAATGAGTTGATACCTAATAAAGTTCACGTTTTCGTAAGGGAACACTTCAGTGAGACTTGGTAATCGAGAATTTTGTAATTAGTTGCCTAAATATTAAGCAACATGATATTTTCTCTGACTCCTATTTAAAAGCACCAGCCACAGTGTGAAATGCCATTGTGAATATTGTAATCAATACTTTTGGAATTTCTGTTCTTGAGAGAGGATTTTACACAAATTGTTAACCTTCTTTTTCACCTTGGAATTCAATTCCACAAATTGCAAGCTTTGTTCTGTTAGTGTGGCACTTCATCTCTAGCCACAGAACACCTATAATGGTCAAAGGAGCAGCTTTCATTTCTTGTAAGGACTGTCTATCCTGACTTAAAGTACAACTTAAGATGGTGTTCAATATGTTCAGTCAACACTAGCCTTCAGCTAATCCAAGACAGCTCTAAACAGTGGTTATCCAAGACAGTGGCAGCCCCATTAAGCTGTCTAAAACATCTCATCTTATTTTTCCCCCAAGATTGTTCTTGTTATGAACAATTTTTGTGGTGTAGAAAAGAATGTGAAGAAATAAGCCTTTCAGATAACATTTCAGATTAGGCTATTATAGTAAAATTAAGCATCCCAATCAAGGCATTGGGATTCTAAACTGATTT
The DNA here is from genome assembly GCF_000001405.40 of Homo sapiens. Taxonomy (NCBI): domain Eukaryota; kingdom Metazoa; phylum Chordata; class Mammalia; order Primates; family Hominidae; genus Homo; species Homo sapiens. Next base: position 115,771,753 of record NC_000010.11, on the reverse strand, counting down.
ACTACATCTATGATCTCTTATGTTTTTAACTATTTGGAAGAGACAGAAAACTATAACTGATTTCTCTCCTGAAAGCGTTCTCAAGGAAGGAAAGCATAGAAAAGGGTAACGCTGGTATATTAGACTCATGATCTGCTGAAAATATAATAAAAAAGGCATTTTCTAAAAATGCTGAGAGATTTTGACCTAACAAGATTAAGAGGCAGATAAGAAGTAAGAATTCTGGCCGGGCGCGGTGGCTCACGCCTGTAATCCCAGCACTTTGGGAGGCCTAGGCGGGCGGATCACGAGGTCAGGAGATTGAGACCATCCTGGCTAACACGGTGAAACCCCGTTTCTACTAAAAATACAAAAAATTAGCCAGGTGTGGTGGCGGGCGCCTGTAGTCCCAGCTACTTGGGAGGCTGAGGCAGAAGAATGGCGTGAACCCAGGAGGCGGAGCTTGCAGTGAGCCGAGATAGTGCCACTGCAGTCCGGCCTGGGCGAAAGAGTGAGACTCTGTCTCAAAAAAAAAAAAAAAAAAGTAAGAATCCTATGAATTCTAGTCCTGGTTGTAATAATAACTTTGGTAAAGTCATTTAACCCTGGTTGCTCTGATATTTCTTTGTCTGTAAAATGGGAATGATGTTTCTTATCATAATACCAGGGTAAGGTATTTGATAAATGGTAGCAAATCCTTTCTGTTATTAACTGTGAGCTTCAATTTCTACATTTGACGTCCTCAAAAGTTAATATTGTCTCATAAAATTGCAATTTTGTTTTAAGATGAACAAATTTTAATATACTTTATATATTTTGAGTAGATATATACTTTTCAAGGGGAAGCCACATATTTTAAAAGCACCTGACTTAAAAACGTTTTGGATATTTTTCATATTTTATACTGAACATGTAGGTATAATGAGAAAATCTATCAATAAATTCTTTTAAAGAATGAGATGAGCAATGCAAATTACAAAGTCTTTTTACTGGTTTTATTAAGGTTTTATTCTAACTTACCAACTGATGTTACCAGAAAGACCTTGAAGTATTTTTTTCTCAAAAATTTGAAGCTAACCATTTTAAACATGAATATATCTTCTGTGGATTACAGTGTATTTATATAATACCAGAGTTTGTTTTATTGACTTCAGTTATGTAATTTTCTCAACTTCAATTTTTGCATGTGTGAGTAATGGACATTTAATTTATAATTTGTTGGAAGATCTATGCCTCAATATGCTTTTGACACAGCCTGCCTTGAGGAAGACAGATATTTATTTTGAATAAGCTTAATCAGTTACCTTTCTCACTGATTGGTTAAAACTATTCTTTTTCTTCTGAAAAGTAGCTTAGAAAATATTGAGTATACAAAATTACATAATTCTGTATCACTGATTACATTTCCTTTGAGTTTTATTGCTGTACTCAAGTTATCTCTTATTTTCATTGCTTAGTATGCCATTTTTATTACCAGTAGAATCATTTTGAAGCTGAATGCACAAAATAGAACTTATAGGATTTAGGCTTAAAATAGCAATTTAATATAAATATTGCTATCAATATATTCATTAGATAGCATACATTATTGTGCTTCCTTATAAACTTTCTCTTGTTTTTTTTAGTTTTAAAAAAAAAACCCTTCAGGTAATAGTATAACCTAGACCCAGGTTTTCTGAAACCTGAAATTTTTGGAGCTTCGGAGGTCTTCTTTAAGAAAGAGAATATAAAATTAAGAAGAGTATTAAGTGTCAGTTTGGAAGGGACTTGTGCAAATGAGAGGCCCTTAGGCTTAAGCTGCATTAGCTTCAAAGTCAATATACTCCTGGGGTAATAGTTGTTTGACCCTTCCACATTGTTCAAAGGCATATTTACAAAGAAGTCAAGAACCTAAGACACAGATTTTAGCAGTAAGAATAAGAGTAATAAGATCTACTACTTACTGAAAGATATGATATGTAACAGGCATTGGAAGCCCTTTATATGTATGATCTTATTAAATCCTCAGAACCACCCTATGAGGTTGCTGTTATTTCACTTTAGCTTATTGTCAAGGAAACTAAATTCAGAGTAGTAATTTGGCCGAAATCAGCCAGTTATCAGATGATAGATCTGGAATATAAAACCAGGCATGAATAACTCCAAAGTCAGTGATATCCTCTCTCCACACAATCTTCTCAAAACAGCATAGCCCGTTACTACAATGTACTGAGCGCTATGTGCCAGGCACCATGGTAAATGCATGTAATCCTTTCAATAATTTTATAAAGTAAGTATCAATATATTCATGTTACGGATGAAATGAGAATCAAACATATGTCTGTTTGGCTCCATAAATATACTGTAAGAAAGGTAATTCACACAAGTTTTCAAGCACTTTCATTTTAATTCTGAGCCCACAGTGTTGTTGGTATCTGTATAAATTGCAGCTACAAATATTCAGGGAAATGAAAATGTGCACTATTTAGCAACACTTTTTCTTTAGCTTTGACTAATTTATGGGAGCAATGCATGATTAATAGGCATTCCAAAGAAACCTATACGGTTTCTTGTTTTGGTGCAGGAGAAGATAGCCTCCATACATTACTTTTACAACTTTGAAACTGAAAAAACAGTATAAATGTCCATGGTTGAACAAATAATTTCTTTCCTTTAATTGCTCTGGAAACTTTCTCCTGTCTTATGATTGGCAATGTGCCACTTTGGTTAATTCCTTTTTTATTGTTTTCATCTAACTTAATGAAGACAAGTTATTAATGAATACTTTCTCATTCATATGTCTATATGTTTTCCTTTAATAATACAATTTAAATTTTTTCACTAGTAAGACAAGAAAAAGATTTAAAAGTGACTCATTTAAAGATACAGAACTTAATAATAAAAATAATTTATATAGGAAGTGTCTTTTGTGGAAACAAAGTACTTTATGTTTTCTTGCTGATCCCAGGAGCACAATCTGTAAGTCTAAATTTAATAGAATAGTATTATATTCCTTTAATTTTAAAATTAAATGGGATAGTTATAAACTATGAAATAAAATAAAATGAGCTAAGTTAAAAATAAATATCCTCTTTTAAATTACAGTTAGGAGGAAGAAACACCTACTTGGCAATGTCAGGTAAAGTGAAGAAGATACATAAAGTTAGCGTGTTCACGGCGTGGAGTTGCTGCTGACAAGGAAAAACTGTAATGGTGCATATTCTCTTGTAACCAAGAAAACAGTCAGTAGAACGATGGTCAAAAAATAGAATACTCATTTGCTCCTTAAAATATGAAAATGTAATTAGGTTTCAAAGGTATCAAAGGTAATTAGGTATCAAATTACATGGTGATTTGATAGGGCCTTGATATCCTGTCTTAATTCCAATAGTAATGTAAATAAGTAAATCTACTAAGTCATAAAATAGCAAATCATAAAGCAAGAAAGAAAAAGGGTTTTTTAAGCATCTCTACAACAGCAGAGAGACTATATAGTATTAATAGTAATAAAAAAGCCACCATGTAGCTCTGAAAATTTATGTACATTAGCTCTACTTCTCATAATTAGCAACATATATGTTACTATTCTCATTTTACATACAAAGAAACATGAGGTTAAGAGATTCAGCAATTTATACAAAGTCACAGAGCCACAAACTGGAAGAGGTAGCACACAAATTATAGGCTGTGCAGGAAATGAATAAGAAATATTTTTATATCACACTATCAGTTAATCAATTATTGAGCATTGGGTATATTGATGTCTTTAACATTCTTACTACCAGTAAATTTATAAATCTGTGGTCTGGAAGAGAAAAATGACCTGCTTAAAATATCCATGAAGATGTTCAAACCACTCTACTAAAATTATAATAACAAAGCTCTGTCTAGAATTAGAATCCCCAATCATGATCCTGGGATTATATTAAGACAACAAACAAAACTTTACTGAGGTGATTCTGATATGCAGTCAGGATTGAGATCCACTATGATACATTAAGTTAAACTGACCAATAACAATGAGAGTGAAGTGATAAAAGAGATTAGAGTAAGCTGAGCTATAAAGAAAAAGAGAACATAGAGTAATAGGGATGATAGACGTCTTGAAAGTTGGTGCTGGTTGATAGGTAAAGGAACAGGTGAAGAAAATTCTAGGGAGAAAAACATGATGAACAAAAGCATAGGTGCAAGAATGAGTCTGGTGCAAGGAAAGAAAAAGTAGTTTAGGAGAATATGGGTAACAAGGAGTGCTACTGAAATATAATTTGGATTTGATGTGGCACTCAACAGGGGACTCTCAGCTTATAATCACAAGAAGGGACCTGAAGAAGGAGGTAGTCTACTTTAATCTGGTTGTGGTATGCAGGATCCATGGGACAGGGAGCACAAGCACAAGAGATGACTGCAAAGTTCCCACCCTCAAGACTAGAAAAAATGATGGCATTGACAAAAATGGGGCTGTTGGGAGGAAAAGGCAGTTTTGGGGAAGACAATGGTACTTATTTAATGAATGCTGAATAAATGATGAGTCTATCTGGGACTTGTTCAGTTAGGAGGAGAATTGTTCTGAAATTATTTAGGCTACAGAGTTGAAGATATGGTAAGGCTACACAATGCCCATGTTTAATAAATAAATGAGTGAGAACAGTTTGAGGTGATCGCAGAAGCACTGAGAAGAGAAAAACTCTCGGGACACTGTGAGTCATGAGATAAAGCAGCGGGTCATAAAACCTTCATAATAATTATCATAAACCCTTGCAATTGTGAAAGGCTTTGCAGTCTAAAAAATAATTCTTACAATAACTCAGTGATGTAGAGAGAGCAAATGTTATTATCCACAATTTTCAGATGAGTAAATTGCAGCTCAGAGTTTATGTGACTTCCCCAAGGTAACACAACTAGTAATTAGGAGAGCCTGCACTCAAATTCCAAGGCTTTTGACTCCAAATTTTGTTCATTAATCAAGGCCAGTTGATATAATTCTAGAGAAGATTCAGCCCATGAATGCATAATAGTCTGAAGATAAGAAAGGATTTATAAAACAGATATTTTAACGAAGAAAAATAAGAGCAAAAAGCACTTTTTCTACACTTGATTGTGGATTTCATATCTTCACTCTATCCCCCGCCTTCCCTCTACAGTGGAAAACCAAACTTACCTTCATCATTACAATGTACAGTGCTGGGGATTTGTTACAGCAAAGTTCCATCAAAATGTGAATTCATATGCCAGTTAAAACTATGAGATACTACTTTTCACCATTAGATATTCAGAGTGAACTGTTTCCTAAAAGACGATATTGGCAAGGCTGTGGGGAGATATTTTCATAATTGTCAGTGAGAGTCAAAGGTTGCATAACAATCAGTGCTTCTTAACAAGGGACATTTAGTAATGTCTGGAAACATCTTTGGTTGTCACAACTGGAGGATCTGTTAAACAGCCTACAGCACATACCTTCACACAGTAAAGAATTATCAGGCCAAAATGTCAGTAGTGTCAAGGTTGAAATGCTCTGTTCTATAATGATCAATTTGGCAATATCTGTCAAAATTACAAATGCCTATCCCTTTTGAACCAGCAATTTGACTTCTATGATTTTTTCCTGTAGATATACTTGTGTAAGAGGCATTCAATCAACAAATATTCATTAAACATTTATTCTATGACTAGGGTTACAGTAGGAAACAAATTAAAAAAAATCTCTGCTTTTTGGATCTAACATGCTAATATGTGACAGGAGTGAAGTTTGATAATGAAAGCAATAAAGAAAATACATAGTATGTTAGATGATGATAAGATCTTTAGTGAGCCGGGGGGGGGAAAGGATGGTTAATAAGGAGAGCTGGACAAGAATATTCACTGTCGCATTGTTTGCAATAGCTAAAGATTGGAAAAAGTCTAATTGTATACATCAGTGGGGGACTAGTTGAATATAGTACTGTGGAACACTATACAGCCATTACAAGTGAGGTAGTACCCTCCACAAAAATTAACTCAAAATGAATTGTAGACCTAAATGTAAAATGCAAAATGATACAACCTGTAGAAGATAACATAGGAGAAAACCTAGATGACCTGCGGTACTGTAATAATTTTTTACATATAACACCAAAGGCTTAATTCATGAAAGAAATTATTGATAAACTAGACTTCATTAAAATTGAAGACTTATGCTCTGTGAAAGACAATGTAAGAGAGTAAGAAGACAAGTTACAGACTGGGAGAAAATATGTGCAAAAGACGTCTGATAAAGGCATGTTATCCAAAACATATGAAGAACTCTTAAAACTCAACAATAACAATGGATGAAAGACTGTTAACTGACACCTTACCAAAGATGATACACACATGGCAAAGAAGCATATGAGATGATGTTCTGTAGATCAGAGAAATGCAAAGTAAAACAGCAATGAGATACTATTTCACATCTCTTAAACTGACCAAAATCGAAAACACTGACAACACCAAATCCTGGCAAATACATAAAACAACAGGAATTCTCATTCTTTGCTCACGGGAATGCAAAATGGTAAAGTCATTTTGGAAGGCAGTTTGGCAGTACAAAACTAAGCTACCCTGACCATATGATCCAGCAATTGTGCTCCCTGATACCTACCCAAAGGAGCTGAAAACTTATATCCATACAAAAATCTGCACATGGATGTTTGTAGCAGCATAATTCATAATTGTCAAAACTTGGAAGCAACCAAGACTCCCTTCAGTAGGTGAATGAATAAATAAACTGTGATATATCCAGACAATGGGATATTATTTAGCTCTAAAAAAGAAATTAGCTATCAGGACATAAAAAGACATGGAGGAGGCTGGGCATGGTGGCTCATGCCTATAATCCCAGCGATTTGGGAGGCCAAGGCGGGCGGATTGCCTGAGGTCAGGAGTTTGAGACCAGCCTGGCCAACATGGCGAAACCCCGTCTCTACTAAAAATAAAAAAACTTAGCTGGGTGTGGTGGCAGGCACTTGTAATCCAGCTACTTGGGAGGCTGCAGCAGGGAGAATTGCTTGAATGTGGGAGGCGGAGGTTGCAGTGAGCCAAGATTGCACCATTGCACTCCAGCCTGGGCAACAGAGTGAGACTCCATCTCAACAACAACAAAAAAACAAACAAACAAAAAAGACACGGAGGAAACTTAAATGTATATTTCTGTGTGAATATACATTTCACAGTCTGAAAAGTCTACATATTATCACAATAATCATAGAAATGTATGATTCAAACTATATTACATTCTGGAAAAGGCAAAATTATGGAGACAGTAAAAAGATCAGTGTTTGCCAGGGGTTGGTGGGAGCAGGAGTGGGTGTGGGGACGCATAGGCAGAGTACAGAGAATTTTTAGGGCATTGAACATACTCTGTATGATACTATAATGATAAATACATGTCATTACACATTTGCCCAAACCCACAGAAGGTAAAACTCAAAGAGTGAACTCTAGTGTAAACAATGGACTTTGGATGATTATGATGTGTCAATGTAGCTTCATCAAGTGTAACAACTGTGTCACTCTGGTGGGGATGCTGATAATGATGAAGGCTGTGCATGCAGAGGCAGGAGGTATATAGGAAATCTCAGTACCTACCTCTAAATTTTGCTGTGAACCTAAAACTGCTCTAAAAAAATAAAGTCTTTAATTTTTTAAAAACGTAGTTGTTCCTTAATTGCTGATATGGAATTATCTAGCAAGGTAAGAACACTGCATCTATAAAGCAGAGAACACAAATACTAGTACCTGTATACAATACCTCAAAGAAACACAAAAATCCCGAAAACAGTGATTGCCTCTAGGAAGGCAAGTAGGTGGCTAGAAAATTGAGATAGAAGAATGGCTTAGTTTTCATTTTCACCGTATCATCTTCTGTTTCTTTCAAACTTTTAACGTGAATGTTATGTAATAGGCATTTAGTATCTACTAAAACAATTCAATATTTCTTCTAAAAGTGTTTCCATGCTATAGAAGTTTTAAACATACATACATTTTTAAATACAAAAATACATATAAATACATACATACATATGTATATGTCTGTATATATACATTAATGGATATGTGTGTATACAAACACACACAGATATCTTTCTAAATACATATAACAGACACACACACATTTTCTTATTGATTGTGCTTAGAAGTCTTCTCCAGTCCCCCACTGTCTACAGAATTCAGAATCTTTGTGCCCATCCCCGACTCCCCTTCCTTGCCTCTCATCATTTTCCTTAGGCTCCATGTCACAACTAGGCCAACCAGATCATGTTCCCTCTTGAATGGAATGCCCTCTGTTCACTAGGGAAATTTATCTTTTTTCTTTTTCAAGATCCTGCTCAAATACTGCCCTCTCATTGAAATAATTACCCCACTTCTCCTGAGCATAATTAGTTTCTATTTTCTTTTTGTTCACAGAGAATACGTACATTTCTCTATGTATGTACTGTCACATGGTCAAGTATCTGTGTCTCTCCCTTAGTAGATTATGTGAGTCTCAGGAGCAAGGCCTGTGTTATATTCATGTTTCCAATTCCAGATTTAACATAGATCTTGGTCTAAAAGAGTTGTTCAATAAATATTTTTGAATGATGGATAAATGAATGAATAAATAAATACATTAATTCATGGATGAATCTTAACCTTTGATACAAACTGCATAGAGTAAAATATATACGCAAAACAAAAAAACTCACTGATAAGAATCTGAGTATATTTATTGCATGATAACTTTTACAACTTAGATAAATTATTTAAACCTTCCCAATCCATCTGAAATTTTATCAAATATTATACAAATGCCATAAAAAGTGCTGATCACATTTTAATATACCTTTATATTTTACCTATTAGTGTTTCTAAATAATTTTTATTTAACTTAAGAAAGAACATTTCAAAAATTTAAACAAAAATGAATAAAGATATTTCAACAGTTAGAAAAATTGTATGCTTTCATTTTCTAAGCCACTGAAGAAATTCAAAAGTAAAGTTATTAAAGAATAATTATGTTGATGATTAACTGGTTACATTTAAAACTTTTATGTCATTAGAATCTGTCAATATAAATTATTGATAGTAACTTTCTCAAGTATGGAGTAATTTGTATTCTTATAATTTATATAATGTTATATACTATTTATGGGAGGTTAGTTTTAGGTGGGATGTAAATGTACCCTTTCTCCCCAAATCATGTTACAATCTAGATAAATTACATGGCAGATTTCAGTTCTCTAAGTTAATCCTTAAGAAAATAATTCATAAGTACTGATTATTTTTTAAATACTGAGTTCTATATTACTGTGTTGTTTCTTCTCACATTAAATGACTGGTTCCATCAATGAATTCTTAATTTTGAACTTTTCATTATTTTCTAGGATGTACTAGATTTTCTGCATTAAATTAATCTGACCCTTCTATATACTTTTAGCCATCATGGATGAGGTCATCCAAATCCTAGCAAATCTGCCAAAAGACCAGGCAGGCTTTCTGAAGAAGTCATCAGTGCAGTCTGAGCCAGGAGGAATAAAACTTTCAGGCTTACTGACATATCTATTAATAGTTTTTGAAACAGAAGAAAGAAGGAAACTTAGTGTTTTGAATTCCTTTTTCCAAGCAGCAAAGAGCCTTCTGCTGGGGCTGGGGCATGCCAGCTACTTCTCATATTCCCCAGAGTTCATGTGTGAGGTGTCATACATGGAGCAAGTGCTCAGAGAAGCTTTGGTGAATAATGAATTCTGACAATGGCCAATTTCTTTTTTACATAATTTGGAGATGTTTATTGTGATCTTAGATACTTAAAAGACAATAAGTTGACAGAGAAAGAGAAAAGAGCCCTTGTGGGTAAGCTTCCTTAAAATCTCCATCTTCTTAAGGGAGGAAAGTAATGGTTATTGTTGAGCCCCGACTTTGTTTTGGGTAGTATCCTAGGTGTTTTACCTATTTTAGCTCATTTAATTCTCACCACAATCCTGAATTAGTCATTATTGTGCCTGATTTTATTTAAGGAAACAAAGTTCAAAGAACTGAATTAACCTACCCAAGTCAAAATCTTATAAGAGAAAAAGCTAGGATTTTTATCCAGCTGCTGTGACTCCAAAGTTTATTCTAACACACCACTCACAAAACAAAACAAAACCCAACACCAACACCACCAGCAACAGCAAATGTGCTGTTATTTTGTCCTTCCTTTTCATTGTAAGTCATCTCAATTCTTTTTTGGAAGTAGGTGAGCCCACAGTAATAAATGCTGTCAACAAGGGCATCACTCTTCAATCCTGTTTTCTCAAATGGAGAATTTAATTGCAGCGATATTTAACTGGGGGGGAAGTTATTTATGATTTTTGTGTCTCCACCATACACATATCTGGATCAGCAGGTGGTCCAATGAGGTCTTAGAGCACTGGAATGTGTGTTGTAACTTTTTCCTTACCTCGCCCAATGTCTATGTGTCTCCTCCACCTCTCAAATTATTCCACAAGGAGATGACAAAGGGTGCCCACAAAGAGGCAAACTTACAAAGTGTAATTATTGGCTTCTTTAATATGTGTTTTAACAGTATTTGAGGCCAATTCCAAGCACTTCACATAATGCATTATTATAATAGAACAAAAGTTTTCTAATAAAACTAGCCTTTTGCTATTATTTTCAGCTTTCTTTTGATTACATGATTTGATTTTTTTAAAAAAGAGCTCCAACAGTGCAGTCTTTGAAACGCTACCTCAAATAGGTCAGAGTCTTACTTCCCTAGTTGTGTTGTGCAGCATGAAAGGCTGCCTATGTTTTCTCATGACTTTACTCCTTAGGAGACCTCCCATGGATCATTTCTCTTAGTAAAAAAGAATCTATTGACTGCGCCTATCCTAAAGCTAACAAACTGGGCTTTCCATGGGGAAATAACAGCAAATTGAGTGCAGCTATTGACCAGCCTTCTGTAGTTAAAAATACAACAAACTATACCTTGTCTGATTACTTTTAAATTACTGGTCATTTTCATGCTCTGCTGGTATTACTTACTACTTGATAACCTTTCAAACAAGTAGAACAAAAATATTGGACACTATCTTCTATCTGTTTCTGTCATCTGAAATCCAGTATATACATAGGAATGTATTTTTTATTCATAGCTAATAAGAATAATATTGTTTTTTATATACGTGTGTGTGTATTGTTTCAGAAGAAAGATGTTTACAATTCAATGGCTTAATTATACCAACAATAACCCAACATTTATATTTATCTTTCAATCAGGGTAATAGGATAATAGGAAATAATGTGCTCTACTAAGTCATATAATTAAACTGTAAATTGTTTTATTCAATTTTTAAAAGTCTTCTAGACTTACCATTTAGGAATGTTTAAAATTAGTTATAAATTATTTTTATTTAAAATTCAGTACCAATGAATACGTAAAAATATATTTTTCATTCATCTGCTGTCTTTTTGAAGGAGGAAAATGTCATGTCATCACAATAAAATTTATAGAATATTACATGTACTAGAGCAAAAAATAAAACTAAACTTCTTCCCTACTAACATTTAATCAGTATTTGTAAAACCAAAAACAAAACCATTAAAACCAAAACCACAAATATATTTAGTAAGAGTTTAGTCTTTTTTTTTGGAAAGGGGAGTAATGAACAGTGTTTTGTAGAAAGTATTAATTAAAATCATATGTAATGAGCCACATGGAAAAATATATATTATATATAGTTCTTTGTTTTGACTAAAATTCACATTTTTATTTCTGTAAATTTTATCAGATCAATGTAAAGTGTTCACAATTAGAAAGTTTTATTTACTCAGGCCGGGTACAGTGGCTCACGCTTGTAATCGCAGCACTTTGGGAGGCTGAAGTGGGCAGATCATGAGGTCAAGAGTTCGAGATCAGTCTGCCAACATGGTGAAACCTGGTCTCTACTAAAAATACAAAAAAAAAAAAAAAAAAAAAAAAATAGCCAGGTGTGGTGGTGCACACCTGTAATCCCAGCTACTCAGGAGGCTGAGGCAGGAGAATCACTTGAACCCAGGAGGCAGAGGTTGCAGTGAGCCAAGATCATGCCACTGCACTCCAGCCGGGGCGACAGGGAGAGATTCCATCTTAAAAAAAAAAAAAAAGTTTTATTTACTCAAATATTTAGTGACTATATCATAAAATGCTTTAAAATTATCATCTTTACTTTTTAATACAAATGAAAACATTAGTCAAAACCTAATTAAAACTTTGCTCTACTGTAGTTTAACACATCTCACTAATTCTCACTTTTTCCTCACTCATTCGTTCTCACTAATGTCCCCTGGTCACTCCCCCAGGGGTCATCTGACAATATGGGTAGGAGACATTTTTGGTTATCACAAATGGAGCAAGTGTGTTCCTGGCATCTAGTGGGTAGTGGCTAGAGAGGGTGCTAAACATCCTACCATTCACAGATCGGCCCTCCACAACAATGGATCACCAGTGCGAAATGTCACTAGTGCTTATGTTTTCTCATAGAACAACCCAAATATGTATTCACTAGTGCAAACTGTCACTAGTGTCACTAGTTGAGAAACCCTGATTTAAAGAGAAAGGTAAATCAAAACAAAAATTTATTTAAAAATGCCAATTTCCTCAAGACAAAATATATTCAGCCTAACCCAGACTTCCTGCATCCGCGTAAACAAAATAATACAATATTATAGGCATTAATTTTTGTATTTCTGAGCTCCTTTTATTGCTCTATAAGATTAAGGTAGTATAAATGCCTATATTAATGGGCTGTTGCAAAGATTGAATGAAGTATTTTAAAATTGTAATACAAATATTTTGTTATTGACACTATTACATAACCAAAAGTTTTTTTATAAAAACAAAATTGATTCTGTTGCATCTACTCTATAAAGTACAAAAATAAGCTAATGTATTTTAACATTTATGTACACCCATAAGAATTAAAAGTATTCTGCTATTGCTGAGGCTTGAGTAGGCGGGTTTTACCCTCATAGTGCAAACAAAACCACCAGGAAGTTCGAACTGGGCGGAGCCCACTGCAGCTCCCTGGGACAAAGCACCTGGGGGAAGGGGCGGCTGTGGGCACAGCTTCAGTGATTTAAATGTCCCTGCCTGACGGCTCTGAAGAGAGCAGCGGTTCTCCCAGCACAGTGTTTGAGCTCTGATAAGGGACAGACTGCCTCCTCAAGTGGGTCCCTGACACCCCCGTGTATACAGATTGGGAGACACCTCCCAGTAGGAGCCGACAGACACCTCATACAGGAGAGCTCTGGCTGGCATCTGGTGGGTGCCCCTCTGGGACAAAGCTTTCAGAGGTAGGAACAGGCAGCAATCTTTGTTGTTCTGCAGCCTCCACTGGTGATACCCAGGCAAAGAGAGTCTGGAGTGGACCTCCAGCAAACTCCAGCAGACCTGTAGCAGAGGGGCCTGACTGTTAGAAGGAAAAAACTATCAAACAGAAAGGAATAGTATCAACATCACCAACATCAAAGACCAAAGGTAGAAAAATCCATGAAGATGGGGAGAAACCAGTGCAAAAAGGCTGAAAATTCCAAAAACCAAAAGGCCTCTCCTCCTCCAAAGGATCACAACTTCTCGCCAGCAAAGGAACAAAATGGGACAGAGAATGAGTTTGATGAATTATCAGAAGTAGGCTTCAGAAGGTGGGTAATAACAAACTCCTTCGAGCTAAAGAAGCATGTTCTAACCCAATGCAAGGAAGCTAAGAACCTGGAAAAAAAGGTTATATGAATTGTTAACTAGAATAACCAGCTTAGAGAAGAACATAAATGACCTGATGGAGCTGAAAATCACAGCACGAGAACTTCGTGAAGCATACACAAGTATCAATAACCGAATCACAAGCAGAAGAAAGGATATCAGAGACTGAAGATCAACCCAATGAAATAAAGCAAGAAGACAAGATTAGAGAAAAAAGAGTGAAAAGAAATGAACAAAGCCTCCAAGAAATATGGGACTATGTGAAAAGGACCAAATCTACATTTGACTGTTGTACCTGACAGTGATGGGGAGAATGGAACCGAGTTGGAAAACACTCTTCAGGATATTATCCAAGAGACCTTCCCCAACCTAGCAAGGCAGGCCAACATTCAAATTCTGGAAATACAGAGAACACCACAAAGATATTCCTTGAGAAGAGCAACCCAAAGACACATAATTGTCAGATTCACCAAGGTTGAAGTGAAGGAAAAAATGTTAAGGGCAGCCAAAGAGAAAGGTTGGGTTACCCACAAAGGGAAGCCCATCAGACTAACAGTGGATTTCTTGACAGAAACCCTACAAGCCAGAAGAGAGTAGGGGACAATATTCAACATTCTTAAAGAAAAGAATTTTCAGCCCAGAATTTCATATCCAGCGAAACTAAGCTTCATAAGTGAAAGAGAAATAAAATCTTTTACAGAGAAGCAAATGCTGAGAGATTTTGTCACCACCAGGCCTACCTTACAAGAGCTCCTGAAGGAAGTACTACACATGGAAAGAAACAACTGGTACCAGCCACTGCAAAAACATACCAAATTGTAAAGAACATCGACACTAGGAAGAAACTGCATCAGCTAAAGGGGAAAATAACCAGCTAGCATCATAATGACAGGATCAAATTCACACATAACAATATTAAACTTAAATGTAAACAGGCTAAATGCCCTAATTAAAAGACACAGACTGGCAAATTGGATAAACAGTCAAGACCCATTAGTGTGCTATATTCAGGAGACTCATATCATGTGTAGGGACACACATAGGCTCAAAATGAATGGATGGAGGAAGATATACTAAGCAAATGCAAAACAAAAAAAAGCAGGGGTTGCAATACTAGTCTCTAATAAAACAGATGTTAAACCAACAAAGATGAAAAGAGACAAGAGTATTACATAATGGTAAAGGGATCAATGCAACAAGAAGAGCTAACTATCCTAAATATATATGCACCGAATACAGGAGCACCCAGTTTCATAAAGCAAGTTTTTAGAGACCTACAAAGAGACTTAGACTCCCACACAATAATAGTGGGAGACTTTAACACCCCACTGTCAACATTAGACAGATCAACGAGACAGATAATTAACAAGGATATCCAGGACTTGAACTCAGCTCTGGACCAAGCAGACCTAACAGACATCTACAGAACTCTCCATCTCAAATCAACAGAATATACATTTTTCTGAGCACCACATCGAACTTATTCTAAAATTGACCACATAATTGGAAGGAAAACACTCCTCGGCAGATGCAAAAGAACGGATCATGACAAACAGTTTCTGAGACCATAGTGCAATCAAATCAGAACTCAGGATTAAGAAACTCACTCAAAACTGCACAACTACATGGAAACTGAACAACCTGCTCCTGAATGACTAGTGGATAAGTAATGAAATTAAGGCAGAAATAAAGATGTTCTTTTAAACCAATGAGAACAAAGACACAACGTACCAGAATCTCTGGGACACAGCTAAAGCAGTGTGGAGAGGGAAATTTATAGCACTAAATACCCACAAGAGAAAGCAGGAAAGATCTAACATTGACTCCCTAATATCACAATTAAAAGAACTAGAGAAGCAAGAGCAAACAAATTCAAAAGCTAGCAGAAGACAAGAAATAAGATCAGAGCAGAACTGAAGGAGATAGAGACAGGAAAAACCCTTCAAAAAAATCAATGAATCGAGGAGCTGGTTTTTTGAAAAGATCAACGAAATAGATAGACCTCTAGCCAGAGTAATAAAGAAGAAAAGAGAGAAGGATCAAATAGACACAATAAAAAATGATAAAGAGGATGTCACCACCAATCCCACAGAAATACAAACGACCAGCAGAGAATACTATAAACACCTCTATGCAAATAAACTAGAAAATCTAGAAGAAATGGAAAATTCCTGGACACACACCCTCCCAAGACAAAACCAGGAAGAAGTCGAATCCCTGAATAGACCAATAACAAGTTCTAAAACTGAGGCAGTAATTAATAGCCTACCAACCAAAAAACGTCCAGGACCAGACAAATTCACAGCCAAATTCTACCAGAGGTACAAAGAGGAGCTGGTACCATTCCTTTTGAAACTATTCCAAAAAATAGAAAAAAAGGGAATCCTCCCTAACTCATTTTATGAGGCCAGCATCATCCGGTTACCAAAACCTGGCAGAAATGCAACCAAAAAAGAAAATTTCAGGCCAATATCCATAATGAACATCGATGCAAAAATCCTCAGTAAAATACTGGCAAACTGATTCCAGCAGCGTATCAAAAAGCTTATCCACCATGATCAAGTTGGCTTCATCCCTGGGATGCAAGGCTAGTTCAACATACGCTAATCAATAAAGGTAAACATCACATAAACAGAACCAATGACAAAAACCACATGATTATCTCAATAGATGCAGAAAAGGCCTTCAACAAAATTCAACAGCCTTTCATGCTAAAAACTCTCAATAAACTAGTTATTGATGGAACGTATCTCAAAATCATAAGAGCTGTTTATGACAAACCCACAGCCAATATCATACTGAATGGGCAAAAACTGGAGGCATTACCTTTGAAAACCAGCACAAGAAAAGGATGCCCTCTCTCACCACTCCTCTTCAACATAGTATTGGAAGTTCTGGCCAGGGCAATCAGACAAGAGAAAGAAACAAAGGGTATTCAATTAGGAAAAGAGGAAGTCAAATTTTCCCTGTTTGCAGATAACATGATTGTATATTTAGGAAACCCCATCATCTCAGCCCAAAATCTCCTTAAGCTGATAAGCAATTTCAGCAAAGTCTCAGGATACAAAATCAATGTGCAAAAATTAGAAGCATTCCTATACACCAATAACAGACAAACAGAGAGCCAAATCATGAGTCAACTCCCATTCACAATTCCTACAAAGAGAATAAAATACCTAGGAAAACAACTTTCAAGAAATGTGAAGGATCTCTTCAAGGAGAATGACAAACCACTGCTCAAGGAAATAAGAGAGGAAACAAACAAATGGAAAAACATTCCACGCTCATGGATAGGAAGAATCAATATCGTGAAAATGGCCATACTGCCCAAGGCAATTTATAGATTCAATGCCATCCCCATCAAGCTACCAATGACTTTCTTCACAGAATTGGAAAACACTACTTTAAAGTTCATATGGAACCAAAAAAGTGCCCTCACTGCCAAGACAATCCTAGTCAAAAAGAACAAAGCTGGAGGCATCATGCTACCTGACTTCAAACTACACTAAAAGGCAAAGCAAAACAGCATGGTACTGGTACCAAAACAGATATATAAACCAATGTAACAGAACTGGAGGCCTCAGAAATAACACCACACATCTACAACCATTGGATCACTGACAAATCTGACAAAAACAAGAAGTGGGGAAAGGATTCCCTATTTAATAAATGGTGTTAGGAAAACTGGCTGGCCATATGCAGAAAGCTGAAACTGGATCCCTTCCTTACACCTTATAGAGAAATTAACTCAAGATGGATTAAAGACTTAAATGTTAGACCTAAAACCACAAAAACCATAGAAGAAAACCTAGGCAATACCATTCAGGATGTAGGCATGGGCAAAGACTTCATGACTAAAACACCAAAAGCAATGGCAACAAAAGCCAAAATTGACAAATGGGATCTAATTATACTAAAGAGCTTCTGCAGAGCAAAAGAAACTATCATCAGAGTGAGCAGGCAACCTACAGAATGGGAGAAAATTTCTGCAATCTATCCATCTGACAAAGGGCTAATATCCAGAATCTACAAAGAACTTAAACAAATTTACAAGAAGAAAACAACCCCATTAAAAAGTGGGTGAAGGATATCAACAGACACTTCTCAAAAGAAGACATTTATGCAGCCAACAAACATATGAAAAAATGCTCATCATCACAGGTCATTAGAGAAATGCAAATCAAAACCACAATGAGATACCATCTCACATCAGTTAGAATGGCGATCATTAAAAAGTCAGGAAACAACAGATGCTAGAGAAGATGTGAAGAAATAGGAAAGCTTTTACACTGTTGGTGGGAGTGTAAATTAGTTCAACCATTGTGGAAGACAGTGTGGTGATTCCTCAAGGATCTAGAACCAGAAATACCATTTGACCCAGCAATCCCATTACTGGGTATGTACCCAAAGGATTATAAGTCATTCGACTATAAAGACACATGCACACTTATGTTTATTGCGGCACTGTTCACAATAGCAAAGACCTGGAACCAACCCAAATGCTCATCAGTGATAGACTGGATAAAGAAAATGTGGCACATATACACCATGGAATACTATGCAGCCATTAAAAAGGATGAGTTCACATCCTTTGCAGGGACATGGATGAAGCCGGAAACCATCATTCTCAGCAAACTAACACGAGAACGGAAAACCAAACACCGCATGTTCTGACTCATAAGTGGTAGTTGAACAATTAGAACACATGAACACAGGGAGGGGAACATCACACACTGGGGCCTGTTGGGGAATGAGGCACTAGGGGAGGGATAGCATTAGGAGAAATACCTAATGTAGATGACAGGTTGATGGGTGCAGCAAACCACTATGGCACATGTATACCTATGTAACAAACCTGCACCTTCTGCACATGTACCCCAGAACTGAAAGTATAATAAAAAAGGGACTTCTAGTTAAAGAGAATTTTTATTATCAAAAATATGTGATTAATAACATCAAATCTTCCATATGTGCATCCCATTTCATGTTCACAACATCACTGAACACAGGTATTATTATTCCTATCTTCTAGATGCAGAAATTGAGCTGTAGGTAAACTAATTCACCTAGTGTCATGCCACTATTACATGGTAGAAGGGAGTCTCCCAAATTTGACCTTAGCCCTTGACCAAACTCACGCAGAACAGTCCTCATGCAAAACAGCACAGCTTCATTTCCAAAAGTGTTGGCAATACTTTGTTTCTATGGAATTTCATTGGTAAAGCAAAGAAAATGAAAAGAACGCTACTTACTTAAAATACTAGGCATAAATATATCAGAGGCTGGACAGTATAAGTACAAAATAATTGCTAACATTAGTTTGCATAACTATCATTTTCTTGTCTATTTATGGAGTACTCACTGTCTATTAAAGTGCTCAACGTACTACAAGCGCTATAGAGGCTTCTTTAAAATAGGTACAACATATCATACAACATAGTACTTGCTTATGTAAATGTCTGTCTTCATCTAGGGGGACTATGAATGTCCTGGTGATAGGAATGTGCATGCTCTTGCCATGGTCAACACTGATCTCCACTACACTAAATGTAATGGTCAATTATCAGTTCTTTTCATCTTTTATTTATTGTCTGTTACCCTCATTCTTATAAGCATGTAAGCTCTATGAAGGTAGGAGTTTTTGACTGTTTTAAAAATCACTGAACCCTACTGCCTATAACAGAGTTTGCTCATAATAGGGGCTCAGTACATATTTGTTGAATATATAACTAACTGAATGAGCGCAAAATCTTTCTTATTCTCCTAGGTGGAAGTGCACTCTCATTTCTCTGAAATCCCTTTAAATCTCTCTTTTGGATGTTTCATCATCTTCCTTGCAGTATAATTATATATCATCTGATTCCCCTACTTGATGATGAGGTCATAATGAATTCTGAATAAATATTTTTAATGAACTCCATCCTCTATCAGTTTTGAAAACTGCTTTCTGTAAATTAGGAAATTCTCATAAGATTCAGTCATTCATATTTATATTCATTCACATATTAATTCTAACTTGTGCATATTTGAAATATTTTGAATTCCTAAATCAGTAAAACTTCATAGTTGTAATACATTTATAGGGCTAGAGGGTCAGATCTACGAAGTAAAGTACACTTAGGTCTACCTACCATCCCTATTTCCTTCATCCTGGTCTTTTCAGTCCTATGAATAACCACTAAAAAAGAAAAGAAAACCCAAATAATACTTTTTAGTTTATCATTTTATTGTTAAAAAAGCAAATATATATGTGTAGGTAAAGGTATACTTATATTCTCCCTCTTCTTCGTCAAATAGTAACATACATTTGTTTTCAACTTGCCACTTTCACTTAGCAATATTGCCTGAGATCATTCCACAGCATAAGATGAAAACTTTAATTTTTTTACAACTGCATAGTACAACGTAATACCACACTTCTTTCAACCAATTTCTATTAATATATATTTGGGTTGTTCCCAGTATTTTTTGCTATTACAAATAGGGCTGAAAAATCTTTTTACAATATTTGACAGTGACAGAGATGTGTTTGTGGGATCTAAGGGTGAGTGTATATGTAAATATAGCAAAATTCTCCTCCACAGAGGCTGTACAGTTTGCATTCCCAACAATAAATGAAAGTGCCTGTTTTCTCACAACCTTCCTCTTAAGAGTATTTTATTTGTTGCCTAGTGCTATAGCAACAAGTTACCACAAATTTAGTAGATTAAAAACACAAATTTCTTATCTTACAGTTCTGGAAATCAGAAGTCAAAAATAGTTCTCAGGGAGCTAAAATCAGGGCGACAGCAGATTTGTATTCCTTTCAGAGGCTCCAGGAGAAAATCCATTTCATTGCCTTTTCCAGCTTGTAGAGGTTGCCCACATTCCTTGGCTTGCAGTCCCCTTCCACCTTCAAAGGCACTGATCACACCGTTCTAACCTCTGCTTCCATCATCAGATACATCTCCTCTGACTGACTCCTCTTTCACTGGTAAGGACCTTTGTGATTACTTTGGGCCCATCTGAGTAATCCAGGATAATCTTCATCTCTCATAATCCTTAATATCTTCAAAATCTCTTTTGCCATGTGAAGTTCTGGGAACTAGGATGTGCACATCTTTGGGGGTCACTTTTCTGCTTACCACAAGTATGTTTTCAACCTTTTGTGTTTTTGCCAACCTTACTGATAAACAATAGTAATTTCAGTGATTTCAATTAGCATTTTTATGAGTGAATTGGAACATCTTTTCCTATATTTAAGGACCCTTTGCATTTATGTTATGCAAACTATCTTTGGATGTCTCTTGCCCATTTTTATAGAGTTGCTGGTCTTCTTTTAATTTTAAAAGTGCTTTATATTTTAGGGATAACAACCCTTTGTTTATGACAAAAATTGCAAATATTTTCCATTTGTTATTGTGCATTAACAAGTGAAAAATATTTGCAATTATTTTAGTATAAAAAGTTTTTTTTTCTAAATTTTCATATTGTCACCTTTATTAGCCTTTTCCTTTATTGCTTCTGGATTTAGAATCAGTTAAGAAACTTTTGGCCACTCTGAGGTTACAGAGTAATTCACCTTTGTTTTCTCCTAGTAACATAATAGTTTTTGAATTTAAATTTTTGATCTTTTTAGAATTTGATTCTGTTACATTTGGAACAGATTCAGTTTTCTCTTTTCCCATATAGCTGTTCATCTATCCCAATACCACTTGCTGAGAAGCCCATCTTTTTCCTACTGATTAATGCCAATTTTTCAACTAAATTTCCATACTTTATTTGATCTATATATATTTTAATTCTGTTTTTATTAATAGACCTTTCTTTTAAACTATTATATTTTATTATAAAACTACTTAAAGTTGGCAAACATTCTATTAACAACCTGCCCATTAGTGTCTGTAATTGAAATTAAAGTATTTTATTATGTGTTCACGTGTCCTTGCCCATGAGGATTTGAAGTGTTTGGGTACTATCTTAATTCCCTTTTATTTCCCTAGTGTCTAGCAGTGCTCCTTGCATATTGAAGATCATCAATAAATCACTATTTAAAATGTATAAATGAAAATGGTGGACAGTAATTCTCTGCTGGAATACATTATGTTTAGATACAAATGTTGAGTTTTCCAACTAAATGTACAAATCTTGTTTGATCCAACAAGAACTCTGAGTGCTAGGCATAAAAGGTATTTCTTACTTCGACTTTACAAATGAGAAACTTGAAGCTCAGAAATGCTTAAGTGACTTTCTCAAGGTCACACAAGCTAAAAGTAGAACTGGAACTGAAATTCTGGCTTCAAATTTAATTTTTTTTATGTTAGAGATAAGATGTTTGGCATGATTTCATCCCTTTTTAGATATCTCTCTTTCCATTCCAAAATAATTTTTATCATAGGGATGTACAAGTTACTAAGGTCTAAACCTGGCAAATAATGAGATGAATCAATTATTCTCCAGCAAAAAGAATGCATGAGAGCTGAAATAACAGTTATAAAAGATCAGTTTTAAACATTATTCTGAGGATAATAATATTAATTACATGCCTGAGGGTGGTATTAAAAAATAAAACACGTGAGTTTTTGTTCAGCATCTTTACTGTACACGTCTTTTACCCGTTTTTCTACTTCACTTATTTTTTTACTAATATATAATGAAAACTATGTATAAATTTCTATGTTTATATATCAGCACAAGGCTCTACACAAAAGCAGCCCAGGAAATGTCAATACTGTATTTCTAAGTACGATTAACAGGACAAAAAGGAATGAACAAGAATAAAAAGAATTAGTGAGTTTTCTTTGTTTTGGAATTATTGGTTTACTGTTTCTAATGATAAAGAAATAAAACAAAATAAGTACAATAAAAATACATAAAATTAGTATTAAAAGATGGTTGAAATACACTATGTTCTTATATTTAAAAAGTTGAATATCTATTTAACAAAGTTGCCCTGATAATATAGTATTCTATTCTAGTTTGTTTGGCAATACATTAACTAACTGATTAACTTAAGAACATCAATTTTGTATTGAGCTCTGTGGTTCATCTTGAGAGATTTACAGTAATATTTTTAATTTAAATACATTTCATTGTGATTATATTGAAAATCATCATAGACTCTAGTAAAATGTCTTATACATTTCATTGTTACTGTGAATCATTATAAATATATTATTTAAGCTAAATACATTTGCATTTAATAAATAAGCATTCCGAATCTAGATAAAATGTTCATTTCCAGAATTAAGATTCCTAAGGGAGAAAACAAAATTGCTGCTATGGAAGCTAAACATAATGCTGTATAATCGATTGGTTCACTTAAAGGCATCGGCAATGCTCCCTTTGATGACAGATTAAGTAAATATGAGAGTAGACAGCACAAACATTATGGTATTCTACAACATATTGTAGCAAAGACTATGAACATTGGTCATGCTCTAGAGCAAGCAATGTGGGTGAAAATGTTTTATGAGAAATGTATTTAAAAAGAAATTGAGGAAAAATATTTATATTAATTATATAAATGGTGAGTAAATAGTGACATACAGCATAGGGTGATTGAAACCAAAAGAGTGTCCAGGGCTTTCAGAGACAGAAAAAAGTTCCAGACCTTTAAAAATAACCAAAATGATCATAAAGATTTATTTATGTAAAGAAAAATCTCCATTTGCATGTGTAATGGAAAAATCCAAAGTGAACAAGAAACTACAATCCCTACCAATTTACAACAGAGAGGCAAAAAAAAAAAAAAAAGATGCAGCTGATCAGTAACATTAATCAAATGAATTATAGATCAGATAAGCATGATGACCTGTTACCCTTCCTTCATTGTATAAAACAGCCTGGAAGCTTCAGGAGAGGTCAAAATGTTGTCAACATTGCTGGCTGCCCTGGGAGTAGGTTTCTTTGTTAAATAATATCAGAAAAGCAATAGCAGTACATTCTACATGACTTACAGGCTTCACTAGCAAGGCCAGTAGATACAACCACTGTAGGAATGGTTACATGCTTAGGGGCAACAAAGAATATGTCGCTCTTGCTATGGTCTGAATGTTTGTATCCTCCCCCAAATTCATATGAAATCTAATCTACAAAGTCCTGGTGTTATCAGGTGAAGTCTTTGGGATGTAATTAGGTTATAAGAGCCAGACTCTCAAGAATGAGATTAGTGTCCTTATGAAAGAAGGCCAATGGAGTGTGTTTGCATCTTTCACCATAAGAGGATACAGCAAGAAGGCACTATTTATGAACCCGAAAGTTGGGCCCTCACCAGATACTGAATGTGCCAGTGCCTTGATCTTGAACTTACCAGTCCCTGAAATTGTAAGAAATAAATTTCTGTTGTTTATAAGTCAACAGAAGTTTATGGTATTTTTGTTGTAGCAGTCCAGATGGAATAACACACCTCTCACTAGTTGGAATAGTGAAGATCACTGGTGGGAACAATAAGATCAGAGGAAAAGAAGGCTGTCATTCCAGAGTGAAAAACAAGATCATGTCTCTCTCTACCACTCTAAATTCAAAAACAAGAGCATGTCTCATACAACCACAAAGAATGATACTGTATTTGGGTTCTATTCATTACATATTCCTTGGTTAAAGTCAGCCTCCTGAATAAGCATTTGGTGATCTTTCAAGTAATCTGAATCTATTCCCAGTATTACCACTGAGTTATCGATCCAGTTTTCCCACCTGCAAGATGGGGCCAATATCTTGATTGCCTTTCTTTCTTAACCAAGATGTGATGAGAGCAAGTAAGATAACATGCTATCAGCTATTTGGAAGAATGAAGGAATGCAGAATTGGAAGGTGTTCTAACAGTATATGTAAGATAAAGGATCATCATTCTAGCACAGGTTGGGAGAATGAATAGAAATGAATTGGAACCCAAAGCTGTTATCAATAGAGGGTGACATGACACAATAAGAAAAGGCTGCAGGCTGTATTTTGTTTCTTTTCTATCTATGATAACTATATTCCTTATCAAAGTAATCCCAACTACTATTGCTCATTAAAGCTGTCATGTTTTCACAATCTCATCTGCCTTATAATTGAAATTCTTACTTTAACAGCGTTATCTTAATGTTATTGCTAGCTATGGAATGTCTTGTGAAGAGTGCAACATTAAAGTTAATTTGGCCCTACATCTTTGGTAATGTATACTGTCTGGAATATAATAAACTACAGATACTCACACTTCAACTGAAATGCGTCAAGGTTACTTTCTCAATTATTGTAGTTTGTTATAGGTGACCCCTAACATGGTTAGTTATCATTTCTCACATTTGATGAATCTCATATTGCTTGTGGTCTTTTTTGTTAGAGCAGCAGAAATCAGAATTCCTAATGATGTGAAGTTTTGTTTTCTTTCCTCCTTTTATTCTTAATTAAAACCTGTTATGCACTTCAGCTGAGCTTCCCAGTGAGAAAAATTAGATCAGTATTATAATATAAGAATTAAGAAAGTACTCCTAGGATTATAGTCAATGTGTAACTCAAAAATATATTATAGTGAATAAAAAATAGGGGCCAATATTGTTAAGTGGCAACTTCCATTATGCAAAACCTACAGTTCATATAATTTAATGTCTATAAAATGCTATCAAAGAAACTATATACAAAGTATGCTAATAAAGTAAAACAATCTCACTTAATAAGCTTTTATTCCCATTCAGGTATAATGATTTTCCTATTGCTTATTGAATAAATGCCTGGAATATCATACCTAGTAAATACTCCACATGTAAATGGGTCAAATCAAGAGACTACTAAAACCTTAGGGATTAATACTAAAAGTTTAAAAATTTAAACATTTTAAGATAATTATTTTCAATACTAATATGATAAATCAAAAACTCTGAGATTCAATTAAAAGTTAATCTTTGATGCCTGGGATTTGCTTCAAAATAATCAATGCTGAAGTTCGGGGTGAGAGAGCATAAAGATGAAACAAGATTGGCCATGAGTCAGCAGTTCTCGAAGTTGAGTGATATGACTTATCTCTCTATTTCTATGTACACTCAGTTTTTTCTTATAAAAGTTAAAAATTAACCTTTGATATTAATATTTCTTTTCTTATATAATGGAGTTATTTCACTAAGAAGGCCTCATAAGAACTGGAAATATACAACTGTTTATTTTATGAAGATATTTTCCAAAATTCAATTTTTGGATTCTTGTTTTTTAAGCACATATTACATATTCCCCACCCCTAGTATTTCATTACAGAATATTCCTCAGTTGATATCTATGCATATATAGCTATGGGAAAACTAACGTTTGAAGATATGCATACCTATAAATGGGTAGCCAGACCCCACCAATGTTGGAAATTAATTTACGTCTCTTCAAAACCAAATTTTGGGTTGGTGCAAAAGTAATTGCAGTTTTTGCCATTACATCTGCACCAATCTAATACAACAAGATACCATCACACAGTCATTAGAATAACAAAACAAAATACAAAATCTCAACAATACCTAGTTCTGGTGAGGTTGTGAAGCAACTGAAACTCTCATGTGTTGTGGGGAGAAATACGAAATGGCATATACACTTTGGAAAATTGCTAAAGTTAAACATACTTTTACCATATGGCCCAGAAATCCTACTGATAGCTTTTTACCTGAGAGAAATAAAAACATATTTTATTAGAAAGACCTGTATGCAAACATTAATGATAGCTTTATTTACAGTAGCTCCAGGTCCTGAAAAATACAAATGTCTACTATCTGGTGACTGGATAAATAAACTGTGGTGGATATACAATGGAATAAACTTAGTAATAGAATAAACTACTGATACGTAATGGCATGGTTGGAGCTCATTGAAAGTATTGTGCTAAGTGAAAGAAACAAGACACAGAAGTCTGCATAAAATATGGTTCCCCGGGAGGCGGAGGTTGCAGTGAGCCAAGATCTTGCCACTGCACTCCAGCCTGGCAACAGAGTGAGACTCGGTCACAAAAAAAAAAAGTTCCATTTTCATGATGTTCTGGGAAAGGCAAAACTATAAAGGCACAAATAAGTGGTTCTAAGGGTCTTGGGGCAGAGTGATGGGCTTTGCTTTCCATGGTGATGAGCACATTGTATATCTTGATTGGTGTGGTCACTGTATGACTGCACACACTTGTAGAACAAACAGTGATGGAGTATGAATGAGGCTTCTTATTTGTATAATATATTTTTCTGCATTTTACAAAATTTTACAATTAAGATATATTACTTTTCTTAGAGAAATAGCTAACATTATTTAAAAATTAACAACTGATGTTATAACTATATTGCCCTCACAATTCAAGAATATGTAGGAAAATAATTATTGTGACAATCACATTGTCGTTCAGTGCTGGATGAAAACTGTGTATATGTATTATGCGTGCATTTACATATTCATACACTCACATTAAATTCAATACAGTGGGAGGCTGATTAGAGGTATATAGTTAATCAAATATTATGGCAAAAAGAGGGTTTATATATTAATGTAAATATAATGAAATATCTTTATTACTAATTATACTAACATTAAACTTACTTAGATGAATTAAAAGTATTCTGAGATCCTATGGTGCTTTGGGTTTATCATCATTTGCATGTTATTGTAACACATGAGAAATAGTGTGTAGTAAGAGAACTAGACTGAAAGAGAATGAAAGAAGAAGCAGTAGCAGAAGAAGAAAGAGATGATTCAAGGGGTGATATAATTAATGTCATCCTTAACAGCAGATTCTAAGATATTCTAGAGTATCAATTATGTCATAAGCACTTTTGTGCTATCTGGAATGTCTAGTATAGAGCACTGTACATTATTTTGCTTAATGAATGAGGTCATCAAAATTTAATGTACTTTTAATAAAATGTTATTTGGAACTGCTTGAAATTTAATTTATATAGGCATAATCATTCTATTTTGTGAACGTAGTTTCTAAAAATTTCTAAAATTCCTCCAAACACATAGATGTTATGATGTATCTTTCAAAGACATTTAAGAGGCCACATATGCAATACATTTTTAAAAGTTTTGAAAGAATGCTTCTTCTAACAGGAAGTTATAAGCAAAAAATTTATGTAAGTTCATTAATACTCAATATTTACTCACATTTATTCATGTTGAATACATATTCATTTATATTTACTCCTAGAATAAAAACATATGTGTAGATGTGTACAATATACTGGCTGAACAACTTCTTTCAATGTGGTTACAAAAAGATTTTTCCTGTTCACTTAAAATCTATATTTTTTCTAAACAAAGTTCTTTTTGTTATTTTTTTAAGTCTGAGTTACTGTATGTGTATTTTAATACACATACAATTTTAATAAAATACACATAGTATTTTAATGCATTAAAATACAATAAGAAAGTTGCATAATTGAGCAATTAAAACACAGATCTATCTAATTGAGAATAATCAATAAATAAAGCAAAATCAGGCAGTCCTAATTACTTTGTAACTCAAATATTTTTTAAGATCTTAAACATCAGTTTTCCCTTTCACTTCTACTTGAACTGTTATTCACAAGAATAGGGACTGTGCTCCTACATAATTTCTATATCCTCAATGCTTCACTGTTGCTCAGCAATCCTTTTTATCACCTTAAGATAATGTTTCTCATTCATTTTTTCTTTA
Source organism: Homo sapiens (assembly GCF_000001405.40). Lineage (NCBI taxonomy): Eukaryota > Metazoa > Chordata > Mammalia > Primates > Hominidae > Homo > Homo sapiens. The sequence goes on along the minus strand of NC_000010.11, from coordinate 115,743,473 downwards.
TTATTTCTTTCTTTTGTTTCGAACTTTAAGAATTAGTTAAACTACCACTTTAGGCAATTTCCTCTAGGACAAGAGAACAACAGAGACAGAGTCAGAGGCAAGGGCAGGGATGTTGTGTGGAGTCAGCTTATTGGGGTGAAATGACAAGAAATGGCTGGATAGGAATGGTAGTATCAGATCCATGTAGGGTATATAGTACATTATATAGAAGAGTTGTATTTTTTTTTTTTTTTTTACTATAAGAGATAGGAAGCTAATATGGTTTGTCTGTCTCCCCACCCAAATCTCATCTTGAATTGTAGTTCCCGTAATCCCCATGTGTGGTGTCCTGGGAAGCACCTGGTGGGAGGCAACTGAATCATGGAGTGGTTACCTCTATGCTGTTCTCATGATAGTGAGTGAGTTCTCATGAGATGTGATGGCTTTATAAGGGACTTTTCCCCTTTTACTCGGCACTTCTCCTTCCTGCTGCCATGTGGAGAAGGACATATTTGCTTCCCCTTCCTCCTTCATTGTAACTTTCCTGAAGCCTCCCCAGCCATGCTGAACTGTGAGTCAATTAAACCTCTTTCCTTTGTAAATTACCCAGTCTGGGGTATGTCTTTATTAGCAGTGTGAGAATGGACTAATAGAGAAGCCATTGGGGAATTCTGAGCAAGGTGATATGAGAAGATTTGCATGCTAGAAAGATTACTTTAGTAGCAATGTGGAAAACTGCCTGGAAGAGTGAAGGCAGGGAAACCAGTAAGGAAGATAATGTAACAGAGCAGGAAAAAAATCATGAAGGCTTGAAACAGGGGCAGTAGTGATGATAAAGAGATTCATTTAAGATATACTTAGGCTGTAGAACAGGCAGAGCTCAATGACAGATAGAAAATGAAGAATAGAGTGAAAGGAGATGGATAACTCAGTTTTTGTCTTAACCATCATAGCCTTTGAAACAAATGTTCTACATCTCTTACTATTCTTAAGCCTCAACCTTGTACATCAAGTTCACTCTCTGCAGGTGACCTTACTTCTCAATTATCGTGAAAAATTATAAGATCATCGAAGGTAAACTCCTATCAAATAGAAAGGCTCAAAATGTACTTTCATCTTTACCCATAATTTTATTATCCTTTTTCATCTTTCTAAAATTAATACTTCTACTTGACTTCTTGATCCTTTCTCTGCTTTCACCTCCCCTTTATCCTACTATACATTTTTTCCCTTGAATATTTCTTCCCCAAAAAAACTTTCTCTTGAAACTGCCAATTTCTTAAATTACTATCTCATGTCCTTCCTTCCTTTCAATATTGTCAGTTTCAAAATGGGTCATCTATCCTTGTTGCATCCACTTTCTCATCTTCACACATCTCTTGCGGTCTGGCTTCTGCCATTTAATAGAAATTACTTCCTCAAAAGCCACCAATGACTGCATAATTACCAAATTCCATCTTTTCTCCTAGTGCTTATCTTCATTGACTGCTTTGAAATGGATGACATATTTTACCACACCATCCTTCTTGGCATGCAGTCTTATTCTTAATTCTAATAGTTCTAAAACTCTTCAATCTTCTTAATTCTGTACTCTTTCTCAGCCTGTCATTTGAATCTTTGTTTCTTTGTAGCAATTTTCCTAGATTCTACCTTCAATTCTCTTTTCTCACTCCCATGAGTTCAAGTACATATGAAGAAGACCCAACCTTCTGACCCCTCCCTCTTTTTGACCCAGACTATCCCTATATTCAGTTACTTACATTCTATATATTCTACATTGTCAAAGTTTTCAGTAATATTTGCACCTTAACATTTTGACAATCACTAGTTCAGCGCCTGCCCTTCCAAATTGTTTCTCTACCTCAATTATTCTTCAATCCAGTTGATGCTAGAAAATGCTGCCAGTGTAATCTTTCTAAAATTAATCATAAAACTCTTCTCAAAAACCTTCTGTGTGATCCTCGGCATCTTGTTTAAATTGTCTTCCATGATATGCTCCTATATTTGCTACCTTAACTCTCACAGCTGCTTCCTCATTGGGTGAATGTGGCCTTCTCACTGCCTCACTCACATACCACCCTGTTTTCTGTCTCCGTCCCTCGCTCACCTTGCTCTCTCAACTTGGCATGCTTCTTACCTGTCTCCATCCTCACCTATTCCTATCTCTGCCTACTGACATTTTAGGTACCTTTAAAGCCCAAGATAAATGACCACAACCTTTCCTGAAACATTCAGCAATACATTGAGTATTGTATTCCTTTTTCCTCTTCTTCATGCTTATTGTCCTTTTGGCATTAATAACATATTTTTATTAGAGGTATTTTTACACGCACATATCTCTCTTGTTAGTCTGTAAGTTTCTGAAAGGTAAAGATAACATATTTTCCATATCTACCTCCTGTATTGCTTTGCATATAGGTCAATATTTGTGGAGACAATTGTTCATAGTATATAGAGTTTGTTTTTAAGGTAGAATTTCCAGTTTAAAATATGGAAAAATAAAACTGAGCTGTTATTACTTTTATTTTCCAAAATGTGCTGGGATGAGTAAAAAAATCAAGAAATAAAAACTCCTTCATAAAAAATTGCACTTAAACTTTACATACTTGATAGTCTATTCCATAACATTGTGTGTGTGTTTGTGTGTGTGTGTGTGTGTGTGTGTGTGTGTGTTTAAAGAGATAGGATTGGCCGGGTGTGGTGGCTCACACCTGTAATCCCAGCACTCTGGGAGGCTAAGGCAGGTAGATCACTTGAGGTTAGGAGTTTGAGGCCAGCCTGGCCAACATGGTGAATCACCATCTCTACTAAAAATACAAAAATTAGCAAGGCATGGTGGTGTGTGCCTGTATTCCCAGCTACTCAAGAGGCGGAGGCAGAAGAATTGCATGAACCCGGGAGGTGGAGGTTGCAGTGAGCCAAGATTGTGCCACTGCACTCCAGCCTGGGACAGAGCAAGACTCCGTCTCAAAAAAACAAAATAGATAGATAGATAGATAGGATCTTGATATTGCTCAGCCTGGCCTGGAACTTCTGGCCTCATATGATCCTCCCACCTCAGCCTCACAAGTAGCTGGGACTATAGGTGTGTGCTGCTGCACCCAACTTTCTGCCCCACTTTTATATGTCATTAATGGTAAATCCAGAGCCTTTCTCTATAAAGCAAATTTAAAAAGACATATAATAATATAAACAAAATTATCAAGTGTGAATATAAGAAAAGGTCTCTGGTATGAAATATGTAAGAACTATGACCTTTGATGAAAAAAAATCTATATTAAGATTTGAGGTAAATTTGCATATTTAATACTCTAAATTTTGACCTAGTTGCTATTTTATTTTCTAAGGAAGTAAAATATGGGAACACATGAAAATGTTTATCTAAAGTATAACATTATTGGTTTCTTAGATTCTACACATAAAATATCTAGCTTTACATTTTGAATATCTGGTATTTCACTTCATAAGATTCTATTTGATTTAACAGCATTTTAAGGATTCTTACAGTCAGCTATTCCATTGAGGATATAAACCTGATGAGATTATCTCCTACTGCGTGTAACAGAAAAAAGGATATACAAGTTAAATTAGTAACTGATTTTATATGAAACATAAGCAAAAAATATATTAAGCAAAATCATAAATTTAGTGTAAAAGTAACTGTCATAGGCAATAACAGCCTAATAAAATATTTAAACAAAAACTAGGAAATAACTACTGCATACTACCAGACATAAAATGAATGCTTCACGACAATCTAAAAGGTTAGAAACAGGAGCCAAAAATATGACTAGCTGATTGCTGTTACTGAGAAAGTTGTATTAATTAGGATGTTAATACTACTTTTGTGTTAATGTTTTAAACACAATCATTTTAACATACATAGGAATGAGTATTCAAAGGGTTTGACAATACTCAAATTTACCCTACTGTGTTTCATAGATTGTGGAATGTTCTTGGGTGCAGGAGATACAATCTGCCCATTCTGTTGAGCACAGTTATTTTTGGTGGATTCAATATGTTACCTCTTTTATCTGACAGTAGGTGAAGGGTGGAGGACAGTGTTGGCAATTCAGTCTTGTTTATCCAAAGCTATAACACTGTTCCCAAGCATTGTTAAACTGTATTTATAACTTTCCAATAAAGGATATTATAGTCTTACTTTACATAGCCATTTCTTACTTGCAAGGATGCTGTATAAAAATAGTTTATGCTAGATTGATTCAGCTGTGATGTGACCATATGCTTAAATAATACATTATTCTCTTGAATGGCAGCCAGTATGAATAAGGTTGATCAGGACTATAAGCCTTTTGTACATCCAAATGTTTCTATTTATTATGTCAGACACAGTGAAGAGAAACCAGTTTTTTGTTGTTGCTGTTGTTCATTTTCATCTTTACATTTTTCTCCATCATAGCTTATATTCATCTTAAATGATTTAAGATAAGATAAAAATAATATTTCAATAGTGCAATGAAAAATTTCATTTGTAAAATTTTAATTTTGGATGTATACAATAATTATAAATATATATATTTAGCTTTTGACTCAGTGAATTCTGAATGAAAGATGATAGCAGTAATTTACTTTATTAGGACAGTTAACCTAGGGCATTTATCAAATTATTTATTTAAACTGTAAACAAATGACTTTTATCATGCTTAAAGTTCAGATTATATTAACTTAAAACCATGTAGATTTCAATAATTTCAGTAATACATTATATTCATACCTTTTTAATAGTTCTATTTATATCATGTTAATATTGAAGAAGCACCATTACTTAATTCTTATTTCATGCTTCAATCAATCATGAAACTCACGATGTTTATGTTAATACTACAAATCTGACATTTCCAAAACATTTTTTCCAAAACATTGCCTGCTAAATGGTTTTGGTGAAGAAAGGTCTTTTTATAATTTTAACATAAAGATGAAGAAAATTCCAAAATGCAGCTGGGAAACTAGATCTTTCCTCACTTCAAGAACCAAAGGTGTGCCTATAAAAATCTCTTATTTATTGTAAATAATTTTCTTAAAATAAAAAATCATGGCTGGGCATGGCAGCTCATGCCTGTAATCCCAGCACTTTGGGAGGTCGAGGCAGGTGGATTACCTGAGGTCGGGAGTTCAAGACCAGCCTGGCCAACATGGTCAAACCCTGTCTCTACTAAACATATAAAAATTAGCTGGGCATTGTAGTGGGTGTCTATAACCCCAGCTACAGACTGGGGCTGAGGCAGGAGAATTGCCTGAATCTGGGAGGCAGAGGTTGCAGTGAGCCGAGATCGTGCCAGTGCACTCCAGCCTGGGCGACAGAGCAGGACTCCATCTCAAAAAAAAAAAAAAAAAAAAAAAAAAAAAATCATTATCTTCTAAATCATTTTTTATGAAGAATTTGGCAATTTCCTTACAATTTCCTTCTGTCTACTACCAACTGAAAATCATCTCCCTCTCTTAAGGCAAATGGCTCATGGGGCCTATAGGCAACTATGTGCAATTAGGGATTGGGTCCTATAGAAACTCTGGTGGAGGGAACTCATGCCTTACTTTCTCCCATTTGGACTGGCCAAGTGCATAGGAACCAGCATCAAGACCCAGTGTAAGAATTTTACAGAGGCTTGGTCTAGAGAGAACTGTAAACACCAAGAGAAAAGTCAATACAGTTCCTAAAAGACTATACCTGGACTCTCTGGTCCCCAAGAGGCTTAGAAAGAAGCAGAATTGGGGGTCTGAGTCCTCATTCTCTCTGAAACTGGGGGAGTACCAAAAGGTCTGTAGGAAATGGATGGCTTGACTGTTTCTATGCTACTACCACATTAACAAGTGAAGGGGACCTCCCTTCCCATCCCTTTCAACTTGCCAAAGCCTGAGTCTTAAATTGGTGACAATGAAAATATCGAGCCAAGGCCAGGAGGAGGAATGGCAATCCAAAGAGAACCTGTGTTCAGTAAAATAGAGTTGCCAGAGGAGACAACTACAGATAGTGTAAGTAGGGCCTTCCCACTTCAAAATAACCAAATGCTTAATGAAGTATACTTTTCTTTTTTTTTTTTTAGACAGGGTCTTGCTCTGTTCAACCAGGCTGGAGTGCAGTGTATGATCATGGCTCACTGCAGCCTCGAACTCCCGGGCTCATGCACTTCTCCCACCTCAGACTCCTGAGTAGCTGAACCATAGATGCATGCCACCATGCCCAGCCTTTTTTTTTGGGGGGGGGGGATGTTTTGTAGAGACAGGGTTTTGCCATGTTGCTCAGGTGGATTTTGACCTCCTAAGCTTAAGGAATCCTCCTGCCTAGGCCTCCCAAAGTGCTGTGATTACAAGCATGAGCCACCGTGCCTACCCAATGAAGTATACCTTTTAATGCATTGCTGAGAATGCAGCCAGTAAGGGAATGCTCCAAGGCAACCAGATAAAACTGCTCCAAGGCAACCAGATAAAACTGGAGAGGGTGCAATGAGCAGCAAGCAAATATGACAGCAGAGTGGCCCTGAGGGTAAAAGTTAATATGAGCAACTCACACGGTAAGAAAACTGAGTTTGAAAATACAAAAATTAGCCAGGCATGGAGGCACACACCTGTAGTCCCAGCTACTCGGGAGGCTGAGGCAGGAGAATCACCTGAACCTGCGAGGCAGAGGTTGTAGTGAGCTGAGATCATGCCACTGCACTCCAGCCTGGGCGACAGAGCAAGACGCCGTCTCAAAAAAATAATAAATAAATAAAAAGGAAAACTGAGTTTGAGATTCCTGCACTATTCCAGAGACCCTGGAAGAAGTGACTACAGAATAAAGAGAGGCCCTTGGTTTTTGGCAAAAGCAATCCTCTATGCAGGAAAGCATTCTTTGGGTCACTAGCAAACCACAAACTAAGATCATATAAGAGCTCATAAAGATCACCAAATACACAAGGAAATCAGTCATAATGATTGAGGGCCAGCAGAAATAATCAACAGATTTAGATTTCCAAGGATTTCAGATATTGAAATGATCAGATACAACGTAAAAATAATTTTATTCGGAATGAAAAATGAAGTAATGAAAACAGTAAGGAAGAAGAGACTTTCAAAAACTGTCAGATTTAAAAAAAGAACCAAATAGAACTTTAATAAATAAATAATAAAATATAACTTTAGAAAGTAATAAAAATATGTGTTGATAGTAATCCAAATGGACATAGTAGAAAGCAGGTCAAAAACAGATTTTATACACTTAAAATAGTTAGTGAATTGGAACAATGTTCGGAATAAGCCAAAAGAAACAGCATTGAGAAGGAGATAGAAAACAAAACAGAAAGACTAAGAGATTGTGAAGATGGAAAGAGGTTTAACACGCATCTAATCAGAGTCTTAGAAGGGGAATAAAGAAAATACAAATGGGATAATGACTCAATAACTTAGAAATAACCAAAGACTTGGATCCTCAAATATAGGAAGCACAAAATATGCCAAGTAGGTTAAAAACAAATAAAGGTATACTTTGTTAAATTGTGATAAAACTGCTGAACACCAAACACAGGGATTTTGGAGAGAAAAGCTAGATTCTCTATAAAGGAGTGACAATGATACTGAAGGAAAGTTTTTAGTACAGTAGTCTTCCCTTATGCATGGGTTCACTTTCCATGGTTTCAGTTATCTGTAGTCAACTGTGGTCTGAAAATATTAAATGGAAAAATTCCAGAAGAAAAAGATTAAATTGCACATAATTCTGACTTGGAACAAGATGCGAATTATCTCTGTCTAGCATATTCAGCCTGCATCTACACTGTATAAATTACTTGCCCATTCATCACTTAGTAGCTGTCTTGGTTATCACATCAGCTTTGTAGTATCATAGTACTTGTGTTCAAGTACCCTTATTTTATTTAATAATGGCCCCAAAGTGCAAGAGTAGTGATGCTGGCAAGTTATTAATATTGTTCTATTTTATTATCAGTTACGGCTGTTAATCTCTTATTGTGCCTAATTTACAAATTACACTTTATCATAGGTATGTATATCTCGGTTTGGTACTATCCCATATTTCAGGCATCCACGGGGACTCTTGGAACATATTCCCTGGGGATATGAAGGGACCTACTACAGCAACAACGGAAATCAGAAGCCAGTGTCAGAACAATTTTCACGTGAACACAATGTGTGAGTGTGACCCTCCCACTGAAAGATAACTAGAATGCTTGATAAAGTATATTTTAAATACATTTCTTAGATTGTAAACAATAAGAGGATACTGAAACTGGAGAGGGAAATAGAAAGACTAAGAGAGTTTATTATCAAAAGACATATGCTAAAGGCATTACTTAAAGACAGAGCAGGAAAGTAGAAACATTTTAAAAGGAAGCTCTGAAGGCGAAGAACAACTGTGAGCCAAGAAAATACACAATATGTAAGTAAATTTAAACACATATTGATCATATAATACAACAACAATAATGTTTAATTCAAGGAATGACAAAACTCATAGAACTTAACAAAGGTAACAAAAACAAAGAAAATTGGAAGCAAGATTTAAATTGTTCTTAAATTGGAAGCAAGATTTATATTGTTTGGGAAGAGGGAAAAATGTTCATTAATTTTTGACTTAAACTATGCCTGTTAAAATGTTAAGAGTAACCACTAAAATAAATAAATTTTATAACATGCAAATCAATTGAGGATAAAAGGGAATATTTTTTAAAGATGGAAAAATAATAGGAAATTCAGGATGAAAATAAAGCAAAGGTAGGGTCTGAAAAATATTACCAAAAGACACAATAAGCTGATTAATTAAAAGTAGAGAAAATATAGCATTTAAAATCAATATCCAAAGAGAGAAAACATTTATAGCAGGTAATTTACAAATGCTTAATATATTTGATCTAGAAGTAAAAAGGCAAGGAATGTTCCAATAGAAAGATGAAGAAAGATATCGAATGAGCTATCATTTCTAAGTTTTCTAGAATTAATACAATATTTCTCATATAATCAGATGACTATCAATAAATGCTATTAAAATAGAAAAGGATTAGAGAATAATGATCAACAAATGAACATCTAGGAAAAATACAAATGGTTACAGACAATACAAAAATATTCAATTTTACTAACAATAAAAATTTGATTAAAAGAAAGAAGGTAACATTTATTGTATCAAATTAACAGTTGCAAAAACACCAACAATCATTTTTGACAAGGATGCATGAAAATAGAAATTCTCATACTTTGCTAAAGATAGTGTGAACAGCGACATTTCTAGAAAGTAAATAAGCAATATACCTCAAGATCCTAAAACTTAATAACTTTTGATTCAGTAGGTTTTTTTTCATAAAGTAAGATCGAGTTATATACAAAAATGAAATGCAGTCTTATTTATAATAGTGTGAAATTAGAATAATGCTAATTGAAAACAGAATAGGCAAATAAATGATGATATACCACAAAATAATTAAAATGTATTTTTGAATCAAACTTAGATGTGAAAAATGTTCTTATTCTAATACTGAGAAAAACAGAATGCAAAATCACTATAAAATATGCTCTCAATTTTGTAAAAATACAAATATGCAAAATGAAAATGTTATTGGAAAGAAATAAAAGTTCTGGCACTGAATATTTATGGGTAATGGGATAATGAAATATTTTAATTTGTATTATATCTTTTACATTAATATTTATCTATAATGAGGATGTATTCTTTACATAATCAGAATATTAACAGTAAATGATAATAATTAAAAATATCAAATATCACAAATCAGCTATAAGAAAAAAGGAAACCTGGGGAAAATTAAATAAGCTGCTTAGGCCAGTCACTGGAACTACTGTCCATGGATATGGCAGGACAGGAATGAGGAACCAGGGGGACCACTGGCTGTGCCCAAGAGCAGAGGACTGGGCTTAATGTGGTCCAGGAATGAGGCCATCAATGCTCTTAATAGGACAGCTGCTTCACTTTGACTGCCTTAGACTTGAACAATGCGTTTTTCACCTTGGGAGCGAGGTTTCTTACATAAGATACGAGGCTGAACTGTCCCAATAAACAGAGAATGAACTTCAATGTGATGTCAAAATTAGCACTGTTAGAGCTACCAAATAGAAAGTAGATTCGAAATTAATTTTTTCTAGGTTACCGTATGCTTCTTACATGTCCAGTGTCTTTTTGAAAACTCCACTTTATAGTACTCGAAAGCTATAATTTTCTTTATAGGTGGAGAGAATCAAAACATTACAAATTTGTAAAATGAAAATTCTGGTATAAAGTAGTTAAAATATATACAGAGAATACTAATGAAATAATTAGTCTGGTAAAAATTAATCATGCTGTAAACAACTGTCTTTAAAATTATTAATTAGCCTACTTGACTATAATTACCAAATAAACAATCTTAAATTACTTTGTTTCTACAGAACTGTTACTTTATTAGCATAACAAAACTACAAAAGTTATTTTTATAAGAAACTTCTAATATAAAAATAAAAGAAAGCTTGTGTGCTGAGTTTATTGCAGTTTAGTAAGTCACTTTGATTTCTTTATAGCAATTTAGATTACAATGGATAACTGCTGGAATTCTCTGATATACTAAGACAGCCTATAACTTTCCAAGTGAAAGTTCTTCCTTAAGATCCACAATTATCTATGACTATTTGAGCACCTGGAATCAAAGTATACTACATGAACTTTAAGTAACTCTATTCCTTACAAAAAAAATTCTATAGATATATTAAGGTCTAAGATGTCTTCTCAATTTGAACGAAAATCAGCATATATAAAAAGCAATGTGGGAAAGAAACCCTTAGGCCAATATGAGATTTGAACCCTGGTTCTTGCTCTACTGGTGACTGAATTTGTGATCTTCAGCATAGGTCTGAAGCTCTCAGAGCCTCAGTTTCCTCAATAGTAAATAGAAAAAAAAGATGAAATATGTTCTGCTTATTTTATAGGATTGACTTAAGACTCAAATGAGATTGAGATAGTGTATGTAAAGGAATTTTGAAAAATAATGTTTTAACCTCAATTTAAACATTTTGATCATTCCCAAGACCTAGGAAGTTGAAATTCAATCTTTAAAACAGTCTTTAAAAAGAACAAAGTTGGATGACTCACACTTTTAGATTCCAAAACTTGCTACAAAGGTAGAGTCATCAAGATAGTGTGGTACTGTCATAAGAATAGATAAATAGATTGGTAGAATAATATTGAGATTCCAGAAATAAATCCTCATGGTTATGGTAAATTGATTTTCAACAAGGGTCCCTAGACTATTCAATGGAGAAAGAAAGTACTTTTCAACAAGCGGTAAAAAGTTACGATATAATCCAGCAATTCCACCCTTAGGCATATACCCAAAAAAATGTAAACATGTTTATACAATTTTTTTTACACAAATGTTCACAGTGGCATCATTCATAGTATCCAAAAGGTGAAAACAACTCAAATAACCATCAACTAATTAATGTACAAACAAACTGTGCCACATCCATACAATGGAATATCATTTGACAATAGAAATGAATGAAGCACTAACAGGCGCTACAACACGTATCAACTTTAAAGACATTATGCTAAGCGAAAGAAGCTAATCACAAAAGATCACACTGTATATAGTTTTATTTGTATGAAATGTCCAAAACAGTAAAATCTGTAAAGATGGTAGATTAATCGTTGCCCAGGGCTAGGAGATGGGTGTGGGGTGGGGGGGCAGGGGCTGAAGAAAAATGTGGGGTAGGGAGACTGCTGAAAGGCATAGGGTTTCTTTCGGGGTGATGACAGGATCCAAAATTGACTTTGGTGGTGGTTACATAACTGTATATATACCAAAAATCAGTGCATTATATATATTAAATATTAGAACATTATATATATTAAATATAAATATAATAACTATTGGTATATGTTCTATATTTCAATAAAGCTATTTCCATAAAAATACCATACATTAATAACTAGATCTTGATCCCCAAATATAAAGGCCTTTCCTAAACGAGAATTTACATGTAATTATTTTTCTGCAAAAAGTCATACAAAAGAAATAGAGGCATGCTAGTTATTAAGAGAACTGAGTGAAAAATAAAAATAGTAAGAATTGCAACAATTAATATAATGCTTTATGTTATACCAAGTACTTGCAAAAATGACCCCACAGACAACAAAATAGCAAATCAGAATGAGTCATTTGTTCCCTCTCCTGATTTTAAACATGGAGATAATATGGGCCACAGTCCACATTGTCCTGGATAGATTGGTACCGATCCCACCTGCTGTGGGGCAGGAAAGCAGCAGAACCAGTCAAGTGCCAGCCTAAGGCTGGAGACTGATTGTGACGGTTAATACTGAGTGTCAACTTGATTGCATTGAAGGATGCAATGTATGGATCCTGGGTGTGTCTGCGACGATGTGCCAAAGAAGATTAACATTTGAGTCAGTGGGCTGGGAAAGGCAGGCCCACCCTTATTCTGGGTGGGCACCATCCAATCATCTGCCAGCGAGACTAGAATATAAAGCAGGCAGAAAAAAACACGAAAAGACTAGACTGGCCTAGTCCATCTTTCTCCCATGCTGGATGCTTCCTGCCCTCGAACACTGGACTCCAAGTTCTTCAGTTTTGGGACTTGGACTGGCTCTCCTTGCTCCTCAGCCTGCAGATGGCCTATTGTGGGACCTTGTAATCATGTAAGGTAATACTTAATAAACTCCTATATATATAGAATATATACATATACACAACTATATATCTCCTATTAGTTCTGTCCCTCTATAGAACCCTGACTAATACACTGATGACAGGGTAATTATAGGGCTCATCTCAGGGAAGAAATCCCATAGCTATAAAAGCAGATGGCTAGATAACCCTAAACATTCACTTCTTCCCGCCTCAACTGCCGATCTAGCAAATACGTAAATTTACGTGTATCTTTTATTACTTGGGAAGAAATAAGAAACATATGTATATATACACATACACACACATATGGACACATTGGAGAAAAATGTATGAACACTGAGAAAGGAGAAAATACTGAAAAATTCCAAAAAGAAAATGGAGATCATTTACAAAGGACAAAAAATCAAATTGACATCAGACTTGAGACAATGGTTAAAGCTGTGGAGAAGAGAACTTTGAACCTAAAATTTCATATTCAATTAAACTGTTTTGTACATGTGAGAAAAACATATTGGTAGGCATTTAGGTTCTCAAAGATAATGCCATACAAAGTTTCTCTCTCTCTCTCTTTTTTTTTTTTTTTTTTTTTTTTTTTTTGAGGAGTCCTACTCTGTTGCCCAGGCTGGAGTGCAGTGGTGCAATCTTGGCTCACTGCAACTTCCATCTCCTGGGTTCAAGCAATTCTCCTGCCTCATATTCCAGAGTAACTGGGATTACAGGCGTGCACCACCATGCCCAGCTAATTTTTGTATTTTCAGTAGAGATGGCGTTTCACCATATTGGCCAGACAGGTCTTGAACTCCTAACCTCAAATGATCTACCCACCTCGGCCTCCCAAAGTGCTGGGATTACAGGAGTGAGCCACCATGCTGGACCCAAAGTTTCTCTTTGAAAAAAATCTTTTAGAGAGGTAATCTTAGTGAAAAATAAAAGAAATGCATGAGCAAACAACTAGATATCAAAAGTAAAGGAGAACAAATAAAGTTCATTGTTCTTTACATAGGCCATAATAAAGAAAGAAGTACATCCATAACGTTTTGATAAAAATTCCAGGTGGTATTAACATATGGAAGGAGAAACAGAGGGAAGTTGAGAGCATGCTAAAGTATTAATTTTATTTGAGATGGGCAATGGAGGAATATGTTTTAATAAGATTAAAGCATAGCTAGGGAAAAATCACTATGAATCTTGATAAGGAAAGGGTAGCTATAAGCAACATAAAAATAGAATATGCAATATTCTGTTTAGTAGATGAAAATCAGTTTATGGACAGAAGCTGGGAAAAAAAAACAAAAAGAAGCAAGGCTAGTAACAACACACACACACACACACACACACACACACACACACACACAAAATGGGGTAGCTGAAATAAGCCTTGGTAGAACAGTAGTTAATGTCAGTGTTAACATCAATAAAAAACAGAGTAAATGAAAAAATAAAAAAGCTAACAGTTTTTTCCAGAAAGTATAGTTGTAAAACAAAAGGATATAGCGAAATTGCAAATGAAATAAGGAATATCAGAAAATATGGACTAAAAGAAAGTAGGGCTAGACATTTTTTAACTCTACAAAATACAATTTAAGGTTAAAAATTCACAATGATAAAGAAAGAACCAACATTTGGAAAAAATAGAACATGAAGATATGATGATTATGAACACATGGGTACCTAACAATACATTATTGAACACTATTAACGTGCAACTGACAAACTATGGTGACATATGTCTGTGTCATATTTGTTCCTTGAGTTTGTGAATTTTCTAGTTCTTTATTTCTTTTCTTCTTTAGTCTATGTGTGCATTACTTACATTTTTTTTCTCTTGTTACTCGATTTTTAGCAGTATTTAAGAATGTTTTAAACAGATGGGGATAAAAAGAATTTATAATAGTCCAAAAATAGTCTAAGTTTTCTGTGTGTGAAAGTTTTTTATAAAAGTTATTTGAAACAAGGAACCAAAATGAAATTAGAGCACTTGCTGTAACTTTCATTTAATCATTCTTTTTTGTTATTTTTTCCCCAACAAATAGAAGATATACACACAAATTTCCTGATGTTCTAAGCTTCCATGGTAACCTGTGATCTAGAGTAGTAAAAAATCAAGTACACAAAATGTCTTAAAAATCATAGGGAAACATGCACCCAATATTTCATTTCCTCTAAAAACTGACCCTTTGAGTAGCATCCATGAGTTGTGATTTTGTCTTATTTTTTCAGAAAAAACAAAAATGCTACAGACAGAATCTATTATATGTATACCTAGGTTTTTGAATGATTCTATTTTTCCATTCTTTATTTTCCTTGACAAAAAGTAAAATCTGAAAATGGCAACATAAAATTAGTCAAATAAAGACATTTTTAAAAAAGAGAATAAAATGTTTCAATTCTAGAGTTTCTTAACCTTTCTACTTAAATATATCTTACCACATATAAAAGTAAATAAAAGTAATAAACATACAATTAAATTAGTATGCATCATAATGCTTTGAATAGTCATTAATCATAATTTGTGAATTTTGCATCCTTTTTTTTTTTTTTTTTTTTTTTTTGAGGCGGAGTCCCACTCTGTCTGTCGCCCAGGCTGGAGTGCAGTGGCAGGATCTCGGCTCACTGCAAGCTCCGCCTCCCGGGTTCACGCCATTCTTCTGCCTCAGTCTCCTGAGCAGCTGGGACCACAGGTGCCTGCCACCACGCCCGGCTAATTTTTTTTTTTTTTTTTCTTTTTTTTTTTTTTTTAGTAGAGACGGGGTTTCACCATGTTAGCCAGGATGGTCGCGATCTCCTGACCTCGTGATCTGCCCACCTTGGCCTCCCAAAGTGCTGGGATTGCAGGTGTGAGCCACCGCGCCCGGCCGAATTTTGCATCTTTAGGGATTATTATTTTCAGAAACCACTTCATGTATTACTTTTGGATTCTAATACCATATTTAGTTGCATATAATGATTTCTGTTTCATCATACTCTATTTCTGCCTTTGCAATAAAGGAATGTAATAATACAGCAATTAACCACAAATAAAAATATTCATTTTATATGTGAGAAACATTCACTTTTCAACATTCAAAAATGAAGCTATGTAATTAAAATGCAACTCATCTCCACTCGTACCTTTTCTAAGTAAACTTTGTTAATAAAGATAGATGTGAATTGTTAACTTGGTGCACAGAGTACTCCAAAGACTAAATATAGGCGCTTTGTTTCTTCGATCATACCTATATCTTAAATTCCCTCAGCTCCTCTGTCAGAGAAAGGCTGCCAGGTGAGCAGTCTGTCACTCCTGCCTAGGCTAATAGATTCTCCAGTGGCTTTGGTTACAGCTCATGTCATACTATTAAAACTATGTGCCTTGAAAATGGCATAACATATGTAGCTGAATCTTGTCAACTGTAGATAATCAGACTCTGTTTGGCTTCATAAGCAGATGTAGATTAGAGAAGCAATATAATAAATATGCAAAGCACAGTGGTCCTCTTTCAGCACCGCTGTTCCTACCTCTAATGGCCCTCGCAGAAACTCTGTTTGTTCAGCTCCCACTTCCAGAGCTACATCAACAGAAGCAAAGGGACGGCTGGCCATCTGCTGTCGTTCTCGAAGCAGTTGCTGGAGGGGGTTAAAAATGATTTATCTTAAAATAGGTTTAAAAGCACATGAAATTCAACAATATCTGGTTCCCTCTTTTAACAAATGGCATTGAAAAGTTAGGAATCATTTTATACAGATATCCATATCTAGAATACTAAAGATGAAAATTACTTTCTCCCCGTGGCCTTGGCTGTATGTCCACAGAAGCTTTAAATGTACGGTGCCTACAAATAACTTTTCCCCTGACCTCCATCCTGCAGGCCTAATACAATGTACTCAAAAGCACTCTGAAAGCCTCGGGTGAGAGGTGCTACTTGAGTAAAAAGTGTTATTACAGTGATGGCTATGCCAAATTTTCCTACTCAAAATAACTCAGATTTTTGTCTTAGCTGAAAAAGAAAAAAAAAAAACAGTAAAAATATTTAAGAAAAGATAATGAAAAGTTGTCAAAATGCATTAATAGAAATTAAAGGAACATATACCTGCCAAGACTAAGTTTTGTAAGTCATCAGAATCCCCTGTGAACTGCTATGGAACCAGAAGGAATTATTATTGGCAGTGTTTATAATTTTGTTCAAAGCCTCTGTTTATCATTCAAAATGAGGCATGATTAGTAAGGTGCAGAAATTGTGTGCAAGGACTTCTACAGCACCCCCAGATACTTGTTTCTTTCTCTTTGTGACTATTCTGGGCTGTGCCCAGGCTAAAACCAATAAACTAGCAAGTCCCAACCAACTACTAAGCTAATTTATCTTTTTGCCTCTCCTTGTAATTATGATATTCATTAAGTCATGATAAAAAAATTGATGACCAGCACTAGATATTGCAATTCTTGCCCTTCTCATTCTATACAGCTAATAAAATTATTATTAAATATTAAAATAGGACGTGTGATGCAATTAAATACTCTTTAAAATGAGAAGAAAATTGTATTATTGAAGAAAGGCAAAATCCTTGAACACAATGAATGGCTTCATTATTCACAGATATTTTTAAAGATTCTCTGTCATTTACTTAAAATGTTAACTACTAGTCTTTGAATGTAAATGGATGTAGTCCTGTGAGTGAAGATTCATAAAATTCCCTTGTAGATGATAAAGGAACACAGGCCAAATTATTTAAACACAAGTTTATTTATTTAAGCAGAAGTTTAAATAATAAACTGCCATGACAGTTTATTATTTAAAATGTTTGTTTTAATACCTGGTTTTTATTATTAAAAAGAGAACATTCACATGACAATATGGGATAGAAATAATGCAACTGTTAATAAGTAACAATTTAAGTTTGTAGATCACATTTTTTTGAAGTAACAAATTCATTTTAAAAATACATATTCAAAGTAAAAAGTGAATGTGATCTGAATTATCAAATTATTCACTTTAATATAACTTCAAAATTATATTATTAAAAATACAGCTCCTGGCAAATAGAATCTGGTTTATGCCTCTCTCAATAGGAATGGGAAATTGATCTGAATAGTATGTCTATGCAAAATGCAAACATAATGTTATCTCAAATGCTAAGGATAGTAAATGCAGAAGACACCAGGTTCTTCGTCTTTGGTAAAAACACACACACCAACATGCCCAGACAACACACACAAATATACAATCTACCCTTCCTATACTCATGTACAAAAAGTCTTGAGAAAATTGTAAATTCCACTTTGTGTTTGAACACAATTTTCTAAGATTTGTATTATCAATTATCTCCATTTGTATTTGTTCTCCTCAGCATATAAACGGCATCTCATATGACAAGTGATTGCTAGACAAAATGAACAGCTTCTTTTTCCTCATCTTGCCTTTTCCTTATATCTAAAAGTATAAGGTCTACAAAATAGAATTAATGAATACTCAATATCACATATTGTAATATAAATCAACAAATATTCCAAACTCACAATCGTTGACAAAAAATAGAGTTCCATGGACTGTAATCTATTATTGTGACTCCCAAAAACTCATAAAAAAATCAGTGACTGATACTTTTGTTCAATTTTTAAATTTGTAGAATGCGAAAGTATATTTAAAAATTCTAGTTTGTTTCCTGAGCTTTGTGTTTCTATCAGTTTTTAAGAACTGAATGCCTACTAAATTACTTTATGTAAAGAACAAGAAAAATATTCTTCTTGCCCAGGACTTTACTACTATAGTTTGTAAAGCAAATCTGGTAAAATGGAAATAATTAGGGCACAATATAGTGTGTCAGTAAAGTTACAAATAAAGAATTAGACAAATAAATTTATTCTGTGTCACCTAGTAGAAGACTAGTTAGAGAGTCCTTGCTGAAACAGCTGAGTTTCTGCCTTTGGGAGACTAATGCAAATGTTCTTACTGTGAAATTTAGGAAGAGAACATCATTTTCCCTCGTAGCACTCTTGCTTTAGTGTGATAGCCCTAAAATAATCAAATGGAGTAAATCGTGATTATCTTTGCAACTAATTTCTGCCCTCCTCCCCTAATTCTTAACAATTGTCCTACTTTTAAATACCAGTTTCTCCACTTTTTAGCTGTTTGAGCTTAACCAAATTATTTAGACCTCTCTAAGCCTCAATTTTTTTCATCTATAAATAATAACAGTACCTACACTACGCCTATACCTTAGAGGACCTGTTTTAAATCCCAGCTGTTGAACTTACCAGCAATTGGATCATAATCTAATTACTGAGACCTTTCACTCATTCTTTCTCTCCATAAAATGGGAATAGCAATAGTATCTTTAAGTCATAAGGTTGAGACTAAAGAGATAACACACTTGGGCTGTTCCACACAGAGGCTGGCACATTGTGAGCACTCAATAACTGCTAATTGGTACAATTATAATGTTAAATTTCAAGCACTATTTTTGTCTCAGAAGACGGCACACTAATTACCACAGGCCCATTTTCTTCAGCAACAGTGACACATTTTGCTCTACTAGTCTCCCTTTTAACAAATGTTTTGCAAATTTATGAGACAGTTGGAAACTGTCATTATTGTGGTAAAATGAATTTAGATTTGGAACTGCCTTCCACCATTTGTGACTAAGAATGATAAAAACTCATCCTGAAAATTAGGAAAAACTGTATCGTATTTTCTTAAGAAAATTTGAAAATTAATAGATTTTCCAGGATTGTGTTTTATATAAAATGAAGCTTAACATTTTGTATACCCATAAGAAGCCATATAGCAGATGTGTCTGTTTTATAACTAATCTGCTATTGCCAATTATTCAGCAGAACAATAAAGCCAAAAGAACAAATTGATCATAATACAATAGATTATAATCATACTGCCATAAACATTGTTGTGAAGAAAATTTAAAAATTAAAGAGATGTTACTATCTTATTTGTTGTACATAATAACTGTTTTGCTATTCAAAATCTCTTATAAAACAAACCATGGAATTAAAAATGATATGAAAATCAGGCCAGGCTCAGCGGCTCACGCCTGTAAGCACTTTGGGAGGCCGAGGCAGGTGGATCACCTGAGGTCAGGAGTTCAAGACCAGCCTGACCAACATGGTGAAATCCTGTCTCTGCTAAAAAATAAAAATAAAAATAAATTAGCCAGGCATGGTGGCACATGCCTGTAATCCCAGCTACTCAGGAGGCTGAGACACGAGAATCACTTGAACCCGGGAGGTGGAGGTTGCAGTGAGCTGAGATTGCGTCATTGCACTCCAGCCTGGGTAACAAGAGCGAAACTCCGTCTCAAAAATAAATAAATAAATAAATAAATAAATACAAAAGAAAAGAATATCTACGCTTAAATTTGACAACCAGGTAGAGTCAGTGATTCTATCAAATATGAATACAGATAATTCTTCAACTTAATACTATTACTTCAAATACGGTATCATTCCCCAAACTTGATACTAGCTACCTTTCCAAACACCACAAGGCATACAACTCTTTGAATGACTTTAGGATAATACTCCTTAAAAATACACATACATAAAAAACAAAGCAGTGACTAACTCTGCCTGCAATTGTCTTCATACCTCCTACTACATGACTCTTTTGCATAGGTTCCCTATCTATTCTCTCCTCCACCTTCAAATGTCCTTCTACCTCACCTCAACTTTGAAATGATCACCTCTTCTATGAATTATTTGTGATATTAATATGGCACCATCTCTTTATGTCTCCATGCTTTTCTGGGATCTTCTTTAAGGCAAAAGCCTATTTTTGTTTTTCATTCCCCACAATACTTAGTTGATAGTCAACAGTGTTTTATGAATGAACAATGAATGAGTGAATAAAATATAGTATAAGAATCTGTTTCATCCAAATGTGGGTAAAGGCAAGTTATGATAAAACTGACTCTAATTATGCATAAACTTTTAAAACTCTTATATGTCCTTTGATGTTCTAGAATTTATGTCTTCTCCTTGAAAGTAGGTAGACATTTATTTTTTTAGAATGGGGATGTTTTGTGGACCTGTCTTGCAAATCAATATCAGATTTCATATTGTTCCTCATCATCTAGCTTATGGCAATACTGCAAAGATCATAGAAAAAAACTGCCATAAAGTCATCACAATGCATTAATATTTCTAACAGCAATTATATTCAAAACAATTTGGAAAGGTATAAAAAGAGCACTCAAAATGATTTTGTCATTAGTTTTGAGCTACAAACTAAAATAAAGCCTCTGAAGAAAAGATTATGCAACAATTCATGAAATAAGAGGCTTTCTGTTATTAACACAAACATACTTAGCATACAGTAATACAAGTAAAAAATCATTTTTTGTTCTTTTGATGTTAGGATGGTGTAAAGAAGAGAAGTGGCAAGAACTTTTAGTATCATTAAATTAGGAAAGCATGGTTTTCTACCATTTTATATAACTAAATCTTCAAGGCACAAGGTTCAAATTCTTGTTCAGAAAAATATTGGAAATCTTCTGCTTTCAGTCTTCCAGTGTGAGGTTAATTTTCCTAGATAGTGATGTTAGTCATTATGGGAGTGGTTTGGAAAAACATCTTTATTCAGGTTACAGTTGTTATTTTTTTTTCTAGGCTTTTATAATCTTTGACCTGCCGGCAATATGCTGTGTTTGACATAATGTGTTAACTTAAAAATAAAAAAAAAATTCTACCTGTCTAACACTGACAAGTATTCACTGAGTTGGCTGATAATATTCATTTCCAATGATTTTTGAAATTTCTTTGTCAAATGGTATTTTTGCAATATTTGTATTAACTTGCAAAGTAAACTTGAGTGACTGTCCAGAAGGCCTTTAATAATGCGAGATTCCATAAAACCTTAAGATTAGTTATTTTTTCTTCATTATTCAAAAGCAAAATATTGTCAAATAGCCACAGCAGATTTTCCAGGTAGGTTGTTCAGTTATTTGGGGTTGCTATTTGGGCAGTAATGTGCCAAAACCTAAACCTACCTTTCACTGTCATCAGGTCTGCTACCAGACAGAGGAAAGACAAAGGAAAAACGGAAAATGTTTCTGGATCTTTGATTAAAATATAGATTTCAAAATATCCTCTAAAATGTTAATAGCATATATAAGTGATATGGTTTGACTGTGTCCCCACCCAAATCTCAACTTGAATTGTATCTCCCAGAAATCTCTCGTGTTGTGGGAGGGACCGAGTGGGAGGAACTGAATCATGGGGGCTGGTCTTTCCCGTGTTATTCTCATGATAGTGAATAAGTCTCATGAGAACTGATGGGTTTACCAGGGGTTTCTGCTTCTGATTCTTCTTCATTTTCTCTTAACGCTGCCATGTAAGAAGTGCTTTGGCCCCCCACCATGATTCTGAGGCCTCCCCAGCCATATGGAATTGTAAGTCCAATTAAACCTCTTTTTCTTCCCAGTCTCAAGTATGTCTTTATCAGTAGTGTGAAAAGGGACTAATACAATAAGCTTATATATATGTATATACCAATGCATATATAGTACATATGCATGTCAATGTATGTAGAAAGTATAAGCATGACTATGCGTATCAAAGTAAATACGTTATCACTCAAAGTAAAATTAAACCAAAAGGTCAAAATAACGGATTAAATTATGTCAACAAATGAGGGTCTTGTTGTCACCTGGATAACACTGATTATATAATTCATATGACCAAGACACAATCTCCACAGATTTTTAGACCTGGCAGGAACCTCACAGAACCTCTAGGCCAGAGATTCCTCAAACTGCAGATCACAGACCTCTAAAGGGCAAATAGATGAGGACTGGAAAAGTCTATGAACCTGGCACTAATAGATGATACTTTAATTATTTCCCTGCAATTTCAGTGGATTCAATCATTAACTTACTGCTGTCTTCAGAAGCTAACAGCCCCTCATCCTGAACCAAAATGTAACTCTACTTCCTTAAGTTATTTCAAGAAATAAATCAATCAACTCATATTAATGCTTAAAACAAAAGGGAACAAATTCTAAAAGCCAGCAAAACTACTTTAGAATTACTGACACATTCCTATTTGCTAGATAAGAATTTGAAAATGATCTTCAAGGCAGAATTAGTTCAAAGCTCAGACATTTAATTGGAAACATTTCATTTATTTGTTTTCTTCATGTAGCTCACTGGTTCTCAAACTTTGTTTTTTTCTGTAAACTTTGGTGTATATGCAATGCCACCTATACTCTATACTGAATGATCTTGTTTCTTAAAGATATCAGCCTTACATACTGATTGTAGATCATAACTTCAATGTAAAATCAGTCTCATGGAACTCTGGAAATTGTCAATATTAACAAGAGCAGGGTGGTACAAACTACATGACCTGATAGCATCACCATCATTTCCTTGTAATAAGGTATTTTTAAAAGGTTTCTACTGACAGGAATTAAATAAAATATACCTTACTTTTACAAGTATGGTCCTTTTAAGCATGGGCTGTCATTGTTTAGGTTAATTTAGGAAATGTCAGAGAAAATGAATAATCTTCATTAGCAAATCTTCCTTATCTTTACATATCCATGCTATCCATTCCTACTTAAACATCATGGGAGACAAAACAGTACTTCTTACAGGGGCGATTCTTTGTAATTAAATTTTGAAGTCAAGAAAATGGAAGGGTTGCCTGACATCTGTCCATTTGTAAGTCTTCATGAAAATAAATTTAATTTAAAAGGGATAGGGGCCAGACGCAGTGGCTCACACCTATAATCCCAGCACTTTGGGAGGCCAAGGCGGGCAGATCACCTGAGGTCAGGCGTTCAAGGCCAGCCTAGCCAACATGACGAAACTCTGTCTCTACTAAAAAATACAAAAAATATATCCAGGCCTGGTGGCGCACACCTGTAATCCCAGCTACTCAGGAGGTTGAAGTAGGAGAATGGCTTGAATCTGAGAGGCAGAGGATACAGTGAGCCAAGACCACCACTGCACTCCAGCCTGGGGCAAAAAAGCAAGACTCCATCTCAAAAAAAAAAAAAAAAAGAGTGTGTGGGGGGGTGGATAGAATTTTACCAAAATTTGAATTTTTCTCAACACAAAAGCTGTGTCTTGAAGCATATCACAAAGTTGTTAATCAAATCAGTTAAGCTTTGTATCTCTGGATAGACCTTGGTAAAATCATTTTTTGGTGGCGGGGGGATGATCATGCTAATTTGCAGTATGGAGCAAACAAAGAAAAGTAAAATAATATCCCTATCTAATTATCACATCCATTCCAGAAATTTCTAATGTTTGCTAACACTGAGTATTTTGAAGTAAATTAGGAAAGGATTAGAATTTCATCATTTCTTTTTAGTCTAAGTGAAACACTAACATGATCCAGCATAGACAATCCCTGGTTTTTGTCAACTGTGTGCTTGCTGACTTCTCATTAACAAAGAATTCCAACTTGTGAACACTTTTTCAAAAGAAAATCACTTAAGTCTTCATAACACTGAAGATGAATATTCCATGCAAAACTTTGATTATGCAGATGATATACCTGTGTATACTTGTTTTTATCTTCTACTTGATCACATATCTCATTTTGTTCCTTAATGAGAAATGAAGTTCTGTACTTCATGTGGCACATGTCTTCATGCATTAGCAATAAGAAAATATTTTTCTGTAAAGTCTTAATGCCTTGTCAAGAAACTCCATTAAGGACTGGAAGCAAATTATGAAGTTCTTTACTTCAAATTCCAAAGGATGATCCTGAATAGCTTAGACTAAAATTCTAGGAAAAATTTTGTTTTTTTCTTTCATCGTTTTTAAAAAATAAAAGCCTATTTGTAGAAAAATGTGATAGTTTGCTCATATCAAGATTTCCATGGTGAATAAATTTGCCTGTAATAATTAATTGAATGAATTTTTACTGAGCTCCTACTGCATGCCCTTTTTCTAGTAACTGATGTATGGGGTGACTCTTTTGATTCTATTCAGCAAGCTTCTCCATGCCAGCAAAAAAAATACCAGAGACTCTTCTGAACCATGTGCCAGAAAACTGGAAGCAGGCAGCTGGCAGATAGTATAGTCTGCTATTGGAGGAAGTACTTATGTAGCCTGGAGTTAAAAGCAACAAAGCTATTCGTTAGTGGACGAACACCTCCATATATGCAAAAATATTGCAGAATTTTTGAAGGTGACTCTTCGGGAAATTTTAAAATGAAAATACGGACTCTAAATCTTTTCTGTGTTGATACAGATAGCATTACCTATAAAGACTTTGCCAAAGATGATCTCATTTCAGGATAAAAGAAATAATGCAAAATGGATTTATCTAGGAGAGTCTTAAAAACTGTGCTATGGCTTGATACAGGCTATCTTTTCTGGTGACCAACAGGAAATTCAATGGACCTTTGCAAGATAGTATTTTATCTTGCTTTTTGTACTTGTTGACATTAAAACAAAATGTTGAAAAATGAATGCTTATTGACAACTTTAAAAATACTCTGGGCACTTAAGAATCATAATTAACAGCACACAGAAGTCTTGTTTGTTCGACGTTGACTTACATAAACAAATACATAAAAGTATTATGGAAAAAAATTGCTATGGGAAACAAAATGCTCAGAGGAAAGATACAGTGCAGAGGGAAAGTGCTTTAGATAGAATGGTTACAGAAGAGAAATGACATTTGCCCTGAAACCCTGAATAGTTAATCAGAATAGGCACACATTCCCAAAAGCTCAGTAGTTGAACACAGAAAAGTTTATTTTTTGCACACACAAAATCCTCTGGTCTAGGTAACTTCCCATTTGGGAAATCAGCCATATAGATTGTTTCAATCTTGTCACTTTCCATCTCAACCCAAAACTTCCCGAAGAATCATGGCAGAAAAAGGACTAGTGAATCGTGTACGGACTTTTCAGTGCTTCAGCCCACAAGTGATACAACTCATTATCAGAAATAGTCACACAGTCCAACCTAATTACACAGAAGCCAGAAAATGTAGGGTGGCAAATAGAATATTAGGTGAATGGAACAAAGGAAGCTAGAAAAGAACATTTCAGGCCGGGTGAGGTGGCTCACGCCTGTAATCCCAGCACTTTGGGAGGCTGAGGTGGGTGGATCACGAGGTCAAGAGATGGAGACCATACTGGCCAACTGACATGGTGAAATCCTGTCTCTACTAAAAATACAAAAATTAGCTGGGCGTAGTGGCACACGCCTGTAGTCCCAGCTACTCAGGAGGCTGAGGGAGGACAATCGCTTTAACCCGGGATGTGGAGATTGCAGTGTGCTGAGATTGCA
Organism: Homo sapiens; assembly: GCF_000001405.40. Lineage (NCBI taxonomy): Eukaryota > Metazoa > Chordata > Mammalia > Primates > Hominidae > Homo > Homo sapiens. The sequence continues at coordinate 115,717,611 of NC_000010.11, read as the reverse complement.
CCACTGCACTCTAGCCCAGGTGACAGAGCGAGACTCCATCTCAAAAAAAAAAAAAAAAAAAAAGAACATTTCAGGCAGCGGGAAAATCAAGCACCAAGTTTTGAGGCAAGCCTGAGCTTAAAATATTCAAGAAACAGACAGAAAGAAGCTAGAATCTTAATAAGCAATATGGTGAAGGGCAGACTGGCCAAAGTATAATATTGGGTTTATCAAGATTAAGATACATTGAAATCACATCTGTAAATCATTAGGCACACAGGAGCTGAATAAATTAGATTCATTATTTTCTAAAACATAATTTTCTTTGTATATCTCAGACAGTCCATTCCTATGGTGTTAGAATTAGCCTGGAACAAAATGGCACAAGAAATAGGCTTTACCATCCTCAAGTAAAGTTATTTAAGACATCATTCAGAAAACAGCAACAGCAGTTAATCTCAAATACAATGAACCTAGTTCCCTCAATAAGTATCAAAAGGTCAATTTTGTATGTAACCTTTTTTAATACAAAAGGCCAGGTGGTTGTAATTTATCTGAGCAAATCAAAATGAGCAAAAGGATGAGTACTGAAAAGGTCATTTAAAAGCTAGATCCTCAGAATGGATTTTAATACATATTACTCCTCAAAGAGCAAAAATGAGAACCTGGTTAATTTCAAATTTTGAAATCTGCACTCGAAAAAATTTTTCACACATAGAATACCCCCACAGTCATACTATGGAGTATATTTCTTAAACTTAGAGGTTTAAGTTGTGAAAGAAATACCTGTCCTGCTCTCAAAGAGAGGGACAAATGAATGCTATGTCTCGGACATCCAGGAGGTGTACAATATGATCAAGTCAACCTTGACGAGTGGAAATATAAAAGCATCTGACTACAATAGAAATGACACACTGACTTCTGCTTGTGTGCCAATAATTTATGACTTGAGGCTCTTGCTGCAACAAAGCTCAGATCAATCTCTCAGTAGTTCCCCCAACCCCAAGAAGTAATTTACTGAAGAAAGATTTCTTTTCTCCCTGATTCTGGGAATTAATGCAAAGCTAATGATTCAATTCTGAGCCACAACATGCTAGCTTCTAGGTTAAAAAATTCTAAATGCAACATAATCCAGTTAGCTTTTTCATTTAGTGTATAAGGAGTTCGTGTTGAACATTTAAGTAGTTTATGACTATAATTTTGAAGTTCTTCAAGAGGTTCTTAAATCTTCCTGGATACGTAAATGACCCACACACTGGCATTTTCCTTTTAATCAATACATATATTAAAGATATTTTTTTCCTTTGAGGAAAATGGGATTATTTTGCTATTAGCTAATGGAGTCATTTTCAGTTCAATATTGCAAAATGCTAAAAAATGGTTCTCCAGTAAAATGCTCCTTTGTGAAGACATCTGCTAAATATAATTTTTTTAAGTCTCCATTGGAAGATACCTATAATAATCATTGACTAACTGGTGTGATAAATGAATAGGCAATCTGACTTGCTTTTAAGATTTTGTGAAAGGAGACATGATGTTTTTTAAAAAAAATGAATTTCAATTGTTTGAATTTTTTAAATGTGAAGGGCAGTTTGATGTAGCATAGATTACTCATGACTGATATAAATCGGCTTTCTTATGTACTTGGAACAATGTGTTAAACCACAAAAATCAGAAGGTGAGAAAGTCACAGGCTCATTGGAGTAACTCATTCCCAGATTTGGAAGGAATACTGGAGGTTACTAAGTCCAATGTTCCTATTAAAGCAGGCTCAGAAGTGCTGTGACTTTCCTGACAGATGGTCATCTAGGACCCTTGAATACCTTGACGTGAACTTTGATCAAGACAAGTCTTCTTTACTTAGCATGTCTATGAGTAAATTTTTGAAACTAAATTCGGAACTTCACATTGGTATTTATTATACATTTTTCATGTTTTACTGTTGTGATTATTTTTAACCTGTTTTTTTATTGAGTGCAGAATTCTCTTTGAACCTTTAAACTTCCAATGTGTTAGTTGTCTCTCTGCATGTTTTCTTTCATGTTGACCCCGATTCCATCCCCTGAACAGGTCAATGCCCTTTGGGGGCAAAGAGAATCAAGATAGTGAGTTGCCATACTTGCTAGTAATTCAATAAAAATCATAAAAGCCACCACAAGAATGAGTATTGCTTTTTCATATTCCAGGGTTCCCTCCATGTCGTATATCAAAAGATAGGACAGATAAGGTATATGGATTTAGAAACATTCAGTTTATTATGTCTACTCTGGGTGGCAAGAGGTATATGATACCCAAGAAGTTCCCTAGCTAGCAGACTAGGCATGTTTTCCCTTATTTTCAAACTTTGTGAAACCATCCTTTGTCCACTGCAAAACTTACCCAAAACTTGACCCTCCTTAGCCCTTGCTCTGGAATACAACTTTTTGGACCATATGTTATTGAATTCTAATTTCTGTACTTTGTATATATTTTTATAAGGAGTGGGTTCCAAACTTGGGGCAACTGAGAAAGGCATCTGTGTATTTCTTACTTAGTCAGCCCCTCTGCAGCTGATGACCAGACAGATTTCTTGGCTCATTCAACCTCTCTTGGTCTAATGATGCTCCCAAAAACTTTGCAGCGTCTTCCTGTGTTTTGTCTGCTTCACCAACCAACTGGTAAATTTTCTTGAATGTATTGGCTTATGATATATTCCTGCTAAGAAGACATATCTAACCCTATGATTTTCTTCCCTTTACCAAAAGCATTTTAACTTTCACCAAATATATTCTATATATTTCACACTTAATCTACAAATTCTCTTTATTCTAATATATTTCCTTTCCATGAATTTTCCCATAAATATCTAAATTTGATAATCAGGCCATTTATTTCTTGGTTGATGAAAATTTTAAGTGGATCAGAGAAAAGAAATACATGCTTCATTACCCTTTCTCTAGAAATGGACACTTACATAGCAATCAATAATGAATCTATTGAACTGTTGGGGTCTCTGATAAGGTTTCTATTATTAAGTAGACCCTTCTCATCCGCTTGGGATTCTGAACAAGTTAAAAAGTAAAAAGTGAAGATAAAGAACATAATATCATTGAGATAGCCAAGTAAAATGGGCCGCCTGGCAGAACCTTTGACAGGCCTGTGCAATGGGAGGAATGCACACTGGGTGGAGCCTCAGAAAGTTCGTGCTGTTTGCAGCGGGAGGAACGTGGCCTCTCCTGTTCTAGGGTGGTACCTGGGAGTCAATTGGTGAGATGGGGGCCTGTTAACAGGAAATTCTCTCACTTTGCTGAGTTTTTTTTTTTCTTTTCACCCAATAAATTCAATTTTTCCCACCCTTCAATGTATCTGTGAGCCTAACCTTTCATGGTCATGTGATAAGGACCCCATTTTTAGCTGAACTAAGGAAAAGGTCCTACAACATCATCTTTATAACTGATGCTGTTTATTTCACTTAAATTTAGAAATCAAATAAGCCACTCCATTTCCTTAAGGATAGAACAAGTGATGGGGCAATCCAGAAAACAAAAATGAAGATCACTGGGCTTCAACTAGGGCCAAGGCCTTAATATGCCATTTACTATGCAAATGCAACTATTTCTAAGCTTTGCTGAGGCAATGACTTAATCACATGGAAAAAAAGGCTTTGGAAATTATTGAGCAGAATATTTGCTGTTACCAAACATAGTAAACTACAAAGAAGTCAAGTTCTAAATTTACGGAACTTGAATTTTAATTTTTGTACTTTGTACACATATATGAGGAGTGAGTCCCAAACTTGGGGCAACTGAGAAACGTATCTGTGTATTTCTGTCTTAGCCAGTCCTTCAGCAACTGATGACTAGACAGCTTTCTTGGCTCATTCAATCTCTTATGGAGAGACTATAGATAGATAGATAGATAGATAGATAGATAGATAGATAGATAGATGATAGATAGATAGATAGATAGATAGATAGAAAACAGAACCTGAATGAGTTTTAAATGGTTACTGTGTATATGTGTGTGTGTGTGTGTATATATATAAACAGAATGTGCATGAGCTTTAAATGGTTAGTGTTAGGCTTAAGTAGCCAACACTAGTTCCTTTACCTAAAATTTCATTTTCTACTTCTTCCCTGACCACCTCAATTAAAATGTCAATCATCTTCACACAGACACACACACAAACACACACACACACACACACACAGCCACTTTCCCTCTTCCTTGTTTTGTTTTTCTCCGCATTATTCTCTATCATCTAATATGCTACATATTTTGCTTGTTTATTTAAAGTTTGTCTCTACTGATAGTACTTGGATTTTTATGTATGTTAATCTCAGCATCTAGAAAGTATCTGGTAGATAGAAGATGTTCAATAAATATTTGTTGAATTTAAAAATTAATTTAGGACTAAGATAGGACCTATGGATGAAACTTACAATCGTTTAGTTTGAACACAAGCTCAAGGTCACTCTCTACCATGTGGTCTTAGATTGTCTCTGAATTGGCTAATGACAGAGGAGAGACAAATACTTCCTGGGAAGTAAAGTCATAGAGACATACAGTGGCAACAGCCACAGCAAAATAAGATTGAAATGCCTCTAGTTAGTCACAAAAGCATGGGTGCTATTCACCAAACACAGTCACTCTCAATTTAGGGTTGGGATAAATGGAAACTAAAGTTTTAAAAATACTGTCTTGGAGGAGAAGGCATGAATAAGATGTGCTCGGGACTGGGTTGATATGATTAAAAATTTCTAATTTTTTTTTCTTTTTTTTTTTTGAAACATTGTCTTACTCTGTCGCCCAGCCTGGAGTTAAGTGGCACAATCTTGGCTCACTGCAACCTCCGTCTCCTGGGTTCAAGCGATCATCGTGCCTCAGCCTCCTGAGTAGCTGGGATTACAGGCGCACATCACCACGCCTGGCTAATCTGTGTACTTTTAGTAGAGACAGTGTTTGCACCATGTTGGCCAGGCTGGTCTCGAACTCCTGACCTCAAGTGATCCACCTGCCTTGGCCTCCCAAAGTGCTAGGATTACAGGCATGAGCCACTCCGCCCAGCCACAAATTTCTAAATCTTGCAAGAAGGCAGCAATGTTTCTCTAAGAGGTAAGTATGCATAATACCAAAATCAACCATTTGCTTAGGGATTTCTCCCACTGGGATTTAAACCCATAGCTCAAGAATTCTGGACAACTTTTATAGACCAATAGTATCATGTCAAGATTAAAATCAGGGTTTACAATCTACCCTTCTTTCCTTAGATACCACTGAGTCTCTGGTATGGTGTTTGGCCACACTAAGAATTAGGTTTAGGCATATCATTTTGCCTGAGATAACTCATTTAAAGGGTAGGAATTGGTCTGCTTTCTAAATTTGGTCACTGTGTGGCCAGTGCTCTGAAAATTTTCCATGTATTATTAATAATTTGAGTTATTTAAAATCAGGCCCACAGAAGGCTTGGCATTGAACTAATATAGCAGTGTTGACACTGAAGGAGCTCTAGGCATTCTGGTGAGAAACAGACAATCCCAACTCTTCCTGTGAATGGTGAGTGCTTATGGCTGAGACTAATATTGAAGAATGTTTAATATTTTAATAAGAAATACTGAAGAATGGTTTTGGAATTTATTTGAAGAATTTTTAACTCACAAAGGCAAAATAATTTTAGACTTTACTTATGGTTTTAACTTGCCAAGAAATATAATCTTTTAAACTTTAATGATTGTTCCTTGGGAAGTTGATAAAGTGAGGAGATTTTATTTAATTAGGGCATTTCTATGTTTTTGGAATTTTATTACTGATGTATCTTTACACATTCTAGTATTAGAGTTATTTAATATGGCCATAGAGTTATATATAATTTAAGATAAGAAATAAGTTGGCGGTAAATTTCCAGCTTCAGATACAGAGTGTCATTGAAGCTGATTTGATATATGTCCTGTTCCAACCCATTTCAGAATCTTCTCAGTGTAGAATCAAAACTGACCACCATGGATCTCAGGATAATGCCCAAAGCAGCTGACATTAGAATTCGCCTCCTGCCCAAATAAACTGCTGATCTCCTCCCTCACATAGTTGACCACAGGCTTTATGGTTAAACTCAGTGGCCTAAGAGAACAGATGCAAGGCAAAGTTAGAGGGGAAAAGCTTTTGCCATTCCTAATTTTGATGAGGAGGAATTTTCCATAGATACTCTCCTAGCTTCTCTCCTGCTCTTACTCATTGTGTTCCAAGGAGGTGAAGTGATTAATTCTACAGATGAATCTGCCTCTCTTCCTTTTAGAAGCAAGTCTGCCTGCAGATGATGTGAGTTTGGTTTGGATCCTGTCTCTCATAACTTCTTATCTGGGAAGCCTACCCACAGGAGGCAGCATACCTTAATGTATTATCCATGGCAGGTGACAAAATCTGCCTAATTCTTGAGTTCAGAATTAGCAAAATAATTTGGTTTATGGACCCAAAGTTATGTCCTGCAGCATGACTTTTATCAATAATAAAAATGATATATTGACCAGTATTTTCAAATTAACTGTTAGTTCCTATTTGTTTAGAACCCAGAGAAAGAAAAGAGTGCTAATTATTGGCCCCTCTCAGAAACCACCAACAATAGCTATGCTATTACCCAGTGTCCATTTTTCTGTCAACTTCAAAAGAACACCAGATATTCATAAATGCCATTACAAAGTTAAGATATATCATATCTGCAGCATAACCTTGCTGTATCAGTCAGGTTATCCTAACAAAAAAAGAAAAAAAGTTCATTTTGAAGGCTTAACTCACTTATAGCTTTACCCTTTCTAATACCATTACTTAAACTGAATAAATGAATGAATGATTTATTAGGGTATTTTATTTTAGCTCTCTTGCCACAGAATCAAAATAGCTTTCCTGTAAACATTTTGGAATACATTTTGCCAAAACCTGGGGGTATGTAAATGCTTCACTTCTCTATTCTCTTTTCCTTATATTATATACTCTCAAATGGCATGATAATTTTCTCTCTCCCAGGACTCCTACATCCCCCACCTGTTGGTTGTTTATCTTACTATTCTCTCTGTCTTCTCAAAGTTAAAGCTATTAGCAAAGCAAATCAAGAATGGATCACATCTTCAGCTTTCAGTGGAATATCCAGACAGTTTCTACTTTCCTATAATTACTCTATCTTGATTCAGTGCCAATTTTGTAACCTGCCAGTGGGACAAAGACAATGTGTCACAGGTCACGCAATTATGACTACACACACTTTCAGCTCAAGGGAGATCTTTTGGATTAATTCAAGTGCAGTACTCATTGCAGCCACCATCTTCAAAATGTAAATAATCTGATTCATGTACCCCTTTTCTATTTATTATGCTCTTTCTGTCAATACTATCTTGGCTTACACTGATTTTCCATGTCAGGACTATCACATAAACAAAGTAAATAACTTACTGATGAAATACATGTTCCAAAGCTTCTAAATTTCACCCAAGTCTCTGCATGCTTTCAGTGTTATTTTATTGTTTTTTTTTTACTATAGGATAAATGACTCTTTTTGGTGAAAAATGCTATATATTACACTCAGTCATTAAAGAATTGAGATCCCTCTACAATGCAAGATGCTTTGCTAAAACTACAGAAACTATCAAGAAATAGGACAGAGTGCTTGTCTTCCAGATTTGTATTCTACTTAGAAAATTGAGATTTAAAGCATAAAATGTTAACTTATAATAGCAGATTTTAATCACAGAACAACTCAGAATTACAAGTGTTCAATCAGTTGTCAAGTAAGTAGCATAAACAAGTGATGAGATTTTAGGAAAAGACATTGTCATGGACTGGACTGGTACTAAAGGCCTTCAGATGTCTGTGAGACAAAGGATGTGCAGGATTTGAATAACAACATTGTGATAATTAAATAATTTGGGTTAGAATAATTCTTTTATTGTACAATTCTAGTTTTGTGAGACTAAATGTACCCTTTTATCCTTCTTCTTTATACTATAAATTCCTGTTCATTATTTCTTCTCATTTGTCAAAGTCTATACATTGCTCTTCTTTTCTACCTTCTTTTTCTTCAAATCTCTCACATTTTCTCATCTCTGAATCCCATAAATCTTTTCCTGCCCTGCCTTTTCCATTCCCTTTTAGTTACAGTAACCACAGGAACAAGATTTTACTCTTCAGATATATTGGAATAAGTTTGTGATACCAGAATTCCAAAAAAGCAGAACTACATTTGTGTCAATCATTTACTTGACATAAACTTTGCTCACCCAATATATATTTTGTTCACTATATTTGCTCTTCATTACATATATTTCAGTATATAATAATTAGACATGCAAGGTATCTGAATGTGTGACATGCCAACAAATACCGATTGAATTCTAGCATTGTAGTGAGTGTTTCGGGCTTTCTTCAGAAACTGCCTTATATTCACTGACAATTCTAAGGCCAAGTAGGTCAAAATTCAAATAAATATGCAAATTATTATAAAGTCAATGAATTTGTATAAATATTATTAAAATAGACCTGAACATTTAACTGGTCTCTGCTACCTTTTAACCAGCTCTTCTTTCCATCAGGAATAAAAAAGTAATGAATATAGCATAAATTATTATTCAGTCTACTGATGCCACTGTTGTCAACGAAGCATGTGTGTTCCCTTTCTGAGAATCTTAAGTAAACAATCATAATTTATTTTCCCAATTCATTGCTTACTTGCTTCAAAAAAAGTGAGATAACTAAGCAAATTATATTCTAATTTAAATCTTGTCTTGACCTTAACAAAATTAACCAAAACTGTATTTTAATTCAAGTTAGAAGTCACTGTAGGCTCGTCAAAGTAATATACACCACAGACATTAGCAAATACACAGAACCAGTAAGAGCTTAAATGATATCCTTTAGCAATTTTCTTGCTAACATTTCAGCTTGAACTTACAATAACATTTATGATAATTTACTGTATACTGCTGACTTAAAACATTTAATTGGAAATGACGCAAGCATACCTTCAGACAATGATGTATCAGATATGGCAAGGCTTTCTCTAGTGCAAACAAAAGAGGAAGAGCAAATATAATGTCACTTGAAATTATGTCCCCTTCCTATACAAAGATCTTAGCCATTTCTAACAAACAGTATTAAAAAGGAAGAAAGAGTTTATAAATTTTCAAATATTTTAAAATTATCAACGTATATAGATTTTGTTAAAACAATAATTCCCCTTAGGAAGATCACACTTTTTAAAGTGATTGTATCTTCATAAGAACCCTGAGAGTTCAGGCTCCAATTTTCTCAGGGAAAAGAAGTTACAAAGCAATTATGGGACTTACTAAAAGCTAAAGACACAAAAAATTCTAGTTAATAGTGTTACTTTTATTCTCATTTTCTTTCTATTACAGTATTGACAACACTGATCTATGTGAAGTAAGAAGCCAGAGAACCCTACTCTAAAAGATAAAGAGGACTCTGAATTCCATTCTGTAATCCCTTCCACCTTTATAAATTATATTCATCATCTCAAATGTTTATGTTCCTTTTCAATATTAGTGCAGTAAGCTGGATAATGATTATTTTATATAAATTTCATTATATATAATTTAAATAACTTGAAAGGGAGTCATAAATTAGTAAACAGGAGCACATCAAGGAATATTTTTACCTAATTGGCAAAAATTAAATTAATGAAGCACTTTGGCAAGAGTATTAAGAGAATGCCACTGGTTTGGCCCTTCTGGAAAGCTATTTGCCAACAGATATCAAAAACATCAAAAGTCCACATATCCTCTGACCTAGTAATTCCACCGCTAAGATTCTATATTAATGAAATACATAATGAGAGATATAAGCAAGATTTATAAGTTTCTATGAAAGTGTCATTTATCATAGTGAAAAATTGGAGACAATTTGGTCTATTTGGTTAAACTGGAATACCAAAAAGGTAAAATATCATATGACCATTAAAAATTTTTCAAGGAATCTTAATAACATTGGAAAATGTTAAGAATATAACTTTATATGAAAAATCAGAATAAATTAATGTGTATATATATGTATAGGTAAATGCACATACATATATAATCACACATATATTTAAAATACAAATAAGATTTGGAATAATGTTTACTTTGGCTTGGGGGATACGGGGAGATGGAATAGGGGAGGGCCAATAAACTTAATATGATATTGTGAATGAGGTTCAAAAGAAGAAAAAACTCACTGTACGAATCATCCCAATTATATTTCCATATCATTGATATCCACATCTATACCTATATCTTTATGCCTGGGAAATACAAAAAGTGTTATCTTTAGAACATGAATTTTAACTTACTTAAATATACATTTTCTGAACTTTTCTATAAAAGTTTCTGTAAGAGGGAAAGAAGAAGAATATTAGCTGTTATTTTGATGTCTCTGAATTGTTTAGACTGATACGATAAGAGTGCAATGATTTTGGAAAACAGTAGAACAATAATAATTTTTGCTATTTTAGAAAGCTGCCTTATTTGTAGCCATTATTTTTATTATATATTATGTGATACTACAGGATAAAAGCGACACGGATTAGTACCTGCCTGAGTTGAATTCATTAATGAAACAAGTTCTAGGAAAAATCCTGTATATAAGTAATTAAAATTGAGATTAATAATTAATCATATCAATTAAATTTAGAATTTGTAAGAAATTACTCAAAAACTAAGAGAGACTGCATTGGAAGAATTTTCTGTGAAATAGAAGCATGCTTAGTTGTTGACGTTAGCTAGATAAGGAAGTAATCTTTTTCAGAAGCCATTAAAGTAGCTCAAATTAATATCTGATTATGTGTAGCTGTTCTCATAAAAAATGATCTAGTGTGATAAAACTTCAGTTGATCTAAACTGCATGGCACTATACATGACTTTAAATTGGCATATTTAACTACTCAGGCTGTCAAATTAATTCAGATTAGGCCTAAAAATATAATGACAAAGTTTGCCATCTGGTGGTCAGTGTGATACAAGTCGGATGTCTGCACTTAACCTATTTCTATTTCAGAGTTTTGAAATGGGTGTAAAAATGGAAGACAACATTGGTATTAAATAAATTCATGGGGGAAATTAAAGCTGTGGCAGATAAAAGTGCACTATGTGATTTGGTCAGATAGTAGCTGTGGTGGGCTGAATAATGCCCACCCCCAAAAAATCTCCAGGTCCTAATCTCTAGAATCTGTGCAAGTTTCCTTATATGGCAAAAGAGACTTTGCAGATGTGATTAAATTAAGTCTTAAGATGGGGATTTTTTCCTGGATCATCCTGAGGGGCCCTAACTGTAATCATAGTGCTCTTATAACAGAAGTATAGGGAGATTTAACTAGAGAAGAAGTCAAGCTAATGTGACCACTAAAGTAAGATGTGATAGTACTGGTTTTGACAAGGGCCAGGAGCCAAGGAATGCAAGAAATGCAGTTTTAGAAACTAAAAAAGGCAAGAACATGGATTCTCCCCTACAGCCTCTAGCAGGGGCTTGGCTACAGAGACCTTGATTTCAGCAGGGTAGGACTAATTTCAGACTTCTGATCTTCAGAACTGCAAGGGAATAACTTGTTTTAAGTCATTGAGTTTACAGTAATTGTGTTGTACTAGCCACAGGGAACTAATATGACAGCTAAGTGGAAGACGGCCTGAGGCTGGGATGATATAAGAAAATGTAAGAAGTGTGAAAAAATTAACTCTGTCCACTAATTAGATACTAAATATGACCATGTCTGTCAATAAGTAATGCATTAGCACACAAACTAATTTTTTAAGCCTAGAAAAAGTTGTTTAGATTGTTTAGAAAGAAACCAAACACAACGCACAAAAATAAACTACTTTCTGCATAATCCCTGTGGTCTGACCTGGTAATTCAAAGGAAAAGAATAGTGAAAGCATTTTACTCTACAAATCTGAAATCTTTGGGAGACAGTAATCTTATAGGACATGCATATTTTATTATGACAGTGATCTTACAGTAATCTATAGTGCAGTAATCTTACAGTAAAAGACAATAATCTTATAGTACCTGCATAATTTTATAGTGATGGTAATCTTATAGTACATGCATATTTTACTCACCAAGGTAATGTGATATATTTTAAAAAGTTAAATATTAACCAAAGCAAGGAGCTATCCTGTAGTAGAGAACAGATTTAGAGTAAAATGAGGCTTGAGATAAAATTCACTAAGTATAAAAAAATGAAGAAATATCACTGGTCTGAGAAGTAATAAATATACAGCATATTCCCTGCTTTTTAAAATCAATACCTCTATTATTTTAACCAATCTTATTTTCTGGGAAGTGAAGAAAATTTCTAGATGTAATGCTAAAATATCCATTAGTATTTGAATCACTATAATGTGTACTTGTGCTTGAAAAATAGAAGCATACAGACAGTATTTTTAGTTCTCAGGATCCAGAGGAAGCAGGCAATCTGATGGCCAAGGTCATAGGTATAGATGAAACATAAATGAGATATTTAACATCATTGGTTTGGTTCAATTAACATTTACTGAGTACAGATCAGATTTCGGGGATCATCCTAGGCATTGAGATTCTCTGTCTTCAGTACACATAAATCAAATAAGCAATGAAAGAGAAATCCACATGCAGCCATGGAAGCAAAAGAGGAGGGCTGTCTCATATGAGAGTGACTGGAGAGTGGGGCCGGGAAGGCTTCCACATGAAACGTGAAGGAGAAGAAGGAGTTAACTAGGAGAAGAAAGAGAAAGAGAAGAGGGTTATGGAAGAAGAAAGGAGGAGAAAGAGATAGAAGAAGAAAGATGAGGATATAATAAGCAGAAAGACTATAATAGGAAATGGAAAGACACCAATATTTCTATAAAATAGCATAGAACAGTCAATATTTTGCTTTCTTTAGAATATAAGAAAATGTGGTGGGAATGAAGCTAGACAGGTAGGCAAGACCGTATACCCCATATCACAAAAAGTATTCTATAGGGATGGCGAACCTAGGTGTGTTAGCTTTCATTTTTTAGCTTAAAAATTTTAGTTTAAGGAACAAAATAGTTATTGTTCATATTTATTCTGCTTAATATTTTTCCTAAAAATAAAATTATTAAATGTATCCTGAAAATAGTACATATAACTCATATATACAATTTAAAAATAACAATTACATGGGTTGAAAATATGTCTCCCCAAAAAGGTAATGTTAAAGTCCTAAACCCTCGTATGTCAGAGTGGGGCCTTATTTGGAAATAGGGCCATTGCAGATGTAATTAGTTAATATGTCACAATAAAATGGGGTGGGCCCCCTAATTCAAGATGACCAGTTTCCTTATAAAGACAATTCAATGTAGAGAGACAGAGACATAGGGAGAATGCCATATGAAGAAGGCAAAGATCAAAGGGATGCACTTACAAGTCAAGAAATGTCAAATATTGCCAGCAACCCACCAGAAGCTAGGAAGAGGCACACACAGCTCTCAGAAGGAAACAACCCTACTGATATTTTGATCTTAGACTTATAGCCTCCAGAATCGTAAAAGAATACATTTCTGTTGTCTCAAATATTCTCCTATACTTTTTCAAGTTTAAAAATTTTCTTCCTTTTAAGTGAAAACTGACTGTCTTTAATAAATCTGGGATTCATTTTTGTGCATGTGCAAATTGGGATTCTATTTCATTTTTTTCCACAGTCAGTTGTCCCACCATCATTAATTAAATATTCTATCATTTTCCCACTGACTTGAAAATCAAGCCGTAGATCAAATTTCCATATATTTGATAAGAGGCCTAAATCTAGACTTTCTATTCAGTTCCATAAAGGATTTATCCTTCAGAAAGCTCCACAGTAAATTTTGATATTTGGAAAGAAAATTCCCCCAAACTATTCTATTTTTATAGAGCATTCTGGTTTTCTTTCTTTCATTTCTTTAATATGTTTGTTTTAAATATATTTTTAAATATACAAAAGATTATATGTTTATATATTATCTACATATATGTTTGTATATTAAGTTAATGCATGTTACATGCATTTATTAAATTAAAAACATAAGATAATGAACATCCATGAACTCACCACTCAACCTAAAAACCAGAATGTTACTAGATCATCCATCAACCTATGTGCTACTTCCCTATTTTATCTCCCTGCTTATCACTCCAGAGGTAACCACTGTCATAAGTAGTTTTGGTACTTTTTGATATTTATAACAATGTTCTCTTTTGCTGTGCAGAAGCTCTTTAGTTTAATTAGATCTGACTTGTCAATTTTTGTTTTTGTTGCAATCGCTTTTGAAGACTTAGTTATAAATTCTTTCCCAAGGTCAGTGTCCAGAATGGTGTTTCCTATGTTGTCTTCTAGGATTCTTATAGTTTGAGGTCTTACATTTAAATCTTTAATTCATCTTGCATTAATTTTTGTATATGGTGAAAGGTAGGGGTCCAGTTTCATTCTTCTGCATATGGTTAGCCAGCTATGCCAGCACCATTTATTGAATAGGGAGTCATTTATTCATTGCTTATTTTTTTTGACTCTGTCAAAGACCACAGGGCCATAAGTGTGTGGCTTTACTTCTGCGATCTCTATCTTGTTCCACTGGTCTATGTGTCTGTCTTTGTACCAGTACCATCTGTTTTGATTACTGTACTCTTGTAGTATAGTTTGAAGTCTATAGTTTGTTCTTTTTGCTTAGTATTGCCTTGCCTATTTGGGCTTTTTTTTCTTTTTGGTTCCATAGGAAATCTACAATAGCTTTTTCTAATTCTGTGAAAAATGACTTTGGTAGTTTGATAGGAATAGTGTTGAATCTGTAGATTATTTTGGGCAGTAGATATTGATTCTTCCAATCCATGAGTACAGAATGTTTTTCATTAGTCATCTATGACTTCTTTCAGCAGTGTTTTGTAGTTCTCCTTGTAGAGATCTTTCACCTCCTTGGTTAGATGGATTCCTAGGTATTTTATTTTTTGTGTGACTATTGTAAATGAGATTGTATTCTTGGTTTGGTTCTCAGCTTGAATGTTACTGGTGTATAGAAATCCTGCTGATTTGTGTACATTGATTTTGTATCCTAAAACCTCGCTGAAGTTGTTGATTAGTTCCAGGAGAATTTTGGTGGAGTCTTTAGTGTTTTCTAAGTATAGAGTCATTAGTGTTTCCTAAGTATAGAATTATATCATCAGCAAAGCGAGATAATTTGACTTATTCTTTTACTATTTAGATGCCTTTTCTTTTCCTTGCCTGATTGCTCTGACTAGGACTTCCAGAACTATGTTGAATAGGAATAGTGAAAGTGAGCATCCTTGTCTTATTCCAATTATCAAGGGAAAAGCTTCCAGCTTTTGCCCATTCAGTATTATGTTGGCTGTGGGTTTGTCAAAGATGGCTCTTATTATTTTGAGGTACATTCCTTTGATGACTAGTTTTTTCAGGATTTTTATCATGAAGGGATGTTGGATTTTATTGAAAACTTTTTGGTGTCTATTGAGATGATCATAAACTTTTTGTTTTTCATTCTGTTTATGTGTTGAATCACATTTATTTATTTGCATATGTTGAACCAACCTTACATGCCAGGAATGTAGCTACTCAATCATGGTGAATTAACTTTTTGACGTGCTGCTGGATTCAATTTGCTAGTATTTTGTTGAGGAATTTTGCATAACTTTCTTTTTTTGTTGTGTCTTTTCCAGGTTTTGGTATCAGGGTGATGCTGGCTTCATAGAATGCTTAGGGAAGAGTCTCTCCTGCTGTATTTTTTGGAATAGTTTCAGTAGAATGAATACCAGCTCTCCTTTGTATGTCTAGTAGAATTCAGCTGTGAATCAATCTGGCCCAGGGATTTTTTTGGTTGGTAGGTTTTTACTACTGATTCAGTTTTAGAACTCAATATTGGTCTGTTCAGGATTTCATTTCTTCCTGATACAATCTTGGGGAAATTGTGTGTTTCTAGAAATTTATCAATTTTCTCTAGATTTTATAATTTGTGTGCACAGAAGTGCTCATAATATTCTCTGAAGAACTTTTATATTTTCGCAGGATTGGCTGTAATATCATCTTTGATATTTCTGATTTTGGTTATTTGGATCTTCTTCAGTTTGTTTGCTAATCTACCTAGCAGTCTATCAATCTTATTTATACTTCCAAATAACCAACTTTTGGTTTTGTTGATTCTTTGTATGGATTTTTGTGTCTCAACTTTATTCAGCTATGCTCTGATTTCAGTTATTTCTTTTCTTCTTTAGCATTGGGGTTAGTTTTTGTTTTTCTAGTTCCTCTAGCTGTGATGTTAGATAATTAAATTGACATCTTTCTAATTTTTTGAGGTAGGTGTTTAGCACTATAAGCTTCCTCTGAATACTGCTTTTGCTGCATCCCAGAAATTTTGGTATGTTGTATCTATATTTTCACTTATTTCCAATAATTTTTTGATTCCTGCCTTAATTTTGTTGTTTATCCAAAAGTCAATTCAAGGGCAGGTTTTTAAATTTCCATGTAATTGTGTGGTTTTGAGAGATCTTATTGGTATTGATTTCTACTTTTATTCCAATGTGGATTGAGGGTATGGTTGTTATATTTTCAATTTCAAAAATTTATTGAGACTTGTTTTATGACCAAGCATGGGGTTGATCTTAGAGTATGTTTCATGTGCAGATGAGAAGAATGTATATTCTGTGGTTAACAGGTGTAGTTTTCTATAGATATCTTTTAGGTCCAAATGGTCAAGCATAGAATTTAAGCCCAGAAATTCTTTGTTAGTCTTCTGCCTTGATGATCTATCTAATGCTGTTAGTGGGGTGTTGCACTTCCCCTCTATTATTGTGTAGCTGTCTGTGTATTTTCATAGGTCTAGAAGGACTTGTTTTATAATTCTGGGTGCTCCAACGTTGAGTGCATATATATTTAGAATAGTTAAGTCTTTTTGTTGAATTGAACTCTTTATCAATATATAATGCCCTTCTTTGTCCTTCTTTACTGTTATTGGTTTAAAGCCTGAAACTATCAACAAAGTATAACAGACAACATACAGCATGGGAGAAAATATTCACAAGCTATGCAGCCAATAAAGGTCTAATATGCAGAATCTACAAGGAATTTAAACAATTCAACAAGGAAAAGTCAAATAACCCCAGTAAAAAGTGGGCAAAAGACATGAACAGACACTTCTCAAAAGAAGACATATAAGTGGCTAAAATACATATGAAAAAATGCTTCATATCACTCACCATCAGAGAAATGGAAATCAAAACCACAAAACCACAATGAGATACCATCTCACACCAGCCAGAATGCATATTTTTAAAAAGTCAAACAACAGTAGATGCTGGTGAGGCTGCAGAGAAAAAGAAACACTTACACAGTGTTGCTGGGAGTGTAAATTAGCTCAGCCACTGTGGAAAGCAGTTTGAAGATTTCTCAAAGAACTTAAAACAGAACTACAATTTGACCCAGCAATCCCATTACTGGGTATATATCCAAAAGAAATAAATCATTTAACCAAAAAAGGCACACACATTTGTATTTTTATTCCAGTACAATTCACAATGGTAAAGACATTGAGTCAACTTAAGTGTCCATCAATGACAGATGAATAAAGAAAATGTGGTACATATACACCATGGAATTCTACATAGCCATAAAAATGAATGAAATCTTGTCCTTTGCAGCAACATGGATGTAGCTGAAGGCCGTTATCCTAAGCAAATTAACATAGGAACAGAAAACCAAATACCACATGGTCTCATTTAAAAGTGGGAGTTAAACACTGAGCACTCATGGACATAATGATGACAGCAACAGACAGAGGAGGCTACTAGAGATGAGAGAGCAGGAGGAAAGGGCTGAGAAAGTAACTATGGGGTACTATGCTCACTACTTCGATGACGGGGTCAATGGTATCCCAAACCTCAGTCACGTAATGTACCCATGTAAGAAACCTGCATATGTATCCTTGAATCTAAAATAAAAGCTGCAATTATTTAAAATAATAAATGATAAATAAATAAATAAACAAACAAATAAATGTTCTCTGACTGTGAATGGTCCTTTATATCTTGCTTTTTTCACTTCAGCTTATGTTTCTAACATCCATTTATGTTTCTGTGTGAAGCTCTCATTTATTCATTTTACTCCCAATAATTTGCAGTGACACATATCAAGTTTTTAATTCTATGTGAGTTTGTTGTTGAACTCTTTATTCTGTTCTCTTGATCTAATTGCCTATCCTTACGCAAAAAATCACATTTCTTAATTACTCTAGTTTTATTAAAAAACAAAACAAAACTGAGTATCTTGAAAGGCAAGTCATCTAATCTTATACTTCCTGGTCAAGAGTGTCTTGGATATTCTTGATACTTTGCTTTTCCATGTAAATTTTAGAACTATCTTTCATGTTTTATAAAAACATGTTGCAATGGGAATTTTATTAAATCTATAGATCAATTTGATAACTTTACTACACTGAATCTTCTTAGATTCAGTAGAATTGATGACTTTACTAGATCTTTTTATCCATAAAGTAGCTATTCCTCTCCATTTGGTTGAGTCATCATTAATCCCTCTCAACAAAGCTTTATAAAACTTTACAATTTTATGACTTCATAATTTTCTACATAACAATCTTGAGCATCTGTTAAAATTATTCCTAAATAGCCATTTTTGTTGCTAATATAGATTAAAAAAATCATATTTACTATTTGTTGCTGGTGTATATAAATATGAAATTTCCTTTAGTGTATTTAGTTTATCTGGCTACTTTGTTAACTTTTAAATATTACTAAAATTTAATAACTTAATACAAAAAGCACTGAGACGAATATTGCTAGTAATGGCCATTTCTGGATAGCTGCTCTTTTTTTTGGTCTACTCACATTTCTTCTTCTTTTTTTTTTTGAGATGGAGTCTCGCTCTGTTGCCAGGCTGGAATGCAGTGGTACCATCTCAGCTCACTGCAACCTCTGCCTCGCAGGTTCAAGTGATTCTCCTGCCTCAGCCTCCCGAGTAGCTGGGACTACAGGCCCACGACATCATGCCCAGATAATTTTTGTATTTTTAGTAGAGACGGGGTTTTACCATGTTGGTCAGGATGGTCTGGATCTCTTGACCTCGTGATCTGCCTGCCTCGGACTCCCAAAGTGCTGGGATTACAGGCTTGAGCCACCGTGCCCAGCCCACATTTCTTCTTGACACTAGCAACAACTGTAGCAACTTTATGTTCAACTGAACTCTATCAGTATGCCACATGTTAAGAAAATTCATCATCTTAAAATGCCTTCATGATTTCCCCTGTCCTTATTTGTAAATTCTCCATGTATTCTGGTTCAAGGGCATCAGATTTAGCAAAATTCACAAAAATCATGTGGATATAAATCCAGTATTTTACTTGGACTTAATTTGATTTTTTTTCTGTTAGAGTTGTTTGTTTTCATATCATTTAACTAGTTTCATGAGCATTAAATTAGTAGCCTCTTCATTACATTTCTTCTTATTATTATTTAATGGTTATTCTGGTAGTATATTTAAACTGGGTCCATTTCTCTGATTGTTGTACAGCCAAATATACAGAAACTATGAAAGTATCTATAAAGGGTTAATTCCCATTTCTCTATCACTACAATGAGTTTTTCAGTATTAATGTGACAAAGAGCATAAATCAAAATACTCTATCTGGCATTTTAAGCTCTACTTAGTGTGTTTCAAAAGGGAAAAGTGGAACAATTTAGAGTTCATCAATTATATCGCATTAAATTAGCCTCCATCATTGGCTTGGCTCGACAGCCTTCATCTATTTTAATTTACAACAGAAAGGACAGCCAAGTACAGGATAGTAGCAAAGACACGGTCAAAAGGAGGCTCTGTCTTCTTAGTTATAAAAAATGCTTTGTTTTCATAGCATTAAGAGAGGCATTAAGATAAAGACCTCTAACTCAAATGAGATTCCAAAATAGCATATCATACATGTCATAACATTTACATTAATAAAAGTAAATTATAATAGAATTATATATGTAACACACAGAAATTTTTTATTGATTAAAAAAATAGGCCAGGTACAGTGGCTCATGCCTGTAATCCTAACACTTTGGGAGGCCAAGGCAGGTGGATCACTTGAGCTCAGGAGTTTCAGACCAGCCTGGGCAACATGGTGAAAACTTGTCTTTACAAAAAATACAAAAATTAGCTGGGTGTGGTGGTATGTATCTGTATTGCCAGCTATTCGGGAGGCTGAGGTGCCAGAATTGCTTTAGCCCAGAAGGTGGAGGCTGCAGTGAGCCATAATCACTCCAGCCTGAGCAACAGAGCAAGATCCTATCTCAAAAAAATACAAAACATGCTTGTATTGTAAAGTATAAATTCCAACTGTGATATTCTGTTAACATGGCAGAATACATTGGTTCTTTAAACAAATTTACAAGGAAAAAACACACTAAAAAGTGGGCAAAGGACATGAACACTTTTCAAAAGACATACATGTGGCCAACAATTACATGAAAAAAAGCTCAAAATCACTGATCATCAGAGAAATGCAAATCAAAACCATCATGAGACACCATCTCACAACAGTCAGAATGGCTATCATATAGTTTGGCTTTGTGTTCCCACCGAAATCTTATCTCAAATTGTAATCCCCACATGTCAAGGAAGAGGCCAGGTGGGAGGTGATTGGATCATGGGGGTGGATTTTCCCCCTTGCTGTTCTCCTGATAGTGACTGTGTTCTCATGAGATCTGATGGTTTTAAAGTGTGGCATTTCCCCCCTAGCTCGCTCGCTCTCTCTCTCTCTCTCTCTCTCTCTCTCGCTCTGATATGTGATGACTGTACCTGCTTCCCCTTTGCCTTCTGCCATGATTATAAGTTTCCTGAAGCCTCTCAGCCATGTGGAACTGTGAGTCAATTAAACCTCTTTTCATCATAAATTACCCAGTCTCAAGTAGTTCTTTATAGCAGTGTGAAAATGGACTGATACAGGCTATTATTAGAAAGTCAAAAAAATAACAGATGCTAGCAAGGTTGTGGACAAAAAGGAATGCTTACACACTGTTGGTGGGAGTGTAAAATAGTTCAACCATTGTGGAAGACAGTATGGAGATTCCTCAAAGACCCAAAAGCAAAAATATAATTTGATCTAGCAATCCTACTACTGGGCATATACCCAAAGGAACATAAATTGTCCTATTATTTTGTTTTGTTTTGATTTTTGAGACAGGGTATCTCTCTGTTAACCAGGCTGGAGTGCAGTGGCACGATCTTGGCTCACTGCAATCTCTGCCACCCAGGCTCAAGCAATCCTTCTACCTCAGCCTCCTGAGTAGCTGGGATTATAGGCACATGCCACCATGCCTAGCTAATTAAATCATTCCATTATAAAGACCATGCACAGGTATGCTTGTCACAGCACTGTTCACAATAGCAAAGACATGGAATCAACCTAAATGAGCATCAATGCTAGACTGGATAAAGAAAATGTTGTGACAGGGTGCGGTGTCTCCCCCGCTGTAATCCCAGCACTTTGGGAGGCCAAGGCAGGCGGATCACGAGCTCAGGAGATCGAGACCATCCTGGCTAACATGGTGAAACCCCGTCTCTACTAAAAATACAAAAAATTAGCCGGGTGTGGTAGCAGGCGCCTGTAGTCCCAGCTACTCAGGAGGCTGAGGCAGGAGAATGGCGTGAACCTGGGAGGTGGAGCTTGCAGTAAGCCAAGATCATGCCACTGCACTCCAGCCTGGGCGACAGAGCAAGACTCCATCTCAAAAAAAAAAAAAGAAAATGTTGTACATATACACCATGGAATACCATGCAGCCATAAAAATAGAATAAGGTTGTATCCTTTCAGGAACATGGATGGAGCTGAAGGACATTGTCCTTAGCAAACCAATGCATTCATTCTTCAACTATTGTGATGTTACTATTAAATGGCTGGGAATAGTCAATGAATTTCTTATTATTTTATAATCTTTATCATTACCTAAGCATCAAGATGTAAATGTTCTTTATTTTTATTCAATTTAATATCCTTAGTATTTTCTTTGTTTATATTATAGGAAATGATGATATAGTTCTAATATATAAGGTTATCAACATCATGAATGTGCACTTCATACTGAATGTAGAATACAATACAAATCACATTTACTCCTCGTGGGTTTTAGAATGACATCATATTAGGTTTAAAGTATTGAAAGCTTGGACTGAATGCTAGGAGATTCAAATAATAACTTACCCGTTACTAACTTCACCTTCCATCTTTCAAAAAAAAGAATGTTGAAATATTATTTATAAATACTTCATACTTTTCAGAATAAAACTCCTATAAAAATAATCAGTAGTATTTTCACATTATTGAATTCCAGCGTTGTTTAAATTCCTAACTTTGATAATGGCTCCTTGAATTTGGACCTGACTGATGAGCATAAAAAAATTCTCCTTCAGATTTGTACTAAATAGCCAAAATTGAATTTGGTAGAACTCAGGGTATTGACAACGGTCCTTTTCTAAACTAATAAAGGGTTTTGAATTTTTCTTTTTTTTCTTTTCTTTTAAAAAATGTGTCAGTTGATTTTTCTCTGAGCACAGTTTTGAAAGTATCACCCTTATTTTATGAAAAACAGTATTCCTTTGGTATTTAGGAAATATTAACTAAATCCAAACCATGTTTCTCAACCCCTTTTATCTCTAAGGAGTCATAAAAATGGATGAAGATACTCTGTGTGTGTGTGTGTGTGTGCGTGTGTGCATGTGTGTGTGTGTGTGTGTGATTTTATAACATTTGTAAAAAAAAAAAAACAGGAAAAATAGAATGCACTCATTCACTTGAAATTGCATTTCTACCATCCTCCACCCTCCCAAAATAAAGCAAGGAAAAGTGAATCTTTTATTTAGACTAGTCATAGAAAATGCCTTATTCCCACCTGGGGAAATGCTTTCCCAAATGAAGCTTCATTTTTATAATATCATTGTGTTCCACTACAATTTTGTTAGTTGTATTGAACATCAAATCATGTTTAAATAAGCTTTAGTACTCTCCAAAATATCATTTATTTACTATCAAGAATCTAAAAGAATGTCAGAAATAACATTCAGTATACACAAAATGAATATAGCAGTATCTGTGTCTTTGAAAATGTATTTTATATATAAATTCAAAAGTCATGCTTTGCATAGCTGTTTACATTATGAAAAGTTTTAACATTGCTACCTGAATTTTACTTTAATCAAGATATTTGTCTAGTATTTACTTCCAAAGAACTTATCCACATTAGTTCCATAATGTTAGAGCATCCAAAGTCTTTCTATAATAAATTGTACCTATTCAGAACATGCTTTTATATATTAAACATTTTATTTTTTGAATTCATATATGCCCATATTTTTCAGTAATTTATTACTATAAATATGAACATATTTGTAAACACAACCAATCATGAGACAGGTCTAGTTTTTATACACTGATATACAGTGGGAAGTGTGTGTGTGTGTGTGTGTGTGTGTGTGTGCGTCTGTGTAGACTGTGGGAGTAGAAGTGAAAAATAGGAAAGTTATATTTAGGAACAGAAAATGGCAAATAGAAAGAGGCATAGATAAGGAACAAGTACTATGATTTAGGGATTATACATGGGTTACTATATGGATAGTCATCTGGTATTATGACTTCATACTATATGGATAGTCATTTGACTTACATTATATTTTCCATTCACAGGAGAATTAAAAGCCAGTAGGCTTCTGGCCCCTTATGCCTAGCACCCTCCTGTCAAAGATAACCATGTGCTGTTTAATTATGTTTCTGGTCAATGATGGACTGTATATATTGCAGGGCGCCCATGAGAATTTAATGGAGCTACCCTATATATGTGTGCCCAATTTTTATCTTATATAATGCATTATTGCATTTTTGCTCTACTTAATTTTTATATTTAGATACACAAATACTTATTGTGTTACAGTTGTTTACAGCATTCGGTACAGTAACATACAACACAGGTTTGTAGCCCGAGAGCAATAGGCCATACCGTATAGCCTAGTTGTGTAGTAGGCTATCCTATCTGGGTTTCTTTAAGGAAACTCTGTGATGTTCATACTATGATGAACTTGTCTAATGAGGCATTTCTCAGAAGGTATCTTTTCATTAAGTGATGCCTGATTGTATAGCGTTTTTAATCTTGAATTGTCTTACATTTCAGCTTGTGAGTAATTTGGTTTGGACAAAAGGTACTGAAGCTAACAAAAAGCATGAAGCCAATACTCTATAGAAGAAATGTAAAACAGCCACTGCATAAATAGATTTGTCTGGTTCAATACCTCTGCTAAATCTCAGCCAATATTTGCGTACATGAAATAGTGATGCACTTAGAATCTTAGACTATTGGTAACAACCTGAATTTAAGTCCCATTTCATTTCTGCCCATAATAGGATATTAAAACAGAAATATATGTAAAAAACATTTTTAAAAAAGTGGTTACCTTTCAGCCATTTAAATAGTAAAAAACTATTACTATATATAATCATAAAAGGGCTGGTGAAATGCCCTTATTTGAATGAAATCTTCCCTTTTTATTCTGTTACATATAAACATATAAACATATCTAATTAATTGAGGGAAGAATTTTCCACAAAAGTGCTCTTCAGTACATAAATATGTCAAATATCAGTGATCAATGATCTTACTCAGTGCCTTTTTAAGAATATGGCAACTTGGAAGCAATATTGCCTATTATAAAGAGGGATGTTGCATTCAGAAGAGGTTATGAAAAAACAAGGACTCTCCTTTACTCATAGGTTATATCTGTGGCCAAATGATAATGACCTTAGCATCACATATACATTGAACACTAAGCTTGAAATACTTTGTTCTAAAACATTAATGTCTTCTACAACTACAACTTGTTTTTTATAACTATTTTCTACATATTATTTATATTGGATTTCAGTAGGTTAAAATGCATTCTAAATAAATAAATAAAATGTTTTAAAAACATTCAATGAATCTCTTATAGGATTATATTTCATTTTATTTCAAATTTTTTAAAAATTATTTTATTATTTATAAAATTTATAAAATTATTTTAGGAATACAAGTGCTATTGTATTACAAAGATATATTAAGGGATTATTTTTAGAGTACTTGAACAATCTAACATCTGTTGTCAAGTTAAACTTTTAAGGGCCCGTAGGCTCTTAAATGTAATGCAGCGACCTTCACCTGTAATGTACCTAGAACAGTATATGCTTTGGGTTCATGGCTCCTGACTGAAACTTTGTATGCTTTCAGTGATATATGTCAATTTATTCTTCAAATTCCTGCACAATCTTGTTTGCTAATCATTATTCCTGAACTCCTGCTTTACAAGTCTAGTAATCAAAGAATAAATAGTTCTGTCTGCAATTAGATCCTCAAAGCAATAGGGTCCCATCAGGCACCTATTAGCTTCACACATTATTAAAAAGAGTTCAGTTGTTTAATAGCCAAAATTTTGCCTTACTATAGTTGGAGGAAATAGTTTTTCTTTAATTTGTTAAAGAATTAGGAATTTAAATTGTATTATTTGATTCAACTCTAGGAAAAAGTTTCAGAACCTCATGAAGTCAAAACTGCCTCATTGGTGAAGTTAAGAATTTTATATTTGGCTTTGTCAATGATTTCTTGGATATGACACAAAAGAGCACTGGCAACAAAACCTAAAACTGTCAAGTGGGATTACACCAAACTAAGAAGCTTCTGCAAAGCGAAGGAAACAATCAGCAAAATAAAAAGGCATAGCTTTGGAGAAAATATTTGCAAACTATATACCTGGTAAATGACTAATATCCAAAAAATATAAACAAAATCGACAACTTAATAGCAAAAACAATAAAATTTAAAAATGAAAAATAAGAAAAAAACCCAAAATTTAAAAATGAGCAAAGGAACTGAATAGATTGATTGATTGATTGATTGATTGATTTTTAGACAGGGTCTGCCTCTGTCACCCAGGCTGGAGTGCAGTAGCGTGATCTCAGCTCACTGCAACTTATGCTTCCAGGGCTCAAGCCATCCTCTCAACTCAGCCTCCCAAATAGCTGGGACTGCAGGCATGCACCACCATGCTCAGCTAATTTTTGTATTTTTTGTAGAGACGGAGTTTTGCCATGTTCCTCAGGCTGGTCTCCAATTCCTGAACTCAGGTGATCCACCTGCCTTGGCCTCCCAAAGTGCTGGAATTACAGGCGTGAGCCATCACGCCTGGCCTGAATAGATATTTTTTCAAAGAAGGTATACAAATGGCCAAAATGTATATGAAAAGGTGCTCAACTTTAGTACCCATCAGGGAAATGCAAATCAAAATAATGAGCTATCACCTCACACTTGTTAGGATGCTTATTACCCAAAAAGCAAAAGATAATCAATGTTGGTAAGGAAGTGGAGAAAATGGAACCCTTGTACATTGTTTGTGGGAATGTAAATTGGTACAGGCACGATGGAAAACACTATGGAAGTTCCTGAAGGTTAAAAATAAGAACACTGGTTCAAGATGGCTAACTACAGACATTGGGCACCTGCCTTCTCCAGAAGGAAGCACCAAAATTATGAATAGATAATCATACCTTGAATAGAACATCTAGGAAAGAATACTGATGTCTAACAGAGATGCCACAGGAAACACCTGAGGCAGAGAAGGAAAAGGTACCCAGCAGCCAGCTCAGAGAAGGTTGGCTTGGGAGCCCCAAGGGGCTTGGTATTGTAGGTAAAGCGTAATTCAGCAGTCCACATCCCTACTGTGGACTGCTGCAATTTGAGCAATGGGAGAGTTCTTACGCCCACAGAAACCCTGACGCTAGCATAGGGAGTGATTTGCAGGGTCCATGAGGACATTGCTCCAGAAAGAGGACTTGCACATTGTCACTCATTCCTGTCCCTGCCAAGACCTAAGCAGCAGCAGCTGGGCACCCTTGTGAGGGCACAGTTGCCATGGGACTGCATCTTGCCCTGGGAATCATAGCCCCCATATCTCTACATCCCATGAGCCCCAACTGACATCTCTCAGTGTCCACCCAGTGTCCACTAAAGTGGCACAGTGTTGGTTGGTTCAAAAGATTCTGCATAGTCCCCAGTACTCTGGTCCAGGGGTCTCCAACCTCTGGGCCACAGACTGGTACCTGACCGTGGCTTGTTAGAAACCAGGCCACACAGCAAGAGATGAACAGTGGGTGAGTGAGCATTACCACCTGAGCCCCACTTCTTGTCAGATCAGCAGGGGCATCAGATTCTCACAGGAGCGAGAACCCTATTGCAAACTGTGCCTTTGAGGGATCCAGGTTGTGTGCTCCTTATGAGAATCTAACTAATGCCTGATGATCTGAGGTGGAACAGTTTCATCCTGAAAGTATCTCCCCCCAATACCCACCCCCATCTGTAGAAAAATTGTCTTCCATGAAACTGGTCCCTGGTTCCAAAAAGGTTGGGGACTGCTGCTGTAATCCACAGGGAGTACTATTTCCTGGGGAAAGGATGGTACAGCGCACCATCCGTGGGACAAAGGAAACAAAGCACATGCTTTTCAGAGGCCAAGACCTCCCTGTCTGGGACTATGAGAAGTGACTCTGTCTCCAGCAGTAGTGCAAATTCTGTACTTGGCCTTGCAAGCAGAGAGTGAGATCCCCTCTCACCAGCAAAATGACCTCTCTGCTAGGCCTCATATGTACAGAGTAGGATGCCTTCTTTCCGTCTGCACACTGTTACAAGTACAGCCATTGCTGCTGCCACTGGAGGCTGAGGTGCATGAACAGAGGCTACCTGTGTGGGGCTATGAATGACAACTGTGCCCCCACTGATGGTGTGGCCCCAGCGTCCAGGACAGTGTGTGACAGGCAGGGTCCTTCCCCACCTCTACAGAACTGTTGCTGCAGAGAGCAGGACAGCCTGCGAGCTCTGTGTCTGGGGCTGTGAATGGTGATCTCTGACTACAGCCACTATCAACACCAGTGCACACTGATCAAGACCCAGAGATACATACTTTCCTGGTCCACTGCTGCCACTACCAGCATCCAAGCAAGCAGCCACCTAGAGGCCTAAGAATCAGTCTGTCTGATCCTGCTAATACTGGTGCCAGTGTATGCTGTTCTGGGGCCCAAGATCAAGCATGCTCATCCCACTGCTGCCAATATGGGCATAGCAACATAAGAACAGTTCTTAGAGGAAAATTTCTTTAAGCAAATGAAAATGAAAACACAACATATGAAAACATAATATACTTTGTTTTGCGGGACACAAAAACAAAGCAGTGCTAAGAGGCAAGTTTTTAGCAATAAATGCCTACATAAAAAAGCCAAAAAGATTTCAAATAAACAATCTAATAATGCATCTCAACAATCTAATGATGCATCTCAAGGAGCTAGAAAATCAAGAACAAACCACACAAAAAAATTGTAGAAGAAACAGACAAGTTGGAGCCATCACAGTACTTGACTTCAAAACATATTATAAGGTTATGGTAAACAAGGCAGCATGGTATTGGTATAAAAACAGACACATAGACCCATAGAACAGAGTAGAGAACCCAGAAACAAATTGAAATATTTACAGCCAACTGATCCTCAACAAAGCTACCAAGAACATACACTAGGGAAAGCATACTCTCTTCAATAAATGGTATTGGGACAGCTAGATAACTGTATGCAGAAGAATGAAACTCGGACCCCTATCTCTCATCATACACAAAAGTAAACTCAAAAGATGCATTAATGACTTAAATTAAGACCCAAAACTATAAAACTACTAGAAGAAACATAGAGAAAAATCTTCAGGACATTGGTATAGGCAAAGATTTTATGGCAAAGCCCTCAAAAGCACAATCATAAAAAAGGGGGGATAATACTAAATTTAAAAGTTTCTCCACAGCAAAGGAAACCATCAGCAGAGTGAATAGACCACCCCCTGAATGGGGAAAATATTGGCAAATTACTAACTGACAGGAGACTAATATACAGAATATATAAGGAACTCAAACAACTCAACAGTTTCAAAAAAAACCTCATTAAAACATGAGAAAAGGACACGAATAGTTGTTTCTCAAAAGAAGACATAAAGATGGCCAATGGGTATATATAAAAAAATGCCCCAACGTCACTAATCATCAGGAAAATCCAAATCAAAACCACAATCAGATACCATCTCACCCAAGTTAGAATGGCTATTACTAAAAAGACCAAAAATAACAGATTCTGGTGAGGATGCAGAGAACAGGTAACTCATATGTTGTTGGTGGGAATGTAAATTAGTGCAGCCACTGTGGAAACAGTAGAGAGGTTTCTCATAAAACTTAAAGTATACCAACCTTATAGTCCAACCATTCCACTACTGGGTATCTATCCAAAGGAAATCAGTGTATCAAGGGGATACCTGGACTCACATGGTTACTGCCAGCAATGTTCGTGATAGCAAAGCTATAGAATCAACCTACATGCTCATCGATGGATGAATGAGTAAAGGAAATGTAATATATATATACACAATGGAATGCTACTCAGCTATAACAAAGAATGAAATCATGTCATTTCCAGCAACATGGATGGAACTGGAGGACATTATGTTAAGTGAAACAAGCCAGGCACAGAAAGACAAATACTGCATGTTCTCACTTATAGAAGATAAAAGACTTGATTTCATGGGTATAGAGAATAGAACCATAGATACCAGACTCTGGGAAGGGTTGCAGTGGGGAGCGGGGGAGTGAATGAAGAGAGACTGATTAGGGTTAAAAACATACAGTTAGATAAAATAAGTTCTAATCTAATATTTGATAGCAGGCTAGGGTGACTATACTTCTCAATAATATAATGTATATTTGAAATAAGTACAAGAGAGAACTTGAAAGAATACCAATACACTAAAAATGATAAACATTCAAGATGATTGATACTCCAATTACCCTGAATTGAACATTATATAATTTTTGCCTGCAACAAACACTCCCATGGACCCTGTAACTATATAAATTATTATATATCAATAAAAGGGAAAAATTAAAAATAGAACTATCATTTGATGGAGCAATCCTGCTTCCAAAGGGGCAATGAAATTAATATCTCAAAGAGGTATCTGTATTCCTATGTTTATTTCAGCATTGCTTACAATACTAACAACCATGTCCATGTCCAACCTAAATGTCCATTAAATTTGAACGGATAAAGAAAATGTGGTATATACATACAATGGAATATTACTTAGCCTCAAAAAAGAGGGCAATCTTGCGATTTGCAACAACACAGGTGTACCCAGAGGACATTATGCTAAGCAAAATAAGCCAGACACAAAAGGGCAAATGCTACATGGCACCACTTATATGATAAATCTAAAATGGCCAAACTCATAGAAGCAAGAGAGTAGAATGGTGATTTTCCAGGAAATGGGGGAAGACGGAAGTGGAGAAGTGTGAGTCAAAGTGTACAAAGTTTCAGTTAAGCAAGATGAACAAGTCCTAGAGACCTACTATACAACACAATTATATGTATAATTATAGCATAATGTGTATAGTTAATGTATTATATACTTAACATTTTGCTGAGACGAGATTTTCCATTGTTATGTAAAACATCATAATCCAAATCAAAATTGCTAATCATCAGGAAAATCCAAATCAAAACCACAATCACCTAAATAAATAAATAAATAAGGTGGAAGGAAATTTCTGGAGGTAATGAATAGGTTTATAGCATAGATTCTGTCGATAGTTCCATGGCTGTATACTTATCTCCAAACTCATCAAGTATATACGTTAAATATGCAGAGTTTTTTGAATATAAGTCACCCTTAAATAAAGTGGTTTAACAAAACTTTATATTATTACTCAATAAGGTGCTTAGCTAACTTCTCCAAATGTAGCAGTCAAGGTTTCTATCAGTTTTGTAATAGATGTAATGCAAAATGATGGAAGATAACTTGGATATCAAGCCTAAGAGTGTGAAACATGAATTAAATGACCCATTTGAAACATGACTCCTTAAAAGTAATCACATATTTGATATGTGCTGGTTTGGTTAGCGGACTTGAAATCCATTCAGTTTACAAATGCTAACTGAGCACCTATTAATGTGCCTTGCAAGCATCATACTAAGTAATAGTGATGAAAAGATAAATAAGATAGAGTATCTGCCACTTAGCTTTTACATTCTAGGAATGGGATTTTGTTAGTGTTCTAAAAATGCAGATTAATGAAGGTTAATAGCAGGTCTTACCAAACCCTCTCATTTTCCCATAAGGACAAAGGGCAAATCTTTCATACTTAGAAAAGGTCAGACTAAGGTTTCTAAGTAGGTGTAGCTCAAGAAATGGTGAGGCTAGAATTCTCTAGAACTATGTAAGGAAGCAGAGTCTTTTGCTGTAAGGAACCATTTGCGGTATTGTACTGTTTTCTTTCTCAAAGGCAATGCTTCGTCTTCAACCATTCAAACATGGATGTACTTTTTGCTTACAGTGTGGCATTAATAATTCAGAATTTAGATAAAAATAGCACTTCCTTCTGAGAAAATAGAACAAATGCTATTCATATTCAAATAAAATGCTAAGCTATTTTAAAAATATTATTCAATTATTGGATAAATAATTAATAAATTAATAAATTATAAACATTGTTCTAATTTTCCTAAACTTCTATAAATAAAGTTTGTAGAAGTTTCTAGAGCTCTATGTATGGTAACTCAAAAGTGAACAAAAATTAGAAATAATATTCCATATTTGGCAATTATTTATTTTTATTTGAAATAGAACTATTGAGACTCTCATCATTATGCATTTGGTATATGAAAAAGTTTAAGAAATATTTAAAAACTAAGAAAAATTTTGATAATTAAATTACATGCAAAATATAATATAGGCATCAATTGTATTCTTGGACTTAACAAAAGCATCAAAAGCCTAGTCTAATATAAAAATAGGCCTTTTAAAATCATCAAATAAAAATACAGATGATATTCAATGACAATATTCAATCTATTGTAGCAAATAGGTATATTTTGTAAAATACCTTCACATTCAATAACAACTTCATGTGTCTACAAAGACTGTCTATGACTTTGAGGTATTATAACATCTGTAAACATAGGCTTTCCTACTTTTAAAGTAATTTTGGCATAAGACGAATTATCTAAATGGATGATTCTCACATTTTGGATTTCACAGACTAGTGATGATGACAGTAGCTTTAGCTCTTTATGGAATACTTATTATATGCCAGAACTGCTCTGTGAGTCTTACATGTATTATCTAATTTTATCTTAACAATCCACGAGGTAGTCATTATTGATATCTCCATTGTATAGATGATAAAATTATATCATAAAGAGGCTAAATAACTTGTCCTAAGTCATACAAGTAGTACATGGCAGAGTTGATATTTAAAATAAATTTAGAAATAAAGATGAATAATTGACAGAGGAGTTCTAACTTCTTGATTTTGCTACAAAAGGGTATTTTTAAAATCTCAAACATCACTATGTTATAATAATTTTGTGGAAGACATCTGAATCACAACACAATTAGACCACAATAATTAACTGAAATTAACTTAGCTTAATAAATTTTATTATCCTTATTTTTCTAATTGTACAGTGAAAATGAAGTCAGAGGCCAGTACCCATCCATGGATTTATGATTGGAAATGGCTGATGTACTCCAAGTTGCTAATTCTATCTGTGGATAACTACTTACTTCTTATATGTTGAAAATTATTGTAAAAGAAACATTATTTTAGAATATACTATATTCTGTGATGACAGCCACAAATCAATTAAATTAACATAAAAATGAGGAGGAAGACTAACATTTGTTAAGTATCATAACATGCTAGCCATTTAGACATACAGTGTGTAATATACAGATATTACACTATATGTGCATTACACTATTTGGTCACAATTTGGGTTGAATTATCTGATTGAATTTACCCAACAACTCTGTAATGAACATACAGTCATTCTAATTTTTGTAGATAAGGATGCTAAGATTCAGGGAAGTTAGATAATTAACCCAAGTTTATTGATATATTACATAGTGGAATTTTTCTCAGGGAAATTTTACTCAAAAGCTCATATTTATTTTAAATTATGCTATATTATGGACAATAATTAGCTCTATTTGAACAAAGTCTCAGTAATATTATTTCTTAATGTAAATATCCTGAACCAAAATCTGTTTAAAAAACCTTACAGATATAAAATTGTTAGAGGAAAAATAAAAAAAAAAACAGAAACTTTTTTTATTTGTACTAATGTTATTACAAAAAATGCTTGTAATAACATTATACTCACACAGGCAACACAGTGGATCATTAGACACACAGAGAAAAATATTTCTTGCTATACTTCATATTCAAGTTGTAACATACCCTCAAAATGCATTGATTTTGGAGGACCCAATATAAATTTGTAGAAATATCTTGTTAAGAACATAAATATTATATACTATATACTAAAAAAAATTAACAAAAAGTAGAAAGTTTAAATTATAAGCCCTTGCTAATGAAAAAATATAAATTGTACAGAAATTACCAGGTATCTAAAACAACTTTCCTTACAATTAAACTACTATGTAATAATTAATACAGAACAATAATTTCTGTATATGGAAATAATTACCATAAATAGTATACTGATACTATTCCTAGAAGAGCTTATGATACATGATTAGATAAAAATATGTGTATCAGATATCTAGATTATTATCTCACAGTCTAATTGGGCTAAAACACAGGTCAATGAAAATTTTCTTAGGCAGAGCTTATTTATTTGCTATGTCTCTGCTTATATGCTTTATTAATGTGTATGTAATTTATGCTAAATCTTAAAAAATAGCTTACATAAATTATATCAATTCTTTGAGGAATAAATTTCAATTTGCTTATACAAATTTCAACTTAGGAATTTGTTTACATTGTTCTATTAATTCTCCGTGATTCATCTGGATTTTAATTATTTGCCCTCTCTGGGTTTTGGAGGTAAGTTTGGGTTGAATTTTCCAGCACTACAATTTGTTATAAAACCTTAGTCATGTATTTTTATTGATAAGTTATCTAGTCAGTGAGGCTGCTGTGAGGTTAATATCAAAAGGTGTTAAATATATTAGGCATGCAAAAAAAAAAAAAAAACGCTAGTTCTCTTCTTCTTCCCATATACCTTGCTTGTAGGGTTTCTATCAACACAGAAAGCATATTCATTTTCATTATCTAAGAGGATCTTCAGAAAAACTCTCTAGGTATAGAAGGTAGAAATAATGCTTTCCTTACAGATAATGAAATTAACTTAATGTTTGAGAAATTAAGTGGCAATAAATTCAATACTGGAAAGCTTATCATAATAAAAATTATATAAATGACAGTGTCTTTTTGTTTGGTCTTCTAGGAAGCTCAGAGTCAAATCTAAAGGTTAATGTTTGCACCTCTGTTGGTCCAGAATTCCATGAAATAATTGAAAAGATATTTTAATATGGAATAACATATGTGTTGGCAGACAAATATATTTAAATTTAAAACATAATTTAATACATAATATCCATATGTATAAACATATATTAAATTAAAAACTTTATCAATTTATACAAATGTATTCATTGTTTTACAAACACTTTAGTAATGCTAATATGTACTTAATAATAGCCTTATGAGAAAAGTTTTTGATTGTTTCCCCATCCCCCTTTTACAGAAGATGAACTCGACTCTCTGAGAGAATACGTAACTTGCTTAAAGTTACATAGCTAGAAAAGGCAGAACCAGAATTCAAATCCAAGTAATCTCAGTCTAGATTCTGTGCCTTTAATCTCTTTCCTAATACTGCTTCTGTTGTGATACTTAAAAATGTAGTTTCTTGATGAAACTTTGACTTAGAGGTCTACAGCTTCTAAGAGCTAGCAGTTGTCAACTGTTTTGTTCCTTTAGAGGGAGATTTCCACTGGTGGGAGCACAAGAGCATAAAGGTAGGGAACTGGCTGGCTCTTCTATCATCATCATCATCATCATCATCATCATCATATGTATTATCTATTGAGTGTTTACTATAAAATGGGCACATTTCTATACAGTTTACAAATAGGCATTATTTGGTTCCCACAGCAACATATCAAGTACATATTCCTTTTTGTTTGTTTGTTCGTTTTGTTTGAGATGGCATCTCACTCTGTTGCCCAAGGTGGAGTGCAGTGGTGCGATCTTGGCTCACTGCAGCCTCTGTCCCCCAACCAGGTTTAAGCAATTCTCCTGTACCAGCCCCCCAAGTCGCTGGGATTACAGGAACCCACCACAATGCCAGCTAATTTTTGTATTTTTAGTAGAGATGGGGTTCACCATGTTGGCCAGGCTGGTTTCGAACCCCTGACCTCAAGTGATCCATCCACCTTGGCCTCCCAAAGTGCTGGGATTACAGGTGTGAGCCACCATGCCTGGCCCATATTCCTTTTTTTCTGTTTCACAGATTAGGAAACAAAGGCACAGGATCCTAAGGCAATTTGCCTAAATTCACACAGTAAGTTGTGGAGCTAGGGTGAGACTTGTGTTCAGTTTATCTATCCTGCTAATCAAAGAGAACAAGAAAGGAAAATCCAACAGAGTTTTATTTTCACAGCTAGAGTAAGAACTGGTATTAGACCTCTATCAAGTCTAAAACAGTCTAAAAAAATCACTACAACAATAAAGGGCTGCACACCAAGTTAACACCTTGTTTGACCATGAATCCTTTACTTTTAACCACTGCATTGTATCTCAGGATCAATTTATGGTAATGTGTTTCAGAAAAAATTACCTATATTTCTTTCACATGTCACCTTTCTCCTTACACAGCAAAAACAGTTACCAATATAACCAAGAGCAGTGGTTCTCAAAAAGAAGTGGTGGGTGGGATGGTGTATTAAAATTACATGAAAGTTCTTTTTTAGTTATATATTCACCCAGGTAAACATGTGAGAATGAATGACTGACTGTGATGCAAGGGAGAAGAGCAGGAAAAAGATCTATGTAGCTTGAAGAATTCCCCTCAGTTGATTATGACATGATAACTACTGAGTTACACTCTAACAACACAAATACACTCTTGAGATGGTTCAATTTGATGATCTAATAAAAACACAACCTTCTATCAAACGGAAGGATACTAGTATACAGTTGGAATTAAGAATGTGGTCTTCTGGAGTCAGACTGCTTGGGTTTGAATACCAGTCCTGCTACTTTTTGTGTGACACTGGGTCAGCTGCTGAACCTACTGCTATCAGTTTTGACATCTTTAAAGTGGGGATAATAATTTTACTGCCTC
Source organism: Homo sapiens (assembly GCF_000001405.40). Classification (NCBI taxonomy): domain Eukaryota; kingdom Metazoa; phylum Chordata; class Mammalia; order Primates; family Hominidae; genus Homo; species Homo sapiens. Next base: position 115,681,396 of record NC_000010.11, on the reverse strand, counting down.
ACTGGATTATTATGAGAAATAAATGAGATAACACACGTAAAAGTCTTTATGTGATAACTCAATGAATAGCATTATTATTACAGTGACTTTGTCCAATACTTACTCTGTATTAATTTTGATCTATTAACTTTTCAAGGACTTAGCCTCTAATTAACACATGACATAGAAGGACCAAACAAATCTATTTTTAATAATCCTATTAATTGACATTCAAAGTTATATTTTAAATCCTTCTATTTTGTACATGAGAAGATGTATTCATCATAATCCATTCCCTAGTAATAGTAGAATCCCATTCCACATGTCTGGAAAGAGGTACGTAATGTAAATTTTGATAGTTTAAAAAAGGATATTATTCATAGACTGCCAACTAAAGCAGAACCACACTAGACTTCAAATATGGATACACTATAGGTATAAATCATTTCTCCTGAAACACAAAAAGTGCAATACCAGGTCAGACAAGTGTTCTCTCAAGCCCATCATTCAGTCTAATAAATGTCCCAAGTGTCTCCCTGTTAAAGAGCATGGTATTCACATGATTATCTTTCCAAAGCTCAAGGATACACTTCAAGGATACCACTTGTTTTCTATAGTCCACTTGCTATATATATAGCTATTGCTTTCAATACATCTCTTTCTTGAACTTACTTTAAAATTTTTGTCCATATCATTCCTTAATGTGTTTGATAAATACATTATTAACCCATTGAAAGAAGAATTAGTTTTGTTTATCTGGTCTAGTCTTCCAAGACTACAAAGCTCAGGATTTCTAATAGCTCTGGAACTACAGCCTTAGCAAATACATACAGCCGTTAATTTACATAGACTTTTCATAACTGCATATACTTTAAGAGTTTTCTCTGTAGAAGAGACTGCAATGCTCACCAAATATTTCATATGATCCCCTATAGTTACTAGGCATCTTGAAATTAGGCAGGGCCATGTAACTAATTTTGCCAATAAACTGAGTGGAAATAACATCTATTATTTCTGGGCCAAAGCAGAGAAGATGTCAACTCTCCAGGTACTCTCTCTACATCTGCTTTGGTGACCAGTGAGGATCTAGATGTGGCTCTTCTGTTAGCCTAGGTCTCTGAGTAACTAGATGGAAGAGAGACCCTTTGCTGATCTGTCTTAGATATGCCTTAGAAGTGAGAAATAAACACTTTTCATATAAAGCCATTGATATTTCAGGGTTAATTTGCCATCACAGCATAACAAAGCCTATCTAGACTAGTCCAGAAATTGGTATCAGGAGTAGAGCGCTGCTGTTACAAAAACCTAAACTCTGTGGCATTGACTTAGCAGGCAGATTATGAGAAAATTGATACTGGAAGCTGAAGAGCTAGCAATCTATGTTATGCAGTACAAAAACATTTGGTTAAATGTTGTCTTTGATAAAGTGGGAGACAGATCACATATCTCATGTGTTTAAGTTCTAGGAGAAGATAATGGAAAATAGAATATTAGTAGAGTATGTTGACTACTTTTAACAGGGTATTAAGGAAAGACCTTTAATCAAAAAGTAATGTCAGTTTGCAAAGAGAAATGAAATGGAATTCAGAGAGTCCAAAAATTTGAGGCCTTGCAATTTTGGAAAAGCTAACTACTAAAGGCCCTAAACAGTAAGAAATATAGCTGAGGAAGACTTTGAATGACAGAGGCCCATTAAAATTTAATCAGTATCAAAGATATGATTAAAGGTATAGCCTTCATGCCTATTGTTACAATTGTTGAGCTCACTATGATGTCTCAGGGCAAATATCAAATTAGGGGTTATTACCCCAAAACATTTCAACTGGATAAAATGACTCAGGGTAGAGATCAGAATGAAAACAACCTTTCTGCAGAAGTCAGATAGTCCCAATGTAGCTCTCACTGAGTCTAGAGAGTGAAGTATGCGGAGAGAAAGCAAAGCAATACAGCAGATCTGAGAATAACATCTCTAAAAAAAACCTGCAGGCAGGGTAATTGGCACATAGGACTCACTGTAATCAAACAGATAAGAAGCCCAGTGAGTTTCAGAGAGGGTTGTACTGCAAAAGGAACAACAAACCTGGAATTAAAAAAAAAACCAACCAACCAACCAAACAAACAAAAACTAGTACTGTTCAAGACTTAAAATTACACTTGGGCTACCAACTTGCTTTAAGCAGGAAGTAGGAAGAAAAGCCTTCACTGAAGCCCCCAAGTAAGGCATATTCCGTCACACATACTTCAGATATGGCCAAAGAGGATAATGGAAAAGAAGTACCTTCCAGAGAGTACATGCCATGCAGGGATTCCAGGAAATAGTAAGAGAAGGACCTCCTCCCAGGCATCAGGATCCTTCACTTTTACAACTACTGCACAGTGGATTTCCAAAATGCTTGCAGACTATGCCTAATGGTGCCTGCTATTTTTCCCATTTTTGAATGGAGGGTTTACACTGTTTAACTTATTCCTCTTCCACCATTGTCTATTGGGTTTGGAGTGAGGAGATACTTTCTTTTATCAGTTCCTAGGTCTCAGGACCAAGAAACCCAAGTCAGAACATAATGTGCAGACTACATTATATGACCAGATTTCTAAACTTGAGCCAGCTGCAGTGACTGGATAGGACTTTTGGTTTGTTCTCCCTTGCTGGCATCTATGATATGCATATGACACCTTTAGTGACAGAAATGATATAAATAACCTACATGCACTTACAGCATTTGACTTAAGATTTAAGTTCCTTTTGGAAGGGGACAGATAATATAAGACAAATATAAACTTCTGTCTTTAATGTTAATACTTATTATCATGCTATTTGCATAAGAATGATTATAGATATTCAAATGATATTAAACACAGTTACAAACTGTTTCCCAAAACAGAAGCCAGAACTGAGTTTTCCTAATGAGCAAAGTGGTAATAAAAGAAAATGTAATGATGATTTACTTTTCTTCGGAGTTTAATTCATTTTAACTACTCCACATAAATTTTTAAAATAATAACAAAAGTGGGAGAGTTCATTTCATAATCAATTTTATAAAAAGATTCGTAGTTTATTTCTTAACCTATAGAGATTGGTATTTATTGTTCAATTGTACTTATATTAGTTAAATCATAGAAATGATCCTTAATTTTTGCACATGTACAGTGGTGTAAACCTGTTTCTTAATATAATGTTTTAGCTTGATGTGCCTGAAGAAATTTAGTATATGAAATAATGCTTGGTAAAAACCAATAAACTCACTTCCTCTCTTTGTTGAATTATTATTTTTTATATCATGCTTATTTACTGTTATATAAATCAGCCAAAGATGGCTCCTGTATATTGGTCCATAGATTGTTTATTTCTTCACAGCAGGCTGAGACCTGGTAGTCCAAAAGTAAACCCATACCAAACTCAAATTTTCATTCGTTTCACTATGTTTTCAACATAGACTAAATAAGTAGATATTTAAATAGTTACAAACAGCCTACTTTGCATACCCCATGAAACTATGCCCGATATCTGCTGGCCCCAGGCTATAGATAGCACCTGGGCTATATATATGCCAAGCCACTGATACCCTTTGGAGCTCTCTGATGCAGAGACTCAATGTGGTGCTGCCGAGGAACATCACCTAGATAGGTAAGCCCCCTCCCTATTCTCTCCCTCCTCTGGGAGTTTCCTTGCTCTATTAGTCTGTTTTCACGTTGCTGATAAAGACATATCCGAGACTGGAAAGAAAAAGAGGTTTAATTGGACTTACAGTCCCATATAGCTAGGGAGGCCTCAGAATCATGGCGGGAGGCAAAAGGCACTTCTTACATGGCGGCAGCAAAAGAAAAATGAGGAAGAAGCAAAAGCAGAAACCCCTGATAAACCCATCAGATCTCGTGAGACTTGTTCACTATCATGAGACTAGCATGGGAAAGACAAGCCCCCATGATTCAATTACCTCCCCCTGGGTCCCTCCCACAACACGTGGGAATTCTGGGAGAGACAATTCAAGTTGAGATTTGGGTGGGGGCACAGCCAAACCATATCACTTGCTGTCCTCCCCTTCTGAATGGTGGCTCTCATGCAGTAACTTCTGGACAGTTCCATGCTGTGAGGGATTTTCCTGTATCAAACCTGTCAAAGTGTTAGCAAAATAAAGCTTATGTATGCTACCTCTACCTGTGGCCATATCTTTTTCATGGAGCAGCCCTGAAATTCCTGGAACCCCTTATATTTGCATTTAGAGCTTTTAGCCCATGAGACTATGTACACACATCAATAGCCCTCTATCGACTTGTTTTCTTTTATTCATTCTTTCATGAATGCATTTATTCAACAGATATTAACCAAATGTGTACTATATGTAAGACATTATGCTGGGTACTCAGAAATAAGCAAATAAAGCTGCCAGAAATAAAAACAAGTACAGCAATGGAAGAAGTACTGTAAATAAGAGGTATGTATCAGGAAATTTAAGCATTTGTCTTTTGTCTCTACTTTCTTTAACTGAGACATTGGTCATGGGTGTAGCAGAAAAAACACAAACTCAGAAATAAGTTCGATATTTAAGCATATCTGACATGATGTTTCCTGTGAGTGTCTCCATTCAGCACATGCTGTAAGTAATCAGCCATCCTGCTCTGCTTGTTTATCCTTTTCCTGTCCGTCTTTCTCCACTGTTACTCTTTTTTCTTTCCCCCTCCACTCTATGCTCCTTTCCCCTGACTTATGTTTGCCTTTTATCTTTTTTTAAAAAAATACATTTGACACAGCATAAATTAGACATTAGATGTTAGAAAGTTCAGAATTGTGTTCTTAACTGCATACTTACTGAATCATAAATATATATATATATACATATACAGATACAGTTGTAGATAATACAGATATACATACATAGACAGAGATCTCAGTCACTCACTCCAAATTATATATAACTAATCTGCTATTTTTTCTCATTTGGAAAGTGAAGTTGCATGTGGATTAGAATTATTTAGATAACTGAGTAAATAATTCTACTAAATTTTGCATATAAGACATGTATTGCAGATGGTTATGCCAAGGTATTGCTGAATAAACATGTACTTCTCTAGAAGTATTATTAACTGTTTTCTTTAATGAGTTAAGCTATGGTCGATCTCTAGTAAAATGTACAATATCTTTGAAAGTTCTTTTTGTTTTCTCCAGCCATGATTACTGAGAAACTTGCTTTCTTTAGTTTTTGTGATTAAAGTTTTGTGCATCACAACATCCTTCCCTTATTGTCACTGTATATGGTTTCATATGCTAGAGTAAATTTCATCTAACAATAAGAATTATCCTTAGGAAACTATAATTATATGGACTGTTAACTTTTTGTTATTGTTTAATAGTCACTGAAACGACTATTAGATTTTCTTTCCAGATAGATTGATTTGCAAAATTTTGCCCGGTGTTATTTAGGAACAACTACAAAGGGCTTGGAACTTCCTTTCTTGCTGAGAGCATTGCCAGCACAGCTCTGGAGACAGACGGCCTGGATTCCTGCGATCTCGACTTACTGTTTTCTAGCTCACTAGCTTTTTGAGCTTTCTTCATGCTTCATCTTTAAGATATGAGCATAATAATAAGCTATTTAATAAGGTTGTTATAAGAATTAAATTGAATATATGTAAAGTATGTAAAAGACTATCTGGCACACAGTAGCACTCATAAATGTTAGCTATTACACCATTATTAACAACATCTTGCCAGGTATGTAACCACAGTGGGTACCCGAGTAGAAGTCCTATGGCCTTTTGCATTTTTCCGTTCTTATTTGCTGTAATAAAAATAACTGCAGTGAATAAAATGAACACTGAACTTTGGAAGATAGCATGCCTAGAGAAATATCTGTTAAAAGGAACTTCATTACAATGTATTTCTAGACAAGCAAGAACATAAGGCAAGACAGAAGCTCCTAAAATGTCTGTTTGGCTTAAGCAGATAAATAATATACCCCATGACAGAAAATGAACTTTTCTTCTTCTTTTCTTCTTTCTCTTTCTCTTCCACTTCTTGTTCTTCTTCTCCTTCTTCTTCTTCTTTTGTAAGAGACAGGGTCTTGCTCTGTTGCCCAGGCTGGAGCTGGAGTGTGCAGTCGCACAATCATAGCTCACTGAAACCTTAAACTCCTGGGCTCATGAGATCCTCCACTCTCAGCCTCCCAACTAGCTAGGACTACAGGCTAATCTTTTTAGTTTCTGTATAGATTAGGTTTTGCTATCTTTCCCAGGCTGTCTCCAATTCCTGGCTTCAAGCAATCCTCCCACCTAGGCCTCCTAAACTGCTACAATTACAGGCATGAGCCACCATGTGCAGCTAAACATGAGATTTTAAATGCATTCTAGACTGTGTGTAGGTTCAGCAGAAATAAGCAAGTAGTTCTTGTTTTCAAGGAACCCACAGTCTAGTGGAGACAGAGTTAAAAGAAATGAACACACTATCACTAAGGTTTTAGGAGAGAAATGTATCATATTTGGTGATACAGTCATGACATATTTCATAAAGATGTGGTATTTTAACTGGGTTATAAAGGCTGGGTTGAATTTTTATGAACAGAGATAATTTATGTCATTTTATGCAAAGTTGCTAGCATATGCAAGAATCACAGTGGTCTAGAAATACAGTCCATTTTTTTAGAAAAGTGAGATGTGGTGTGGTTGGAATTTGTGAAAAATAATACATGTATGACAAGTAAAATCAGATTTGAAAGGCTTTGCATTCCAGGCTAAATAATTTGAATTTTCCAAGAAGATCTCTTTTGAAGAAAGTCTATAAATGGGCAAATACACAGTTAAGTACTTACAAAAATTTCATCAGTAGACTCGGAGGTCCTTGAGAACTGGGACTACATCTTATTCATCTTTCTATTCCCAGGATGTAGCTGACATGCAGTAGGAACTCAGTAAGTGTAATAAATCAATGATTAAGTAAAATGGAATTTTTTAAAAATGAAGAAAGTATATTATTCAAGAATAGGCCAGGTAGTAAAATAACTCCAAAATCTCAGTAGTATAAGAATGTCTGTTTTTCACTTACACTACATGATGTCTAACAGAGGTTGGCAGGGCTTTCTCTTCCACATAGTGACTTAAGGATCTAGGCTATCTAAAGCTCCGACATCAGAAATGTCATGTTTATTCATACCTGATCTTCTCTGTTATGGTTGGGAAGTGACATTTATCATGCTACTCATAGCTCACTCTCCAAGAATAATTACTTGGCCTCAAATAACTGCAAGGGGCCTAAAAAAATGTGAGTGTGTGCATAGAATATTTGGTAAGCATTATTGTCTCTGTGGCAATATATTTCTTCTGGTCATCAAAGATCTCTTTGCTTTCTCCTTTGCACATAAAGACCTTCACTCATAAGTCTAGCACCTGAGTTGGGATGACTTGGAGGCTGGGCCCAGTTGGATGTATTAAGTGTAGTGCTGGCTCGTAGCCTTTTTATGTAGCCTGGGGTTCTGACAGCATGGCAGCTCCCAAGAGGAAGCATGCTGAGCGGGAATTTTCCAGAGAGTCAGTGTTCCAGAACAGTACACTAAGGAAGAAGCTACACGTCTTCTGATCTAGCCTTGGAAGGAACACACATGAATTCTTTTCCATTCCAATGGTTATAAATGAGTTGGTAAGGTCAGTCCACATTCAAAAAGAGGGGAATAAGACTACCTGTTTATGGGGAAGGAGCAAAGTCACATTACAGAAGAATATATGGGATAGGAGATATTGTGGTCATCACTGGAAAACACAAACTGTCACAGATGTTGAAGTTGGTTATATTAATTTGCTTTACTTTTATATTATCTAGTGTTTGGTTGCATATAGTTCTTGAACTTAACATTACTGTACTTGGCTTAGAAATTACTGGTTCATAAGAAGTGTCTCTCCCACCATTCCAATCATCTTTACCAATGGAGATACCACTGTTTTCTAGAAAATGCTGCTGTCACTGAGACTCAAATGCCTGTCTGATATTGCAGTTCAGCAACCCTTACATGCCAGCTCTTACTGTAGTTGCTTCTGACTCTGGGATTTGCAAGATGCTCATGGGGCCAGTTGCCTATCAATGGTAGACTGGAAGAAGAAAATGTGGTACATATATACCATGAAATACTACACAGCCATGAAAAAGAATAAAATAATGTCTTTTGCAGATTTCTTATTTTTACTTCTCTTAAAGGAGAGCCATTATATCACTCAGATTTGAAACTACTGTCTTAAATAGAATCCTAAATTCTGACCTCCCAGGGACAATCTCAAACACCTGCTGGGCATCTCCATCAGAATGCCCTGGTGACACTTCAATATCTGCAAGCTTTAATGAACACTAGGAAACAACACGAACTTCTGAGACACCTTTTGGTAAATAAGGGGACCATATTCATTCCTAAAATCAGTACGATAAAAGATGAGCTGGATTGGATATGGGAGTGGAATAAAGGGAGGTGTGGCAGGATTTGGCAATGAACTAAGTTGCTAAAACAAGGTGTGGTGAGGGTGGAGGAAAAAATACTATAACGTCATACACTGAAGAAATAGTTATTAGTTTACTATGAACATAAAACTTCAATGTGTATGGATATTCAGAAAGGAATTTCTTTTGCCTTTTTTCTTCTTTCCCCCAAATGAGATAGAAACATGAGATAAAAAATAATTTAAGAAAGACAAAAATTGGCCAATGTAACAACTTAGTAAGTTGGTGACATGAATGACAGATAATTAATCTTTTTTTAGTAATAAGCACCATACATAAAAAACAATTTCTGTAATAAGAAAAGTTATTACTTTGAAAATCGAAATCTAAGAAGCCTATATTCTTAACTTCTCAACATTCAGCTTACGTTTGCCTAACTTAATACTATTGCCTTGGGCTATTTTTATCCTCTTAATCATTTTCTTTGCACCAGTCGAAATGTTTTCCACTTTTTTTATATATTATGTTCTAAAACGCTATAATTTAGGATTCAATTTATGAGACTATAAATATCGAATTAACAGGAGATGCTTCTATGAGTAATTCCTAAAATAAGTTGTGTTCTTTCAAAAGGAATACAATAAGTTGGAAAAAGAATAGGCTTCGGAGGCAACCTCAATTGAAATTCCAGCTCTGCAACTTCCTAGGCTGTTTAATCTAGGGCAAGTCACTTAACCCCTGAGCTTCCTTTTTCTAATATTAAAAATGAGGCTATCAACATCTACCATGTTTCAAGTTACTGTTAGGGTTAGATCATATAAAGACATCTAGAATATTTCCTGGCTGGGCATATATAAATGGTAGTCGTAATTGTTGTTTTTATCATTAAAAGTACAATGTGTTATATACAATTATGTTATTTGTTTTTCTTTCAATTATTGACTTGTTTAGAGGTCGTGACCAAAAATATTTACAATTAAAATGTTATTTAAAGTGAATATTATGTAAAAATCTAGTGGCAGTGTCCCTGTATTTTGTTTATTTCTTTATAAATCTGTATGCAAAATTTATTGGGACATCTTGTTTCTCTCACCTTATGGGCAGTCTCAAGATAATATCATATCCAAAAATAACTCTAAATACCCACAACTTCAACTCAAATGGACTGAAATGAAATACAGAAGTTCAGTGACGCTTTCTTGGGATAAGAAGAGAAGGGTACATTACTTACAAACAAACTTCGTAAAAAACCTTCTTTAAATCTCTTGCCTCAAAGATCCCTTTCCTTTGGAGGCTGCCCAAATTGTTCCCTGCCGAGGCAGTGGTCTGGCTGCCCTCACCTACCCCACAAATTCTATTACTCATGCTCTCATCTTTGTCCTTACCTAACAACCTGATTAGGGAAACAGTGGAACTCTTTCAGATAGCTTCAGGAGAAATGTAGATACTTTCCTTGATAGATGTCTTTCCTCAACTAGTTGAAGAATCTCAAAGACAAGGCAGGTCGAATCATCATTGGAATGCTATCAAAATGTGTAGCGCAATAAATGTTAGTTAAAAATATCAAATATTTTTCCTTTTTCTTATATAGCACTCAGCCTATTGGAAATCTTTTATATTAGAAGCATCTACTCTATCCATTACTTTTTCTTTTCTTCTCTTTCCTTTAGGCTATATTCTGGAGTCTATCTTGCAGAGTCAGGATGAAAAGGAGATACAACTGAAATCTGTTAATTTTGACATTTATTAACAGTTCTTAGAAAAATACTTGATAGGAAATTCATCAAAAGGCTTTGGGCAAAAAGAAGACTTCTAAATCATCTTTTGGACACCACTGATCTGACCTCTAGCTTGGATCACTTCTGCCAAATGCAGCCTGTGTTTCACGACCACACAGTCCTTCTGACACTTGGCTAGAAATCATTGTCCCTCTCCCTAAGCATGTGCATCAGCATGTTCTGCAATGCTCCAACCCCACTACCACAGAATATATATTCAAAACCAATTTAATCCTTAACCTCTTCAGCAGGATAAAGGTACAGTGGCTTCAATAACACTGCTTTTTATTTCTGTAATATTTTCAGCATCTAAAGTGTTTCGACATTATTTCTCATATTTGATTTTTATACTAATCACAGAATTAGCTGATAAAGAAACTGTGAGTCACAAAGGTAAGAGATCAACATAGCAAGTAAATGGCAGTGACCTTGACCTGAACTCAGGTGTTCCATACCTCACTGAAACACAGGGCACTGTCTCCTTCTCCCTCTTAAAGAAATATATTTTATAGTCAAAACAAGGTCTTAGTCTCTAATCAATGTTGAGAAAGAGTAAAGTATCAACCTTATATGCTTTAAAGTGTAACATGTATATGGCATCCACAAAATGGGCTGATTTCAAAGAGACTACTTGCTCAGTAGTTAAGACAGTGTTTTACTTTGCCTGGTTAAGATAGTGTTAGAGTCTTTAAGACTAGAGACATTACTCACACAAGTTATTATTAAAGTCCCAATATCTCATATATTGTGAAATATTGTAGAATACATTATATATAAACTTAAAAATGCAACTTAAAATGTTAAATAATGGCAAAAGGATCCATTGCATTCTTTTTCACTGCAGGAAAAATGAAATGAAATACATTAATAACAATGACTGGAACTAATTAAATGAGCAAATGTGCTTTCATTGTCTTTCAATAGCAACAATGATAGCAAACACATAGAATTTATTATATGACAGCCACTTTTTAAGCACTACACATATATTAACTCTTAATCCTCACCATAACTGTATAAAGTATGACTATCCCTATGTATATGGATATTATTTCCATTTTAAAGATGAAGAAACTGAGGCATTGAGACATTAACATGTACAGTGTTAAAAGCAAGTAAGAAACAGATGAAATGTAAAACCCAGTTCTCTGGCTCCAGAGTCTGAGCTCTTAACCACTATGCTAGTATAATCCCTCTCAAAGTATTCTATTTTTTACATCTATCAAATGTGAAAACTTCCAGGAGTATAACACATTTCTAAATCAAAGAAAAGGGAAATGACAAGTTATGAAATTGGAGAGCTGTTAAAAACACCTCTAAGTAATAACACCTTTTCTTGTTCTCAGTTTTTACATTCAGCTGGGAATTCAGGTGAAAAACATAACAATGTATATTGAAGTTCACAAACATCATCATATATGGGAATTAAACACCTGAAATTTGACCAAAGTTGTAGAAGAAAGGGCATTTAATCAAAATCTCCCTACTAGAATATCAATTTTTACCTGGTATATCACCAAAATATTTTTGTGCTCCAGTGAATATATACATGATTTATTGCTTAGCAGAATGTACCTGGTCTACTGTTACAAAGCAATGCTTTGTTGGAAAGCTTCTGCACTTGCAGTATGTCAATAAAAAAGTCACTGTAGTTCACAAGAAAGGGATTCTCCCAGGAAAGGAAATGATGGGAATATATCAGGAGCACAATGAATCTGAACATAGAATGTCAGTTGCAAAGAAAAAAAGATACATGTTGCAAAGTTGGCATTTACCTTATGATAAGTCATAAAAATTTATTATAGCTGCAATGAAATATCACAGTAATGTGGTCTCAATATTACAAATCTAGTATTTCTATATCTAGATATACTCTAACTCTAGTGTATATCATATTAACAGGTTGTATCTGCTATATCCCATTTATAAATATTACATATCCTTCAGACAGCTATCATATTCTGTCAGAAAAATGAGCAAAAAAGTAAAAATTCAGATTTTCAGTTGATATGACATATACATTGTTAAATTTGTTTAGTATAAATGTTTTCTTAAGTCTTGGGGTAGTGGACCACTTTAAATTTGCTAAAGCCTTGTATTTCTTTAAGCAGAATCAAAAATAAATTATAAAAGAAAACAATGTGGTGTCAGATATTTACATATAATCATTTGGAAAACCACTTTAGGTAAATTAAAGATGGAAAGCTCTCTTCCTTCTACAATACGAAGCATTTTTTTCTGGATCTAGTTCTATAAACCTTAAAATAATTTAATATCAAGAAATCAGTATGTCTGAGGGGAATAATGACATTTAGTTTTTAAAATCCTCGATCCTGAAAACACTGAGTAATCATATGACCATCTGGTTTAAATTTCAATTGTTAAAACAAGCTCATTAATTTATTAATAAGTCAGAAGACAAGCACTGATGAGAGTAGTAAAAGTAGTGAATTCTATTGAACATAAATGATATAAAAAGGTTAAAGTTAAATGCTTGGTGACCTGTTTAAGACACAAATGTAAAAGATTTATGTAATCCTAGAGAAAAAATGGACATTTTAGTACACTACTGACATTGATACTGAACACAGAACACAGAACTGAGTCATACAGTTAAAGACTGTAGGTCTGGTCACTGGAGGTTGCAGATGTTACCAAAATCAGAAGATTTCATTTTGAAATAATGGCTTACAGATATGTTAGTTAAACTTAATATTCATTCTCCATCAAGATTAAATCCTAATGTAAGAAATCATAAAGACTAAATGTAAAGCTAACTGGGTAAAGGAAAATTTTAAATGCTTTATGATTGCTACAAAAAAATTAATAGAATATTGTGAACAATTTCAGGTATAAGGTAGTAAGATAAAGCAACATAACTAATTTTTGAGAATAGATGAAACAGGATCAAGCAGGAAAATAATTCTCCATTCAGGTATTTTGAAGTTACCCCACTGGGGTAAACAGGCATAGGAAATTCACAAGGTGTAATTCAGTGTGTAGGGATTCGTAAGAACCGGGGAGTCACACCACCCCTAAGCTTGGAGGGGTAAGGGGAACAAGTGGTTACCAAGAAATCAAAAGCAAGAAAGTCATGGAGAAAGGTCCCTAGACAGAATCTGTGATTTTCAATGGTGGATATGGCTACCAGCAATCCCTCCTGTATTTGTAGGTGCATGCTGCTTCTCCCATCAAGTCTCATCTCCATCCTTTGAAACTAAGTTGATTCATGACTTGCTTTGGCTGATAAAATGCAGTGATGGTCCAGGTGTGGTGGCTCACACCTGTAATCCCAGCACTTTGGGAGGCAGAGGCAGGCTGATTGCTTGAGCCCAGGGATTTGAGACAAGCCTGGGCAACATAGTGAGACCACACCTCTACTAAAAAAATAGTAATTAAAAAATTAGCTGGTCATGGTAGCCCACACCTGTAGTCCCAGCTACTGGGGAGGCTAAGGTAGGAGGATCACTTGAGCCCCCGGGAGTTTCAGGCTGCACTGAGTCATGATCACACCACTGCACTCCAGCCTGGGTGACAGAGCAAGACCCTATCTCAAAGGAGGAAAAAAAAAAAAGATGCAGTAGATGTAATGTTGTGGATGTAATGCTGGACCAGTTCCAGGCCTAGACTTTCAGAGGTCTAGAAACTTGTACTTTCCTCCTCTTGAACCCCTGAGCAATGATGTAGTGTCATTCAACTGTAATATATAGAGAAAAGATCAGCCACCCTGAGCTGTTCTAGCTACTCCAACTGAGATGCCAGACAGGTTCTGACTTAAGCAGACCTCCCTGTTCAATGTAATCGCATAAGCCAACAAAACATGGAAAAGAGGAACTTCTTAGATTACTTATTAACGCAGAAAACCCATCAAATTGTGAGAATGAATACATTATTGTTGTTTTAAGTCATTAAATTTTGAGATAGTTCGTTACACCACAATAGATAACTGATATACCTTGGGTTGTGCAGTGCAGTCAGCCTTTGAGACCTTTTTAGAAGGGAGTGGGAGACAATATCCTGATCTCATACTCCATACCAAACCTACTGGAAGACAAAGTGTAAGGAAGTCCATTGGCATAGTAACTACAGTCAGCTTCTGGGGCAGAGAGCAGGGTAGACAGCAGTGAAGAGTGGACCTGGAGGGGCAGGCAGAATATACCTGGTACACTACCAAAATGTACATATTCATATAAAAGCTGTGCTATTCATCTATAGTCATCCACAGTCCCTAAACTGCATGTATTTGAGATATTGCTCAAAATACGAGCACTGTCCCCTCCCTTAGATCCTATGGCAAAATTATTTGACTATCTTTAGTGTTGGCAAATTCTTTTACCCTTTAAAAGTGGATTTAAGTATTGCAAATAATTAAAAGTTCTACAGACTAGTCTTGTGAATAGGGTAGGTGGTCATTCTAGATGAGTGCTGTCCAATAGAACTTTTTGCTTTATATTTATGCTGTTTAATATTGAGAGGTTAAATACCAAGTATTTACTGTGCCTACTGAGGATTTGATATGATGCTGGTATGACTGGGGAACTAGATTTTAAATTGTATTTAATTTTAACTAACTTTAAATAGCCATATGTTGCCAGTGGCTGTCATATTGGAAGGCTCAGATCTAGATATCTTTTTGGGGAAAAAATATGAGGCATAGCTATAGCAGTGAGGCTAATTTCTTTATGTGTTTTGCCAGTTACCCCTAAAGGTAGTTCCAAATAATAAGTCTGAACTCTATTTTAATTACAAAAGTATGGAGTTGTAGAATTGCAGAAATATAGCTTTCCAAAGCAACCGAGCCAACTCTCAATAAACTACGGTAATGGGTGTTAAGGAAGCTATGAATAATCCAAACACAGAGTAAAAGCATAAACAAACACATAAAAGCAACAATAAACTAGTCAAAACATGATACACAATGAATTGAATATAAACTTTATCAGTTAATCATAACAGCCAATATTTAGACAGTGTAAGTCAGTGTTTTTCAAACCTTGGACGACCTTTAAAATACTCTGGAAGTTTCTTTTAAAATTGTATATTCCTACATCAGAATTTCTGAATATGAGGCTTGAGAAAGAATCTATATTTTTGTCAGTGAAACTTTTTACAGCTATCTTTCCACTTTCTTACAGGTGTCCTTTGAATTTAACTATGTCTTAGAACATCTAACCTTTATTTATATTTATCATAATCAAATTACCATACCAATGTTATTTTCATCAACTTTTCACCCTGAAACCTAAGCAAAGAAACAAAACCAAAACTGCAAAAGAGAAGATGCCTCAAAGTTACAACCCATTTAAGAATCCTTAACATTTAATGAGTCTGATAGACCAGTGAGGAACAGGTACCACTTTCTGAACAAAAATATACAGGAAACACAACTTACTGAAATCGAGTCCTAGTCATAGGGTGAGGCTGCTTTGGTCCAATGTCTGCCTTATTCAGGCGAATCTTTCTAGATAATGACTCTTCACAGGTTGCCCTGGATGAGCAACAGTGGTCAAACTGTGACTCAAGGGGAGTCACAAGTTATGTTTTTGCTTGATTTCTAACATTTATTTAGTAATTCTTAAATATATGTGGTGAAGAAAGAGAATTTCCAGATAGCAACAGATTTAAATTGGTGTCCATTTTTTATTAGAAGTATTCACTGATTCTCAGTAGCTTTTTCATGGATTTCTTCTTCTTCCTCCTCGTCATCTGCCTCTTCTTCCCTCTCGTCTTCCTCCTTATATATTTTCTCCAAATATTGGTGCATATAAATACTTACGCAGGTCTGTATTTTTTCAAAGGCCAAAAGAGTACTGACTGAAAGTCACGAGATGATATCCTAGTCTTGGTTAATTATTAATTTTTTGGATTATACTGGGTTAAGCCACTTACCTTCTTTGTGCCTCAATTTTTTCTAGGAAAGTGAGGAGTTTGTATTAGTGATCTTTAAATATCTTCATAGTTTAATAATCAATGACTCTGTTATATATTTCTATTAAACATAGTGACTAAATCCCTCTCCCCAACTCCTGTCTCCCAACCTACATCAGTAGTCTTTACCTTCTTGATTACTTTTATTTTAATGCTGGCCACAACAACAAACATATTGCCTCTTCTATTGAACTACATTCTCTGTATTAATGAGAAACCATTAGATGTTTTCCCATCTGGTCTTCAGTTTCAGTGGCCAAATGACCAGGTAGTAACAACATTTCTGGGATAATGTTCCTGTGTTGAACTATTTTATCTTTGGCTTTAAAATTAAATAAACACAAACTCAGAATTTAATATCAAATGACATAGATTTTTAAGTACAGAGACAGTTAAGAAGTGGAATAGCTTGACACAGGGCAAGGTGACCCTGATCCTGTAGATTTTCACCGCTGGATAAAATTACAGTTAGGTAAATTTAAAAGTAAGCATTAAAAGAAATACCTAAAAATGATTTGGATTCTAATTCTAGGAGTGAAAATGAGAAAAAAAATATTGATTTTTTTCTATACCTAAAAAATAAACTTTGAAATGTGAAGAGAGCAGAGTCTTCTATTAAATTATTTATATGATAATTTTCATGTACTGGAAAGTGATTATAAACCTTGATAAAAATAGACTAATTTGAAAAATGTGTAACTATTTTATATCTGAATTTTATTTTATTGCAAAACATTTAATTGTTTCAAAGTGGTATGCTTATTTATACACCGTGATAGGACATATATTTAATAAGCAAAATACTGACTCATCTTGAACACAAATATTTTCTTTTCACATATATATTATTCATAGCAAATTAAAAATAGAAATTATCAAAAGCCTACATATATCCTTATAAACTATTATTGCTCATATCTAATAGCACAGCAAGAAAGAATACATTTGAGATTCATAATTGTGTCAGGATTTACTGCCTTTCTTTGCTATGCTTTTGCTATGGTGAAGCTGTTACTACTTTTAAAACACACGTTCTGAATATCTGACTCAGCCATGGAGAACACAGCATAATACTGACTGTGAGGCTTCCTACAGATTGGTATAGGGAGTTAGAAAGTTCTGGAGAAGCCAGCCACAGAAGCTGTGGGGAACATCTCTTTAGCGGAGAACACTGGCAAAGGGGCCAGGAAGGTAGTCTCAATGAGAACAGGAATCAAGGAAGGATGCTATTGTAGGAAGGCTGGATTTAGGTGAGAGCATGGTGGGACAGACCGTCCAGGACAAAACTCAGGTAAAGTGGGAGCTGTGGGAAAATGGTATGGGTCAAGCAGTGGGATTTGCCAATGAGCAAAGGCAGGTGCTAGAATTCCAAGTAAACTTCTTTGGCTACATCGGAGTAATATAAAGCAGTCACAGGGCATAGAGATTCATGGGGCCACTGTGCTAAAAGTATTTTCAGAACCAGAAAATTCATGACGCTCTTCAGTTTTAGAGGAACCTTAATCCTAAAGCAGATGGATCTCAGCAGGTCCAGTTTGTGTGTACACAAGCCAATGCGATTTTTTGGCATCCATCCATGTTTAGTCCTCATCTCCCCCAAAAAGTTCTACTTGATGACATATGACTACATTGAACTCATTTTTAACAAAACTCCTATAGGATTTGCTGCCTCTAACACACACTTTTCGTATATTATACTATTATATGATAATGTATATCATACAATTTGGATGATATCACTCACTATTTTACTCATATATGTCATCCTTTTCCAAGCAGAATGAAAGGTAGATAGCATATTATACATGCTTGTAAATCATAATTCCTACAGCTGTTCTAAGCACAGTAACAGGTACCACATATTCTTTTAATGCATTTAAGATATATAAACAAATATAGCCTATTATATTATGTATGCACAAATATTACATTTAAAGTATAGTAAAAATGTTGCAAATGGCTGAAATTATAATATACATAGTAAGGGTCTAGTGTATGAGCTTTCAAGTCACAGAAACCCAAATTTGAATCCATGTTTTGCCTAGTTACTAGCCTGTGAGCATATCAAGTTATCTAAATTCTTTGAACCTCAGTTTACTCACTGGATAAGTGGAAATAATAATAATTCATAGTATTGCATAAATTAAATAATATAATGTATATTGAGCACTTAACACAGGCCTTGGCATATACTAACCAGTTACAAAGAGAAAACGAGTTTTTAAAATTACACTAAATTTTAATTTATATAACAATAAAAATTTGAATAACTCTTCAGAAGAGATAACAGTACATATTTCTTCACTTGATAGTTTCCATGTTTAACATTGTTTACTTTAAATGCGAATACAAAGTAATCTAATTTTTAGCAGCAGATGTCAAGGATATATCAACTACTTCCTTTTTCCCTTAAGTACTTTGAACATATGGATTTTAAAGTTTGTATAAGATCAATGGCAAAATTATTATGATTTTAAGTAAAACTTTTCTATTTGGAGCATCATTTTTTATAATATATGAAAATCAATTTGCCATCAAATTAATAATTCTGCCTTTGGAATGATCAGATAGGTGGAATTTGCCTTCTATCATTAAAAAGTAATTTTTAAAATGTATTTTGAAATTCTATTATGAGGGATATCATATAAATTCATAAATCAGATGTTATTGCCAACTAAGCATTTTACCAAAAATTCTCAAAAGATAAAATATCTTTTAAAAACTATTCAATAAGTTTCAGAAAGAAAGTGTGACAAATTGGCTACAGGTAACTGGTCAAAGAGTACACATCTGACTACCACCAACATAATTAGATAAAATTTAATTTTGGGTATATAACCAGTAATGGGATTGCTGGGTCAAATGGTATTTCTAGTTCTAGATCCCTGAGGAATCGCCACACTGACTTCCACAATGGTTGAACTAGTTTACAGTCCCACCAACAGTGTAAAAGTGTTCCTATTTCTCCACATCCTCTCCAGCACCTGTTGTTTCCTGACTTTTTAATGATCACCATTCGAACTGGTGTGAGATGGTATCTATAAAGACACATGCACACATATGTTTATTGCGGCACTATTCACAATAGCAAAGACTTGGAACCAAGCCAAATGTCCAACAATGATAGACTGGATTAAGAAAATGTGGCACATATACACCATGGAATACTATGCAGCCATAAAAAATGATGAGTTCATGTCCTTTGTAGGGACATGGATGAAGCTGGAAACCATCATTCTCAGCAAAGTATTGCAAGGACAAAAAACCAAACACTGCATGTTCTCACTCATAGGTGGGAATTGAACAATGAGGACACATGGACACAGGAAGGGGAACATCGCACACTGGGGCCTGTTGTGGGGTGGGAGGAGGGGGGAGGGGGGAGGGATAGCATTAGGAGATATACCTCGTGTTAAATAACGAGGTAATGGGTGCAGCACACCAACCTGGCACAGGTATACATATGTAACTAACCTGCACGTTGTGCACATGTACTCTAAAACTTAAAGTATAATAAAAAAAATGCAATTTTAATTGAGTCACAGCCAAGCTCCATAGCATATGTCATGATTTTTTATTATAGAATCTAGATTACTTCTGATCTTAAGTTTGAAATTTTAGTATGACAGAAAATCACGTGGCTGGTATATAGCCTAATCTAATGTAAACAGATTTGAGTCTCTTCAAATATAATCAATCAATAAAAAAGAACAGGTGAGATATAGGGTCACAAAAGCAAAAGCTTTCTGCACATAATCATCTTCTGACTGGAACTTATACATTGAGGGAGTTATTATCACATATCATAGTGATATCACCATAGAAATAATGTAGATTCTTTAATTTGAATTTTATTAAATTTAACCATATTGATCTAACTCATTTCTCCCATGCATCATTTTCTGTTTTCATTTAGTATATATCAGGAGAACACTTAAATGGCACTTAGTACTAATTCAAAATTATTAAAACTGTTATTTAATGTCCAAAAGGGATCATTTAAAAAACATTTCTATGCATAAAATACCTAAAGGACATACGTTTGACAGTTTTTGAAGGTAGGATATAATGCAAATGTTGGCTGAGGATCTTGGAAGAGTTCTGAGGTAAATTAACTATTTTATTTTAGCAAGCTATTATTCCTTTTTCCTAAAACTAAAATATAGAAGATCCCAGTATTCTCTAGGTAATGTCTTAGATGCTGAGGATACAAAAAAAATATAGTCTTTGCCTTTTTAGGGATCAAGCTAGTAAGAAAGAACAATATACATTGATAATAATGATATTGTTCCTATCCTACCTTCCCCTAAATCTGAATCTAATGATTATTTCATTTCCCTATACCTTTAATCCACTCCCTAGTGCCTGTCTCCATCAGCATTTAAACCACTTTAAGATACTCCCATTAACATACATAGAATCCTACATATTCATATGTGTACTTACATATGTAAATGCATGCATGCATGCAATCGATGCCCCTGAGCCACCACCATATTTACCAAAACTAAAATCCTTTCTCTTCTCTTTCAGGGAAAAAAATACTTGAAAGAGTTATTTTTACTCACTCTACTTTCTCATCTCTTACTTCTCTAATCTAGGCTTTCTTCCCCACCTTATCATGGAAACTGTCTCAATCAAGGTTTGTCACCCTGTTCATTTCTTTCTCTGAGCCCTTCTCAGTCCTTACTTAGGTGTCATCCTGAAGCGTTCTTAAAATATCCTTGCCTTAGAATATGATACAATCATATTCTGACTTACTGCCCCCACTGCTTCATCTTATCTCCTTTGCTTTAATGGTCAGCTTATGTTGATGACTTCTAAAACCATACTACCAATCCTCATCTGTCTCATAAAACTCAAGCCCACTTATCTATATAATTACTACACACCTCCACTTAGATTTATCTATTGCTGCCTTCATGGTTTTTCCTCCAAAACTTGCTCACAGTTCACCTTCTCTATTTCGTTGACTATCACTACAAGCCAACTAGTTGCCTGGTCATAAACTTGGAGGTTTAGGCTTGAAATCTCCCACCGTCTTTAGAATTAGGGATTCAGACCCCCAAATACCAGTAAATTACTCTGTCTTGTAGGTGCTATCTGTAAAATCTCTCTGAAATCTGATTACTCTTCTTCTTCCCCACCAGGTGAATATACATTGGTTCGTCCCCCTATCATGACCATACATACAGTCTCCCTCCCTCCATTCTTATTCTCCTCTTACCTATGCTCTACAACTAATCAGAATAACATTTCCAAAGTTACAACCTGTTCATGTCATGCTTCTTGCTTCAGTGGATCCTCATTAGAATAAAGGTAAACTTCTTAGCACAGTTTACAATGTCCTTTATAATCTGACCCATATTCTCCAGAACGATCTCTTGACACACCCTCACTCGTCATAAACACATCATCTGTTACCTTTCATTACTCAAATATGCCATGTCTTCCTTTTTTGGTTTTGTAAGTATGTTTTTCTTGAGCTGGAACATTCCCTTCTCACTGTCAGCCCTCTCTGCGGGTCTAATTCTTACTCACTTTTCTGGTCTCAGCTTGGATTTCACATTCTTTGAGACAATGTCTCCAATGATTATGTGTAAGTTATGAACCTTTTTTATGAAGTTCCATAGCACTATAGACTTCTGTATGTGTAGGACTCATTACATTAAATAACTGCATTACAATAACTGCATAAATAACTGTATTACAATACATTAAATAATGTAATGTAAATAACATTACATTAAATAACATTAAATAGCATACAACTGCCTAACTAATGCTGGCATAACTTACATGGATATATTTTCCTTGTGGGCCCAGGAGACTGCCTGACACTTAGTGGATGCACAATAAATATATGCTGAATTATGTAATAAAGAAATGAATAAAGGAGCTATATGCACAATGTCATGGAAACACCAAGCAGATAATTAACTGTGCCTGGGGGTTATATCAGTCAGTGCCTAAGAGGAAAGAGATGACACATTCAAATTAGGATAATTTGAGGAAGGTTCACAAAAGGATTATTTACAAAGGTGTGGGCAGAGTGCAGGGAAACTATATTGGGTTGTGTAGGACCCTCCACAAGCCAAAAAGAGAAAAGGAGGGAAGGTTATTAGAAGCCAGAGGAGAATGTTGTGTAGAGATGGTGATATGTTTTGGCTGTGTCCCCACCCAAATCTCATCTTGAACTGTAGTTCCCATAATCCCTATGTGTGATGGGAGACACCCATCACAATTAAATCATGGGGCAGTTTCCCCCATGTTATTCTCCTGATAGTGAGTACATTCTTATGAGAGCTTATGGTTTTATAAGGGGCTTCCCCCATGGCCCAGCTCTCATTCTTCTCCTTGCTGCCACCATATGAAGAAGAATGTGTTTTCTTCCCCTTCTGCCATGACTGTAAGTTTCCCGAGGCCGCCACAGCCATGCTGAACTGTGTTTCAATTAAACTTGTTCCTTTATAAATTACCCAGTCTCAAGTATGTCTTTATTAGCAATATGAGAATGGACTGATACAGATGGCTACCTTGAGAAAAACTCTGACCTTACAGCAAAGGACACAGCCAGCTTGAGGCAACTCTACAGGGAAGAGGCAGAGGGAATAAATACCTTTACCTCACTAGTGTGCTTTACACTCCAAGCTGGTGCCTGAACTGATATCCTCCTGACCAGATAGGGAGGATACTATACCCCCTGGAACTCTCCCTCCTTCAGTGGAGAATGCTGCTAATTTGAAACAAATTGCTTAAAAGTTTATCAAATTATTCCTATCACTAAAAAAGGTTGAAACCTCCAAGACTCATAATTATCCACAGAAGAAGGATACTAATAGAATAGTCTATTTTTCATTCATTCAACAAATATAATAAATATTATATACATATATCCATCTATTTTGGGTAAGAGACCCCTAAATACAAAAATGTGCTCTTTCCTTTAAGGGGTTTTGTATTATTACAAATGAGTAGACTCATATATAGATATAAAAGGAAAAAAATTCCCCGTCTCTACTAAAAATACAAAAAATTAGCCAGGCATGGTGGCAGGTGCCTGTAGTCCTAGCTACTCAGGAGACTGAGGCAGGAGAATGGCGTGAAACCAGGAGGCAGAGCTTGCAGTGAGCCGAAATTGCGCCACTGCACTCCAGCCTGGGCGACAGAGCGAGACTCCATCTCAAAAAAAAAAAAAAAAAAAAAAAGGAAAAAAATTACTAACAGTATAAATTGAGAATTATACAATATGATGAGTAATATTAGTTAAAAGGTATACTATTAAAAATAGGGTATAGTTTAACATTTATATGCCAAGATTTATGAGAATATATTTGGTAAGAGAATTCATAAAGAGTTACAATTATGTTATTACATAAGTTTGATAACATTTTGTGATATGTTTAGTTAGGATACATTTTATGTATTAATCCAGAGAATTCAGGAAACATGTACTGTCAGAAAGATACAGGGGTAGAAACAGAAAAGATAAAGAAGAAAAGGGAGAGTGTTTAAAGCAAAGATTCTTAATTGGTGGAAGTGACATCCCAAAGGGATGTAATGGAAATTTCTTGGGTGTGTGTCAGTGTGGCCGTTATGACAATGAATGGGGAAACAGCTGGGCTGGCATTTAATGGGCCGGGAATTCTAAAGATCCTGCAATGCCCAAGATACTTTCCCCACTGTGAACCATCGTGACTCCTGCATGACATTCAAATGTCTAACCAAGTACTCACCCATTTATAATTATCTAAATCCAATCCCTAACTATATTTTTATGTAAATACTAAGTACATTTTGCACAGTTATTAACACTGAATTTTTCAAGAATGCAACTGCCATGCCATGTGCATTTTAAGAGAAGACTTCCCTTCACTTTGTTTCTAAATTTATTGTGAGCCATTTATCCTTTCAAAAAATGTCACTGTACTGCAATGCTGCCCATGGTGGATGAGTCACCAAAACAACAAGCATCTATTTGTCAGCATCTGTAGCCATCTATTTCTGCTAATTCTATGAATAGATGCAAGCATCTAACTACATCGTTATGTTTGTAGCACAGTCACATAAACATTTAGCTATTAAATATATATTGATTTATTATAAATTACCTTCATTTTATGTATCTTTTACATTAGGACATTTTACTGTATTTTTTTAAAATCATGTATATTAAGTCCTCACCTAACATTATTGATATGTCCTTGGAAACTGAGTTTCAGTGAAATGATGTATAATGAAACCAACTTTACTGCAGGCTAATTGATATAAACAAGAGTTAATTTCCTCTGGTATATTTCTAATTATGTAACATCATCGCTTCTAACTAAAGACCTCAAACACTTCTAATATTAAACATTGAAACAAATGTGAGCTATATATATATTTAAGAAGGAGTAATTAAAACAAGTAAGATAATGATTTACCCAATTTTTGGTGAGTCAGTGAGTGACAGTAATCATAGTGGTGGTAGGATGTATCAAGGAATAAATGTTTGTGAAGAGAAAATTATAAGGAGAACCTCCTACCACCACTCAGTTCAAAAACAAACAATCACAACTTGGGGGTCAGTGAACACTCTCCTACCACATCATTTACTGCCATACACTTGCATGACTATAGTAAACTTCATGAAATTTTATTTTACAATCATTTTATTCATTCATTCATTCATTCATATTCGAACCAACTTATTCCAGTTCAGGGTGGTGGGTGGCCAGAACCTATCCACCTTGGGGCAGCAACGCAGGTACCCACCCTGGACAGGATGCTATCCCTTTGCAGGGCGCACTCACACACACACCCATACTTACTCAGATTGGGATCATTTAGACAGGCCAATGAACCTAACATGCACATCTTTTGGATGTGGGAATAAACTGGAGTAGCCAGAGAATCCCATACAGATATGGGGAGAATGTGCAAACTCTATAAAGATATGGGGAGAATGTGCAAACTCTATAAAGATACTGGCTTCATCCAGGAAGTATTTTTTTCTCTTTAATATTATATCAAAACAACATTGAATGAAAAGAAGTGATTTAAGGAGCTATATATATAAGTCATGCTGGTGATGAGTTTCATTTCTTGCTAATAAAGGGGACATTACAAAGTATTTGTTTTAATGACATGTAATTCAGAATCAGTTACATTCATGGAAGCACAACAGTGAAACGGGCCAATAATACTGTTGGAGATCAATTAAGCATAGCAGAAGGCCTGGCTAATACCAAAGAGTAGAGGTGCTAATCTCAGTTGTCCTGGTCATGGGATCCTGATTTATGTTAATAACATAATAAAGAGAAAACTCATGTGCAAATAAAGAGTATTTAGGGGCAGCAGCACATATGGTCAGGCTTATTTTCCTATTTAGTGCACGGTGCAAGTAGGAGTTTGGGGAGGAAATTTTTGCAGTAGACAAAGGATAAAATTACAGGGCAAAGATCTTAGTTATAAATTAAAGAAAATATATTGACCCTAACAGCTCAAAGTATCCTTGCTTCTCCTACTGACATGATCTGACATGATCATTGGTAGGATAAATAAACAGAACTTTCATTAATTCACATTTGAATTAATTTTAAGTTTTATTTTAAGTTTTATTCATTAATATATGGAAAAACTGAAATTGACTTGGATTACTAGCTATTTGTAGTGGCTTGTTGTTCTTGCTGCCACCTCAGAGGACTGGGCTTGCCCAAAAGGTAAAAGTAAGCCTAAAAAATCAACATGCATATCACAGAAACTGTTACAAAATTCAAAAGAAGTAGTTATCACAGAATGAGATGATCATCTTGCATTCTACTTTATTTACTAAAATTTTATTCCTTAGGGTCCTTCAAACTTTGTTCATGTCGATCTATGAAGAAAAAATAACCTTAATACTTAATTAATAAGGAATATGAAAGAAATTTTGGCAACATATGCCTATTACCAAGGACGCTCAAGATATAATTCACAATCCACTCTTTATATGTACTATTCACAAATTAGAGACTAAACTATGTTAAATTTCCTTATTTGTATAAAGTGATCGCCCTTTTTTTCCGGTTATCAATGGCTTAACCAACGATACCCATAGTTAAATCATGACTGTGAGTCAGGAATCTTGGAAGAACTTGGATAGGTAGCTCATCTCTGACTCATGTTGTGGCCGCTGAGGAAATTAGGACTGGGAAATCCACTTCCAAGATGGATTCACATTCTTCATTCACTTATCTGGTATCCTGGTGTTCCTTGGTCTCTCTCCATCTTTCTCTCTCCCTCCTCTTTTCCCTCTTTCACTCCTCCTCACTCAGGGAAGACAGACTTCAATACATGGTAGCTGGCCTACCCAGAACAAACATTCTAAGAGCAAGTGCTCTAAGAGACAAGAAGTGGAAATTGTCAGTCTCTTAAGGTCTTGGCTAAGAAACTGGCACAGCATCATTTCCACTGTACACAACTGGACAAAGCCTTCTTAGAGTCCATCCAGATTCAAGGGGAGGGGACATAAATGTCACCTTTCTTTGTGAGTAATGTCAAAGAATTTGTGGTCATCTTAAATCCACCACATCTTGTCTGCAGCAATAATAAAAATGACCCTATTTCCCATCAATAATTTTCATTACTCATCTAAACATGGACACCAACAACATGCACAGTAAAGGAGCTATATAAAACACAGTGTCTTACTTAAAGGAATTACAATTTTTACTCAAAAAATGTAAAAGGCAACCATTAACAGTTAAACAGTTTCCCAGGTAACATTTTAAATTAGTCAATGAGAAAAGAAGAATGATGGGAATGATAGTTGCTCATGCCTGTAATCCCTGCACTTTGGGAGGCTGAGGCGGGCGGATCACCTGAGGTCAGGAGTTGGAGACCAGCCTGGTCAACATGGCAAAACCCCGTCTCTACTAAAAATACAAAAAATAGCCAGGTGTGGTGGCGGGTGCCTTAATCCCAGCTACTTGGGAGGCTGAGGCAGGAGAATCGCTTGAACCCGAGAGGCAGAGGTTGCAGTGAGCCAAGATCGCGCCACTGCACTCCAGCCTGGGTGACAGAGCCAGACTCCATCTCAAAAACAAAAAAAAAAAAGAAAAGAAATTCACAGATTTCCATTCTGTCTACAACAGCAATGCCAGTCTCTCAAACAAATAACTGGAAAACACTTCCATGTTTTCAGGAAATGTCAATAATGAATATTTCAGACTGCATAGATTTCAATATATATTTCAGACTGCTTATATTGTATTTAGTTCTGAGGATAAAACATAGTTTTAGAGACAAATATGGTGGGTTATTTCACTATCTCACAGGAGATACCTGAGATAATCATATTTAATATCAGTATTCATGGTACATTGTTGATTCCAGAAGTTACACATAAAAAAGGATGTGATCACAGGCACATTTAAGATTGCATTTGTAGGTGAAACTCATGAGTGATTTTGTTTGATAAACACTAATGAAACAAACATTTATTTTGTGTCTGCTATGAGCCAGGGCACTGTGCAGGATTGTTTTGGAGATAAAAAGATAAATAAGACACAATATTTGCAAACAAGGAGCTTAGAGTGTTGGGGAGAGAAATGAATAAACAGGAAATTCCATAACAGCATGACCATCACAGAGGTAAACACAGGCTGCTAGAGAACACAGAGAAAATACTTAGCCTGGACTGAGGGTTAATATGCAATGGAAGACCTTCCAGAAAACAATGATAACCAGAGTGCTAAAGGTCCATCAGAAGGATATTGTTACTGTTGTTTGAAAATAGGGGCCAGTTTTGGGTAACAGAGGACTTAGCAAACATTCCAAACGGAAAGGCAAAGTTTGCAAACAGATCTAGAAAACAAAAACCATGGTGGGTTCAGAGCAAAGCCAGTTAGGGTGAAGAGAAAATCTGGGGCAAGAAGTCACATTGAGAGATAGGCCTAAGGAGATTACTGTGATCACATCACTTAGTGCCTTGTACTAGATGCTAATGAGTATGGATTTCATACTGAAAGCCACAAAGAGGCACTCATGACCAAAATAAATGTACATGACAATTTCAGATGAAAACTTACATGTGCATAGCTACATATATAAAAGCATATTTGTAAACAGCCAATATAACACTTTTGAAAAGTGACACATCAGAGCTTAAAAATAAAAGCATGTGAAAGCCTTTACATTTAATGTCATAAATCTGAAGGGTTTTACTTACCAGCCAAATGTGTCTTTTCAATTGTTACATTTATTAGATTACCTATTGATTTAGTTTACAGTTTAAGAGTTGTAATTATTTTACGCAATGACAAATAAAAACTATTATTTAAAAATAAATCAAAAGCTTCAGTTCTAGTTTTTAACTAGAAACTACATAACTTACAATACATAAATTAGTAATAAACTTTCCTTTTTACTAAATTGAAGGAAAATCTACATGCATTATAAATCTCTTAATAATTCATCTATAATAAATGACAAATATTTAGTTAAAACATAAGATAACCTCAGAAAAATTCTTTTTATCCAAGTAAAATTTAAATAAACAGCAAATGTTCTCTTGTCTAATGGCTTTTAGGATTAATAATATATAATGTTCTCTTAAAAGTAAACTGTATGCAGAATGGTATGCACTCATTCTGATGCTTTTACAGTATATGAGACCTCGAATATATACTGCTTCTTTAAGGTGCTGCCCTCAAAAAAGATCAAAGACATTTTACTAGCTATTAATAGTAAAGGTTATTAATATGTCCATTTCTTCTAGTTATCGTAAATATGTTCTCCATTCTTTAAGCCATCCGTTAATGTTCACTTGCACTGGTTTGGCATATCTCAGAAATAATTCAATAGAAAATAGGTATATTATTAATATGTTAGGGATAAAATGTGCATCACAACTTATTATTACTGGTCAGTGCAAGAATTTTATAGGTATCTGGCTTTTAACTCACATTGAATTCAGTGAATTGCCTTCCAGTAATTGAGAATGATGAATGATTTTGTCATCTCAAACATAATGAGAAAAATACAAAATAGAAAACCCTCTAACTTTCCTTAGACTGTGTCAGTATAATGGAAAAAAAAAATAACAACAACAACAATGACTGATTTCTGGCAGGTATGTTTGGATAGAGAAATGCTAACAATCCCCTTTACAGCTATGAAAATATGTAAAATTATATAAAAAATTAAAACTGCATAAATCTTTACTAACAATTATTTAGGAGTCTACTTTGCAGCATAAATTTACTACAATCCATAACAAATTTGTGAACAAAATGGTCATTTAATGTATAGAACAAAGAAATCTTATAATCTATTTCATAAATCCTTTAAACAGGGTTACTACAGTTGTTTTCATTATTATAATAGTTAACTAAACAGTTCATTCTAACATATATTTTCTACAAGTATCTTTTAGTTGGCCAATTACAAATTCTCTATATCATATTTATTTACTGTTGCCATATAGAAGGATGATGAATTCATCACTAACCAATCATCGGTAAAGAAAAAGCCAACTTCGAAATACATAATTAAAGCAAACTAACCAAAGGTATCATTGCATCTTCTTATTAATCCCAATAGAAACACATTTAATAACTTCTAGCAAGATGGTTATGTAAAGATCCCCCTCTCTAATTTCTCGTAAGCTGTATTAGTTTCACGAATGCCTTGCTCACATTTTCATTTTCTTTAAATTCCCAAATTCATTGAAAAACGTTAACCTACACATCCAGGAAGCTAAACAAACATGAAGTAGGATAAATGCATAGAGATCCACATATAGATACATCGTGATTAAATTGCTGAAAGCCAAAGAAAGAAAAGGAGAAAATCTTGAAAGCAGTAAAAGGAAATGACTTGTCAGTTACAAGTGAAACCCAATAGTAGTAATGACTAATTTCCTCTTTTTGATATTAGTATTTCTTTTTAAAATAATTTCGACTTTTATTTTAGATTTAAGGGGCATATGTGCAAGCTTTTGTTACATAGGTCTAATGCGGGACGCTGAAGTTTAGGGTACGAATGATCCCATCACCCAGGTAGTGAGCATAGTACCCAATAGGTAGCCCTTGTTCTCTTCTCTCACTCCACGTCTAGTAGCATGAATAAAAAGACTGGATCACATTTTCAAACATACACTTTCTTTTAATTCATGCAGAGTCTAGGAACATTGATCTCCCCTTATAAACTAAGTCGTGGCCAATAGCTGAATAAGGGCTTGTAGTTATGTGTGTTTCCAAAGCAAGTCAGCGGAACATTCAAATTGACTCTCATTCTGCCTAGAACTAAGTATATGTATTGAAGCACATGTAGATATTCTTAGATAGCACATATTCCACAATGGGCAAATTAAAATATATTCAGAGTTATAAATTAGGAGACTTACTTTAGTGATCGGTACAAAAAGCCTCCTGCAGAGAGAGATTATTCAAGTGGGAATAATCAACGAACCAAAACACAGAAATGGCTTTGGGACAAGTCAATAAGGAAAAAATAAAACATAAAAAACACAAAAAAATGAACAACACAACACTCCATAAGCTCTTTCTCTTATTTAGCAGAAGTCAGTGCCTCTAAGATGGGTGACTTAAGTATGCCATTTAATTTTTATGGGCAAAAGAAAGCAAAGTGATAGAAGAAATTTAAAAAAAGAAGACAAAACAACAGATCCAATCCCCTTCCTCTCTAGTTTCTTTGAAAATCTTTTTAAATCAACATGGTCAGCTTTTCTATTCAAACGTATCTGTGTGCATGTGTGTGTGCGTTCCACTGGAAGTTACTTATTTGTTTTGCTTTACCATTTCATTAGGTATCAAATTATCATCCAGATTTGATACCTCCATAATCATTAATAATTATATTAGTGCCTTATACTCAACCAGTAACTTGACTTATGAAAGTCTTCTGACCAATAAAATTTTATTTATATATAAATCAGATAAACAATATAAGATAAACAATGCCTCCATGATTTGAAAAAACAGCATCTCAATTACCAAGATGTTGAACAATCATGTCCAATCGTGTCAGCTCTGCATACGCTGAGATTTCAACATCTTTGAACATATTGGGAAGAAGGTCATTGAACTGATTTATCCTGCATGTGCACAGCTTAAGTACTATAATAATGAAATCACGTTTGCTTGGAGGAAAATTGCCCAGTATTAAGTTGCCAGTGGCCATGTTAATAAGGCTTTCTACCTAACTTGGCTGATACAAGCTTTCAGATCCAATACTATTTATTTAGTAATTGTAAAACTCATAAGCACAGAAATGAGAAAAGATACTTTGTAAAGAAACATAGATAATTCAGGTCTATTGTTGTTCTTCATAACAATAGAGCTTTTAGTTCTATTCTCTAATTTACTGTCACTTTATCACTTTTATCTTCCACTTTAAGTCTGCTTCTTTTATTGGACTATCTATTCAGCTGATAATTCATTTACACTTTTGAAGTTCCATGCCATAAAAACTCCACTTAACTGCTTCCTAAATGGTGGTTAATCTGCACAAATTTTAAATTTGACCTTAATGCAACAGTTTATTCCTGAAGTTATTATGACACTTGGAAAACAGATCATGCCCTTAAAAGTGTACTTTATTTTAAAGGTTTTTTTCTTTTCATTCACAAAATGAATTTTGCACAGATATTTGCAAAGTGCCTTTTACAATAAAATGCACAGTCATTTCCCCATTTGAATTCCATCTGGACAGTTCAGAATCTCACTCAAGCATCAGATGAGGTGTCAAAGTGCTTTGTTAACAAACTTATTTCCCAGATGTGGATAGAACCGGGACAGAAGGCTCAAATGCTCTAACATACCTAACAATTCAATTACAATTATCTTATGGTGCCATCACATATTTTTCTTCAACAATCAAACAACCTCAGCTGGAAACCTCTAGCAATAACATAAATAAAGGACCATCTGGCTAGAATAATTAAGGAAGGCTGGAAATAAAACGTTAATTAGTGCAGTATTTCAAACGACCTTCAGAGGCCTTATTATGAAATTATATCTAAAACAGGTAATCATTTATTTCATGTTGCTGTTAAATTTAACTAGGCCTGAATAAATACAAATAGCAAATTTTTAATCTTTTAGTGAGGACTGTTAACTCAAAATGATAACGTATTTCTTAAGCACAATAATTAAAGCGACAAATAAATAAAACAAAGCGTCACTATAAACTTTTAAAATTTATGTCACTCAAATATCATATAATTTTAACATTGTAAGGACCTTTGAAGATTATAACACATTATCTAACCTCCTTGATTTATGGATGAAGAAAGACAGGCTCAGAGAAATTAAGTGATTCTCCAAGGCCTCACACCTAGAGAGTTACAGAGGCTAGAGGTGAACACAGACCTGATTCTCACTCAAGAAATACTCTGCATTGCAATGAGAATTCACACACAAATGTTCTACCACAAAATGGCACACAACAAAGTGTGGTGGTTATTTTGCCACTTCAGTGAATTAAAATAAAAATTTCACAAAACCCACCAACATATTAAATTTCAGGGCCACATAATGAAACAATACCAAAAGTAATAAACTACCTTAAATAGAGTTTGTGCACAGATGAATAGCTATTTATCAACGGTTCCCATTCCTTGGGGAGGAGTTAATGATAGGAAGTAACTGCCTAGAAAAGGACTACATATCTCTGAGGGCTCTGTTCCATTTCGTTGGTCTATATCTCTGTTTTGGTACCAGTACCACGCTGTTTTGGTTACTGTAGCCTTGTAGTACAGTTTGAAGTCAGGTGGCATGATGCCTCCAGCTTTGTTCTTTTGGCTTAGGATTGTCTTGGCAATGTGGGCTCTTTTTTGGTTTCATGTGAACTTTAAAGTAGTTTTTTCCAATTCTGTGAAGACAGTCATTGGTAGCTTGATGGGGATGGCACTGAATCTATAAATTACTTTGGGCAGTATGGCCATTTTCATGGTATTGATTCTTTCTATCCATGAGCATGGAATCTTCCTTCATTTGTTTGTGTCCTCTTTTATTTCACTGAGCAGTGGTATGTAGTTCTCCTTGAAGAGGTCCTTCACATCCCTTGTAAGTTGGATTCCTAGGTATTTTATTCTCTTTGAAGCAATTGTGAACGGGAGTTCACTCACGATTTGGCTCTCTGTCTGCTACTGGTGTATAGGAATGCTTGTGATTTTTGCACATTGATTTTGTATCCTGAACATCTACAACCATCTGATCTTTGACAAACCTGACAAAAACAAGAAATGGGGAAAAAATTCCCTATTTAATAAATGGTGCTGGGAAAACTGGCTAGCCATATGTAGAGAGCTGAAACTGGATCCCTTCCTTACAGCTTATACTAAAATTAATTCAAGATGGATTAAAGACTTAAATGTTAGACCTAAAACCATAAAAATCCTAGAAGAAAACCTAGGCAATACCCTTCAGGACATAGGCCTGGGCAAGGACTTCATGACTAAAACACCAAAAGCAATGGCAACAAAAGCCAAAATTGACAAATGGGATCTAATTAAAGAACTTCTGCAGAGCAAAAGAAACTATTATCAGAGTGAACAGGCAACCTACAGAACGGGAGAAAATTTTTACAATCTACTCATCTGACAAAGGGCTAATATGAAGAATCTACAAAAAACTTAAACAAATTTACAAGAAAAAATCAAACAACCCCATCAAAAAGTGGGCAAAGGATATGAACAGACACTTCTCAAAAGAAGACATTTAGGCAGCCAACAGACACATGAAAAAATGCTCATCATCGCTGGCCATAAGAGAAATGCAAATCAAAACCACAATGAGATACCATCTCACACCAGTTAGAATGGCGATCATCAAAAAGTCAGGAAACAACAGGTGCCGGAGAGGATGTAGAGAAATAGGAACGCTTTTACACTGTTGGTGGGACTGTAAACTAGTTTAACCATTGTGGAAGACAGTGTGGCAATTCCTCAAGGATCTAGAACTAGAAATACCATTTGATCCAGCCATCCCATTACTGGGTATATACCCAAAGGATTACAAATCATGCTGCTATAAAGACACATGCACACATATGTTTACTGTGGCACTATTCACAATAGCAAAGACTTGGAACCAACCCAAATGTCCACCAGTGATAGACTGGATTAAGAAAATGTGGCACATATACACCATGGAATACTACGCAGCCATAAAAAGGATGAGTTCATGTCCTTTGTAGGGACATGGATGAAGCTGAAATCATCATTCTGAGCAAACTATCGCAAGGACAGAAAACCAAACACTGCATGTTCTCACTCATAGGTGGGAATTGAACAATGAGAACACTTGGACACAGGGTGGGGAACATCACACACCAGGGCCTGTTGTGGGGTGGGGGGAGGGGGGGAGGGGGGAGGGCTAGCATTAGGAGATATACCTAATGTAAATGACGAGTTAATGGGTGCAGCACACCAACATGGCAAATGTATACATATGTGACAAACCTGCATGTTGTGCACATGTACCCTAGAACTTAAAGTATAATAAAAAAAATTCATACATGCTATTTAGTGAAAAATAAAGCAGATTAGATAATAGTATGTATAGTATTATGCCCTGCCTAATACACATACATGAATATATATATGTATTAGTCCATAGGGAAAAGTATGGGAGGGCTTTTAATAAAATATTAACAATGGTTATCATAAAAAAAAAAAAGAAAAAAAGAAAAGAAAAAGACCACATATCTCAGTCCTCTTCCAAGCAGGTATGACCACATGATTACTATTTCCTGTTGCTGAAATGCAGCAGATGTGGTTATGCACCAGTTCAAGGCCATAGTTTTTAAGAACCAGATGCCTTCTCCACTGTCTCTTTAACATTCTGCTAGCTGTAGAGTCTAGAAAATGAAGCAGCCATAAAATGGAAAGAACAGGGGTCTTTAACACACTATATGGAGGAAAACATCTTACTGGTGCGAACATCCACATTAAACTGGTCCATGAGAAGTAAATACATTCCTTTGGTTATTATAATTAGTATTACTAAATTATCTAATAAAGGGTCCAAAGCAGACCTTATGGACGTAAATGTTCACACTATAGCAGCCATTATTATAAAATAATATCAATGTACAGTTTTAAACGAATATTAGAATAAAGTTATTCTTTGTTTTAAAAAATCAGTATAATTTTAAGGCTCTTTCAATAAAGATCATCTCCTTTATACAGATCATCCATAACTTCTAGTATTCCCTCAGCTTAAATGGGCATATATGTTTGTGTGTGTGTGTGTGTGTGTGTGTGTGTGTGTAAATTTTAAAATTTTGTAAAAACATACCAAAGAGGATGAAATGGACTAGAGCAATGTATAGGTGAAAGAATATGGGATCTAAAGGTTGATATCTGGTTTCAAGTACCAATTTTGCCTTGAGATGCCAAGGACTAAAACATGTCTGTGTTCCTCTTCACCATCTTACAACACTTTAGCTTTCTACTTCAAACACAATAGGGATGGGGTGGCAGGAAATGAGTGGGGCTTCAAGAACAGTAACAATGAAGTTCAATAACAGCTCCAGACTAACTCCATTCTGAATCACTGCCAGAGACAAACAGATTAAGTAAAACTAGTAAACATTCAGAGTATGTTTCTAATGTCTGTTATTGTCAATCCTGTTAGCAGACATACTAGGGATCCACATGGAACAAACACATCTTTTCATCTAAATGGTGTGCCAAGAGTTCAGTTTGGTTAAATGACAAAATTCTTGGAAAATTCTGTAGTGCTTTTATATGCATTCAAAAAAGGAGAAATATCCAGAGGGATATATATTTTTTTATATTTATATATATATAAATCTCTATTATATAGATATATAAATATATTATATAGATATATAAATCTATATTATATATATACAAATATATATATATCTCCCATTGAGAATGGAATAGGAACAGTGTAGAGGAGGAACAAGGAAGAAAGAACAATTTTCACTGCATTACTTTTTGGAAAATTTTTTTTCAAGAAACAATGTATTTAGATGAAGAGAATACTTTTTTTAAAAAAAATGAGTTATGGGCTTAAACAGAAGTATCCCATACAGTTTCCCATTTATATTATAAAATATCATGTAAGTGAATGAACTGGACAAGCTTGATATATACCCTTCTATTGTTGAACACAGAATAGCATAGTAAACAATGAAAACCTTAAGTGTGCTTCAGAGTCTCTTCGAAAAATAAACTACTTCAGCTTGTCCATTAGTGTTGAGTAATGAAGCAAAATCTTGGTATCTTGATAACATCTCTGACTGTATATGCTCCAAACTCAACTGGGAATGAATGTCAGAAGTGATATACGCCTTTCTATCTTGCAAGTGACTGGTTCAGGAATGTAACTATTTCACGAGAAATTTTAGATAGAATGCAAAGCACATTTTGAGAATGAACTTACTGGAATCAAAGAAGTTTCCCCAATTAAGCATGTATAACAAATACAAGAATAATAATTAAAGCTAACAACATCCCAGATATATTGCTTCTAAGCACTTTATATGTAGTTTTATAATTACTGCAAAATCCCAAGTATGTATACAGATGAGGAGAGGCATTGAGGCATAATAACAGTCAGCATTTATTTAGTGTTTACTTTGAACCAAATTGTATATCCTTTTATTACTTAAATTCTCACAGCACTGTGAAATAGCCACATCCAAATTTATCTTTAACGTCTAGCAAATCTTAAGAGGAGTAAATGGCTAAATGAGGATTTGAACCCAGGTCTGTCTGACTTACAACCCTATATATGGCAAAAGTATACAGACTTTGGAATAGATCTGAATCCAAAATGTTTGGGCTATGCGACCTTGAGCAAGTTACTCTATCTCTTTGAGACTCATTCTCCTCTTCTGTAAAAATGAGTTTAAAATGCCTACATACAATATTGTCGTGAGAACTAAATGTGAGAGTGCAGCAGTGTTTGGTACACACTGTGCGTAGTTAAGGTAAGGTTGGCCATTGTAACAGAGGCCTCCAAGAACACACAGATTAAAGAGTAAAAAAATGTTTTTCTGTAACACAAAACAAGCTCAATGTGATTGGTTCAGGCTGCTGGGGAATCAAATAAGATCTTAGTTTTTGAAATTTTGCTTCTTTTGTTTGGCATAATGCATTTGAGATTCATCCACGCTGTTGTATCAGTAGTTTAGTTCCTTTTAGTACCAGGTAGCATTCCATTGTGTAAACATACTACACTTTGTTTATATATTCACCAGGTGATGAATATTAGATTGTTCCCAGGTTTTGGTGTTTATGAATAAAGCCACTACAAACGTTCACATACAGCTTTTGTGTGCACCTAAGTTCTTGCTTCTTTGGGGTAAAGATGGAGAAATGAGATTATGTCATTGGTATGTATATGCTTAACTATACTTAAAAACTGCCTGTTTTTTCAAAGTGACTGTACCATTTTGTATTCCCAACAGCAAGGCACAGGAATTGCAGAAGTTCTGTGTTCTCATCTGGTATTTTAAGGGGTTTTTGTTTGTTTGTTTGGGGGTGTGCATGTGTGTGTGTAGTAGTAGTAGTAGAAGTAGGTGCAGCAGTGGTGTCATACTGCATTCTTAATTTGTATTTGTCTAAGACTAATGATATTGAGTATCATCATATTCTTATTGGTCATCCATATATCTTCTTTGTTAAAGTGTCTACTCAAATCTTTTGCCCTTTTTAAAAACTGCATCATTTTTGTTTTCTTGAGTTTTGAGAATCCTTTATATATTTTAGATTCAAGTTCTTTGTCAGATATGTGCTCTACAAATTTTTATCCCTGTCTGTGGCTTATTTATTCATTATTACTTTGTAATTCTAATTTATCAATATGTTCTTACATGGATCATGGTTTTGATATCATACCTAGAAAGTCTTTTCCTGGTCCAGGTCACAAAGATTTTCTCCTGTGTTTTGTTTAGGTATTTTATGATTTTCAGCTTTACGTTTAGGTTTATAATCAATTTTGAGTTAATTTTTGTATATGAATGTGAAGTATGAGGTCAAAGTTATTATTATTTTTTGCATATTTATACCCAATTGTTCCAGCACTATTTGTTGAAGGGTTTATCTATTCTCCATTGAAACACCTTTGCATCTTGGTTGAAAATCAGTTGATCATATATATGTGGGTATATTTATGTTTTATTGATATATGGATCTACTCTTTAATGAATGTTGCACTTTCTTGATTACTGGAGCTTAGATCAGGTTTTTTCAACCTTGCCAATATTAACATTTTGGGCTGGATAATTTGTCTGAGTGCCATACTTTGCATTGCAAATGTTTATCAGATTCCCTAGCCTCTATCCACTAGCTGCCAGTAGAAACCTCGAAGTTATGAGAAGCAAAATGTCCCCAGACATTGCCAAATGTTTCCTGAGGGTGCAAAAGAGTCCTCTGTTGAGAGCCACTGCTTTAGAATAAGCCTCGAAATCAAGTGTTACCAATCCTCCAACTTCATTCTTTCTCAAAATTGCTCAGGCTATTTTAGTTCCTTTGCATTTCCATATAAATTTTATCAGCCTACTAATTCATAAAAATACATTAGAATTGGCCAGGCGCAGTGGTTCAGGCCTGTAATCCCAGCACTTTGGGAGGCCAAGGCGGGCGGATCACCTGAGGTCAGGAGTTCGAGACAAGCCTGGCCAATATGGTGAAACCCTGTCTCTACTAAAAATACAAATAATTAGCCTGGCATGTTGGTGGGCACCTGTAACCCCAACTACTAGGGAGGCTTAGGCAGGAGAATTGCTTGAACCCGGGAGGCAGAGGTTGCAGTGAGCCAAGATTGCTCCATTGCACTCTAGCCTGGGCCACAAGAGCAAAACTCCATCTCAAAAAAAAAGAAAAAAAAAAGCACTAGAATTTTTATTAGGAGTATGTTGAATCTATTGATCAATTTGAGGAAGACTGACAACATTAATTCTTCTAATTCAAAAAATGTCTATTTCTTCATTAGTTCGGTATTCTTTGATTTCTTTCATCAGTGTTGTGTAGTTTTCAGAACACTTTGTTAAATTCATATGTAAGTGTTTCCTATGTTAGGAAGTTTTAGGAATTGCATTCTTTTGATTTCAATTTCTTATTGTTCATTGTGAATATATGGAAATACCCTTGATTTTATATTTTGGCCTTGTATGTGCTACCCTTGCTAACACCATTGAGTCTGAAAACTTTTGTTATTATGCTGTACGATGTAATTTAAAATATTAGTAACATTATAATACTAAAATCTCTAGGTTCACATATATAGTAATAACTCTATTGCTCTGCGTGTTTATTTTATAATAGTGCCAGCTTACATTATAGTTTACTTGTTTAAGTAATCAATCACATACTTTTCAAATATTCTATAGAGAGCTCATGAAATGATTATAATAATCACGATGAAATCAGATTGAGAAATAAGTCTATGATTATTACATGGGCAAAGAATATTAAAATATTTTATATAAAATAATTTTATAATTATCTACAATAATGAATTACCTTGTTTTTCTGTCCCTTCAATAGATACGACTGAATATCTAATAAATACATTTCTTATCTATTTGCATTAGCTCATCTTACAGTGCAAAATTACAAAAATTTTAACATAAAAGGTTTAAATAAGCATGTTGCTAGCTAATGTTTTATGAGAAAATTATGTAAATAGTTAAATGAAATAATATAGAATTTAGTAGAGTAGTAATATCACATAGGTGCACACAATCCTCTATCTGTGGAGTCTAGTTTTTCTATCTAGGAAGGTCTCCCTCTTAAACAACCTGATTTGTTTTCTCAAATACTAAGAACCATATCTACAAAGATGATTGGTTTTGGCACTGTAACAATATTTCAGGAACTTAACTGGACAGTTTAACTAGGGCAATGTGTGACTTCTTTATAGTAAAAGCCTCTTCTGTGAAAGCATGACAGAGGTAGAGCCTATCAAACAAGTAAATGGTAGCTCCTATTATATTCCAGCCTGGAAGAGTATAGAGAAGCATCAATTGATTATATGATCAAGTTGAAATCAGACTTAGAAAGGAAGCTATAATTATTCCATAGGCAAAGAATTTTAAAAGCTTTAATATAATGTTACAACTATCTGCAATAATGAATTATATTATTGTTTTGCTGTTTCTTCAATAGATATGATTGTATTACTAATAAATATGCTTCTTATCTGCTTGCATTGGCTCATCTTCCAGATCAGGGCAAAATAACACTGGTGGTTGTAAGCAACTGCATTTTGTTCCTACCTTTAAAAGCAATGGGGAAAGGATTCCCTATTTAATAAATGGTGCTGGGAAAACTGGCTAGCCATATGCAGAAAACTGAAACTGGACCCCTTCCTTACACCTTATACAAAAATTAACTCAAGATGGATTAAAGGCTTAAATGTAAAACTTAAAACCATAAAAACTCTAGAAGAAAACCTAGGCAATACCATTCAGGACATAGGCATGGGCAAAGACTTCATGATTAAAACACCAAAGGCAATTGCAACAAAAGCCAAAATTGACAAATGGGATCTAATTAAACTAAAGAGCTTCTGCACAGCAAAAGAAATTATCATCAGCGAACAGGCAACCTACAGAATGGAAGAAAATTTTTGCAATCTATCCATCTGACAAAAAGCTAATATCCAGAATCTACAAGGAACTTAAACAAATTTACAAGAAAAATACAACCCCATCAAAAAGTGGGTAAAGGATATGAACAGACACTTCTCAAAAGAACACATTTATGCGGCCAACAAACGTATGAAAAAAACTTCATCATCACTCATCATTAGAGAAATGCAAATCAAAACTACAATGAGGTACCATCTCATGCCAGTTTGAATGGCGATCACTAAAAAGTCAGGAAACAACAGAGGCTGGCAAGGATGTGGAGAAACTGGAATGCTTTTACACTGTTGGTGGGAGTGTAAATTAGGTTCAACCATTGTGGAAGACAGTATGGCAATTCCTCAATGATCTAGAACCAGAAATACCATTTGACCCAGCAATCCCATTACTGGGTATATTCCCAAAGGATTATAAATCATTCTACTATAAAGACACATGCACATATATGTTTATTGCAGCGCTATTCACAATAGCAAAGACTTGGAACCAACCCAAATGCCCATCAGTGATAGACTGGATAAAGAAAATGTGGCACATATATGCCATGGAATACTATGCAGCCAAATGAATGAGTTCATGTCCTTGGCAGGGACATGGATGAAGCTGGAAACCATCATTAACAGCAAACACAGGAAAAGAAAACCAAACACGGGATGTTCGAGTTGAATAAGAACACATCACACACTGGGCAGGTCGGGGTGTAGGGGGCCAGGGGAGGGAGAGCATTAGGACAAATACCTAATGCATGTGGAGCTTAAAACCTAGATGACGGTTGATGGGCGCAACAAACCACCATGGCACATGTATATACCTATGTAACAAACAGCACGTTCTGCACATGTATCTCAGAACTTAAAGTATAATCAAAAAAATTGAAAAAAAAACCCCTCATTTTCATCATTTTATCCCTCTCTCTTCTTTTGCCTTCCTTTGGACTACTTTAACATACTTTAGGAATCTATTTTGATTTATTTATAGTGTTGAATGTATCTCCCTGTGTAGTTTCCATAGTGGTTGCTCTGTGTACTGCTACATACATATATGAATTAAAGTAGTTCACCAGTATCAGCATTTTCCACTTAGAATGAAGTGTGAAACCACATGTCCAATTTTTACCTTTACCTTCTCAACTTTTAAATATCATTGCACTGAGTATCAGATAGGATTATACTTTTTGTTTCAATCATAAAAGA
Organism: Homo sapiens; assembly: GCF_000001405.40. Classification (NCBI taxonomy): domain Eukaryota; kingdom Metazoa; phylum Chordata; class Mammalia; order Primates; family Hominidae; genus Homo; species Homo sapiens. The sequence continues at coordinate 115,639,487 of NC_000010.11, read as the reverse complement.
TTTACAAATTTCATGAGGAAGAGGATAGCCAATGGTATGTAGGTTATACTTTAAATTACTTTCCTTTGTCATTTCCTTTCCATTTGAAGAACTTCTGTTACACAATTTTAAAGGAAGGTCTGTAGCAGATAAATGATTTTAGTTTGCATTCATCTGACAGTGTTTTTGTTTCCCTTTCATTCATGAAGGATAGTTTCTCTAAACACAGAATTCACAGTTTGAAGTTCTTTTCTTATAGCACTTGGAAATTATGCCACTTCTTTACAGACTCCATAGTTTAAAAAGAGAAATTTGCTGACATTCAAATTGGTGTCAATATGTAGTGTGTTGTTTCTGGTTGCTTTTAAGATTTTCTTCTCTGATTATATTTTTCAAAAACTTAATTATGATGTATTTTGGTGGGGATTTCTTAGCATTTAACCTCTTTGGTGTTCAATTGTCTTCTTGGACCTGTAGGTTTCTGTATTTTGCCAAATTGGGATAGTTTTCAGCCTTTATTTCCTCAAATATTCTTTCAGCCCCACCCTCTTCTCCACTCCTGTGACTCAGATGGTATTAATGTTGGCTCTTTAGTTCCTATCATGTAAGAACTGATGCTATGTTCATAATCTTTCACTCTATTTTATCTGCAGAGTGAATACTATTGTTTTATCCGCAATTTCAGTGATTCAATTCTCTGTCATCTCTACTTTACTACTGGCTAATCCAGCAAATTATTTTTATTTCTCTTACTGAATCTTTCAGTTTTATAATCTTCATTTGATTCTTTATTTAAAATAAGTTTTATACATACCATAAAATTCGCCATGTTCATGTCCAAAGAGCGGTTTTTAGTTTTTCTATACAGTTGTGCAATTACCACCAATATCTAATTCCATAATGTTTTGGTTTTCCTTAAAAGATACTCCATACCCATTAGCAGTCACTACTCATTCCCTACTCTCAAAGTGTCTGAAACCACTAACTACTTTTTGCCTCTGGATTTGCCTATTTGGACATTCTGTACAATAAGTGGCCTTTTGTGTCTGGCTTCTTTCACTTAGAATAATGCATGCAAGGTTCAAGCTTACTATACATATTAATATAGCCATGTGATACTCAATGACGGGGATACATTTTGAGAAATACATCATTAGACAATTTTGTCATTGTGAGAACATCATGGAGTATATTAGGCTATATAGCACAGCTTATTGCTCCTAGGTTACAAACTGTACAGCATGTTACTGTACTGAAGACTGTAGGCAATTGTAATACTACGGTAAGTGTCTATATATCTAAACATATCTAAATATAGAAAAGGTACAGTAAAAATACAGGATAAAAGATTTAAAATGTCATACCTATATAGGGCATTTATCATGAATGAAGTTTGCAGGACTGGAAGTTGTTCTTGGTGTCAGTGAGTGAGTAGTGAGTGAATGTGGAAGCCTAGGACATTAATGTATACTACTTTATAAAAACTGTATAGTAGACTTTATAAAAGACTTTATAAAAACTGTATAGTATAAGTAGGTCACACTACATTTATAAACATATTTTTCTGTCTTTAATAAGAAGTTAATAGCCGGGCGCGGTGGCTCATGCCTGTAATCTTAGCCCTTTGGGAGGCCAAGGCAGGCAGATCACGAGGTCAGGAGTTCGAGACCATCCTGACCAACACGGTGAAACTCTGTCTCTACTAACAAAACAAAAACTAGCTGGGTGTGGTGGTGCATGCCTGGAATCCCAGCTACTTGGGAGGCTGAGGCAGGGGAATTGCTTGAACTCGGGAGGCGGAGGTTGCAGTGAGCCAAGATTGCACCACTGCACTCCAGCCTGGGTGACAGAGCGAGATTCCATCTCAAAATAATAATAATAATAATAATAATAATAATAATAATAGTAATAAATTGACTTTAGCTTACTTTTTAATTATTTTACTTTATAAGCTTTGTAATTTTTTTAATTTTCTGACTTCCATAATAACGCAGGTTAAAACATACATACTGCTATACAAAAATATTTTCTTTAGGTCTTTACTCTATAAGCTTTGATTTACTTTCACATTTTTAAAATTTTAACTTTGGTTTTACTTTTTAAAGTTTTTTTAAAAAAACTAAGACAGATGCATATATTACCCTTCAGGTTAAGTAGTATCACTGTCTTCCACCTCCACATCTTATTACACCGGAATGTCTTCAGGAGCAATAACATTCATGAAGCTGTCATCTCCTAGACAAGCATGCCTTTTTCTGGAATGCTTCCTAAAGGACTTGTGTGGGGCTATTCTTGAGGAATTGTCACCCTTTTCAGAAATGTGTCCACGGTGATATGGTCAGTTAATTTTCATCATAGATTTGCTTTTAAGCAGATAATACACCATGGACATTCTTCTCTGTTAGTTAAGACCACTAGGTATTGAGGTCCATGTTTTCAAACTTTTTAAGGAGCTTCTTGAGGTCTGCAACAGCTTCTTCTGACCTGTTTACTATGAATTTACTTGGGGGTTCTTCTTTTTTTATCGTCCTGTTTCAGTTCCTATAACTCCTGATCTCTTGGGACCATTGCTGTGTATGCAGTCTGATGATGAAATTTTGTTATGTGGCATATGACTGTACGTCATTCCTTTTTATTAGCAAATAATATTCCACTGTATGGATATGCTATGATTTGATTATTCATTAATCAGTTGCTAGACATTTGAGCTGTTTCCACTTTTTGTTTACTGTGAATAATATTGCTATGTACATTCATATGTAAGTTTTTGAGGCTTATGTTTTCATTTCTCTTGAGTAAGTATCTAGTTAAATTTCTGGGCCATATGGTAACCTATGTTTAATACCTTGAGGTATAGCCAAACTATTTCCTATAAAAGATGAAATCACTTTATATTTCTACAAGCAATTTTTGAGGAAACATGTTTCTCACATAGGAGACTCTGAGTTCTATTTAAATCTTTTATTTAGTAGGCATTCTCTTTGTTAGCACATAACACGTAGGTCTTGACATAACTATGGTGGGCTGTGGTTCCAATGATGGTTTAAATTTCATAGCCTTTGCGATCTTATGTTGGTCTTACAGTACATTTGGTGCCTCTGCAGCTCCCACTGGTACATACTGGTGTTACCTGGGAAGAATGGAAGGGATTTTCCAGGGCTGGCTGCAGGATGTCTCTCTGTGAGATAGGGATGTGGTGGGATCCCCCTATTGCTATTGCCAGCTGCCTCTACGTCTCTAAGTGAGGGAGAAGAGTGTCGGAACCAAGGGATAAAGAGGCTACCAAGGTTTATCTCCTTGTTGTGAACTGGGTCCCTTTTGATGGTTGCCTACCTGCACGGAACACAATTTAAATTTTACTGAAGTAGAAAATACAGAAATGATGAGAAATCGTAAGTATCTCAACTAATTTTCGAAAATTGAACATATCTGTGTAACTATGATCTAGAATAAGAAATCCTATATTAGCAGTACTCCAAAAGCCCTCCTCATATTCTTCCCAGTGAAGACCACTCCTCACATGGGGAAGCGCTCACCTGACATAACATACTGATTAGTTTTGTCTTTTATTGAACTGTAAATAAACCCAATCCTAAGTATTTATTCTTATGTTTCTAGCTTTGTGTATATGTAGACATTATTTCTTTGAAATCCATCTACCTTGTTATACTTACATGTAGTGGTTCACTCACTGATTTTTTTCCTGTACAGTGTCTGATTGTGAGAACATACCATTACTATCTTTTGTTTTTAAAAATGATACTACTGACGGGCATTTTGAGTAATACCAGGTTGTGGCTATTATTGGTAATGCTATTATGAGCATACTTGTATGGTGGTTTTGGCAAACTTATGTTTGCATTACTATTGGGTATGTAGCTAAGAGTCAAATTTCTCAGTTACAGGGTATCCATATACTCAGCTTTAATATATACTGCCAAATAATTATCAAAAAGAGTTGTACCAATTTACACTCTACAGTAGTGAATAAGAGGTTCAACTGCTACACATCTTTTTCAAATCTTGTATTGTCTTTTTCATTTTAGCCATTTGATAGATGTGTAATGGTATCTCATTGTAGTTTTATTTTGCATTTCTCAAATAACTAAGGAAGTTGAGATCCTTTACATATGCCTATTGGGTGTCTGGATACCTATGATGAAGTTCTGTTCAATTTTTTTTTTTTTTTTACCACTTTTCCCACTCTGTTGTCTCTATCTTTTTTCATTGATTTGTAAAACGTTCTTTATGTATTCTGAATATGAGATTTATGTATTGAAAATACCTTCTCTCACTCCATTGCTTGTTTTTTCACTAATTTAATAATGTACTTTGACGAAGATAAGTTCTTACTTTAATATGGTCCAGGTTATTAGTTTTATTCTTTTATGATTAATGATTTGAAAAGTCTCATTTAGAAAACTTTGCCTACTCCAAGGTCATGAAAATATGTTAATAAATATTTTGTTTTCACATTTAGATTTATAACATCTTTTAGAGAATCTAAGAGAGCATTTATTAAAATTTCTACAGGAAACTATAATTTTTTTTTGTAATTTTTTTTCAAACTCTCTAGGCCCTAAGGCCCTTTTGTTCTCATGGATATGCAATTTTTATAACACAGCTTTTGATAACTCAAGGTTTTCTGGGAACTACACTATCAGGTGGTGGCAGATCAGAGGCCATCTTGCCGGCACATCTAGACACTGACAATATTTGCATTGTAGACTTATAACCTCTTTAGAAGTGATAAAATGCATCTATTTTTAAACTCTTGAGCATGTTTATTTTTATCCAGTAAAAAATCATATAAATATTTTAAATATTTTAGATTAAGCATTTTTCTAAGTTACATTCAAACAGTAAAGAACTAAGCATTTTTCTAAATTATATTCAAATAGTAACAGATGATTATCCAAAATAGAATTCTACTTGAATCCTTTGGCTTATATGGGATATAACTCCATTAGGCTTAATGGACTATTAAATTATATGAATTTTTGACATTTTATTTGCATACTGTCTGGTGGTCAATTAAACTCATTGTTCCAGTATTAATTTCATCAGTCATAAAACGTTACCTTTTACCAGAATTTAAAACTATCAATATCTAAATGTATGTATCACCATTGTTTGAACCATCCTGTAAATAGGTCAGTTCTTAATATGGCTGATTGAATTCAAGTACCATTATAGACACTAATGAAATGCCACGGTATAGCATGAAGTGGAAAATATGTTTCATTACAGTGAGTCGGAAAATTGTAAGGATAATTTGGCAAAGATATAAAAGTGCATAATAACCACGGTAGATTGTATATATCAAAAAGTTGATTTTAGGTGTTTTAGTGAATAAAACTAGTTTGGCTTACTTTTTCCACAGACGCTAATTTTAATTTTCAGAGCTCGGTATCATTAATATTTCCTTATCAAGATGTTACATATAACACTTATTTTTTATTCTTAAGAGGAAACAAAATTTCAAAATTCTCAGACCCAAGAACCCTCTTTTCCCTGTGATAGTACTGGCAATCCACTTGAGGGTATAAAACATAATAATGATAATAAAGGTAAATTTATTTTATAATAAAGGAATTTACCTACAACTACTAGCAAATATAGCCATGCTAATATGTCTATCAATGGAAATATCAAATTGCTCACTTTCCAAGAAATCACTGGTGTCAAATACTTTAGGATATCAATGTTTTATTATTCTTAGAAATAATCTATGACCAAAGGACTTGGTAGATAGCTAAAAGTGTTTTAAAAATTCTATATTAGATCTTGCTTTCAGTATCTGTAACTCTTAAAATGCACATGTCACATATCCAAACAGGATGGTTTGGGAGTCAATAATGATAAACCATTACTAATTTTATCTATCTTGCAAACAATTAACAACAAGTTAATTAACAACTCATAGCAAGTAACTATGAGTATTACTGATTGGACTTATTTTTGAATCAGAACCCATGGTTATGTAGTCTTCTATCAAAACATTTCAACTCATAACTTTGAAATAACTATAAATTCTTATAGAAGAAAATAATAAACTTGTTTCCTTATAGTGTAAATCTATAGACCAAATTCAAACACACAGTAAGAAACTGTCCAAGACAAGTCCCAAACAATCAAATGTACAAACTTACAGTGATAAAAATACTTACATTAGCATAGACAGAACCAAGACTTACACATCTTTATTTCAAGATAGAAGTGGTTATCCCATTAGAGATGTATGCATTTTTGCAGTGAATAATGGGCAAGAAGATTGTCGCTTAAAATATTAACTTTAGGCCAGGTGTAGTGGCTCACGCCTGTAATCCCAGCACTTTGGGTGGCCGAGGCGGGAGGATCACTTGAGGTGAGGAGTTCGAGGCCAGCCTGGCCAACATGGTAAAACCCTGTCTCTACTACTTAAAACAAAACAAAACAAAATACAAAAATTACCCGGGTGTGGCAGTGCATGCCTGTAATCCCAGCTACTTGGGAGACTGAGGCATGAGAATCATTTAAATCCGGGAGGCGGAGGTTGTAGTGAGCTAGGATCGCACCACTGCACACCAGCCTGGGCGACAGAGTGAGACTCTGTCTCAAAAAATAAAATAAAATAAAATAAAATAAAATAAAATAAAATAAAAAGTTAATGTGAGGCCCTAGAATTTGTATTTATAATATTGACTCATTTTTTAAAGTTAGTATAACATTATTCATGTATTGTGGCTTACCAAAAAATTGTGTGTTTGTGTGTGATAATCTCACCAGTCTCTACCTGCTACAATTTCCCAGTATGATGAATAACAAATAAATAATGCAGCATATTCATTCACCGAATGCATTTTCCCTTTACATTATCAGTTCTTTAGACCTCTTACAGAATATCAAGTATATCACAACATGTAAAATTAGGTTGCTTGTCAAGATAATCAAAATCATCTACATATTTGAGTGAAATTTGTAAGAGAAAGACAGTTCTTGTCCTTTACAAAATAGATTCTTTAAAACTATAAACCAGGTATTTTTAAAAAGAACCATCCTCTTTCTTATCCCTATTATTACTGTTAATATAACAGGAGTTCTTATTTATAACCAACTTGATTATTTCCCTGAAGATCATATAAAAATAATCAAGCATTGATTTTTATTTATTTCTTTCTGTTTTCCAGTCATGAAGTTATAGTGCTTCTTTCCTTGCAACATTTATTGGATCCACCCAATCCTTTTCAGTGCCAACCTCATAAGTCTGGTAGCATTATTTATTACTTCACATCTAGATCACTGGATTACTTGCCTATATGGTCTCCTTGCTTCCACCTAGTTCCTAGACTAAATAACTTACTGCTGGGATCTATATAATTCCACAGTTAATTGTTTTCCAGAATTAATTCTTCCCTTCTTCTTTTTAGTAATAAAACATCCTGAATTTTAGACAGGTACAAGGATGCATAACTAAAACCCATACTTCCCAGAATCCTTTTTAGCTAGCATTTAAATTTTGGTCAGCAGAGTATGAACACAGTGATGAGTACAACTATATATTGATATATATTCTTGATAGATGAATTTCCAAAGTGCCAAATCTTATTTCCCCTTAAATATGGGTTGGAATATAGACTCGACTTGCCATTGTTTTTCAGATTACCGCTATTCACAGCTCAGTCCTAGAAAACCATTGAAAATGGTCTCTAGGCATTCTCTTCCTTTCAAAATGTGATCTCGATAATATCAGAAGGTATCAGTATCTTAGATTTGGTAGCAGCACTGTAGTTTACAGATTTAATATGCTACTATAGGCAGTAATTAACTAGACCATATCATCATCTCTTTATTATAACTTTGATGCTTTGAAAACTCCTCAAGGTGTGGTATCAACACATCTGGCCTCAACAATTATGTGCTTATATAATTATGTTACTGTTGAGTTACAGCATTTCAAAGTGTCTCTCCCATCTATTCCCTTATACTCAATTATCTTCCTAAGAGGATTGATGTGAAACCTAGAAAACATATTACATATGATAGCATACATTGTCTTTCTATTTCTATATTCTATTATCCTATTTATACTGTAAAATCTTTGTTAGCATGTGTAATATCTTAAGGCTCTTTTTAACTACCATTTGTGCTCTCTATTTATTTAATTATTGTCAATTTATTTTTATAAAATTTATGTATGTTTAAGGTATACAATATATTTTGATATACATATACATAGTGAACTACAGTCAAGCTAATTAATAAATCTATCCCTTCATATAGTTACTAATTTTTGATGTGGTGGGAATATTTAGGATCTAGCCTCACCTTAGTAAGTTTCGAGTATACAATATTAGTAACTATACTCCCCATGCTGCACATTAGATCTCTAGAATATAGTCATTCTAGTATATGAAACGTTGTACCATTTGACCAACATCTCCCCATTTCCCGTACACACCCCCCTCCCCACCCCTGGTAAGCATAGTCCTACTTTCTTCTATGATTAGGCCTTTTTACTTTCCACATATAAGTAAGATCCTGCAATATTTTTCTTTGGTGTCTGGCTTATTTCACTTAGTGTAATGTACTCTACATTCATCCAGGTTGTTGCAAAAGACAGGATCTCCTTTTTTAAGGCTGAAAAAATTCCAATGTGTGTGTGTGTGTGTGTGTGTGTGTGTGTGTGTGTGTGTGTGTGTATAATACATATATTATATATCTATTAAATATAGATGTACAATACATATCTATTAAATATATATCTATTAAATATATATCTTAAATATAGATATATGATATCTATTAAATATCTATTCAATATGGATATAATATACATATATAAATACTAAATTTGTAAATATATATTTAAATATTTAAATATACATAAATCTTATTTCTTTATCCATCTATCAATGGACAAATGGGTTGTTTGCATATTTTGACTATTATGAATAATGCTGTAATGGGAGTGCAGATGTCTCTTGGAGAGACTTATTTCAATTTCTTTGAATATATACCCAGAAGTAGATTTGTTGGATCATATGGTATTTTTATTTCTAATTTTTTGAGGAATGTCCGTATTGTTTTCTATAATAGCTGTACCTGTTGACACTCTCACTAACAGTGCTTAAAGTTTCCCTTTTCTTCACATCATCACCAACACTTGTACTTTTTATTTTTTGATAACAGGCATCCTATCAGATGTAAGATAATATCTCATTGTGGTTTTAATTTTCATTTCCCTGATGCTTGGTAATGTTGAGCACCTTTTCATATATCTATTGTCCTTCTGTATGTTTTCTTTGGGAAAATGCCTATTCAAGTCTTTTGTCCATTTTTAAATTTTTTTTCTACTAAGTTGTATGAGAATTGAAACCATAAAATTCTGATAATTAAACAAAGGGAAACAGCTCCTCGACACTGGTCTTGGTAAAGATATTTTGGATATGACACCATATACAGGCAATGCAAGCAAAAATAAACATGTGGGATTGTATCAGACTAAAAGTCTTTTGCACAGTACAGGAAACAAAATGAAAAGGGAACCTATAAGTTGAGAGAAAATATTTTAAAATCATGCTGCTTCTTATTAGCTAACTACTACTTGTTCTTTAACATTTAATTCAAAAGTCAACATTCAACTCAAATACCATCTTCTCCGAGAAGCCATTTAAGTATTCCTCAATCCGATTTAGATGTACTTCTAGTACTGTGTTCCTTACAGGACTTTTTATCTTCAGGAAACAGAATTCCATGTTTAAACTATAATAAAGAGTTAAGGAAATGATGAGCTCACAGAAAAGGAAGACTACAGATGGTTCTGAATTCCGAGTTGGTTCAACTAATGATTCAGTGATGCCATCAGAAGACAGTTCAGTCTTGACTCTCTGCTCTGCAGTCTCCAATATGGCTTCATGCAACAATTACCACTTTGGAAAACATTTCCTCATTTATTTTCACTGGGAAGAGAGAAGCTTCCTATACTTTCTCTTAAGAGCAATAAAACCATATCCAGAACTCCTCAGTAACCTCTCCTGGGGACTCTCATGGCTTAAATTGACTTAGGCATACCTATCCTTGAAAACATCATGTCTGGCAAGGAGAATAGGATTCATGATTACTTCAGACTAATTACTTGGAGTAGAATAGACATTGGTGAGTACACCTGTTACATCCCCTACACTCCTATAACATCCCGTACTCAATCTGAGCATTTATCAGACTGAACTTAAATTGTTGGTTTACTAAAGTTGGACCCGCACTAAACATTAAGCTCTTCCTTGAGAGTAAAGACAGTATCATATTCAAGTCTATGTTTGCTCTACATAGCACAGTGCCTACAACATATTATCTACATAATTATATCTTAATTTAAAATTCCAGATTAATCATTTAAAAACATTGTGGATAATGCCCAATTCCTAAGTTATTTAGCTTTGAAATATTTGTAAAGAAAAACATATAGAGTAATGGAATGAAAATGATATAAAAATAAAATGGTATTAAATAGAAATGGAATAAAAATGAGAGTAATGGAATAAAAATGAGAGATAAACTCATACATCTATAGCCAATTGATTTTAGACATGAAGGCCAAGACTATTCAATTAGGAAAGAATAGACTCTTCAAAAAAATTGGACTGGGACAACTGGATATATTAGATTGGTGCAAAAATAATTGCAGTTTTTGCCATAAAAGTAATACCAAAACCGCAATTACTTTTGCACCAACCAAATACTATTGCAAAAATAGAATGAAGTTGGACTCACACCACATAGAAAAATTACCTCAAAGTTGATCAAATACCTAATTATAAGAGCTAAAGCAAATCTGTTAGAAGAAAACAAAGAGATAAATCTTTATGATGTTGGATTTGGCAATGAATTCTTAGACATGACACCAAAAGCGCAAGCAACAAAAGAAAAAAAGTATAAATTGAACTTCATCAAAATTTAAAACTTTTGTGCATTAAATAATATTTTAAAGAAAATGAAAAGACAATCTATAGAACGGGAGAAAATACTTGCAAATCATTTATCTGATAGGGATCTAGCATCTAGGTTATATAAAAAACCCTTACAATGCAACAACAACAAATCATCAGTCCAACTAAGAAATGGGCAAAGAACTTGAATAGACGTTTCTCCAAAAAAGATATACAAATGGCCAAGAAGCATATGAAAAGATGTTCAACATTATTAGTTATTAGGGATAACCAAAATGAGATACGCCCTCACACCCATGAGAATAGCTGTATAATTTTAAAAATCAAAAATAAGTGATGGCAAAAATGTGAAGAAACTGAAACTCGCATACATCGCTGGTGGAAATACTATAAAATGGTTCATTTCTTTTTTTTTCTTTCTTTTTTTTTTTTTTGAGACAGAGTCTTGCTCTGTTGCCCAGGCTGGAGTGCAGTGGTGCGATCTTGGCTCACTGTAACCTCCGCCTCCCGGGTTCAAGCAATTCTCCTGCCTCCGCCTCCCAAGTAGCTGGAATTACAGGTGCACACCACCATGCCCAGCTAATTTTTGTATTTTTTTAGTAGAGCTGGGGTTTCACTATGTTGGCCAGCCTGGTCTCGAATTCCTGACCTTGTGATCTGCCCGCCTCAGCCAACATGGTTCATTTCAAACTGTGGAAAACATTTTGGTGGTTCCTCAAAAAGTTAAAAATAGAACAACCATATTAACTGGCAATTCCACTCCTAGGAGTATACCCAAAAGAAGTAAAAACAGGTTATCAAACAAATACACTCGTGTTCTTAGCAGCACTATTCACAATTGCCAAAAGGTAGAAACAGCCCAAATATCAATCAAGGGATGAAGTGACAAATAAATTGTGGTATGAAAATACAATGAGGTGGGGTGCAGTAGCTCATGCCTGAATCCCAACACTTTGGGAGGCTCAGGGGAGCGCATCACTTGAGGTCAGCAGTTCAAGACCAGCCTGGCCAACTTGGTGAAACCCTGTCTCTATTAAAAATACAAAAAATTAGCCAGGCGCGGTTGTGTGTGCCTGTAATCTCAGTTACTCGGGAGGCTGAGGCAAAAGAATAGCTAGAACCCAGGAGGCAGAGGTTGCAATGAGCTGAGGTCTTACCACTGCACTCCAGTCTTAGCAACAAAGTGAGACTATGTCTCAAAAAAAAAGAAATACTAATACATGACATAATCTGAATAAACTTCAAAAACGTAAAGATAAGTGAAAGAAGCCAAACACAAAAGGTCACATACTGTGTAATTCTATTTATGTGAAATACTCAGAATAGGTAAATACAAAGACCCACTTCAGGTTGGTGACTGCCAGGGATCTGGCAGGGGAGAGGAGAATGGGGAGCAACTGCTTAGTGGGTAAAGGGTTTTATTTTGTGGTGCTGTAATGTTTTGAAACTAGATGGAAGCGGTGGGTGCCCATCTTTGTGAATACACAAAGTGACACCGGGCTGTTTAAAATGGTTGATTTTCAAGTTTTGCAAATTTTATCTCACTAAAAAATATTTTGTAAAAATTACCTCATTTATGTGCCTAATTATATTTCTATCATCAAATCATAAAATATGGAGGTTATATGGAGGCAAAAACCATGTTAAATATTAGGAGATAGAAATACATATGTGCTGAGGATATTCAAGAGGCTAATCAACAGTATAACCTCTCTATTGATGATTTCTGCATTAGGAAATGGCTCATATGCAGATGCTACTCTGGAATTCATATGTAAATCAACAATAATACAATAACTTGAGTTTGAAAAATAAATTTTATATCTATATGAATAAGTAATAAATATTTTCTTTACTGTGACAATTCACCTATTTTTCTTTCAAATCTAACCTAATGTAGTCTGTGAAATCTGAGAAAGCGATTTGCAAGTTCATTGCTAGTATCAAATTTGAATAAGATGAAAAGTAGATTAAGAGTCACAAAAAATGATTTAAATTGCTGCCTGTCTAAGGAAACATATTAAACATTATCCAAGGACTACTTTGAAAATCTATGGTATTAACTTACTGTAACAGAATCAAATATACCCAACATGAACCAGAACATATTGAAACATTACAAAAGCTAATTCATGGACAGATGCTTAAGCAATATGCCCAAAAATAAAGTATTTGAGCCAAATTACTATTACCTCTAAGTATGATGATTACCAGAACAGCTGATGTTTAAAATGAACCTATGTTGATTTGGCCACTGAGCAACATATATAATAAAGTATAATTATTCCTAATTCCCTCTTCCACCTTCCAGAAACAACAACTGACATAGGAAAAGAAAACAAATGCTTTATCTGACAACTTACAGATTATGTATGCCATTGTTTTTAAGTTCTCTTTATTTTTAACAAAGTAAGTGTATGTATATGAGTGTGTGTGTTATAAAAATGATGAATGATAAGTAACCAAACTAGCTGAGAAGGGTTTAATATTTTGGAGTATTTTGATTCAGGTCAATACCAGTTTCAGGGGGCATGGAGATATACCATGTAGTACAAATTATTATTAGTAAAATATTTACTCTGCAAGGCAGGCTGGAGAAAATTCAGGAGATGAGGGGGAAAGTGTGAGGATTGTTTAAGTAAGGGTATGCATTCAAGGATAATCTTTATACTGACAGAGGAACGAACAAGTTGGGGCTGCTTGAGGGGCTTAGATTTGGAGGATTGGAAATGTCATCTAGAGAAAGAAGAGTTTGTTCATTGAGGTTGGAAATATAAGCATATAGGGTCATTCCTATGCGCCTTGGCATCCAATTCTAGGTTCTTGATTAAATTGCATGAATGGAGTTCTGGGAATAGGTTCTTGATTAAATTGCATGAATGGAGTTCTAGGAACTCAGGGACTGAATGTGTGAAGTTTCCTTTCTTTGAACCCTCATTTTTCTGTATTTATGTACAGATAAAACACCTGCAAAGGTGTTTCTAGAATGTTATGGATAAAACTTTCCAGATAGAATATTCATGGTCTATTTTTTCTTTCTTTTCTAAACTTTTTTGTTTGAATATTTTCAATACACATGTGTAATATTTTTCAGCAACAATAGTGATTTTTCTTAACAAAAAAGGTATAAAACTACAAGCAACTATGCCAAGAAATTAATAGCATTAAATTATGAGTGTGGAAATACAAATTATTATTTGCTTCTTAGTATTTTTGAAAATTTCCAAAGTAAAAAATTCCATCAGAAATTTCTATCAGCTCAAAAAATTTACAGTGACAACTCTTCCATTTTCAGTTTCATCCATACAATTTCGAACAAAATGCTAATCATCAGTGTTTGCAGCTACCAAAAGACCTTGTATTGAAAAACAAAATGTACTGTTCCAAATATATTTATATTTTCCTTATTAAAGGCAGCATCCACTAACACTGTAAAGTATCAAATAAGACACTGTTATAAAACCCAATATCTTATTTGGCTTTTAGGGAAGGTATATAATTTTTGTTTCTGCCAGTCTACACTGCTTGTTTCGCAACCTCCCTTCCACAAAGTATCCCCTTGAATTTTAAAGGCCATACCTGCTTTGGTTTTAATTTAGTATTATGATAGTAAACTAATATTGCCTGAAAACATTTGAAATCTTCTAAGGGGAATTAAAAAGTAGTTCTGGTTACAAATTCTAAAGATATTGCAGATCCAACTTAGAAACTTAAAGAAAATGAAATATATCCTGTAAAGACGAGTAGAAGTTATTCAAAGATAATCTCCTTATCACCCCCTAATTATTTTATATAGGAGCATTATAGACACTACTTTTATGTATCGTATACTCCATACAGTAGTGTGGTAGTAAATGTTTAACAGTCAGCTGTCCAAACAGTGGGGGAGGGGTCCTCATTTGCAGGGTTTGCAGATTTCTGTGTTGCAAACACTCTCATCATGGCCTACTTCAAAATACCAAGGTGATGACACTGAACGCAGAGTTGGGAAGAGTTGCACACAATAGGCTCCTACAAATTGGCTCCAGGCAGCTTCTGCATACCACTCTCACATTGCTTTTATATCTCATTGTTAAATTTTATAATCGAAGATGATATTGCTTAGTTTTTCCAAAACAATTATGTCATTCCAATAATGTTAATATCAAGTCTTATATTTACAACTATATAACATATATGTTTATTGCTGACTATTTTGCAATAAAAATTAAAAACTGATTCTTAAGAGGACTTTAATAAAATACTGTTTAATATTTTTCTATCTTTAGAAAACATAATTTAAACATGTAGTTGCAAAGTATTTTAGGAGGCATAATTATTATAAAATCATATTATATATATTGTACTTAATATAACTTGAAGTATTTTAAAATTTATTATTGTATGCTATTGAATTCAGGGCTGTATCATGACTTTAGTGGGTCCAAAGCACTTTTGCCTTTGTTAGCTCCTTCTTCCCTAAACATATATTAAAAAATAAATACATAAATTCAGCAATAGATATAGAAAAATAATATTTTATGACTATGTGGGTA
Source organism: Homo sapiens (assembly GCF_000001405.40). Classification (NCBI taxonomy): domain Eukaryota; kingdom Metazoa; phylum Chordata; class Mammalia; order Primates; family Hominidae; genus Homo; species Homo sapiens. The sequence continues at coordinate 115,624,045 of NC_000010.11, read as the reverse complement.
TAGAAACAAATTTAATCCTGCCTGGATTCATTATTAGATATTCATTATGACTATATTCATTTTTTTTACAATTTAAAAAGTAAAATTAAATCCTTTCATGCGTCCCTAAAAATATCCTGAGCCCTAGGCCCTGTACCTACTGTGACTAATAGACTGCTTGGCCCCGTTGAAATGTAGTAAATTTGTAAACACATTATTTTACTAAATATCTATATTTTTATTTTACAAGAATCAAGAAAATGCATACTATTTTACTACGTCTACCTTTTCAAACCTATCATTGATTATGTATACCTTCTCTTTCATCTATTTAATAATCTAGCCAGTCTCTCTCATTTATTAGTATTTTTAAAAAAACTGATTGTGGTATTTGTTTACCCCCACTATTTAATTTTTTAAAAATTTTTGTTACTCACTTCATTATTTCTTCTTTGTACTTTATTTTGGTTTTTTTGTAGTTCTTAAATTGCTTACATGAGATACATAGCTCATTAATGTTCAGCTTTTGTATTTGTTTTAAATATGAATAGTTAAGACTATAGATTTTTCTCTAAGTAGTGCTTTTTCCATACTTCAGAAGTTTTGGTAAGTAACATTTCCAGTATTATTCAACTCCAAGTATTTTCTAATTTCTACCTCAATTACCTCTTTGTCATATTAGATAGTGCTTACATTTTAAAATTTGTTCATTCCTGGCATTTCAGGTTCAATTTTTTAATTTCAGTTTGAAACTTTCTGCATTACAGTAACAGAATGCGGTCTGTCTGAAACTGATTCTTTAAAACATTCAGAAACTTGCTTTTCGGTGTCATATATAGTTAATCTTCATAAATGTTGTATGTGTACATACATTTTTGTTCCCTTTTTGATCAGGGTTCCATATACCTTATAAATCAAGGTGATTCATTATATTGTACAATTTTTAAATGATTTTTATATGCTTGACCTATCATTTACTGAGAAAGTTATGTTAAAATTTTGCCATTTTTAAAAATACAATGACGCTATGCTGTTAGATAATTATAAATTATAATTTATTATACCGTTGTGATAAAGACAACCTGTTAGCAGTGAAGATTTTCTATCTTTGCTTTCTGTTTTAAATTCTATTTTTTTTTCGAGACACAGTCTCGCTCTGTCACCTAGGCTGGAGTGGAGTGGCGCGATCTCGGCTCACTGCAAGCTCCGCCTCCCGGGTTCATACCATTCTCCTGCCTCAGCCTCCCACGTAGCTGGGACTACAGGCGCCCGCCACCTTGCCTGGCTAATTTTTTGTATTTTTAGTAGAGACGGGGTTTCACCGTGTAAGCCAGGATGGTCTCGATCTCCTGACCTCGTGATCCACCTGCCTCGGCCTCCCAAAGTGCTTGGATTACAAGGCGTGAGCCACCGCGCCCCGCCCTAAATTCTATTTTACATAATATTAATACAACTACATCAGTTTTGTTTTGCTTAGAATTTGCTTGATATTGTAAAAGTTATCAAACTCAAAATGGATTGCTTGCATCAAACCCCAACAAAACATAGATAAAGATGGGAGGTTAAGAAGCGAGGACCCTCACACACTCATGCTTATGATCAGAACAATTACAAATGTCTGTAACAAAAACTTTTGCCAATGACTTTTCAAACTTGAGCTTGCTACATGAGTTACAGGATAGCTAGCTGGATGCATAAGAACACTTGATTAACACTGTCTCCATAATGAACTGGTATGGACTCCTGAGATAAGCCCTTGTCACCAATATTCTCTTTGTTTCAAAACAAATTACATGTTCTTTTTCCTTTTGTCTTTAAAAGTTTGCCCGTTCCTCAATCTCTTTGGATAGGTCTATGAATCCTATAGGCTGCATATCCTGGAAGTGCAAATCCCTTGCACACTCCTGAATAAACTCAGTGTCTTCGGAGACTCTCTCTTCGTCTTTTATTTAGGTTGACATATCTAGAGTCAGAAGTGGAGCAAGATTACCTTTGGAAAAAAGCAGTAATTCTTAAGAACAGTGTGCAGCAGTCACCTGAGCCCTCTGCTCTCCCCTTCCACACCTCACCTTTAGTGTCTGGTGAGTCTCCTCTCAGGCCAAGATGCCCTATTTTTGGCAGATGTTTCCTGCTGACTTTATTTGAGATCTGACTTAGATAAATCCACCTTCATAAGGAACCCGCATTTCTCTTATGAAGACAAAAGACTTTTTGCATTTTTAACACAAGTCCTTTCTATTAGAGACATTTTGAATTTCTGGTAAGTATACACTTTAAATTTCATACAGCAGGGAAAATGATTTTCTTTGCTCTGAAAGATTAATAAGAAATGGAATGGGATCTTCAAGTTCTAATGGCATTCCAGAACAACCTTCTTTCAGGGATTCTAGGAGGGCTATATTATAGCACATTCTTGTACACATTTTTAAACTGATGAGGAAATTACACAAAAAAAATCAGAGCTTGGCCAGGAGCAGTGGCTCACACATTTAACCCCAGCACTATGGGAAGCTGAGGTGGGTGGATTGCTTGAGCCCAGGAGTTCAAGACCAGCCTGGGCAATATGACAAAACCCCGTCTCTACAAAAAATTCAAAAATTAGCCAGGCATGGTGGTATGGGCCTGTAGCCCCAGTTACTCAGCATGCTGAAGGAGGATTCCCTGAGCCCAGGAGGTCAAGGCTGCAGTGAGCCATGATTATGCTACTTCACTCCAGCCTGGGTGACAAGTAAGATGCTGACTCACTCACACACTCTCTCTCTCTCTCTCTCTCTCTCTCTCTCTCTCTCTATATATATATATATATATATATTCAGAGCTCAATGGCCATTATTTGAACTCTATAAGGAAACTGCATCTATAAGATTTACATGTACAGGCTTTCAAGTTCTCTATGTATTGTTTTTCTTCTGCCTACTCTGAATCTGCTGATTTTTCTTTTGCTTGTATTAAAATAAAAACTGAATGCTTCAACAGTCTTTGTAGTTACAAATTTAAATAAAAACAAGGAAAATCTCACTCATAGATTGTTTTTCTAATGGCATTCCAATGATACAAGGCGACAAGGAATTAACCCCTAACTCAACTGAAAATGAAAAAAAAGGGGAAATGGAGTAAAATATGCATTTTTTAGAAAAAAATTTCTATGAAAACTGCTTTACCCAAAATTTGGTTTACAGCCATGATAAGATTACAGATCAGAACATATTAATGTCTCATGTCTAAAATTCTAAAATGAAAGCTATATCTTTGTGTGTACATATGTGTTCATGTGTGTTTACACACGTAGTATGTTGTGTCTACAGGGTAAAATCTAGCATAATTGGTCAGAAATACCTTAATAAATTCTATTAAGATTGGTTTTAATAAATGAGAACTCATATAATTTAATACTTAAGACTGTTAAAATATTTACTAATTTATCCAAATGCCTTTTAGTTCACATGCTTTGAGTAAATCTTTAATAAATAAGGTGGCTTTAAATTTGCTGGTAAAATAAAAATAATCTTTAGAATTGTTAGCATATATTTTTTAGCCTGGGTTTAATGGCCAGACAGTTTTATATTTGTCTCTAAAATGGTTTAAGGGCATAAAATTATATAAGCAGCTTAAAAGCAAAACGATCATCCTTTATGTAACTCCTTGATAAGTAAGACTGATATAATTTGGATATCTGTCCCTCCAATTCTCATGGTGAAATGTGATTTTCCAGTGTTGGGGGTGGGGCCTGGTGAGAGGTGCTTGGGTCATGAGGATGGAACCTTCATGAACGGCTTGGTGTCATTCCTGAGGTAATGAGTTACCATGAGATCTGTTTCTTGAAAAGAGTCTGAGACCTCTCCCACCCACATCTTACCTATGTGACAGGCATGCTTCCCCTTTCTCTTCTGCCATGATTTCCCTTCCTCTTCTTCCATGATTGTAAGCCTCCTGAGGCTTTACCAGAAGCAGATGCTAGTGTCACACGTCTACAGACTGCAGAACTGTGAGCAAAATAAACCTCTTTTATTTATAAGTTATCCAGCCTTAGGTATTCCTTTATAACGTGAAATGGATTAACAAAACGACTAATTAAATATTGCTGGCTTAATGTAAACACCTCTATCTTCTTAATTATCAGCAAAATACCAATACATTTAACCTTAAGATTCATACTTGGGTGATAAACACCTGATCTTGACAGGCTGTAACAAGAAGATAATTAGAAATGATGACTATCCTTGTCTAATATCCCAGTTTTTATAAGTAATCCAGGTGTTGTTAAAAATAAATACGTTAGGTAAATACAAATCAGAGAAACTTTATAAATGAAATTTTTATGTAATTTAAAATATTAAAGTTATATTAAATTAGGCAATGGATATTCATAAAAAGTCTGGGTCATATCCAAATGAGATAAGATACTGAAAAATAAATGGTTAAACATGAAGTTTAAAATTCTATACTTTTAAATTCATATTACAAAAGTATCACAGCATCCATGCAAGCCACCCAGGGGCCTCAGGATCAGACTGCCTGGAGTCTGTCAATAGCACTACGGATGCTTGCAAGTGTGGCCTAGGGGCCTGAAGACTGGCCCACCCAGCACCCACCCCTGACACAATCAAAGCTCATGTGTACTCGCCAGGGGCCTGAGAATCAGTTTGCTCAGGGCACACAGTCCACTTCACTGGTGGAACTGCTATGCACCTCTGGTACTAGGGGCTGTGGGGCCAGCCTGCACAGGGCTCACAGTGGACCTTCCAGTGTTCACATGTGCCCTCTATGGCCCCATGGAATGGCTCACCACACATGGGACTCACCACTGCTGCTACCAGCAAACCCACTCCCTTCAGTAGAGTGGCAACCATGCACTTACACATGACCCCAGAGACCCAAGGATTGGCCTGCCTGATGTCCCTGTCCCCAGCAAATCCACTCCACATCCTACACAAACAACCACAACCTAAACCGTGAGGAACACACAGACATAACTGATGTTGATTACAGCCAAAGAAATCATATGAAGACTACCTTACTGTACAGTCACAGAACCAAAGCCAAAGTATCCTATTCAACTGACACTATAAATACATCTAAAGGAAAAATACATCCTATGAAAGCTATTTCGTAACACTGGAAGAAACAACAGTTACACCAGATGCACAGACATCCAGGTATGAACACAAAAAACCCTAAAGAGCAAAGAAACATTGCATCACCCAAGGAACATAATAATACTCCAGGAGGAGACCACAGAAGAAAATGTTTTAAATGCATGAAAACCAAAATAATGATCTTAAGAAAACTCAGTGAGATAAAAGAACAAACAATTACCCAATAAATAGAAATCAGGGAAAAACTGGTGATCTAAATAAATAATTCTACAAAGTAATAGATATCATTATAAAAATCCAAATCTTGAAAACGAAGAATTTAATGAACAAAATAAAAAATACAAAAGATAGCTTTGACAACAGTGTAGATCAAGGAGAAGAAAGAATTTACTAACTTGAAGAAAGGTATTTTGAAATAAACCAGTCTGAAAAAAGAAAAAGGAAAAGGAAAAAAAAAATTGTAAAAAGGCCAATGTGACATATGAAATACCATTATGCAAATAAGTTCCAATATTTGCATTAAGTGAGTTCCAGGAAGGGAAGAAATGGAAAGCTGCATAAAAAATTCTTATTTAATACAATAATAACAGAATACTTTTCAAGTCTTGGAAAAGATAAAGACATCCACATACAAGATGGTAAAAAATTCCCAAGTAAATTGAACTCAAAAGGTCTTCTCTGAGGAATATTATATTTAAAATATCAAAAGTCAAAGAGAAAAACAGAATTCTAAAAACAGTAAGAGAATAGCATTATATTAGTCCATTATCATATCGCTCTAAAGAAATACCTGAGACTAGGTAATTTATAAAGAAAAGAGGTTTAATTGGTTGATGGTTCCACAGGCTGTACAAGAAGCATGACAACATCTGCTCAGCTTCAATCATGGCAGAAGACAAAGGGGAAGCTGAAACTTTACAAAGCCAAAACAGGAGAAAGAGAGATGGGGGAGGTGCTACACACTTTTAAAAGGCCAGATCTCATGAGAACTCACTCACTATCACAAGAATGGGAGCAACGAGGAAATCTACCCTATGATCCAATAACCTTCCACAAGACCCCACCTATAACATTAGGAAGTAGTTTTCAAGATGAGCTTTGGGTAGGAACACAGATCCAAACAAAGTAAGTCCACCCCAGGCCCTCCCAAATCTTATGTCCTTCTCACATTTCAAAATACAATCATGCCTTCCCAACAATCTCCATGCCTTAACTCATTCCAGCACTAACTCAAAAGCCCACAGTCCAGTCTCATCTGAGACAAGGCTAGTCCCTTATGCCTATGAGTGTGTAAAATAAAAACAAAGTTAGTTGGCTGGGTGTGGTGGCTCATGCCTGTAATCCCAGCACCTTGGGAGGCTGAGGCAGGTGGATCATGAGATGAGGAAATCACAACCATCTTGGCCAACATGGTGAAACCCCGTCTCTACAAAAAATACAAAAATTAGCTGGGTGTGGTGGTGCATGCCTGTAATCCCAGCTACTTGGGAGGCTGAGGCACTAGAATTGCTTGAATCCAGGAGGCGGATGTTGCAGTGAGCCGCAATTGCACCACTGCACTCCAGCCTGGCGACAGAGCAAGACTCCGTTTAAAAAAAAACAAAAAACAAAAAAAAACCAAGTTAGTTACTTCCAAGACACAAAGGGGTTATAGGCACTGACTAAATACTCGCATTCCAGTATGGAGAAATTGGCCAAAAGAAAGTGGTTACAGGCCCCATGCAAGTCTGAAACCAAGTAGGGCAGTCATTAAATGATAAGGCTTCAAAATAATATCCCTTGACTGCATGTTTCACATCTAGAGCACACTGGTGCAAGAGGTGGGCTCCCAAGGTCTTGGGCAACCCTGCCCCAGTGGCTTTGCAGGGGTTATTCTACATGATTGATCTCATGGACTTCTGTTGAGTGTTTGTGGCTTTTCCAAGCACATGGTGCAAGTTACAGTCGGCTCTAACATTCTGGGGTCTGAGGCATGGTGGTCCTCTTCTCACAGCTCCACTAGGCAGTGCCCCAGTGAGGGCTCTGTGTAGGAGCTCCAACCTGACATATCCGCTCTGCACTGCCCTAGGAGAGTTTCTACATGAGGGCTCTAACCTGCAGTCCAGCCAGCTTCTGCCTGGCCATCCAGGCTTTCTCACACATCCTCTGAAATCTAGGCAGAGGTTCTCTAGCCTCAAATCTTGCACTGTGTGCATCTACAGGCTTGAAACCATGTGGAAGCCACCAAGGCTTATGGCTTGCACCCTCTGTAGCAGTGGCCTGAGCTGTACCTCGGTCCTTTTGGCCTTGGCTGGAGCTGGAGTGACTAGGATGTGGGGAGCAGTGTCCCAAGGTTGCACAAGGCTATAAGCATGGGCCTCACCCATGGAAGCATTCTTTCCTCTTAGGCCTCTGGGCTTGTGATAGGAGGGGCTTCCATGAAGGTCTCTGAAATGCCTTTGAGGAATTTTTCCCATTGTCTTGGCTACTGGTACTTGGCTCCTCTTTACTTCTGCAAATTTCTGCAGTCCACTTGAATCCCCCTACCTGCCCAAAAATTGGTTTTTCTTTTCTACCACATGGTTGGGCTGTAAATTTTCCCAAATTGTATGCCCTGCTTTCTTTGTAAATATAACTTCCAGTTTCAAGTCATTTCTTTGCTCATGCGTATCAGTGTAGGTGATTAGCTGCAGCCACGCCACAACTTGAATGCTTTGTTGCTTAGAAATTTCTTCCACCAGATAACCTAAATCATCATTACCAAGTTCAAAGTTCCACAGATCACTAGGGCAACAATACAATGCAGCTAATTGCTTTGCTAAGGAACAAAAGTGAACTTTGCTCCAGTTCTCAATGAGTTTCTCATTTCCAACTGAGGTCTCATCAGCCTCACCTTTACTGTCCATATCACTATTATCATTTTGGTTATAACAATCTAACAAGTCTTTAGGAAGTTCCAAACTTTCCTTCAACTTCCTGTCTTCTTCTGAGGCCTCCACTATTTCAACCACTGCCCATTACCCAGTCCCAAAGTTCCTTCCACATTTTCAGGTATCTTTATAGCAATGCCTCCCTTGATACCAATTTTCTATATTAGTCCATTCTCGCATTGCTATAAAGAAATACCTGTGACTGGGTAATTTATAAAGAAAATGGGTTTACTTGGCTCACGGTTCTGCAGGCTGTACAGGAAGACTGGCAGCATCTGCTTGGCTACAATCATGGCAAAAGCTGAAGGGGAACTGGTGCCTTGCAAAGCTGAAACAGCGGGAAGAAAGATAGCGAGGAGGTGCTACACATTTTTAAATGACAAGATCTCGTGAGTACTCACTATCACGAGTATGGCACTGATAGGGGAATCTACCGCCATGATCCAATCACCTCCAACCAGGACCTACCTCCAATAACGGGGATTACATTTCAACATTAGATTTGGATGGGGACACAGATCCAAACCATATCAAGCATCAAGTTGTATCTAAAGGAATCTCTATCAGACTAACAGCAGATTTCTCAACAGAAACTGTACACTCCAGAAAAGAATGATATTATATATTATATTCAAACTGCCAGAAGAAAAGAAAAAAAAAGTGTTCAACCAAGAATATTATAACTGACAAAGCTGTCTCTTCAGAAATGTGGAGAAATTTGCTTGTTGATATCTCAGACAAGCAAAAACTGAGGGAATTCATCACTACTGGTCAGCCCTACAAGATATTATTTAAAAATCCTATATCTGGAAGCAAAAATACAGTATATATTATTATAAAAACACTCAAAAAGCATAAAAAATATTGGTATAGCAGATACCCTCATGAGAAAGAGAAAGGAATCAAATGTTATCATTGCAGAAAACCACCAAACCACACAAATAATAAAAGTAAGAAAGAAACAAAGGATATACACAATAATCAGAAAATGATTAAGAAAATGACAGGAATATGTTTCAATAGAAAAGTAAAAACCTTGAATGTAAACACTTTAAATTCCCATATGAAAAAATACAGAACTGCTGAATTGATTAAAAAAAAACAAGACCCAACAATATTATGGCTATAAGAAACTCACTTCACCTCTAAAGGCACACATAGACTTAAAATGAAGGGATGAGAAAAAGATATTCCAGGCAAATGGAAAACAAAACCATGCAGGAGTACCATACTTATATCAGACAAAATAGATATTTTAAGTCGAAGAACAAAAGGGACAAATAAGGCAATTATATAATGATACACAGATCAGTTTGGCAAGAAAATACAATTGTAAATATGCACACACACACACACGCACTGGAGCACACAGATGTATAAAGCAAATATTAATCAAAGACCAATATAGACAGCAATATAGTAACAGTTGGGTACTTGAACACTCTACTTTCAGCATTGGACAGATTATCTAGACAGAAAAACAAAAATAATCATCAGACTTAAATTGCATTATAGACCAAATAAACCTAACAGACATATACAGAATATTTCAGCCAAGAGCTGCAGAAAACAATCTTCTCTTCAGCATATGAAATGTTCTCCAGGAGGGAACATATGTTAGGCCACAAAACAAGCATCAACAAATATTGAAAAATCAAAAATCAAAATCACATCACATATCTTCTTAGATCACAAAGGAGTAAAACTAGAAACAAATAACGTGAAGAACTCTGGAAATTGTACAAATACATTGAAATTAAGCAACATGCTCCAGAAAGACTGATGGGTCATGGAAGGAATTAAAGAGAAAAAAAAATCTTGAAACAAGTGAAAATAGAAAACAACGCCCCAAAACCTACAGGATACAGCAAAAGCAGTACTATGACGGACGTTTATAGCCATAGAAACCTACATCATAAAAGTAGAAAGATTTTAATTAAATGATGTAGTGATGCACCTCAAGGAACTAAAAAAGCAAGAAGAAACCAAACAGAAAATTAGTATAAAAAATAAATAACAAAGATCAGAGCAGAACTAAACAAAATACAGACAAAAAGAAAACCCCATATAATACAAGATCAGCAAAACAAAAACCTAGTTGTTTGAAAAGATAAACATAAGTCAATAAATTATTAGTTAGAGTAAGAAAAAAACAGTGGAGACCCAAATAAAAACAATCAGAAATGAAATAGGAGATATTATAACTGATATCATAGAAATGCAAAAAGACCATTTAGAAAAAAATATGAACAACTACATGCCAACTAGAAAACCTCAAGAAAATGAATAAATTCTGGGAAAAATAAAACTTACCAAGATTGAACCAAGAAAAAATAGAAAACCCAAACATATATAAAATCAGTAACTGGATTGAACCAGTAATAGTCTTCTAATAACAAAATACCCAGTACCTGATGGGTTCACTGCTGAATTCTAAACTACTTTTAAAAAATAACTAACATAAATTCTTCTCTAATTATTCCAAAAAACTGATGAAGAAGGAATTTTTTCTAATTCATTTTATGAGGCTAGCATTAGCCTGAAACTAAAAATAGACAAGAATACAACAAAATAAGAAAACTATAGGCAAAAACCCCTGATGAATACAGATGCAAAAATCAACAGAAATACTAGCAAAGCGAATCTAACAGAGCATCAACAAGATTACACGCAATAATACAGTGGGATTTACATGAGGGATGTAGGGGTGTTTCAACATGTGCAAATAACTAAATGTGGAACATCACATCAGAGAATAAAGAACAAACAACACGATAATCTCAACAGACATAGGCAAAACGTTTGATAAAGATCAGTATCTCTTTGTTGCCTGTCTAACATCTGCAACAGCAAGACTCCTAATAGAATAATACTGGTCCGGTTTTGTTAAAATGATAGCCAACACCTTTGGAACTAACAAAATGGAACTTACCAATGGACTTCAGGCAAAATTAATCAGAGATACAGGGTTTTCAAACATACTTGTTGCGGCCATTTTGCTAAAGTGTTTTTAAAACTGACTCAGAATTTGCTGACCATCCTCACTGATGTGAGAAGAACTGAACAATCAGGACAAGATCATACCAGCACTGAGAAATAAAACCTAACTATGAGATGCTTGAGATGGTTGATCAGCAATGCTTTTGGAGAAAGACCTTGATCAAATGAGGAAATGTGAAAGTTGTCAGGATCAAAATGGAGTCATTTGTGTCAAACTTGGATTCCACAAATGGAGTCATTTGTGTCAAAAATTAAGCTGGTAGGTTAGGAAGGGAGGGCCCTCATGCGCACATGCCTATGATAAGAACTATTACAAAGAACATCTGAAAGTCTCTTACTTGCACATATGCCTGTAAAAAGAACTTTTGCCAAGGACTTTTCAAACTGCATCTTGTTACATGAGTCACAAGGACAGCTAGTGAATGCATAAGAACACTTGCCTGACATACTGTCTCCACAAGGACCTGGCATCAACTCCTGTGATAAGCCACTGTAATCAATATTTTGTTTGTTTTAAAACGAATTACGTTCACTTTTTCCTTTGAAAGCTTCCTCTTGTCTCAAACTCCTTGGCTATGCCTATGATCCCCATAGTCCACATATCCTGGATTAGCATCTATACTGCACACTCCAGAATAGAATGAGTATCTTTAGATAATCTCTCTCTGTTATTTAGGTTGACAGTATGTTAGTAAACACTGTGGCAAGAAAGAAGTTGCACACTAAAACAGGTTATTATGGTGAGTTTGTTGAACGAACAGTTTTAACAAAGGCCAAACTTCCTCGGTTGTCTTTTTTTTTTTTCTTTTGAGATGGAGTTTCACTCTTGTTGCCCTGGCTGGAGTGCAATGGCTTAATCTTGGCTCACTGCAACCTCCGCCTCTCAGGTTCAAGCGATTCTCCTGCCTCAGCCTCCCAAGTAGCTGGGATTACAGGCGTCCGCCACAACACCCGGTTAAGTTTTTGTATTTTTAGTAGAGATGGGGTTTCACCATGTAGGCCAGGCTGGTCTCGAACTCCTAACCTCAGGTGATCCACTTGCCTCGGCCTCCCAGCGTGCTGGAATTATAGGTGTGAGCCACCATGGCTGGCCCTCAGTTGTCTTCTTATTTTCCAATTCCCCCTTCCTCATAATTTTTGGCCTTGTAATGACTATCTCTCTTGTCAATTTAGTTCTTTGATGCTATTAATAAATTTTAAAAAATCATATCCACTATTTTAAAATTTACTGGAGAGGTTGCTCTGATTAACACATCCCGTCAATAAAATTCCCTACATTACTGGCCTTGATTTTTTGAGATGAAATATTATCCTAAATTATAAATTATGTTTCAAAGAATATTAATCATCTTAATATTAATAAACTTTTATGTCTATATGCATTAGATGACAACTGATAGCATTTAAGGAAATATATCACACCATCTAACTATTAAAATTGTCTTTTTAAATCAATTAAAAATGAGTTATAAAAAATATTTATTTCCTCACTACAAATATCTTCACAGTAGAATATAAACACCTGAAAGACAGTAGTTAATAAATAATTTATAAGTGTACTTAATACTTATGCTAAACCTACTGAATTATATCATCCTAAAAGGACACAAAATAACTATTCTATCAATTTACATTTTCTAATATATCTACCTCTGTTTAACTTTAAATGTTGTATTTTGACAATATCCAACCAATAATATCTGAAGTAGAATCTAAACAACCCGAGATAAGTAAGATAAAAATTGCTCTCCAAAGGAAATGCATATATTTTGTAAGCCCGAAATACTACTTATAATTAAGGATTGCACATTAGATACGAAATTATTTTTCCAATTTTCTTATGATTTACCTTATTTATGTCACATGTATTATTCTGCTTGTTTAACAACTCAATTTCACGGGCAATTAAACAATACCCACAGAGGTATACAAATGTTCAATCCAATCAGTTCCATTTTAAGCTGTTTTTTCACTAATTTTATCAAGAGGTATATAGTAAAAAAAAAAGTCCTTTGAAAATTACTGTGTTGGCTGGAAAAGATTCATATTTTGAAACTCTAAATTTGTGTAATATATCATGTACATGTTTAAAATTTTAGAACAAATTAATGTTTATATTTATTATTGTCCCTTCAGGGTAATCTTTATTAATTTAAAGTTACAATGAAAATAGTCTTCATTCCGACATTTTGAAGGTTCCTTAAGTATATAACTCAAGTTGATGATATTTAGTTGAACTTCAATAAAACAGAATCAACTTTGGTTTCCTTAACTTTGACATGCAATCCTATTTAACAATAATTGCTAAATAACATTTATCGTGTGCTTAGGCAAGGTAAGCACTGTTCAAAGACCTCTACATACAGCAATTTATTTATTGTGGGCACAACTTTATAACTGAGGTACTATTATTTTCCCTGATTCACAGATAAAAAATTGGGCTCAAAAGACATTTAATAACATGATGAAAAACTGGCTCTAAGCCACCATGCTATTCTGTCTCTATTAAAGGTTAATCATAACCAAAATTAATTCACTGATAAGACTAAAATGATAAATAGCTGCAAGTACCATTTTGGGGAGTGTGCAAGCAAGAAATGAAAATTCTTGATAAGGCACTGACTCATCACTTCTATAGAAATAAGCTACCAAGAGAAAAAATAAAGCTTTTTTTTGTAGTCATAGACAGTCTACAATGCAAAACTATTTTCAAAGAAATCAATTGCTTTCATTCGTTTATTAAATTTCCTCTATTTGCTACTAAAATTTGGTTTTAACTGCAAGTTTGGAAAGGCCATAGACTGTATGAGAGTGTAGCAGTTAAGAGCACAGTTTCTAAAACAGTGACACCCTGGGTTTGCATTGCGGTTGCTCCATTACTAGCTTTGTCATCTTGGTAGTTACATAACGTCTACAAGCTTCATTTATAAAATGGGGATAATAATTTTATTCATCTCACAAACTGAAAGTTTTAGAAAGTTGAAAGAAAAATGAAAGTCTATTTTAGAAAGTATTCAGCATAGAATATAGCATAATACATGGTAAATACATTTATTTTTATTGTCAGTTATCCATTTCTATGGTCAGTTATCTTCTGTCCACATGATTAGACTCACAAACAACACGTCTCACAAAATCAGCATCCATAAACCTACTTGTCCCAAATGTACAGAGTGGGCCACGGATACCGTAAGAACAAATCTATCCTCCTTCCACTTATGTTGAGGGATCTATGGACGCCAGATATTTCACCATTTACCTCTCCTCAGTGTAACGAACTATTTGACTCTCAGATTCACTCCTTTCTGTCTCATATTACCAGTGCCAAAATTTGAGATTTTATCCCCTGCTTCCTCCCACAACACACTGCCCATTTCCCTATTTTCAGGTACTGTGTTAAAAAAAAATGAATAGGAGAAAGCAGGCAAAATAATCACACTTGTGCAGGGTAGGTGTAATAAAATACATTTGTGTATATTTCAGAACATAGAAAAATAAAATGTGAGTTCTTAAAGGACTGACACCATTTTAATGATTATTACAAAATAGTGATTCATAAAAACAAAGATTTATTCGGTTATTTAATAGTTTTTAACTCTAATTTAACTCTAAATTAAGCATTCTTTTATAATAATGGCCTATATTACTTCAACTCAGGAGTTAGGGTAAAGTTCCCTGTGGGTGTAACTTCTGGTGCTTCAGAGCAGAGTGTCTTTCCTTGAAAGCTCCTCAGCAGTGCTCTCAACTGCACCCATCCTGGCTACTCCACTGACAAATACTCAGTGTATTCCACATCATGTCAGCAGGGTGCGGGAGAACTAAAGAAACAGTGATGCTTCTGGAGAAAGCTCTGTAATTTTGACAGAGTGAAGACTCTATAGCTCTATTACAATTATATCTTTAACAAATAATTTGGAATTTTCACCAACCATAACTCACGTGAATTAGTGTTAACCCGTTTTAATAACATAAAAATAGATAAACATTTCAACTTAACTTATAATATTTTATTTAAAGATATTTATTAGCAAAATATTTATATTAATAATACAAGTATATTATTTAGATACACATAATCAGTTCATGCCATCCAAACAACTGGAAATTTAAAAATAATCCCCAGTAACTATTACCATTATAATACAGTAAAGCAAACAAAAGCTTGAAGAGATTTTTTTTTTCAATTTTGTCTACTAGGATTTATAACTATTGAGGAACTTATTGCAAAGTCCAAAGTGTATTTTTGACAGCGAAAACAGAGGAATGCCAAAGTTGTCCAGCTTTAATCTGTTGGTACTCTTGCTGAACCTAATCCTTTTAAGAACTAACGTTTTCATAATAGGTAAATAATTTTAAATTTCCAACAATGAAAACACTTCTATTTAGTGGCAGTGATGTATATTCTTGATATATTATGTATTTTACTTTACATATCTTTAATAATAAAAAATCTAGTCATTGTCCATGTATGATAATTAAAGTGACTGAAACTATGAATGCATACTTTTAGTAATAACAATGAATCCACTGTGATATACTTGGCCTATTATAATATAGGGTTATAATAAACTTTTGTCCAAAAGTATGGTATGTAGTGTTCTTGATTCTTGTTATTTAACCTACAGAAATTTTTCAAAATCAAAATTCTGATACAGAACTTCATAGTTCAGATCTGTTTTTCAAATGGTAGTTGCTCTAATAATCTTGAGGATTTTTTAACACCAGAGTTCAGATTTCTGAATTGTACGTTTTACTCTTTAAGACTCTTTGTAGATGAGTAGCTATCGGTTATGGATGTTAACTGATTTATATCACATTGCTAGTAACACAGAATGTAAAAGATTTGCAGAGTCTTCTTGGAAAATACCACTGAGTAGTGTAACTTTCAATACAAATTACCATGTCCTTAAAAACTCTAAAAATGCTAAGGGGAAAGAATAAAGACAATTTATATCATATAAAGGTGGGCTGTAATTGGAAAGGCATTGCTACTAAACCAATAGCATATATACTGGTTCCTATTTAACCGATAAAATGTAATTATCCCATGTAAACATTTATAATCAATATATACCCTCCTAGGTGAAATTAGATCAACTACAGTAATTGAAAATCTATAAACAATGGCATCTCTAATCTGAGAAAATATTTCCAGTGGAAGAAGATGGTGATTTCCATATACGAAGAAGGAATAGGGTTGGCAATGAACCATGAAGTTTTGTGAATAATGACATTACATCACTAGAATAGTGATTTAGAAATGCTAATCCAGAAGCAGTGAATATTTAATTACATTATCAGTAACTTCATTATTCTATAACACATTGCAATATTTATGTCAGTGATATACAATCTGCAGATTGTCTATAAATATGAACAAATAAGAATGGAACTAAAGAAAAGATACTGGAATTGGGGTCCAAAATTCTAGATTTAAGTTCAATATCTGTGACCTTAGGGTACTAACAACAATGAGCTCAATTTCCTCAACTGTAAAAAGGGGGTTATATTTCCTAAAGTCTCTACCATATAGAATTGGTATTAGGGCAAAAATAACTATTGCTTGTGAAATCAAGCAATTTAAAGTTGTAAACTTTAAAGGATTATGTAAATAAGACACAATTACTAAATACATAGTATGAATGGTTATCATATAATGATTATCATTTTTTAAGTAATTTTTATATCCAGAGATCATAAACAGAGAATTCAAATAGATCAGAGAATTCTAGAGTCTATCTCAAGTTATATTTTCATAGGTAGCAACAAAAAGAACAATAACTAAATGCTGTTTTATTTATTTTAAAAGATGAATTGAAAAATAATGGCTGGTAATTTAAAATACAATTAAATGTAAAAATATGACACAGTCTTCTTTAAATTTTAATATACATTTGCTTCAAATTTTAAAATGTACCTAAAAAACTTGAAGGAACAGGCTAAGATGAAAAATATATTGATTAATAAACAAATTATTGAAAAGTACAGATGAATTTCATCATTTTGACCTTGAGTAAAAAGTCATTGAGAAATATCATCACTGCATTAATACATTTAGCAGTGCAAGAAGACAATGTCCCTCATACTTTATCACGCATCACTGAACTGTAACAAACGCTGACAGTTAGAGAGCGTATCTCTAAACATTATGACACCATCTTAGTGACAGCTAAAGAAGAAAACTGTGTACAATCATTGTTCATGTTTACTAGAACAGGCATGGCTAGAAAATATAAAATAAACTGATTTAAAGCATTTGGATAAACGTCTTTAATTCTGGCACTGTAGAAATAAAAATGGTGGGTGCATTTGTTTAGTCTTTTACCATTAGCAATTTATTTTGAAGTCTTATGTATAATACTGTCATAGAAACATCTCTTTAAAAAGTAGTGCTCAATAACCTTGCCCCATTACAAAGCAATTCATGACAAAGATCTTTTGCAGTAGCAATAATATTTGCATAATAATTGCAAGCACAGAAGAAAAGATTGAAATGCTACAACTGTATTCTAAGAGTTTTCTTTTTCATAAATTAAATTTTCCCAAAAAGCACTGCAAAAACTCATTATTTTATTTCTGAAATGTTACTTAAACATTTGCTCTTAATGGAATATAATATTCTTGTGTTATACCCTGAAAATGAAAAGCAGATAAGACTACTTCTTAATGAACATTTTTGACTGAATATGTTGAACAAGAAGGGATATATTTTCAATGTAGCAATAAATTCAGCATGCAGCTCCCATTAACAGCTTTGGCAGCTGTGCATTTTTTTTCTATGAGTGTGTTGCTGAAAATGTACATTCCTAGAATCAAATATGCGAGCCTAATGTGTACAATTGCTATCTGAACTTTTGCCTCTCAATTAAAGGGTCTATGTGAAAAATATTTGCAAAATATACAACAGTGTACATTTGCAAAAATAACAATCCAAATCATCCCTAATACATTTCAGTTTATTTCAGAACAATGTCAGAAAATGAATCTTAGGCTTTTGATACATAGGAATACAATAAACTCAGATAAAAATATCCTTAATTTTCTTCTTTTTCTCCCTATCCCCACATTTTTTGTTCATTATGCATGCATCTTTCTTACTGATATAGTAAAGATCATCTCATTCACATTTTTATTTCCAAAAGCTAAGTTATATAGTAACTCAGTCTGTAGGAATTAGGATTACAAATGTTGGAAATACTTAGCATAGGATAAACAGATTGAATTATTATTATTATTATTATTATTTGTAGACTGATCGCACTCTGTTGCCCAGGTGAATACAGTGGTGCAATCATGGCTTGAATATTTTGATGAATGAGAGTCACTGATATTTTTTCGATGCATTTCTGTATATGCATACTAAAAGGCACATGTCTATTTAATTATTCATTGTTGTATAATAAAATATGCTGAAATACAAGATGATCTTTGACTTACAATGAGGTTATTTCCCAATAAACCTGCTGTAAATTGAAAATACTGTAAGTTGAAATAGATTTAATTCCCTCATAAACCCACCATAAAGTCAAAAAAATTGGAAATCAAACTATCATAAGTTAGGGGTCATATGTATAAATATGAAAATAAATGTAAGTAATCTATGCAAAGGTGTATTATTAAAATATATATGCTAACTGTAGTTACAGAAATTTCTATTATTAGTTGTCATGTTTGCACATTCCTCAAGAAGTAAGCTTATTCCATCATCAAGATCTAGTATATTATTTGTAAGTAAGAAAGACAAATTACTACCATCAGATGGAGAGGGAAACCAAACATCCTGCTCAATTCCCAGGGATCAGAACAGATTGTTCCTCGTGAACAAAAGATGATAGCAACACTGGATGCAGAAAAACTTTGGCAGTCAAGGTATTATAAGGAGATAATAACGGTAGTAAAAACATTTAAATTGATGTATGCGTATAAACTGTGTAAAAATGACACTAAATATATATAATCTGTATTTGGTAAGTAGTTGTTATGCATAATCAGCCATCTTCTAATATGTCCCTCATGTTAATTTACATTAAAAGTTAATATTTTAAATAATACAAAATGTTACAATCCTCTATTATTTAGGACCTGTATAAAGCTCACAATTGAGATAAATATCTTTGGTAACATATATTTCAAGTACTCATTTAACAAAGAAAGAAAATTGCAAATACAAAAAATCAAGCAAAATAAGATCTCCACATCTGGTCTTAATTGAGTAACAGAGATCAGATTTAACCTCCCGCCATAAATAACTAGAAAAGTGGAGAAAATCTATGAAAGTCTTGCTTCCGGGTATTAGACAATAGGCAGAGAAGCACAGTGATTCTTTAGAGAAGGGAAACAAATAAAGTGAGTCAAAAATTGGCCTTGTTGTCTGTCTTGCAGCATAGTATAGCCTGTGATGTAGGAAGGGTATCCTAAATGGGAACTGACTTAAGGAGTAAGAGGTCTAAGTGTGGAGAGGCTGAGTTGTAGGGTGTCAATCAGAAGAGGATGGATATATGCTGAAAAAGAGCTCTAAATATCTCTTTGAATTTTTACCAAATCCTAAAAGGCACAAAGGCAGACAAAGGGTTACCAAAAACTGGTGACTTGCACAGTTTCTCAGCTCAGAAAGGGCTGGCTGGAAGACAGTTGAGCTCCAACCAGCTAGAGTGGAGTCTTTGCTGATCATTCAGAGTACTCAGTAGAAAACTCGAAAAGGATATACCTTAATAGTAGGCTGAATTCTAAGACAAAAGGACAGTCAAGGCTGTTCTATCATAATAAAGTTCAAAAACAAGCCTCAAAAGAATTAAACCTAATCACAAGTAACTTAACTGTCTAGCAGAACAAAACTCAATGCTTATTAAAAATACAACCAAATTCATATCCTCAGTAATGTAAATTTACAAAAATAACATAAAAATATAGAATGTCTTGAATCAAATAAAAGTTTATTAGGCCAAGAAGCAGGAAATTGACTATAATGAGAGAAAAATAAGTCAGTAAAAAACAATAGACCCAGAAATGACATCGAAAGAATGACACATTATATGCAGA
The DNA here is from genome assembly GCF_000001405.40 of Homo sapiens. Classification (NCBI taxonomy): domain Eukaryota; kingdom Metazoa; phylum Chordata; class Mammalia; order Primates; family Hominidae; genus Homo; species Homo sapiens. The sequence goes on along the minus strand of NC_000010.11, from coordinate 115,604,022 downwards.
TGAACAGATACAAGATAGCAGACATTTTTCAAGAGAAACTAGACAAAGATGAAAAAGAAAAGACATTTTTTAAGGGCCTCCAAGAGGTCCACCTAGAATTCTATAATCAGTAAAAATATCTTTGAAAACTGCAGGCAAAATAAAACATTTTCCATATTAAGTGGAAAGAATCTGTTGCCAGCCTATCTGAACTAATGAAAACACTAAAGAAACTTTTTCAGGAGTAAGGAAAATGATACTAGCTAAAAACTTAAATCTAGACAAAGCAATGGAGAGCAATGGATAGGGTAAATATTTAGATAAATATCAAAACTTTTTCATCTCAAAATTTCACTTGAATGAGATTTGATGCCTGCTTATGATGATGCTTATAAAATATGTATAAGTTAAATGTATGACACAATAGTATAAGAAATAAATTGTCAGAAGTTTTATACATTGAAATGGAAATAAATTATAAGTTTCTTAAAATTTTATGAGGGTAGACTGTTGTGATATAATAATAAATATGTATCTGCCCCCATAAAACTCTTGTAATTTTTTAAGTGATATGGGTACTAGGAGCATCGTCTGCTCTAATGTTTGGTCTCTGGCTCTAGCTCCTAAAACAGTTTCTAAAACCCTTATAATTTCCTGATTGATGGGATGACAGGAGTCTCTTAATGTAAAGCCCCTAAATCCCTTGGTATTTCCCAGGCGATATTAGCATCTTTTGTTCTAATGAAGCAATTCTTGGTGGGCTTTTGGATAACTTCAGGAGGGCTGGTCATGAGAAAGACTAATTTATCATTAGCTTGGAATTTTCAGTCCTATCCCCTGTCCTCCAGGGAGGGGAACAGGGCTGGAGATTGAGTTAATTCATTATGCCTATGAAATGAAACGTCCATTAAATCTCAAAACTGCAGTTTAAAGAGCTTCCAGGTTGGTGAACATCCACGTGCTGGGAGAGTGGCATACCCCCACTACATGGAGACAGAAGCTACTCAGGAACTTTTCAGACCTTGCCCTACGTACCTCTTCATCTGGCTGTTCATTTGTATCTGTTTTAACATTCCTTATAATAAACCAGTAAATTTAAATAAAGTGTATCCCTGAGTTATGTGAGTCATTCTAGCAAATTATCAGCCATTTGGGACTGGACTTGTGATTGCAATGTTTTTTTTTTTTTTGAGACGGAGTCTCGCTCTGTCACCCAGTCTGGAGTGCAGTGGCGCGATCTCTGCTCACTGCAAACTTCGCCTCCTGGGTTCACCCCATTCTCCTACCTCAGTAGCTGTGACTACAGGTGCCTGCCACCACGCCCGGCTAATTTTTTGTATATTTAGTAGAGACGGGGTTTCACCGTGTTAGCCAGGATGGTCTCGATCTCCTGATCTTGTGATCCACCCACCTTGGCCTCCCAAAGTGTTTGGATTACAGGCATGAGCCACTGCGCCCGGCCATGATTGCTATTTCAAGTGAGGGGCAGGCCTGTAGGACGGAGCCTCTAACCTTGTAGCGTCTGACACTAATTCTGAATAGTCAGTGTCAGAATTGAGTAAGCATATAAGACACTAAGTTGGTGTCCAGAGAGTTTTTTTGTGTGTGTAAACAAAAAAATCCCAAACATTTAGTGTCAGAAGTATTGTGAGTAAAGAAACAGTTTTCCTTTTACTTTATTTACTTATTTGAGACTGAATTTTGCTCTTTTGCACAGGCTGGAGTGAAGTGGCATGATCTCGGCTCACTGCAACCTCTGACCCCAGGGTTCAAGAGATTCTCCTGCCTCAGCCTCCCAAGTAGGTGGGATTATAGGTGCCCACCACCATGCCCAGCTAATTTTTGCATCTGTAGTAGAGACAGGGTTTTGCCATGTTGGCCAGGCTGGTCTCGAACTCCTGACCTTAGTTGAGCCACCTGCCTCAGGCTCCCAAAGTGCTAGGGTTACAGGCGTGAGCCACTGTGCCAGGCCTCCTTTTACTTCAATAAGTTCAAAATGCATATTGTAAACTCTAGAGCCATTGTCAAAAAGAAAAGTAGATCTAGTAAGAAAATAGTAAAAAAAAAAAAATCCAAAAAGTACTCAATTAGCCTGAAAAAAGGGGGGAAATGAGGAAAAAGTGAACAATGAAAATATAGAGGAAAAATCCAGATGGGAGACACATAGTATAGATAATTACATTAAAAATATGTAGTCTAAACACTGCAATTAGAAATGCAGGAAGAAATTACTGTGCTGGAATAACGAAAGAGTTACAACTATATGCTGTCTATAAGAAACTACTTTTAAATTAAATAAGCAGACAAGTTAGAAAGAAAGAAAAATGATATGTTGTGCAAATATTAAGCATAAAAAGCTAGTTGGCTCCATTAATATCATAAAAATAGACCAGAACATGAGTTAATACTACGAATAAAAAGGGATATTCATAATAATATGTTAAATCATGAACAAGTCATACCAATCCTAAAACTGCATGCAAGCAATAGCAAAACTTCAAAGTACATGAAGCAAAACTGACAAAACTGAAAGGAGCAATAGATACATCCACAATTATAGATGGATATTTCAACACTTCTCTTTGTCACATTATAGAATAAGCAGACAGAACATAAGCCGGAATATAGAAGACATGAAACTACAAGCAAACATTGTCTAATCTAATTGACATTACAATAATTAACCCAATAATTACGATTTTTTCTAACATATATAGGACATGCATGAATGTAGATCATATTCTGAGCCATAAAACAAGTTTCCAATAGCACTACAATGATATGTATATGGTCTACGTATGTGGTCTACATATGAGGTCTAATACAGAACTAATTAGAATTCAAAAGCAGAAATATATTTGGAAACAATGTCAAATATTTGGAAATTATACAAAATACTTTTAAGTAAGTCATGAGCCAAAGAAGAAATTAAAAGGGCAAATATAACTTATTTTGAAATGAAAAAAATGAAAATGCAACATATCAAAATTGTGAGATGCTACAAAAGCAGAAAAAGAGCAGATTGTAAGAAATGCAATGCGGAAAGGATAATGTTTTCGACAATGGTTCTAGAAAATGTGGACATCCATACAGGGCAAAAAAAAAAAAAAAAAAGAAAATAAAAAACCTCAATCCTTACTTTACATCAGACTCTGAAATTAACTTGAACTAATCATAGACTCAAATAAAAAAGCTAAAACCATAAATATTTAGAAAAAAATGGGAGAAACATTTTTGTAACCATCAAATGGACGTTTCCTTAAGTAGAACAAAGAAAACACAAACCGCAGAATAAAATTTTATCAAATTCATCAAAATTAAAACACCTGCACTTTGAAAGGTAGTAAAAATATACAAAGCAAGCTTATAGACCTGGGGAAAATACTTGCATTGCATAAAACTGACAAAGGATTTATAACCCAGAACATATTATATAAGAACCGTTTACATCTCAATAATAAGAATACTTTGTCAATTTTAAAAATGAGCAAAAAATTGAAGACACACATGACAAAAGAGAAACAGATGAAAAGATATTCAATACCATTAGCCAACAAAAACTGAAAATTATAACTATGAGGTACTAGAGTAAAACTACTAGAATAGTTACAATGAAAAATACCAATAATACTACATGCTGGCAAGGATGCGGAGAAACTGGAACTCTCACATGGAATAGGTGAAATGTGGTATTATACAATCCTTTTGGAAGAGGGTTTGGCATTTTCTAATAAAATCAAACATATTTACAGTAAAATCCAGAAATTGTACTATTAGGCATTTACTCAAGTTAAATTTTTTTAAATTTCACAAAAGCTTCTAAACAAACATTCATAACAGTTTTGGAATAGAACTTGGTGAAATCAATGAACGAAGTGGTATAATACATAAAATTACTGATATATCTCAACATTGTTAAGATGGGTCAAAGAAGGAAGACAGGAAAAAAACACACACACATGCTGCATAATTCTATTTAAATGAAACTCTGGGAAAGACAAAATAAAATCCTTAGTGATAGAAAGCACACGCATGGTTGCCTGGGGTGGAGATGGGAGTGAGGAGTGAATGAAAAGGGTCATGAGGGAACCTTTTGAGATTATGGAAATGTTCTTTATCTTGATTGTGTTGGTGGTTAACTGGATACATACATTTGTCCAAATTCATTAAGCTGTACAGTTAAAATCAGTTGCGTTATTGTATATGTTATATTTTTATAATATTGATTTTTTAAGTTAGCACATTGTTATAGAGTGACAGTTTTCGTAGTGTAGACAGTGGGTGTTTGGGAGTTCTAAAGCATCTTTTTGAGGATACAACTAAGTCAAAACTATTTTGTTAGTCATTCCAAATTTCCATTTGCCTTTTGCACAGTGCTGATGTTTGCAGTGATGGTGAAAAAGCAATGATAGGTAAAACTGCTGGAACCTTAGCACAAATCAAAGCAGTGTTAGCAAACTACTAGTAGTCACTGAATTTTTCACTGCCAAGCCCTTGTAGAATAACAAAAAAAATCCGGGTTTACTTTACTTAAAAATATCCTTGATGCATCAGTAAAATTATTAATTTTATTAAATCTTGACTCAAGTATAACAAATGGGAAGTACAAATACAGCATTTCTGTAACTAATTAACTGTCTCCTGGAAATGCACTTATGAGACTGAGTTGCATGCTCATTTAGCTGCCTTTTTCATGAAGCACCATTTTAAGTTGAAAGCACAAGTGACACACAAACCATTCACATTAGATATTTTACAGATATTTTCACAAAAATGAAAAAACTCTGTCACTTGAAGGAAAATAACTGACTGTATTTGTTGGCAATGATAAAATAGGAGGGTAAAGCAAAAATCATAGTTTGGGAAAAATTTTATAGTACACTGTGAGCCTGATAGCTTTCCAATACAGTACTTTAAGCTTGTTCTTATTATATTGGTGGTGATTTCTTGGTATTACAAAATGAAATGGGTCAATATTCAGAAGACCTGCATAACTCAGTGAATCAACATTTTCCAGAGGACCAATGCATGATGCTAGCAAATCTTGCATGGGTAAAAAAATATTTAAACCAACTTCAAGAAATTACCAGTTGTCAACTTTCAATAAAGTATAACAGAAAATATTCACAACTACGTGCAAAAACTTAAAAAATACTCCTCTCTTTTCTAACTATGTTTCTGTGTGAGGCTGGATTTTCTTTATACACCTCAACCTGATGAACATATTAAAACAGATTAAATATGGGAATCAGGTATGAGAATTTAGCTGACTTCTATTGAGTCAGGTATTAAAGAAACTTATTAAGAGTGAAACAAAGCCACTCTTCTCACTTTTTAAAAGACATAGTTACTTTTATAAAGAATATGTTATTTATTATAATAGGAATGGGTTTTTCATTATTTTAAAAATAATTTTTACTTTGAGAGGCTGAGGCAGGTGGATCACAAGGTCAGCAGATTGAGACCATCCTGCCCAACATGGTGAAACCCCGTCTCTACTAAAAATGCAAAAATTAGCCAGGCGTGGTGGTGTGTGCCTGTAGTCCTGGCTACTCAGGAGGCTGAGGCAGGAGAATTGCTTCAACCTGGGAGGCGGAGGTTGCAGTGAGCCGAGATCACGCCTCTGCACCCCAGCCAGGGCGACAGAACGAGATTCCGTCTCAAAATAAATAAATAAATAAATAAATAAATAATTTTTTTAAATAAATAATGTAAAATGTTCTCAATTTAAATTTCCAAAGTAGTAAATTTCTCAATTTATCAATTTAAATTTCTATATTTCTAAAGTAGTAAATATCTATAGTTATATGCTCACACCAAACAGTCTGAGAGCTGCTATACTGAATAAAGGAATATTGCTGTTAATATGCTGATGCTATTGTTTTATCGCTTGCCTGGGCTTGCTTTCAGCCTGCTTCCCCATTTCTTCCTTCCTCACCTACCATGCAACAGTTATATAACTATTCACCTCTAGTTAACTTACCATGTTCAAATTAGGTCTATTGCTCTTATGTCTTACAATCTTTCAATAGCAGCTAAATACCTGGATTTGTATGTGAAGCTTTTTAAATTTTTAAAACACTGTTTAGGCCAAAAATAATCTATATATCACGAGTTTAGAAGTTCAGTTATATGAACACACCTTAATCTACTACAGAAATGAACAGCAATGTTGTTGAAAATGTCTAAATTTAAAGAGTTCACATAGAGGCCCGGCGCGGTGGCTCACGCCTGTAATCCCAGCACTTTAGGAGGCCGAGGTGGGCAGATCGCCTGAGGTCCAGTCTGGCCAACATGGTGAAACCCCATCTCTACTAAAAAATACAAAAATTAGCTGAGCGTGGTAGTGGGCGCCTGTAATGGAGAATTGCTTGACCCAGGATGCGGAGGTTGCAGTGAGCTGAGATCCCCACACTGCACGCCAGCCTGGGTGACAAGAGTGTGACTCTGTCTCCAAAAAAAAAAAAAAAAAAAAGCTCCCATAAATGAATTGTTTCATGTAATGTTTACAAAGTTTTTTCTCATATTTTGTAATTGAAATTTCATCATTATTAACCCACATTTGTATTCGATTGCCATTTTAATTCACACAACAGATAAATATTTAGTAAATCTAAAAATACAATTTTCTAAAATTGTGTCATCAACATAGATAAGCAGGTACATAGATAGACATTACTGTATATTACATTTACTTCATTTCTCAACCTTTCATAAAACAATAATTTTGTGTAATTATGAATAAATTATAATTTGAACTAGTTTTTAAATTTACATATGAATATTTGTGTTATGGAACTTACATGATTCACTAGAGCCTCAAATCATTTTGGTAACCATTCGTCTACTGAGGAAAAAATTTTAGTAAACATAGAGAAAAATTATTACCTTACATTTAAAATAATTTAATGATGTATCCTTTGGAGTAAATATAATCAAAATGTTTTACTAGACTATTTAAACTAGAAGAAACTCATTTAGGACTGAAATATTTTGTTAGATGTGAGCTGTGAATACCAAAGGAAATTAACAATACAGTGAAGGATTTTTTTTAACCTTTTTTGTTGTTCATACTTATTGGCAACCAAAATAAATAGGAAATAAATGTAACATTATAAATCAATTATTGTAGTAACAATAAATTTCACTTGATTTTAGGATACCAATAACTAGTCCTATTTGATAAAGATTGATGTCTCACATTTATGAATAATAATATTCTTAAACTAATATTCTTAAAAATAAATGGATTTATAACAATAAGTAATACTCTCATATTACCTTAAGGCTTAACAAAGTATATTTCTACATACAAACTTCCCATAGTCTATCATGTTAAATGTCAATTACTCTCACTGTCACGGGTTTCCAATACTGTCCTAGCTCTACCTTTTAGCCAGTTCCAACTAAACACGCCCTTCAGCTCACTGACATTTGCCCATTTTCCCTACTGTAAGATGTCAGGTGAAATTGCTAAGATAAAAGCACAAAGATCTTCCTTTCCATTTGTGACTACTTTAACTTCTTCATGATAATCCATGAATGTCATTGTGTTTACCATAAGTTGAAAATTGTATGTAGTCATATATTTATTTAAATGATAATTTATACCAACTGATTCAAATGAGAATAATGACGGGCCGGGCGTGGTGGCTCATGCCTGTAATCCCAGCACTTTGGGAGGCCAAGGCAGGTGGATCCCTTGAGGTTGGGAGCTCAAGACCAGCCTTGACAACATGGTGAAACCCTGCATCTACTAAAAGTACAAAAATTAGCTGGGTGTGGTGGCAGGTGCCTGTAATCCCAGCTACTCAGGAGGCTGAGGCAGGAGAATCGCTTGAACCCAGGAGGCGGAGGTTGCAGTGAGCCAAGATCATGTCATTGCGCTGCTGCTTGGGTGACAAGAGCAAAACTCAGTCTCAAAAAAAAGAATAATGACATAATTTGGGCGTCACATTTCCGAACACCAACACAATATACATACAAACCATTATGTAACTTTTACGAATAACACTTACTATAGCTCATACCTGTTTTCTAGTTACAAAACCACAGAGATGAAAACTTGGAACAAACCTTTAAAAGCTGTTATCTTTTGACTTGAGATGAAGTAGTTAGGACTGGTGATTGTCTGATATATTAGTGAAATTCTCAGCCAATTCAAGCAATTTCACAATAAATATACTGACATTTTGATTTTAAGTTCTAATGATTAATCGCTAATGCTTCATTATAATTAATTCTAACCTTTTCAAATTGAGACCAAATTGTAACATTTCAAGTGAATAATAATCAATCCATAAAATACTGAGTCATAAATATAAAAAACTGAGCAACTGCCATATTGCTATTTTCATGTATAAAAAGACTCAAATGAATCAAATATTATTGTGCACTCAGATCTTAAAAGGAAAAGATAATAAATAGATCCAGCCACTCCAAGTAAGTGGGAGTGTAATAAAAGAGCAAACAAGGAAATGAAAATCCCTGTTTTTCTTTTTGCACAACAATTAAGCTCTTAACTACTGCCTTAATAAATTTAACATATTAACAGAAAAATGTAAATGGAAAATAAATTACCAAATTCAAAGTGAAAGCACAACAGCTTTTAATAACTATTTTCACTAGTTAATATATAATATTACAAATCTCATGGCAGTCTACACTCAAAGCAGAAATATAATTCATGTGTGCTTGATATTTTCCAGTTGAAAACTCGTAATTTTATATAGATTATATCAGTGTCTCACACTTGACCCCTTTTAAAGCTAAAAAGAAGTAAGAAAAAAGGGAAGGAAGGAAGAATATGAAGGAAGAAAGGAAGGGAGGAAGGAAAGAAAAAAATTCAAACACCCAAAGTAACCCATAGATGACTTTAATTAAAATGCCAGAACAGCTATCATTTTGGACAGGCCTGTGATTGGGAGGAGACTTAGTGGATCTTCTGTGGTGCCAGCAAGTTTCTATTGATTTACATGAATGTTTATGGATGATGGTTACACAGAAGTGTCCATTCTGTGAAAATTCATCAAGCTACATATTTCTGATTTGTTTACTGTTCTGTATGCAAATTACACCTCAATAGAATGTTTATCTAATGAAAAACTTATGACTAGAGACTTGAAAAGAAGGCTCAAGAAGGATGTCATGTACCTCTAAAAGCTCTGTTTGACTTGGAGCCACAAACCACCTGCTGATCTCTTTAGAGACCTAGAGAATTTAGTGGAAATAATGTTACTGGCCTGGCATGGTGGCTCACATCTGTAATTCCACCACTTTGGGAGGCTGAGGCAGGTGGATCACTTGAAGTCAGGAGTTTAAGACCAGCCTGGCCAACATGAGGAAACCTCATCTCCATTAAAAACACAAAAATTAAGCAGGTAGTTGTGTATGTCTGTAATCCCAGCTACTTGGTAGGCTGATACAGAAGAATCACTTGAACCCTGAAGGCGGAGATTGCGGTGAGCCACGATCGCGCCACTGCACTCCAGCCTGGGTGAAAGAGTGAGACACAGTCTCAAAACAAAACAAAACAAAAAACAAGTATTAGTGAAGAATTATTTTCTTATCCTACAGTTCCTCATTAGGATATGCAAATTAAGACCCACCCATAGTCACACTATACCTAACTCAAATTCTGAGTCCTTGAGCAAGTTTATTAAAGCAAAGATGAAATTTCCCAGATTAAAAAAGAAAAGCTCATAAAATCTGCTAAATTTTGGCTTAAAAACACATCAATTATACAATCTGTAATATGTGAGAAATATAAAATATTAAGTATTTATAATATAGAATTCACATATGATATCATGCATATATATGTATAGATTATAGTACTTAGAATCTTGAAGTACTATTGCTTTTGGATATCAAAGAATAACTAAGTGTTTCTCCCTCTTCCAAGAAGAATTCTAAATCACTCATAGGTATACGAAAGTATAGTTTTATTTCTTCTGAATCAATAAAAGAAATATGAATTATGTCACAGCTGATATAAATAGATCAAATATAAAGATATCTGAAATCTTACTGACCTAATAATATGTTTTAGAGTTTATTTTCTAGCAAGGTATGAAAACCCATCTCTCTTGGGTCATTTAAATAGATTAAATAAAGTATATATATTTGGAAGAAAATAATTGTATACTACCTGTAGAAAAAATAAGATAATTAAATTTTCATTTTAAAACAGGATAATGATAATAAGTGTAAGCAAAATTTTAATTTAAACAACAAAACTACCCATTTGACAACCATCTCAGAATTATTACAAGGAAGTGTCTACACCAATTTTGTTTCAATGCAAATTTTAGATACAATTGTTCAATTATATCATTAAAATAGAGATGTATTGAGAATGTTTATGATATAGTTTTAATTGGAAAAATACTATAATTTCCACACATACAATGATCTCAACAATGTATTATGAGGTACATACATATAAGTGTAGGCATTTGTGGTAAAGTGATAAAATAAGAGTCCAGTTTCATTCTTCTCCATGTGGGCATACAGTTTTCTCAGCATCAACTAGTGAAGAGACTGTCCTTTCCCCCATTGTGTGTTCTTGTCACCTTTGCCAAAGATCAGTTAGCCATAAATGTGCAGATTTACTTCTGGGATCTTTATTCTGTTCCATTGGTCTATATTTCTGCTTTTGTGCCAATACCATGCTGTTTTAATTATTGTAGTTTTGTATAGATTTTGGGATTAGGATGTGAGATACCTCGGCTTTGCTCTTTTTGCTCAAGATTGCTTTGGCTATTTAGCATCTTTTGTGGTGATTACGTCATGAGGTCCCTGACCCCATAAATGGATTGATGTTCATATCAAGGGAGTGGGCTAGTTGCCATGAGAATGGGCTTATTATAAAAGGAAGTTCAGCCCCTTCTGGCTCCCTTACTCTTGCATTCTTTTGCCCTTCTGCCTTCTGCCATGGGATGATGCAGCAATAAAGCCCTTGCTAGATGCATGCCCCTCAACCTTGAACTTTTCAGGCTCCAGAACTCTAAGAAATACATTTCTACTCATTACAAATTACCCAGTCTGTGGTTATAGTGACACAAAATGGACTAAGCTAGATAGATAGATAGATAGACAGATAGACAGACAGACAGATAGTTAGATAAGAAAGAGGGACAGAGAGAAACAGAGAATCAGGAACTGACATTCCCTAAAAAGAATTGTAAGTAGGCACATGTAGCTGACTATAATCAAATATATAGAGTTTCAACAACAAAAGCAATTATGTTTTGAGGAAGCTCTGCTGTTAAAAGTGCCACCATCCTGGATAAATAGAAACTGATTGCTAGAGAAATAAAACAGATGATTTCTAGTATTATTTGGCAATAAAATGTACATGGATGAATGTTGAAAATATTACACCAAGTGAATGACGCTAGTCATAAAGGACCACATATTATATGAGTTCACTTACATGAAATGTCCAGAATAGGCAAACTCATGGAGGCAAAAAGTAGAGGTGGCTACCTAGGACTTAGCGGGGTGGAGTAAGGTAGAGCTGCGTGGGTCTGCTAATGGTTATGTTGTTTCTTTTTAGGATGATGAAAATGTTCTAAAACTGGAGTGACAGTTGTAGAGTTGTAGAATTTTGTGACTATAGTAAAAGCTGCTGAATCATACACTAAATGGATAAAATGTATGGTGTATGAATTATATTTCAAGAAACACCATCACTGGCGATCTCTTGTTTGTTTCAACTTTTAGATCTCTACAGGAGGTACACGTGCAGGATTGTTATATGGGTATATTGCACAATGCTAAGGTTTGGGGTATACTGATCCCATCATCCAGGTAGTGAGCACAGTACCCAATAGTTTTTCAAATCCTGCCTCTCCATCCCTCACTCCACCCCTAGTAGTCCCCAGTACCTACCGTTGCCATCTTTACGACCTTGTGTATCAAATGTTTAGCTCCCACTTAGAAGTGAGACCATCCAGTATTTGTTTTCTGTTCCTGTGCTAATTAGCTTAGGAAAATGGCCACCAGCTACATACATGCTGCTGCACAGGGCATGATTTTTTCTCTTTTATGGCTGCATAGTATTCCATGTTGTACATGTACTACATTTTCTTTAACTACTCCAATTTCAATGGGCACCTAGGTTGACACCATGTCTTTGCTATTGTGAATAGTACTGTGATGAAAATAAGAGTGCACGTGTCTTTTTGGTAGAACAATTTATTTTCTTTTGGATACATGTGCAGTAATGGGATATATACCCAATCATCAAATGGTAGTTGTAAGTTCTTTGAGTAATCAGCTGCTTTCCATGTGGCTGAAATAAGTGAGATTCCCACCAAAGTATATACGCGTTTTGGACCTTCTTTGGACCAAAGTTATAGGTAGAAGAAAGGTTGAGAAAGCTACACAATGTCAGGAGACAATGCTCCACGAATATTTCATGTTTCTGCATGGTCAGAGCTTCCTGAACAAAAATTCCAAGTAACATGGGTTAAAAATGATTGAATATCAAATAAGTCTTGTATGATAAAGATAGAAATTTCCAAGAAAATTTATGGACATCTCCCTCAGAGAGTTTTATTTACATTCCAGAGTGGTGAAGTAGAGACCTCTCCATCTTCTCCGAGAGGATTTGCTTACATTCTAGAGAAGCTTCCCTCTCTAGTCTCCAGAGGGCAGAAGGGCCACATGTGCCAATTACCCTATATAAGCCCCAAGATTCATAATTTTGGAGTAACTCTCCTGTGTCATAAACCCCATTTTCTGTGCAGGATATATCTGATACTATGTTATCTTGTGGGAAATTGAGGTATAGGGAAGTGACACAGGTTACTATGTGAGTAAAGAGTCTATCTCCAAACCAGAGATCTCAAGATATTGCTACTATGTGTGTGTGCATTTTTGTGTATGTGTACTCACATGTTAGTGTGTATACACGTATGTATTAATATATACACGTATACATGCATATCTTGTACGTGCTAGTACAGTGGTACCTAGAACCTTTCATAGTTTCAGACTCAGTGCTCAGATCCAAAAAAGACGGATTCTCAAATGCCCTGTTCAGATATAACGAAGTGAGATCATTGAAACAGAAGGATTTGCCAGAGGCCAGAGCCAAGAGTCATGAACAATAACTAGGGAGTTGTTCCCAGAAAACCTCAGCAAAGATTTGCCACTCACACAGGAAGAGGGATGGTGAAACCTCTGATCAACAGGAGTTCAGAAATGCTAGTATTCAGGGACTACTATATGTGTCCATCTTTCTATTTGCAATGGAAGTGTTTATTATGATTATCTTGTTCTGTTTCCTCATTGAATGTTGAATGTGGTGAGTGGGGAGCCAGATAATTTGCATTTTTACTTCAAGGCTATTAAGATTAGACAATTAGATGAGACTTTTGAGTTTCTTCCTGGAGGAGGCAGGTGGGAAGTGACTATATTTTATATACAAAAGGAAGGGAAGTATGTATGATAAAATAGACTGTAGTAGATTTTATTAATATTCATTAATATTCATAAATATTCCTCTTCCCTTCCTCTACTCCACAGTATTAGTATATTTTCTTCATGTATTTACTTACTGGGCAAGCAATGGATCTAGAACACAAATAATAAAGAGCACAAGCAGAAAATATTAAATATGTACCAAAGGAAACAATAATTAGACAACCAAAGGTTAATACACAGAAAGAAAGCAAACTGCCAAAGAAAAGAACTTTTAAGATCATTATTAAAAACAGGGTGACACTAAAGATTCAAGCCTCTTCAACATGAAGAACAAAAGTCAGTCATGTGCTTAAATAAACCTACTCATCTTGTTAGGCTATGTATTCATTTCAAATTAGTCTCTGCATCTCTATCTGAAAGAAGCACTAAGACCTTTTAAATTTCTGTGGCCTATGGCAGTATATGATCATTATCTTTTAACGATCAGGCTCTACAATTCAGATTTATTCTTAAGGCTGGAGGAGTCAATGCTTTTAATTTAACTAACACAACATTGTATTATTTTGCCACAGTATATTTTACATTGTGAATCTGACAATGCTAAAGCAAACTGCTATATTAAAGCTAACTTACAGACAACCAACACAAAGCTGTGTCAGATAGAATTCGGTTTTACACAGAAAATAATAAAGAAGAGCAATGAAGATGGCCTCTCATCAATGGAACTGTCTGACAAAACTGGTACTAACCATGATGGGCTCCTGATCTTTCTTGTGGAAGACTAACAGAGTAATCTTTCGTTAATACTCAATTTGACATTTTTGATCCAAAAGACTTTTGGGAAAAATTATGTGTTATATAAATAATTTTAGATCAAAGCAATATAATTCAAAGTTACAATCAAAATTAATGAGATTTGCTAAATTTTTGTTAAAAATTATTGCTAAAAAGACAGACATAAGTATGTATCATGATCTAGGCCAAGAAAATATATCATCCTACACTCAAATAATAAGGGGGAGAGGGAAATTTTGTCTTTTTGAAAGCATTTGAAAGTAGACTTTGTACAATGAGAATTTAAGCTGTGTGAGGTCTGGAACTCTAATACAATTACTGTCAAAGGAACAGATACTGAAATATAGTTCCTATAACAATTTAATGTGTTTTCTTCATTAAGTAAATGAGAATCCAATGAAAAAGGAAGGATAATTGTAAAATAATGTGAATAAATATAATATTTTCCATACTGATATAGGAAGCCCTCTTTTTGACCAAGATTATTGATCAAAGAGTAATTAATTTTAAGTAGATCATTTAAATATTCCTCCAGCTTTATGCAACTAATAACCATTGCACATAATTCTCTGGAATTACTGGCAGAAGTTAATGTTTTACAGATCATAAGTTTGTTAATAATATTCAAAAATATCTGAATACGTTATAGTCAAAGTCTAATTATATCTTAAATTATTCTTCTTTCCAGTATCTACCATCACAAACCATTGAGGTATGCATTTTTATTATATTTCTTATCATATCTCTATGTCTTATCTATTTGCCATTCTCACAACCACTACTGATCAATATATTACCAGCTGGAATGTTAGTCATAACTTATTTAGCACTGAAAATTCACAATCTAATCCTTTGAAAAGAATGCTAAACATGGAAAATGCAAAAACTGCAAGGAAATTACTTATACTTGTTTTATATCTACCATTCTGTCCCAAGGACATTTGCAGTGGTAATATCTGCAAGATGGAAGAATAGGAAGCTCTTGATTTTCCCTCCTTCCATAGATGCACTAAATAAACAGCTACACATTGATCAATCCCTCTTGGAGAAAACCAGAAACTAGTTGAGAGACTTGTACACACTGGGAAAATAAGAATATACCCACACCAACACGGGTAGGAAAATCTGGGACACACTCACACACAAACCCTACCTGGGGACAGCACCTAATGACTGGGAAGGAACCCCAAACTCCCAGCTTTTCCATGAGTAGCAAAGGGCTTAGACCACACATAAAGCACCCCAATTTTTGTTGTTCCTCCCAAAGGGTTTGGTTCTTAAAACACTTAGCTTTGAAAGCAGAAAGAACTCTGCATTCATAAATCTTCCTAGGCCACAGAATACTGTGGAAGGCCATCTTACTAAAGTTTTGGCTTTTGACAGAGGAACACACATATTGCCATTCTATGGTCTCTCAGGAAGGAACTTAGGAGAACAATGCTCTGACCTCTCTATCTGCCAACACTCTAAGCTCCAGATTGTGTCCCCCACAGGTTGAGACCATCAGAAGCTGCACAGCAAAAGAGGCTCATTTATGTAGTCCATACATAAATCACCATCCATGGCATAGAGCTGAGGTGAGAGTTGGGGGTGAGAGAGGGATGAGAAGGGAGGACAGTCTAGAATGATTCCGGAGAGCCAAACTGATGCTACATATCAGGTTTAACATTTTCCATCCTTTCATTTTCAACAGTACTGTCTCTTCATGTTTTAGGGGTGTTTTAGTAAAAAAGAAAGGAAAACTTCCATTTATTATCCAGTCTGATAATCCCTGTGTAACCTAGTGAATTTGAACCATTTGCATTTATCATGTTTACTATTATACTTGAATTTGATTTTCATTTCTTATTTCTTTCTCCTTTTTTTCATTTAATTTGAATTAATAAACTCCTCTCCTCTCCTTTCTCCATTACTACTTCTGTTCTATTTGTTTTCTCTACTGGTTTGGAAGATAAACTTTGTTATTTTAATAGTTAAAATGGATATTTTTACATCTACTTTAAAAGTTTAGTGTCAAAAGAACTTGTTGGGAGGAGAAGCCAAGATGGCCGAATAGGAACAGCTCTGGTCTACAGCTCCCAGTGAGAGTGAGGCAGAAGACGGGTGATTTCTGCATTTCCATCTGAGGTACCAGGTTCATCTCACTAG
Source organism: Homo sapiens (assembly GCF_000001405.40). Lineage (NCBI taxonomy): Eukaryota > Metazoa > Chordata > Mammalia > Primates > Hominidae > Homo > Homo sapiens. The sequence goes on along the minus strand of NC_000010.11, from coordinate 115,587,666 downwards.
GGAGTGCCAGACAGTGGGTGCAGGTCAGTGGGTGCACGCACCATGCGCGAGCCGAAGCGGGCGAGGCATTGCCTCACTCGGGAAGCGCAAGGGGTCAGGGAGTTCCCTTTCCTAGTCGAAGAAAGGGGTGACAGATGGCACCTGGAAAATCGGGTCACTCCCACCTGAATACTGCGCTTTTCCGACGGGCTAAAACAACGGCACACCACGAGATTATATTCCGCACCTGGCTGGGAGGGTCCTATGCCCACGGAGTCTCACTGATTGCTAGCACAGCAGTCTGAGATCAAACTGCAAGGCGGCAGCGAGGCTGGGGGAGGGGCGCCCGCCATTGCCAAGGCTTGGTCAGGTAAACAAAGCAGCCAGGGAGCTCCAACTGAACTGGGTGGAGCCCACCACAGCTCAAGGAGGGCTGCCTGTCTCTGTAGGCTCCACCTCTGGGGGCAGGGCACAGACAAACAAAAAGACAGCAGTAACCTCTGCAGATTTAAATGTCCCTGTCTGACAGCTTTGAAGAGAGCAGTGGTTCTCCCAGTACGCAGCTGGAGATCTGAGAACGGGCAGACTGCCTCCTCAAGTGAATCCCTGACCCCTGACCCCCGAGCAGCCTAACTGGGAGGCACCCCCCAGTAGGGGCAGACTGACACCTCACACGGCCAGGTATTCCAACAGAGCTGCAGCTGAGGGTCCTGTCTGTTAGAAGGAAAACTAACAAACAGAAAGGACATCCACACCAAAAACCCATCTGTACATTACCATCATCATAGACCAAAAGTAGATAAAACCACAAAGATGCGGAAAAAACAGAGCAGAAAAACTGGAAACTCTAAAAAGCAGAGCGCCTCTCCTCCTCCAAAGGAATGCAGTTCCTCACCAGCAATGGAACAAAGCTGGACGGAGAATGACTTTGACGAGCTGAGAGAAGAAGGCTTCAGACGATCAAATTACTCTGAGATATGGGAGGACATTCAAACCAAAGGCAAAGAAGTTGAAAACTCTGAAAAAAATTTAGAAGAATGTATAACTAGAATAACCAATACAGAGAAGTGCTTAAAGGAGCTGATGGAGCTGAAAACCAAGGCTCGAGAACTACGTGAAGAATGCAGAAGCCTCAGGAGCCGATGCGAACAACTGGAAGAAAGGGTATCAGTGATGGAAGACGAAATGAATGAAATGAAGTGAGAAAGGAAGTTTAGAGAAAAAAGAATAAAAAGAAACGAACAAAGCCTCCAAGAAATATGGGACTATCTGAAAAGACCAAATCCACGTCTGATTGGTGTACCTGAAAGTGACGGGGAGAATGGAACCAAGTTGGAAAACACTCTGCAGGATATTATCCAGGAGAACTTCCCCAATCTAGCAAGGCAGGCCAACGTTCAGATTCAGGAAATACAGAGAACGCCACAAAGATACTCCTCGAGAAGAGCAACTCCAAGACACATAATTGTCAGATTCACCAAAGTTGAAATGAAGGAAAAAATGTTAAGGGCAGCCAGAGAGAAAGGTCGGGTTGCCCTCAAAGGGAAGCCCATCAGACTAACAGCGGATCTCTCGGCAGAAACTCTACAAGCCAGAAGATAGTGGGGGCCAATGTTCAACATTCTTAAAGAAAAGAATTTTCAACCCAGAATTTCATATCCAGCCAAACTAAGCTTCATAAGTGAAGGAGAAATAAAATACTTTACAGACAAGCAAATGCTGAGAGATTTTGTCACCACCAGGCCTGCCCTAAAAGAGCTCCTGAAGGAAGCGCTAAACATGGAAAGGAACAACCGGTACCAGCCGCTGCAAAATCATGCCAAAATGTAAAGACCATCGAGACTAGGAAGAAACTGCATCAACTAACCAGCAAAATAACCAGCTAATATCATAATGACAGGATCAAATTCACACCTAACAATATTAACTTTAAACGTAAATGGACTAAATCCTCCAATTAAAAGACACAGACTGGCAAACTGGATAAAGAGTCAAGACCCATCAGTGTGCTGTATTCAGGAAACCCATCTCACGTGCAGAGACACACATAGGCTCAAAATAAAAGGATGGAGGAAGGAAGATCTACCAAGCAAATGGAAAACAAAAAAAGACAGGGGTTGCAATCCTAGTCTCTGTTAAAACAGACTTTAAATCAACAAAGATCAAAAGAGACAAAGAAGGCCATTACATAATGGTAAAGGGATCAATTCAACAAGAAGAGCTAACTATCCTAAATATATATGCACCCAATACAGGAGCACGCAGATTCATAAAGCAAGTCCTGAGTGACCTACAAAGAGACTTAGACTCCCACACATTAATAATGGGAGACTTTAACACCCCACTGTCAATATTAGAAAGATCAACGAGACAGAAAGTCAACAAGGATACCCAGGAATTGAACTCAGCTCTGCACCAAGCAGACCTAATAGACATCTACAGAACTCTCCACCCCAAATCAACAGAATATACGTTTTTTTCAGCACCACACCACACCTATTCCAAAATTGACCACATACTTGGAAGTAAAGCTCTCCTCAGCAAATGTAAAAGAACAGAAATTATAACAAACTATCTCTCAGACCACAGTGCAATCAAACTAGAACTCAGGATTAAGAAACTCACTCAAAACCGCTCAACTACATGGAAACTGAACAACCTGCTCCTGAATGACTACTGGGTACATAACGAAATGAAGGCAGAAATAAAGATGTTTTTTGAAACCAACGAGAACAAAGACACAACATACCAGAATCTCTGGGACGCATTCAAAGCAGTGTGTAGAGGGAAATTTATAGCACTAAATGCCCACAAGAGGAAGCAGGAAAGATCCAAAATTGACACCCTAACATCACAATTAAAAGAACTAGAAAAGCAAGAGCAAACACATTCAAAACCTAGCAGAAGGCAAGAAATAACTAAAGTCAGAGCAAAACTGAAGGAAATAGAGACACAAAAAGCTTTCAAAAAATTAATGAATCCAGGAGCTGGTTTTTTGAAAGGATCAACAAAATTCATAGACAGCTAGCAAGACTAATAAAGAAAAAAAGAGAGAAGAATCAAATAGACGCAATAAAAAATGATAAAGGAGATATCACCACCGATCCCAGAGAAATACAAACTACCATCAGAGAATACTACAAACACCTCTATGCAAATAAACTAGAAAATCTAGAAGAAATGGATAAATTCCTCGATACATACACTCTCCCAAGACTAAACCAAGAAGAAGTTGAATCTCTGAATAGACCAATAACACCATCTGAAATTGTGGCAATAATCAATAGCTTACCAACCAAAAAGAGTCTAGGACCAGATGGATTCACAGCCGAATTCTACCAGAGGTACAAGGAGGAACTGGTACCATTCCTTCTGAAACTATTCCAATCAATAGAAAAAGAGGGAATCCTCCCTAACTCGTTATGAGGCCAGCATCATCCTGATACCAAAGCCGGGCAGAGACACAACCAAAAAAGAGAATTTTAGACCAATATCCTTGATGAACATTGATGCAAAAATCCTCAATAAAATACTGGCAAACCGAATCCAGCAGCACATCAAAAAGCTTATCCACCATGATCGAGTGGGCTTCATACCTGGGATGCAAGGCTGGTTGAATACACGCAAATCAATAAATGTAATCCAGCATATAAACAGAACCAAAGACAAAAACCACATGACTATCTCAATAGAAGCAGCAAAGGCCTTTGACAAAATTCAACAATGCTTCATGCTAAAAACTCTCAATAAATTAGGTATTGATGGGACGTATCTCAAAATAATAAGAGCTGTCTATGACAAACCCACAGCCAATATCATACTGAATGGGCAAAAACTGGAAGCATTCCCTTTGAAAACTGGCACAAGACAGGGATGCCCTCTCTCACCACTCCTATTCAACATAGTGTTGGAAGTTCTGGCCAGGGCAATTAGACAGGAGAAGGAAATAAAGGGTATTCAATTAGGAAAAGAGGAAGTCAAATTGTCCCCGTTTGCAGATGACATGATTGTATATCTAGAAAACCCCATTGTCTCAGCCCAAAATCTCCTTAAACTGATAAGCAACTTCAGCGAAGTTTCAGGATACAAAATCAATGTACAAAAATCACAAGCATTCTTATACATCAACAACAGACAAACAGAAAGCCAAATCATGAGTGAACTCCCATTCACAATTGCTTCAAAGAGAATAAAATACCCAGGAATCCAACTTACAAGGGATGTGACGGATCTCTTCAAGGAGAACTACAAACCACTGCTCAAGGAAATAAAAGAGGATACAAACAAATGGAAGAACATTCCATGCTCATGGGTAGGAAGAATCAATATCGTGAAAATGGCCATACTGCCCAAGGTAATTTACAGATAGATTCAATGCCATCCCCATCAAGCTACCAATGACTTTCTTCACAGAATTGGAAAAAACTACCTTAAAGTTCATATGGAACCAAAAAAGAGCCCGCATCGCCAAGTCAATCCTAAGCCAAAAGAACAAAGCTGGAGGCATCACACTACCTGACTTCAAACTATACTACCAGGATACAGTAACCAAAACAGCATGGTACTGGTACCAAAACAGAGATATAGATCAATGGAACAGAACAGAGCCCTCAGAAATAATGCCACATATGTACAACTATCTGATCTTTGACAAACCTGAGAAAAACGAGCAATGGGGAAAGGATTCCCTATTTAATAAATGGTGCTGGGAAAACTGGCTAGCCATATGTAGAAAGCTGAAACTGGATCCCTTCCTTACACCTTATACAAAAATCAATTCAAGATGGATTAAAGACTTAAACGTTAGACCTAAAACCATAAAAACTCTAGAAGAAAACCTAGGCTTTACCATTCAGGACATAGGCATGGGCAAGGACTTCATGTCTAAAACACCAAAAGCAATGGCAACAAAAGCCAAAATTGACAAATGGGATCTAATTAAACTCAAGAGCTTCTGCACAGCAAAAGAAACTACCATCAGAGTGAACAGGCAGCCTACAAAATGGGAGAAAATTTTCACAACCTACTCATCTGACAAAGGGCTAATATCCAGAATCTACAATGAACTCAAACAAATTTACAAGAAAAAAACAAACAAACCCATCAAAAAGTGGGCGAAGGACATGAAGAGACACTTCTCAAAAGAAGACATTTATGCAGCCAAAAAACACATGAAAAAATGCTCACCATCACTGGCCATCAGAGAAATGCAAATCAAAACCACAATGAGATACCATCTCACACCAGTTAGAATGGCAATCATTAAAAAGTCAGGAAACAACAGGTGCTGGAGAGGATGTGGAGAAATAGGAACACTTTTACACTGTTGGTGGGACTGTAAACTAGTTCAACCATTGTGGAAGTCAGTGTGGCGATTCCTCAGGGATCTAGAACTAGAAATACCATTTGACCCAGTCATCCCATTACTGGGTATATACCCAAAGGACTATAAATCATGCTGCTATAAAGACACGTGCACACGTATGTTTACTGCGGCACTATTTACAATAGCAAAGACTTGGAACCAACCCAAATGCCCAACAATGATAGACTGGATTAAGAAAATGTGGCACACATACACCATGGAATACTATGCAGCCATAAAAAATGATGAGTTCATGTCCTTTGTAGGGATATGGATGAAATTGGAAATCATCATTCTCAGTAAACTATCGCAAGAACAAAAAACCAAACACCGCATATTCTCACTCATAGGTGGGAATTGAACAATGAGATCACATGGACACAGGAAGGGGAACATCACACTCTGGGGCCTGTTGTGGGGTGGGGGGAGGGGGGAGGGATAGCAATGGGAGGTATACCTAATGCTAGATGACGAGTTAGTGGGTGCAGTGCACCAGCATGGCACATGTATACATATGTAACTAACCTGCACATTGTGCACATGTACCCTAAAACTTAAAGTATAATAAAAAAAAAAGTTTAGTGTCGATGGTTTCTTTACATATCTTCCGAACTTTGTAAGAATGGAAGACCTGTTTACCTTGGATCAATCTCTCTCCTGACTTATATCTGATTATTATCCACTACTTTAGCTATATCTTTTTACAATAGTTTGAAATTATTATACATATGCACATATATATTTTAATTTACATATATCAAACTAGACTTTTAATATTTAATTTTTACATTTCTATGAGTTTTAATGCATGTGATTTTTGAATGGGTGCACTTCCAATAACTATGCATCTAGATCAGAGTGTGTAGTTCAAATGAGAGTGCAGGAATTTCCCACAGATCCTCTTCCTGGCTTAGTGCAGATTGAGTAAGAGGTAAACTCCCATCCTCAGCTTCTCCCTGACAATACATATCTAACATGCCAAATTTTCCAGATGCATCTCAAGGGACTGGCTTCTATCTTGTCTGTCTTGGGGCACTGACAAAACTTGGCACATACTAATTGGGGATCACTGAAAAAAAAGAGATTAAGATAAGCATAAAAGTTGGGGCACCTAGAATCTCTTGCTGAATTGATTAGTGAGGTACATTTCTTAAAAGACACTAGTCTGATAACACAGGGAGAGACAGTTGTCTTACAGACTGTGCAGAAACCAACACAGAGTGTCAATAAAAGTCAGGAAACAAAGAAATATGCTCCGAATAAAAAACCAAGATAAATCTCCAGAAACCAGCCTTAGTGAAATAAAGCTGTGTGATTTACCCAAGAGAAAATTCAAAGAAACAGTCATATGGGTGTTCACACCACGGTCAGGGAAACAATGCATGACAAGCTGAGAATTTCAACAAAATGATAGAAAATATTAAAATGCATCAAACAGAAATCATAGAGTTGAAGATTACAATGACTGAATTGAAAAAATCAATAGAGGACTCTATTGATCAGCAAAACTGAAGACAGGTCATTAGAAATTAATCTAAGTAGAAAAAATAATGAAAAAGACTGAAGACAGCTTTATGGGACTTATGGGTAACAATTACATACATTATAGGAGGATGAGAAAGAGAAAAAAAAGAAAAAGGGACAAAAAGAGTATTTAAAGAAATAATGGCTGAACACTTTCCAAACCTGGGAAAGAAAACAGAAATCCAGATTCAGCAAACCTCAGGTACATCAAATAATATGAATCCAAAGAGTTCCACACTGAAACACATTGTAATTGATTTGACAAAAGTTAAAGACCGAGAGAATTTTGAAAGCAGTGAGAAAAAAAGGCTTGTTACTCAGGAAATGCCATCAGACTATCAGTTGATTTTTCAGTAGAAACATTACAGGCCAGAAGGGGGCAGAAAAATATATTCAAAATGCTAAAAGAAACAAATTGCCATCTATACCCAGCAAACCAGCCTTTCAAAAACAAAGGGAAGATAAAGACTTCTACAGACATACAAAAGCTGAGGAAGTTTATCACCACTAGACATTTCTTATGAGAAATGCTGTAGGAAGTCACTGAAGTTGAAACAGCAGGATGCCAAACAGCAACATGAATGAACACCAAGTATGAAACTCATTAGCAAAGGTAAACATATAGGAACAGAAAGAATATTGTATTACTGTAAGAGTGGTAGATAGATACATGGTAATTTGCTATAAAAGGTAAAAGAGAAAAGTTTCAAATACAACTATAACTAAATTGTGTGAATGGTTCTGCAATATAAGAAGTTGTAAATTGTGACATCAGCAGTGTATAATGTGAGGAGAGGAAAGGTAAAAGCAGTGAATTCTGGCATGCAAGTGAAGTTAAGCTGTTATCAGCTAAGCAGAGACTGTTATAACTATTAGATATTTAAGCCCCTTGATAACCACAAAGAAAATACCTATACAAGTTACACAAAAGAAAAAGGAACAGCAATTAAAATCTAGCAATACAAACAATAAAAAAGAGGCAGGAAGCAAGAAAAAGAGGAACAAAAGAACCACAACACAAAAAGAAAACAGTTAACAAAATGGCAATAGTAACTCATTCTTTGTTAATTATCACTTTAAATATAAATGGTTTAAGCTACCCAATAAAAAGATATAGGCTGGCTAAATGAATTTTAAAAATCCAAGATTCAACTATATTCATCTATAAGATACTCACTTTTGATTCAAGAACACACATTGGCTGAAAGTGAAGGGATGGAAAAAGACATTTCATGCAAATGGAAACCAAAAGAAAGCAGGGAAGCTAAGCTAATATCTGACAATAGGTTCTAAGTCACAAACTGTAACAAGTGACAAAGAAGGTCAACGATAATCACAGAAAGTCAATATAATTTTAGAAGGTCAACATAATGAGAAAGAGATTATTCTATCAAGACGACATAATAATTATACATATATATGCATCTTAGATCAGAGAATATAAACATATAAAGCAAACATTAACAACTAAAGAGAGAAATAGACAGCAATAATGATAGAGAACTTTGATACTACACTTTCAATAATGGATAGATCATCCAGATGAAAATTCAATAAAGGAACATTAAATTTAAGCTGTACCTTAGACCTAATCAACATATATAGAACATTCTATTCAACAGTAATAGAATACACATTCCTCTTAAGTGCACATGTAATAGTCTCTAGGATAGATCACGTTAGACCACAAAACAATTCTTAACAAATTTAAGAAGATCAAAATCATATCAAGAATCTTTTCTGACAACAATGGTATGAAAATAGAAATCAATAAGAGTAGAAAAATGGGAAAGTTCACAAATATGTGAAAATGAAACCAAATGCTTTGGAAATGAGATCAAGAAAAAAATCAAAAACTATCTTGAGAGAAATGAAAATGGAAATACAACGTAAGAAAACTTATAGGATGCAGCAAAAGCAATCTAACAAGAAAGCTTAAAGTGAAAAATGTCTACATTAAAACAGAAGAAAGATCTCAAACAACATACCTCACCTCAAGAAACTAGAAAAAGAACAAACTGAATCAAAAATTAGCAGAATGAAGAAACTAATAAAGACCAGCATAGGAATCAAACAGAAAAGAGAAAAACTATAGGAAATATTAACAAAACTAAAATTTTTTTGAAAATATAAACAAAACCAATAAACCCTTAGCTAGAAGAAGAAAGAGAGAAGATGACATTAAAATTAGATATGAAAGAGGAAACATTATAAGGGATACCTCAGAAATAAAAAAGGATCATAAAGAATATTATGAACAATTACATGCCAAGAAATTGGATAATCTAGAGGAAATAAATTCCTGGAAACATGCAACATATAAAGACTGAACAGAGAAGAAATAGCCTGAAAAGACCAATGACAGAAAAAGTGATTGAAGTGGTAATCAAAATCCTCCTAACAGCAACAAAAGCCTAGGATCAGATGAATTTACAGCAGAATTCTGCAAATTATTAAAAGAAGAATTAATATCCGTAATTCTTAAACACCTCCAAAAAATGAAAATAGAGGGAATACTTCCAAACTCATCTTATGAAGCTAGTATCACCCTGACATCAAAGCTGACAGAGACATCACGAGAAAAGAAAACTATGGGCCAATATTGCTGCTAAACATACATGCAAACATCTTCAACAAAAAACTCGCAAACTAAATACAACAACACAACAAAAAGATTATTCACCATGACTAAGTGAAATTTATTCTTGGGAAGCAAGTTTGCTTTAACATACACAAATCAATATATGTGACACAACACATTAAAAGGATGAAAGATAAAAACCACAGGATCAAGTCAAAGATACAGTAAAAGCATTTGACAAAGTTCAGTATCTGTTCATGATTTTTTTTAATATTAAAGAAACAGGTACAGAAGGAAATTTCTTGAACATAATAAAGGTCATTTATGAAAAGCCCAAAACCAATATCATAATCAATGGGAAAAAACTGAAAGCTTTGCCTCTAATATATGGTACAATGTAAGGATTTCTACTCTCTCTGCTTCTGTTAAACATAGTACTGATAGTACTAGCAGGAGCAATCAGACAAGAAAAAGAAATTAAAGGTATCAAAATTGAAAAGGAAGAATAAAATTATAACTGCTTATAGACTGAATGATTATACATGTAAAATACCCTATAAGGCTACACACACACACACACACACACACACACACACACACACACACAACCTGTTAGAACAAATAAATTCAGTAAAGTAGTAGGGTACAAAATCAACATGGTAAGATCAGTTGCATTTCTTTGTATCAACAATGGTCTATTAGATACACAATTAAGAAAACATTCCATTTATATTGTCATCAAAAAGAATAAACTACTGAGGAATAAATTTAACCAAGAAAGTAAAATATCTGAGCAATAAAAACTATAAAATATTGATTAAAGAAACTGAAGAAGGCACAAATAAATGGAAAGTTCTGTGTTAATGGATTGAAGAATTAATACTGTCAAACTATCCATACTACCCAAAGAGCTCTGCAGATTCAACATAATCCCTATTAAAATTCCAAAGATATTTTTCATAGAAATAGAAAAAACAATATTAAAATTTGAATAGAACCACAAGACTCTAAATAGCCACAACAATCTTCAGAAAGAAAAACAAAGTTGGAAACATATCACTTTCTGATTTCAAATTATATTACAAAACCAGAGTAATTAAATATTATGATACTGGCATTAAAACACATAGACCAATAGAACCGAAAAGAGAGCTTCAGAAATAAACTCAAGCACATATAGTAAGTTATTTTCCACAAGGCCACCAAGAGGACACAATAGGGAATGGATAGTCTCTTCCATAAATGGTGGTGGGAAAACTGAATGTCAACATGAAAAGAAATGAAAATGCCCATTATCTTACACCATTCACAAAGATCAACTTAAAATGAATTAAAGACCTAAACACAAGACCTCAAACTGAAAAACTCTTAGATGAAAATATAAGGAAAAGCTCTCTGATATAAACCTGGGAAATAATTTTTTTGGGTATCACAGCAAAAGCTCAGGCAACAAAACCAAAATTAAGAAATGAGACTATATCATATTAAGTTACTTCCGCATAGCAAAATAAACAATCAACAAAAGAAAAGGGCAGTTAATGGATTGGGAGAAAACGTTTGCAAACCATGTACGTGTAAGGGGTTCATATCCAAAACATGTAAGAGATTCATACAGCTCAATAGTAAAATAGCAAATAACCTAATTTTAAAAAGGGGAAAGAATGTAAATAGACATTTCTCCAAATAAGACATACAAATGGCTAACGGATATATGGAAAAGTGCTCAACAACACTAATCATCAGGGAAATGCAAATCAAAACCATAATGAGATATCACCTGACACATGTTATGATGGCTATTACAAAAAAGAGATAAAAAATGTTGGCAAAGATTTGGAGAAAAGTGAACCCTGTACACTATTAATTGAAACATAAATTGGCATGGCTATTATTGAAAACAGTATTGAGATTCCTCAAAAAATGAAAAAAAGAATTATCCTATGGCTCAGAAATCTCTCTGCTTTGTATACGTACATCCAAAGGAAACGAAATCAGCACATCACAGAGCTAGCTGTGATCCATGTTCACTGCAGCATTATCCACAATAGCCAGGATATGGAAACAACTCAGGTGTCCATCAACGCATGAATGGATAAAGAAATTGTGGTGTATATACCATGGAATATATTTACTCTTAAAAAAAGAGATACTGGCATTTGTGGCAACATAGATGAGCCAGGAGGATATTATGCTGTGTGAAATGAACCAGACACAAAGAAAAGTACTGCATGATCTCATCTATATGTGATACCTAAAACAAGTTCAAATACATACAAATAGGGAGAATAACAGTGGTTTTCAAGGGCAGAGAGGCAGAGCAAAAGGAGAGATATTCATCAAAGTACAAACTTGAAGTTAGGTAGGATGACTAATTATAGAGATCTGATGTATAGCAGAAGGATATAGCTAAAAATACTGTATTGTATATTGAAAATTTGCTAAGAGAGTAGATTTCAGGTGCTCTTACCACAAAAAAAGGTAAGAGCTTACTTATAATAATCATTTCACTATGTATATGTATATCAAAACATTATCTTGCACACCTTAAACACATGCAATGAAAAATAAATAAAAAATAAAAAAGAATATTTGCAAAAATGCAATTGTGGCAAGTAGGTGACATTAGCATGCAGAAAGAAAAAGGTTTCTAACACTTGGAAAACACTAACAGGAACGGCAAATGACTACGTGATGAACAATGAAATGAAAGTAAAACACATTATAAAACATGTTGAAAAACACTCCAGATGTCAACAACACTAAAATTTCAGACATTCAGATAATAAATGCAAGAAAGTATACAGAGTTTACTTCTCAACTTAATCCTAGTTAGGGCAGAGTTCTGACACTATTCTCTGCTTCATTGCAAATGAACATGAACATTCTTTAATGCAATGCATTCTGTTTTAAAGGTTTTACTACACACATAATTGCTCAAATCTCAGTTCAAGCTTAGTAAACAAAATGACTTGAAAGTCGATGGTCCATTAACAACACATATTTTCTAAAACTCAACATTAAGTGGTAAAAGATGAATATATATCACATGCTCTACTTAAATCATTTTTAAAATCTGATATTTTAAAATAATATATTTTATAAATTCTTGGGATAAACAGTGTTTAAGCACTTTCCACTATAACAATGAGTTTAAAAGGTGCAAGGAAAAAGCAACAATGTTTACTAAGATTCTATTTTAAAATATCTATAAGTTTAGTTACATCATATTATTCACATTAAGAGTCAGACCTAAAATGCAATAACCTGTTTTGAAATATTATCTCAACCAATTTCCACAAGTTATAGCCATTTCCAAATGATTTACATTTGTCTATTAGCAATTTTGTTTAAGAGATGTTTCTAATATTTTACAAAGAAAATAGGCTATGTTTAAAATTAAAAAGGCAGACAGATGGAAAGTCTTGTGCCAGCACCCTATGTGTAGGAAATTGGTAGTCAATAACAGGGCTGAGCAAACCTTAACTGGCTTTGGTATCAGCAATGGCCAGAGAATTTCTAGGGCTCCTGAAATCAGCATGCAGAAATCAACTAAGGAGCATCTGGTGCCCAAGTAACATAGGATTTAAATGTGATTGAGATTGAAGTAGATGGTAACACATTTAGCAAGGAATTTCAGCCAAATATTCAGTACAAGTTGCAGAAAATATAAAAGATTAAGATACATGGTAGATTTGATATTAAATATTTTTGATAATGATATACTAGTTACTGTCTTTTGATATAAGTTCCTAAAAACAAGTGAAGTAAATTTGAAGGAATTAGTTTTAGTGGAATAGCATTGGCAACTATAGGCTTTTTTCTCAAAGAGTTTCATTCATGCTTCATGTGTGTATATATATATACATTTATATATATGTAGTTTTATATATACAAAACTACTTGTACATATGTAGATATATATATCTGCATAGTTATAGATATATACATGTACATATGTAGTTATGTATATATAACTGTAGTTATATATATTGCTGTAGTTATATTTGTATATATAGATACACATATATATGTATTATATATACAATTATATATAATGGCTGTACTTATACATATAAAACTGCAGCTGTAGTTTGCTAGTTTGCTTTTTATCGTAAGTAAGACAAACAGAATCATGATTTTGCAAGAAATAATTGAGATAACTACTTCCCAAAGAATTTTCTGCTTTAAGTGGTTTACAGAAGTTTAGATTACCCATTTCTTTCCTGTCTGTCACAGGTTCTCCTACAATCGGACACAGAAGTATCTTTTCAGCTTTGTCTTTCAACTCTTTTCTTAATTACATACCTGGCATTTGATTATTCAGTATTTTGAAAGCAATGGTACTGTCATAACTGCTAGTATTTTCCAAGGACCTTCTCTGTGCCCATACTGACTTTTAATAACATCCTAACCAATTTATCTATCAAGCAAAGGGCTACATATTCTTGATAGCTCAAATGGCACCTATTTGGTGAAGGCTATTCTAACCATCTGCCTTCACCTGGTATTGGAATTTAACACTTTGTGTTACCTATTTATCTTGCTCACTGAGTTGTAACATTCCCAAGGACACTGAGACTTCTGCTCTGAAAATAACACAGACAGGAGACAGGGAAATACTGGGTAGAAGAGGGCGGTTCCCCGGCAAAGACCCCACCCTCAAGCCTGGATACCTGTGGCCCTAAATGAGAACAGGTATTTCTGTTTTTGTGCCCCAAAGCTGCCTTTTGGCCTGCCACACTCCCTATCCTACCCCCAGCCATGCCCCCATCCTGCCCCCATGTAAACCCTGAACCCCAAGCTCCAGAGCAGACCAGCAAGTGAGGACATTGATGAGGAGGCAAGCAGACAGACAATGGAACAATGTAGGGGAGAAAGAGAGAAGAAGAGGGACATCTGAACACTGAGAAGAATTTGGCTGGGGGAAGTCAGGAAAGAGTCCGGCCACTAGGTGGCCCAACTCCAGACGAAGATCACCTTCCCACTCCATCCCTGCTTCCGGCTCCCCATCCGTATCACTGAGAGCCACCTCTACCACTCAATAAAACCTTGCACTCACCCTTTGAGCCCACATGTGATCCAATTCTTCCAAGATGCCTGGCAAGAGCTTAGGATACAGAAATCTGTCACACTGGTTCTTTACCCTTGCAATAAGGCAGAAGGTCCATTAAACTGATTAACACTCAAGCCTTCTGCGGAAGGCAAAGCTGAAAGAGCTTTGCAAAACTGGGGTTGCAGACACTCACCCCTAGACACTACAGTGGAGTTGGAGCCCAAAGCGCTCACCTGGCCTCTGCATCTGCCCGTCTGCATGCTCCCCCTCCCTCAAGCAGTTTGAGCTGCAGGGCAACCAAACAGGCAAGCCACACCCCAATCATATGTCCTGCAAGGGGAATCAGGGAACTCTCCCATTTCAAAAACAACCCCTGACAAACAGTATTTAACATTAATCAAGACTTGGATCTTGAATATAAATTTTATGGTATTAATTAGGAAACTTATAGATTCAGCCCAGAACTCTCTCTGGAATCCCAGACCTCTCTCTGGAATCTCAGACTTGTATATCCAAATGTCTTTATGTCCAACTGCTATGTGAACCTTCCCCTCTTGAATCTCTTTTAGGCATTGCAAACTTTACCTCAAGTGATGCTCTTGACTGCTGTCTAACTTCCCTCACATTTTTGTCTCTCCCAGTTCTTATGGTTTAGGTTAAGGTACCACCATGTACCTAGTTTTTGAAGGTAAAACCCTAGATTGTAGAGTGAGAATTAGTCTTTTTTTTTCCCCACCCGTTGCATCCAATCTATCAGCAGTGACAATATATTTGACCTCAAAAACAAATCCTAAATTTTCCTCTGTCTCTCCACCTCTATTACCACCTATGTAGTCCAAACAACTATTTTCTCTTATACCCTGGGCTCCAAATTGTTCTCCCTACCTCTTCCCTTGTTCCCCTATAATCCATTCTCCATACTGTAGCCAGAGCTATGACTTTCTTTTAACATTTTTACTGCAATACTATATATATAGTAAAATTTACTGTAATGTACAATTAAATGAATTGTAATATATTTAGAGTAATATAACTGTCATTACACAATCTAATTTTAGAACATTTCCATCACCCCCAAAACCAAACTTCTGTCCATTTGCAATAATTCTTCATTCCAACATCCATCTCTAGGTAGTCTCTTTATATTTCCCTTTTTCTTCACATTTCATATAAACATCATACAATACATGGCTTTTTCTATGTGTGTATATAAACTTGAAAGAGAATATACAAAACCTACTTAAGGAAAACATTTTTAAATTCCCTAAAGACACAAAAGTAGAACAGACGGTAAGACACAGAAATATGTCTTATATGAATAGGAATATTTTATAATTTTATAAATAACATTTATAATAGAAATATTAGTTTATTAGGAATAGTAATAGGAATATATGAATATGAATTAGAAGGTTCAATATCATAAAGGTAATAGCTGCAAATTAATTTATAATTTTAACTCTAACAATAAATATACCAAGCTATTTTCTCCAGAAAGTCACAAACCCTTTATAAAATCTATTTAGCAAAATAGTTATAGCAAAATAATACATAACAAAATTACACAAGCAAAAAATGAGAAGCAGCCAGCCTACTAGAGAGAAAATACATTGGAAGGTCTCAATACTTACAACAATGTAGTAGTAGTGTCTGGATGGGTAATTCAACAGAAGCTAACAGAAAGCCCAAAAGTATATGGGAATATAACATGCAGTAATAACAGCATCTCAAAATATGGGGGTAAAGAATGTATTAATAGATAGTGTTGGAATGACCTAACAGCTATCTGGAAAACGGTAAGTTGAAGCAAATATTTAAATGTGTGGCAGATCAAAGATAGAAATTCTTCATCACTCCTTCCTTCCATGAAAAAGCAGGACAATCCATTTTTCCACACGTTTATGTCTGACCTGGTCCTATACTGATTTTGCCAATATAATACAGGTGCAGGTGACACTGTGGAAATTATAGGTCTAGTCTATAAAAGGACTAGAAGCTGCCTCCTATTAAAACAATTGCCATGGTATAAGAAAAGCCAGCGGCTATATGGATAGGCCCATATGGAGGAAAATTGAGGTCCTTAGCCAACAGCCTGTGCTGAACTCTTAGTTAATGGGGGTGGAAGATTCTCCATCCCCAGTGAAGCTGGCCCAGCCGGTGCCATGTTGGGGAGAGATAAGCTATCCCAGCTGAGCTCTGCTCAAATTATGAATAAACCCTATGCTTGGGTTGCTCGGGATGTCTGAAATCAACTGAAGGCTCAAATGAGAGCTCACGTGGAGTCCTAACTGAGGGCTCAGTTGAGGTCACTCTCTAGCAGTGTCAGCTCTCTGGATATAGGCCTCTCCCTGAGGATGCCTTTATACATGATAGCTAGATTCCAAAAAGGAGCATCTCATTAGTAAGCTCCAAAGAGGGAAGAAAAACAACTGTCAGTATAATTAAGGGCTAAACATAAAACTACCAACACATCACTCCAACCACAGTTGACTGGTCAAAGCATTCATAGCCCCCATCTACAGTCAATACAGAGAGTACAGATGGGCATGAAAATCTGGATACTGAGGTCACTGGGGGGTGACCAAGCTAATAGTATACACAAAATGTAAAAATGAAGCCATAACTGGGTAAACTCCTTTGTAAACTTGAAGTAAGCTGAGTCTTTCTACCTATGACTCAAATTCCAGAAACCATAAAAGAAGTTTACAAAATTTGAAATCAAGCATAAATATATCTTCATGTTTGCTATGGTCAGAAAGTTTGTAAACTTCAAAATTTCATATGCTGAAATCTTAACCCCCAGGGTGATGGTGTTGGGAGGTGGGGTCTTTGGGGAGGTGTTTAGATTATGAGGGCAGAGCCCTCATGATTGGAATTAGTGCTTTAATAAAAGAGATGGCAGAGGCCAGGTGTGGTGGCTCATAGCTGAAATCCCAGCACTTTGGGAAGCCACGGCTGGTGGAGCACAAGGTCAGGAGTTTGAGATCAGCCTGGCCAACATGGCAAAACCCCATCTCTACTAAAAAAATACAAAAATTAGCTGGGCATGGTGGTGTGCACCTGTAATCCCAGCTACTCAGGAGGCTGAGGCAGAAGAATTGCTTGAACATGGGAGGCAGAGGTTGCAGTGAGCTGAGATCGCACCACTGCACTCCAGCAGAAAGCTAGCTAGCTCCTTTCACCATGTGAAGATACAGCTGTATGGTGCCATCTATGAATCAGGAAATAGCCCCTCGCCAGACACCAAATCTGCTGATGCCTAGATCTTAGACGTCCCAGCCTCCAGAGCTGTATGAGATATACTTCTGTTTCTTATAAGCCACCCAGTTTATGGTATTTTGTTACAGCAGCTTTAACAGAGTAATACATTGTTAAAAAAAAAAAAAAAGTATTTAAAGAATTAAATGGTAAACAGAGAAAAAATATTTTCAACTCATACCAGAGACAAACAGTTATCCTACTCAAGGTTAAAGAGCTTCTAGAAATAAAGAATAAAAAGATTAACAATCTAATTGAAAAATGAGTAAAGGACATGAATAGTTTGCAGAAAAAGAAAATACCACCCTTGAACACTGGATAATATTTTTGGCTTTGCTTTTCTTCAAGATGTGCAAATCAGAACCACTTTAAAACATCATTTCCCACTTAGCAGGTAGCAAAAATCCAAAGTTTGACAAAACACTCTTCATGCAGTTGGTAGGAAAATAATGTGGTAAAACCCTACAGAGGGTAATCTGCTCATAGCTATAAAAATTACAAATATAATTTCCATTAAGCAAGCAATCCCATTTGGAATTTATCCTATAATTATACCTGCACACATACAAAATGAACAATGTACAAAGTTCATAACAATGAAAAAGAAAAACATCAAGAGTCTGTTTATAGGGACTAAATAAGTTAGGGTATAATCATACTACAAAATAGAATGCATTTATAATAAAAGAAACAAAAGAGGTTGGCAATGGAAAGATATCCAAGTTATATTGATAAGTGACAAGAGTAATATGTAGTAGAGGGTACATACCATATTTCTTCAACTCTAACAGATGAGGTTTTTCACATTCTAATATTTCTAACATTGCAATGTTCTTTATAATCAATGCTGTCACCCTTTAATTGCCAAGATTTTTTCTTTCTTGGTGGTACACAAAAATGTTGTGCAAATTGTCTGAACTCAGGTTTAACGAAATACAGAAATATATTATTTTTGTATAATAAAGGAGGGATACATGTTTACACATTTGCATATGTTGATATTGGAATATGCAACATCCTGATAAAGGAAACCTGGAAGGATAGATAATAAACAAGTGTTTATCTATGAAGGCAGGGAGGGAAAGTGTGGACTAGGTTATAGATAAATGTGAAACTTTTTAATTTATAACTTTTTATTTTTTCCTAAATTTGAATTATGTTAATATATTACTTATTTTAAAAATTAAATTAAATTGAAATAAAACCTAACACTCCAAAATCAAATTTCGTTTTTAAAAATCTAGTATAGAAGAACCTACATTTGTTTTTTATGCACTACCTCACATTCTTGCTAAGACAAAAGCTGAATTTTTTCCAAGCATTAAGAACTTGCTGAGAGCTTTATATTTAGAATCTAAATTCTGGCAAAGACATTTAAGATAATATCCAGTTCATGTAGACATGAATATATATGCTTTATGATCAATATTACCTGAAAATATCACTACCAAAGTGATGTTGCTGGCTTTAAAATCTTTAATAAAGCAAAAAGAACATAGCTTTAGTAATTGGGCATCCTCTTTTCAATGGATATACTTAAATTGTTTAGCATTCCTGTATTCAGATAATTAAATTAACTTTAAATATTAAATTTTTAACATAAAAAAGATGAAACCAATTATAATTTATTCTGTATCTTGTGAATTTCAATATTGAGTAAGGACTTCTCTTTTTCCTCTAGCTGAAATAACACATATCACTATGATTTAATAGCCTGAACAAAAGAGCACTGGCCACTTACTATGTATGACAATAGCTTCTGCCAGGCATGATTCTACGTACCTACATTCATAAAACGTTATTCCACTGTTACCATTAACTGTCAGCTTTCAGCATCAAAGTCACCTTCATTTGAAATCCAACAAACATTTATATTAAGAAAAAATAAGTAATTCTAAGCACAATAATTAGACGTATTAAGTAGAATAACAACTAGATAAAGGATGACAGTACTCAGGCTACCACCAAATATTTCACTCATCAGGTAGCAAAACTATACAGGTTTTATAAAGGTTAAACAAAAAGAGATCATAGACATTGTGACTGTTACTTATTATGCATTATTCTCCTTGCCAAGATTTTTTGGAGAATGTATTTGGTTTTCACCATTCTCATTAAACTAACTGCTATTAAAATACCTCCTAGTTGTTCACTAATGAGCAGGTAATTCACTAATTAGGAAACATTCAAAATAAGTACATTTTAACAAAATTTAAAAAAAGTTCCTGCATTATTCTAAAATTACAAATCAACATAGAATTTGAATCAGTATATGATTAAAATTTTGGAGTAAAAGACTAAAACTATCAACAAAGACAGCAAAAGTGAAATGAATCTTAACAATTCTTCATCTTTTAATAGGTTGCTAGCATGCATGCCATCCCTGGCTAAATCATGTGATATGTACTTTTAATTGATATAAATTTCTGCATAAAATAGATCTGCAAAATTAAATGGAAAAGTTTTCATTAGGCAAACTCTAATTTTGAATTAATCTTCAGGACAAAATGAGATATGTTTTCATTTAGAAAAACTTATCCCAATACACATCAAAGAGTAATTAAAACACAGTAGTTCACTTTACCACACATATTAAAGGAAAAGAAGGACAGCAGTCTAAAAAAGCATTATCTTTAATTTGTAAAATATTAACGTCACTAAACTGTGATTTAATACATTAAGATTCTAGATAATAATCACCTAGCTACATACCATTTCACAGCTACCATAAGATTCTACACTCAATCTTCACTATAAAATTAAGAAATGTTCAGTTTGAAAACTAAATGCAACAGTTGTTTACCCAGTATTGGGTCCTTGCTAAACAATGTTTGTTAAGCAAACAGGAGGCTCTTGACAAATACTCATTGTTTGTCCTGGCTGGACAAACAGGTATATCATTTACCATGCCTTCCACAAAACTGAATTTCGGTTGTTAGTAATTGGAATATGATTCATCAATAAGTATGCCATTAAGTGATTATAAATGTGTTGATACTCATTGTTTTGAGCAGCCTCCTGGGGTGCATGTGAAAGCCCCTGGGCAGAATAACTACAGCCACAATTAGCCTCCTTTACTAACCTTAGTGTATCTTGCAAACATTAATGTGTAACTTAATGTGAAACTGTCTAGGTATCATAATACAGTCATAATTGCATTATTTCTAAATATAGTATATGTAAAAAAATCCAATAATCTAAGTACCTGGGCAGTTTTCCTTGTTTCAGCCGACTGATAAAGTAACCTAAAGTAGTCCATAGAGGTTATAATTTAGCTTTCTTACATACTCCACTCAGATTCCTAAAATATTCATAATAGTCTCCGTAATATCATTTAGCAACTCAACTGTCCTAAAATAGTGCATTTTAATTAGATTTTGCATTTCAAAGAACATTCTACATAGAAAACAATTTTATGCAACTTATATCAATAACCTAAGATAAAAGAATAGCCAAAGGTTATATGTAAATTACTAATTATCTAAAGGAAGCAAAACTGATTTACTGCTTAATTTATGTTAGCTCTTCTGTTAGGCAAATAACTATTCTGAAAGTAATAATAAATTGTCCACATCTACAGGAGATACGTGTTTCATGTTAAATGATATAACACAAAACCAGCTTCTAAGAATAGCATATTTCTTGCACTTTGATTAGAAAACTACAGCTCTTGCCCAGGTGCAATGACTCACACCTGTAATCCCAACAATTTGGGAAGCTGAGGTAGAAGGACTGCCTAAGCCTAGGTGTTCAAGACCAGCCTGGGCCATACAGCAAGACACCATCTCCAATAATAATAAAAAAAAGAATGAAAAAAAGAAAACTATAGCTATCGTATAGAATTGTTTAAACAATTATGTGTTTTCTGAAAGTCAAAGATAATTTACCAATTATAGATGTCATTGGAGTTCACAATGTCACTACTTCAGCATGAATAGAAATAAGAAATAAGAAGCTAACACTTTTACTCAAACAATTTTAGAGAAATAGACTGAGTAGAATCTTGCTAACCTGTACGTCTATGGAAATTAATGTTATTTTATGGCAATAACTTGGCATTTTTAAGAACAAAATATACTTTTATACTAGTAGAAAAATTTAGGATGGCAATAATAAATAATAAAAATAATCAAATGGTAAATTTGCAAAATATATAACGACTTTTAAAGTTTTTAATTATAATCTTACATAGTTTGATTGAAAATACTTACCAAGTATAGATTTGAAATTTGGATGCTATTGTACCATAAGCTATTAGTAGTTGATGAGTGTGTGCTTCTAAGTCATTCTAAGTTAATTTCCAAAGCAAGCCATTAGGACCAAAGTAATAAATATTAATTGCTATAAATGCATAGGTAGAAAGCCAGAACTTGAATGCCGTAAGTCTGTACCATTACTCAACACAATAACATGGTACAAATGTATACTTGCATAACATAATAACCATGCAATTACATAGTCTTTCTACACCAACATAAAAAGCAGTTACACACACACACAAACTCACACACACATTCATTTAAATGAAGGAAAAAGTAGCAGAAGCCTTTTTTTATTATTTTACATTATTGTCATATTTCATAGAATTTATAACATGATCTAAAGCAGTTTGCCAACATTTTAATTTAATTCTCTAAGACTGTAATTTAGCTTGCTGCATCTTAAATTTCCTACTGAAATTCTCAGTCATTTTCCTTATATTACTGTTATAAACTTGAGTTAGAGCCATGTAGTTTTTGAGAGGTACTCCACTGTAGTGTGGTTCTAAAAATTATTTCTCAGAATTACATAGCTGGATTGGTATCCTGGAATTCTTAAAAATATCTCTCTAAAAGAATATTCTAAGTGCATTAGAAATGCTCCACTGTAGAAATAAATAGTAAAGAGAAATAAAGATATAAAGTGTTCAAAATGTGACTATAATGAAAATAAGTTTGTACAGTTTTGACTTCTCATCAATAGATGTGAAATATTATTTTTTATGTTGCAAAATAATTCAGAATTATAATAATTTATTAGAACTTTACAGTTACATGCAAAAATATACAAAAACAGGTTATAAAGAATATGCTATTATTAGCGTAAGTAATGTAGAAAAAGATGTATATTCATATTGCTTCTGTATGTATAAAATAACTTCAGAAAACTATACACACACAAAAAAGCCCTGATAACACTGATTGGCTATAGAGAGGAGAGAATAATTGAGTGGGTGGGTAATGCTGGTGGCAATGTTGAACTCTGAAACATATAGACATATCACCTATTAAAAATAGATATGAAAACATGTACAAGGTATAAAAATAATGCTTGATTTGATAGCAAACTTTCCATGTTTATTTCCAATAAAGAGGAGATGACTTCTAAAAATCTCTTCCATTAATAGAATAAAATTTTATAATACCAAATTGCCAAGGAAAGGAAAAACATACATCTATTAAAAAGAGATATAAGAAAAAAATTATCTTCAATTCTAGCTACTCAAGGAACTAGAACAAATTGGCCACAGAAAATGAGTTTGAATGGGCTGTGGGAATACAGAATCAAGCTTTGATTGACTGCCCTTGTTCAAAGTACTGGTTACAATGCTTCATAATTGTTACAATATAGTAACAGTGGATTTCAGACTGGAAATAATTAATATACTATAATAGTTAACATTTTCAATATTACATTCATGCATGAATCTAATACCATGTTCATTCAATATACTCTAATAATGGTTTACCTAAATATCACAATTAAAGTACATGAATCATTTCAGTGAATGACAATAAACTAAATTAGACCATAATTATGCTGGCATCAAAATAATTTAAAAATAAATAAATATACTATGCAGCAGGAATACCCTGTAATTTATAGATAAGGACAGTACAGGTCGAACACCAGTTCAGCATGATTTCCAGTACAGATGTGATTCTTGGACATGAGGAGAACAGAATTACTTATCTAATGAGGATATCAAAATCAACCAGACTAGGCCTTTTTTTCTAATTATATTATTTTAAGATATCCTCTTTGGTTGAGAATCACTGTTATAGTGAACCACTGCTAGTGATGGAGTATGCACAATATCTGTCATTCAATATATTACCTATTTCCATGTTCCTTACAATGTGGTTGAATTATTGTGA
This sequence comes from Homo sapiens, assembly GCF_000001405.40. NCBI lineage: Eukaryota > Metazoa > Chordata > Mammalia > Primates > Hominidae > Homo > Homo sapiens. The sequence continues at coordinate 115,563,769 of NC_000010.11, read as the reverse complement.
AAGCCAATTATTCAGGATGCTATTATTGCAAACATATTTTTATTCTGAGATAAAATACAAAATAGTTACTAAGACAACTATGTATTGTTAAATGACTAAATTTATTTTCAGAAAATTAATAAAGCATTATAACTATGTTCAAATCACAATAAAATTATTTTGTTTAAAGCTTTTTTTTCCTTAAATTAGAACCAGTAGAATATATTTTAAAAGCTCATGAGAAGAAACTTTATATATAAAATACATACTGCTGAATTCTGTATTAGGTTTAAATCTGTATATAAATGCCTGTTAACAGTATATACCTAGCAAACAAATTCCCCTGTAAGGGGAGGTGGGTGGTGGTAGGAAGAGAATTGCTCAGCACGGATGTGCAAATTATGGCATAATTCTTTAAATGAAGGAAATTCTATATTTTAAGCAACAATTTACAGAATGATGAATGAAGTTAATATGGAATGCAGGTAGCATTATCACCTGCAAACTCAACTTTTAACATGTCAAATCCTGTCAACAAAATTCAGGGAAACTATATTACTATCATTCCACAGTAATTTATGCAATATAAAGAATCTTACACTGTTGCTTTAACAGGCGCTCACCAGAAGCAGATACTGGTCCCATGCTTCTTGTACAGCCTGTGGAACCATGAGGCAAATAAACCTTCTTCCTTTATAAATCACCCAGCCTCAGGTATGTTCTTTCATAGCAACACAAAAGAACTAAGAAATATACTGTGTAGTATAATAACACCATCTTGATTACCATAGTTTTGTAGTAAGTTTGAATTCAGGAACTGTAAATTTGTTCTTTTTCAAAAATGTTTCTGCTATTTAGGGTCCTTTGCATTTCCATGTAAGTTTTTGAATCTACTTGTCAATTTCTAGAAATGTATTAGCCCATTCTCACACTGGTTATGAACTTAAGCCCAATTTGTGCAAGACATACTTGAGACTGGTAAAGCGGCTTAATTGACTCACAGGTCAGCATGGCTGGGAGGACTCAGCAAACTTACAATCATGGCAGAAGGGGAACTGAACACATCCTTATTCACATGGGGACAGGAGAGAGAATGAGTGCCCAGTGAAGGGGGAATCCCCTTATAAAACCATCTGATCTCAAGAGAACTAACTCACTATCATGAGAACAGGATGGGGGAAACGGCCCTCATGATTCAATTATCTCTATCTTGTCCCTCCCATGACATGGGGGAATTATGGGAACTACAATTCAAGATGAAATTTGGGTGGGACACAGCCAAACCATTTCAACAAAGAAGCTTGTCAATTTCTACAAAGAAATTTGTAAATCACCCATTTAGAGCATAAGATTCAATAATATTTAAATTTTTCATAAAGCTGTACAACAATTACCACAGTCTAATTTTAAAACATTTTCATCATCCCAGAAAGAACCCATGTACCCATTAACAATCATTCTCCATCTGGCCCCACATTCCATCAAATACCCAAGCACAGCACAAGGCAACCGTGAATTTACTTACTGTCTCTTTAGATTTGCCTAATGTTTTCAAGGATCTTTCTTTGTTATAACATGCATCAGTACTTCATTCCTTTTTAATGTAGAATAATATTCCATTTACACATATATCACCTTTTATTTGTCCATTCATCAGTTGTTAGGCATTTGGGATATTTCTACTTTAAAGCTGTAATGAATAATGGTGCTATAAACATTAACGTAAAAGTTTTATATAGACCTACGTTTTCATTTTTCTTCAGTATTCACCTAAGAGTGGAATTGCTGGGTCATATGGAAACATTAATATTGCAAGGAATTGTCAGAGTGTATTACACTACAAAGTGTCAGTTTTAAATATTCAACAACAATGTGTGAGGAATCTAATTTCTCCACAGCCTCACCAACATTTTGGTGATAATTGGTGATGATTATTGGTGAATAATAATAACATTATTATCGATCACAAGCATTTAGTGGTATCTTATTGTAGGTTTGATTTCTATTTCTGCTAATGCTAACATTGTTGAGCATCTTTTCATTTTCATGAGTTACTGACCACACAAACACACACACACACACACACCCACACACACACACCCACACACACACACACACACAGAGTTGTCCCTCGGTATCTGCAGGAGATTGGTTCCAGGATCCCCGCAAGGATACCAAAATCCAGAGATGCTCAAGTAAATTGTTTAAAAATGGTGTCATAGTGGCATATAACCTATGCACATTTTCCCATTTATATCATTTCTAGATTACTTATAGTGCCCAATACAATGCAAATGTTATGTAAATAGTTGTTATAATGTATTTTTATTTATATTTATTGTTATATTTTTCAACATTTTTTCAGAATATTTTCAATCCTTGAGTGAATCCACAGATGTGGAAACCATGAATACAAAGGGCAAACTGCATATATTATATGGAGAAATGCCTACTCAAATTCTTTATACATTTTTAAGTGGGTAATTTGCCTTTTGATTACTGACTTGGAAGAGTCCTTTGCATATGTAGATACAAATATCTTATCAGATATATGATATGCAAAAGTGTTCTCCCATTCTGGAGGTTGTATTTTCATTTTCTTCATGGTGTCTTTTAAGCACAAAAGTTTTTAATTTCAATGAATTCCAATTTTTTTTTCTTTAATCACCTTTTCTTTTGATGTCATGTCTAAGAAGATTCTGAAAGATCAAGAAGATTTTCTTCTGTATTTTCTTCTAAGAGTTTTATAGTTTAGGTGTCACATATTGGTGTATCGATTCCTATTGACTTTATTTGTGTATGGTGATACGAGTAATGGGTCCAACTTCACTCTTTTGCTTGTGGCTACCCAGTTGCCTAGCCCCATTTGTTGCAAAGATGAATCTTTCTTCCATTTAATTGTCTTGGTACCCTTGTAAAAATCAATCAACTATAAATGTAAGAGTTTATTTCTAGATTCTCAGTTACATTCTATGGATCCAAATGTCCAGTCTTATGTCCATATCACACCATCTTGATTACTATACTTGCATAGTAAGTTTGAATTTATGAAGTGTAAGCTTTGTTCTTTTTCAAGAATGTTTTTGCTGTTTAGGGCCCTTTGCCTCTCCCTGTGGATTTTAGGATCTACTTGTCAATTTCTACAAATAAACTACCTAGTATTTGGATAAGTATCATGTTGAATTTGTAGATAAGTTTGGGAGTACTGTCATCTTAACAACATAAAGTCTTTGAATCCATCAACATATAGTATCTTTCCATTTATTTAGGTCTTCTTTAATTTCTTTCAACAATGTTTTATAGTTTTCAGAGTGATATGGTTTTGCTGTGTCCCCACCCAAATCTCATCTTGCATTGTAGCTCCCATAATTCCCACCTGTCATAGCAGGGACCCAGTGGAAGGTAACTGAATCATGGGGAGGGTCTCTCCCATACTGTTCTCATGATAGTGAATAAGTTTCATTCACCTTCTGCCATGATTGTGAGGCCTCCCCAGCCATGTGGAACTGAGAGTCAATTAAGCCTCTTTTCTTTACAAATTACCCAGTCTTGGGTATGTCTTTATTAGCAGTGTGAATATGGACTAATACACATAGCATATGTTTTCTACTGCTTTTGTTAAGTTTGTTCCTGTGTATTTTATTCTTATTGATGCTATTTTGAATTGAATTCGTTTTTAGTTTTACTTTCAGGTTTTTCATTGCTAATGTATAGAAATACAACTGATTTTTATATTGCTCTGGCATCCTGAACCTTGCTAAAATTGTGTATTAGTTCTAACAGGTTTTTTAGTGGATTTCTAAAGAATTTTATTTACAAAACATGTTATTTGCAAATAGAGATAGCTTTACTTCTTTCTTCCCAATCTAGATGGCTCTTATGTCATTTCTTTGCCTAACTGCTCTGACTACTATATACAGTAAAATGTTGAATAGAATTAGAGAGAGTGGACATCCTTGACTTGTTCCTGATATAAGTGATTTAAAAAAAGTTAAGTATGATGCCAGATGTGGGTTATTGGCAGATGCCTTTTATCAGGTTGAGGATTTCCTTTTCATTCCTAATTTGTTGGGTGTTGTTATGGTAAAAGGTTGTTGGACTTTGTCAAATGCTTTCTCTATATCTATTGAGATTCTCATGTGATTTGCATCCAAGCTCCTTTTATTGGTGAATGGTATTTAGAAATCAAGATCTAGGCAATATGTATGCTAAAATAAAGGGAACCAGAGATCCTTGGAGAAATAGCTAATTCTAGGACTGGGGCAAGAAGTGTACAAGCTAAACCTGAAGTTTCTTATGGTACCAAAACGTAAGAAGGGTTGCGCATGTGCGTGCGTGCGCGCGCGCACACACACACACACACACACACACACACAAACACCAAGAATGAGAGTATGTCAGGAATGGAGGAACCACTGGAAAGAGTTCTCTAATATTAGAAAACAAGATCTGGGTGCTAGATGTGCTTGTTGCAAACAGAATGTTGATGTATCTAATTGGAAATTTAAAAATAACAAATGCAATCTCTGTGCTTGCTATAGGTTTATTTAGATTTTATCTTTTTGAATTGATTTTGCTAGTTTGTGCAAGCTCTAGAGCTAATGATGGGGACAGTGGCCCATAACTCTCTTAAATAATGTTCCTGCTTCATGAGCAGGGTGTTGAGCAGAGGTGTTACTTTTTTATATTCTCATATTATCTCGCCAGTCATGAAATTTCTGCCCTATAAGCAAGGTGGAGAGAGGGAGACTGGGTCCCTGTTATTATCAGGCTGCTATGCCTTGAGAAGAGCTTCTTGCCATACAAGTGGGGCTCATTAGAAGAAGAGAGCCTCAGGCCTCAGCTGATTTTGTCTGGAATATAGCATCTGCAAAAGGGAGCTGGGGGGATGAGAAGTGCTAGTCACAGTGAGCTAGAAGGGGGTAGGAAGGGAGCAAGTTGAGGCTCAAATGCTATAGATTTGCTGTTCTTACTGAGAATTAGTAGATTTTCTTAAATAAGTTTGAGGCAGGAAAATAGGGTCTGCAGACAGGGAACTTAAGGCCAATTTGAGCAAATTTCTAAAACAGAAAACACCAAGGTCTGGGGGCAGAAAATCTAGGGCCAATTCATGCTGACTTCCCAAAGCTGGATCAAAAGGAAAACGCCTAGGTTTGGGGGCAGGGAACCTGAGGCCAATTAATACAAACTTCCTAAAACTAAACCAAAAAGAAAAAAAGAACCCTCTCCCCAAGCTGAGTAACAAAGGATCAAAAGCTACTCTCCCTACAGCCCTCCCCCTTCCGCCACATCTCAGATGGAAAGGGAGAGTGCCTTGGATAGGCCACAGGCCGAGCAGGGACCATCCCTTTATCTGCATGGGCTGCCAATTCACCTCAGCCTTTAGCCACAGACAAAACCTTCTTCCAGATAAGGGGTAGCCAATAAGAACCTCAAATTGGGTACTTAAAACCCAGAAAACTTTGCATCCAGGCCCTTGACCAGCTTGCTCAGGCCTCCTCCCACTCTGTGGAGTGCTTTCTCTCTTTAATAAGTTTCTGCTTTTGCTGCTTCTTTGCTGCATTTCATTCCTCTGCTACTTTGTGCATTTTGTTCAATACTTTGTCCAAATCTCCAAGGACCCGGGCAACTCATACTCAAGACCCTCCACCAGTAACAAGTGTTTCTTTGTTTTCCGTATGCACTTAAAACTATTTCCAGGTATTTTAAATGGTTTTTTTTTTTTGTTTTTTTGTTTTTTTGTTTTTGAGATGGAGTCTTGCTCTGTCGCCAGGCTGGAGTGCAGTGGCAGGATCTCGGCTCACTGCAACCTCTGCCTCCTGGGTTCAAGCAATTCTCCTGCCTCAGCCTCCCAAGTACTTGGGACTACAGGCGTGCACCACCACACCCGGCTAATTCTTGTATTTTTAGCAGAGATGGGGTTTCACCATGTTCGCCAGGATGGTCTCGATCTCTTGACCTCATGATCCGCCAGCCTCGGCCTCTCAAAGTGTCGGGATTACAGGCATGAGCCACTGTGCCCAGTCGGTTGTTTGTTTTTTAAAGATTTTTTCACTAGTTAGCGTTGTTTGTCTGGAGAATAGGTCTCAGGGGATCCTCTTGCTGCCATTCTGGAAGTCATCTTGTTCCATTCTTTCTCATCAAACTTCAGTCAAACTTTTGCATCCATCAGTCCACTAAAATTGCTGTTGTTGGGGTCAGCAATGATTTCTAAGTGGCTAAATACAATGGTCAATTTTCAGTTATTTCACTTGAACCACCAGAATTTTTTAGACAACTGATAACTCTGTTCCTTTTTATACAGTGTTTCCTTGGCTTCCAGAAGCTCAGGGTTTTTCTCCACCTTCATTGGTAGCTGCTTTCCAGTATTCATGCTGGGTGCTTGTCTTCTCTCTGACTTCTTAAATTTGAATGTCTCAGGGCTTAATCCTCCTCTCTGGGTAATTTTATCTAGGCTCAGGGTTTCAAATGCCATCTATGTGCTGAGATTCCCAAATTTAGCTTCCTACTCAGCTCTGTTTCCTCATGCCAGATGCAACTCCTGCCTCTTCGATAGATCTAATTAGATGTCTAGTAGATGTACCAAACTTAACATTAAAAATTTAACTCCTCTCCATAAACCAATTTTACTTGGAGTGAACACAGAAGCACAGTGATCAGCTTAAAATCAGATCCTTTTAACTCAGATATCTTTACAAGTTTGTTGGAAACCCTTCTACAGTTTCCCAGCTCTGTCAGAGTAGAAGCTAAAGCAGTGTTTCTAGGCCAATAGTGCATATTAGAACATTTGAGGGCTTTAATAATAAACACACTTGGCTGAGCCTCACTCACAGAAATTCTGATTTTGTATATCTGATGGGGATGGAACAGTAGAATGGCATGCAAATACACACATACACACAGATACACACACGCACACACACATTTTAAAGATCCACAGGTGATTCTCAAGGGCCTACTAGATTGAGAACCATTGCATTACAGTAGAAATGGAGGAGGAGTCCAAGATATACAGGAGTTGTTGTTAGTAATATTAATGTATAATGCTGATCATTCTTTATATTACATATCAATAACAGCTAATATTTATTGAAGTCTGTTAGGTAAAATGCAGTGGGGTAACCCCTTAGTATGCATTAATTCGCTTAGTACTAAACACCTTATAAAGAAGGTTCTACCATATTTGATTGATTCTAAGAAACATTTTTTCACATTTTAATATCTCTAAACTCTAATGTGTTTTAAAATCAATGACATTATATAATCACTGCTGGCCAGATGACAGTTGTGATGTAGTTTTCATTGTCTGCACAGACATAAACTTCATTATTCTAGTCAATGATACTATGTGAAACATACAATATATTTTTGCTTAACTCAAAAAGTGATTTTTAAAAACTTGGACTATGAAGGTGAATAAGTCGTAGCAAAACTTTACCCAATTTATTTTGCTTTTATTTTCCTCTCTGTATAAATATGAATGACATATGACAAAATTATATCTAAATAATCATATAAGAGCTCTTTCAATAAGTAGAAAATAAATATTCTGAGTGGGAAGTGAACATTGTGCAATAGTTGAATAAGTACTGTGTTTTCTTCGTAAGTGGTACATCAAATAATGATTGTGTCATAATATCAGATGAAATATAACATATTTCCAGTACAACAAACAGATGCATAAGTTACATTATAAGTGGTCCATTATGAAACCAACTTGTTCAAACTCAGGCTATCTCTAAAGTTCTCTGTATGGTTCGGTCTGACAGACTTGGTTTTAAGTTACAGCTTCTTCTTTTACTAGTTGTAAGCTTTGAGCATTGCACTCTAGTCTCCACAAATTCCTTATATAGGTAAAGGGCAAATATATATATTTTTAGTGTGAAAATTAAATACTATTTTTATTAAGTGCCTAACTTAAAATGTTAGATCATGTTCTCTCAACTTGCCCATTATTTGACTATTTGTTTATATTATAGTTATCAAATAACACAGTCAATCTTCTTTATCAAATACCAACAGACCCACAATTTCCATGCACATTATGCTTGTGCATGTGTGATTTATACAAATAGAAACATCATACAAACTATGTCATATATTTTCCAGTTAATAATATAGATTTTAAGATCTGTAAACATTTTTGAGGGCTGGGATTTTATTTGGCTTGTTCATTGCTGTATTTGTCTAAAAATGTGCTTGAAACAACAATAGTTGTTCAATAAATATTTGTTGAAGGAATAAACTAATTTAATATTAACACAAATATGCCTCATTCTTTTTTTCAGTTACCTAATATCCCACTGTAAGAACACAGAATTTCTTTCTCGAATCTTTTTGAATGATATGAAATAGTTCTGATATACAAAAATCTCTCTGTAAGTGTCTATATATGAGTATACTTTGAAAAGCTAGGCAGATATATATCTTTAAGATATATTTTCAGAAATCTAACCATTGAGTCAAAGAGTTTTTAATTTTGATAGATAATATACGGAGTAAACATCTTTTATTTTTGCTTGCCCAGTATAACTCCCCCTTATTTTGAAAACAAATCAAGATTCTAACTTTAGAAAATTATTCCTTTCTACTTCTCTCTGAGTTCCTGTGGATTTTATGAGGTTGAACCCACCCCTGAGCTCCAGGGTGAGCATTTGTGTTGAAAATAGGGTTGCCAGATTGAGCAAATAAGAATACAGAACACTTGGTTAAGTTTGCATTTTAGATAAAAAATGAACTTTTTAGCATAAAAACACATATACACACATAAACATCAGACACATATATCGAGATATACATTCGTTTGAATATATAATACAGATAAGATTTTGTGGTTAGCGAGACTACATTTTTTAGAATAAATCAATATAATGTTTTAGTCTAAGTAACTGGGTCTAAATATAAAGATAATAGCATATAATAAAGAAAAAGTGATTTTAGACAAATTTGTTGTATTGTATATACAGTAAAAACAGTGCCCAAAGTTTTTTTGTTTAGGGGTTTTTTTGAAATTAATCCTGTGTATAATTATGAAACAGTTCACATTTACTTCCATTACTAATCTGACTTCCAGAAAACTTTTCGATATATTCTATCTCCCTATGCATGACATCACAATAAAGTAAATCCAGGTGCTCCCCTAAGAACTTTGCACGTGTATGTGTGTGTGTGTGTCTGCCTTATTGAAATGTTTTAAAACTACAAATTCCCCAATAATGGGGCCTATATCTTTTTCTTTATATCCTCAGTATTTATCAATTTGTCTATAATATAGCAAGAAATTGATACACCTTTGTTGAACTGAGCAAAATGAAAGCACTATATTTACCATGAAGTCTTTGGAAACAGGTTTACAAGGTAAGTATCAGTTATTTTTCAAATCTTAACTGCATACATATTTGACTTCTCAAGTTATTTTAAAGTAAATTTATGTTAAAATTTTGAAAGTATGATAATGCAATAGGCATGCGGAAGACCTGTAATTTCTAGTCTCATAGGATAAAGGAAGAAAATTAATACAATAATAATCATTTTAGTTTGCAATTCAATAAAAAGCAAATGACAAGCAACAGTAAGTTGACATTGTGGCCATTAACTGCAAAGGCATTTATTTGAGTGAAATATTTACTAACGAGTTTTAAAAAGCATGTGTTTAATGGAAAGCTTTATCTATATGTTAAAATGTTTAAACATTTACAAAATACAGAACTTTGAAGTGCTATGAAATTCTACAAAAGGTTGCAGGCAGTACCTTATCAGTTAATTTGAATTTATCCACCTAAAATAACACTTTCACATTTTCCTTAATGTTTTTATTCTGTGCCGAATCTTCTTTCTGTAAATATATTTAGTGTCTAAGGAGAAAAGAGTAGTTTAATTTATAAAACACTGCTACATTGCATTAATATTACTTAGATGAGAATCTATTTATCACTGCGTCAGAGAATATTTTATAACTAATTGGTTTATACACCATAAAATGTCATTATTAAAGTACAGTTTAATATTATTACTTTTGTCTGGATTTGTACCAGTAAAACAGGTATAGAAGGAAAGAACTAATGTATTTGCCTCTGGAAAACCAGTTTGTTACTCAAAGCTACTAAAATTCTACTTGTGGGTATTGGTTTATTATTTTTAACTCAAATTTCAGGGTGATAATAAAAAATGCAAATCTAAGTTTTATTCTTCATGATTACAAAATATGCAGGGAGATAGGGTATTATGAACATAAATTCAATCCCTCATTGGGCATGTCTTATCCTCCAAAATTTCCTGTATTCATTTTGAAGCAGAAGAGAAGTGTAATATGTGAGAAATATTAAAAAGTAGTGTGGTAAAGTTCTACATTAAAATATTTTTAAACTTAAAAAAACTGTAAATTTACAAGAATTAAAAATGGAAAAATTGCTATCACATGAAATGTAGAGATTATTCAAATACTCAGACTCACTAGTAATATGAAGTTAATGTAAAAATAACCCTTCCTTTGCCTATGGATCTATTATTCTACAGATTTTGCAGTTAAAGTTTCACAGAGACATGCTACATTTAAACAACTCAAAATGGAAAAAAATTAACTTCTTGTAACTATTAAAATATGCATCATATTTTCACACGATAGCCAAATATATGATCAAATATCTTCATTGCAGGGAACAATTATAATATCTTCATATTTTTCTGCCTTATGATACCTATTAATATTCAAATTTCAGATTAAGAATGAAGATTATCAAGCATAAAAATAGCTCAATAGACTCCTTTTTACATATACTTGCTCCTGACAAATATTTCAGTAATGTGATGACTATAACTGAATGTGCCATTGAAGCTAAATGTTTTTAATACCGCTGTAAAAAGGACAAGCTATATAAATGAATTCATCTTTCTAGTGTAAATATTTCCACTTATCAATATACACTTATTGTTTCCATTCATTAGCGCATCCCAAAAGAAAGTTTTCATCTTTTTAACACCACAGAAATTTGTTTGGGGTTAGTGTATGAAGGGGTCATATCAAAATTGAAGCCTTTTGTGTGTAGTTTCATTTTTTTAATGTGTGTTTAAGAGCCCCTGAATTCTCAGGGGTGTTATTCAAAAGTCATAACATGACTAACTATCCTCTGAATTTAAAATTATGCCACAAAAAGTATATCTATGTTTATGAGAAAACAAAACTTTGGTTTAAAAAGTAACACATCTAGTTGAATGAACACAATATATTAAAACATTTCCAAAGATTATTTTCATTTTAAACTTTCATTACATTTAGAAAAGCAACTAGTATAACTGCTGAAATAAAACTACATAATTTCTAAGAAGAATCCTTTAAGTAACTTTCATTTACTGTAACAGATAAACTGTCATTTTACTAATCAAAGGTGTCCTCTGAGCTTTACAATAATTGATTTCTTCAATGTTTTGAAGAGACAGTAACATTCACATAAAGAAATAATAGTGGGTTCTTTTCCTTTGGGAAATATTACAGTTAATCTAATATTTAAAACTGAATAAAGAGAGGATTAGATATAAACACATTTTTACCTCCACTCACATAAAGTCTATAAATGGAATTATCACATAACTACAACTAGTGTGGTTAAAAATCTCCAGGGCTCTTAAGACCAAAATGAAAAACAATTTCTTAACACAGTAGTTCCCCTTTAAATATGTTTCAACACACCCAGAGGATGCCTAAAACTGTGGATACTACTAAGCCCTATATATACTATGTTTTTCCCTATACATACATACCAATGATAAATTTTAATTTATAAATTAGGTACAGCAAGAGATTAACCACAATAATAATGAAATAGAACAATTATAATAATATGCTGTCCTAAAATTTATGTGAATGTGGTCTCTCTCTCTCTGTCACTTCCCACCTCCCCCACCATTTCTTTCTCTCAAAATATCTTAATAGTTTTGGACTGCAATTGTCTTTGACTAACTGAAACTATGGATAAGGGGGGACAATTGTAATATTAAAATTACTTGCTAATTGCAGATCTTTAATAATCATCAAAGACAATGTCATCTTTACTTTGGACATCAATATATGAATAGTTTCTATAACATTTAGAATTTTACATTTAAAGGAATTTAGTAAAATTAAATTTCAGAAAATTCCTCAAAATATGTTTTAACATGTAATGCTATAGCATAACATAAACCCTCAAGATACATTTTCTTTTTCGGAAGCAGTAGCAAATTAAATGCAAACACTATTATACACTTTAATAGAAAGAAGCACTACCTGGATGAGTTTTGGAAAGAAGGGCATTATATTAAAGGAATTTCCAGAGAACACAGTAATATTAATAATACAGATAAAAACTGGAAAGTGATCCTAATCTAGCTCCCCTCTACTATTTGTCTTTTATCCTTTCCACATCTACCACATATATTGAAAGATTTTGACTTCCAAAAGATAAATTTATATCTATATTTTAAAAATTGAAGTAGTATCAACTTGCCAGAGCACCTGATTAGTATGTAATAAACAGCATTACTACACTGAGATAATACAATATTAGCCAAAATCAATTTGTCATTTTGAGAAGTATGAAAGTTTTATAGCTAAACTATTCATATTAGTTTTAACAAATATTAAATATCATTTCTAAACTTTAGCTACTACATGTAAACATTTATAGGGCTCAAAAGACTAGACCACAACTGAGAATTAGCTCTAGGGTACAAATCCTTCTTTTAAGAGGTAAGGAAATTTAACTAGACAACTTACTTACATTCAGCTGCCAGTTAATGGCAGATATTTTTTACTTACAAATTGATATTTTCACAATGCTATATTTACATAGATGCATTTTATAAATTTTAGAGATCAGATATTTAAATAGTGCTCCTCAGGATGCAATGGGAACAGAGGCTCCCTGATTGATTCAGCCTTCTCTTCTAATGATTAAGGACATAAATTGTCACTTGCCTTATTCCATTAGGGAAGGAAGGCCTTCACACTACCTGCCTATAATTATGATTTTTCCTTCCTGAATCTATAATTTTACTGTAATAGATCATCTAACATGTCTAGAAGATTGTTTACCTCTGCAGAGAATTCCACTTCCTGCCTAATAGTTATATATTTATATTTAATAAGCTCTTTTTCCATGGGATTACTTTTTAACATACAGTCATTCCAAGTAAACCCTCACTGATGCTGCACTGGCCATAAACAGAAAATCAGAGAGGCAGAGAGTATTAAGATGAATGATTTATTTGAAGACAGGGAGGGACTCCAGTTTGCAAATATATTATAGATAGTACTGATCTTTGATGGGTGCTTAAAAATAGACTAAGAAGAACCCATATCACTCACTAATTCTATAGCTTAGAACACTCTGGATTATTTTTACATGTCTTTAAATATTATATTTTTTATGTGGAAAAAAGAAGGTAAGCAATTATACTGTTGTTTTATATTGTTACAAAAACCATCCATATAGAAATATATGGAGAAATGCAATAGCAAATAAAATATTAAGATTAATACAATAGAATACATTATAATAAAAGAATACTGATAAAAACAGAAACTAGTTTTTTGAATAAATGAGGTATGAACAATAAATCTACTGCATACTTTTGCTCCTCAGATGATTTTGTTTCTTCGTTCCTTTCGATTAACGAATATACACAATTTATATAATCAGTTGTTATTTTGTAAGAATATTATTGTTTTCATCAATTTTAGGATTACGAGAAAAATAATTCTAATACAGAAATTTATCCAATGGATGTGCTCTTTAAACAGAGTTGGATTATTAGATAATCAGAAAATGGAAAAGATTTGATTCCCAAAAAAAGAATGTTATAATAAATTTCTAGGAGATAAAATATTTTTCAAAAACCAAAAATAAATATTTATCACTCAGAATTTTAAATTTCAACAGACGCTTATGAAAAATAAAGTATGTCTTTATAGCATAACTAAATGCCTGTTAAATATATTACAAAATTTTTTAAACATAATAATTGTATTCACTATAAATTCCAATACCATTTTTAGAAACTGTTTGCAACAAACCAATGCTTTTACAAATACTAACTTAAAATTACAGTGATAAAGTTTGCTCTACAGCTTAAAAAATACTAGAGTGATTTTTGAATATTAGTATGTAAAAATGATTTGAAATTCTGCATTCCAAGAGAGCATGGTAATTAACAGACAATAGAGATCCATATATTTGCTTAAATCTTTAAACAAAAGATTAAATAATATTACTGATACCTCTCTCCGTCGAGAAGCCCAACAAGTTTGTTTGATCTTCCATACCACAGCAGCCACCAGCAATAAGGATAGGAAACAACTGGAAAATAAAACACAAATAATTTTTGCTCAAAACTTATTTGAACTATGTAATGAAAAAACAGTACATGAAAGACTCAAATACATATATATATAAGTAATAACTTTGTCTAGGTAAACAATCAAAAATATGATAAATTTCCAATGCTTAAAATGTTCTCTCAAAACCAAAATGTACAGGTAGAAAAAATATTTATATTTCTTGCTATAGATTATGGTCAATATTTAGAATTTTCTCTGTCAGAAGGAATGTAAATTTATAATTACATTGGTCTTATGAAGCAACAGAAATCACAACCAAAATCTATTTAGAATTGCTATTATGAGTTATAAAATATGGAAATTTTATAAATCCAAACGTCACACATGTACATTTATATTATTTTTATCACTATTTTATATATGAACATATTAAATAACCTTTATATATGAACATATTAAATTACATCTGAACATATTATATATGAACATATTAAATAACCTTTATGTATGAACATATTAAATAACCAAAATAACCTTTGGTTCCCAACCCTTTTGGCAATCATTTGGCAATGTCTAGAGACATTTTTGTTTGTCAGAACTGGGAGAGGAGTGCAGGGGTGTTGCAAGAATTCTACAATGCACAAGACTGTCCCCAACAGCAAAGGATCAGCAATACAAAATGTCAGTAGTACCGAGGCTGAGAAACCCTGGCATATGCTAATGTTTACTTTAAGAAATAAGTCAGTTACAATGTTCATACATGTGGTCTAATATATTAGGTACTATATGCAATAAACTATGATAATGCAGGGTACTTTGTTAGAAGTAACTCAAGCCTGACAAATCTCAAAATGACAGAGATTTACATGAATCTCATTAATCAATCTCAACCCTGTATCACTGTTTATTTTCCCTTTCTTTGCTCTGTGGTCATAGATTATGCTATGAGAAGACCCAGAAGTGAACAGACCTGGGACACTACAAATTCGCTGGTCACTGGACATTACAAGAAAAACCTGGTTCTCATCCTTAATCATTGTGTTCATCACTTAAGTCACTCATAAGCAGTGGCAATTTTTGACACTTTCCACTCTTGTCAAGTCTTCAATATATTTTTTCTCCTTGCCTATGCCTCATTTGAAGCAGAAGACCTTAGAATATCCTTCAATGACAACGATAACAACAATGTCAATTTTAACATCTATCCATTGAGTGCTGCGCACATTCCAGATGCTGTGCTAGTACGTCACATCGATGATTGGATTTAGTCTTAGAAATCCTTCAAGATAGTATATACTATTCTTATTTGAGAAAAGAGGAATCCAGTCCTCAGAGATTTTGAAGTTAATTGCTTATAGTCCCACACGGACTAAGTCGTAGTACCAAAATACAAATCCAGCTACTTAAGCCTCAAACTTTTTTCCTTTCCATATGCTGGCAGCTCTAAGTGTGCCCACTATCCATCCCATAATCACTCTGTTTCCATATCCATTCTCTAATCCCGCCTCCAGAATCAAAGGAAATCTATTTTTTAAAAAGTCAGTGATACTAACCTTTCCAACCATACAAGTGATTTTTTAACATAGCACCCTTTATGTAATATTCAATATTTTAGGGGACACTTTTCTCAGAATTTGCTTTCAACAGAAAGTCACCATGATTTTCTAGAAATTGTATAAACTGGTGCTTTCTCTATTATCAGACTTTAACTTCTCAATTGACAATACCAATCATTCATTCTTTAAAACTCTCTCCTGAATACTTTCTTTCATTTTGTTTTGTTTTGTTTTCCTTAATACTTCCTAACCTAATATAGGTTAAATGAATATAGGTTACATTCCAAATTCCCTCTTTTAAATTACGGATATTCCTTAAAATTCACTTCATGCAATTGTGCTCTTCTTTTCTCTTGCCCCCAAAGAGAAAGCTCAGTTATTTTCCTGATTTCAACTACGACCTCAATTTAAATGATTTCCAAATCTGCATCTTTACACCTGTCAAAATGAGAGCATCTTATCCTTGAAAGGGCTATAAAAGATTTCTTAGTTTCAAGTCCCTCCCAGGAAGGAAATTCCCAGTACAGCTCTGATAGTGATCCAGCACCTAATTAAATACTCATTGTAGCTGAGAAGTTGCTGACTGACAAGTTAGTGCATTCTCTTTCTAGTTAATTCAAATTTTGAAAATATATATTTATATATATATATATATATTTTTTTTTTGAGATGGAGTCTCACTCTGTCACCCAGGCTGAAGTGTAGTGGCACAATCTTGGCTCACTGCAACCTCTGCCTTCCAGATTTCAGCAATTCTCCCACCTCAGCCTCCTGAGTAGCTAGGATTACAGGTGCATGCCACCACCTCAGCTAATTTTTTTGTATTTTTAGTAGAGATGGGGTTTCACCATGTTGGCCAGGCTGCACTCGAACTCATGACCTCAGGTGATCTGCCGGCCTCGGCCTTCCAAAGTGCTGAAATTATAGGCATGAGCCACCACACCTGGCCAATATTCTAACTTTTATCAACCAGTGCTGTGTCTGCCTTCTAGGTTAAACAAAATCAGTCTGCTGTATGCTAAAACTTCTTTATATATTTAAAGAATATACAGGTTTTCTTGTATGCAGGATTGCCTCAAGTACAGTGTTTCTCAACCAGGAATGTTTTTGTTCTCCAGGCGATATCTGGCAGTGTATCTAGAGACATTTTTGGGTTTCATCACTTGACAGGCATCTAGTGGGATGTTACTTAAATATCATACAATATATAGGTCGCCCTTCCAACAGCATTTTCCTAGCCCAGAATGCTAATATTGCCAAGGTTGAGGAACCCTTCTCTAGTCTGAATTATTATCATAGTGGTTATACTTCTCTTGTTATACCTGGAATAATAGTGTAACTTTTTTTTTTTTTTGAGACAGAGTCTCACTCTGTTGCCCAGGCTGGAGTGCAGTGGGGTGATCTCAGCCTCACTGCAGCCTCTGCCTCCCGGGTTCAAGCAACTCTCCTGCCTCAGCCTCCTGAGTAGCTGGGACTACAGATGTGCGCCACCACGCCCACTTAATTTGTTTTGTATTTTTAGTAGAGACGGGGTTACACCATGTTGGCCAGGATAGTCTCGATCTCCTGACCTCATGATCTGCCCTCCTCAGCCTCCCAAAGTGCTGGGATTACAGGTGTGAGCCACCGCACCTGGCCAATGTAACTCTTAAAATATGGTACTGAGAATGGACACTTTAGATATGATCTAAGGGTTCATTTTTCTGAATTTCAGTCAGACCATCATACCCTTAAGAACTGTGATACAAATATTAATATCACCTCAAACCTACCATGTCCAAGCTGAACCATTAATAATGTTCATGATTAGAAAAGCAACTAACATCTATTGAGTAATATGTACCAAGCACTATGCTGAGTGTTTTACATGAATTACCTGTTTAATTCCTAAAATTACAGGTGATAGATCAAGCATACTGTCATGTGTTCATTTAAAACATGGGAAAGCTAAGTCACAGAGAGTTGAAGTAAACTGTCTAAGGTTCAAAGTATTAAATTGCAAGTTCTTCCCTTTCCCCTGACTTCTCTGTTTCACCATTACTTTCCAGCTAAAATGTTAAAAACAATTTACATTTCAATTATATCATCCCTTACATCCAGATACCAGATCCTGTCAACAGTTTCTTTCAGAAAATCTGTCGTAGCAAATAATAGTGTATATAGAAAAGTTACTTATATTCAGTAGATACAACTTAAATACCAAAATGTATTTTTATATGATTAATAATTCACAACATTCCTCTTCCTTAAGAGTTACATAATAAAGATTCAGTTTGAGACGGGAATACTAGTTGAATTTCTCATGAGGAGCTTAAATTCTTTCTTATCTAAACTTTATGACTCAACTGATTATCGTTTTTGTAATGATGTATAAGGACAACATAAAATATACAATTTTCATAATCTCACTTTCTTGAAACAAGGAGTTATACACTTTAAGGGTTTGTGTCAGATGCTTTCTATGGTAATTCCTATTAGGTTAGCAGTAAAAGAGCTAACGTGACGTAGAAACTTGGCTACTAAAATCAATAAACAGTGTAAGAAAATATTTTTAAAATAATATTCTCATAATCTCCAGTAAATATCAAAAATCCAGTAAAATATATGTTACTACTTGGGAGATAGTAGGTGTCAATACATTTTTGCTAAATAAATGATTTTTCTTTTTTTTTTTTTTTTTTTTTTTGATACGGAGTCTCGCTCTGTCACCCAGGCTGGAGTGCAGTGGCGTGATCTTGGCTCAGTGCAAGCTCCGCCTCCCGGGTTCACGCCATTCTCCTGCCTCAGCCTCCCTAAATTGGTTTTTAAATTGATTTGAATAACATCATTTTTTCTAATACTGAATGTCTCATTTGGCATTATTATCCTTATATAGGGTAATACTTTATAAATGTTCTTGATTTCTAATAAATTACATTGCAAACAAAAGTGACAGTTCTCTTAAAAAATATACATACAAACAAAAAACAGTTTAAGAACACTTGCTTTGCTAAAAAGCAAAACAAACAGGCAAACAATAAATATTTGTCATATTTATTCAGCATAGTTAAAAAGTTATATTCTTCCTTTGGTGACTACTAGAGAGTCTCCGTCTTTATTGACAATCTTGGACACCTGAAGAATGACAGAATTTCCATCATCTGAATTTCTTAAATGACCATGTGAAGCAGTGTCCTGTATTCCATGCTATCCCTTCTGATATAGTTTGGATATTTGTCCCAACTCAAATCTCAGGTTGAATTGTAATCCCAGTGTTGGAGGTGGGGCCTGGTATTCGGGTCAGGGGAAAAGATCCTTCATGGCTTGATGCTGACTTCACAATAGTGAGTGAGTTCTCCTAAGATCTGGTCATTTAAAAATGTGTGGCACTTCTCCTTCCTTAACTCTCTTGCTTGTTCCTGCTTTCGCCATGTGACAAGCCTGCCCCCCCTTCACCTTCTACCATGATTGTAAACTTCCTGAGGCTGCTCTAGAAGTTGAGCAGATGCCAGCACCATCCTTCCTGTAAAGCCTGCAGAACCATGAGCCAATTAAACTCTTTTCTTTATAATTTATCCAGACTCAGATATTTTTTATAGCATTGCAAGAACAGCCTACTACACCTTCCACTGGCTCCTTTTTTGCCCACTGGACTTGATGTGACACAGAAGCATTGTAAACTTTTATTATGTTAAGTGACATATTTGTAGGTTTGTGTATTCCAGTTAGCTTTTCTCTATCTCTTAAATCAAAGGGTTTAATGGGTATCATTGAACACTAGTATGTTTTAATTTGGTACTGTGGCAAATTTGTCACAGAAAAAATAAGTATCTACTGCTTTCTTTCAGGTCTTCTTTTCCTATCACATTATGCAAAAGCTTTTATGCTCCATGATATAGATATTGATGGGGGAATAATTGGGCTTTCTTTTTCAAAAAAAAATATGCTGTACGATAATAATATCAAAAGATCTGAAAGGTTCAACACCCCTCAGTACAATCCACCCAAAGGAAATAGGGAGTAAAAAGAACAAAGAAAGAAAGAAAGAAAACAAACATTAAAAAGCAAGTATATCAGCTACAGGAATAAAAAAGGGAAGCATAAAAACTTAGGGAGAGATATTTCAATAACTTGATTTTATTATTCATAAAATGGTCATTTTGAAAGGATTCTTAATGTAAAAAAATGGAACTTATTAGGTAATCTCATTTAGGGAAAATTAAAAGAATTCAATATAAGTAACATAGTGTGCTATAACGTTACATTGTAATGCAGGTTGCTGTGACAAATAAATACCCTCTGGTGGTAATCTAGTTGGCCAATTGTAAAAAGAGATAATATTGTCGCTATTTTATAGCAATTTGAGGTTAACTGATCATAAATGTCAAGTCTTAAGTACATATTTTAAAAGATGGTTTGGGCATATTATTATATTTCACTGAAAAATGTTAGAAACAGGGAAATTGTGTTGAAATGAAGAAATTTACCTCCTAATAACTGTTATTCCACAAACTATCTTTCAATTTTATACCTTCATGACATTTAAAGGATTTTTTCTTACAAACGAACATATTAACAGAATACACTTCTAACTTAAAATGCAATAAAAATATGAATATTAAAAAGAAAAAATTGCTTATATGTTCAAGTCATCAGTTTGAAAAAGATGAAAAATCAAAAGCCCAGTGGCTGAATGTGGTAAATAATACACGCATAGAATAAATTGGTCAAACTTCTGAGGGTTGTTAAGCAAGAGTTACTGTACCTTAGGAGCACTATTAGTTAAGATTATTTCAAATGCAAGTAACAGAAAACCTAACTCAAACTGGTATAAAGAAGAGATCTACATGAAGTTTACACTCCCTGGTATGAACTGAATTGTGTTCTCAAATTCATATGTTAAAGCCCTAACCCCCCAGTGTGGCTGTATTTGAAGACAGGGCCTTTAGGACATAATTAGGTTTAAATGAAGTTTATAAACATGGGATTCTGATCTGATATAATTAATGTCCTTAAAGGAGAGACACCAAAGAACTTGCATACTCTCCCTCTCTTCCTGCATGCATGGAGGAAAGGCCATGTGAGTACACAGTGTGAAGGCAGCCATTTGCAGAGCCAGGAAGAGAGGTTTTACCAGAAACCAACAACTGGTACCCTGATCTTGAACTGTCTACCCTCTGGAACTGGGAGATAATACATTTCTATTGTTTAACCCACTTAGTCTGTGTTATTTTGTTATGGCAGCCCAAGCACACTAAGACACTTCCCAAAGTCCAAAGGAAGAAAAGTTCCAGGTTTGGTCTGATCAGGGTCCTAGCTACATTTTCTTATGATTCTCTGGACTATGCATAACACTACGCACCAACTTTATTTTCAGGCTTCTTTAATTCTTAGGAACAAAAATGAACGCAGCAGTTCCAAGGCTTGTATAATACACTATTATACATGCCCACTCCTTACCAAACATTGACGATGCAATAAATGGCATTGGCACAATCATGAAGCTAGTGAGAGATAAATCCCATTTAAATTGGATGGTTTGCTACACAGCCACGTGGAGGGAGTTAAATGAAGGCTGGGAAAGAATAAAATCTACTAGATATCATTTATGAAAAATTTATAGAAGAGTACCTAAATTAACCTCCCTGCCACGGTTCTGTAACAGAACCTCAAAATCTGTAACAGATTTTGAGGCTACAGAGCATCTTTAGTCACTCTTAAATTTTTTCCTAAAACTCTACAGAAAATGGAGTAGTCTCAAGCCTCATCTGATGGCATATTAGAAAGACTAATATCTAATAAGGAAAATCTTCCTGGGTAAGTCCTATTACAAGTAGCCTACTTGGATAATACCTTATTCTTCCAAACTTGCAACAAAAAGTGACAAAGGACAATGTATACAGTGTTTCTTCCTACATTAAATGTTTTTTGAAGCACATCTTTTAAAACCATATAGTTAGGACAAAAATTTTAATTATTTTGAAAACCTTTCCTAAATCATTAATGTATAACACAATAGAGAAACCCTAAGTATATAGCTCAATAAATTATCACAAAGACAATATACCCTTGAAACCACCAGCTTGAAGAAACAGAACTTAATTCATTCTCTCCTTCTCAAAAGGAACTATCACATTTATTTTTAATGCCATACTTCAGTCTTGTCTATTGCTAAATTTTTTACAAATATAACACTATAGTATTTTTTTTGTTTCTGTCTCTATCATTCAACACTATGTTCGTGTTACCTATTTTGATCCTTTGGCAATCGTTTTATTTTCCCATTGCTCCACATTATATGAGTATATTTTTCCATTCTATTATTTTTGGGTATTTTGATTATTCCCAGTTTGGGGCATGTAAAACATGCTTCTATAAATATGGTTCACATGACTTTGATGACTTGGAATTGTTGGGCCACAGAGTATATGTAAATTCAACTTTAGAATATAATGTCAACTTGTTTTCAAAGCCATTACATCAATTTCTAGTGTACTAAAAGTATGAATAGTTCTGCATCCTCTCCAACATTTGGTATTATTTGTCTTTTTCTTTTTATCCACTGTAGTAGGTATATAATGGTATTACATTGTGGTTTTAATTTGAATTCCCAGATAAAAATTAAGTTGAGCACTCTTGCATATTTTGTTGGACACTTGGATGTCTTCTTTTGTGAAGTGTATGTCAGTCTATTGTCATTTTTGGAGAAAGGAGTTTTCAGACTATTCTTAATTGATTTATATGAGTTACATAGTGTGAATATAAGGCCTTTGGCTTTTATACAGTTTGCAAATATTTCGTACTACTGTGTGACTTGACTCGTCATAATGCTAATGGTGTCTTTCGATAAGAAAAAGTGTTAGGTTTTTTTGTAGTCTAATTTTGTTATAGTATTTTATGTGTCCTCTTTAAGAATCCATTCTATATTCTAATGTTATGAAGAATAATTCCTACATTACCTTCTAGATATTTCATTGTTTTTACCTTTCCTCCTAGAATTTATTTTATATTCAAAGCAGGGATCAAATGTCACCTTTCCCATACGCATAGGTAATAGATCTAGTACCTGATGAAAGTTTTCTTAAAGCACTAAACATTGAGAGATAGTCCTTGACTTGGTAATTAACTTAAGAATGACTACTTCCATTAGAGCCCTGTTCCCTCCCCCCTTTTTTTTTTTTTTTTAGACGGAGTTTTGCTCTTGTTGCCCAGGCTGGAGTGCAATGGCATGATCTTAGTTCACTGCAACCTCCGCCTCCTGGGTTCAAGCAATTCTGCCTCAGCCTCCCAAGTAGCTAGGATTATAGGCGTGTGCTACCACTCCTGACTAATTTTTGTATTTTTAGTAGAGATGGGGTTTCACTATCTTGGCCAGGCTGGTCTCGAACTCCTGACCTCGTGATCCACCTGCCTCAGCCTCCCAAAGTGCTGGGATTACAGGTGTGAGCCACCATGCCCGGCCTCCACTGTACCCTTTAATCCATCTCTCTTGTGCTACCTTGACTTTACAAAGGGATTGAGGTATTATTTATAAATAATGTTGATATTCTCTAGAGAGATAATTTGTTTTATCCATCTGGAGGCTATGGTCACAATGCATCCAAAGCTTTTGAAGTGCTTCTTGAGTCAGTGCAGCGGGAGGGCTACCCACTGTTCAGTCCGGGCCCAAAGCAGAGTTCTATCTATGAGCTCAGTTCTCCAATTCTTTCGTATGATAATGTTAATTAGGATCAGATCAGCACACAGGCAGCTCAGGAGAGATCCCAGAAGTTTATAAAGCACTATATATTTATTTATTTATTTATTTATTATTATTATACTTTAAGTTCTAGGGTAAATGTGCACAATGTGCAGGTTTGTTACATATGTATACGTGTGCCATGTTGGTGTGCTGCACTCATTAACTCATCATTTACATTAGGCATATCTCCTAATGCTAGCCCTCCCCCTCCCCCCACCCCATAACATTTGATGGGAAGGCTTTTCTATCTCCATTATCTCCTAGGTCCTTTCTGGATTTGTGGGCTCTACTTTTCCATCATGTGGTCAGAAACTACACACTTTTCCTATTGTACCATGTTTTGAGCTGGGAGGACAGACAAGAAGGAAATCAACAGGGTTTATCTTGGCTCTCTGTAGCCAGAGCTCCACTATGATTAGAGGAATATTCCCTTCCCTTGGGATTGTGGTTCTTACTGCTTCCCACTGTGAGCCATTTTGCTGCTGCCCATGTTCCTGCTTCAGACTGCCTGGGGTATGGGTGAGTGAATTCAGGAAAAAGAGAAAAAATGGGAGGGAGGTCTCCCTCATTCTCTCTGAGCTTAAGAGTTCCCTTTTCCACATCATGGGCCAGAACTAGAGGACTTTACCCTGTCCAAACTATAGTAGTTACTTCCAAGTTTCAAATTGCATTGACTTCAGGTCAGGGGGCACTAAAGGGGAAAAATGGCAAACTTCTAGATGGTTCACCAGTACTTTGAATTCTGGTGTTCTTCTCTGCTCTGCCTGCTGATATCATATACCAAATAGCTGCCCATGAATTTTGTCCAGGTTTCATGGTTGAGTTCACTTAGAGAAAAAGAGATGTGTGTTTACACAATCTTACCTGGAACTGGAACCCTATGGTGAATGTTTGACAAAGTTGCAAAAGCATTTCAAAATGGAAAGGTTTTTCCTTTATAACAAATCATGGTGTAACAACAGGATATCCACATGTGAAATAATCAGCATTGAATTACACCTCAACATAAACAAAAAATAACTGAAATGGATCACAGATCTAAAGGTACAATGTAAAAATACAGTCATGTGTCACTTACTAATGGGGATATGTTCTAAGAAATGCATCATTAGACAAATTTCATCCCTGTGCAAACATCATAGAGGGTGCTTAAACAAACACTGATGGTATACCCTACTACACATGAAAGCCATTGGTATAGCCTATTGTTACTAGGGTACAAACCTATATAGCATGTTACTGTATTGAATACTGTAGGTAATTATAACACAATGGTTTTTGTGTATCTAAACATAGAAAAGGTACAGTAAACATATAGTAATATAATCTTATAAGTACCATCATATATGTGGTCTGTCATAGACCAAAATGTTATGTAGTGCATTGACTGTATAAAACTGTTAGAAAGAAATCTATGTTAACTTGAGTTAGGGAGAGTCCTTGGATATGACGTCAAAAGCATAATCAAGTTTTTAAAAAAATGCATTAAATTGAATTTTATAAAAACTAAAACTTTTCACTCCATAAAAGATACTGTTAAGAGAATGAAAAGACAATTCAAAGACTGAGGGAAAATATTTGCAAATCACATCTGGCAAAAGAGTTGTATCCAGAATATACAAAAAACATTCAATATTCAAAAATAAACAGCAAAACTAAAAAGCAATTAAAACTAGGCAAAAGATTTGAAAAATACTTCACCAAAGAAAATGAAAGTATAACTAATAAGCACATGAAAAGATATTCAACGTCATTAGCCATTAAGGAAATGCAAGTTAAAATTACCACAAGATACCACTACACATTTATCAGAATGGCTAAAATAAAAAATGTTGACAGGACCAAGCACTGGTGAGAATGTGCAACAACTGGAACCCTGAGCTTTGCTGGTCGCAGCACAGAATTGTACAGTCACTCTGAAAAACAGTGGCAGCTATTATAAAGATGAATATACATCCACCCTGTGACCCAGCAACCCTACTTCCTGGTATTTATGCTAGAGAAATGAAAACTTATGTTTGTGTAAAACTTGTATGTATGTTGATCACAGCAGCATTATTTATAAGTACCAAAAACTGTAACAATCCATATCTCTCAATGGGTGAATGGATAAACAAAGTGTGATATATCCATATAATGAAATACTACTTAGCAATGAAATGAAATGGACTATTGATACAAAAAAGCACCTTGGATGAATCTTAAATGCAGTAGACTAAGGGAAAGAAGCCATTTGAATGACATTCTGGAAAAGGCAAAACTGCAAGAACAGAGATCAGGTCAATGGTTGCCAGCGTGTAGGGGTGGGGAGAAAGTCTGACTGCAAAGAAGGCTCTATGAGGTATTCACTGGGGCTTTGGCATTGTTCTGTATCCTGGGAGAGCTGGTAATTATAATAAATGATGCATGTGTTAAAACTCACACAACTGTACTCCCCGCAAAAGGAATTTTACTGCACAGAAATTTTAAAATGCTTCCAACAGAAGTAAAAAACAAACAATAAGGACCAAAAAAATGCTGGAAAAAAAGGCAAGTAATTAACCACTGCCCCCTCTAACAATGAAAAAGTGACTGGTATACTTTAAGTATGAGAATACTCATACTTTGAATTATAAATGTAAAAGGAAGATTTTAAACAGTGGAGTTAATAATTTATGTTTAAATTACCACTTTGGCTAATTTACATATAATATATTGATACAAAGAAGTTAGAACTGATGTTCATGTAGGTCATTAAGGAAAGAGGATTTAAATGAGTCCCAAGTATTCAAGTGAGTTAAATAGTGATACCTATAACTGAGCTACAGAAAACTGGAAAAAAAGAGACTGTTTCCCAGTACAGTAAATTCAATTTAAAGCATGTTAAGTTTGAGGTGTAAAGCAATATTTAAGTCAAAGTGTGAAGTTACTGATATGACTCTTGGAGAAGTCTATTTCAGTGTCTAGTACGATAAACCTCAGCTTTGTAAACTAGATGGGGAGCACTGGTTTAACTAAGTTGCAAGAAAACGTACCATCACTAGTTTACTCCCACCGCATTAAATATTTTGGTTTACAAGAACAGTTAGGTCCTAAGTATCTACTGTATTCCACAAAAAAACCATGGAGAAAATTCCTAAGTGAACTTCCAGTACAGTAAGAAATCATTTATTGTTTCTACTTAGCAAAATCCATATCTTCAGGTGTCATTTCCATTACCATATCCATCATCATAATCTTATTTTTTTAAACAGAGACTTTTTTGTATTTGTAATTCTTCACAGTGTCCTTACACATTGTTTAAAAAACTTTTTGGCAAATATTCTAGGATTATATCTCTTTGATGTAGAGATCCTGTGACTAAATTAGGTTCACCTTTTTTCTTCAGGGAGTTACATTTTCTTCTTTTTTCTCTTTCAAAATATGTTTATGTACAACATGATTAAATGTCTTATTTTTGGGAGGAGCCAAGATGGCTGAATAGGAACAGCTCCGGTCTGCAGCTCCCAGCATGAGCGACGCAGAAGACGGGTGATTTCTGCATTTCCATCTGAGGTACCGGGTTCATCTCACTAGGGAGTGCCAGACAGTGGGCGCAGGACAGTGGGTGCAGCGCACCGTGCGAGAGCCGAAGCAGGGCGAGGCATTGCCTCACTTGGGAAGCACAAGGCGTCAGGAAATTCCCTTACCTAGTCAAAGAAAGGGGTGACAGACGGCACCTGGAAAATCAGGTCAAGCCCACCCCAATACTGCGCATTTCCGACGGGCTTAAAAAATGGCGCACCAGGAGATTATATCCCACACCTGGCTCGGAGGGTCCTACGCCCACGGAGTCTCACTGATTGCTAGCACAGCAATCTGAGATCAAACTGCTAGGCAACAGCGAGGCTGGGGGAGGGGCGCCCGCCATTGCCCAGGCTTGCTTAGGTAAACAAAGAATCTGGGAAGCTTGAACTGGGTGGAGCCCACCACAGCTCAAGGAGGTCTGCCTGTCTCTGTAGGCTCCACCTCTGGGGGCAGGGCACAGACAAACAAAAACACAGCAGTAACCTCTGCAGAATTAAATGTCCCTGTCTGACAGCTTCGAAGAGAGCAGTGGTTCTCCCAGCACGCAGCTGGAGATCTGAGAACGGGCAGACTGCCTCCTCAAGTGGGTCCCTGACCCCTGACCCCCGAGAAGCCTAACTGGGAGGCTCCCCCCAGTAGGGGCAGACTGACACGTCACACAGCCAGGTAATCCTCTGAGACAAAACTTCCAGAGGAACGATCAGACAGCAGCATTCGTGGTTCACGAAAATCTGCTGTTCTGCAGACACCGCTGCTGATACCCAGGCAAACAGGGTCTGGAGTGGACCTCTAGCAAACTCCAACAGACCTGCAGCTGACGGTCCTATCTGCTAGAAGGAAAACTAACAAACAGAAAGGACATCCACACCGAAAACCCATCTGTACATCACCATCATCATAGACCAAAAGTAGATAAAACCACAAAGATGGGGAAAAAACAGAGCAGAAAAACTGGAAACTCTAAAAACCAGAGCACCTCCCCTCCTCCAAACGAACGCAGTTCCTCACCAGCAACGGAACAAAGCTGGACGGAGAATGACTCTGATGAGTTGAGAGAAGAAGGCTTCAGACAATCAAACTGCTCCGAGCTACAGGAGGATATTCAAACCAAAGGCAAAGAAGTTGAAAACTTTGAAAAAAATTTAGACTAATGTATAACTAGAATAACCAATACAGAGAAGTGCTTAAAGGAGCTGATGGAGCTGAAAACCAAGGCTTGAGAACTACGTGAAGAATGCAGAAGCCTCAGGAGCCGATGCGATCAACTGGAAGAAAGGGTATCAGTGATGGAAGATGAAATGAATGAAATGAAGCGAGAAGGGAAGTTTAGAGAAAAAAGAATAAAAAGAAACGAACAAAGCCTCCAAGAAATATGGGATTATGTGAAAAGACCACATCTACGTCTGATCGGTGTACCTGAAAGTGACGGGGAGAATGGAGCCAAGTTGGAAAACACTCTGCAGGATATTATCCAGGAGAACTTCCCCAATCTAGCAAGGCAGGCCAACATTCAGATTCAGGAAATACAGAGAACGCCACAAAGATACTCCTCGAGAAGAGCAACTCCAAGACACATAATTGTCAGATTCACCAAAGTTGAAATGAAGGAAAAAATGTTAAGGGCAGCCAGAGAGAAAGGTCGGGTTACCCTCAAAGGGAAGCCCATCAGACTAACAGCGGATCTCTCAGCAGAAACTCTACAAGCCAGAATAGAGTGGGGGCCAATAGGACAACATTCTTAAAGAAAAGAATTTTCAACCCAGAATTTCATATCCAGCCAAACTAAGCTTCATAAGTGAAGAAGAAATAAAATACTTTACAGACAAGCAAATGCTGAGAGATTTTGTCACCACCAGGCCTGCCCTAAAAGAGCTCCTGAAGGAAGCACTAAACATGGAAAGGAACAACCGGTACCAGCTGCTACAAAATCATGCCAAAATGTAAAGACCATCGAGACTAGGAAGAAACTGCATCAACTAACCAGCAAAATAACCAGCTAACACCATAATGACAGGATCAAATTCACACATAACAATATTAAGTTTAAATGTAAATGGACTAAATGCTCCAATTAAAAGACACAGACTGGCAAACTGGATAAAGAGTCAAGACCCATACAGTTGTGCTGTATTCAGGAAACCCATCTCATGTGCAGGGACACACATAAGCTCAAAATGAAAGGATGGAGGAAGATCTGCCAAGCAAATGGAAAACAAAAAAAGGCAGGGGTTGCAATCCTAGTCTCTGATAAAACAGACTTTAAACCAACAAAGATCAGAAGAGACAAAGAAGGCCATTACATAATGGTAAAGGGATCAATTCAACAAGAAGAGCTAACTATCCTAAATATATATGCACCCAATACAGGAGCACCCAGATTCATAAAGCAAGTCCTGAGTGACCTGCAAGGAGACTTAGACTCCCACACAATAATAATGGGAGACTTTAACACCCCACTGTCAACATTAGACAGATCAACGAGACAGAAAGTCAACAAGGATACCCAGGAATTGAACTCAGCTCTGCACCAAGCAGACCTAATAGACATCTACAGAACTCTCCATCCCAAATCCACAGAATATACATTTTTTTCAGCACCACACCACACCTATTCCAAAATTGACCACATACTTGGAAGTAAAGCTCTCCTCAGCAAATGTAAAAGAAGAGAAATTATAACAAACTGTCTCTCAGACCACAGTGCAATCAAACTAGAACTCAGGATTAAGAAACTCACTCAAAACCGCTCAACTACATGGAAACTGAACAACCTGCTCCTGAATGACTACTGGGTACATAACGAAATGAAGGCAGAAATAAAGATGTTTTTTGAAACCAACGAGAACAAAGACACAACATACCAGAATCTCTGGGACGCATTCAAAGCAGTGTGTAGAGGGAAATTTATAGCACTAAATGCCCACAAGAGAAAGCAGGAAAGATCCAAAATTGACACCCTAACATCACAATTAAAAGAACTAGAAAAGCAAGAGCAAACACATTCAAAACCTAGCAGAAGGCAAGAAATAACTAAAATCAAAGCAGAACTGAAGGAAATAGAGACACAAAAAAACCCTTCAAAAAATTAATGAATCCAGGAGCTGGTTTTTTGAAAGGATCAACAAAATTGATAGACAGCTAGCAAGACTAATAAAGAAAAAAAGAGAGAAGAATCAAATAGACACAATAAAAAATGATAAAGGAGATATCACCACTGATCCCACAGAAATACAAACTACCATCAGAGAATACTACAAACACCTCTACGCAAATAAACTAGAAAATCTAGAAGAAATGGATAAATTCCTCGATACATACACTCTCCCAAGACTAAACCAAGAAGAAGTTGAATCTCTGAATAGACCAATAACACCATCTGAAACTGTGGCAATAATCAATAGCTTACCAACCAAAAAGAGTCCAGGACCAGATGGATTCACAGCCGAATTCTACCAGAGGTACAAGGAGGAACTGGTACCATTCCTTCTGAAACTATTCCAATCAATAGAAAAAGAGGGAATCCTCCCTAACTCATTATGAGGCCAGCATCATCCTGATACCAAAGCCGGGCAGAGACACAACCAAAAAAGAGAATTTTAGACCAATATCCTTGATGCAAAAATCCTCAATAAAATACTGGCAAACCGAATCCAGCAGCACATCAAAAAGCTTATCCACCATGATCAAGTGGGCTTCATCCCTGGGATGCAAGGCTGGTTCAATATACGCAAATCAATAAATGTAATCCAGCATATAAACAGAACCAAAGACAAAAACCACATGATTATATCAATAGATGCAGAAAAGATTCAACAACCCTTCATGCTAAAAACTCTCAATAAATTAGGTATTGATGGGATGTATCTCAAAATAATAAGAGCTATCTATGACAAACCCACAGCCAATATCATACTGAATGGGCAAAAACTGGAAGCATTCCCTTTGAAAACTGGCACAAGACAGGGATGCCCTCTCTCACCACTCCTATTCAACATAGTGTTGGAAGTTCTGGCCAGGGCAATTAGGCAGGAGAAGGAAATAAAGGGTATTCAATTAGGAAAAGAGGAAGTCAAATTGTCCCTGTTTGCAGACGACATGATTGTATATCTAGAAAACCCCACTGTCTCAGCCCAAAATCTCCTTAAACTGATAAGCAACTTCAGCAAAGTCTCAGGATACAAAATCAATGTACAAAAATCACAAGCATTCTTATACACTAATAACAGATAGAGAGCCAAATCATGAGTGAACTCCCATTCACAATTACTTCAAAGAGAATAAAATACCTAGGAATCCAACTTACAAGGGATGTGAAGGACCTCTTCAAGGAGAACTACAAACCAGCACTCGATGAAATAAAAGAGGACACAAAGAAATGGAAGAACATTCCATGCTCATGGGTAGGAAGAATCAATATCATGAAAATGGCCATACTGCCCAAGGTAAGTTATAGATTCAATGACATCCCCATCAAGCTACCAATGACTTTCTTCACAGAATTGGAAAAAACTACTTTAAAATTCATATGGAACCAAAAAAGAGCCCGCATCGCCAAGTGAATCCTAAGCCAAAAGAACAAAGCTGGAGGCATCACACTACCTGACTTCAAACTATACTACAAGGCTACAGTAACCAAAACAGCATGGTACTGGTACCAAAACAGAGATATAGATCAATGGAACAGAACAGAGCCCTCAGAAATAATGCCGCATATCTACAACTATCTGATCTTTGACAAACCTGAGAAAAACAAGCAATGGGGAAAGGATTCCCTATTTAATAAATGGTGCTGGGAAAACTGGCTAGCCATACGTAGAATGCTGAAACTGGATCCCTTCCTTACACCTTATACAAAAATTAATTCAAGATGGATTAAAGACTTAAACGTTAGACCTAAAACCATAAAAACCCTAGAAGAAAACCTAGGCTTTACCATTCAGGACATAGGCATGGGCAAGGACTTCATGTCTAAAACACCAAAAGCAATGGCAACAAAAGCCAAAATTGACAAATGGGATCTAATTAAACTCAAGAGCTTCTGCACAGCAAAAGAAACTACCATCAGAGTGAACAGGCAGCCTACAAAATGGGAGAAAATTTTCACAACCTACTC
This sequence comes from Homo sapiens, assembly GCF_000001405.40. Lineage (NCBI taxonomy): Eukaryota > Metazoa > Chordata > Mammalia > Primates > Hominidae > Homo > Homo sapiens. Next base: position 115,531,541 of record NC_000010.11, on the reverse strand, counting down.
ATCTGACAAAGGACTAATATCCAGAATCTACAATGAACTCAAACAAATTTACAAGAAAAAAACAAACAACCCCATCAAAAAGTGGCCAAAGGGTATGAACAGACACTTCTCAAAAGAAGACATTTATGCAGCCAAAAAACACATGAAAAAATGCTCACCATCACTGGCCATCAGAGAAATGCAAATCAAAACCACAATGAGATACCATCTCACACCAGTCAGAATGGCAACCATTAAAAAGTCAGGAAACAACGGGTGCTGGAGAGGATGTGGAGAAATAGGAACACTTTTACACTGTTGGTGGGACTGTAAACTAGTTCAACCATTGTGGAAGTCAGTGTGGCGATTACTCAGGGATCTAGAACTAGAAATACCATTTGACCCAGCCATCCCATTACTGGGTATATACCCAAAGGACTATAAATCATGCTGCTATAAAGACACATGCACACATATGTTTATTGCGGCACTATTCACAATAGCAAAGACTTGGAACCAACCCAAATGTCCAATAATGACAGACTGGATTAAGAAAATGTGGCACATATACACCATGGAATACTATGCAGCCATAAAAATGATGAGTTCATGCCCTTTGTAGGGACATGGATGAAATTGGAAATCATCATTCTCAGTAAACTATCGCAAGGACAAAAAACCAAACACCACATGTTCTCACTCATAGGTGGGAATTGAACAATGAGAACACATGGACACAGGAAGGGGAACATCACACTCTGGGGACTGTTGTGGGGTGGGGGGAGGGGGGAGGGATAGCATGAGGAGATATACCTAATGCTAAATGACGAGTTAATGGGTGCAGCACACCAGCATGGCACATGTATACATATGTAACTAACCTGCACATTGTGCACGTGTACCCTAAAACTTAAAGTATAATAATAATAATAAAAAGTCTTATTTTTCCCAAATCATGAACACTATACTTAACTTTGCATTATTCTGCTCACTTGCATGCTTGCTTCCATGTAGTCATCTTTGATTGTTCTTGTTTTTCAAGCGCTTAACTCTTATTATTTCTTTGCCTGTTGTATTCTTTAGATTCCTTTAATCTTTCATTTTTAATTCCTCTAAATATGCATCATCTCTTACCACTTTATGCCCACTAAGATGGCTATAAGAAAGGCAGTTAATACAAACTTTAGTAAGAATGTGGAAAAAATAAATGTCTGATCCTTGCTGGTAAGATTATAAAATGATACATCTTCTTTAAAAAAATGTTTGGCAGTTTATCACAATGTTTAACCTAGAGTTACCATGTGATCAACAATTCTACTCCTAATTATATACTTAAGAGAAATGAAAATATATATCCACATAAAAACTTACACACAAATGTGCATAGTAGTATTATTCACAACAGTGAAAAAGAAGAAAGAACTCAAATAACCATCAACTAATAGAGAAATAAAATGTGTTATACACATAAGATGAAATATTATTCAGCAATAAAAAGAAACAAAGTACTGATCCATACTACGTTACGGATAAGAAACATTGTGCTAATGAAAGGAACCAGTCACAAAAGAACACATATTGTACGATTCCATTTATATAAGATGTCCAGAATAGGCAAATCTATGGACAGAAAGTAGATTAGTGATTTTTCAGAACTAGGGGTATGTAAAAGGGGGGAGTGACTACTGATGAGTACATGGCTTCTTTTGGGGATGATGATATGTTCTAAAATTGATTGCAATAATGGTTGAAGAATAACTGTGCACTTTCAATTGGTGAATTGTATTATATGTGAATTATATCACCAAATAAAACACAAATTAAAATTAGAAATTGGAAAACGTTTAAAAATTAGACAATGATAAGTAAAAGTTTTGAAGTTTTTTAGTTCTCCTATATGATTCAGGAGGATAAAAGACATACTGATTAATATTATTGTTGGTTAGGGAAATATGCTTGTTAAAATTTAAGAGTAATCATTAAATAAAAAAAACTATAATTCTTAAACTGCTAAAAGGAAAATAAAAGAACATTAGAAGCTCATTCAATTAATAAGAAGCTCATTCAATTAATAAAAATCAGAAGAGAAGAAAAAAGAAAATTTCCATTTATTTCCCTGTCACATAAAATTAAGAGATTCCCAGATTATTAAAACAAAACCAAAATATCCAGATATTTTTGGTATAAAAGAAACATACACAAAATATAACAAGAGAAAAAATTTTAAAAGATATGCAAAAAGACATAGACAAATTCTAATAAAGAAATACTATATTTAAGTTAAAAATGTTCTTTAAGACAAAAAGTAACAATAGGAACAGAGAGAAATCCAAATGATTAAAACAATAATTCAACTCCATTCTCAGTAAAGGATAGAACAATCAGACAGAAGATAATAAAGGAAACAGAGGTCTAGAGCAATGCAATAAACCACCAAGATCTAATAGATATATACAGGATATTCTACCTAAAAACAACAGAATACATATTCTCCTGATGGGCACAGAAGACATTCTCCAGGACAGAATATATGTTAGGTAACAAATTATATCTCGGTAGATTTTAAAAGATAAATGTGCAAAGTATCTTCACCACCCACAGTGGGATAAAGTTAGAAATCAAAAACAGAAGAAAAACTTGAACATTAAAAAGTATGTGGAAATTACCAACACACATTTGATCAATGGTTGAAAGACAAAATCACAATGAAATTAGAAAATATTTAGAGAAATGTGAAAATTAAAACACAACATACCAAAACTCATGGAACACTGTAAAGCAGTGGATAAAAGGGAAATTTAGTTATAAACATACTAAAAAAGAAGAAAGATCTCAAATACGCAACTTAACTTTACAACTTGAACTAGAAAAAGAACAAACTAAATTCAAAGGTAGCAGAATGAAGGAAATTATAAATATTAGAGCAAGATAAACAATAGAGAAAATAGAAAAACAATAGAGAAAATCAACAATACCAAAAGTTGATTCTTGAAAAAGAGCAACAAAATTGGCAAACCTTTAGTTAGACTGACCAAAAAAAAAGAAAAGAGAAAGAAAACTGAAATTACAAAATTTAGAAATGAAAAGTCGGGTCATTACTGCCAATTCTGCAGAAATAAAAATGATTATAGGAGAGTACTATGAACAATTATACACTAATAAATTGGATAAGCTAGGTGAAATGGACAAATCCCTAGAAACATAAAACCTACCAAGATTGAATGATAAAGGAATAGAAAATGGAATAGATTTATAACCAGTAAGGAGATTGAATCAGTAATCAAATATACCACAACAAAGAAGCCCTGAACTCAATGGCTTCACTGATAAATTCTACCCATTTAAAAAATAACTAATACCAATGCTCAAACTTTTCCCAAAAAGTGAAAAGGAAGGAACAATTCCTAAATCATTCTATGAGACCAGCATACTACATATTAATGTCTACAGAATGCAGCTGAAGCAGATTATTTTTAGAAATGAGAAGGGAAAGGAAGGAAGGAAGGAAGGAAGGAAGGAAGGAAGAAAGGAAGGAGGGAAGGAAGGAAGGAAGGAAGGAAGGAAGGGAGGGAGGGAGGGAGGGAGGGAAGGAGGGAGGGAGGGAAGGAAAGAAGGAAGGAAGGAGAAGGAAGGAGGGAGGAAGGGAGGAAGGAAGGAAGGAAGGAAGGGAGGGAAGGAGGGAGGGAGGGAAGGAAAGAAGGAAGGAAGGATAAGGAAGGAGGGAGGGAGGAAGGGAGGAAGGAAGGAAGGAAGGGAGGGAGGGAAGGAGGGAGGGAGGGAGGGAAGGAAGGAAAAATAGGCAAAATTCTCAATAAAAGGGTAGGCACAATTCTAATATAGAACAAACTTCAGAGTATTAATATTGTAAATATGTCAATGAATTTATAAAATGAAACAAAGAGTACAACTTCCATTAAAAAGCCAATTACCAACTAGGTCAGGAAAAAATTAAAAACCTCCATAGACACAAATATTACTGAAACTTAGTCAAATTTAAAAATCTACCCTCAAAAATATAAACTACACAAAAATAAATACAAACACATTACCAAAATCATTTTTTACAGGTTTTATAGGTCAGTTCTATCAACCATCACACAACAAATAACTCCATTGTGCCAACCACTAAGATATACTTCTCTGGCTGGGGACAGTGGCTCATGCCTGTAATCTCAGCACTTTGGAAGGCCGAGGTGAGCGGATCACTTGAGCTCAGGAGCCTGAGACCAGCCTGGGCAACACGGTGAAACCCCATCTCTACCAAAAATACAAAAAACTTAGTCAGCTGTGATGGCAAGCTCCTGTGGTCCCAGCTACTCAGGAGGCTGAGGTGGGAGGATCGCTTGAGCCTGGGAGGCAGAGGTTGAGTGAACTGAGATTGTGCCACTACACTCCAGCCTGGGAGGCAGAGTGAGACCCTATCTCGGGGGGGAAAAAAAAAAAAAAGTGCCTCTCTGATCCCTGATGGCAGAGAGCATAACTGACTAGTGGCCCCAGCTACTGCACTCTGAAATCCATCATTTTATTCACACTGAGCCCATGCTTCCCAAGGGCTGTCCTTAGTCAAGGACTAAACATGGCAGAAATACCAAGGCGGGCCTGTTCCTGGGAGATGGAAGACTCCTTTGATGGGTAACTTTTGCTCAAGGCTACACCACTGGTGTTAAACATTCTTAGAAGTGCCCTGCATTCTCAGGCTCTTTCACTCACCTTCCCTTTCTTGCTTCTCTCCCTCACAAAGGCAGGTAGGCATTGTGGTCTCAAATTCTCCCATTATCTCCCCTCCCTTCTCCCAATTTCCCCTCACAGAAGTTCCCCTAACACGTTTATTGCTTATCTAATCCCATCTTGGCTTCTGTGTCTCAGAGGACTTATGGTCCAAGTAAACAGAAGGTAAGATGGAGATGAGGAACTGATTCACTCACTGATTGGCAGGCTAAGAGGACAACATCCATGTTGGTGGGTGGAACACAGTTCCTGGCAGAAGACTTAAATTGCTGGATTTCACCAGTGGTGACCTGAGAAAATGCACTGATAGAGAAAATACTTGAAGGTACAGCAATTCAGGTGCTTGGAAGATGGGGAAAACACCTTCAAAAGAGAGTGGAGTAGAATGATTATCATTATGTTGTATTGATACCTGCAGAGGGATAATGAGAGACTGAAGGCCATTAACAAACCATTTACTGGCTAAATAAAAGAGCCAGTGGGTCTCTTTCATAGCTTTAAATGAGGCCCTGATGACTGATAGCAGAAATGCCAACATGAATGACCAGCAGGATGATGATCTAATTGTTGTAGAGTTGCAGAGCTCCAGAGATGACAGAATGCTAAGCCAAAGAAGTTGTGTTATGCAAAAAGGGCCATGGTTCAGGAGACCTAGGAACCTGAAATATGGAATAGGAATATATGAATGAATGCTTCTGAGGATGTTGGTTTTACCAACCGCTTCCCTAGCAATACCTAGCATTTCGTTATGCTGGAAGACACTAAAGAGCTCTCTTCTCTCTTAGGTAACAGGTGCCCCCTCACAAACTGTCACCACTTCTTTTCTTGGCTGCCAGACTGATTAGGGGGATTAAATCACAGCATGACCCAACTGAGCCTGATACGAAAGAAAATGGATTACACAATTGATACGGATGCAAGATTTAGGGAGCACGTACTGGCAGGAGCCATGGAAGTATGACCAGATTTAAATATTTGATAAAGGGCAACGAAATGTTAAGACTGGATAAATAAAAACTCATTGGTTTTGGTGCATATTTTCAGGACCACAGAGATGTAATACCCTACTGAGGATTCCAGGGAATGGAGCAAACTTGTTGCTAGAGTGACTCGTAGAAGCCTGAAAAATGCAATGTCCAGTACAAGTGAAATTGAAATGCCTGGGTTGTCCTGGCTTATGGAAGAGAAAGTTATAAAAACACTGAGAGAAGGGGATATGCTGGAATGGTTTATATTATAGGAGGCCAGAAGAACTACCAGGTTGTGTTCCATGGGAGGACTCAGAGGACAAACTATGCATTAAGGCTGTTATGAATATGCTGATAAGAGAGGCACCAGTATTATAAGGAGGCTTAGAGCTGGCTCTCCTCTTCAGAGCAGTCCCGAAAATACGAGAGATAGTCACAGGGCTAGGTTTGTTAATTGCCATAAAAAGATGGAGACCCAATGTAATAGACGACAGGTGTCAGCGCTTAACTGCCAGAATCCAGAAACCACAATTACCATAATTAGATCAACAAGATTGGACGAACTGCCAAGGGGGTTGGCTCACAAAGAGTTGTAGGGATTATTAATAAGGCATGGTATTCTGAAGGGAAAATAGGTGGGCAGCCAACAGTGGTACTATTTAACATCTGGTTTCATTTTAAGTAAGAATGAAGGAACAGGAGACTGAGGGTTGTTGCTTCAATGGAGGGCCATGTTTCTCTTCACAGTTCCCAGATTTCAGCTAATTTTAAAATCCAAAACCGATTAACTAATCAGGTGACTGAGTCCATAGAAGGAAGGTCCCTGAAACATTTTGAAAAGTGGGTAAAATGATCCCTGAAAATACCTACACCATAAACTTGATTATATACATTGGTATATGCATGAGGATATATATACAGTACAGGAGGAATAAGCAGACATTTTGACTACCATTAGACATGAGGGCCTAATTGACTCCCATTAGACACAGATAGCCAAGCATTCAAAATATCATCATGTCCTCTTATTAGAGTTGGGGTGTTCATGGGGTGGGGGCACATAACAAATTCTGACTAAATTCTTGCTCACAGTGTGCCCACTATGTCAATGGATCCACCCATTGGTCATTTCCCCACTCTTTAAGTGTATAAATAGAACTGATGTACAAGGTAGCTGGAATAACCTCTACACTGTGTCCCTGGCTTATAGGATAAGATCAGTCATAGTGGAAAAGACCAACTGGTAATCTCTGAAACTACTCCCAACTGGACAAGTTAATAAATACAAAATATAATGTCATCCAATGATATAGAAAATTAATGCCACCACTAAAAGTCTAACACAGGGATAGTAGTCTCTACCAAATTTCCATTTAATTTAGTTCTTTAAAATAAATAATTCAGACTTTTCTGACTCAGATACATCTACTTTTCCATTTTACACACAAGAAGAGTTTATTTAAAAAATTATTCTTTTCAATTTTTGAATTATTTACTATATTATTTCACAGCAACAACAAGAAAAAAAAACCTTTAGTTCAATATATGAAAGGACTGAGATTTAGAGAAGCTAGGTGACTGCTATAGTTTGGATATTTGATCCTCCAAATCAAATGTTAAAATTTGATACTCAATGTTAGAGGTGGGGCTTAATGGGAGGTGTTTGGGTCACAGGGGTAGATCCATCATAAATGGATTTGTGCCATCGTTGTGTCTCATGTTCCCATGACAGCTGGTTATTTAAAAGAGTCTGGAACTTCTGTCTTCTCTCTTGCCTACTTTCTCACCATGTGATCTCGATCTCTACACATACCAGCTCCCCTTCCTCTTCCACCATGAATGGAAACAGCTTGAGGCCCTCACCAGATGCAAATGCCAACACCATACTTCTTGCACAACCTGCAGAACCATGAGCCAAGTAAACCTCTTTCCTTTATGTATTACTCAGCCTCAGGTATTCTTTTACAGCAATGCAAATGGACTAAGACAGAAAATTGGTGCCAGGAAGTGGTATGTTGCTATAAAGACACCTAAAAATGTAAAAGTGGCTTTAGAACTGGAGTGCTCATAAGATAGAAAAATGAGGGAAAGTTTGGAACATCTTAGAAATTGGTTAAGTGGCTGTGACCAAAATGCTGATTGAAATATAGACAGTAAAGGCCATGTTGAGGGTCTCAGACTGAAATGAGGAAATCACTGGAACTGAAGCAAAGATAACCTTTGTTATGCCCTGTCAAAGAACTTTGCTACATTGTGTCCATGACAAGCAGCAAAGTGCTCAAGAAGTAATGTGGCTGCTTTTAACAGCTTATGTTCACATGCAGGAGCAAATAAATAACCTAGAGTTGGAATGTATAATCAAAAGGAAAGCAGGGGATAACAATTTGTAGAATCCTCAGCCTGGCCATGTGGCAGAGAAGGAAAGAGTGTTTTCAGAAGAGTGCTGGGGTAGCAAACACTTGTTAAAGAAAGTAGCATGAATAAAAGGAGCCAGGTACTATTAGTAAAGACAATGGGGGAAAGACCCTGAAGGCATTTCACAAATCTGGCAGGCTTCTGGGCTTCCCATCACAGACCAAGAGCCCAAGGAAGATGGTATGGTTTTGGATGACAGGCTTGGGACAACATTGCCATGCCCCATCTCTAGAAAGTGCTCCCCACATCTCGCTGCTCAAATGGCCCCAGGTATTGTGCCTACTGCCACTGAAGGAGGCTAGAAAGTATGAGTACTAGAGGCTTGTCGGCTTCCACTGAGATTTCAGGGGATGTATTGAAAAGCCTGAGTGCCCAGGCAGAAGCCTGCCATAGGGGTGGAGACCCTGCAGACAGATGCTAGTGAGGCAATGCTGAGCAGAAATATGCGGTTGGAGGCCCTGAAGAGAGTACCCACCAGGGATTGCCTAGTAGAGCAGGGCTATGGTGCATCCATGTTCCCAGGGTGCAGGACATGGAACCAAGGGAGATAATTTTGGAGCTTTAAGATTTAATGTCTTCCCCGCTATATTTTGGATTTTCATGCAGCATGTTATCACTATATTTTGACCAGTTTCTCCCTTTTGGAATGAGATGTTTACTCAATATTTGTTCCACCATTGTATCTTGGAGATAAATAATTTGATTTTGATTTTACAGGCTCAAAGCTGAAAGGAACTTGCTTTGAGTCTCAGATGAGACTTTGGACTCTGGACTTCTGAGTTGATGCTGAAACAAGTTAAGACTTCTGGGAAGTATTGGGATTAAATGATTATATTTTGTATGTGAGAAGAACACCAGGGATTTGAGGGGCCAGGGATAGAATGCTATAGTTTTAATATTTGACCCTCCAAAGCACATATTGAAATTTGATACCCATCGTTGGAGATTGAGCCTAATGAAAGGTGTTTGAGTTGCAGGGGCAGACTCCCTGTGAATGACTTGGTGGTGTCCTTATGGTAGCAAATGAGTTCTCACTCTATTAGTTCCCAAGAGAGCTGGCTGTTTAAAGGAGTCTCTGGCTGTCACCTCTTCTCTCCCCATGTGATTGCTACACATGCCAGCTCCGCTTCCTCTTCTGCCATGAGTGGAAGCAGTTTGATACCCTCACCAGATGCACATGCTGGCACCCTACTTCTTGTACAGCCAGCACAACTGTGAGCCAAATAAACCTCTTTTTATAAATTACCCAGCCTTAGGTATTCCTTTTCAGCAATACAAACAAACTAAAATAGTGACCTACTTAAGATGGCATAAAACATTAAGAACAGAGCCAGGGTATGTCTGTAAGTGATCTCCCTAGTACTGGCCCAATTATGTTTACCATCAGAACTACACACAATATAGAGGTAAAATCTAACAAAGAGTTTGAGAACCAGCCCCTACAGAACAATGGCTAAACTGCAAAGCTGACGCACTCAGCTCTGTTACCAAAATAACAGCAATAACAGTAAAAATGGCCTGATTGAGGGGTCTCCATAAATGTTAACCTGTTTTAAAATCTCCTAAAGTTTAGCAGTAGCTTTATAAAACTTAATAATTGATAAGCTTCAAAATATCCTGTCCATATTTTTCTTAACAATGACCCAGTTTTTTAAGTGATCTAATTTACATTTCACTACTGGAAGAATTTAAATGACAAAAAACCCATCAAATATATTTTATCACACCCAAAGATTAGAATATTTTATTTTACATTGTCCATGATGACAACATAATAAATAGGATCATCTCTAAGACATGGTACACATTAACAGTAATTTTCTTTTACTTAACAAAAGAGCTATTGAATTTAAATATGCACACAAATTCAAAAGCTTAAAATAAAAAACCTCAAGATTCAAATAATTTACATACATATTCAACTTTGTGAAATTTTTCACTTAACCAAACTTTCAGTGAATTTTCTTCCAGACTATTCTGCATCAAAAAGTTTTTTTTAGACCAGGCATGGTGGCTCACACTTGTAATCCCAGCACTTTGGGAGGCCGAGGTGGGCAGATCATCTGAGGTCAGGAGATCGAGACCACCCTGGCCAATGTGGTGAAACCCCGTATCTACTAAAAATACAAAAATTAGCTGGGCGTGGTGGCACGTGCCTGTAATCCCAGCTACTCAGGAGCTGAGGCAGGAGAAATGCTTGAACCCGGGAGGTGAAGGTTGCAGTGAGCCGAAATAGCGCCACTGCTCCAGCCTGGGTGACAGGGTGAGACCCTGTCTCAACAACAACAACAACAACAACAACAACAACAACAAAAGTTGTTTTAATGCATTCAATAATGCTTGTTCAACTGTAATTTCTAGTACTTTCTAAAACCATACTGTAACTTTGTTAATAGCCTTAAAATTCATTTGTTTTCTGAAGTACAAAGTTGTAAAATATTAAACATATTTAAGATGTTTCCTCAAATTTCATTTTAAGGAACAATTTAAAGTACGAATGCACTTTTTACACATATTAGTGATAAATATGTTTATAGAAATACATTATAGAAATTATAATATTTTAAGGTGCATGGATGAACATGATTGTTTTCAGAGTAAACTGACCAATATGGCAAAGGTTTCTCTTATCAAGAGAAGTAGAAAAATGAACAAGGAATGTGTAAACCGTAGAAAATACTTTACAAATCTGAAGGGCTGTAAATGGAAATGAGAAATTGAAATTGTTATATATGGGCCCACATGGAGGAATTAGGAGAGATATCATAGGGAGGCAGATTTCAGCTCAGTTATAAAGAACAATTTGTTATCTGATGATAGAAAATGCCATCTGAGGAGCTAGTGAGCTTCCTGTCATTAAAGGCATTCAGGCATAAAACTGATCAGTGGTTGGGCAAATTATGTCCACAGGCTGAATTCAATCCACCAGCTGTTTTTATAATAAAGTTTTATTGGAACACAGCCACTCCCATTTGTTTCCATATTGGCTTTGTCTGCTTTAACACTATAGCAGAAAAGTTGCATAGATGCGATGAAGACCATACAGCCCACAAATCTTGAAATATTTACTATCTGGCCCTTAATGGAAAATGTTTGCTGACTCCAGTGAAGAAGGTATTAGAAATTCAAATACTTTATGGATATCTGGACAAGACAATCAAAAAGATGATGGTTACTTTGTGTTTAGACAAGTTCCAAATACATCATCTGTGCTAAGGATTGAGTTGTGCAGGTCTTTACTGTATGGCAGCCCAGCCAAGTTGGTGAGTGTTGGTTAAAATTCATACTGCACTATTTCCAAATTTGTGTGCCATGATGTGGGGCTGTATCTGCCAGAAGGAGAAGTCATATTTGTCTAATTTGTACAAAGGCACCCAAATGACCAGCATAAACTTCACACGTGAATAATAATGTTAACAAAAATAAGATCTCTTCCAATCCAGAGGATCTACGATCTCATAACACAGATATTTTATAACTTAAACTCCTAACCCAGAGTCTCTACATTTACATCCCATGGAAATGAAAATAAATGTTCCCTGAAAACAGTTTTCATGTTTTGAGAAATGCTACAAACTATAACCTCTCTTGTAGAATGACATATTGCAAATTAGCATTTTAAAAGCTTTGAGAAGTAATGCCAGTTGAAAACCAACCAAAAGAGCACTATTTAACTTTAGGACATGTAGCATTTTACAAAGCTGCTTCACTGTGGAGCCCTTTTTATGAACCTACAACGAATATGTCACACAATTAACAAAATTAACTAAGAAATAAACAAATTGGTTTAGTTCTTGTAGATGTAACTAATCCATGTGGTGCATGCATTGTTAATTTCATTAATTAAAACAGGCTATAATTATTTATGTGATGGGGGACACAAAGTTATCCTCTTTCCACTGAATCCATTGGCTATTAAATAGTATAACAGCAAAATAATCTTGCACAAGTACATTTCAGCTATGTTACCTCTCCTCTGTGGGATATATTTAAGCATATAAAGCTATTCAAGACATACTCTATGATACTTTAAGGTTTTAGAATTGGTCGATTATCTAACAGATTGACAGGACATATATCAGAATACAGGCTTGAAAAGTTCAAAGTCAGTCAAAGCAAACTTTTACCTGAAGAAGGTGACAAAAAACTGCACAAGGTCCATGATTGTATTGTGTTGTGAGAATGCAATCTGAAAAATCAAAATAAAAAAAATTGAAAGTATGTTCTTCTCTAAAACCTGTGGTGATATTTCATGACATTTGTAAATACAGTTTTTCTAAATCACCAAGACATTTGGATCATGATATTATAAATCAAATATGTGATGGAATGAAAATTTCATCTAGAATACCTAATATATCCAACTGCTAATGATGGTCATAGTGTAGAATACGACATTAAATATTTTAAAAACTATTATATAATTACTTTAAGGATGCACGCTAAGAGTTTCATGTGAAATACTATGACAGATTAAATATGCCTAACCAAAACACCCACATTTCAACTCAGCTAAGAAAACAGGGAATTTTCTCCCTATATAACTTCATCTGGGGAAGCTTCATATATATATACAAATGTTTTGTTACACACCATTCAAATAATAAAATATGTCACATCATTTTAAAACTTGTTAATGTTAATAAGAAGTTAATTTTAAAAGGTGAAACTAGCCAAAAAGTTGAAGTCGTTCTCCATTTCTGTTAACATTATAGAGATCATACTGTAACATCTGTCCTGAGGAAGTGTATTATAGTATATCAATCAACAATATAGCATCTGGATAGAGAATAACTGATTGTGTAATGTGGTTTTTCAATTACTAGCCCTGTATATTTTGAAAAACTAGTCTATTTCTCAGTTTTCCCATATGCGAATGGTAATAATAAAAGCATCTACCTTATAATGTTATAGAAAATCTAACTGAATAGAAATTTAATGTTTACCATAATTTCTGGCATGTAAAAGTTACAATATAAACATTATTAAACTTTTGTATCATGTATAAATGAGATGTCAATATAAGTGAGTTTTCCCACATTGCTGAAGCTAAACCATTCAGGTATTAAAATCTCTTTTTCTTTTAATAATATTTTATGAAAATGTTGCAAAAACATAATAGAATTTCTACTGAAAATGGACTAAAAGGAATGAGTTTTCCCTCCTGCTGTAAACAACTGGAAAACTAGGTGAAGTATCTGAAACAACCAATTTCAGGCATTGGACAACTGGCCAGAGATTATGATCCCTGAGTGAAGAAAAACAAAGGAAATTAATCCTATAATTGTCCCAGCTTCCAGTGCAAGGAAAGAACACTAAGGAATTTAAATGGCATTCTAAAATAAGGGATGTCAGTATTTCTTATGTAAAGAATTACAGTAAGTTGAGAAAATGATTCTTTGGCATGTACATGTAAGCTTAAATATAGTAATATTCATTTCCTACAAGCTTCTAAGCTATTGAATTATGAAACACTTATACAAAGGCTGAAGAAAGATAATTGGCATAGGAGATTGGTTATAGGTGAAAATATTATAAAAGATTAAAGAAAAAACATCTTTTAAAGTTTAAAAGAATGAATTTTCTTCCCAGGTCTTTGTCCATAGAATATCATAGAAAGGAAGCTTATCAAAGAATATTGTCAACAAGAACTTAAATCCATGGTAACAGAATTCTGGAAACAATAATTAAGAACAGGAAAAATCTTCAAAATGATAATATTTTGAAATCATAATAAAGAAAATTAGTTTATTTAAGACAAATTGGAATAGGAGGAAACCTTACGCAATGTTGATAAATACCTAAATGAAAAGGGGGCATAAGGACCTTGAACAAAGGCTTGAATAAATTAGCAAATATATAAAAAAAGAGAACAGATGAAATAACAAATAAAATAATAAACATAACATAAAATTAACTGAATAAGATACAGTGCAATTGCAGTAAATGTCAACAGGGTGAATCCACATTGAAAGACAGAGATTTTTGCAGTAAAGATACAATTCAGCTTTACGTTTTTAGCAGAAAACACATATAGAACAGTGACACATTTTTATCTAAAATATAAAATACTGTAAGAAGATATAATAGGCACTTAAAAACAATAAAACATATAAACCAATATTAATAGCAAAGTGAAATTCAAAGGCAAAACCTGATCAAATAAAACACTGAGACAAAGAAAACATAACAATAATAAAACAATATGCACCAAAAATACAGGCCAAGTAAGTAAAAACACAATCTCTGGACATATAAGGGGAATTTGATAATGGCAAAATTTTGGAAGAAATTATTAACATGCATATCTCTTTTAAAAGTTATCTGATCAAAGAGACACAAAATTGATCTACTTAAATCATTTAAATCATGTAAAAATATTCAAGAAATAGTCACTAAACAAGCTCTGTTCTACACCATTGTAATAAGACAAAGCTCCTATTATTTTGGCTTTTATGTTCTAATAGCAGGAGGGAGAAAATAACCAGGTGAACTTGTAGGGGGATATCACAATTGTTGACAGTGGTGTTTTGAGTGGAAAAAAACAAAGATGATATGAGCTAGGAGGATTTGCGGCTAATTTGGATCCGGTGGTTAGAGCTGCTGGCCTCACTAAAGGGGTGATATATGAGCTTATATCCAAATAAGAAGTTTAAAAACACACAAATATCTGTTGGTAGAGGTTTCTCAAGTGTAAAGATGATGATTAGGTTAGACATGTTTATGAAAAGTCATAAGATCTGGAGTATTGTGAGCAAAGGACAGAGTAGTTGTAAATAAATTCAGATTAGAAAGCAAAAAGCAAGTCACATAGGTCGTTGGCCATGACAAAGAGTTCGGAATATATTATAAGGGCAATGGGAACCCATGGAAAGTTTTGAGCTATGGGAATGACATGATCTAACTCTCAAGAAAAATATCATTCTGGCTGTTGGGTGAGAAAGAAATAATTGGGGAAATCCAGAAGATAAGAGAAGAGGATATTTGATTTTTCTAGTCATAAGGCAATAGTAGCTTGCACAAGGGTAGTAGTCATCAAGACAAAAATAAGTAGTTAGGTACATAATTTAGAGAGAGAAGTGAGGAGACGTGCTGAAGGATTAGATTTGACAGGTGAATGAAGAAAGATTAGATATGACAGGTGAATGAAGGAGAAGAATCAGTCATGACTATTGTAGTTTGCTCTCACAAGAACAAGTGGAAAGATGATATTTCTACTTATTGAGAATAGAAAAGTGCCATGAGGATCAAGGGAGAAATAAGGAAAGAAAAACTTACTTAGAATATGTTAAATGTGAAATACCTATTAAATGTTCAAGAGTAGACAGTAACTACTAGCTTGAAGCTCACAGGAAAGGTTAGATTTAAAAATTTGGAAATCAAAGGAACATAAATGTCATCTTAAATCATGTACTTGTTTGATAGTCCCTAGGAGACAGAATAGATGCAGGAGAAATTATCTCTAAGAGGATATTCAGGGCCACCCCATCATTAGAGCTTAAAAAAAAGAAGTGGAAAGGTAGGTGGGAGGAAACCAGGAAAGGGTTGTGCCAAGATGATCAAAGAACAGAAATGTTGCAAGAAGAAAGTAGTGGTTGATTTTGTTGGTTAAGACGAGGATGAAAATATGGCTACTGGATTTGACAACATGAACTTCATGAGTAATTTAAACAAATGAACTTCCAACAGAGTGGTGGGGATGTTAATATAAACAGAATAATATAAGGAGAATGTGGAACATTACAAAGTAGAAACAAACTACAGGCTGAACTTTCAAGAAGTTATGTTACAAAACAGAGCAGAAATCATCAAGAACACAGATGATTTAAAATATATTTTTAATCCATAGAACATTTTAAAAAGAAGACAATAAACATTGTACAGAGAAAGTATTTTAAAAATCTAAATGGTAGCTTTTATAAGGTACATTAACATATTCCAATAAAATAAAATTAAAACTATAATTTCACATATGGCCAAAACAAGCTTAACTACTTAGAAATTAACAAATGCAATCCAAGGGACAGAGTTCTGAGTGGGCAGTGGGCGTAGCAGGATAGTTTTTGATATCCTTGACTTCCAATATTAAAATATATAGCAGCTAAATTGAAAAGCCAAAAAAAAAAAAAAAAAGAACAACTATTCTAACAAAAGTAAGTGGCAGACTATCTATCCCCTTAAATGTCAAAACATAAACTGGTACGGGTAAATGACAAACTCAAGCTGTGGAAGGTACCAGTGTCTATGAGGCAGGAAAAAGAGGGAATCAATAGGAAAACTCAAAAGTTTCAAAAAGGTATTAACTGGAACTAGGCCAGGCCAACTTGAATAAGGAAGTGAAAACAGAAGTGTAGAGTTGCTCAATACAAGACTAGGTTAGTTGAAGGGATCCTGAGGAAGTTCTAAAGAAGCCTGGAACAGTTGGAGTACATGAACTTTCAAAAGCAACCAGTCAAATCTCTATTCCAGGACTGGTCTCATAATGAGGAGAAACTGCTAAAAGTGAAAATCGAAATTAAGCAGAATAAAATAAATATAGACAAAACAAAGAAGGTCCAACAAAAGTGGGGAAAGGAACTGAGATGGAAAATTTTCAAAGAGCAAGTGGCACATTTTTAGGGGAAAAAAGCATTGATTATTAAAATATATAATATTCAAATATGAGTCTTCACTAATCCCCTTGTGCAATCCCTATTTAACTCATTATCACTCCCAAATATCTGCCATTCTTTAACATATAAAGGATTTGGCATTTCTTTAATTTAAATGGTGTATAAGTAGTGGGAGTAACCAACAGACTAACAATATACTTAAATTGATGAAGCACATGATTCAGGCTGGAACTGCAGAATTTTATTATGGTTTACCTGCCATCTGTGGGTCCATATAACTAAGTACCTTATAAGAAAGATCATAATTTCAGGCAAGTAAGCAAGACATAGGCACACATGAAACATCTCTATATATTTTTTTTACATCTGCCCAAAGAATATTTGAATAAATAAAGTAGCCAGAGGAAACTGACTACTTCTTCAAGTAAAAGTCAGGAAGTAAAGAACCAAAACATTCTAAAACTTGAAATAATTACATTATCTATCTTTACCTATTAATAAACATAATAAAGACAAATGTAAAAGTTTTCATAAGAAATATGAATGCTATTTTGATTCCAGCTTGTTTTCAGAGAATAAGCTGAAATACCACTTCTTGGGGGTGATGAGACACTTGGACCTCCCAAAATTAACACTGTTTTTAAAATTATCAAAAATAACAGCTGCAGTTCAAATTAGGTTACACATGATACTTGAACATTAAGTAAAGTACTGATTGAAGACCTCAACCAACTCCTGCTACAGATAATACTCTCCTACCTTTTACAATAATGAGTATTAATGGTGGGATGAAGTGTATGGGTAAAGTCTCTATAAAAAGTACCATCTGAAATACAGACTTTCTTAAAAACTGATGCAAGGGACACTCAGAGTAACAAATCTGTTAAAATAAATGGCACTCAAGAGTAAATGTAGACTCAGCACAAGCAGTTTTTGTACTTGGAGTCCCAGCTGGAGGCTACAGGCTCAGGTTGAATATATTCCATACTGGCTATTCAACAGAAGAGTCAGCACTACAATTTGTTGTACAAATATTTCAAAATGTTCCTCCACCCGAGACTTTCCATAGAAAATTCCACAGGAAATTGCCTATGGAAAATACTGTTGCAGTCCATTGTCAGGTATATACTTTAAAAATAAGATATAATTAATTATGGAAATGGAAGGCAGATACAAGGATGATTTTGTAAAATTAGTAAGCAATGCCAAGCAGACACTAACTCAATCAGATTCTCTTTCAAGATTCCCTCCTTAAGGGGTATACATTTATGCATATATCAAATAAATCACTAAGTATCTATTATATTCTGGGCATTGTACCAGGTACTTGGATGTATCAGTTAAAAATAAAAGCTAGCAGTGAAAAAATTCTTAGTGGGAGAGCAGATAATAAATGGCGATAATAATAAATTATATAATATGTTGGAACTCAGTAAGTGCTATGAGAAAAAAGAACATGAAAAATATCCTGTCTTCTACTACTCACGTGGGTGGGACAAGAAATCGCTTTTTAACATCTAAAAATATGCAGAAGTGCTGAGATCAAACAGGAAAATTTGATACAGAGAGCAGAAAGAAATGAAGCACAGCATTAGGTTCAAGTGTATCTGGCTATTCTCAGTTTTTCTCTGTCTACAATAGCATACAGCAGTTCCAGGCCCCTTCTAATAAAACTGGAAACTGCAGGGGTGCCCAATCTTTTGGCTTCCCTGGGCCACAGTGGAAGAAAAAGAATTGTCTTAGGCCATACGTAAAACACACTAACGATAGCTGATGAGCTAAAAACAAAAAAACAAATCGCAAAAAAATCTCATAATGTTTTAAGAAAGTTTACAAATTTGTGTTGCACTGCATTCAAAGCTGTCCTGGGCTGCATGTGGCCCATGGGCTGCAAGTTGGACAAGCCTGGTTTCTAGGAAAAGGAATAAGCACAAAGGAGAATCATTCTTAAGTGATGTAGGGCAACTGGTCTTCACATGGCTTGCTCTGTATCATGTAGGTCTCACCGTAAATATTGCACTTCTTAAAGACACTCATGTAAAGTAATTTACCACCCCCTTACTCTATAGTATTGTATAAAACTATGCTTTTCAAACTACAATCTAAAATTATTTTATTTTACTGGTTGATCATTAGTTAAAATGTCTTTTCCCCACTAAAATGTAAGCTCCTCGAGAACAGTAGCCTTGTTCATATTGTTCACAGCACTCTTCCAATGACTAGAACAGTAGTTGGTAGACAGTATATAGAAAGCACTCAATAAAACTACTGAATAAATAAATAAATTATTATAAATAAATGAATGTAATTTAGAAATATTTATAAATATAAATAAATAACTTCAAGAAATTTATAGAATAAATAGATTCAATAGCAAGATTTAGCACAGGAGTATTCTTAGGACTTCAAATATCCTTATTAAAAGCTATGAAAGGAAGAAGGTACAGATGTTATTGTGTCTCAATTAGGTGGCATTACATGAAATATTATTTCTTAATGTATTAAAAATGATACCATCTTAAAAGAATGATTATTTAGCCAACTGCTTTTAAAAAACAGTGAGACAATAACGGCAACAATATTCTAAATTTGTATTTTCTATGAAAGTATATCTTCTCAGGGTATGGGATATTTATGACTGTAAAATCTATTATGTTCTAATTAGGAAGATTCCTATTTGTTGATGCCATGGCTAGAACATGACTCTTGCAAATAACGTTTTCCATTTAGTTCTGTGGTATTCCCATGAAAAATATGACATGTTTACACAAGTTACATTTAAAGTTAGTTTTAAAACTTAAGCCAGTATAAATGCACCTTTGTAATTCTGTCTTCGGTAATAATTTTATTCATTATACAGTGATTATTCAAACAATAATCAAAATAAAGACTGATTAGTGACACAATTTCATATTCTCATCTTCCCCATCTGTTTAAAAAACCCCCAAAATAATTGATAAGACAACATGCTAAAAATTAAGTTAGCTGAAACTACAGTAACCCTGATAATACATTTTGTCAATTCAAATGTAAATGTAAATTCATACTGAAAACATGTCCAAAATCTAAAACTTGAATTTAAGATATGCTATATTTTTAATGAATTAATAATAATGATCAATATTTTAAATTTTATGATTTTATAAAAAAGTTGCATTAAATGCATTTGGACAGAGAAGTAGATTAATAGCTTGATATTTACTACAAAATGTCAAAATTTGTGGGAGAAAATTTCTTATTTTATGAAAGATAAATTGATGTGTTTGTGCAAAACGTCAGCTTGCCAGACATAATAAACTCTGATATAATATTTCAGATAAACAAAAAAGGAAAATGTAATATAAAAGAATGTGCTAAAATTATCAAGTTCATCTAACGAACTGAAGGGAAAGAGAGGGTCTTGCAAACCACTATTTGGATTTAAAAGCATAGTTACATAAAGGATGCTAGTTAACTAGTCATATCTTAAAGACAATCGGGCTGTTTCAGGCAAACAACTTGAGATCTTATTAGGTTATATTCTTACTTGTTCTTTTAAAAAATATAAATAAATTCAAATTGGAGATTAAATTAGCTGTTACTAAGATCCACGATGAAATCTATTCCATATAAACTTTCAACAGATAATTAATACAATAATAATGTATATAATTCAGACAAGGTAATATTTTTAAAAATATGGTTACACAGAAAATAGACAATTGTAAAAGACAAAATAAAACATATTTCTGGAATAAAACATGAGGAATAAATATACCAGACAGCTCTGCATAAGTATTATAGCATATTATTCTGATGATAAATCCTTGGATATTGTTTATAAACATTAAATAGTTTAAGTTCTTTCTATAGCAAACACATGCCTAATGAATGAAGGCACTCATAACTTTCCTCATGGTTTAATACACAAACTTAACTGACAAAGTGCTCTCTTTAACCCCAAAAGAGGTTTCTGTGATTCTCCTCCAAACACTTCTTAATTCCCTTGCTTAAATTTCCTCAGTGTTTCTCCCTCACTTTTATGACGTCCAATCACATTAACATATCATATACCAATCTTAGAAACTTAGCCTTGCTTCTTTCTCTGCTAATAGCATTAACACTGCAGTCAAATAACAGTACAGGCATATGTTGGAGATGTTGCAAGTTTAGTTACAGACTACTGCAATAAAGTTAATATCGCAATAAAGTGGGTCACAAAATTTTTTTGGTTTCCCAGTGCATATAACAGTAACATTTACACAATGCTGTAGCCTATTAAATGTGCAATAATATTATGTCTAGAAGAAAATATATATAAAATACTTTATGGCTAAAAACTGCTAATGATCATCTGAGCCTTTAGCATGTTTTCTTTTTGCTGGTGGAGGGTCTTGCCTCAGTGTTGACAGCTGCTGCCTGATCAGGGTAATGGTTCCTGAGGGTTGGAGTGATTGTGGCAATTTCTTAAAATAAGACAACAATGATATTTGCCACAATGACTGACTGCACCTTTCAGGAAAGATTTCTCTGCAGCATGCAATGCTGTTTCATAAAAATTTACTAACAGAACTTTTGCAATTGGAGTCAATCCTCAAATCCAGCTGCTTCTTTATCAAGTTTATGTGATATTCCAACTCATTGTCATTTCAACAATGTTCACAGCATCTTCACCAGGAAAAGTTTCCATCTCCAGAAACTACTTTATTTACTCATCCATAAAAACCAACATCTCATTAATAAAGTTTTATCATTACATTGCAGCAATTCCGTACATCTCCAAACTCCACTTATAATTCTATCAATATTACTCATGCTATCTCTACCACAAGTGCAGTTACTTCTTCCACTAATATCTAGAACCCCTCAAAGTCATCTATGAGGGTGGGAATCAACTTCTTCCAAACTCAAGTTAATGTTGATATCTTGATCTACTCCCATGAATCATGAATGTTATCAAAGGCAATTAGAATGATGAATTCTTTCCAGAGATTTTTCTTTGCCTAGATTCATCAGAGGAATCATCACCTATGTCAGCTATAGCCTTACAAAATGTATTTTAATAAAAATAGTACAAAAAATCAAAATTACTCCTTGATCCACAGGCTGCCAAATGGTTATTGTACTTAGACCATTCTTGCATTACTATAAAGAAATACCCAAGACCAGGTAATTTATAAAGAAAAGGGGCTTAATTGGCTCATAGACCCACAGGTTGTACAGGAAACATGATGCTGGCATCTGCAAGGCTTCTGGGGAAGCCTCAGTAAACTTAGAATCATGGTGAAAGGTGAAGGCGGAGCAGGCACAGGAGCAGGAATGAGAGAGTGAAGAGGGGGTACTACACAATTTTAAACAACCAGATCTCTCAAGAACTCACTCACTATCAGCACCAAGAGAACAGCATGAAGGGGATGGTGCTAAACCATTCATGAGGGATCCATCCCCATGATCCAATCACCTCCCACCAGGCCCCCACCTCCAACACTGGGGATTACAACTGAACATGAGATTTTGGTGGGGACACCACCCAAACCGTATCAGTTATTGTGTTAGCAGGCATGAAACAGCATTAATCTCCTTACACATCACCTTCAAAGCTCTTGAGTGACTAGGTATACTGTGAATGAGCTGTACTATTTTGAAAGAAGTCTTTTTTTTCTAAGCAGTAGGCCTCAACAGTGGGCTTAAAATATTCAGT
Organism: Homo sapiens; assembly: GCF_000001405.40. Taxonomy (NCBI): domain Eukaryota; kingdom Metazoa; phylum Chordata; class Mammalia; order Primates; family Hominidae; genus Homo; species Homo sapiens. The sequence continues at coordinate 115,509,159 of NC_000010.11, read as the reverse complement.
AAACCATGCTGTAAATAGATATGCTGTCATGCTGGCTTTATTGTTCCATTTATAGAACATAGGCAGAACATGTTTAGCATAATTCTTAAGGACCGTAGGATTTTCAGAAGGGTAAATGAGCACTGGCTCATTACCAAGGCTCATAATCACCAGATGCATTAGCTCCTAACAAGAAAGTCATCCTGTCTTTTGAATTTTGATGTCAAGCATTTACATGTCTTCTTTGCTATAAAATTCCTAGGTGGTATCTTCTTTTAGAAAGCTGTTTCATATACATTGAGAATCTGTTATTTAGTGTAGCTACTGCATCAATTAAGTTAGACATGTATCTTCTATATCAGCACTTACTGCTTCACCTCGCACTTTTGTTATGAAGATGGCTTCCTTACTTAAACCTCATAAACCACCTTCTTCTGGCTTCCAAATTTTCTTCTGCATCTTCCTCACCTCTCTCAGACTTTGTAGAATTGAAGAAAGTTAGGCTCTACTCTAAATTAAGCTTAGGTTTACGGGAATGTTATAGTGGTTTTGATCTTATATTCGGACAACTAAAACTTTCTCCATATCATTAAAAAGGCTATTTCATTTTCTTATGATTTGTGTGTTCACTAAAGTAGCATTCATTTCCTTCAAGAATTTTTCCTTTGCATTCACAATTCAGCTAATTCTTCGGACAAGAGGCCTAGATTTCGGCCGTATTGGCATTCAACATGCCCTCCTCACTAAGCTTAATCACATGTAGCATTTGATTTAAAGTGACAAGACATGCAACAATTCTTTTCATTTGAACACTGGGAAGCAATTGTAGCATTATTAAACAGCTTGATTTCAATATTGCTGTGTCTCAATGAAAAGGAGGCCTAAGGAGATGGAGACAGAACTTCCAGTCAATGGAGCACTCAGAACAAACACCACATTAATTAAGCTGACTTGTTTTATATAGGTACAGTTTTTGGCACCCCAAAACAATTACAAAAGTAACATCGAGGAGCACTGATCACAAATTGCCATAATCTATATAGTAATAATTTTAAAAATAAAAATATTTTAAAAATAACCAAAATGTGGTGCAGAGACACAAAGTGAGTACATGATATTGGAAAAATTGCACGAACAGACTTGCTTAACCTATGGTTACCACAAAACTTCAATTAGTAAAAAAACTACAACATCTCTGAAGTGCAATAATGCGAAGTAAAATACAACAAGGTATGCCTATACCAGCAGTTTCAAAAACTTGACATACATTAGCAAACCTCTGTAACCCTGTTTGGCACAAACTTTTCCCTCATCCCTTATACCTTCCACCCATGGGTAACTCTTATTCTAGAATCATTGCCTACCAGTTCTGGATTTTGTGTGAATGGCAATCCTCATTTTACTCCTGATTTCTCTACATATACTTCTACAATACTACTACTAAAAAGAGCTGATATTCATAAAGTGCTTACTATTTCCCAGGCACTGTGCTAATTACTTTTCGTACATTAACTGACTTAATACTCCGAATTACCTCATCAATTAGGTAATGTTATTAATTTCATTTTATAGATGATAAATCAAGGCTTAGAAGGTTACCCAGTCAATAAGTAGTGAAGCTGAAATGAAAATCAGTGCATTCTGACTCTAGTTCTTAAGTACTACACTTTCCTAACAACAATTAGTCACAGTGTGTACTATCATTATTAGGTTACCTGTCCTTTTTCTTCATGTGACTTTATAATATTTGCAATCACGCATTTGATTATTATATTCCTAGTAACTAGCAAAAAATCCTAGCATTTTTACTTATTGAATTGCAGTATCTACTAGAGATGTAACACTTGAGAAAGGAAAATAAATCTGGGGGCCCCCAAATCACTAAGCTAAAGGGAAAAATGAAGCTGGGAACTGCCTAGAGCCAACCTGCTTCCCATTTCATTCAAAGTCGCCCCTCTGCTCACTAAGATAAATGCATATCTGATTTCCTCCTTTGGAGAAATTAATCAGAAACTCAAAGGAATGCAACCATTTGTCTCTTATCTACCTATAACCTGGAAGCCCCCTCCCTGCTTCAAGTCTTCCCATCTTTGCTTCAAGCTGTCCTGACTTTCCAGACTGAACCAATGTTCATCTTATGTATGTTAATTAATGTCTCATGTCTCCCTAAAATGTATAAAACTAAACTGTGTTCTAATCACTTTGGGCACATGTCATCAAAACTTCCTGAGGCTGTGTCACAGGCACATGTCCTCAACCTTGGCAAATAAACTTTCTAAATTAACTGAGACCTGTCTCAGATTTTGGGGGTTCACATTTTGGTAACCACAAGGCAATTCTGACTGGAGATGCCTCTGACCTTTCACAAATCTCCTATTGGTGCTTGATATCAGCATAAGCAAACATTATGGCTCCAATAGGACAATTTGCTGAGGTCTGGGAGCATACCGTCCAGAGAATCCCTGATCTCCCAAAATTTGGTCGAGATCTAAAGTTTATTTTGCCGTACAACTTCCCTTTTTTGGAGTTTTACTTGCTTCCAACAAGGAAGGCAAGATTTTCTGTTTCCATGATGATGAAAGGCAGATAACTCCTTTATGGAGTTTGAGCTCATTTGCAGCAGGGAAGATGAGTTCAGGTTTTTGTTTTTTAGTTTTTTTTCCAGCTTCTAGGCTGGTAGAGTACGGTCTTCAGCCTGAGACCCATCCCTAGGTAAGTAGCTAAATTGGGGTTTTGTCTTGGCTAAGTTTAAGAACCAGCTGGTCTTAATTTCTCCTTACCATTACAATATTCAGTAATCACATAATGTGTTTGTTTGCTGTCGTTTGTTTGTTTAACTGTTTTTGTTGTTGTTGTATGTTTGTTCCTATTTTTATTGTTCCTTCAGTCTTTTTCCCATTGGGTTTAACCAACTCTATCAGACTTGATAAAATTTGAAGGAAAATTCCAAATTATGGGGAACAAGGCCTCTGAAGTGGCTAAATTCCCCACCACCACCCCTGACACCCTGCCACAACACATGCACACAAAGGTGGTGTAGTGGGGGAGAAAATGGACAGCAAAAGGGAAAAAGAAATGAATTTTTTTTTTAATTTTAACTACTAAAGGGGCTTTATTTACATAACAAGGCCACCTTTTTACTAGCCAGGCCAAACTGAAAGAACAATGGCTGTCCACCCATGCTGGAGTTCAACAGCTAAGGTTCTGCCTTCTTTTTTTTTTTTTCTTCCACCAGGACACCCTGGGTTTGGTTCCTGAATCCAGCCCTTTCTGGTTTGATACTTGGTACTTCTGAAATAGCAGCAATTTCTCCTAGCTGAAATATGATAATGAGATTTAAAAAAATTTTTAAAGGAGCTCAGTGGTTAAGCTTAATTAAAAGTCATTATCCAAGACGTGTGTGTGTGTATGTGTGCCTGTGTGCCTGTTTGTATTTAAAAGGCGTTCATGTTTTTTTTTCTCTCCTAGAACCTTGCCTTTTTTTGAGCAAAATATTTTTTCTTCTCAGTTAACTGAATTCTGTTTTCTCCATTTACATCTACTCTCTCTCCTTTCTCTTGCACCATCTACTACATGTGGGACCTAAAATAGTTTAAAATATCTTGGGGGTCCTTAAAGAAATCAAAGAAGGTACCTAGCTCCCTTTTGGGGAGGAACTTCTGTTTTTTGTTTGTTTGTTTGCTTTTTATGGAATACCAAAAGAATATACAGACAAGTTTGTCTCAGCTCTTAAATAAACTGCTTGCTTTCGTATTTTGTAACCTGATTTTTTTAACTAAAATACCTATTACAACAGAGGCTACTTTTGGGTTTTAAGGAAGCATGCAGTTCAAACACTTAGAAATATCTTTGTTTAAAAAGAATTATTTTAAGTGCACTGTAAAAGCATGGATGCCATGCTAGTCTAAGATCATGATTATTCTCCCTTTTTGGAGACCCAGGATTCAGTGTGGGCTCTGCCCAGAGCTCAAAGATCCAGTTAAAATATATGTAGTCTGTATCTAAATAAAATTGGTCTCCTTATACAATTCTATGACAGATTTCTATAATTTTATGTTTAATTTGGCATCCATCTTTAATCTCCCTCTAGCACCACCAGACTTTTTGTCTCAGTACCTTATTATGTAAATTTTGTAATTTGATTTTCACCTGAGTTGTCTCCTTTAATATGCAAATTTAAGGCTATTTAGCTGAAAACTGCTCTGGGTTATAAAACATGTTATTAAGAATCTAAAAGTCTAAGATAGAAAAAAAGGTCTTTATAAATCTATAAATCTAAAGATGTACTTCTATAGGCATGCCTAATACATCTATGTATTTTTGTGTTGTGTACACAATGTTTCACTACTGAAAATATATAAAAGATCTCTAATTGGCTTAAGAAAATAAAAGTGCTTAAATCAAATACTTTATCATGAAAAAAGAAAAGGCTAGTCAAATGCTTTTTCAAGTTTATTTAACTTAAGTAAAATCTTTAATAAATAAGCCAGCTTTAAAATTATTGGTAAAGTAATATTAAAAATGTGTTAAGAATTGCCAGCATACATTCTTTGTATTTATTATTCAAGTAATTTCATACTTATTCCTTTCAAATACTATACAGTGTCAAAATTTGGCTATAAACTTTAAACCCAGCCCAAGAGAAAATAATCTTTGCTTCCATAATCTTTAGTAAATAAGACATTAACATGAGTTTAATAAAAATAGATACATCTTAAATTTAGTAAGATTACCATAACTTCTAATTCTGTGGCTTTAGGTGGACTAGTCCACAGGCAATACGGTTTGTTTTGGGAAGGGAATGTTATCTTCATCTTTGATTCAAAGCTAAACTATAAACTAAATTCCTCCTAATTTAGTTTGTTCAGCCAATACCGAGGAATGAACAAGAATCAAGATGAAGTCAGTTAGATCAAATCTTTTTTACTGTCTCAGGTACAATTTTGCAATGGCAGTTCAATAACTTTAAATAATGACTATTTCAGTTTTCATACACAATCTAGGTAAATGATAAAAAGAAAATAATTAGGTAAATGTAATGGGATAAATACTTGTAAACAAAAGTGTTATAATTTAAAATCTAAAGTTAAATTAAATAATAGATATTTCATTATTTGGGCATTTTCCAATAATAATATATTTGTATAAAAACATTCTTTCTTGAAAAAAAGTGTGTCCTTTTTGAAAAGGTGAACAAATTTTGTCTAATTCAAAGCTAATTTAAAGGTTATATTACAAGAAGGTAAAAGGAACCAGGAAATAAGAAAGATGTAAAGGAAGTTGTAAAAATAAAAAGGGTTTTTTGGTAAAAAAGCTTAAAGAAAAATAATTTAATATGAAAAAAAATCTTGTAGGGTAGATTTAGTCCTATAATAAAATAACTGGTTGTTTAAGAAAAAGTGATGTTCAGGACAAACCAGAAAGTCCAAGCATGTCATGAACAGTCTGGGTAAGTCACAAGAAGAGAATTTATTAAAAAAATAAAAATAAAAACTTTTACATAATAAAGTTGTCTATAATTAAAGGGAAATTGTAATGGTCTTTTTAAAGACTGGGCTTGATATATACAAAAACACTCATACACTACATAATTGGTTAAAACAATGAAATTTTCTTAAGGGATTGATTTACTCAATAAATTATATGAGATTTTAATTTGTTTTTAACACAATGTTCAACTTGTATTGCATCTCACCGTTTTAGGTTTTCTCTCCCCTTTTAAGGGTGTAAAATAGCAAAACTTCTCCTTCAACACATTTTCAGCTCATATAATTTTTTTTCCTCATGTCCTGTTTGTTATTGCCTGAGACTAACAATATTTTCTTAAAGCTCTAAAGAAAATATTTTCTTCCATCATAATATTGTGTACAGTGCAAAAGGCCTTTTCTTTTCCCTTTGGTAACTGGCCTAAAAGATTTTACAGTTTATCGAAACAATTCCTATGCCATTATTATTAAGTTTTGGTTTGCTTAGGAAAATAACTAAAATTAATTTTTTTAATTAAGGTTATTACATATGTGTATCCTTCTTCATGTGCTTTTAAAGTCCTTGTAATATTAAGTTACATGGTTTTAAATCCTGAGTCTAAAAAGGACACCAAGTCCTGCTAAAGCATAAACACTAAAAGCAGTTACAGCCTTATCTTCAGGCCCGGTAAAAGATGCCAGTCAAAATAAACTGTATTCCTGAGACATACAGGGCCAGAAATTAAAGCTATTCAACTCCTCAAGGCCCAAAAACTATCGCAGAGGAGGTGGGGATGTGAGACTGTTAGGGCCTTTTTTTAAAATTATACTTTAAGTTCTGGGGAACATATGCAGAACATGCAGTTTTGTTACATAGGTATACACGTGCCATGGTGATTTGCTGCACTCATCAACCCATCATCTACATTTGATATTTCTCCTAATGCTATAGGGCCATTTTTAAAGATAAAATCAGTTCAGTTTATCTATAAATCAATCATTAATGTCAAAGGCACATTAAGGCAATACCAGCATATGTACAGCTGTGTCAGATTAACAAGGTTTTCTTAAAGCATTAACCGACTCCTTAATAAAGGTTATAAGAGGATTATGGAAGTTATATCCTATGGTCAGGATTAAAATTTTATAAATTGTTTATAAAATTAAAAAAAAATTAATTGGCTTCATGCTATTTTTACTAGGGCTTCTTGTTTGTAAAATTAAGTCTCCTCTCTCAAAAAATAAGGGTTTTTGCCTCTTTTTAAAAATCCTTGAGTTATCACTTTGGTTGAATGAATAACTTATTTTACAATAACCTGCTATATCAAGTGTTTTAAACCTTTGATATTTAACAAACTTTCCAAAATCAAATTATAAATTATGTCTTTTTCTAACCTAATTAATCCTTTAAGATATTAGGGTCCCTAGAGTCCAAAAAAAACATAATTTGGCTTAATTGGTATAAAAATTATACAAGAAGCATTGTCAAGTACAAAATGGCACGTGGTTTTCTTTGAGCTGTATTTGTATAAATACATTATTGATATGTATTCCAAAATTATGGAAAACTCCCATAATTCTGATATAACTTAGTATACATTATCAGTAATAATTGTAATTGTTATGTTAAATTATTGTGTGCCACAGACATAACAAATTTACTTAATTGTGTCTTAAACTTTGGCTATCTTAAAACTTTTGTAATCCAAGGACAATTGTTGTCTTCTTTTAGTCCTCTTTAGAAGGGGGTTTTATAATCAGCTATAAAACTCTAACAGGTGCTCTTGAATGCAATCTCTGATAACTTTGAAGATTTTGATATGTAAATAGAGGAAAAAATTTCAGGACACAGGGAGAGCTGATATGTTCATAAATGTCAAGCAGAACAGGAATTAACTGCATGGACTGAACTAATAGATGACTACAGTACTCTTTTTAACTTTTTGCTTAAAACATTGCTAATCCTTTGTTTTGTTTTTTCAATGTCAAGAAAACTTTTCTTTAAAGCTATTAATAGCTTCTAATAATTTAGTATACTCCTATAAACAACATTTGTTTCTCTCTACCTGATTTCTACAGAATTTAAAAACTACTTGTTAGTATTCTTAACTTATGGCAATATAGTTATTTCCATATAACTATGGAATGTGCAATAAGAATCTGTTTTAATTTGTAACAGTACATGACTGAAGAAATGGGTTATTTTTACCAAAGCATTAACAGGAATGATGTACTTTCTTTTAAGGAATCAAACAACTTATGGAGCCAATAACAGCCCCATGGAAAAACTGGCCTTATACCTTGTCTACAGTCCCTGTAACAGGGTTCATAACCTGTGGTAAGTAAAATAATGTCACTTTCTAATAGGCCCATGAGCCCCAAGTTTATCCTGAAACCTCAAGAGAAGAGGAATTCACCCAACTCATAGGTATTTAATGGTACAAATCCATGGCTGGGCACAGCTTTAAAAAAGTCTCACCTGGGCCAGACGCAGTGGCTCACGCCTGTAATCCCAGCACTTTGGGAGGCTAAAACAGGTGGATCACCTGAGGTTAGGAGTTCAAGACTAGCCTGGCAAACATGGTGAAACCCTGTCTCTACCAAACAATACAAAAATAAGCCAGGCATGGTGGTGGGTGCCTGTAATCTCAGCTACTTGGGAGGCTAAGGCAGGAAGGAGAATTGCTTGAATCCAGGAGGCAGAGGTTGCAGTAAGTGGAGCTCGCACCATTGCACTCCAGCCTGGGCGACAAGAACGAAACTCTATCTCAAAAAAAAAAAAAAAAAAAAAAAAAGTCTTACCTGAAATTTCTGCTATGAAACAAAGTTCCATCAAAGCCAATTTAAAAGCCTACATAAAAAAAATAATTATTTGGGCCAGGCGTGGTGGTTCACACCTGTAATCCCAGCTCTCTGGGACGCCGAGGCAGGCGGATCACCTGAGGTCGGGAGTTCGAGACCAGCCTGACCAACATGGAGAAACCCCATCTCCACTAAAAATACAAAATTAGCCAGGCGTGGTGGCACATGCCTATAATCCCAGCTACTCAGGAGGCTGGGGCTGGGAATTGCTTGAATCCGGAGGCAGAGGTTGCAATGAGCTGAGATCACACCATTGCACTCCAGCCTGGGCAACAAGAGCAAAACTCCATTTCAAAAAAAAAATTATTCTTGCTGCACTATATACAAATAATGAGGTCAAGTATAATAAAACAAATCAGTCCTACCATGATTTGTCTTTAATAAACACGGGAAACTGGAGAAAAAAAAATTTCAAAAACTATAGGACACCTGATGTTAGATTCTAGTCTTGCCTAATGTTTTTCAATTTTTATTATTTTCTAAGGTTTGGACCAAATTCTAATTTTTCTTGACTACAAATCTGCAAACTAATGTTTTCAATTTGTTTTCCTTATTTTTTCCCCATATTTCCTAATTTGGAGTCACTGAAAACTAAGCTGTGCTTTCGTGAAGCCCTGCAAACTAAAGCTAAACAACTTAAACTTCAGAAAATGTAACAGCAATCTATTTACATACATAAGCCACATTCATACATGCCTACTGATGGATGGACTTCAAAGTACTGTGGCCTACGTCAATTATCCAGGATTGTTCCTTTGTTTGTGGTTGTTTTTCTCCCTTCCTCCCCCTATTTTCTCTTCATAAACATAAGTCTTCAACACCTGCAAAAAATGAGCTTTCCTAATAACTTGGGACCTACCTGTCTAGGAATAAAGCATCCTAGCCATAAAAGATCAGACAAAACCTGAGACCAGAAACTTATTTTCTTCTGAAATGCTTTCTCCAAAAGATGATTAAAAGGAAAAAGGAGTAAACGTGAAAGGAAAATAAACCTTGATGCCTCCAAATCACTAAGCTACAGGGAAAAATCAAGCTGGGAACTGCTTAGGGCCAACCAGCCTCCCAGTTCATTCAACGTCATCCCTCGGCTCACTAAGATAAATGCATATCTGATTGCCTCCTTTGGAGAGGTTAATCAGAAACTCAAATGAATGCAACTATTTGTCTCTTATCTGCCTATAACCTAGAACCCTCTCCCTCCTTCAAGTCTTCCCATCTTTGCTTCCAGCTGTCCTGCCTTTCCAGACTGAATCAATGTTCATCTTACATATGTTAATGTCTTATGTCTCCCTAAAATGTATAAAACCAGACTGTGCTCTAACCACCTTGGGCACATGTCATCAAAACCTTCTGAGGCTGTGTCACAGGTGCATGTCCTCAACCTTGGCAAATAAGCTTTCTAAATTAACTGACACCTGTCTCATCTTTTCGGTGTTCACACACTCAATGTTCAAAGTAAAAACTCTTAAAATAGTTTCATTTTAGCTAAAGGTCAAGCTGTACTAGAAAACAAGCATTACTTTTTCACAAAGATTATACCAGTTAAAATATGTAGAATTTTATATCTACATTAAAATTGAGCCCAATCTCTTCAGTTAGTTTCTTGAAGAGTATAATTTCTTGAAGTTAAAACCTATTTTTGTCAAAAAAATATTGTTATAAATGTTAGAAAACAAAACGGAACCTTTAAAATGACAAGATAAAAATTAGTAATTATAATGATACCTGTATTTAATTATAGTATTTGCATATTTATGAGATTTCTTGAAGATTCTCAGATTTCAATTCACAAATCAAAGATTCATAATAGCAATTTTTGCTTTTAACACCATTTTATAGAAATTATAATTTTTTCATAACCTATCTTTTTCTGCATACTGTGTTAAGTAACCAAAGGTACTCATTTTGTAAAGGAAATGCACTAAATTGACTTTATCATTCAGTCTTATCTTTAAAACTTTAGAAATTTGGGTTATGTCTAAAAGCTGAAAGTAGCAAGTATTTCCAACAGTCTAAGAGTAAAGCATGTTCTACTACCCAAAACATTAATTTTTTAATGCATATATATTCCTATTAAATGAGTAATAAAACATTTGCATTATAAAAATACATTAATAGTTAAGGAAACAAAACGACTAAAATTTTAAAATATTGATATCCATATTTATATTTTGTATATTAAAGTATATACTTATATATAGAAAGTATCTAATTTTTAAGAGATAGTTGCTATTCTGTTTTCACTGTTAGACTAATGAAACAGAATGTAGTAACAGTGAGGTGCTTTCCAGAAGAAAAATCTTACAAAGGTGATTTATTAGGTACCCCACAATTGCTGATGTCTTTCCCTGATAAGCATAGGTTTCCATTAATTAACTACATAAAAAAATGGCATCATAGAGCTTAAGACTCATTATAATCAAAACATGATAAATTTTAAAACCCAAGTTGAGAGATCATGGCTTTTCAATTTTTTAAAAAATGAAATCTTATGATTATCCAATATAGCTAAAAACAAAGTTGAAAATCATGTAATGCCATATATAGTTTATAGGAATTTATTTGTAACTTTAAAAATCTTTTCTACCCTGTGGTATTTGGAAGGCCTTTTATACCAGAGTATATTAGGCAAAATAATAATAATAGGCAAAGAAAATAAATATCGGACATATATTTTACTATGGTATTTAAAATATTATTTTCTTAAGTCATGGGTAATTACTATATTTAAATTAAATCTAATGTGGGAAATAAGATGTTGCTGAGCACTAGTCAAATTCAGATTTGGTATCAATTTAATGGCATAAAGTAATTTATTCTTTGAGAAGACTCTTTCTAATGAGTTTTCACTCACTCATAGATAATTTCATGCTTTGATGATTTTTAAAAAGTGCAGTAGGCCAGGTGTAATGCCTCACGCCTGTAATCTCAGCACTGCGGGAGGCCTAGGCGGGTGGATCATGAGGTCAGGAGATCGACACCATCCTGGACAACATGGCGAAACCCCGTCTCTACTAAAAATACAAAAATTAGCTGGACATGGTGGCACATGCCCCTAATCACAGCTACTCGGGAGGCTGAAGCAGGAGAATTGCTTGAGCCAGGGAGTCAGAGGTTGCGGTGAGCCGAGATTGCGCCACTGCACTCCAGCATGGCAACAGAGCAAGACTCCATCTCAAAAAAAAAAGAAAAAAAAGAGTAAACTTAACTTACACTGAGACTTTACAAGATGGCTGATTAGAACCAATTAGTGTGCACCACTTTCATGGAGAGAAGAGAGTGGTGAGCAACACTAGCCCTTCAACTAGAACATCTAGGTGAACACATTGGGATTCATCAAGGAAAAAATGTGACCCATGGAGAACAGAAAAGAGTGAGACAGAACTATTGCCCGCCCAAAAGTGGCATTGAGCCAAGGGATGTCCTCCACCATGGGGAAATGATAAGTGAGTGATAGTCCCCATGGACTCACATATCTGCCACAGGCTTTTTGCACTCTGCACTTAGATCCCCTATGAAGATCATAAAGATTCAGGAGATTCAGGAGAAAGATGAAACCCATCCATAGAATTTACGGATTTCAATAAAATAATGCAGGAGCCGATAGATAAAATGGCCGTTATAAGAAAGAACCAAACTGATCTGATAGAGTTGCAAAACACACTACAAAAATTTCATAATGCAAGCACAAGTATTCACAGTAGAATGGACCACGCTGAGGAACACATCTTAGAGCTTTTAGACTGGTTCTCCAAACAAACTCAATCAGAAAAAAAATGTTTTTTAAAGAATTAAAAAAATGAACAAATCCTCTGAGAAATATGGGATTATGTAAAGAAACCAAATCTACAACTCACTGGTGTCGCTGAAAGACAGGGAGAGAAAGCCAGCAACTTTCTCCCCTAGCCTTGCTAGAGAGGCCACATTCAACTTCAGGAAATGCAGGGAACCCCAAGAGATACCTCACAAGAAGACCATCCCTAAGACTATAGTCAACATATTCTCCAAGGTAGAAATGAAAGAAAAAATGTTAAATGGAGCTAGAGAGAAGGGGCAGGTCATCTACAAAGGGAACCCCATCAGGCTAACAGTGGACCTTTGAGCAGAGGCCTTATAAGCCAGAACAGACTGGGAGCTGATACTCAGCAATTTTAAAGAATAAAAACTCAAATCAAAAACTTCATTTCCAACCAAACTTAAGAGGAAAGTTTATAGTGCTAAACGTCCACATCGAAAAGTTAGAATGATCTCAAATTAACAACCTCACATCACACCAATAGGCTCAAAGTAAAAGGATGGAGAAAAATCTAGCAATAAATGTGATTTATCACATAAACAGAGCTAAAAACAAAAACCACATAATCATCTGAATATATAGAGAAAAAGCTTTCAATTAAACCAAATATTCCTTCATAAGCTTCATAAGTGAAGGGAAAATAAGATACTTTTCACACAAGCAAATAACGGAATTCATTACCTGCCTTATAAAAGATCCTTAAGGAGTGCTAAATCTGGAGAAAAAAGACCATTACTTTCCACCACAAAAAGACACTTAAGTACATAGATAACTGAAACTATAAAGAAACTGCACAAACAAGTCTGCATAATAACCAGCTTACATGCTGACCCATCTTACGTGCAATGACACCCATAGGCTCAAAGTAAAAGGATGGAGAAAAACCTACCGAGCAAATGAAAAACAGAAAACAGCAAGGGTTGCTATTATAGTTGCAGACAAAACAAACACTAAGCCAGTAATGATCAAAAAAGACAAAGATGGGTATTATACAATGGTAGTGGTTACAATTAAAGAACAACTAACTATCCTAAATAGATATGCACCCAACACAAAAATACCCAATTCATAAAACAAGTTCTTAGAGACATATAAACAGATGTACATAACCACACAATAATAGTGGGTGATGTCAACATCCCAATGGCAATATTAGACAGATCATCAAGGCAGAAAACTAACAAAAATATTCCGAACCTGAACTCGACATTTGATCAAGTGGACCTAACATACATCTACAGAACTCTCCACTCAAAAACAAAAGAATATATTCTTCTCATCTGCAAATAGCACATACTCTGATATTGACCACACAACTGGCCATAAAACAATTCTCAGCAAATTAAAAAAAAAAAACTGAAATCATACCAACTGCATTCTCAGACAGTAGTGCAATAAAAATAAAAATCAATACTTAGAAGATCACTCGAAACTATAAAATCACATGGAAGTTAAACAGCCTACTCCTGAATGACTTCGGGGTAATCAATGATATTAAGTCAGAAATCAGAAAATTCTTTGAAATTAATGAGAACAAAGATGCAAAACACCAGAATCTCTGGAGCACAGTTAAAGCAGTGTTAAGAGGAAAGTTTTTAGTGCTAAACGTCCACATCAAAAAGTTAGAATGATCTCAAATTAACAACCTAACATCACACCTAGAGGAACTAGATATACAAGGGCATACAAAACCCAAAGCTAGCAGAAGATAAGAAGTAACCAAAATCAGAACTCAACTGAAGGATAGTGAGACACAAAATCATACAAAAAATTAACAAACCCACTTCATTCTTTGAAATATAAATAAGACTCATAGACCACTAGCTATACTACTAAAGAAAAAAGATCCAAATAAATACAATCATAAATGACAAACATAACACTACAACCATTCCCACAGAAATACAAAACACCCACAGAGACTACTATGAACACCTCTATATACACAAACTAGAAAACCTAGAAGAAATAAATTCCTTGAAACATACAACGACCCAAGATTGAACGAGGAAGAAATTGATTGCTGAACAGACAAATAATGAGTTCCAAAATGGAATCAGAAATAAAAAGTCTACCTACCAGAAAAAACCCAAGACCAGACAGATTCACAGACAAAATATATCATTTGTATAAAGAGCTGGCACCATTCCTACTGAAACCATTCCAAAATTTTAGAAGGAGGGACTCCTCTCTAACTCATTCTACAAGGCCAGTGTCATTCTGAAACCAAAATCTGGCAAAGACACAATGAAAAAAGGAAACTTCAGGCTAATATCCTTGATGAACATTGATGCAAGAATTCTCAAAAAAATACTAGCAAAGTGAATTGAGCAGCATATCAAAAATCCAATCCACCACAATTAAGTAGGCTTTATCTTTGGGATGCAAGGTTGGTTCAACATACCTAGATCAATAAATGTGATTTATCACATAAACAGAGCTAAAAACAAAAACCACATAATCATCTGAATATATGAAGAAAAAGCTTTCAATTAAACCAAACATTCCTTCATGTTAACACCTTCAACAAACTAGGCATTGAAGGAACATACCTTGAAATAACAAGAGCCATCAAGGACAAACCCACAGCCAACGTCATGCTGAATGGGCAAAAGCTATTAATAGCAGCATTCCCCTGGAGAACTGGGACAAAACAAGGATGCCTACTCTCACCACTCCTGTTCGACACAGTACTGGAAGTCCTGGCCACAGCAATCAGGCAAGAGAAAGGAATGAAATGCATCCAAACAGGATGAGAGGAAGTCAAACTATCTCTCTTCACAAATTATATGATTGTATATGTAGAAAACCTCATAGTGTCTGACCAAAAGCTCCTAGATCTGATAAACAACATCAGCAAAGTTTCAGGATACAAAATCATGATGAAGATGCCAAAAGCAATTGCAACAAAAACAAAAATTGACAAAATTTTTGACAAAAATTAAACTGAAGAGCTTCCAACAAAAGAAACTATCAGCATATTAAGCAGCCTATAGAATAAGAGAAAATATTTGCAAACTATGCATCCAACAATGGTCTAAGGATTTATAACCAGAATTTATAAGGAACTTAAAAATTAACAACCAAAAAAAACATAACCCCATTAAAATGTGGGCAAAGAACACAAACTGACACATTTCAAAAGAAGATATACATGTGGCCAAGAAGCATAAGAAAAAAATGCTAAACATCACTAATTATTAAAGAATTGCAAATCAAAGCTACAATAATACCATTTCACACTAGTCAGAATATCTACTATTAAAAAGTCAAATAATAACAGAAGCTAGTAAGGTTGCAGAGAAAAGAGAAAACTTATACAGTGTTGGTGGAAATGTAAATTTGTTTGGCCAGTGTGGAAAGCAGTTTGGCAATTTCTCAAAGAACATTAAACAGAACTACCATTCAACCCAGCAATCCCATTATTGGGTATGTACCCAAAGGAATATAAATCGTTCTACCATAAAGAAACATGCATGTGTATGTTTATCACAGCAGTATTCACAATAGAAAAGACACATAATAAACCTAGATGGTCATCAGTGGTGGGCTGGATAAAGAAAAAGTGGTACGTATACACTATAGAATACTATACAGCCATAAAAAGAACAAAATCATGTCCTCTGTAGCAACATGAATGGAGCTGAAGGTCAATATCCTAAGCGAAATAATGCAGGAGCAGAAAACCAAATATTGCATGTTCTCACTTATGAGAAGGTGCTAAACATAGAGTACACATAGACATGAAGAAGGGAACAATATACACAAGGGCCTATCTGAGGATGGAGAGTAAGAGGAGGGTGAGGATTGAAAACTACCTATTGTGTACTATGCTCATTACCTGGGCAATGAAATAATCTGTACACCACATCCCCACAAAACACAGTTTACCCATGTAGCAAACTGGCATGTCTACCACTAAATCTAAAATAAAAGTTGATAAGAAATAAATAACAATTTCACAAAGCAAAAAAAAAGATTATTTTTTATTTTATTGTAAATTGTCAAGTTATAATTCTATATATTTATGGAGTACAAAGTGATGTTGTTTTACATATACATATGAATGACAAAATGAAGCTAATGAACATTTCCATCAAAAAATACTTTAGTAAGGCCAGGCGCGGTGACTCACGCCTGTAATCCCTGTACTTTGGGAGGCTGAGACGGGTGGATCACAAGGTCAGGAGACTGAGACTATCCTGGCTAACATGGTGAAACCCCGTCTCTACTAAAAATATAAAAAATTAGCAGGGCATGGTGGCAGGCGCCTGTAG
Organism: Homo sapiens; assembly: GCF_000001405.40. Classification (NCBI taxonomy): domain Eukaryota; kingdom Metazoa; phylum Chordata; class Mammalia; order Primates; family Hominidae; genus Homo; species Homo sapiens. The sequence goes on along the minus strand of NC_000010.11, from coordinate 115,492,780 downwards.
TCCCAGATACTCAGGAGGCTGAGGCAGGAGAATGGTGTGAACCCGGGAGGCGGAGCTTGCAGTGGGCCAAGATTGTGCCACTACACTCCAGCCTAGGCAACAGAGTGAGACCCCATCTCAAAAAAAAAAAAAAAAATCACTTTAGTAAAAATGAAAGAATTAAAAGAAATGAATTATAATATATATAATATATAAAGTAAATGAAATATAAATATAAAATATACACATAAAATATCTAAAATAAATGAAATATAAAGCTCTAGAAATGATAAAAGGAACCTCAAAGTAAACTAATAGAAAGCCAAAAAAGGAAATACTATAACAAAGATGAAAGTAAGCATTAATGATGCAAGAATATGAAGAATGAGAGACCTAATTAAATCAAACTCTAATTTTTCAAAACATTAGCAATGTAAGTAAATTGTCAGTTATAATGATCAAGAAGGCAAGGACGAATGCCCACCTCCAAAAAAAGAAATAACCATTGAAACAATACAAGTTAATAGAATGAGGGATCACTTTGCAGACTTCTAAACAAAAACCTCAGAAATCCTGTTAAAAATAAAGAGCTTGACGATTTGCTAGCAAGATGGCCATATAGGAACTGCTCCAGGCTGCAGCTCCCAGCGAGATTGACACAGAAGGTGAGTGATGTCTGTATTTCCAACTGAAGTACACCGTTCATCTCACCGGGACTGGTTGGGCAGTGGGTACAGCCCACAGAGGGTGAGCTGAAGCAGGATAGGGCATCGCCTTACCTGGGAAGCCAAGAGGTCAGAGGATTTCCCTCCCCTAGCCAAGGGAAGCCATGAGAGACAGGAGGAACAGCGCACTCCAGGCCAAATACTGTGCGTTTCCCACAGTCTACGCAACCAGCAGACCAGGAGATTCCCTCTGGTGTCTATGCCACCAGGGCCCTAGGTTTCAAGCACAAAACTGGGCAGCCATTTGGGCAGACACTGAGCTAGCTGCAAGAGTTCTTTTTCATATCCCAGTGGCACCTGGAACGCCAGCCAGGAAGAACCATTCACTCTCCTGGAAAGGGGGCTGAAGCCAGGGAGCCAAGTGATCTGGCTCAGCTGGTCCTACCCGGACAGACCCCAGCAAGCTAAGATCCACTGGCTTGAAATTCTCGCTGCCAGCACAGCAGTCTGAGGTTGAACTGGGATGCTCCAGCTTGGTGGGGGGAGTGGCGTCCACCACTGCTGAGGCTTGAGTAGGTGATTTTGCCCTCACAGTGTAAACAAAGCCACTGGGAAGTTCAAACAGAGCTGAGCCCACTGCAGCTCAGCAAGGCTACTGCGGCCAGACTGCCTCTCTAGATTCCTCCACTCTGTGCAGGACATCTCTGAAAAAAAAAAGGCAGCAGCCCAAGTCAGGGACTTAAAGATAAAACCCCCATCTCCCTGGGACAGAGCACCTGCAGGAAGGGGCAGCTGTGGGGGCAGCTTCAGCAGACTTAAACATCACTGCCTGACAGCTCTGAAGAGAGTAGCAGATCTCCCAGCAGAGCGTTCAAGCTCTGATAAGGAACAGACGGCCTCAAGTGGGTCCTCAAGTGGGTCCCTGACCCCCAGTGTATCATGACTGGGAGACACCTTGCAGTAGGGGCTGACAGACCCCTCATACAGGAGAGCTCTGGCTGGCATTTGGCAGGTGCCCCTCTGGAACGAAGCTTGCTGAGAAAGGAACAGGCAGCAATCTTTGCTGTTTTGCTGGCTCCGCTGGTGATAACCAGGCAAAAAGAGTCTGGAGTGGACATCCAGCAAATTCCAGGAGACCTGCAGCAGAGGGGCCTGACTGTTAGAAGGAAAAACTAACAAACAGAAAGGAATAGTATCAACATCAACAAAAAGGATGTCCACTCAGAGACCCCATCTGAAGGTCACCAACGTCAAAGACCAAAGGTAGATAAATACACGAAGATGGGGAGAAACCAGCCCAAAAAGGCTGAAAATTCCAAAAAACAGAACACCTCTTCTCCTCCAAAGGATCACAACTCCTCACCAGCAAGGGAACAAAACTGGATGGAGAATGAGTTTGACAAACTGACAGAAGTAGGCTTTAGAAGGTGGGTAATAACTAATTCCTCCAAGCTAAAGGAGCATGGAGGAGCATAACTCAATGCAAGGAAGATAAGAACCTTGAAAAAAGGTTAGATGAATTGCTAACTAGAATAACCAATTTAGAGAAAAACATAAATGACCTGATGGAGCTGAAAAACACAGCACAAGAACTTCGTGAGGCATACACATCTATCAATAGCTGAATCAATCAAGGGGAAGAAAGGATATCAGAGATTGAAGATCAACTCAAAGAAATAAAGCCAGAAGACAAGATTAGAGAAAAAAGAGTAAAAAGAAACAAAGCCTCCAAGAAATAAGGGATTATGAGAAAAGACCAAATCTACATTTGATTGGTATAGCAGAAAGTGACAAGGAGAATGGAACCATGCTGGGAAAAATTCTTCAGGATATTATCCAGGAGAACTGCCCCGACCTAGCAATGCAGGCCAACATTCAAATTCAGGAAATACAGAGAACACCACAAAGATACTCCTCGAGAAGAGGAACCCCAAGACACATAATCATCAGATTCACCAATGTTCAAATGAAGGAAAAAAATGTTAAGGGCAGCCAGAGAGAAAGGTCGGGTTACCCACAAAGGGAAGCCCATCAGACTAACAGTGGATATGTTGGCAGACACCCTACGAGCCAGAAGAGACTGGGGGCTAATATTTAACATTCTTAAAGAAAAGAATTTTCAACCCAGAATTTCATATACAGCCAAACTAAGCTTCAAAAGAGAAGGAGAAAATAAAATCCTTTACAGGCAAACAAATGCTGAGAGACTGTCACCAACAGGCCTGCCTTACAAGAGCTCCTGAAGGAAGCACTAAACATGGAAAGGAATGACTGGTACCGGCCACTGCAAAAACATACCAAATTGCAAAGACCATCAATGCTATGAAGAAACTGCATCAACTAACAGGCAAAATAACCAGCTAGCATCATAATGACAAGATCAAATTCACATGTAACAATATTAACCTTAACTGTAAATGGGCTAAATGCCCCAATTAAAAGACACAGACTGGCAAATTGGATAGAGTCAAGACCCATCAGTGTGCTGTATTCAGGAGACCCATCTCATGTGCAAAGACACACACAGGCTCAAAATAAAGGGATGGAAAAATATTTACCAAGCAAATGGAAAGCAAAAAAGGGGCAGAGGTTGCAACCCTAGTCTCTGATAAAACAGACTTTAAACCAACAAAGATCAAAAGAGACAAAGAAGGCCATTACATAATGGTAAAGGGATCAGTTCAACAAGAAGAGCTGACTATCCTAAATATATATGCACCCAATACAGGAGCACCCAGATTCATAAAGCAAGTCCTTAGAGGCCCACAAAGAGACTTAGACTCCCACACAATAATAATGGGAGACTTTAACACCCCACTGTCAATATTAGACAGATCAAGGAGACAGAAAATTAACAAGGATATCCAGGATTTGAACTCAGCTCTGGACCAAGTGGACCTAATAGACATCCACAGAACTCTCCACCCCAAATCAACAGAATATACATTCTTCTCAGCACCACATTGCACTTAATTCTAAAATTGACCACATGATTGTAAGTAAAATACTCTTCAGCAAATGCAAAAGAACGGAAATCATAAGAAACAGTCTCTCAGACACAGTGCAATCAAATTAGAACTCAAGATTAAGAAACTCACTCAAAACCACACAACTACATGGAAACTGAAAAACCTGCTCCTGAATGACTACTGGGTAAATGACAAAATTAAGATAGAAAGAAAGATGGTCTTTGAAACCAATGAGAACAAAGACACAACATACCAGAATCTCTGGGACACATTTAAAGCAGTGTGTAGAGGGATATTTATAGCACTAAATGCCCACAACAGAAAGCAGGAAAGATCTAAAATTGACACCCTAACATCACAAGTAAAAGAACTAGAGAAGCAAGAACAAACAAACTAAAAAGTGAGCAGAAGACAAGAAATAACTAAGATCAGGGCAGAACTAAAGGAGATAGAGACACGAAAAACCCTTCAAAAAATCCATGAATCCAGGAGCTGGTTTTTTGAAAAGATCCACAAAATACATAGACCGCTAGCCAGCCAGACTAAGAAGAAGAAAAGAGAGAAGGATCAAATAGATACAATAAAAAATGATAAAGGGGATATCACCACCGATCCCACAGAAATACAAACTTCCATCAGAAAATACTATAAACACTTCTATGCAAATAAACTAGAAAATCTAGAAGAAATGGATAAATTCCTGGACACATACACACTCCCAAGATTAAACCAGGAATAAGTTGAATCCCTAAATAGACCAATAACAAGTTCTGAAATTGAGGCATTGATTAATAGCGTACCAACCAAAAAAAGTCCACTACCAGATGGATTCACAGCCGAATTCTACCAGAGGTACCAAGAGGAACTGGTACCATTCCTTCTGAAACTATTCCAAACAATAGAAAAAGAAGGAATCCTCCCTAACTCATTTTAAGAGGCCAGCATCATCCTGACACCAAAACCTGGTAGAGACACAGCAAAAGGAAAAATTTCAGGCCAATATCCCTGATGAACATCGATGCAAAAATCCTCAGTAAAATACCGGCAAATTGAATCCAGCAGCACATCAAAAAGCTTATCCACCACAATCAAGTCAGCTTCATCCCTGAGATGCAAGACTGGTTCAACATACGCAAATCAATAAACTAGTCCATCGCATAAACAGAACCAATGACAAAAAACACGATTATCTCAATAGATGCAGGAAAGGCCTTCAACAAAATTCAACAGCCTTTCATACTAAAAACTCTCAATAAACTAGGATGAAACATATCTCAAAATAATAAGAGCTATTTATGACAAATGCACAGCCAATATCATACTGAATGGGCAAAAACTGGAAGCAATCCCTTTGAAAACAGCCACAAGACAAGGATGCCCTCTCTCATCACTCCTATTCAACATAGTATTGGAAGTTCTGGCCAGGGCAATCAGGCAAGAGAAAGAAATAAAGGGTATTCAAATAGGAAAAGAGGAAGTCAAATTGTCTCTGTTTGCAGAGGACATGATTGTATATTTAGAAAACCCCATCATCTCCGTCCAAAAACTCCTTAAGCTGACAAGCAACTTCAGCAAAGTGTCCGAATACAAAATCAATGTGCAAAAAACATAAGCATTCCTATACACCAATAACAGTCAAATCATGAATGAACTCCCATTCACAATTACTACAAAGAGAATAAAATACCTAGGAATACAACTTACAAGGGATGTGAAGGACCTCCTCAAGGAGAACTACAAACCACTGCTGAAGGAAATAAGACAGGACACAAACAAATGGAAAAACATTCCATGGTCATTGATAGGAAGAATCAGTCTTGTGATAATGGACATACTGCTCAAAGTAATTTATAGAGTCAATGCTATCCCCATCAATCTACCATTGACTTTCTTCACAGAACTGGAAAAAAAAACTACTTTAAATTTCATATGGGACTAAAAAAGAGCCTGCATATCCCAGATAGTCCTAAGCAAAACGAACAGAGTTGGAGGCATCACGTAACCTGACTTCAAACTATACTACAAGGCTATGGTACCAAAACAGCATGGTACTGGTACCAAAACAGATATATAGACCAATGGAACAGAACAGAAGACTCAGAAATAATACCACACATCTACAACCATCTGATCTTTGACAAACCTGACAAAAAACAAGCAATGGGGGAAGGATTCCCTGTTTAATAAATGTTATTGGGAAAACTGGCTAGCCATATACAGAAAGCTGAAACTGGATCCCTTCCTTACACCTTATACAAAAATTAACTAAAGGTAGATTAAAGACTTAAATGTAAGACCTAAAACCATAAAAACCCTAGAAGAAAACCTGGGCAATACCATTCAGGACATAGGCATGGGCAAAGACTCATGACTAAAACATAAAAAGCAATTGCAACAAAAGCCAAAACTGACAAATGGGAAACTAAACTAAAGAGCTTCTGCACAGCAAAAGAAACTATTATCAGAGTGAACAGGCAACCTACAGAATGGGAGAAAATTTTTGCACTCTATCCATCTGACAAAGGGCTAATATCCAGACTACAAGGAATTTAAACAAATTTACAAGAAAAAAACAACCCCATCAAAAAGTGGGCAAAGGATATGAACAGACACTTCTCAAAAGAAGACATTTCTGTGGCCAACAAAAATATGAAAAAAAGCTCATCATCACCGGTGATTAGAGAAATGCAAATCAAAACCACAATGAGATACCATCTCATGGCAGTTAGAATGGTGATCATTAAAAAGTCAGGAAACGACAGATGCTGGAGAGGATGTGGAGAAATAGGGACACTTTTTACACTGTTGATGGGAGTGTAAATTAGTTCAACCATTGTGGAAGACAGTGTGGTGATTCCTCAAGGAACTGCAACTAGAAATACTATTTGACCCAGCAATCTCATTACTGGGTATATACCCAAAGGATTATAAATCATTCTATTATAGAGACACATGCACACAGATGTTTATTGCGGCACTGTTCACAATAGCAAAGACTTGGAACCAACCCAAATGCTCATCAATGATAGACTGGACAAAGAAAATGTGGCACATATACACCATCGAATACTATGCAGCCATAAAAAATGATGAGTTCATGTCCTTTGCAGGGACATGGATGAAGCTGGAAACCATCATTCTCAGGAAAGCAACACAAGAACAGAAAACCAAGCACCGCATGTTCTCACTCATAAGTGGGAGTTGAACAGTGAGAACACATTGACAGGAGTGGGGGCGGGGATCACAAACCAGGGCCTATTGGGGGGTGGGGGGCTGTGGTAGGGATAGCGTTACGAGAAATACCTAATGTAGATAACAGGTTGATGGGTGCAGCAAACCACCATGGCACGTGTATACCTATGTAACAAACCTGCACATTCTGCACATGTACCCCAGAAATTAAAGTATAATAAAAAAAGAAAGATCTTCATTTGTAATGTGTAACACTAGAAGATTCAAATAATTGTAGCAATGCTTACAATAAAATAATTTATAAACTTAAAAAAAATAAAGACGTTGGGTGATTGAGGAGGGGGTTTGGAGGGACACTGGTTAAAGGATACAAAATTAGTCACATAGGAAGAATACACTTAACAGATTTATTGTATAGAATGGTCACTAAGGTTAATGATAATATGTTGTATTCTCAAAAAATGTTGAGAGACTGGATGTTAAACATTTGCACCACAGAAATGACAACTATGTGAGGTAATGCATATTTTAATTAGCTAGATTTAACCATTCCAAAATGTATATATACCTCAAAACATCATGTTTACATTATAAATACAATTTTATCTGTTAATTAGAAATAAATAAATTTAGAAAAAAGTAGCTTAAATGGAAAAGATTCTGTAGATGAAATAGAGGAAGTTATAAAGAAATTACTCTACAAAAAATACCAGTACCAGAGGTTTCATAGGGAAATTCTACTATGGTTTCAAAGACCAGGTAGTTTAAATGTTATATATATTTTTATAAAACAATAAAAATGAAGGAACACTTTTTAATTCTTTTTATGAAGAAATTATAACACAAATGCCACATCTGACATAGACAGTACAGGAAAAAAGTTATCAATATCACTTATTAATATCAATGCACACCTACTAAATACTAGCAACACCACACAAAAAAACAGACCATGATCAAGTGATGGCTCATTAATAGCTTACACTCATTTTCGCTCACATAGTGATTCTTGCCAACTCCTTCTCTCAATTTCATAATTAATCTTCTCCCTATTGCATGCTCCTGATTTTTACCTAATTTAAATTCTTTAGGTCAATAAACATCTTACATTTCTTCTTAGTCTCCCCCACATAATTAGCATAGATAGAGCAAATTTAAAGCACTAAAACAAACATATTATTTGAATAGTCTAAAAACGGAAAGATTTTTGAACTGTAAAATATGGTTAACTCTGAGAGAAATTTGTAGTATTCCTCAGAAGACAACTACAGGCAATTCACATATTATATATTCAAATATTAAGTGTAGAGTTTATGTTCAAATACTATAAGAATAAATATAAGCTAAGATGCTATGGGAATTCAAAGAAGGCATTTGCCCAATGAGTGGTGTTAAAGAAGCACTCATTGGGAAAATAAGATGACCCTTAAAAATTGTATGACTTATTTAAATACACACAGTCCTAAAAAGTATACTGTATATAATAAAAGTATGAAGACTGTAACTTGATACCTTATCCTATTTAATTTATTTAAGATAAATTAAATATTCTGCCACTGCATTTGATATATATTAATACACTGATTCTTGGTTTTTTTAACTGTAAAAGAGTGAACACAAACAAGACCTGAGATAAAATCTCAAAATTAAAATATAAAATAGCATAATCTGTAAGTAGAGAGTGAATTGGAAGATTATTCAAAATATGATAAAACAAAATGAAAAAACATAATATTTAATAACAGCATTTGGTAATTTGCAGAATACTTCATAACCTAATATCAATGAGATATAGATTTAGAATTTTAAAAGATATGAAAAAGATCTAAGATTTGACATTTACTGAAAAAAAAAAAGATAATCAGAAACAGAGTCTCTTCAATTGCATTTCAAAATTATTACCATTATCCCAAGAAAGGGAGTATAAGGCACTCTGCTTTTGAGAGACCTAGTGTAGGTTTATTCAACTGTATTCTTACAAATTCTTACAAATGCTTCCTGAATATTTCACTTGAGTAGTGGCCCTCTCTCTGCTTCTTACAGTCTCACAAACAATTAGCCTAAAAGCATGTCAAACTCTAAAAACATGGGCAAATATGAGATTGATTCCTTCTTAGAGTGTGCAAAAATAATGAATATTTCAATAAGTTTATTTCATGTAGACTCTATCAAAAACATTGACCTAGCATATAAAATGCTTTAAAAATCATAAGTAAAATGGAATCATAACACTCACATTTAATCACATTTGCATTAACTTTAAAGTACCATGTGTAAATAATTAAAACAACATATACATATAATTACACGATTTCTTCTAACATCTAGATTTTATGAAAATTAAGTATAATAAAATTGATAAATCTAAAGAAATAACTGAGTTACAATTTGTAAATTAGGTCTGTACATATAGTCATGTGGTATATTTTGTTGTTACATCAAATTATATTAAATATATTTGGCAATAAGCCAAAATTGTATATGCACAAATGACCAATAAAATGTATGCTGAAAGTTGAAGGAATGAAAGAATTAAATAAAATATAAGCAATGAAAATCTATATTTGCTATATCTCTAGTAATTATTAGACAACATCATTATAATTTCCTAAATTTGCTTAAAGCTTCAGTCAAGATGCCCTCTCTTTCTAAACAATTTTTTTCCCAGCGTGAAAGTTTGAGAACAGTTCTTTACGCAATACAAGTTTCTGGTGACTTCTTTCATTATATAAACTATTGTTGATTTATGAAGGCATATGAAATAAATGATGGAACTAATTTCATATCTGACTTGTAAGAGCAGATGTCTTTCCATAGGAGATCAACATGCAATAAGTTTCTTTTTCCATTAGCACAGGGGTTGGTAAATTAATAATTACAAATAATAATTTTCATTTATAATTTGATAGGACCAAAATGTTTTAGGAAAAGCAAAAACTGTCCAGAAATGTTAAAACATACCATTTTATTTACTTAACAAATAAAATATATACTCTTCTATTAGCAAACAGATTATCCCCTACTCTTTCTTACCTTACGGTTAGTACAGAACTGGGAACCTAAGCAAAGAATATGTAAACGAATTATTCAATATCTAGGTATATGCTAAAACAAAGAATATTTAAGACCTTCACCTCTAACTTCTTTTATGCCTAAATTTTAGTTACTAACAACATTCAGTACAGAATAAAGTCCGCTTTTGTATAAATTTTGGATTCTACTTTACAATTCTCTGAGCTTCCTATATGAAGCAACAAATAATGATTCTTAAATAAAGCTCTAATTCTTGGGACTGATTCAAACTTTATTAATTCTATTTTTATATGTGTTTTTACTGTAATTTATTAGACTACTCAAAGTGAATAACTCAATAAATGCTTATTAATGAAGAAATTCATTACTACATAATTAATTAAAAATTATTATATTTGTTTATCCAATCATCAAAGTACAAAATAAGGAGAAACATATGATTCAGTATTATAAATATATTAATAAAAGAAGCATTTTTATTCTCGTCAAATTACATAAAAGTTAAAAGAACATGGAAATTTTGAAACTACCACAATTTACATTATCTTACATAAGTGTTTACTTTGCCATTTGAATAAGCAACTCTTGTAGAGCAATTACAAAAATAAAGACATTAGTAAAAATTCTAAATTTCAACCTACAGATTTACACATAGAACCCACTGCGTGCTGAATATTCATTTGTAAGGCAATATTTAAAGAATTGCTGTAATCCTCTATTCTGCATTAATTCAATATTTATTTAGTGATTCTAGTAACATTATATAACAATATGAAACACGAGTCCAAGTAGAAGTATAATCTTAAGTCACATATACCTTTATTATCTATTGAGAGATTCTGAAATATTTGCTATGCTAAGTCATTATATATTAATATTTCATTTGATCCATTATTGTAAATATACTGCCTTCTGAGATTATGGATATTGATGAATTCTTAAAGGTATCAGTAGCTCACAAATCAAACCCAAAATATAGTACTCATACTTTAATACCTTTGCCAAAAATTAAGTCATTTTTTAAACAATTTCTGAAGTAGAAGTTCTTAACAAACCCCAAGAGGTAATACTTAATTGTAATTGCAAACAAATCAAGTATAGTTATATTTTTTTCAAATGACTAACTTTTACACACTTCCAGTTTAGGTTTAAAATGGAAGCGTGTCTAGAGCTAAAACAAAATATCCTCAGGAAGCTGTCCTGAGATATAAATATAAGATTATAAATATGTTTGTTTATAAATTCTTCTCAGTAAATATTTTATAAATAGAAAAATGTTCAGCCTTAATATTAATACTAATAAAATGATAGTAAAATAAAGAAGTGTGAGTTAATAGTGGTAGAATGGGATCTGGTGTCAAATTGACCAGTCTCATATCTCAATTCAATTGCCTACTGTATGAAATTCAACAAGTTATTTTGTTCATTTATAAAAATTTAGATAAAAATATTTTATAAGTTAGGAATAACAGCACTAAATCATATACAATACCTTGAATAATGCCTAGTGCATAATATACAATCATAAATTTGTTTATATACTTTAACCCAATAATTTAATTTGGGGACATATGTGCAAAAGAAATAATTTTCTAAAATAGAAGATGAATGCACACAAAGATATTCATCACCTTGCTCTTTTTTAAAACAAAAATAACTCCAAATTTCCAGTAACAGACTATGGAAGTATATGATCTGAAAAAATTCTTATAGTATTAAAAACATTAATTAATATTATATTAAAACTAAAATTGTTTACAATATGTTATATAAAAACCAGGGTAGTTTATAAAAGAATACTATATTACAAGGGCAACCATCTAAAAATATCTATGGGATTATTATGAATATTTAACAAAACCGCATTAAAATTTTTAGAAGAGTTTCATTAGATTTCAAAATATAATTAATGACTTTATAAAAATTTATAATATAAAGAAATGAAAAATCTTCTTTACTCAAATTTATTTTACCACTGGAAAAGTTGAAAATGTTTGTCATAAGAAATTTTCTTAGAAAAGCAGATTTTACATTTATACCATCTCACCTAATTCAAACAATTTTATTCCTTGTAAAGAATAGCTCTGGATAAGGGATTAGATAAGAGCATTTTGCATAAAAAGTCAACGAACTTTTTCTGTAAAGAACCAGACAGTAAATATTTTCAGCTTTGTGGGCAATATGGTCTCTGGTTTCACTACTCAATTCTGTCAATGTAGTGTAAATGTAATATATCTTCCTTGTGAGAATTTTGAGAACATTTGTACCTATCATAGCCAGTATTATTTTATAGCTATTAGAAAATCTTCCATTCTCCTCTATATGTGTTTCTTACATATTTGTTATATCATTCACATTTATATTTCTAATTAGTATAGTTAATACATCTTTAACTGATAAAATTAACAATTTCTAATACTACCTTTTGAATTTATGTTACCTTGGTTGGTTAAATGACAAAAAGAATTGAAACTTTTTTAAAAAAGAAAAAAGTGTATTTGAAAATATATATGATAACTTCTTCAAGCATATAACAATTTAAAAGACAAGAACCACAAATAACGAAAAGTGTTCTGTGTCAATTTAAAAAATATATATATACAAGGGCAACTCCATCAGCACATTTTTATGATAGCCACTTTTCAAATCATATGTATAAGTTAAAACATCCTCTTTAATATCTACTTAACCAGTAGTTTTCTGTTTTGTGTGTGTGTGTGTGTGTGTGTGTGTGTTCAAATGACTCATCTATGTTGAAAATGCTAATTTATTTGTGATAAAATTGTATAGACATCAGCACTAGGATTCACTTCTTCTTCTATTTTGTTCTGTATAACTTAACCAATGCTAGTAAGGAAATTAACCAGTATAGAATGGAAATTAGAATTGCAAAGTGAAGAATAATTCCTAGCATCATTCTCATTAAAAAATCTAATCTAAATTATGACATCACTTTGCAGATTGATATAATAGTGAATTGTCAAAGCCAGTTTGCTCAGAAACAGGTAATTGAGAGTCAATCTAATTTAATTTAAACTGTGATATATAAATGTTGATGAACAGCACTATTGTAGAATACAAAGTACTTAAGTTCAATACACTTTTTTTGAAGTTATTAGCACTACCGCTACAGTAGTACTTTTTTCTATTTTTTATTATCAAGATTTAATTGCATGACATTATAAATCATGAAGAACAAGTGCTACCAAAATAAAATCTCATATTACAAACATGCAAATGAACTCAATGGCATGATTCCCAGCATTTCAAAACAAAAAGATTTTTTCCCTGTTTAATTACTATATTATTGGAATATTTATCACATAACACTGCTATATGTCTCACAGTCACTAGAATTTCTAAAGGATCTTAAGGATATTTAAATGCTAAAGAGATTGGCAACCTAAAACATAAAACACCCTATTAAAGTTTGAAGACAATGAAGAAAACTTTTGTTTGATTTACATTAGATTAAAACAGCTTTCCAAAGTACATAAATTAATCAAATAATATGTTTAAATGGCAGAGGATCTCAATGGCTAAATTAATGTCTGATTAATTCTGTACAAATAGCCACCAACTTAAAATTTCCTACTCTAGTAAGTATATTGTGCATTTGACATTTTAAAACATTTCTCGATTTCTAGAATTCCATTCATAGATATAAGACTATGGTACTACAAGAAACTTTTACAACACATATAATTTAGGAACAGTAAAAGAAAAAACTTCTAATTAGTTATCAAAAATTTGGTACAGTATTAACAAGTAAATACCAAAAATCCTTAACAAAGATATCTATTCCTCAAACATCTTTATAATTATAAAGGAAAATAGAACCAGTGAATTTTGCCAACAATGATGCTAGTAGACTGAAAAGATAAAACCTGCCTTTTAAATAAACAGTTATTATCACTGTCTTTACCCACATGAAGTCTTTATACCATAATAATTGCTTGATTGGCATGTAATTCACATAAAAATGTTTTACAGAATAAATTAATAAAAGTAAAATTAAAATCTAATGGGTTTACAGAAGAAAGGACAGGAGATAGTAGGAGTGAAAACATATTTGATAACATAAATTGTAATAAAATATATTTGATATAAAAAGAACTATTTTGACAAAACTATAATACTATTATTTCAGTCAATATCTTTACTCTATTTTCATATACTTTAAATAACTTTCCATTTTTTTACCCTAATTCAAAAGATAAACATATACACATTTCTAATATTTTAATACAATATATGTTAAAGCCTTTCCCTTAAGTATAGGTGGAATCTGTGAATACAATGGAAAATTCACTCCCTTGATTACGTTACATTATATGCCAAAGGTGGTAGAATAGTCACTCCTATGATTATTGAATTTTATCAGTCTCCATTATAACAGACTGAAGAAAGAGATTTAAAGGAAAAGAGATTGTATAACTGGCCTAAAAGAAGCACAGTGTCATGTTGTAGAGAGGGCCATGTGGCAGGGAACAGCGGCCATCTTCTAGAGGCTAAGAAGAGCCCCTGGCTAACAGTAACTAGAAAAACCTAAGACCTACAACTTCAATATACTGAACTCTGCCAACAACTAGTGACCTTGGAAGAAGTCCTTCTGCCTCAGATGAGACGGCAGCTCAACAGACCATAACTTCAGCCTTGTGAAGCCCTGAGTACAGGGTTTAACAAAGGGCAGTTAACTCATGCCCAGATTCCTGACCAACAGACAGTATAAAATAATAAACGGTCCTTGTTTTAACCTGATAAGCTTGTGATAATTTGCTACACAGCAAGAAAAACTAATAAAGGTAGGCAATATTATCATCTCCCATTTGACAGAGGAAGAAATGGAAAGACTGTGACTTAAAAAACAAACAAAAAACCTTCCTCTCAATCCTATCACTTGTAATTTAAGAATTTCAAATTGAGGTAGTAGTTTGACTTAGAACCCGTGTTCTTAATACCTACTGCTTACTGACAATGAGAAAGCAAGCAATTGTAACCTGGAAGCAAGATAAGAATATCTACATTAGAATTGGCATTGATGAAAATGTTACATATAATTCACTTTGCAGCAGATTAATTAAATATTTTTAAGAATCACAATAACTGAAGCCTTCTTTAATAACAATTACATTATTTTATAGTCATATTATTTTCCTAGAATAAGGAAATGCTGATTTCAGAAGGATAGTCTTATTAGATATTAATATGCTTCTATCAAGGTTATCCATGATAACGAGTATTTGTTGACTTTTGATCACCAAATATCTCCTGACCAAACAAAGAATTATTTCTTCAGATATTTTTTTCCTTATTGGGGTTGTGAATCCAAGTCCCATATCTTCGAGCAGAGAAGCCAAAAAACTACTTCCCAGGACAATTTTTTTTCTTGCACCATTATGGGTCAGGAGGAAGTTAGACAGGTGTCCTAAATTTGCCAGTTGGACTCATTCACTTAAGATTTTTAGATCCTGAGTGAATATTTATAGGATGGGTTGGAGAAATCATGAGATTTCATTCAGTATAGCAGGCATGCCCAGTTAAGAATGTCAACTAATGCACATGACTGAAAACTGTTGGAATGAAAGCTTTCTGCTTATTGAAAACCTGATGATTTATTCTTCCCTTTCATATTGTTAGCAACACCTTATGCTAACAATACATTTTCTTCTGTTTGTTAGTCATGCACGATTTCTGTTTCTTACACAAAATCTTAATTAACAAAACAACTTACTATAAAATTTCATTTTGGGAGAAGAAAGAATTTGGGTTATTATTAAATAAGAAACCCATGTGATTTTTGTAAATATAAGGGAGAAATCTTTTATTGTACTCATAAACTATCTATATTGCATGTTAAAACTTTTTTAAGAGTATAAGAAAGCATATTTTATCTGTACATTCCTTTCTCCAGAGAAATATATTACTCATCTCTCAATTTAAAAACTATTCCTTTAGCTACCTCAGCTAAGTACTAAAAATACAAAAAAATATGTAGTTTCTCTGTAAAGGAGTTTGAGGGCTAATAATGGATAAATAAGTGAAGCAATAAATATAAATAAACTGTGATAAGTTAAAGAATATGCCAGTTGTAAGAAAAGAGTAATTTCTAGTAGTTAGGTATAAGGGGAGGTTATATTCACAATTAGACAAAAGCTAAGCAAGAGTTAAAAAAAAGGTTAAGGCCAGAAAGGTCATTTGCAAGATAAAAATACAGAATGTAAAAATAAGCAGCAAAATGAAATAAATGACAGAGGATAGATATTTGGAGAGCTGAAAGTAGTTTGGCATGCAGATTTAATAAAGACAAAAAAGAACATTTCATAAAAATAAAAGGGTCAGTAAAGGGACCTTTTATGTAAATGTATATGTACAAAAACTACAATTTCAAAAAACAAGAAGAAAATCTGACAATATTAAAAAAAGAAACACAACACCAAAAATAGCTGGAAATTTCCAAAATATTCTCAGTAATTGATAGAAAAAGTAGAAAGAAAATCAGCAATAATCTCAGACATTGAATAAGAATCAAATAAATATCCAACTGACATTAAAAGAATAACAAGAGCAGAAGGCACTTTGCTTTTTAAGCACATGAATTTTCTGCAAAATAAAAAATATGCCAAAAACAAGCCTTAATAAAGTTAAAAAGGATTAAAACCATAGTTTTTCTCTGACCATAGCGAAAACTAAATTGGAAATTAATAAAAAGGAGACACCTGAAATATCCCTGAAATGAATTAAATAACATTTTGGAATAACTTATGCATCAAAGAAAATATCACAGGAAAAATCAGGAAATATTTTGGACTAAATAAAAATGAAAATACAACATACCAAAATGTGTAAAATGTGGTCAAAGCACTGCATACAGGTTAATTTATAGCTGTAGAGTATATATCAGAAAAAAGAAAAGTTCTAAAATCAACGATTTAAACTCTCAACATAGAAAGATGTAAAACAAGAGTGAATTAAACTAAATATTTTGTCTTTGTTATGATGAGCAGTTATAATTTTTGTATGACTTGTAGTAGAAGTAATCAACCTAATATAGATAAGTAAAAGATAAAGGAATAAATTTATCTTAAATATTATGGGAAATCACCAAAGGTTTTAAAAAGGTGAGGTAAATGATAAGAAGATTAAAAAGCTCTCTTAAATACCAATGACGTTGACGGTGATGATGAAGAAAAAGAAAATGATGATCATCTATTTACAATTTAGAACAATTATTACAATGCAATAGGTAAGGTTTTGTTTCACATAACTATCTCACATAATCATCATGATAACCCTATAATTAAGTACCACTAGTAATCTTCATTTTATAGATTGGGTAATTGAAGCTCAGAGGAATGAATAACTTGATTGAAACCACAAATATGGGAAAGACAAATGCAACAGAAATTGAAGAAACAGTTATTCCAAATGGAGAAATAAGTGAGATATGCCACAGAGAATTAAATACTATAACGATTAAGAAGCAATCCATTGACACTGGATTACTTCCATTGATAACAACTAGAACATCATTACTGACATCATAACTGACAAACTGATAGGTATAAAGGTGTTTTGCTACATATTAGCTGCCTAATTATCAAAATACATTACATAATGCATATAAATGATAGCAGCATTTCATGCATAATTAAAATAGTAGTTTAACAAGACAAGGATTATTCACTATGATATTAACTAATTTCAATCATCTCCAAAATTCATTAAAATGAAAAAAACATTAAAAACATCATATCTCTACTAATCTAGATGCAAGTGGAAAAAGAACACTAAATATTTCATTGAGTTATGCTGTGAACCATAATTTAAGCCAATCCTCAAATTCCAAACAATTTCATATCTTCACAGACATAACTGAAAATACTATAGACAATTCCCAAATTAAGGAAATGGAGTGATTTTGGTGGTGTTGTTTTTCTATTAGACAATGGCTTGCAAGCATCTGTGCACATTATCACCTAGGGGGATTTGGGTAAAAAGCAGGATCTCATTCAGTGGCGACAGGGCTAAAATTCTACATTTCTGACACGCTCCTGGGTGATGTCAATGCCTTTGGTTAGTCAGTCCATACTTTGATAGCAGGGTATTGAAGAACTGTTTACTTTGTAATTATTCAAAAAGGGCTATTTTAGAAATTCTTGTTTGTATCACCAAATTTAAATTTCATTGTTTGTCAAAATTTGCTGAAAACTATCCATAATTACTTTGTGTTTATATAACACTTGATTTTACTTAGTGGATGCTTTAAAAATGTATTCATCCACCACCAGACTCAAGACAGTGAAGAGTCCTAACACCACCAAGATCCCTGGTGATACTCTTTAAAAACCTCTATATCTCCCTTCCATCCCTGCTCTATTTCACCCACAACAGTCCCTAAACTCGAGGCATCTATTAACTTGAAAATAATGGCTCAAAACTTCCCAAATCTTATGAGAGATTCAGATGTCTAGATCCATGAAGCTGAACATCACCAAACAGATTCAATCTAAAAAGGACTTCACTAGGACACATCATAATCCAATCGTAAAAACTCAAAAAGAAAATTGCAGAAGAAGATAAAAGTGACCCATCACATATAAGAGAATACTTCTAAGGATATCAACAGATTTCTCAGCAGAAACCTCACAGGTGAGGAGTGAGATGATATATTTAAAGTGCTAAAAGAAAAGTACTACCAACCAAGAATACCTTACCTGGCAATGTTGCCCTTCAGAAATGAAGGAGACATAAAAGCTGACAAACAAAAGCTGAAGAACTTCATGACTACTAGGTCTACCTTACAATAAATGGCAATAGAATTGTTAAACTGTGAAGCCCAAAGTTAGCAGATGGAAGGAAATAATAAAGATCATGGTGGAAATAAATGAAATACAGAATAGAAAAACAATAGAAAAGATAAACAGTTGGTTTTTAAAACAATTTTAAAAATTGACAAACCTTGCACAGGACTAACCAAGAAAAAAGAGACATGACTTAAACAAATTATAAATGTATAAGGAGACATTACAACTGACATCATAGATACCAAAAGGTCATAAGAAATGACTGTGGGGAATTGTATGCCAACAAATTAAATAACTTAGAAAAGAATGAATAAATTCCTAGAAAAATACATCTTTCCAAGACTGAATCATGTGAAAATAGAAAACTTGGTCACATCAAAAATAACTAAGGTGATTGAATCAATTATAAAAAGCTTTCCAACAAAGAAAAGCTCAGGAATCGATGACTTCACTGGTGAATTCTAACAAACATTTAAAGCATTAACACCAAGCCATCTCAAACTCTTCCAAAAAGATGAAGTAGAGTGAACACTTCCGAACTTATGCTGTAAGGCAAGCATTTCCCTGACACCCAAGTCAGGCAAGGAGACTACAAGAAAAGAAAATCAATGGCATTTCAGAGACATTGGTAAAAGGACACAAAATTTTAGTTAAATAGATGGACTAAGTTGAAAATTTCTATTGTACAACATGGTGACTATAGTTAATAATGCTGTATTCTGTTCTTTAAAAAATAAATATAATAGCAACAGTAAGAGGGAAAACAAATAAATAAAAATGAATACTATTGTACCACAGCTTACCATAGGGAACATAAGGAAAAAAAAGAAAAATTACAGGCCAACATCCTTGATAAATGTAAATGCAAATATCCTCAACAAAATGCTAGCCAACCACATTTGATTCAACAGCACATTATAAGTATCATAAAACATGATCAAGTGGGATTTATCCCAGGAATGCATGGATGGTTCAACATACATGAATCAAAATGTGATATACCACATTAACAGAATGAAGGACAAAAATTATATGATCATCTCAATAGATGCTGAAAAAGCATTTGACAAAGTTTATTAACACTGTTTCATGATAAAAACTTCCAACAAATTAGGTTTAAGCGGAATGTACCTCAACACAATAAAGAACACATACAACAAGCCAATAGCTAACATCCTACACAATGGCAAGATGCAGAAGGTTTTTCCTCTAATTTTAGCAAAGAAACAAAAATGCCCAGTTTCACTACTTCTATTCAACATAGGACTGGTAGTCCTAGAAAAAGCAATTAGACAAGGAAAAGTAAAAGGCATCCAAATTGGAAAAGAAGAAGAAAACCTGTCTCTGTTTGCAGATGACATGTTCTCATACACAAGAAACCCTAGACAGTCCACCAATAAACTGTTAAAAAGAATAAAAAACTCAGTCAAGTTGCAGGATACAAAACCAACATACAAAAATCAGTTGAATTCTATACATTAACAATGAACTCTCCAAATCAGAAGTTAAGTAAACAAATCATATTTACTGGAGCATCAAAAAGAATAAAATACTTAAGAATAAGTTTAACCAAGGAAATGAAAGGCCTGTACACTGAAAATTATAAAGCATTGATGAAAGAAATTCAAAACATCAATAATAAATGGAAAATATCCTATGTTCATTGATTGGAAGAATTAACATTGTTTAAATGGCCACACTACCCAAAGTGTTCTACAGAGTCAATACAATTGCTTTCAAAATTCCAATTACATTTTTCACAGATATAGAAAAAAAAATTTTTAAATTCAAAAGGAACCACAAAAGACTGCAAATAGTCAAAGAAATTTTATAAAAGAAGAACAAAGCTGGAGGCATCATACTTACTGATTTCAAACTATATTATGAATCTATAGTAATCAAAACAGGAAGTTGCTGGCATAAAAATACACTAATACCAATGGAGCAGAATAGAGAGGCTAGAAATAAACCCATAGACAGCGTCAACTGATCTTTGACTCAGTGCCAGGAATAAATAGTAAAGGAAACACAGTCTCTTCAATAAATGGTATTGGTAACACTGGGATATCAATATGCAGAAGATGAAATTGGATTCTTACTTTATACCATACACAAAAATCAACTCAAAATGGATTAAAGATGTAAATATAAGACCTGTAATTATAAAAATCCTAAACAGAATAAAGGGACTAAGCTCCTTGACATTGGCTTTATCAATGATTTTTTTGGATATAATACCAAAAGTTCAGGCAACAAAAGCAAAAATAAACAAGTGGGACTGCATCAAACTAAAAAAAGCTTCCTGGCACAGCAAAGGAAACAATCAACAAACTGAAAAGGCAACCTACAGAATAGAAAATAAATTTGCAAATGATCTATTCAATAAGAAGTTAATATCCAAAATATGTAAGGAACTCATGAAACGCAATAGCAAGAAAACAAAAACTCAATGGAAACAATGGGCAAAGGACCTGATTATACATTTCTCCACAGAAGACACACAAATGACCAATAGGTATATGAAATGGTGCTCAGCATTGCTAATCATCAAATAAATGCAAATCAAAACCACAATAAGATATCACCTCATAGCTGTTATGATGGCCATTATCAAAAATACAAAAGATAACAAGTGTTAGAATGGATGTGGAGCAAGGGAAATTCTTACACACAATTGGTGGAATGTAAACTGGTATAGCCATCATGTAAAGCCGTATGAAGATTCCCCCAAAAATTAAAAATAAAACTACCAATGATCCAGCAATCCCACCACTGGGGATATATTCAAAGCAAGTGAAATCAGTATCTCAGAGATACAGCTGCACTCTCACATTCTTTACAACGTTATTTCCAATAGCCAAGATACAGAAGCAAGCTGTGTCCATGGATAGATGAAAGCATAAAGAAATCGTGATTTATATCTATATGTTTCATATTCATAATATGTATATATTTATATACGTACATACACACACATAACAATGGAATATTATTAAGCCTTTAAAAAGCAGGAAATCTTGCTATTTGTGACAACATAGAAGAAACTGAAGGACATGATGCTAAATAAACAAGTCAGTCACAAAAAGACAAATATTGCATGATATCACTTATAGGTGGAATCTAAAAAACTTATGAACTTATTGAAAGGGAATACAATGATGGCTGCCAGTATTTAAAATCATAATTAAAATAATTTTACTGTGTTTTGTATAATATTATAATTTAAAGTTTATTCTAGTCTTATAAATAAACACATATATTAATACTTCCATGCTTTAATATAACATATTCCATAGGCATAATGAGTTTAATAAAGAGGAGAAATTAGGCCTACGTATCTTGTCCATCTCAATTATTTTCCACACTGTATTATTTTGAGAGTGGAGTATTTCAACCTCGTTACACAAATTTTGATTTTGCTTCCAAAAGAGTAAGTTCTCAAAAAAACCCAATTTAGAAAGTTAATTCCTAACCATTAAGTATTCAAAAACATTCTAAAATAACTATGTAATTTTTTTTCAAAAGTATATAAACAAGAAATAAGGATAGGAAGCAATTTAAAATATAATCATATCAATTTTAATAACTAATTACTAAGTGCTATAGATGAACCCTTTTCCCTTTCAATCATAATTGAATAAATGAAGTGAAATTTGATAAATATTTCTCTATGAATCTTAGGAAATAAAGTTACACATCCTTAATGTTAAAATTTTAAAAACAAATATTTATGGCATTTTTCTGACAGTACCAGCATCTAAATCAATCACTATACAATGAAGAAGTAAATTTCTCAAATTAATTCTCAAAAGTGAACTGAATAGTAATTTATCCTCATATTTCCTGAACAGTTGAATAATTTCCATAATTTAAGTGTTACATCAACCTTAAAAATAAGAAGAAAAATTTTTTCCAGTAAACATATGATTTTAAAAATCACTCATTCTTTCCACAAATCACATAGAAATTAATATAAATAAAACCTGCAAACATTTCTAGTTACAGAGCATATGCTATAATTTACTAATATATAGGGAAGGGATGATCTGAAAATCTTTAAAAGATTTTAAAACATAAAAGCCATGAACAAGGATTGATATATATAAGCTATTCGAATAACTAATGTAAATTCAATCTAATCAATCAGTTGTAAAGGAATGAACAAATCCCAGCATCCCAATAGATAGGCTTTTCTTTCAGGAAAACATAAATTAAGAACACAAACCTTGACTATAAGATAGAAAGAATATTCCAATTCTTTCCTAGAAGTAAATCTGACGTCTTAAGTAGACTACCTCTAACTATAACAAAAATGAAATGTAAAACACACATGTAGTACAGATTAGGAAATTAATGATGAGAGGTAATTACTTAAAGAGGTAACTGAAATACTGCTAACTCAAAATCTTTAATGAAAGATCAGATTATTTTCAGAATGTGCTAAAGTAAAAATAAGACTACTCAAACGGAAAATAATTTCAAGTGGGGTTATATGAGAACAGTATTTATTTAACCCTCAGTTAAAGTATATAATTAATCAGAAAACCAAAACATTTCAGTTGGCTACATTGCTTAGTACATAATAATCACTGAAAAATTTAAGTATAGAGTTTGTTGGTTCCATGAGGGTTTTTACAGAGAAATTCATCATCACAGACATTCGCAGACCTTTATTTATCAAAGGTCAATGCATGTTTTTGTATTAGTCAAGTCAGGAAATGTACATATATCATCACTTTGGACAAAAGCACCATTCTTTTCTTAATGATATTATGGTCATTAGAAGTAAATACTCTTAACACTTACCTGTATTTTAATAGGCCAGGAAAAGTTGCTGACGTACACATAGAATGTAATGTTAGGATTGCTTCTAAAGTTAAATTTTTCATAGGAAAAACTATCTCTGTATTCCTTTATATTATTCTTGGAAACTATAGAAGTCTCTTCCCCAGATATTGTTCCAGCTAAAATGTAAATAATTTAAATAATTAATATTAGGAAATATCTTTATGAATTTAAAAATGCATATTATAGTTTTTTATAATTGCTCTTATAAAAATAATTATCAAAATATACTGTTTATAATTTTGAATGAAGGAAAATAAGTTTGCCATAAATATAATGGAAATAAATTTAGTATAAAAATTATTTTTAAAAATGCTACCACTGATTAAGTGCTATGTACTAGGCACTAGCTTAGAGACTTTATATTCTTTTTTAAAACCAATAATATCCCAGAAGTATTATCACCTCCATTTTTCAGATTTCAACCTAAGCCTCAGAAAGATTAAAGCATTTGCCCCAAGTTTATAGCTACTAAGCAGTTGGAACTCAGGTATATGTGGCTCTAGAAACTGAGCTCATTCTGTTTACAATGCCACAGAGCATTTAAAAAGAAATCAGACCATATTTTCGTGTGTCTCAATCCAATTAAAAAATGGGAAAAAATCAATTTATTTGTCTTACCACAAATTGAACCATCACTGCTTTAAATAAATTGGGTGGAGGCCACAATTTAAAACATGAGCTAAATGCTCAATTGGTTAAACACATAGAGTGCTGAATAAATATTTACTGAAGTTAATAAAATAGAACAAAGCATTTCCAACAATCTTAGCAATACTTTCACCTTAATCAATAGTAAAAATAATTAGAATTAGTATACTGCGTAATTGAATTTTTAACTAACCACTTATTCCATAATCACCTTGTGTACATTTATTAAATGCAGATTCCATGACTTCATCTCCAAATCTGATAAATAAAAATTTCTGAGATTTGGTCTGGGAATCTGAAAGAACACGTGATGTCTTGCATACTAAAATTATTGTTCTAAAGTGATTAGAAATGTATTATAGACATTTTTGTAGACACATTTTTAAACCCTTACAGTTTTCTTACTGGTCAGAAATAACTATCAAATTAACAGTACAAGTTATTACGAATTTTTCCTTAATGAAACCCATAGTGCCAACATTTTACTGTATGTTTGGCACTAATAGTAACAAAATGCCTATTTGCCTGAATTTTCATTTTTTGAATGTAATATATAAATTTGGGAATTGCAAAAGAGCTCTTAATTCTTGAATTCTATGTATCCATAATATTCTACATATTAAAATAGCATAATGATTTAATTTTCAGAAATCAAATATAAATTTCTAAGAATCCATAAATTTTCTATAAAAAAGAAACAATTTCCAGCACATTTATGCAACAGTATACCTTTGATACAGAAAATAGATACCAATAAAATTTTTAGAATAAAAGTAAAACTAAAATTAAAGTAAGAATACATTTCATAATTCAACATAAAAATCTGAACAGCTTCTCAGATATACTTTTTAAGTCAGTAATTTAAATTTATTAACCTTATTATGAAAGACATATTATGTATCAGTTTTTTAACTCCTCTGAGCACTGAAGCTGACAAGAGGGGTTATATTTTCTAAGCTTGACAATAATAGATGTTTACTGTAATCAGCATGTACAGAAGAATTTCATTGTTTTATATAAATATTAAGGTTAATAATTAAATTTATAGTTTTAATAGTGAATCAAATAATTGAAATTTCAGTCTCTTTAGTCATTAAAGAAGCAATTTATCTTAATTAAAATCACATTTTATAACACTGCCACTTAAAAATTTAATTTAGTGTATAATATTTGTTACCAATCTAATTTTAATTGAATAAAGGAGAAAGTTAACAAAATAATGAAGCTCTATTCATTTTTCTACTTATTATTTTTACCAGTAACAGCAAAATAATCCTGTCATATAACATTTTTAAAATTTCAAACATTTAATTAACAGTAGATCATGTTAGAACAACTTCCAGATAGGAACACATGTAAAAGAGATATGACATCAACATTTTTTTACCTGTTGAACCGACAGACCACGTAATGTTGAGATTAAAGTTGTTTGATGCATTAATTGATATATCCAGATTTTTGTTCGACTACCAGAAAAGAAAATATTAAGGTTAAAAAACGAAAATTACACTAGATATATATGATTTAGTCTACTGATTTAATTATGTCTGTTTTATTCCTTAAACTCTATAGATTTTGTAAATATTCAACTGAATATATGTAGATGCCATTTATACATTTTAATGAAGAAAATGTGTAATAAATTCAAAGGTAGATATCAAGTTCCTCATTTATCTTCTCTATTATAATTTGGTCTTTTGTATGTAAGCCAGAGGCTCCTGTAATTTAATATTTTTATTTGGATTCTCTTTGCTTAGCTGTAGACTAAACTTAGTTTAAATTTGATATTTGTATTTTGATTCTTTTTGCTAGGTTTAAATGAAACAGGTTTGGATTAGTCCCAAGCAATTTTATAACAATATAAGATTATTTTTTTAAAAGACTTCTTCTTAGGTGTACATTTTTATTATTAAACCCATATTTTCTAGTGGGAAAAATAACATAACCTAAAACTTTCAGGTAAAAATGATGAACCTACTCCAAAAAAACAGCAGATCACATTGTTTACACAGTTATAGAGAGGAACACTGAGAATTTAATTTTATGCCATTCAACCCGCTTCTTGTCATTCATTAGTGGAGTACAGACTCTTTACATTTAATTTCAGGGAAATATGACTAAGAGATTTCTTTAAATGTTTTTTGTGATTTTCTTACTCCAAGACGTAAGAAGCAGAAAGTAGGTATATTTACAACTATTTGTTCCTGTGGAAAGGCAAAGAATGATAGTCATAATGGGTAAGTTTAGCTTCAGATACTGAGTGTATTATGCTTTATTTTAAATATTCTCTACAAAGACTTGTAGAAAATTCTATACTGCTAAGATCTAGCTAGTGAAACGGAGTAAGAGAGATAGAGAATATATTAATTCCTTCGTTTTACTATTTTTCTAAATATGATAAAGCAGGTAAGCCAATAGAAAATATATTCCCAATTTTCTAAGTGGCTCTTAGGAGAAAGTAAATATGGAAGCAACTAAATTCCCCTTTTCTGATATAACAGTCTTAGGGGAAAACTGACAAGGAAAATGGCCTTTCCCTGATGAATAGCAGGAGAAATAAGGAACATCATAAAAAGCAAAGGCTGCTGGATGATGTGTGATGGCCATACCATTTGACAGACGTATAAGCCCCAATCTTATACCTCCAAATAACATCTACTCTTAATGATTTCCCTACATGGAAGAACAGCTTATTCTCTATGAAGAACTCTTAACAGTGTTCCATATCCATCAAATGATATTGTCACAGTTTCCAGGAGGCAAATAAGATTTCAAAAAGAATGATCATCTTGAAAGAGCATGTAAAATAAAATTTGTTATAATAAGGTTGAGTGATTGTCATGCATATTTTTAGAGTAGTACATAGTAATATTGTGGAGAAAGCATCTGAGAATTTGAAGTAGTCAAAGAAAAATAAAACCTTGGATTTTAAATACATAGAGTAAATCAGAAGGCTATTATATTATGCATCATAGTGATATTCATAAATGCCCATGAATATAAGAAGGAAGTTAACTTCCTTCTTATTTTCTATTGATTATCAATTAATACTGAATTCTATTGACAAGCTGTTAAGAACCCTTCTGCAGTACATGCCACAAAACTGTCAAACATATTGAGATTTTCCTATTTCTTTTAAGATATAAGTGAACACAGAGTGGGCATAAATTCAATGGAAGGCCAGAAAAATAACTGAGCAACTCTTTGACTGTAGCAATAAATGCAGAATACTTTTATGTCAGCATGCAGACAGGGACTATTCAATAGATTATGTTGTTCAGTTGTGGTATACAAAATATACTTCCAAATATACACAATGTAGTCCTAAGGAAAATCCAGATATCAAAGGTAGATATCTGGTAGCAAATGTTGATTTATGTCATCATAATAAAGTAACCAGACTTGAATCCAATAACAGTTTCATATACAGTAAATCATTTTCATGAAGCAATGAAAAGAATTAGTGAAGAGTCAGATAACCTTAGATTGAAATTTCAGGTCTTTAATGTACAGACTGATTGATTAGGGGGAAATTACTTTTCCTTTCCAAAAATCATTTTTCTAATCTCTAAAATGGGGATGTAATTACTTCCCTCAAGAAGCTCTTGTGAGCGTTAAATGAAATAATTTCTGGAAAAAAAACTTTGGTTTCAGCCCATAGTGCTTATAATTGTAGTGTTATCGTTATTAGGTATAGTGACAGGGTATATTCTTTTTCTTCTCTTTCTTCATCTTCATCTTCACCCAGAGGACTGGGAACTCAAAAAAAGGACATGCTCTGAGGAGTGGATTTTTTTACTATTAATGAAACGGATCCAAAAAGTCACTTTTTTATGAAAGTAAAGGATGGTGAAATCAGCGTACCCTTAAGGAGGCTTAAATCTTTATTTTCTTTTGAAATTGTCTCTTAATTACATGTACCTTATGCTGGATGAGATTAATATGAGCATAACTGTTGTCGCTAAAAGGTCACACAAAATTTCCAATTGATATTTAAAAAACCTATAAAACTCTTTTTGAATTTTTAGTTCATTCTCTATCAATTCCAAGTTTAGGCAATGCTGAATTATATGGTACCATAACTAAAGCCATATAAAAAGCATTTAGGATTTAAAAAGCTGTACTGAAAAAGTGACACTGTAGTTATTCCAGTAAGTGATAAAATCAGTGATTTAGAACATTGTTTGTTAGATATGGATAAGTTTGGCAAAATAATGTTATACAGAAACCTATTCAGAAATTGTTCACATGAAAGCACTGGCTAGAAGTGATGGATAGCGAGTTAAAATTAAATCTGTTTTTCAAAATGTAGGAAATGTATAAATAATTATCTACTTTTTATTATTATTTTCTTATAGAATAAGAAGCCTTGGCCAATAATACATAATAATTTCAGAGATTATTCCCAGGTGAATATATCTTTAATTAAAGAGGGTTACACAAAATGATATTATAAGAATTCTTAGCGATGCCTCTCATGACAGTTATGCATCGTTAAGCTTCACAGAACACTTTTCTGGTTTCTTGGCTTCAACTGGACAAGATAGTAGAAAGTAAAACAAAGCTGGGACATTGGAAAGCACTTGGGATTGCTGGAAATTGAAGGAGAAAATGGCAAAAAGACAAGCAAACTAGAATTGTGGCTAATCTGGACATAAGTATATGACACTATGGACAATACTGTGGAGGAATATTATTCACTCTCACATTTTGAGTCAGATATCTCTCTTACATCAAATTTCTTAGATCTTCAAAGAACCCCACAGGTTTGGAATTACTATTAATCAAGAAGCTAAAGGTAAAGAATGACCTCCGATACATGCTACAACATGGATGAACCTTGGAAACACTATGCTAAATGAAATAAGCCAGATAAAAAAGGACAAATGATTACATTTATATGAGGTACCTAGAGTAAGCCAATTAATACAGGCAGAGAGTAGAATAAAGATACCAGGGGCTGCAGAGAAGTGTGGAATGAGGCATTATTGTTTAATAATCACAGAGTTTCTGTTAGGGATAATGAAAATGTGGATGATGGTGATGATTGCACCACACTGTAAATATACTTAATGCCATTGAATTACATACCTAAAATTATTTAAATAAATGTTATTTTATGTCTATTTTACTACAATAAAAAGTCAATGGTAATTATAATGCAGGTATAAAAACTTTATCACATTGATAAATGTAGTTTCTGAGATTGTTAATATATCTATGTAGAAACAGATAATCAGTGAAGGACGGCTTGTATTTGAAACAAAATATCTTTAAAATCATTATTTAAAAGTCAAAACTTTAAATGTATTCCCCAAGAATACAGTCATTCATAAAGTCTAGGGAATAAAGAGTAACATAAAATGTAAAATGAACTGTTCTTTTTTTTGGTGATGGGGGAGACAGAATGCTATTTTACTGGAAAAGAAAAATTTAAGAAATTATATTAGTTGTCAGCAAGTCCAGTGAACTACGTTAAAAGGAAAGAAGTTGCAAAATGTCATAGTATTAATATATTTAGACATTTCACCTACTTGAAAAACCATTAAATATATGATATGGATTTAACATATCATTTAACAATATGGATGAATTCATAATAATAATATATATATTTAACATAACTTCATTTCAAATGTATGAGTGTTAGTTTTAAAAGAACTAAAATTCAACCCGAATAAACCCTATGGTTGATATTTCCATTCTCAGGATTTTCAAATTAATAAAGTCTCAGATGGATAGCAAAATATGTGTGTTATTTCGACACAACCTAAGAGTCTTTACCTGAATTGATGGATTGAAATTAAAATTCACAATGAATCTTTCATATATTTAAACTTCAAAAGCTTATACAATATATCAGTGATGTGGTAATTTCATTAAAGGAGCCATCATTCATATAACTCAGATAAACTACTGACTGAGAAAAAAGACAAATCATATTACTGTGGAATGGTATAAAGGAAAGTAAAATACATTTAATATAGTATGCTTTGAATTCATTAGTTTTATTTATTTATTTATTTTTTGAGATGGAGTCTCACTCTGTCGCCAGGCTGGAGTGCAGTGGCGTGATCTCGGCTCACTGCAACCTCCACCTCCTGGGTTCAAGCAAATCTCCTGCCTCAGCCTCCTCAGTAGCTGGGACTATAGGCGCGCACCATCATGCCTAGCTAATTTTTGTATTTTTAGTAGAGATGGGGATTCACCACATTGGCCAGGATGGTCTCGATCTCTGGGCATCATGATCTGCCCGCCTTGGCCTCCCAAAGTGCTGGGATTACAGGCATGAGCCACTGCGCCCGAACGAGTTTTATTTTTAAATAAGAACAGTCCGTGCTTGTATAATTATAGGCATAAATTTTGTCACAAGATATATAAGGTGACAAATTATATTTAATTTAAAATATAGGGCTATTTGCAAAATCTGAAATATCAAATTCACAAATTATTGAATCACGAAGAGAGAAAAAATTAATAGGATTAGTAGTTTCTACAAAGGCCCTACAATGTGATAATTCTGAGAAGAGGTAAAATCAAATGAAATATGAAAAAAAAATTGTGTCCAATAATTATACTTTAAAAGATAACAATTTTTCCTCACCTGTTCTGGGTTTGCTATAAAGTTTATGGCAGTATGGTGGCGATCATCTTCCTGTAATAAGCTGAAGGTAAATTGATAATCAATCAAAAGGCTGTCTGTAGGGAGGAAAAAAAGTACAATCCTGATATGTACTTTAAAAACTGTCTAAAAAGCAAAATTTAGGTTACAATATATTGTACACTGATATTAAAAATGATTATTGTTAAATACTAGTGGTATATTTAAGTATAACAAAATACAAATCTTTGTCCTCAATCAACAAAAAGCAAAACATAGTTATGGAAGAAGTACTAATTCCTTAAAAATTTTATTTATTATTTCTGATGCTATTACAAAGTTAAAACATTATAGACATTCTGGAAACTATACAAAAGTAAGTGAATAAAATAAAAATTATCTATAATTTTATAACTAGAAGGAAATACAGTTAACATTTTGGTGCATTTTATTCCAGTTAGAATTCTGTAGCTGTAAAGATAGACATTTTCATAAAACTTTGTAACTTTCACAAACTCAAAATTCTTTGAAAACATGAAGTTTGATAGCTAAATAATATTTCTCATATAATGTATTTATTTGTTTTTCCATTGTGTTCACTTCTACTTTTAGTAATTTTAAAATGATTCTATGATAAACATCATTTTACAGATATGACCTTTATTCACAATGATACAAGGAATTCTGGGAAAAGATATTTTTAATTTTGTCCATACATAATGCTGGAACCAAGGTGAAACATTTAAATGTCATAAGTCATGAGTGGCTATGCATATTACATGAAGGTGATGTATTGCTAATAACATTAAACTGCTACTTTTATAAAAATTATTTCCAATTATTTTAAATAAATATAGATTACTTCTGTCTTTTGGATACATACCTTTCATATTATACCCTTAACCATTAAAAATTATTAATATAGAACATACAGATTAAATTACATTAACTGAATTTATTTTTAAAACTATTAAGGCATTATTCGTATGCTTACTTGTATACTTTATAAGATTCAACCTATATATTTATTGTATAATTTAGTGTAAGGCAATATTTTGTATAAGAATTTATAGGTATCCTTATATCTGATAATGAGAATTATGCAGTAGGTCATAGTTCCAATTTTCATCTGACTGCCAAAAAATTGCAGAGGAAAATTCAATGTGCCAGTGTTCTAGGCCCTAGAGATACAATAAAAAAATAAAAATTTCTGTCCTCTTGCAAGTAATACTCTACTGAATGAACATCAGTCTTTTGGAGAAGAATAAACCAGTGAAGAGGAGGGAGATACTGTTAGGTAGGAGTATGCTTCCAGCTTTCAGAAGAAACATTTAGAGAATTGAGCTAGTAAGAGAATAAGCCATGGAGTTTACCAGAAAAAAATATTCCAGGCAGAGAGGACAAGTACAGAAACCTCAAAGCAAAAGCAAGCCTTAACTGTGATTCTCGTAAAGCCTGTGCCAGTAATACAGGCAAGGAGGTAATGGAGGCCAGGGTAACAGCAGTGAAGGCCACAGGAAGTGGTCAAATACAGGGAATGTATTTTGAAGGTACAGCAAACAGGATTAGCTATAAAAGAATGCAGCCTTTTTAAGAAAGAAAGGCAAAGTTTTATTTTTTTTTTTAATTTTTTCCTAAGACCAAGCAAAAATCACCATTAACTTAAATGGAGAATAGGTTTGACTGCGATGGAACTTGGGGAAATAATTAGGAGCTTAATTTTAAAGATATTAAGTTAGAGAAATTTATTGAATAGCCAGATGTTAAGTCAAGCTCAGGAGCATGCGTAGTAGATAACAATTTGTAAGTTATCAGAAATTACATAGGATTGAAAGCCAGGAAGGCAGGAAATTGTCTTCGTAGATAGACAAGAGGTCCAAGAGATTAGCCCTGAGGCAGACCAATGTTAAATAATCAGAGCCTGAAGAGAAACTGGCAAAGGAGACTGAGAAATGGCTACTCAGGAGAGAAAAAGAAACCCAGAATTTAGTGCTATAGACATCAAGTAAATACAATGTTTAAAAGACTGAGTAGTGATCACCTTGGACAAATGCAGCTGAGTGAGATTCAAAAGTTATCAGGGGACCTGCCCCGATAATCACTTAGGTTCTTTTCTATTTTCCTAAGCGTCGGCTGGCTTGAGAAATAAAGGGACAGAGTACAAAAGAGAGAAATTTTAAAGCTGGGTGTCTGGGGGAGACATCACACGTTGGTAGGATCCGTGATGCCCCATGAGCCACAAAAACCAGCAAGTTTTTATTAGGGAGTTTCAAAAGGGGAGGGAGTATACGAATAGGTGTGGGTGACAGACATCAAGTACTTAACAGCGTAATAGAATATCACAAGGCAAGTGGAGGCAGGGCGAGATCACAGGACCACAGGACCAAGGCGAAATTAAAATTGCTAATGAAGTTTTGGGCACCACTGTCATTGATAACATCTTATCAGGAGACAGGGTGAGATCAACCAGTCTGACCAAAATTTATTAGGTGGGAATTTCCTCTTCCTAATAAGCCTGGGAGCGCTATGGGAGACTGGAGTTTATTTCACCTCTGCAATCTCAACCATAAGAGACAGGTACGCCCCAGGAGGGCCAGTTCAGAGACCTACCCCTAGGTGCGCATTCTCTTTCTCAGGGACTTTCCATGCTGAGAAAAAGAATTCAGTGATATTTCTCCCATTTGCTTTTGAAAGAAGAGAAATATGGCTCTGTTCTGCCCGGCTAACTAGCGGTCAGAGTTTAAGGTTATCTCTCGTATTCCCTGAACAATTGCTGTTATTCTGTTCTTTTTTCAGGGTGCCCACATTTCATATTGCTCAAACACACATGCTGTACAATTTGTGTAGTTAACGCAATTATTACAGGGTCCTGAGATGATACACATCCTTCTCAGCTGACAGGATTAAGAGATTAAAGCAAAGACAAGCATAGGAAATCACAAGGGTATTGACTGGGGAAGTGATAAGTGTCCATGAAATCTTTACAATTTATGTTTAGAGATTGCAGTAAAGACAGGCATAAGAAATTACAAAAGTATTAATTTGGGGAACTAATAAATGTCCATTAAATCTTCACAATCCATATTCTTCTGCCATGGCTTCAGCCGGTCCCTCCATTTGGGGTCCCTGACTTCCCACAACAAAAAGTAGGGCTGCAGTCTTGAGAAAGAGAATATCTATTTAGAATGAAGAAAAAAATATCACGAAGGAAAAGCAAGCACTTCAAAACTATTTCCACAAATTTGTCTGCTCAAGCATCTTTCTTTTTTCAAGACTGCAACTAAGCATTAATAAGCCAGGAAATAAATGCCCTTTTGGAGGTAGGAACTGGGAGACTTCAGACCCTGGACAGTCCTGAGTAAAGGCTGTAATGCCCCAGACCTACAGACATTTTTCTGTCTATATGGACTCCAGCATCTGCCACAAATATGCCCAACCACATTCTTGGCCAGGCATTCAAGCATGATTTTCTCTCTTCTTATATTTAATAGAGTTGAAAATACTAGATCAGTATGAAGTATCTTGTGTATGGTAATGATCAATCCTAATGTCAATCAGGCTAAAAATACAAAGCTGAGATCTAGAACAAAATTAGTAGGAGTATTAATCAATTCAAGTGTCTAATAAGAATACCAATGAATGAATGTGCACTACTATAAAGAAAGAAAATTTAGACTTCTACACAAAATGTTTCCTTTTAAAGCTGCTTAGAATGAAAGTACTCCAGAAACCAACTGCACAATTTTCCACTTAACTAGGAGATATATTTCTCCTCAGAATTTCAAAAATCATGATGGTGTGTTTGGTTATGAATGGAAAATTTACCTGGCACTTAAACATGTAACTTAATGCTGAAATATGCTCTGAACTTCTTAGCTAAGTAGGGTACAGGATATAAAACTTTAAAATTTAAAACATGTCTCTAGTTTATCCATAAATGTACATAACTTGAAAATAAATTTTTATGCTGCATTAATGAACTACTCTATTATGGTATAAAGAAATTACAACATGATTGACTATAAATCAATTCAAATAATTTATTGCTTTATTGATAAATACAGAGAAATGAAAAATTAGCATGAAGAATAAGTATGATCAAGACACATAAGAAAACTTCAGTTTTAGATTGGGGAAATAACACATTTTATGCCAATTGGAAAAAAATTATTAGAAAAGGAAAAATTGCAAAGAGAGGAGAGGGAGGAGGAATTTGGAACTATTCCCTGAGGTAGGTAAAAGGTGATGAGATCTTGTGAAAAAAACATAAAGACTGAATATACACAACATGCAGGGAGGAGATCATACTGAACAGAGAGCAGGGAGGGACATGTGGTGGCGGGATCATTTGGAAGCTCCCTTTATATTGCTTCCATTTTCTCAATAAAATCAGAAAGGCCATCAGCTGAGAAAGAGAATGGAGGATGAGGGGTTGGGAAATGTGCGGGCAGAGAAAAGATCTAAAATAGTCATTAAAAAGAGGGAAAGTAAATAGACTGAGGAAATATAGTATTTGTAGTGACAGGAGACAGACAAATTCCTAGGTGGACAGGGACAGGTCCCCGGTGAAAGCCAACCTTCAAGCCAAAGACAGCCTAAAGCCTGAAAAATTGAACTGCCAGTTCTGGATAGAGTCCACAACCAGAGTGAGAACTTCTATCGCCAACCCACCCACTCTCTCGATTGGTTCCTGGTGTATGATGCCTTTTAACTAATTGAATGCTGCTTTTTCCAAGACCACCTATGGACCAATTAGCAAGTACCAGCCTGCCCCCATTTTAAGCCCATAAAAACCCCAGACTCAGCCTCACAGAGGGCTACCCACTTTCAGGGTCCCTCTCTCCACTGAGAGCTTGAGAGCTTTCCTTCTGTTGCTCAACAAAATTATTTTCTGCCTTACTCACTCTCCGGTGTCCACGTACCTTATTCCTCATGGTCACGAGAAAAGAACTCAGAACTCACTAAGCTGTGGGTGGTGGAAACAAAAGACCTGTAACCCTCCCATTCACCAAGCTGCAGATGGTAGGAACAAAAGAGCTGTAACACTTCATTCCACTTGCTGAACAATGGGAGCAAAAAAGTCATTGCACACCATTCCTTCCTGCTCACCGAACAACGGGAGCAAAAAAGCCACTGGATGCCACTCCCTCCCACTTGCTGAACTACAGGAATGAAGAAGCTGAAACAGTATGAGATTGGTGAGCATGCATCTGAAGTGAGACTGATCAGTATATTCGTATGTTTTTCTACAGCAGAGTGTTCAAAAAAAGCTTAGAAATTAGTTGATACTGTATTAGAGTTTTGTCTGTGGATAGAGGATGAAGTAAAGACAGGGCAACGAAGTTGAGAATATATTCATTAGAGAGTATTACATATATTACTATTCAAAAATTTATTTTTTTATTATTATACTTTAAGTTCTGGGATACATGTACAGAATGTGCAGGTTTGTAACATAGGTATACATGTGCCATGGTAGTTTGCTGCATCCATCAACCTGTCATCTGTATTAGGTATTTCTCCTAACGCTATTCTTCACCTTACCCGTCACCCCATGACAGGCCCTGGTGTGTGATGTTCCCCTCCCTGTGCCCATATGTTCTCATTGTTCAACTCCCACTTATGAGTGAGAACATGCGGTGTTTGGTTTTCTGTTCTTGTGTTAGTTTGCTAAGAATGATGGTTTCCAGCTTCATCCATGTACCTGCAAAGGGCATGAACTCATTCTTTATTATGGCTGCATAATATTCCATGGTGTATATGTGCCACATCTTCTTTGTCCAGTCTAACATAATGGGAATTTGGGTTGGTTCCAAGCCTTTGCTATTGTGAATAATGCTGCAATAAACACATGTGTGCATGTGTCTTTATAGTAGTATGATTTATACTTTTGAGGTTATATACCCAGTAATGGGATTGCTAGGTCAAATGGTATTTCTAGATTTAGATCCTTGAGGAATTGCCACACTGTCTTTCACAATGGTTGAACTAATTTACACTCCCACCAACAATGCAAAAGCATTCCTATTTCTCCACATCCTCTCCAGCATCTGTTGTTTCCTGACTTTTTAATGATCATCATTCTAACTGGTGTGAGATGGTGTCTCATTGTGGTTTTGATTTGCATTTCTCTAATCACCAGTGATGATGAGCTTTTTTTCATATTTTTGTTGGCCACAGAAACATCTTCTGTGAGAAGTGTCTGTTCATATCCTTTGCCCACTTTTTGATGGGGTTGTTTGATTTTTTCTTGTAAATTTGTTTAAATTCCTTGTAGATTCTGGATATTAGCCCTTTGTCAGATGGATAGATTGCAAAAATTTTCTCCCATTCTGTAGGCTGCCTGTTCACTCTGGTGATAGTTTCTTTTGCTGTGCAGAAGCTCTTTGGTTTAATTAGATCCCATTAGTCAATTTTGGCTTTTGTTGCAATTGCTTTTGGTGTTTTAGTCATGAACTCGTTGCCCATGCCTATGTCCTGAATGGTATTGCCTAGGTTTTCTTCTAGGGATTTTATGGTTATAGGTCTTACTTTAAATATTTAATCCTTCTTGAGTTAATTTTTGCATAAGGTGTAAGGAAGGGGTCCAGTTTCAGTTTTCTGCATATGGCTAGCCAGTTTCCCCAACACCATTTATTACATAGGGAATCCTTTCCTCATTGCTTGTTTCTGTCAGGTTTGTCAAAGATCAGATGGTTGTAGACGTGTGGTATTATTTCTGAGGCCTCTGTTCTGTTCCATTGGTCTACCAAGCCAAGTTCAACAACACATTAAAAGGACCACACCCCATGATCAAGTAGGCTTTATCTCTGAGATACAAGGATGGTTCAACATATACAAATCAATAAATGTGATACACTACATTAACAGAATGAAGGATAAAAATTATGTTATCATCAATAGATGCAGAAAAACATCTGGCAAAGTTCAACACCCTTTCATGATAAAAAATACTGAACAACTAGGTATAGGAGAAAATTAACACAACAGAGATCATATGTGAATAGCCCACAGCTAATACCATATGCAATGATAAAAAGCTGTAAGTATTCCTTCTATGTTCCAGAACAAGGAAGGGATGTCCACTCTCACCATTTCTATTCAAGACAGTATTGGAAGTAAGGTCCAGAGCAATTAGGCAAGAAAAAGAAAAGGTATCTAAATCAGAAAGAAAAAGTAATCTCTGTTTGCTGATGATATATTATGTAGATAAAATACTAAAGGCTCCACACATACACACACACAAACACAAAAATCTGTTAGAACAAATAAATTCAACAGTGTTGCAGGATACAAAATCAACATACAAAAATCTGTTGCATTGCTATACACTAGCAATGAACTATCTGAAAAAGAAATTAAAGAAAACATTCTTACAATGGCATCAAAAGAAATAAAATACTTATAAATAAACTTAACCAAAGAGAATAAAGACTTGAACATTAAAAACTATAAAACATTGACAAAAGAAATTAAACACAAATAAATAATATGACATCCCATATTCATGGATTGGAAAAATTAATATGGTTAAAATGTCCATGCTACTAAAAGTGATCTACAGATTCATTGCAAATCCTGTCAAAATCTCAGTGCCTTTTTTTACATAAATAGAAAGAAAAAACTCCTAAAATTCATATGGAACCACCAAATAACCCAAATAGTCAAAACGATTCTGACCAAGAAGAAAAAAGGCTGGAGGTATCATACCCCTGATTTCAAAATATATTACAAGGCTATAATAATCAAAATAGTTTGGTACTGGCATGAAAAAAGATATATAGATAAATGTAACGGGGTAAAGAACCCAGAAATAAACCCATGCATGTAGAGTTAACTGATCTTCAACAAGGATGCCAAGAACACAATGGGGAAGGGATAGTCTCTTCATTAAATGGTGTTGGGAAAACTGCATATTCACATGAAAAAGAATGAAATTAGACCCTTATACCATACACAGAAATCAATTCAAAGTGGATTAAAGACTTACATGTAAAACCTGAAACCATCAAACTCTTATAAGGAAACAGAAGAAATGCTTATCAACAGAGAACTTCACAATGGATTTCTTTTTTTTTCTTTTTTATTATTATTATACTTTAAGTTTTAGGGTACATGTGCACAATGTGCAGGTTAGTTACATATGTATACATGTGCCATGCTGGTGTGCTGCACCCATTAACTCATCATTTAGCATTAGGTATATCTCCTAATGCTATCCCTCCCCCCTCCCCCAACCCCACAACAGTCCCCAGAGTGTGATGTTCCCCTTCCTGTGTCCATGTGTTCTCATTGTTCAATTCCCACCTATGAGTGAGAACATGCAGTGTTTGGTTTTTTGTCCTCGCGATAGTTTACTGAGAATGATGATTTCCAATTTCATCCATGTCCCTACAAAGGACATGAACTCATCATTTTTTATGGCTGCATAGTACACAATGATTTCTTGAACATACTACCAAAAGCACAGGCAACAAAAGCAAACATTGACAACTGAAATTACATCAAACTAAAAAGTTGAAATTACATCAAACAGCAAAGGCAACAATCAACAAAAGAAAATGGTACAAAATGAGAGAAAATATTTGCAAATCATACATTGGACAAGGGGTAAATATCCAAAACATAAAAGGAAATCAAACAACTATATATCAGGTAAACAACCCAATTAAAACTGGGCAAAGAGACTGAATAGACATTTCTCTAAAAAACTCTTGTATACTGTTTATGGGAATGCAAATTGGTGCTGCCATTATGAAAAACAGTACGGTGTCTTCTCAAAAAATTAAAAATAGAACTACCATCTGTTCCAGCAATCCCACTTTTAGGTATATACAGATCAAAAGAAACTAAACTCAGGATCTCAAAGTGATATCTAGACTTCTATGTTCCTTATAGCATTATTCTCAATAGACAAGACATGGAAGCAACCTTAGTGTTTGTTGACAGATGACAGATAAAGAAACTGTAGTATATACATACAATTAAATATTGTTCAGCATTAAAAAGGATGGAAATTCTGCCATTTGCAACAACATAGATAGACCTGGAGAACATGATGCTAAGTGAAATAAGCCTGACCAGAAGAACAAATATTGTATTATCCCACATTTATAAGAAATCTAAAATAATCAAATTCATACATGCAGAGAATAGAAAGGTGGTTACCAGGTGCTGGGATAGGGAGAAAGAAAAGGGGAAGGGTTACTCAAAGGGTACAAAGCTTCAGTTATGCAAAATGATTAAGCTCTGATGATCTACTATACAGGATAGTACTTATAGTTAACAATACTGTATTGTATATTTTTAAAATTTGCTAACAAGTTAGGTCTTATATTAAGTTTTAAGAAAATTAATTAAATAACTTAAGGTGTTGGATGGATATATTTATAGTCTTGATTGTGCTGATGGTTTCATAGATGTATAATTATTTCCTAATTTATCAAATTGTGGATATTTATTGTGTACAGTTTTTCTATGCCAATTGTATCTCAATAAAGTACTTTAGAAAAATCTGTGGTGAAAGGGAGACTGCAATAAATGGCACAGGAACAAACAATAAAAAAGAAAAACTACAGTATGGATTTATATCCTATATCAAACATAAAAATCAATTTCAGCTAATTAAAGACCTAAATATTAAAAGCAAAACTTTATAGCTTTTCAAAAATACAAGAGAGCATCTGTTATGACCTTAAAAAAGCATGTCATTAAGATCTCAATCATAAAGGAAAAAATTAATAAAGTTGAAAACCCCTCCACAATAAATATTGATTTTAAAAAACTTTAATTTTAGGTTCAGAAGTATATGTGAAGATTTATTACATAGGTAAACTTAGGTCACAGGGATTTGTCATACAGATTTTTTCATCACCCAGGTATTAAACCCAGTATCCAATAGCTGTCTCTCCCGCTTCCCATTCTCCACACTCAAGTAGACCCCCGTGTCTGTTGTATCCTTCTTTGTGTTCTTTAGTTCTCATCATTTAGCTACCACTTGTAAGTGAGAACATGCAGTATTTGGTTTTCTGTACCTGCATTGGTTTGCTAAGGATAATAGTCTCTAGCCCTATCCATATTCCCACAAAATATATGATCTCATTTTTTATGGCTACATAGTATTCCATGGTTTATGCATACCACATTTTCTTTATCTGATCTGTCACTGATGGGCATTTGGGTTGATTCCATGTTTTTGCTATTGTGAACAGTGCTGCAGTGGACATTTGTGTGCACGTGTCTTTATGGTAGAATGATTTATACTCCTCTGGGTATATTCCAAGTAATGGGAATGCTGGGTTGAATGGTAGTTCTGCTTTTGGCTCTTTGAGGAATTGCCATACTGCTTTCCACAATGGGTGAACTAATTTACACTCCCACCAACAGTGTATGAGTGCTCCCTTTTCTCCACAACCTCACCAGCATCTGTTATTTTTTTACTTTTTAATAATATCCATTCTGACTGGCATGAGATGGTATCTCAATGTGGTTTTGATTTGCATTTCTCTACAATCAACGATACTGAGCTTTGTTTCATATGCTTCTTGGCCACATGTATGTCTTTTTTTGAAAGTTTCTGTTCATGTCCTTTGCCCACTTTTTAATGAGGTTGCTTGTTTCTTTCTTGAAAATTTAAGTTCCATATATATGCTGGATATTAGATCTTTGATAGACGCATAGTTTGCAAATATTTTCTCCCATTCTACAGGATAGTTGATAGTTTCTGTTGATAGTTTCTTTGTTGTGCAGAAGCTCTTTAATTAGATCCAACTTGTCAATTTTTGCTTTTGTTGCAATTGCTTTTGGTGTCTTTGTCATGAAATCTTTGCCAGTTCCTTTGTCCAGGATGGCATTGCCTAGTTTGTCTTCCAGGATTTTTATAGTTTTGTGTTTTACATTTAAGTTTTTAATCCATCTTGAGTTAACTTTTGTATATGGTGTAAGGAAGGGGTCCAGCTTCAATCTTCTGCATATGGATAGCCAGTTATCCCAGCACCACTGATTGAAAAGGGAGTCTTCATTGCTTGTTTTTGTGAGCTTTATTGAAGATCAGATGGTTATAGGTGTGTAGCCTAATTCCTGGCTCTCCACTTTGTTCCATTGGTCTATGTGCCTGTTTTTGTACCAGTATCATGCTGTTTTGGTTACTGTAGCCCTGTAATATAGTTTGAAGCTGGGTAACGTGAAGCCTCCAGCTTTATTCTTTTTGCTTCAAATTGCCTTGGCTATTCAGGCTCTATTTGGGTTCCATATGAAGTTTAAAATAGTTTTGTTCTAGTTCTGTGAAGAATGCTGCTGGTAGTTTTATGGGAATAGCATTGAATCTGTAAATTGCTTTGGGCAGTATAGCAATTTTAATGATACTGACAGTTCCTATCCATGAGTCTGGATGTTTTTCCATTTGTCTGTGTCTTCTCTTTGAGCAGTGGTTTGTAATTCTCATTATAGAGATCTTTCACCTCCCTGGTTAGCTGTATTCTAAGGTATTTTATTCTTTTTGTAGCAATTGTGAATGGGATTGCCTTTCTGATTTGGCTTTCAGCTTGGCTATTGTTGGTGCATAGGAACACTAGTAACTTTTGTACAGTGATTTTGTATCTGACAACTTTGCTGAAGCTGTTTAAAAGTTGAAGGAGCCTTTGGACTCAGACTATAGGATTTTCTACATATAGGATCATGTCTTCTGGAAAGAGGGATAGTTTGACTTCCTCTCTTCCTATTTGGATGCTCTTTATTTCTTTCTCTTGCCTGATTGCTCTGGCTAGGACTTCTAATACTATGTTGAATAAGACTGGTGAGAGAGGGCATCCTTGTCTTGTGCCAGTTTTCAAGGGGAATGATTCCAGGTATTGTCTGTTCAGTATGTTATTGGCTGTGGGTTTGTCATATATGGCTCTTATTATTTTGAGGTATGTTCCTTTAATACCTAAGTTATAGTTTTTAATTATAGAAAGCCTTTTCTGCACCTATTGAGATAATCATGTTGTTTCTGTCTTTAGTTCTGTTTTTGTGATGAATCACATTTATTGATTTGCTTGTGTCAAACCAATCTTGCATCCTGGGGATGAAGCCTACTTACTTACTTGATTGTGGTGTATTAGCTTTTTGATGTGCTGCTGGATTTGGTCTGCAAGTATTTTGTTGGGGATTTTTGCATCTATGTTCATCCAAGATATTGGCCTGAAGTTTTCTTTTTTTGTTGTGTCTCTGCCAGGTTTTGGTATGAGGATGATGCTGGCATTGAAACAGAACATTTTCCCTGACCCTTCATGGGTCTCACAAAAGGGGTGCCTCACTTACTCAGCCCACAGCTCTTAAATAACCCCTTGTGGGAGGAGGAGCATGCAAGTGAGCAGGTGCAGCAACTGGGATGAATGCTTCTGGGTGCCGGCAGAAGCAAAACTCTGTGCAGCCCCATGGCAGTGTCTGGGGGGTACCCACAACCCCTGAAGCCCCAGAGGGCATGTGTTACAGTGTCTTCTTAGCTTTGCCATCCACGGAAGGCTTAAGTGTTAAATAGCTCAAGTGTCCATACCCATGGCTCCTGAGCTCTTGTTCAGCATCCAGGAAGAATCAGGTTGCATGAACAAATTGGAGGGTGGTGAATATGGAGGATTTTATTGCCAATGA
Source organism: Homo sapiens (assembly GCF_000001405.40). Lineage (NCBI taxonomy): Eukaryota > Metazoa > Chordata > Mammalia > Primates > Hominidae > Homo > Homo sapiens. Next base: position 115,449,408 of record NC_000010.11, on the reverse strand, counting down.
AAGTGGCTTGCAGTGGGAAGGGGAGGTGGAAAGAATATGAGGTGAGAAGGTGGTCTTTCCCCGGAGTCTTGCTCTCCCCAGCCAAGCTCTCCTCTGATATTCCCCGTCAAGCCATCCCTCTGAAGTCAAGCTGCTTCTCTCCAATGTCTGGCTGCTTCTTCTCTTCTCTCCTTTTCTGCAGCACCTCTGCCAGTGGAGCCTGTGGTTTTTATGGGTACAGAATCAGGGGAGTGGGGTGGGCCAGGGCGATTTTGGAAAAGGCAACATTCGAGCAGAAATATGGTGATAGAAATTTCTCCCTTTGGGCTACTGTTCCAGGCTTGAGGGTGGGGCCCTCCCAGGGACTGCCCTCTTCTACCCAGTGTTTCCCTGCCTCCTGTCCATATGAGTATCATAGAATAATATGGGGAGGGGTCCCTTCTCCTCAACTTTTTGGAATAGTTTCCGTAGGAATAGTACCAGCTCTTCTTTGTACACTTGGTTGAATTCATCTGTGAATTCATCAGGACCTATGCTTGTTGTTGTTGTTGTTGTTGTTGTTGTTGTTGTTGTTGGTTGGCACGCTATTACATTGGAGCAAAAGTAATTGCAGTTTTTGCCATTACTTTCAACTGCAAAAATAAGTCTAGCTTGCAACATATCTTATTAATATTTTCAAAAAACCAACTCCTAGATTTGTTTATCTTTTAAATGTTTTTTTTTTGTGTGCGTCTTGATTTCCTTCAGTTCAGCTCTAATTTCGGTTATTTCTTGTCTTCTGCTAACTTTGGGGTTGATTTGTTCTTGCTTCTCTAATTATTTCAGTTGTGATGTTATGTTGTTAATTTGAGATCTTTCTAACTTTTTGATGTGGGCATTTAGCCCTTTGAATTTCCCTCTTAACACTGCCTTAGCTATATCCCAGAGATTCTGGTATGTTTTAGCTTTGTTCTCATTATTTTCAAAGAACTTCTTGATTTCTCCCTTAATTTCATTATTTATCCAAAAGTCATTCCAGAGCACGTTATTTAATTTCTTGAGCAATTTTCTTTGTCCTGACTGCTATTTTCACATGGTCCAAGAGTGTGTTTGTTATGATTTCAGTTCTTTTGCATTTGCTGAGGATTGTTTTATATCCAATTATGTGGTTGATATTCGAGTTTAGGGTAGGTGCCATGTAGCAAAGAGAAGAATGTATAAATGTCATTTTTAACAAAGATCAAGAGCCAAGTCATAGACTATGAGAAGATATTTGCTGTATCAATAATGAACAAAAAATTAATATCCAGAATTTATTACATTAAAACTAGTATAAATCAATAAGAAAATGCCAACAATATGAAAAAGACAAACTACAAAATAAGAAAAAGACAAAGAATAAGAGCAACAATTCAAAGAAGAGAAACTTAAATACACAATAAATATGTAAAATGATATTGTTTCAATTAGTCATAAAGAAAATGCAAGTAAAAACAAGATAGTATTTCAAAACCATCAGATTGGCAAATATTAAAGAGACTAAAAACATAAAATGTTGGTGAGGAAGTGGAAGAAAATTATTGTATACCATGATGGAGCATAAATTAATATAAATATTTGCAGTGTAATTTGGAAAAATCTAATAAATCTACAATTCCACTTCTACTTGTATATCTCAAAGAACTTCCAGTTCAAGTAGAAATGTGTAAGGATTTTAATTCCAGAATTATATATTATTTTGAAAAATTAAGTACAACTTAGATGTGCATCAAAAGGAGAATGGGGAAATAAATGTTATACCTGTAGAAATATTCTACATAACTAAAATAAATGCACTATGGCTGCATATATTAGCATTGATAAATCTCAAATATGTTGCACATAAAAGCAATTTGTAGGATTCACAGAGTATGTAATTTTTATATATTTTAAATAATGTGGTATAGTATTAATTTTTATGGATGATTAAGTGAGCTAACAAATTAAAGGTACTTATAACTGTTTGACATATATAAAGTACTCAATAAATATTGATTATTATATATATTGCAAACAAATAACATTAGCATAATAAGGACAAAACAAAATACAGTTTGGTGGCTCTATCTAAAAAAAGACACAAAAAAAATCAACTCTATCTGTGATGTTTACTTTCTTTTTAAAAAATCCAAAGCAAATAGAGCAAGGCGTTAAGCTTTATTAAAGCTTGGTAACAGGTACACAATTTTTAAGTATATTCTATATACTATGAAATATATATACTACATGAATAGAAGTATATATACTATACTTTTTAACACATTTTAAATTTCCATAACTTAAAAAAAGATAAACTATTCTTTATGTTTAAATATGCTAGGAACACCTTTTGGAAAACTTTGTTAATAGAAAAAAATACTAAATAGCTGTATTTCAAGGCTTGAAGAATCAAAGCTGTAAGTATCTATAAATCAACCTTTTGATTTTAAAGACTGAGCCCAGAGGTTAGAACCACTTTAAATGATATATGTATCTGCTTTTAAATATTTTGGCGAACAATCAGCAAACCACCTTTCATAAATCCAAGCAAACCACCTCTCATAAATCCAAGAAAATCGGAGATCCACAATTAATTTCCCAATTTTATATAAAAATAGTTTATAAAAATAGGTAAAATAGATATAAAGAAAGACCTCTCTTATTTACACTTCTCACTTTTTGTATGAGCTTCGTAGAGCTTCAGGAGAATACAAAACCATTCATACTTCAGGCTCCAAATTCCAATTGCATATGTTTTTTAAATCATAAAAACAAAAACATAGGAAAAGTAGTAAACATTTTTGCTTTTCTTACATTATTTTGACTTGCAATGGTAAGAAGAGAAAAAGAGCAAAATCTCAATTTGACAACAACAGATGAAGTAGATACAATTAATATAAATACAGAGTTTTTTTAGCTATTTAAAATACCCATGGGGAACATGTCAAGAGAAAATAAAATCTAAAAAACACTGACTCCACAAAATTAAAGATGAAAGATGAGATAATAACACCAAAGATTACAATAAAAAGAGAGCTAAATAAATTACAAAAGGAAGAACAAAAAAGTAATAATGTAATGGCAAAATTTAAAAAGTTAATACGAGAATCAGAAAACAGAATAATTAATACAACATAAGACTGAAATAGTGCTATGTAGGTCAAATACGAAAAAGCCTCCCAAAATAGAAATAGAGATGAAAATCACTCAAGAGAAATGATACACAGAAAAATTCAGTGTATGCATGACTAATGTAGTTAAAGCAGAGATCATAATGAGTTGAAGGGTAGCACATATATTAAATAAAGAAAAAAATCTGTTGATGAAGAAAACCTAAATATTTAAAGGAAGTATCTTGTATAAATATAAAAAGCATATTATATTACACCAATATTATTCAAATTAGCCAAAATGTAAAAACAACCCATGTACCTCAACTGAATGGTAAACAAAATGTGATATGTTCACACAATAAAATATTATTTTGTCATAAAAAGAAATAAAGTAATGATTTCTGCTATAACATGAATAAACTTCAAAAATACTGTGCTAATGAAAGAAATCAGTCACAAAAGACTGATTTATTTTGTTATGTCCAAAATAGACAAATCCATACAGACAAAAAGAAGATAAATGGTAGCCACTAGCTGGTGAAAAAAGAATGATAAGTGACTGCTGACATGTACAGCTTTCTTTCTGGAGCGATAAAAATGTTCCAAAATTAGATGGTGCAGATCGTTGCACAACTGTGTATAATATACTAAAAGCTACTGAATTGTACACTTTAAAATGGTGACTTTTATGGTTTGTGAATATATCTCTATGAAGTTATTGTTAAAAAAAATTACAGACATCCAGGCATGTCCATGTAGGTAAGTGTACACACACACACACACACACACACACACACACACACACACACACACGGACAAATGAGTTATTTACAGAGTAGGATTAGGCAACATGCCAAGGCTTTTTTTTTTTTTTTTTTTTTTTTTTTTTGAGGCGAAATCTCACTCTGTCACCCAGGCTGGAGTGCAGTGGCACACTCTTGGCTCACTGCAGCCTCTGCCTCCCAGGTTCAAGCAATTCTTGTGCCTCAGCTCCTGAGTAACTGGGATTACAGGCGTGTGCCCCCACATCCTGCTAATTGTTTTTGTATTTTTAGTAGAGATGGGGTTTTGCCATGTTGGCCAGGCTGGTCTCAAACTCCTGACCTCAGGTGATCTACCCGTCTCAGTCTCCCAAAGTGCTAGGATTACAGGCATAAGCCATTTTGCCCAGCAGCCAAGTGCTCTTAAGCAGAAATAAATGTCAAAATAAAAAAAAGAAGTAATATTTATGGAAAATATATACTCAGCAATGCTGTCCCCATTCAAGAACAATATAATAATAATTTCAGGGTCGGGTGCAGTGGCTCAAGCCTGTAATCCCAGCACTTTGGGAGGCCAAGGCGGGCAGATCACCTGAGGTCAGGAGTTCGAGACCAGCCTGGCCAACATGGTGAAACCCCATCTCTACTAAAAATACAAAAATAGGCTGGCGTGGTGGCGCACACCTGTAATCCCAGCTTCTCAGGAGGCTGAGGCAGGAGAATCGCATGAACCCGAGAGGCGGAAGTTGCAATGAGCCAAGATGGCACCACTGTATTCCTTCCTGGGTGACAGAGCAAGATATAAATATCTTGCTCTATCCACCTCAAAAATAAAATAAAATAAAATAAAATAATTTCAGGTAAACAGGTGTCCTAAAAGGACATAATCTACATATCAGTTTTGAAAAAAAAAATCAACTCACACACACATTACAACTAAGAGACAAATACAAATACAAAAATGGCAAAGAAAAAAGGTGAATAGATGACAGAGGTAAATTACAAAAATATAATTATACAGAAATATGAATATTTTTAAAAAGAAAACAAAGTTGTCTTTTTCTGCCTAGAATCAGTTTACCAAGAAATTAATATAAAACAACTAAAAAGCTATTAAATAATAAACAATTCAGTAATGTAGCCAGATATGACTTAAATATTAATATATAAATACCTATACCTTTTATTTGGAGATTATCTTATTACTTCAGTGACTATGCCTATCCCTGCACCAAAAAACAAAAGAAAAACAACTCTACACTGCCTTAATTACTGTAACTATCTAGTTAGCCCTAACAGCTGGTAGAGGAACATGTCTAAGAAGGCAATTTAATATTAATTTTGTATCCAACAACCTGACAAACATTCCTGTTATTTCTAATAATTTGCCTGTAGACACTTCGATTTCTTATGGAAACAATTATATCATCTGTAAAATAAATGCAAATTTAAATCCTCTTTTAAATCTTTATGGCTATAATTCATATTTCTATTAACTGTGTTCTTCAGATCTTTGATATTCTTTCTGAATTTTGTCTGCTTGATCTAGAAATACTCTAAAGAGGTATGTTTAATTTTTTATTGTAGTTTAATCAATTTTTGCTCCACATATTAAGTCTACTTTATTAGTTGCATACACTCAAATAGGAAGGAATAATAAATACTCTGAGGCATAGAGAATTCAGAAGCTTTGACATGCAGACTTCCGTTAAAACAATTTTTGATTAAAGACTTAAAAAGAGAAGAGATAAATACAGAATGTGTAGCAAAAAATATATCAAGGGATACGGAGATGGGGCTGATAAAATACCTTGGTGAATTTGTTATCTTTGTAAAAATTGCGATGTCCAAAGAAACATGCGTATCCATAATAACCAAGAATAGAAAGTCTAGAGAATATCAAAACACTGTGGTTTTATAAAAGAATTTCAAAAAAAGTTACAGAATGCTAAAATCCTTATCTTATAGGAGGGGGATATCAGTATGTTTCCCCTTCCAAAAAAGCTATAAAAGGCTTAAAAACAAATATATAAAAAGTAAAAATACAAAATAAAAAATTAAAATGGTATAAATAGATTCAGATATGAATAATAACACCAAAAATAAATGGATTCAACTCATCATTAATCACAAAAATGTACAGATTAGAAAACAGCAAAATCAAAGTCTTCTATTTTTAAGAGATATGCCTATAAAAAGAGAGCCCACAGACTGAAAGGATGAAGGGAGACACATCAGGCAAATGCTAATCAAAAGAAACAGGTGTAATTACATTTATTTCAATTATAGACTTTGAGACCAAAAATTTGTCATTAATGGCATCACTATAAATCATCAACAGAATAATTTGATGATATCAAATCACCAAAAAAATGCAAAAATTTAAACACATATAATCATCAATAGCTTTTCTTTTACATCAATAGAGGTTTTACATTCAACAGAAAATGTAATGGTTTAAAAATTCCATTCTGAATAGCAAACTAATAAAAATCTCCAAACCAAATGAAATCCCAGAAATAAACTAAATATTAATTTACAAAACTACAAAAAATTTAATTTACAAAACTACAAAATCTATTTTAGGTCATAAAAGAAGATGTAACTATACATGATAAATAGACTGCTAAGGAGCATTCTAAATTTTAATACTTAAGAAAATATATATATGTTCTCCTCAGATTAATCTTTTAAATTAATAAAATTCCAATCAGAATTATAGACAGATAGAAGTGAGGAATCAAAGGCCTTGTTCCTATGGAGTTTGCATTCTATTAATAGAAGAGAAAGCCAAAAATAATCACACAAATAAACAAGACATTTTAAGAGAGTGATATATGCTATGAAGATCGCAAGGTAATGTTTTGGAATAGGTGTTACAAATTACTGCCCACAGACCAAATCTGGTCCACAGCCTGTTTCTGTAGATAGTTTATGATAACACAGCCGCAACCAATCATTTACATATTGTCTATGGTTGCTTGTCTACTACAGTGGCAGAGTTTAGTAGGAACAACAGAGACCATCTGGCCTGTCATGCCTAAAATATCTATTATTTGGCCCTTTACAGCAAAAGCTTACCAATCCCTATTACAGGTTCAGAGAAGATTGCTTTACAAAAGGCACACAAAAGGAAACAACATCTGAAATGATAAATGAAAAATGAGAAGCAAATCATGTAAACAATCAGTGAAAAAGTTCCTGATTGTTTACAGTGAAAAAGTTCCTGATTGTTTACACACACACATACACACAGAGAGAGAGAGAGAGAGAGAGAGAGAGAGAGAGCAAACACAAATGAAAATGAAGCTGCGCTGTTTGAGGAAAAAAAAATAATTCCACTGTGCTTAGAATGATTTGTGGAGGGTTGTAAGAGATAAAGTCAGAAAGCAGGTAAGGGCCACATCATGGAAAACCATGAAAGATCTCAAGCTGGGTAGTGAGATGGTCTGATTTTTAATTTTTAAATGTCACCCTGGTGGCCGATTGGAGAATGTCTGAAGAAAATTAAAACTGAAAATGGGAAAACTACACAAGGAAGCTTCTAAAAAGGACCAGAGTCAAAATGACAGTGCCTTGGACAGGGTGGGAGAAGTAGAAGAGAGAAAGATATATATCTTTGGGATATATTGTATAAGGAAATCCAACTGAAGTACTAAACACCCTCACAAAGTAAGGGTTGAGAAAGGAAAGGTATCAGAGAGGGGGGCTCAAAGAAGTCTTTGGAATCAGGAATCAAAGAAGGCTTTCAGATATTTGACAAAAGCAAGTATATAGGCATTATGTACATTTACTGAAATGAGGAAGTCTGAGTAAAGAATGAAGTTTTATAAAATGAGGAAAAACTTAGAGTTCTGTTTTGAAAATACTGAATATGACTTTCTAATAAAATATCTAAATGATGATATCAAACAGAAAGTCAGAGAAATCAGTTTGCAGCTCAGAAAAGTGATCAAAACTACAAGTTTTGGAACATCAAAATTTAGATGCTTCTTAAAACTATGGGAACTGATAAGGTCAAGTGGAAAAAAAAGTAAAAAAGACTAAAAAGGTGCAGTCAGTGACAGAGTAGGAAAAATTGGAAAGTATGATAGGAAAGTCAAGAAATAGACTGTTTCAACTGTTCGACTCTGTGGTATGTTTCCTTAGAAAAGCAATGTCTATGGAGTTGTGGGGATTGAAGAGGAAATGGGTGGTAAGGATTTGGTGACAAGTTTAGGCAACTATTTTGAGAAGGGTTGATCTGAAAGAAAATACAGAAATGGTGCAATAGTTGGAGAAGTATAAGGGGAGTAGAAAAATTTTATTTTTAACATAAGATATATTAAAACATGTATATGTGTGCTAAGGAAATTGGTCCAGTAGAGTCTAAGCAACTGTTGATAAAGCAGAAATGGAAGAGCAAAGTCCCTTAAAGAGTTAAAGGTATAAAATTTAGAGCAAAACAAATTGAAAAATAGGCTTTTGTTAGGAACAGAGTTATTCTTTCCTCGATAATAAACTAAAGGCAGAGAAAATAAGTATAGGTGCAAAAAAGTTTGGTGATTGTGGTGGTAAAAAAAAATGGGAACATTCGCATCTATTTGCTTATATTTTCTCAATGAAGTAGGAGGTAAAATTATTAGCTGGTGCAGATAAAGGTTTGAGAATAGAGATGAAGTTTTAAAACACTTATTTGGAGAGTATTATAAAGGAAATGCAGGAAAAACACCAGGTAGTTTTGCATTTTCCTTTGATAAAGCTCAAGACCAAACAGTCAACACAGCTATATGATTTTTTTTTCCCCCCAGCAACGTGAGGGTGAAGAAAGTTCAGACACAGAGTAGTGAAGAGTTGGATTAACCAGTTTGGATTTTGCTACACAAGTAGATAGAAGAAACAGGAGTGGGAAGAAAATATGCAGTTTTAGCTAAGGACTGATAACTATAATGGCATAAAACCTCACATGGTTAAGGGTATAAAAGAAGACAGCAGGGCACTAGGAAAGGGTGAAAATGAGAAAACAAGTAGGGTTAATGAATTACAAATTTCAATGAGTTTGAATAATTATGGCATTGGTACTTAGTGAGCAAGAAGGACTAAAGGTGTAAGATATTTGAATTTGGTATTTCATAGGTGATGTTATTAATGACAAGGTATCGGGTAATACCATTGTTATACCCTAGTGCATGGGTCAGGAAACCCATAAAATTTTTAAAAGAAAGAAAGAATAAAACCCCAGAACCAATGAGCATATATAATCCCCAGTTTTGGTTTCTAAATATTATTCTCCAATATAAGAAACCATGGCATCTTGGGGAAATGGGAACTAGTTGATTTCAGGGATGGAAGAGGGAAAGTACAAGGTAAGCCCGAAATATCTTGTAGTGCTAGAAAATAAGGATGCACTCAACAAATGATGGAGTTATGTTAAAAAACACAGAAGCCAAATTGAGGGGGATCTTAATGACCAGATCTGGAACAATTTCAGCTACAAAATAAATAACGACAGTAATTTCTTATAAATCATAAAATTAAATAGATATCCATGAGTTCATACCGATATAAATAAATAATTAAACAAATTAATGAGGAAGGAGAAGGAACAGCTCTCCCTTACAGTTAATAATGTAAAACAAATGATGAAATAGAAAATCATCATTTGGTAAACACATTAATAATAATTCTTTCATATAAGAATAATCAATGTATGGTAAAAGTTGCCTTTTCCAGCTTCCAAAGCCTGTCCTCATTTGTTGGCTCATGGTCCCTTCCTTCACATCTCTCCACTTGCTTCCATCATCACATCTCCTACTACTGTAGTCAAATTTCCTCCGCTTCCCTTTCATAAGAATACTTGTTATTACACTGAGTATACCAGGATAGTCCAGAATAGTCTCTCTGAAAATCCTTAGTTTAAGCATATGTAACTCCTTCTTATCATTTAAGGTAAGTATGTATCACAGGTTCTGGGGAGGATGTAGACATCTTTCGGGGTGCATTACTCACCCTAACACAGAGTATCAATACATAAATAAATGACTGGAAAACTAGTACAATTTAGCAACAATTTTCTCTAGGTAGAAAAATTAGTAATTTTTATTTTTATTTTTATTTATCTCTTTTCTAGAATGAACATGCAGTATTTCCACTATTGGGCCAAAAAAAATGTAAACCAATGTTCAGAGAGTTTCTTTGTTTTAATCCTTGATCTTCAACATGTTTTTCACATGATGTATACTTACATATTAAATAATTAGATTGATATACAGATGACCCTATACAACACAGGTTTGAGCTATGCAAGTCCACTCATATGTGAATTTTTTTCTACCTGTGCCACCTCTGAGACAGGAAGACCAACCCCTCCTCTTCCTCATCCTCAGTCTACTCAACATGATGACGTTGAGAATGAAGACCTTTATGACGATCCATTTCCACTTCTACTTAATGAATACTAAATATATTTTCTCTTCCTTATTATTTTCTTAATACATTTTCTTTTCTCTAGCTTACTTTACTGTCAAGAATACAATATATAATGTATATAACATACAAAATATATGTGAATCAACTGTTTATGTTATTGGTAAGGTTTCTGGCCAACAGTATCCTATTAGTAGTTAAGTTCAGGGAGAGTAAAAAGATATACGCAGATTTTCGACTACATGCGGGGTTGGTGCCTCTATACCTCAGGGGGTTCAAGGGTCAACTGTAGTTATGTTTCTCTCCAAAAATGGCATATTTCATTCTTAATACACAAACTTCTTAGATATAGGCTAACAAAAACATACAAGATAATCAGTCTCTCATCCTAGTCTTATATGACTGGAATATGCCCAGGATTAAGTTTCAACATGCAGAAGTTGATTTTTTTAAGGTTATTTAGTCAATACTGGTCTAGCAGCCGTAGTGCAAAAAAGTGTTTTCTATTTACTACAAGAACAAATTATATACTAAATGAAGCTGATGAGTAAAACACATTGCATGAAAAAGGAGTTTAAGCAAAAATATATAAAGAGAAAAGGCTTTTAACGTATACAAGATGTTTAAAGAAGTCAGATATTAAAAACTAATGATTAGGTGGAAAGTGATGACTAAAATGTATATGCATAAAAAGACATTTTGAAAGAGAAACTAAGAAGAAAGTTTCTGAGTACATTACATGCTTGGGATGATGAAGAGCAAGTAGTGAATATTTAAGATTTGCTTTACTCTTGCAACAAAATCTGCAGGAAATAATGTATTTTTTAAGAAGATAGTAACCAGTGATAAAAAAAATCATCAAGGTGTATACTGGAAATATCTTTATATCTGAGATGCAAGATGGCAGGCATGTTAGGATGACAAATAAAAATAAGCCTGATTTGCATATGCTGTATCAATGGCACTGCTCATGTAAATTTCAACTTATTTGGGAAGAAGAATTCTTAGATATAAATTTTGAATTGTTTCTGAAATTTTATATGTGAATTTTTTGAGAAACAAACTGCAGCTTAATAATTTGCTTTTCCACTGAGTTAATGATTCAGTTAATATTGCGTTTCAGTTTTAATTTAGCATCATCTATACCATTTAAGGAGATCTTGGTTGTAATCTCCCATATAACAACTAGGTTATTTTATACAAGTTAACTAAGCTTAATGAGACCCAATGGTACAACAGGGATAAAACCGCCTATGTCATAGGACTGCTCTGTGAATTAAATGTAATTGTGTGAGTATGTATTTGCCTTAGAGAAGACTGTCTGATAAAATAAAGGCATTCGATAAAGTTATTTCACTGCCTTATTCACTGTAGTTATTTCTGAATGAATTCTGAAGGATTTCAAAAGTCAGATTCCCATATGTATGTTTATTTATATTCATATGTTTGTTAATAAACATATGTTTATGATCTTATAGTCAGCCATCCTGAGGAGTCTATAAAGGATACATACAGACTTTGACAACAATATCGAGAGTCCAAAAACATTTAAACAATGGTACGATTATAAATACAACTATTTGCAAACTTAGACAATTGTTTAGTAAATGATAAAAACCCATGTGAATAAAAGTACAAGTATTTTAACAGTCTCAATGTGCTGTAATGATATTTTACAGATAGCTCCAGGAAGATGCCTCAAAAAATAAACCAAAAATGGTCTATTTCATGCTCTATTGCCGCCACTAAGCTGTTTTACATACTGAAAGCAGACTGATTATTTTAAAAGCAAAATGTAACATTTTTCTCTCCTCTAAATACCCTTCAATGGCGTCCTATCTTTCTTATGATAAAGACCGTATCTTACATGTTCTATAAAGCATAGCATTGTTTGGATCTTGCAGATCTCATAAGCTTCCTATTTTTGCTCTGTATATTCTATGTGTTTCAGTATTGGTTTTCTTTTAGTAACTCAAACATTGCATGTTCTTTCTAGTCACGAACCTTTGTACATGCTGTCCTTTTTGGTTCCACTTCTTCCTATCTACCCTCACACTATCACATCTTATCAAGTCATTTCTTCAAATCAAAGCTCAATCATTCCCTTACCTCACCTACTCCCTATCCCACAAATTAGGTCAGGCCCTCTTGTAATGTATTCCCAAAGCTCTATAAAGTTTGGAAATACATTCCCAAAACTCTATAATTCTCATTCAGAGCTCTTACGAAAATCACACCTATGAAAATCATATAACTGGTTTAATATCTATTTTCTCTAGTAGTGTATAAGCTTCAATAGAGGAAAAAACATTTTGTTCACTTTGTTATCCATGGAGTCTAACAAAGTAGCTAGTCAATAAGTAAATGTAGAATGAATAAACACAAGTCAGTAAACGCAAGTAAATGACAGTCTCTCCAAGCTCTAACAGTCGAATCCTCCAGAAAGTAATTTAATGAGAAAAAATATGTCACCCTTGGGAATACTGAAATTATTAATATAAAATTGTTTTGTACATAAATATTTAATAAATACTAGTTTTTCCTTGTTTGCTCAACTGTACTATCCATGCTGAAAATTATTAAGAATTTCTACTGAATCTGGAACATTTAGAACAATTTCAAAAGTAAAATCTGTTGCACAAGTTTTGTAGGTTCAGCATTTGCTAGATATCATATCATAGAAAAAACACAGTTATAATCCAAACTCTGAAAACTACTAATTGTATGACCTAAGATATACATTTAAATTCATTCAGTCTTACAAATAAATTTTTTAAATACATAAGAATGGATGATTATCACCAATGCCATACATTAATTTTTCTAATTTATGGGATTTTTAATAATATGCCATGACCTATTCAGAAGCCACCTTTTTTTACTTCATAATAGCTCAAAATCACTAAACTTTCAATTATCCTGCAATGATGAATGGTCATCTATTTAGTTTCATTTGAAAGAAATGTTCAATGAAGAAAACAAACCTTGAAATTCATTTTTTCTTTAAATAAAAGACTGATACTTAAAGTTTTTCAGTGATATAATAGTATTACCCTATGTCCGTAATAAACTTAAAGCAACTTTTACTTGATAATCTACAATATGATCTCTGGACATTTTTGCTCAAGTACCCCAACAATAAAAATGCTTGCTCATACAGCTAAAATAAATGTATATTCACTTATGTATTAATAACTTATATGAGTCTACTACCATTAAACATAACTGAAGGTCTGTTATGAGTCATACAGATTTCTAAGTATGGAGATCCAATAAAACAAGGTACAGTGTTCACAGAATTTGATTCTAGTAAAATTTCATTTTACTTAAAAACCTAAATTCAAGTTAAAAACAGAAATCAACTGAGATAATTTTATACTATGTAAGTGTTAGGATGGAAACAAAAGGTTTGTGATATCTGGAAGAGTCATTTTTGTTAGGTTTGGAATATTAGCTGGGGATAGAGTACTTGAGAGAGAAAAGTAGTAAATGCGAAAGCCATAATCTTCGTAAAGTTTGAGATATCTAAGAACAAGCAAATTAAGTCATTAAAGACATACAAATAAAATGACTTGCCATATGTCTTAGCCTGTTTTGTGCTGCTATAACAGAATACCACAAAATACCACATACTGGGTAATTTATAATAAATATAAATTTATGGGCTCACAGTTCTGAAGGCTGGAAAGTAGAAGACCAAACAGCTGGCATCTGGTGAGGGCCTTCTTGCTGTGTCATCCCATGGCAGAAGGCCAAAGGGCAAGAGAGAACAAGAAGGAACTGAAGTTGCCTTTCAATAACAGCACAAATTCCACCTATGAGGGTGGAGTTTTCATGGCCTAGTCACCTCTTAAAGGTCCCAATCCCAGCACTTTGGGAGGCCGAGAAGGGCGGATCATGAGGTCAGGAGATCAAGACCATCCTGGCTAACACGGTGAAACCCCGTCTCTACTAAAAATACAAAAACAAAATTAGCCAGGCATGGTGGTGGGTGCCTGTAATCCCAACTACTCAGGAGGCAGGAGAATGGCATGAACCCAGGAGGCGGAGCTTGCAGATTGGGCCACCACACTCCAGCCTGGGCGACAGAGCAAGACTCCGTCACAAAAAAAAAAAAAAAAAAAGTCCCAGGTTTTAATACTGTTAAAATGTCAATTAAACTTCAGCATGAATTTTGGAGGCAACAAACATTCAAACCATAGTACCATATAAATTCCCAAATTATCAGGAACTTAATCTTATACTCCAACTTGTTCATTGATTTAGTGGCATATTCTAATACAAGTTTGGGAGCCAGTGGATGCAGTTAGAGTTACAGTTTGTTTGGATATCTATTAAAGTAGGAATTTCTTACTATTCTTCCTGTTTGTAATCTAACTGGATATTCTAAAAGTGTATTATTTAACTTGAACCTTAAGGTAATTTATTGGAATGCATGCCTTTCAGAAAAAATTGAATGAAATTCTATAATGGAATTACATAAAATTTTTATATCAATTTTGGGAAGTTATGATATCTTTGGATGAATATTTCTTATTTGAAAAAATGGCATATGATTTTTTAATTATTTAGATCCTCTTATTTCCTTCAGCATAATGTTTTTATTTCACTCATATAAAAACTTTTTGCTTACATATACCACTGATTTCCACTTCTTTAATGGTTAAGAGGGTTGAAACCTGCCTTTACTATTTCCTGTGTGATCTTATACAAATTAGTTCAGCTTTCTCTATCTCTGTTTTCTTATCTATAAAATGGGAATAATAAGCATACCCTTCCCATTTGAGTATTACATAAGCTAATACATATAAAAAGCTGAGAACAGTCTAGTATAGTAAGTTCTCAATAAATGTTAACTAGTATGATCATTATTTTAAAGTCAGGTGGTTGTTCTTTTCCAGTTTGGGAAAAACTATGTTTTATTTACTAAATGCTAATAATGAGCTATATATCTATAAGAAAAACATTCACAATAATATTATGCATGTTATGACCTCTATGACATAAAATCATTCTCAGGACATGATGCAGAGATTTATTTAGAAGGCAGGCAGTCCCTTCAGTAGACCATTCAACATTTTACACACAAATAAAGAACTATATACCTCTGGCTCAAGGCAGACACAGCCCCACACTAGGGTACATGGCTTAGTGAGAAAGGTAAGTACAGCATATCAGCTCTCAATCTTCCACTCAGCTGAGTACCCTTACAAAGGATACATACTACACAACTCAACTTGGGGGACCTGGTGGAAGGTTTATGGACATTTTTATTTCCTTCCTTAAACTTTTTTATTATTTTTTACAGTGAGTCTATGATTTTACATGAAAATAATAATGTAACACTTTTATTGTAAAATATATAAGTCAAATAAATTTTCATCCTTCTTCTACATTAACTTAATAGCAATTTTTTTCCTTTTAGCTATTTTAAATTTTCTTATAATCATGTTTATTATCCATCATTTTGGACTATGCTAAAGGAGTAAATAGTTCTGAAATAAAAATCTAAAAGTACAGGGATACAGACTTCAGAAAATTTAATAAAAATACTGAGGAATCAAAGAACAAGGTTAAAATGCCAAAAATGTGACTCATTTATGTCTTGTCAGATACTGTTCAATCCATCATGTCTGCAATCTGGTAAATATAAGAATTTAGATTATTGGTGTTTATTAAGATCACTCTGCCCCATGTGCAAATGAAACAGCCAGATCCTACTTAAATAGCAATTTATAGCCAATAGTTAAAAAGTCATATAAAACATTCACTAACAAAATGTTCAGTTTAAAACAGGAAAATTATTTTATTCAGTTTTAGAACAAAAACCAGGATAATTCCATTAAATATAAGGGTCAATTCAAGTATTAATTGGTTTCATTGTTTTCTATGACATACTATTTTAAGTAATTAAACTGACATACTATTTTAAGTCATCTTTTTCAACTTAAATTTCCTACTCTCAAAATAGGTAGTTTATTATTACTACAAAATTCCACCATGAACTCTAAATAAAAGAAACTCTAATAAAAGAAATTCAACATAAAACAGTAATTTTTTAAAGAGTAAAAGATGAAATAAAATGTGTTCAATTACTTGGAAGTATATTAAAACACAATAATTAGGGGTGTGAGCATTGCAAATTACATGTATTTAAAGAATTAGCACAATAGTGAAATAAAGTAAATGACTGCAGAAAGTGACTTTATGTACTCTCATTCTACTTTTTGAAATATATCATCTATATAGCATTTCTACAGCCTAGTCTTTCATTTTTAAGGTTTTCTTTGTTAAAATTGTTATTACAATTAAAAGAAAGCATTTAAGAAAAAAAAACTATACTACTTTGTGATACTTTGTGACTACTACTTTTTGTATTTACTAAAAATATATTGAGTAATTCAATGTTTACAAGGGCCAATAAAATTAGTTAACACTGTTTGAACGTTTTCCCTCCTTTGTGAGGCATGCTTTATAATATATTTGGTTTTTGGTTTTAAAATGAACTTTGAAAAACTACTAAGTAAATAGATTACAACTGCTGACATATCACTTTCAATTAAGTTAATACCACATTGCACTCAATTGCTTTAAGTTACAGTGTGGACTTGCATCTTAAATTTCGATCTAATCTTGAAAATTAGAATAGTTTCTATTAACATTATTACAAGAGTTATTGTCCTTTTCTTTTTTAAGCATCACTTCTTTTCAAATATTAAGCTTTAAACGTCTCACAGCAATACCAAGAGTGCCACCTAGTGCTTTACCATTATGCTTCTGATATTTCTAAAAGAACGCAGGGATCCTATGTAATCTAGAGAAGAGTTGTCCAATAAGGTCACCACTAGCCATATGTGGCTATTGACTAGTTGAAAAGTAACTGATTTGAATTAAAATGTGATGTAAGTATGGAATGTAAACTTTGTTTCAAACACTAGTACAAAAAAAGTAAGATATCTCATTAATGACTTAATGACTTTTAAAACTGATTACACATTAAAATGAAAAAATTTTAGATGTGTTAAGCTAAAAAAGGTTTTATTAACATTAATTTTACTCATTTTCTTTTACTTTTTAAAGGAAGCTACTAGAAAATTTTAAATTACATATGAGGCTCACATCATATTTGTATTGGACAACATTGACATAGAAGAAAAATTATGCTAGTTTTTATAAAAGGGTTAAACATTAGTATATTTGTAATAAACAGAGATTACATAATGTGTTCATAATGGTAACTAGTTACTCCTTTGGCAGATAAAAGAAACTAAAGGCTCAAAAAAAGAGGAATTTCTAATTTTAAAAAACCAAAGAAAAAAATCCCTATAAAATAAATCCAGGATATTTGAAATAAGAAAAACAAAAATGATGTGGAAAAGCTAGAGAATAAAGATAATTTAAATGACACAGTAATTGGACAGTCTGAGCATCAGTAGGAATAATAATTGCACACGGATTAAAACATGTATGGATCTATAAGTTCATTAGTGACAAAAACTGTCATTTTTGAAAGATATTGAGCTAACTTTTAATTTTAAATAAATAAATACATACATAAAAGTAGTAAAGGGAATAAATAAAAAATACAGGGAAAAACTGTAACATTTATCATGCCTTCCCTATGCGAACTGTAGCAATAAGCAACCAAACAGCTGATGAGCGAAAATTTGTTTTTACCGAAGTATTCAAACCAAAACATGAAGAAGAAATTGGAATATTATATCTTTTCTTTTCTTTTTTTTTTTTTTTTTTAGTTTCACTCTTGTTGCCCAGGTGCGAGTGCAATGGCACAATCTCAGTTCTCCGCAACCTCCACCACCTCCCAGGTTCAAGCGATTCTCCTGCCTCAGCCTCCCACATAGCTGGGATTACAGGCGCACACCACCACGCCCAGCTAATTTTGTATTTTTAGTAGAGACGGGTTTCTCCATGTTGGTCAGGCTGGTCTCGAACTCCCTACCTCAGGTGATTCGCCCGCCTCGGCCTCCCAAAGTGTTGGCATTACAGGCGTGAGCCACTGTGCCTGGCAGAATATTATATCTTTTCAATCTTGATCAATTAAAATCTAAACATTGAGCGTCAGTGTGTGCCAAGAACATAAGAGACACTAACAGACATGATATGACTCTTCTAGACAAAGAAAACCAAACCATCTACAATTATTATTTTCTCCAAAATCAGATATAAATTTGATTAAGCCTCTAAATCAGGATTTCTCAACCTAAATACTATTGATATTTTTGGCCACATGATTTTTTGTTCTGGGGAGGTTGACCTTTTCATTGCAGGATGTTTACCAGCATCCCTAGCCTCTACCCATGAGATGCCCACGGCACCCACGTCCCACTCCCCTGTTGTGACAAACAAAATTGCCTCCATACCCTATCAAATGTGTCATAAAGGGCAAAAATACCTTAACAAAATTTGGGATTTTATATGCCACATTCTCAGTAACATTTTTAAAAAATTAAAAATAGTTAACAAATGTTTTGTGGATTGGAGGAGGGTGAGGATCTAAAAACTACCTATCAAGTACTGCACTTATTACCTGGGAGATGAAATAATCTGTATACCAAACCCCCACAACATGCAATTTACCTATATAACAGGCAGCACATGCAGCCCTGAGCCTAAAATAAAAGTTAAAAAATAAGAATCACTTAAGAAAGGAACTAAGAAAATAATTACGTTTTTAAAGATAAAAAAGGAATTCATAAATTCTGTAAAAAAATGATAATTTTAAAATACTATAGCAAATATAGGCAAAACAACAACAAACAGTATATGAGAAGGAAATTATTAAAGACAAAATCTGAAATTGATGAACTAAAAAACAAGATCCACAGAAAAGATAAATAAAACCAAAAGCTAATGCTATGAAATAGCAAAAAATAAAAAAATAAAATAACTACCAATTAAAAAGCACTAGACCCAAAAATTTTTGTTGAAATACCTAATTTTTATTTAAAGTTTTAACTATTCCTGTTTTAAAAGAAGATAGCAATTGTTCCAAATTCATTTTTAAAAGCTTTTACCACAATTGCAGATATATAGAATGGAAAACTTTTTTGTTGTTGTTTTTTGAGACAGAGTCTCACTCTGCCACCCAGGCTGGAGTGCAGTGGCGCGATCTCGGCTCACTGCAAGCTCCGCCTCCCGGGTTCATGACATTCTCCCATCTCAGTCTCCGGAGTAGCTGGGACTACAGGCGCCCGCCACCACGCCCGGCTAATTTTGTTTTTGTATTTTTAGTAGAGACGGGGTTTCAACGCGTTAGCCAGGATGGTCTCGATCTCCTGACCTCGTGATTCGCCCTTTGTGGCCTCCCAAAGTGCTGGGATTACAGGTGTGAGCCACAGCGCCCGGCCAGAAAATAATTTTTAAAAACTGCAGTCATAGGTCATTTAGTCAGAAAAAATAACATTCAAAAAAGAGATCGTCTTCTTTCATACTAAAAATATTCTAAATTAAAATATAAACAACTAATATTTAGCAGTATCCAAATACTAATATGCCATGACTAAGTATGGTTTAGCCCAGAATGAAAAGATGTTTAATGTGAGAAAATCTATTAATTTAACTTAGTATTTAATAAGGTAAAAGAAAGTTATTCATGATATAACCTTGTCACAAAATAAGATAGGAATTTGCTTAATGTGATACAAGGAATATTCCATAAATTATAATAAACATCCTACCTGATAAGGATATCTATTATCATCACTGTGATTCAGCCCAGAAATAGAGGTCTCAACATCCCAATAAGGGTAAAAAATATTGAAAAAGGAAGAAAATTGTGCTTATTTTCATGTAATATAATTAACTGCATTTAAAAATCCAAGCAAATCTACAAACAGAATTTAGTAAGCGTTCACCAAAGTTAATGAATATAAGATCAATATACTAAAACGAATTTTATTTTTATATATCAAACAAGAGTAGAAAACAAAATTTTGAAAAATACAATTTAAAACAGCAACAAAAACTGAAAAAAGGATAAATTTTACACACCCAGCAAATCATTTTCAAGGCATCAACACATAAAATCAAGTTCAACACTATTAGTCATTAAAGAAATACAAAACAAAACCACAAAATGCCACTATACACACTCTAGAATGTCTATGATCAAAGAGACAATGTTGTATTGATGAGGATGTCAAGGAATGAAATTTCTAGTATCAAAATTTTCTAGAATAAATTAAAAAATGTTACCAACATTCTGGAAAACCATTTGGCAGTTTCTAAAGTAGTTAAGCAAAAGCTTATCATACAACCAAACTATACATTGCTAGGAATCTACCCAAGGAAAATAAAAACATATGTTCACATAAAGACCATATGAATGTTCATTCACTGCAGCATTTTTCTTAATGACAAAACCTAGAAAAAAATCCCAATGTCCATGAACTTATGAATGGACAAAAATGGTAGTATATTCTTATACTGTATACCGTTCATTAAATTAAAAATACTAAAATCACTATATTAACAAAGTAAAATAGAAATTTCTGATAATCATATAAATTAATGCAGGAAATGCATTGGACATAAACAACCATTTCTGATAAAAAATGTACAGCAAAGTAGGAATAGAAGGCAATTTCCTTAATCTGATAAAGGCAGTTAGCAAAAACCTACATCATATTTAATGATAAAAGACTGAATGCTTTCCCTCTTAGATCAGAAACAAGACAATAATACTTTCATGTTCACATCTTTTCAACACATTATTAAAGGTGCTAGCTATAGCAATAAGGCAGAAAAAAGAAAGAAAACCATCAAGAGAGGAAAAGAAATCCAACTGCTATTATTTGCAGGAAACATTGTATGTGTAGAAATTCTGAGAGTCAACAAAAAATGGTAGTAGAAGTAAAATGTGACTTTTGCAAAGCTACAGGATGTAAAACCAATATAAAATCAATTATAAATGCCAGAAACAATCAGGAAATCAGGAATGAAATATTTTAAGCTAACATTATCAATAGCATCACAAATTTAAAATATACAGGGATAAATCTGACAAAAATGTGAAATATGTGTACAGTTATAACTATAAAATATTAATAGTAAAAATTAAAGAATTGAGAAAAAATAAAAAATACAATAATTCCAAAGACTCACTATAGTTAACATGCCAATTCTCCCCAAATTCATCTATAAGTTAAACAAAATCACAAAACAAATTATAGCAATTTTTTTGAAAATTGAAAGGCAGATTCTAAAATTCACTTGCAAATGCAAAAAAAAAAAGAGTAGTCAAAACAAGTTTGAAAAGGAAGAACAAAGTTGGAGAATAAATACTAACCGATTTCAGGACTTATAAAATCACATTAATTATAAATGTGCTACGTTAGCATAAAAATAAGCAAATAGATTAAAGAAACAGAAAAGAGTCCAGAAACAGACCCACACATTTACAGACAAGTGTTTTTCAGCAAAGGTGCACAGAAATTCATTGATTAAAGTATAGTCTTCACATAAAGTGTGCTTGAACATTTAAATATTTACATGGAGAAAAAAAGAACTTCAATCCATCACCTACTATATATGCAAATATTAATTCAAAATGGACCATATACTTAAATAGAAAACTTAAAAATATAATATTTCTACCAAAACCTGGGGAAAATCACAGTGACCTGTTAGGCTAAGATTTCACAAAAGAACAAACTGATAAGTCAAGCTTCATCTAAATTAAAATCTGTTCTTCAAGAAAATAGTGTTAATAAGATAAAAAGACAAGTTACCACTAGTAAAAAATATTTGCAAGTCATATATCTGATAAAGGACTTGTATCTAGAATGAAGTATGTGGAAAATTTGTTAATATAAAAACAATCTAAAAAGTGGGCAAAGGATTTCAACAGACCCTTCATCGAATAAAATATACAGATGGCAAACAATCCTATGAAAAGATGCTGAACATCATTAGTAATTAGGAAAGTGCAAATTAAAATGAGAGTTAGATACCATTACACACCTATTAGAATGGCTAAAACTTGGACTAACTCTAAAAAAGTTTCTGAAATGTGGAAGAACTGAAACTCTCATACACTGCTGGTGGGAATGTAAAATGGTACAACCATTTGGGGAAACAGCATTTGGCTGTTTCTTTAAAAGTTAAAGATAAGCTAGGTGCAGTGGCTCACGCCTGTAATCACAGCACTTTGGGAGGCCAAGGTGGGCGGATCATGAGGTCAGGAGTTCAAGACCAGCCTGACCAACGTGGCAAAACCCCAACTCTACAAAAAATACAAAAATTAGCTGGGCGTGGTGGTGGGCACATGTAATCCCAGCTACTTGGGAGGCTGAGGCTGGAGAATCACTTGAACCTGGGAGGCAGGGGTTGCAGTGAACTGAGATTGTGCCGTTGCACTCCAGCCTGGGCGACAAGAGCAAGACTCCATCTCAGAAAACAAAACAAAAGTTAAATATATACCTACCATATAATCAGTACCCAATGAAAGCATCTGTTGGTACAAAATCAGTGCAGCCTTTTAGTAATGCCCAAAATTCTGCAAAATATCTATTATAAAATTCAAGTTCTTCAAAAATCCATCATAATGAAAAGGACTACATTAAAATCACATGAGTTTACTCAAGTTCTATACTTTGTTCTATGTTCACAACAAAATCTATTGCTATTTTACTGCTCAGAGTAGAAAAAATGTACCAAATATAATTAAGAGAATATATTTCTTAGCAATATACGTAAAGTTGTATTATAAAATTTAAGAAATAGAAATTGCAAGATATTCATGACAATTTTAGTTATTCAAGATGACCTTTATTATTTGAAACTAATAGTATGCACCAATTATTTAAAATGAAGAATACACATATACTTACAATAACATGTTCCTCTAAGTGGATTACCAACATAGCGATTTTCAGAGTCACATCTGCAGAAACACAAAAACTCATTTACTATTAAACAATGCAATTCAAAAGCCTCATGTTTTTCTTCAAGCAAAAAAGTATTTATATTCTACATCAAAACATATTTAAAACTATACCATTATTTGAAATTTCAAAAACACATCTTTGAAAGATGTGTTTGAAATTTGAATTAATTGTAGAAAGCTTTATATATGAGAAAAAGTGAGAGATGAAATAGTGAAGAAAAAGAAAATAAACATACATGATAGGCATATAAGGAATGTTAAAAGGCAGATGAAATATAATTATGAGCTTTGGGATATGTATCCTGCCTTAATAAACAGAAGAAGTGAAAGTCTGAAATAAGATACAGAGATATTTTTAGGTAGAAGAAAATTCAGGGAATTCATAAATCCACATTATTTTCACACTTGTGGTATTGTTTGAAATTAACATATTTTCTACACCAGTTAAAAAAATTTTCTACACCAGTTTCTACACCAATTAATCTGTATTTTTAAAAACAGATCTCCTCCGGTAAATAATTGGAAAAAAAGGTTTCTCTAACCCAAACAAAATTGACTAATATAGATTAAATTCAGGAGCTCAAACTTTGAATTCACATAAACAGATTTTTAAAAAGTGAAAGAACATATGCGCATCCATACTCATGTACTCTTATATTTAATACATAAAAATATAGTTAACTACAGCAGTGGGAGAAAATCATAAGTATTTTCAAAATTTTTCAAGTTCACAAAACCTTGTTTGCCAAATAAAATTGACAATGTCTAATAGAGATATAGCATGGTTTTGCATAACATTTCTTGGAACGTCCTCCAAAATAAATTATTATAAAATTTATGCACCAGGGTAACTTAATAAAGTGACTTAATATTTAAATACTAAAAATTATATTTGCATATGGTTTAAGTAATTATTACATACATATTTTATATAAATATATTACATATATTTCAACTCTAGTTAAAAGTTTAAAGAGGTAAAAGAGTCTAAAATGTCTTTAGTTTTTCAGAAGCATTCATAAGAACAGAGGAATAGTAGAATACATATATATAATGAAGAGTCAAATAGTGAAAAATTAGAGGCTAAATAATCAGATTACATTCCCAATGCATTTTTCAGCCATGTGCTAGCTAGTTTTTATATTCATGGAAAAAAATGAGTTGAAGAGTAAATTTTACTGTATATTAATTATAAAATTAAAGTCAAAATATGATAATCCTTTAAAACACTAACTTGGAAGAAAAGGACTCTGTGAAACAAAGGAACTTTGGGTGTTAGGTTTTCTGTGACATTTCCAAACACCACTTTTAAGATTTTGTCATTGATGGTAGTTTTCTAGTTTTAGAAATATGCAATAGAGCACCACAAAGTGTGATTCCTATCTAACTGTAACTTTGTATAAATTGACCAATCTCTCCCCATTCCACCCTCCTCATACCCTCCCAAGCCTTTCAAAATCCTCCACAGCTTCTCACAACCACAATTCTCATAACCACAATTCTACTCTCAACTTGTATGAGATCAGTCTTTTTAGAGTCTACATATAAGTGAGATCATGCAGTATTTTTCTTCTGTGCTTATTTCACATAATATAATGTCCTCTAGGTTCATCCATGTTGTGTCCCAAATGACAGGATTTCATTATTTTTATGGATAAAATACATTCCAAAAATATATGACATATTTTTATCCATTCATCTCTTGATACAGACTTAGATTGATTCCATATCTTGGCTACTGTACATAGTGCTGCAATAAAAGTAAGAGTACAGATGTATCTTCAAAATACGAATTTCAATTCCTTCGGATAAATATCCAGTAGTGAGATTACTGAAACATATTTTCATTCTGTTTTTAATTTTTGGAGAAACTTCCATACTGTTGTCCACAAACAGCTGTATTAATGTGCATTTCCACCAACGGTGGATAGAAGATCCTCTTTCTCCACAACCTCGCCAGTATTTGTTATTTTTTTGTCTTTTTCATAACAGCCATTCTAACTAGTGTGAGGTGGTATCTCATCATGATTTTGATTTGCATTTTCCTAATGATGAGTGACGTTGAGTTTCTTCTTCTTATATCAGTGAGCCATTCGTATGTCTTCTTTTGAGAAATGTCTATTCAGATCTTTTGTCCACTCTTTACTACTTGTGGGGTTTTTTGCTATTGAGTTCTTTGGGTTCCTAACATATCTGGATATTAATCCCTTATCAGATGCATAGTTTGCAAATATTTTCTCCCATTCTATAGGTTGTCTCTTTGCTCTGCTGATTATTTCCTTTGCTGCACAGAAGCTTTTGTTTTGATGTAATCCCATTTCTCTATTTTTGCTTTTGTTGCCTGTGCTTTTGAGGTGTTTTCCAAAACAAACAAACAAAAACCTTCCCCAGAGAAATGTAATAAAGTGTTACCTCCGTGTTCTCTTCCAGTAGTCTCACATTTTGAGGACTTACATTTAAATCTTTAATCCATTTTGATTTTTTTTTAAGTGGTGACAGATGGGGTCTAGTTTCATTCTTCTTAATGAAACTTTTTCCCAGCATCACTTATTAAAGAAAATATTATCTCCCTAACGTGTATTCTTGGCATTTTTGCCAAAAATCAGATGGTATACATGCGTGTATTTATTTCTGGGTTCTTTATTCTGTTTCATTAGTTTGTGTGTCTTTTTAAATTTTTAACTTGTTTGTTTGTTTGTTCATTTGCTTGTTTGTTTCTGAGACACAGTCTCACTCGGTTGCCCAGGCTGGAATACAGTGGTGCAATCTCAGCTCACTGCAGCCTTCATCTCCTGTGCTCAGGTGATTCTCCCACCTCAGCCTCCCTAGTAGCTGGGTCTACACACCATCACACCTGGCTAGCTTTTTGTATTTTTCTTAAGACAGGGTTTTGCCGTGTTGGCCAGGCTGGTCTCCAACTCCTGGACTCAAGCAATTCACTCACCTCAGCCTCCCAAAGTGCTGGGATTACAGTTTGAGCCACCGCACCTGGCCAATTTTTACCTTTTAATGTTTATGGGTACATAGTAAGTGTGCTTATTTATGGGGTACATAGATATTTTGATACAGGCATACATTGTATAATAATGACATCAGGGTAAGAAGGACATCCATCACCTCACGGATTTATCATTTCTTTGTGTCACAAACTTTCCAATTACACTGTTTTATTTTAAAATGTACAATAAATTATTGTTTTCCTATCATTTTTCTTAACTTTTATTTTAGGTTATACTAGAGGTACATGCACAGGTTTGTTACATAGGTAAATTGTGTGTCACAGAGGTTTGGGGTACAGATAATTTCACCACCCAGGTAATAAGCATAATACTTGATAGGTGTTGTTTCTAACTTTACCCTCCTCCCTTCCTCCACCTCTCCAGTAGGTTCTGGTGTCTGTTGTTCCCTTCTTTATGTTCGTATGTACAAAATGTTTAGCTCCAACTAAAAAGTGAGAACATGTAGTACTTGGTTTTCTCCTTCAGTGTTAGTTCACTTAAGATAATGGCCTCCAGCTCCATCCATGTTGCTGCCAAAAACATGATCTTGTTCTTTTTTTATAGCTGCAAGTGTTCCATTGCTGGGTCAAATGGTAACTCTGCTCTGAGTTCTTTTAGAAATTGCTAAACTGCTTTCCACAGTGGCTAAACTAATTTACAATCCCACCAGCAATGTATAAGGTCCCCTTTTCTCTGCAACCTTGCCAGCATCTGTTATTTTTTTAAATAATTCCCATTCTGACTGGTGTGAGACGGTATCATATTGTGGTTCTGATTTGCATTTCTCTAATGGTTAGTGATGTTGAGCATTTTTTCACATACTTGTTGGACACATGTATGTCTTCTTCTGAAAAGTGTGTGTTCATGTACTTTGCTCACTTTTTAATGCGGTTGTTCGTTTTTTGCTTGTTGATTTAAGTTCCATATAGATTCTAGATATTAGATCCTTGTGGGATGCATAGTTTGCAAATATTTTCTCCTATTTTGTAAGGTGTCTGTTTACTCTGCTGGTAGTTTTGTTTGCCATGCAGAAGCTCTTCAGTTTAATTAGGCGCCATTTGTCAATTTTCTTTGTTGTTGCAATTACTCTTGGCATATTCGTCATGAAATCTTTGCCAGGTCCTACATCCAGAATGGTATCTAGGTTATCCTTCAGGGTTTTTATAGTTTTGGGTCGTACATTTAAGTCTTTAATCCATTTTGAGTTGACTTTTGTATATGGTGTAAGAAAGGGGTCCAGTTTCAACTTCTGCATATGGCTAGCCAGGTATTACAGCACCATTTATTGAATAGGGAGTCCTTTCATCACTACTTGTTTTTGTCAGCTTCATTGAAGACTAGATAGTTGTACCTATGCAGAATTATTTCTTGGCTCTCTATTCTGATCCATTGGTCTATGTGTCTGTCTTTGTATAAGTACCATCCTGTTTTGGTTACCACAGCCTTGTAATATAGTTTGAAGTCAATTAACATGGTATCCCCAGCTTTATTCTTTCTGTTTATGATTACCTTGGCTACTCGAGCTCTTTTTTGATTCCATATGAATTTTAAAATAATTTTTTCTAATTATGTAAAGAATGTCATAGTTTGATAGGAATGCCATCATACTATGGCATTTGCTTCAGCATTCAAAGGGAAAGCTTTCAACTTTTCCCTGTTTGGTATGATGTTAGCTGTGGATGCATATATGTGCACATATGTTGAGGTGTGTTCCCTCTACACCTAATTTTTCAGCGGTTTTATCATGGAGGAATGTTAAATTTTATCAAATTCTTTTTTTAGCATCTATTGAGATGATCCTATGGTTTTTGTCCTTCATCCTAGTAATGCAATGTAACACATTTATTAATTTTTGTGGTTTGAACTGTACTTGCATTACTGGGATGAATTTCACTAAATCATGGTCAATGACCTTATAATATGTTGTTGGATTCAGTTTGCTAGTACTGTATTATGGGTTTTTGCATCTATATCCATCAGGGATATTGGCCTGTAGTTTTATTTTATACTTTTATCTTTGTCTGGTTTTGTTATCAGGGTAATGCTGGCCTCATAGAATGAGTTTGGAAGAATGCCCTCTACTTCAATTTTTTGGAATAGTTTGATAGTAATTGGTATGAGTTCATTTTTAAATATTTGCTAGAATTTAGCAATGAAGCTGTCAGGTCCTGAACTTTTTTTGATAGGAGTCTTTGTTTTACTGATTCAATCTTGTTTCTCATTATTGGTCTGCCCAGGTTTTCTATTTCTTCATGATCCAATCTTGGTAAGATAAGCTATAAGAAATTTATTCATTTCTTCAAAGTTTTCAAATTTATTGGTCTATCATTGCTCATTATAGTCTCTAATGATCCTTTGTATTGCTGTGGTATCAGTTGCGATGTCTCCTTTTTCATCTTTGATTTTATTCATTTGAATCATTCCTCTTTTTTTCTTAGGCTAGCTAAAGCTTTGTCAATTTCGTTTCTTATTTCAAAAACCAACTCTTCATTTTCTTGATGCTTTGTATTTTTAGTCTCTATTTCCTTTATTTCTTCTCTGTTCTTTATTATTTCTTTCCTTCTCATAATTTTGGACTTAGATCATTCTTGTTTTCTAGGTCTTTGAGGTACAACATTAGGCTGTTTATTTGAGATATTTCTACTTTTTCAAATAGGTGATTATTGCTATAAACTTTCCTCTAAAAACTGTTTTTGCTATATCCCATAAGTTTTGGTATGTTGTATTTCCATTCTGATTTTTCTCAAGAAATGTTTTAAATTCCTTTTTAATTTCTTCATTGACTTGTTTAATTTCCATGTACGTATACAGTTTCCAAAGTTCCTCCTGTTATTGGTTTTAGTTTTATTCCACAGTGGTCAGAAAAAAAATACTTGATATGACTTTGATTTTTAAAAATTTGAGGCCAGGCCGCCATGGCTCATGCCTGTAATCCCAGCACTTTGGGAGGCCGAGGCAGGTGGATCACCTAAGGTCAGGAGTTCGAGACCAGCCTGGCTAACATGGTGAAACCCCGTCTCTACTAAAAATACAAAAATTAGCCAGGCATGGTGGCAGGCACCTGTAATCACAGCAACTCAGGAAGCCAAGGCAGGAGAATTGCTGGAACCTGGGAGGCGGAGGTTGCACTAAGCCGAGATAGCACCATTGCATTCCAGCCTGGGTGACAACAGTGAGACTCTGTCTCAAAAAAAAAAAAAAAAAAAAATTGTTAAGACATGTTTTGTGCCCTTACATATAATCTATCTTAAACAATGTTACATGTGCTGTTGAGAAGACTGTGCCTTCTGCAGCTGTTAGACCGAATGCTCTGTAAATGTCTGTTAGGTCCATTTGGTCAAGAGTGTTGTCTGACACTGAAGTTTCTTTGTTGATTTTCTGTCTGGACGATCTGCACATTGCTGAAAGTGGAGTGTTGAAGTCCCCTACTATTATTGTGTTACAGTCTATCTCTCCCTTTAAATCTATTAATATTTGCTTTATATACATAGGTCCTCTGCTAGTGGGCACATATATGTTTATAATTGTATCTGCTTGCTGCATTGACCCCTGCTATTATTATATAATGGCCTTGTCTCTTTTTACAGTTTTTAACTTAAAGTCTATTTTGTTCATATAATTACAGCTACTTCTGTTCTTTTTGGGGTTCCATTTCCATGAAATAGCTTTTCCCATCCATTTACTTTCAATCTATGCATGTTGTTTTATACGTAAAGTAAGTCTCCTGTAGGCAGCATAGTTTGGTCATATTTTTCTATCCGTTCAGCCTCTCTTTTAACTGAATAATTTCAACCATTTACATTCAAGGTAGTTATTGATAGGTAAGGGATGACTATCACGATTGTGTAACTTCTTTTTTAGTTGTCTAGATATTTTTTCCTTTTTTCCTCTCTTAAAGGCTTCCTTTGTGGTTATGTGATTCACTCTAGTAATGTGTTTTATTCCTTACTTTTTTAGTGTTATCTATTATAGCTTTTAGCTTTTTCATTACCATGAGACTCACAAAAACATCTTATAGTCATAATAAGTTATTTTAAACCAATAAAAACTTAATTTTGATCGCAAAGGAAAGAAGAAAACAACAAAAATGGTACATTTTAACTCATTATCCTTCCATATTTTGAATTTTGATGTCACAGCTTATATTTTTCATATTGTCTATCTCTTAACAAATTATTGTAGTTTTTTATAGTTTTGTCGTTCATTCTTTATACAAAGATAAATGTGGTTTATACAACAAAATTACAGTATTAGCCTAACAATCAATGTAAGTATTCTTTTCTTTAAGTTTGAAGAGCTCTCTTCAGCATTTTTTGCAGAATTGGTCTGGTGGCCATTAATTCCCTCAGCTTTTGTTTGTCTGCAGAAGTCCTTCTCTCCTTCATTTTTAAAATACACCTTTTCTGCCTATAGTATTCTTGGTTGGCAGGTAGTTTCCTTCCACATTCTGAATATATTGTCACATTCCCTCCTGCCCTGAAAGGTTTCTGCTGAGAAATATGCTGCCAGTTATATTAGATCTCTCTTAAATGTTATTTGCTTCTTTTTTCTCACTTCTTTCTAGACCCTCTCTTAGTCATTGATCTTTGTGAGTTTAATTGTGACATGCCTTGTGGTATTCTTATTGGGATTGAATCTGGTGACCTTTGACTTTGCTATAATTGGGCATTCACATCTTTCCCCAGGCTTGAAAAGTTTTCTGTTATTATTTTTAATAAGTTTTTGGCCCCTTTGTCTCTCAACTCCTTCTTGAATTCTAATAACACAAATGTGTTATTTTGATGTTGTCCCACAGATCTGGTAAGCTTTCTTTGGCCCTTTTCATTCTTTTGGTTCTTTCACCTCTGACTATGTTCTCAAATAGCCTACCTTTGAACTCACTAATTCTTTCTTTTGTTTGATCTATTGTGCTGATGATGCTCTCTATTCCATTTTTATTTCATTCATTGTATTTCATTTCACTCATTCATTTCATTCACCTCCAGGATTTCCATTTGTTTTTATTATTAATATTTCAATCTCTTAAGTTTTGTTCATGTATTTCTGATTGCTTCTCTGAATTTTACTGAAGTTTGAGCTTCAGTAAATTTATTGAACTTTCTAAAAACAGCTATTTTGAATTCTTTGTCTGAAAGACCACATGTCTCCATCACCTTAGGGCCAGTCTCTGGCACCTTATTTTGTCTGTTTGGTGAGATCAGATTTCCCTGAATGATCTTGATGCTTATGGACATGCAACAATGTGTGTGCACTGAGAGATCAGGTGTTTATTCCAGTCTTCCTAGTCTAGTTTTGTTTTTGCTCATCCTTCTTCAGAGGGCCTTCCAGAGTTTCTAAGGGGACTGACTGTTGTGTTCTCTGAGCCCATGACCACTGCAACTCCCTAAACACTAGAGGGCAGTCTAAGCCCATATCTGCCACAAGTCTCAGGAGGGCTCCAAGGTTGGCAGGGCTCTGCAGGGCAGATGGACCTAGGGAAGATCCAAGGAGGGTAACTGGGCTGTGTGGGAAAGCTGGCCAGGAAACCTAGCCCAGAAGACTATCCCAGTGCCCCAGACAATCATGCCTCCCAGGAGGTCTCTGAACAGGTGAGAGATATGTCACCAACTGCAGCAGGAGGGGCCAAATCTGAGGCTGGGTCCCCTCAGGATCTACTGTGGGACAAAGGTTGGATAGCCCACCTCAATTCCTCAGATGGTTGCACATCTCCTAGCAGGTCCCTGCACAGATATGATAGTTACCTGACTACAGTGGGGGGAGCTGGGGGTCAGACTGGATCCCTCAGGATGTGCTGTGAGATGACAACCTGGGTACTACTGAAAGATAAGTTTGGCAAGCCTATCAAGGAGGCTCAGACTCACAATCTGCAGGATATGGGCAAGTCTCCCTCTGGGGTTTTGTGTGAGCAGTTCTGTGCTGGGAACTCAACTGTAGAGGGCTGGAGTCGAGCCACAGGACTACTTCTAGGTTCACTGCAGAGACTGATATCAGTGGGCAAACAAGTCTCTTACACTAGTACACATGATTGCTCCTAGACCCCTTAGAAGATGATTTTAGTTGCAGGCTCAAGGCCAAACAGGGCTGTAGTCAAATCCCTTGGGGATCAGGGCCATTTCTGGGCTTGAACCTGGAAGCAAAATTAATGCATCTATTACCTGGGTGCCAGTCTGCATTCTCAAAACAACCCTCTTTGGGCCTTGGGCTCCAGTGGGCTTTCACACCCTCCTACCTGACTCCTGAGGCTCCTGCCAGTGACTTTTGTCAGTAGATAAGTGCAGAGTTCTTGTTGTTGTGAAGAAATATTAGTAGGTTATCTCCTATTCTGCCATCTTGCTGGTATCACTCTCCCTCAAGTGTTTTCAAAGTGATAATACTGAGATATTGACTTAAAAAGCTCAAGGATACAAACTCATTTCTCTAATATGAAAGTTATAACATTTTCTTTTTTGTTAACAATATTTGGTTTATTCAAATTACATAATCATATATTGAACTGAAAATTACTATAATATATTTACCTTCAACACAGTATAAGTTTTACAAAGGAATGGTTGAAATTTTATTTTCTCTAAACTACAAATTTCTTGGAAGGATGAAACTATATGTTCTTGTGTAGGAAGTAACTTTGGCATCCCAATTCTAAGTTTTCAATAGTCAAGCACAGAAAATTAACAGAAAAAACAAACCAACACCACCTTGTTAAGAATCAAACTGAAAGACTTTGCAGAATTCTGGAAGGTGTCCAATACAAGAACTACATTCTCTATTAAATATTTATAGCTCAAAAAAGCAAATTAGAAACATATATTATCTAAAGTGGTTTATATTAACAAATAATAATTTTTGAAATAATTTTGAATGTATTAAAATGGTTTTCAAATTTTATGAGTTAAATTTAAACACCAATTTTTGGTAGTTTAATTCCATGTGTCATTTAAGGAAACACAGGTACCTCCAAAAAGCTAATGAAATAAATACTTTCTATAAAAACATAACAATATGATTTTGGGTATGAAACTCAGCTTGAAAAAGACAAAAGTAGATGTAAATAAGTGGAAAGACATTATTTATTCTTTTGTAGGACACCTCAACATCATCAGAATAGCAATTAATTTCAAAGATAATCTTTAACTTTAATGTGATTCAATGAAAACTCCAATGAGATTTTATAGGAGCTAGAAAAGTTGATCTCAATGCTTAGGGACAAAAGTAAACATACAAGAATAATTAGAAAAACACTGAAAAAGATGAGCTTTGAAGAGAGGTAGACCTAAAAGATATAAAATATACTCAAAGTCTCTATAATTAAATAGTATGGTACTAGCACATAAATAGACCAAATGTGTACAATAGAAATTCCAGAAACAGGCTCAACTATCACATGCTAAAAATCTAGTAAATGATAAAAGTTGTCTTAAATGACTGGAGTAAGACAGTCCTCATAATAAATTAAGACAACTTGATAGCTATTGTAAAACTATCAAATCAGATCCAATCCTCATACCATAAACAAAATAAAACTCTAAATGAAGCATAAATCTAAACGTAAAAAATAAAATTTTCGATATAGTAAAAAAAGGATGTTAATTACATAATAAAACCTTTACATAATAAAGGACAAGTTAATTACATAATTAATTACAAAATAAAAGGCTTCCTAACCATGAATAAAATTCCAAATGTAATTTTTAAAAGACTAAGAAATATGACTACCTTAAGAAAGCTGCATAGCAAAAAAAAAAAGTGCAATTAGTACTGTCAAGAAACATATGACAAACTGGGAGGAAATATGTGCAACTTATGTCTCACTGAAAAAGAGCTATAATCCCTAATTCATAAAGAACTCTTTAAAAATAAGGGGGAAACTAATAATTTTATAGAAAAACTGGCAAAATACATGAAGAGACAATTCACAAAAGTGATATAAAAATGGCTCTTAACCACATGAAAAATATTCAACTTCACTTATAATAATGGAAATATAAATTAAAACTACACAAATTATTCTCCACAAGACTGGCAAAATTTCAGATGCATAGCAATATATCCTGCTTATGAGTCTGTAGATGAATAGGCCATCCCATGTGGGCTAGTAGGAATAGAAAATGAGAAAATTCATATGGAGGACAACTTGACAATATCTAAAAAACTACATATGCATGTATTCTTCGACCCAACAATCCCATTGAAAGGAATTTGCTCTTAAGAAAAACCTCCAATATTATAAAACTACATACATACGAGTTTATTCAGTGTAGCGTAATTTTAATTGCAAAATACCAGAAAAATGTCTAAATGTCCCCGAATAGATTTGTTAACCTATGGTACATATGCATAATGGAATACTATACATCTCTAAACAAAACAGAACAAAAAAATGAACATTTTTATGAGCTGATATTAACTGAGCTCCAGGAAGTATTATAAAGAAGAAAAAAAATGTAAAACTCAAAAGAGTATCTAAAATACATCTAATAATATGTCAGCTTTTGTGTAAGAAGGTGAAATAATAACTATATATATAAATATAAGATACGCACATAGACAGAAACACACACAGCTCATACAGCTTTACTTTTATGAAAGGAAAGATGGGAAGGATAAACCAGAAAACAATAAAATTGGTTACCTACTGGAAGAGGGAGAAAGAAATGAACAATAATCTCTCTGAGTATACTGGAAGTAGTTTCAGGTTATTAATGTTCAACATATTTAATTAATTATTTTAATACAATAAGAATGGGAAAGGAAAAAATTCATAAAATTAGAAGTAAGTAGAAATAAGAGCCTAATAAACTTCAAGTGAATCCTATCTCTATATTGATGGAAAAAGAAAGTAAAAAAGGAGGGAAATAGGAGGAGAGGTAAGGGGAAGAAGAGAAGAGGGAAAAAAGGAATGAAAGAAGAAAGGAAGGGAGGGAGTAAGAGAAGAGGGAGGGAAGGAAGGTTCAAAGTAACTTAGGAACCCAAAATTTGACTACATACTCCGAATTGGTGCAGGGCAAGGTGGAGGAGGGAAGCTTGAAATCAGATTCCAGAATCTTTTATGTAGGTTTTCTTACTGAAGTGATATAAGCAAAGTAAATCTGAAACTATTTTAGATTACAATATAGAATTGAGCAAACAAGTAAATATGTTGATGTCATTGGAAGTCAGTGTTCATTTACTGTAGAAGAAGGAACAAATACTGAGCCGGAGAAGGTACAAAAGCCTTGCAGAAATAGATCCGAATTGGAAGTTTTGGTATGAAGAAATGCTTTCTAAAATATTTATATGTGTGTATATACATGCATATGTATGCATGTATGTGCACATATGTATATTTATATGTGCACATAAATAAATTATTATTTCCTAACTTTGTTCACCAAACAACCCACTAAGTAAAGATACCTCAAAGAGCAAAAAGCATACCTAGCACCAAGATCTTGGTCTCTAATATGATATTCCATTACAAGGAACTAGAGCTCCAAAAGGATATACAGCTGATTCCACAACTGAGGCAGAAGAGGAATAAGATGAGCCTGAAATATCTTCTTATACCAGAAAGTAAGGAAGTATTCACAAAATGATAGGTGTGTCACATAAACAAAAGAGCTAGCTTGAAGCCTCTCCTACTGGCCAAATCTTGGACAATGTGAGCACCAAAGTGGTTAAAAACATTAGTGAATTATAAATCATTGGGAAAAAAACAGGAATTCATGAGTCCATTCCAATAATAAATAGATAAATAAATGGGACAAGAAAGGAAGGGTCTTGTTTATAGAAAAATGTTGAGGTCTGTCTGGTAAATGTGAAGGAGTCTACCATAGGAGTTGGTAAACATCATCATAAAAATTAAGATTAGGCAAGAATAAACAAATTTTTATTTTCATTAATGTCACGTCCTATCAGATAAATTTGTTCCACGTTTAATTCACTTAAAAAAGACAAAAGAGAAAAAAGAATGCAGGCTTACTTGTTATACTTCCACTCAAAATCCAAGATCCTCACAGGCTAGCAAATTGATTCTAATAGCAGAGTCACCACTCATGGGAAAATATCTCATTACAAAGGATAAAACAGATGAAATCCCAAACAAATGTATAAAATATTACTTATACACAATGCAATGCTATGCAAACCAATGACTCCCCACCTCATTCCTCACATGCCAAAAATAAATTGATAAAACTGTGCTAACCTGTTATAAATAGGTGATATTAAAATGTTTGGCATATCCGTTATGGATTATGATGTAACCTAATAATAATATGATCTGGAATCAAGATTATCATAATCCATCAATTTCATTGTAGATCCCCCAAAGAAATGCAAATTAAGAAATCAGAATGGAGGATCTAACTATTTTCAACATAAGAAGAAAACAATATAACAAAATTACAAATACCTTATTAAGGCAATTTTGCAGATATAAAATGTAAATTACTCAGATCAATTAAAATAGTTTAACTCATTTATTCTGTAACAGTCTACTGTGTTTATTTACACAAAGGTAAAATTTCTTCAGAAATGCTCTGTTCTAGGAAAAGTCTTAATCTGCATTGTTGAAATTATTTTCCCCATTCAAGAAAATATCTACCAAAGACTAGAAATCTCCTTCCTAGTCTGAAAACACTTAAGGAATATATTACAAAAATATCTAATGTAGAGTTGTATAATTCAGTAAATAAAATATCAGAGTACTTGGATATAATATTTGTACTAGTTATCTATTGCTCAATAAAAATACATAAATTTGGTAACTATAATCAACACACATTTATTATATCACTGTTTCCGTGGATCAGGAGTCTGAGCATGGCATAACCAGGTTCTCTGATTCAGAGTCACAGCAGACTGCAATCAAGACGTTGGCTGCACCTAGGGTCCACTGTAATCCTGCAATCAGGTGTCAGCTGGGACTGGTTTTAATCAGAGGACTAACTAGGCATATGCCTGCTTCTATTTTCCCTCA
Source organism: Homo sapiens (assembly GCF_000001405.40). Classification (NCBI taxonomy): domain Eukaryota; kingdom Metazoa; phylum Chordata; class Mammalia; order Primates; family Hominidae; genus Homo; species Homo sapiens. The sequence continues at coordinate 115,412,290 of NC_000010.11, read as the reverse complement.
GGTTTTTGGCAAAATTTATTTCCTTACCACTATAGGACCGAGGGCCTTGGTTTTTCACTTGCTATTGGCTGGTGGCTATCCTCAGCTGCTAGAGGATACTCTCAGCTACATTTTTCTCAGAGCCAGCAAAAGAAAAAATCACTAGAGCAAGTTTTCTAGGAAGCATAGACTTCACAGCATATTCACAGAAGTGAAAACCATCACTTTTACCATGTAATGTAACAAAATAATAGGAGTAATATCCCATTAACTTTGCATTATTTTCTGGTTTAGAAGCAAGCACAGGTCCTGCCCACACTCAAGGAAGGAAATGGAACTACACAATGGTATGAATACCAGAAGTCATAGATAATTAATGGTCAATATAGGAGCTGCCCAACATAAAATTTTTGTTATAGATAGAATTTTATAATATAAAATATTTCAATATATTTACTTGAGGTATGAACATGAACCACTAATCTAATTCACATAATAAAAAAGCAAATTGAGACATAAATTATTTTAGCAAGTTCAACTTCAGATTACAACAGGTAAATAAAATGTAAAACATTTAAATATAAATAATAATTCCTTAAACAAATTGATACTTTACAACATAAATCATGTTAATATTTCTGATATTTGAGCTAAATAATATTTTAAAAACTCAGAACCCTTCAAGACTGATAAAAACATTAAAAGCCTTTAGAAGTCTTCTGTAATGGCTTAATTAAAAATGTAATTTCAAAGGGTTTCTGTGTCTAAGCAAAGAGATAATCATACTCCTTTTCCACTAAGCAAACTAATCAAGCAGCTGGACTTTCATGGAAAACAGATTTAGGCTGAACTATGTATTACAGACTTTGAAGAAGTAAATAATCTCATTAAATGTCACCTAAATAATGATTATCATTTATGTAAACGCTAACATTGTTATACACATTTTGTATAAAACAAAATATAAAATAATTCTACATTTATAAGTTTTAAAGTATTTTTAATTTAAATGTTTAAATTAAAATTTTAAATTTAAATATTTAATTTATTTAAATATTTGAATTTATAATACGAACACTTAGATATTAAATATATTAAATATATATTCAAATGTTTAAATATATACATATACCTTGTCAAGATACATAATTTTTTTACTCAGAGACTAAAATAAGGGGCATGTAACAGCCATAATTTTAAAATATTACAGATTATTTAAAACAGCTGAAAATCTGCTAAATAATTTTGCATTTTTATGATTAAATATGAAGGGGTAGGCCAAGCATGATGACTCATGCCTGTAGTCCCAGTACTTTGGGATGCCGAGGTGGGTGGATCACGAGGTCAGGAGTTTGAGACCAGCCTGGCCAACATGGTAAAACCCTGTCTCTACTAAACATACAAAAATTAGCAGGGCATGGTGGCGCACACCTGTAATCCCAGCTACTCAGGAGGCTGAGACAGAAGAATCACTTGAACCCACGAGGCAGAGGTTGCAGTGAGCCAAGATCGCATCACTGAACCCCAGCCTGGATGACAAGTTGAGTGAGACTCTGTCTCTGAAAATAAAATATTTCTTTTTAAATGAAGATATAAAGATATAAAAGGTAAAACACACTTATTTTTCTCTTTTTTTCCCTAAAGAAACCCACCAAAATGCTATCATATAATATTTTTAAAACAGAGAGAGAGAGGCCAGGTGCGGTGGCTCATGCCTGTAATCCCAGCACTTTGGAAGGCCAAGGCGGGCAGATCATGAGGTCAAGAGATCGAGACCATCCTGGCCAACATGGTGAAACTGCATCTCTACTAAAAATACAAAAATTAGCTGGGTGTGTGGTGCACACCTGTAGTCCCAGCTACTCGGGAGGCTGAGGCAGGAGAATCACTTGAACCCGAGAGGCAGAGTTTCCAGTGAGCCAAGATTGTGCCACTGCACTCCAGTCTAGTGACAGAGCAAGACTCTGTTAAAAAAAAAAAAAAGTAGCAATTTTTAAAGAGAAATGGCTAAACTTTCTGAAATCTCCAAACTGATAAATGAAAAAATAGCAGTAAACAAGAGCATCATAGTAAAACAGGACTAGGTTAACCCTGATACCAAAACCAGATAAGGACACAACAACAAAAAGAAAACTATAGGCTAATATCACTGATGGACATTTTCAAAACTCCTGAACAGAATACTGCAAATCAAATCCAACAATATATAAAAAGATAATACACTAAGATCAAGTGGGGTTTATCCCTGGAATGTAAGGATGGTTCAACACAATGCAAATCAATAAATGTGACACATCACATCAACAAAATGAAGGAAAAAAGCCATATGATAATCTCAAAAGATGCAGAAAGAGCATTTGACAAAATTCAACATCTCTCCATGATAAAAAAAACTCCCCATAAATTAGGTATAGAAGGAAAGTACCTCAACACAATACAGGCCATACATGACAAACCACACCAAACACTAATTTGAATAGGGAAAAGCTGAACACTTTTGTTTTGTTCAGGATTTTTGCATACATGTTCATCAGGGATATTAGCCTATAGTTTTCTTTTTGTTGTTGTATCCTTGTCTGGTTTTGGTATCAGGGTTAATCTACTCCTGTTTTACTATCATGCTCTTGGTTTTTGTTTTTTTGTTTGTTTGTTTTTCAGTAAGAACTAAAACAAGACAAAAATTACCACTCTCACCATGCTTATCCAACATAGTGTTGAAAGTCCCAGCCAGAGCAATTGGGCAAGAAAAAGACATAAAAGGCATCCAAATTGGAAAAGAGGAAGTGAAATTGTCCTGTTTGCAGATCACATGATCTTGTGTACAGAAAATCCTAAAGAATCTCCCAAAACACTATTATTTAATAGAACTGCTGAATGAATTCACTAAACTTGTAGGTTACAAAATCAACATTAAAAAATCAGTAGCATTTCAATATACAAACAACAAAGTAGCTGAAAAAGAAATCAAGAGGCAAATCTCATCTAGAATAACTAACAAAAAAGTACCTAGAAATAAATATAACCAAGGAGGTGAAAGAACTCTACAAGGAAAACTACAAAATAAACTGATAAAATTGAGGAGAATGCAAACAAATAAAAAGACATCTCATGCCCACGAATCACAATTAATATTGTTAAAATGGCCATATTACACAAAGCTATACAGATTGAATGCAATTCCTTTCAAACTACCAATGACATTGTTCACAGAAATAGAAAAAAGTAATAAAATAAAATTTGTATAGAACCTCAGAAGACCTTTAGTAGTCAGAGCAATCCTGAGCAAAAAAGAACAAAGCTGGAGGTATCACACTACCAGACTTCAAAATATACCACAAAGTAGTACTAACCAAAATGACAGGTACTGGCATAAAAACAGACACATAGATCAATGAAACATAATGGAGAACACAGAAATTACATATCTACAGCCAACTGATTTTTGACAAAGATGCCAAGAACAAAGATGACTTGGAGAAAAAATAACCTCTTCAATAAACGGTTCTGGGAAAACTGGATATCCATATGCATTAGAATTAAACTAGACCCCTCACCTCTTGCCCTATACAAAAAACAACGGAAAAATGGATCAAATACCTAAATGTAAGGCCAGAAACAATAAAACTACTAGAAAAAAACGCCAGGGGAATGCTTCAGGACATGGATCTGGGAAAAGATTTTATGAATAAGACTTCAAAAGCACAGGCAACAAAGGCAAAAATTAACAAATATAACTATATCAAGATAAAAAACTTCTGCACAGCAAAGGAAACAATCAACAGAGTAAAAAGACAATCCACAGAATGGGTTGCAAACTATTCATCTGACAGGATATTAAGAGCCAGAATACATAAGGAACTCAAACATTGCAACAGCAAGAAAACAAACGATCTAATTGTAAAATGGGCAAATAATCTGAACAGACATTTCTCAAAACAAGACATACAAAATCACCAGCAAACCTATGAAAAAATGGCCAACATCACTAATCATCAAGAAATGCAAATCAGGCCGGGCGCGGTGGCTCACGCCTGTAATCCCAGCACTTTGGGAGGCCGAGGCGGGTGGATCATGAGGTCAGGAGATCGAGACCATCCTGGCTAACAAGGTGAAACCCCGTCTCTACTAAAAATACAAAAAATTAGCCGGGCGCGGTGGCGGGCGCCTGTAGTCCCGGCTACTCGGGAGGCTGAGGCAGGAGAATGGCGTGAACCCGGGAAGCGGAGCTTGCAGTGAGCCGAGATTGCGCCACTGCAGTCCGCAGTCCGGCCTGGGCGACAGAGCGAGACTCCGTCTCAAAAAAAAAAAAAAAAAAAAAAAAAAAAAGAAATGCAAATCAAAACCACAAAGAGATATCATCTGACCCCAGTTAAAATGGCTGTGTTAAAATGGCTGTGTCTTTTTAAGACAAAAATATAAGATGCCGGTGGGGATGTGGTAAAAAGGAACTCTTATACATTGTTGATAAGAATGTAAACTAGTACAGCCAGTATGGAAAACAGTATGGAAATTTCTCAAAATACTAAAAATAGAACTACCATACATATGATGCAGACTTCCCACTACTGGGTATTTATACAAAGGAAAATAAATTAGTATGTCAAAGGCATACTTGCATCGTCATATTTATTGCAATGCTATTTGCAATAGCAAAGATATGTAATCAACCTAAGTGTACATCAATAGATGAATAAAGGAAATGTAGGATATATACACAATGGAATATTATTCAGCCATTAAAAAGAAGGAAATCCTGTCGTTCGTGGCAACATGGATGGAACTGGAAGACATTACATGAAGTGAAATAAGCCAGGAATAGAAAGTTAAACACTGCATGTCTTTAGACATGTGGAAGCTAAAAAAAAAAAGTTGATCTCATAGAAGTAAAAAGTAGAACAGAAGGTACTAGTGGCTGGGAAGGGTGTAGGGAAAGAGAAATAAGGAGAGATTTGTTAAAGCATATTACATTACAACTAGATAGGAGGAATAAGTTCTAATGTTCTATACTACTTTAAGAGGACTATAGTTAACAATAATACATTATATAGCTCAAATCGCTGGAAAGATAATTTGTGTTAATGTTCCTAACACAAACAGATTATAAATGCTGATTGCCCTATCTGATCATTATGCACTGCATGTACTGAAACATCATTATGAACACCATAAATATGTACCATTATCGTGTCAATTTAAAAATAAAATCCAATTTAAATAAATAAATGAAAATATTTTAAAGGAAAAGAACAAAACAGACACTAGAAGAAACAAAAATCTGAATAGTTTATCTCTTTTAAAGAAATTGGATGAAAGTTAAAACCTTCAGGCCAAAAATAAATTCCATGACCAACTGGCTATCTGAATACTACTTGATAATGGAGAACAGAAAGAATTTTTAAACAGAACCCAAAAAAGCACTAACCATAGGGAAAAGATGGATATACTGGATTATATTAAAATTAAGAATGTCTCATTATAGACATACAAATTGGCATGAAAGTCCAACCACAGAGTGACATTTACTAAACATATCACCAACAAAAGACGTGTACATAGCATGTATAAAATATTACTAAAAATGATTAAGGAGAATCCAGCAGAAAAATCACAAGAAACTTGAGATAATACTACATCATAAAAAGAGAAAATTCCACCGGTGATTAAAGAGATGAAACTTTTAAAGATTAAACATAATAAACTTTTAAGAACTAAGGAATTTTTTAAGCTTAAGAACATAGCAATTACACATCTATCAGAAGTGTCAAAATTAAAATGCCTTGGAATACCAACTATCAGCAAAGATGTGGAGCATTAATAAAATTCATAAAGACTTGGAATGGGTATAATTTAATATAATCACTTTACAAAACAGTTAATTTTCCAAAGTTGAAAATATGAATAATGAATACACACTCAACAAAATGTATGCATTTGTAAGCCAGGAAACATATAAGAATACTGATAAAACATTAACAGTAATGGTGAAAAAGGAAAAACAAAACTGGAATTATCAAAAAAAGAAAACAACCATTGTGGAAGTCAGTGTGGCGATTCCTCAGGGATCTAGAACTAGAAATACCATTTGACCCAGCCATCCCATTACTGGGTATATACCCAAAGGATTATAAATCATGCTGCTATAAAGACACATGCACATGTATGTTTATTGCGGCACTACTCACAATAGCAAAGACTTGGAACTAACCCAAATGTCCAACAATGATAGACTGGATTAAGAAAATGTGGCACATATACACCATGGAATACTATGCAGCCGTAAAAAATGATGAGTTTATGTCCTTTGTAGGGACATGGATGAAGCTAGAAACCATCATTCTCAGCAAACTATTGCAAGGACAAAAAAACAAACACCGCATGTTCTCACTCATAGGTGGGAACTGAACAATGAGAATACATGGACACAGGAAGGGGGACATCACAAACTGGGGCCTGTTGTGGGGTGGGGGGAGGGGGGAGGGATAGCATTTGGAGATATACCTAATGTTAAATGACGAGTTACTGGGTGCAGCACACCAATATGGCACATGTATACATATGTAACTAACCTGCACGTTGTGCACGTATACCCTAAAACTTAAAGTATAATTAAAAAAAAAAAGAAAACAGGCAAATGAATGAAGTGTGTTATAATTATATAATGAAATACTCTACAACATTGAATAGGATCACATTACAGCTATCTGAATGCAGCAACTTGGATAAATCTCAAAACATTATGTTGAGGTGAGAGGACAAACATTATTAACAATAAAGAAAGGATATCATATTTGCACCGGCAAATTGCCAAAACAAGACAAAAAAGAAAATTGTTATAAAAAGAGATTACACTGAAATATGTTCAGTCACTTACCATTTTTCCATAAAACCAGAAGTGCTAAACTATACAACATAGCCACTACACTGGAGCTCCAGAAATAAATCAAAAGGACATACTAGTGTATAGCAGTAGTTCATCCTATAACACACATGCATTTGACATGAGAGTCCATATTTTGATAAAACACCTACACATATACCAGATATATTTTCTACATTTAAATGTTAAAACTTTATTTCTTCATACAATGTTAAGTTGGGACATACTAGGCTATTTATTTCATCCCCTGATATTTCAAGATAACTTAATAATAAATATATAGAAGACTGATCAAAGTAAAATAAATGCTTAAAGTGCTGTCTCTTTCTTTGACATACACATTTGTTTCTTTTTCTAATTTCTTCCAACTTGTAGGTAGTATATCCTAAATCTTAACTTGATACTCTGTTCTTTACTGTGCACTTTTCTTTTTTATTAGCAATTCCAACAATTCTATCATGTATTGGGAACCATTCTGACCATCTAGAGTTAAATAAAGCCATTTAACTTTTATGCCTTATGTGAATGTAATAATCAAGTTGGAAATCATGGACTATACTAGTCTCCCAAACAATAGCTTTAAATGAGAACAGCTTTGATTTAAAAAAAAAAAAAAAAAGCTGGGAGGTTTTTGCAAGTTTTAAGAGATGAATGGGGATTAAAGAACAAATTAAACCTAAATACCACCACACTGTTCACTAACCTACTCCAGCAGTCACACTTAATGAACAGGACCCTTAAGGTTATTTAAATGAAAGTACAGTAATTAAGGATGTCAAGCTAGATGCTAAGGGAATACTAATTACTCATGGAAGAATATGCTAACTCTAGCAAGCAACCTTAAAATCTCAGCAGTTCTATACAATAAGTTTGATTCCAGCTTGAAGACACTGTCCAGTGTGGAATGGATTTGGAGAAAAGGTCTTGGTCCATGCAGTCTTCCAGGATCTGGGCTATTCCTAGCCTCTGCAATCTTTCAGATCCTCATCTTCCTCTCCATTGAACTGCTGAATGAGGAAACAGAGGGTGTATGGCACATGAGGTTTTTAAGAGCCAGGCCTAGAAGTGGTGGGTGTTACTTCTGTCTACCGGACAGAGCCCAATAACATGACTTCCAACCTAACTGCAATGGAGGCTGCGAAATACAGCTGAGTTGTGTTCAGAATGTTTTCAAAATTGGCGATTAAATGACATTCAATCTAGTATAGTTTTGAGGGACAAGGTGTTGGTATAGAAAGACTGATGGGAGAACTAACATTTAACTTTGAAAGTACATTCCTAAAATCCAAGAGCTTTAAATTCATTAAGTCATACTCCAAAAGAACTCAAACATTTACCTGACATAGGAAGTTATATGCTCAAGTTAGACTTGTTACCAAAACATATTCCTCAAGGGTAGAAATCGGACAAAACCATATATGGTTTCATACTGGCCAACCTTAACATGAGTAACATGCGTTCTGAACTGATATTTTCAGATGTATGCTTTTGGTACTGTCTCATAGCCTCTCAGTGAATAAATGTTTACAGAATAAAGCAAGCATAAGAGTTCCTCAAGTATCTTATATATTAGACATCAAGGCTGCTTAACTCATTATCACAAAGAAACCATTAGTCTTATCTGCAGTTGCAAATACAGCAACAAAACAACCTAGAAAAATCTTAACAATATTTAGTGTTGGAGGCTGGGTGCACTGGCTCATGCCTGTAATCCCAGGACTTTGGTAGGCCAAGGTGGACGGATCACTTGAGGTCAGGAGTTTGAGACCAGCTTGGCCAACATGAAACCCCATCTCTCATAAAAATACAAAAATTAGCCGGGTGCGGTGGCGAGTGCCTGTAGTCCAGCTACTCAGGAGGCTGAGGCATGAGAATCGCTTGAACCCAGAGAGTGGAGGTTGCAGTGAGCCAAGATTGTGCCATTGCACTCCAGTCTGGGGGACAGAGCTAGACTTTGTCTCAAAACAAACAAAAAAAAAGTTAGTGTCAGTATTTGAAGACCATAGTCACTAGTTACTTATCCAATTGTGTTTATAAAGGTGATAACCTATGTGCAGGCAGGCTGTACAGAAAATTATTCTTCCTCTGTAGTCTCTATTATAACAATGTAGATTAAGTCACATAGAGAAAAGATGTACTTTTCCCCATATAGCAGACTAAAAAAAAAAAAAAAAAAAGATGAGAGTAATTAGGAAAAATAAAGATCCAAGATACATTATTTTTAAAAATCTAAAGTCCCTAGTATGTGCCAGAATCTGTTCTAGAAAAGAAGGCACAACTTTGATCTTCCTAAAACGGAAAGGAATTCATTGGCATCATCATTAAGGCAATTTCACAAAACAAACAAACAAAAGAGACTTGATAAAACAAGATAGAGAAAAATGGGTAATAATCTTAGATATTACTGGCCTAAAGGTAAGCCAAGGAGGAAAAAAAATGTTCAGGAAGATCCTCCTACGGCAACATTTCTCAAAATGTATCAAGAATTTTTATTTCACAATTTACTATTAGTAAAGTAGAATTTTGGCTCCCATCCCAGGAGTTTAGTCACCATATCCCAGGAGATTCTTCTGTGCCCTAATTCTGAGAACCAGGGTCTTAAGCCTGAAGTAAGTAGCTATGAAGAAGTTGTAAGATCAGTAAATGGGAAAGGTATAAGGAACAGAAAAGGGGAGCCAGTTATAAGTTAATTAGCACAATTAAGATCCTGATTAGTAATATTGCCATATATCTTAGGAAATGGTATTTTTAATTCCAAATGCCTTTGAGAAGTTTATCTTCAATTTACTGTGAACAGAGAGTAAAACAATTTTGAATCAACTCATCAATTTTGACTAATCTACCAACAAAATATCTAAGAGTGCCATTTATATGTACTTTTCACCAGAAATCAATAAAATGATCTGAGCTCTTATATTAAACAGTGAAACAATAAACTTTTTTTGGCTAGATAAGGGAAAACACTAATTTTTAAGGCACATGGTTGTGAGTGGGGATAAATTTGTGAGTAACAATTCATTATTTCCATAATTATGGAGTTCCACTGGAATTTACTGAATGGAATGAAAGAGAAACCAGGGGTGCAGACATCCTACAAAAATACAAAGTAATTCCACAAAATAAAAAAGGGATCAAAATCTCATATAATTTTAGAATAACATGGCAGATGTTTAAGTAGGTGAAAAATGTGCTCATAAATATTTCAGCCTGGAATCTAACTCCATTTTACATATAAACACAAAGTAGTTTTGCATATTTATAACACATATTGAATTTTCTACAACTGCAACTATCATGTAAATTGAAAATATACCTTTTATAATATTATTCAGAATTTGACCAAGAGATATTCATTTAAGAAAATCTCATCACCAATAGCTATCCTGCTCACACACATCTGTGAGTATACAATGTGTCTGGAGAATATTTGAGATACCTCTTAAGAGATAAAAACAAAAACATATTAAATTGGTGCCAAATTATGAGTACTACTGAATTTCATAATATAGGAACTAAAATTATCATATTATTCCTGTCCTATGCATTTGTTAAAATTTCATAGTGCTATAATATAAAATGTATGCGGTAGAAACTACATGGTAAAATTACTGTGGGGGAGATTGCAATTGTTTTTAAACAGGGGACTCTGATAATGTTCCAGAGGTCTACAACATGACTTGACTGGCTCTTATATTACTATTTCCTTTTCAAATATGTCCCGTTTCCTAAGACATGATATAGTCTCTACAGTCTTTTTACATACCAGAAACAGAATGTATACATTGACATGTGGTAGGATTTCAAGAAAGAAAATATATTTTCTGTTAGATTTTATCACAATTCTGTCCACATTTTAAGCTAGGGAATTATTTTGGCACTACACTTATAAATAGGATCCAGCTCATATTTGAGAATATCATAATCCCTCATTTTCTCCATTTCAGCAGCCTGCTATTTGTCTTGACATGAGATCTCTGATTTGCCATCTTGACTGGGTCCAGAATGAATGGAATTAGTTTCAAGGGTTTCTTTCTCTTGGCCCTTCTCTACCTTACTGGCTCTTTCTCCACAGGTCAGGAAGCCAATATGAGACATCTGCTGGCTGCTACATACATCCATTTTAATTATGAACTAAGGAACAGGGAAAATGACTACAGAGTGAGTTTGTAGATCTACTGTACTCAATGAAACATATTTGGACTTAGATTTTATTTATTTCCTGGTCTCTGTAAGTGCCCATTCTAATAAGAGGCTGTGACTATTCATCCTCTTATGCCAGTAGCACTCCCCAATTATTAGAATAATTAATTATGAAAACCTATGAAGTTCTAGGGGGTGCTATTCCATCTCCACCAAGAACCATTAACCTAATAAATCAATGTTTATCTTTTTCCAACCAAAATACATTTAGTTAGTACACTTACTGCATATAAGACATAACAATGTCTTTGTTAAATTCTGTTGGAAATTAAATATTTTATGGTAACCTTAAATGTAAATGGGTTAAATGCCCCCAATTAAAAGACATAGAAAGGCAAACCGAATAAAGATCCAAGACCCGTTGGTATGCTGTCTTCAAGAAACCCATTTCACATGCAATGACACACATAGCCTCAAAACTAAGGAATGGAGAAAAATCTACCTACCAAATGAAAAAGAGAAAAAAGCAGGAGTTGTAATCCTAGTTTCTGACAAAACAGACTTTAAATTCACAAAAATCAAAAAGGCAAAGAACAGCATTACATAATGGTAAAGGGTTCAATTCAGTAAGAAAATCTAACTATCTTAAATATATATGCACCTATACAGGAGAATCCAGATTCATAAAGCAAGTTCTCAGAGATCTTCAAAGAGACTTAAGCTCCTATACAATCATAGTGGGAGACATTAACACACCACTGACAATATTAGACAGATCACTGAGACAGAAAATTAACAAAGATATTCAGGACCTGAATTCAGCACTGGATCAAATGGATCTCATAGATACAGGCAGAACTCTCCACTCAAAAAGAACACAATATACATTCATCTCATCACTGCATGGCATATACTCTAAAATCAATCACATAATTAGAATTAAAACACTTTTCAAGAAATGCAAAAGAACTGAAATCATTACAGTCTCTTGGACCACAGCACAATCAAATTATATAGTTTTACATTTAAGTCTTTAATCCAACTTGAGTTAATTTTTGCATTAACAGTGTAAGGAAGAGGTCCAGTTTTAATTCTCTCTAATGATCAGTGATGTAGAACTTTTTTCATATGAGTTTTGGCCACATATATGTCTTCTTTTGAAAAGTGTCTGTTCGTGTCCTTTGCCCACTTTTTATGGGGTTGGTTTTTTCTTGTAAATTTGTTTAAATTCCTTATAGATGATAGAAATTAGACTTTTGTCAGATGTATAGTTTGCAAAAATCTTCTCCAATTCTGTAGGCTGTTTACTCTGTTAATGCTTTATTTTGCTGTGCAGAAGCTCTTTAATTAGATCCCATTTGCCAATTTTTGCTTTTGTTACAATTGCTTTCGGTGCCTTCATCATGAAATATTTGTCCATGCCTATGTCCTAAACGGCATTGCCTAGGTTGTCTTCCAGGAAGTCTTAAGAGAGAAATTTATAGCACTAAATGTCCACATCAAAAAGTTAGAAAGCTCTCAAGTTAACAACCTAACACCATAACTAAAAGAACTACAGAACCAAGAGCAAACAAATCCCAGAGCTAGCAGAAGACAAGAAATAAACAAAATCATAGATGAAATGAAGGAGATAAAGACACACACACACACAAAAGATAAAAAGATCAATGCATCCAGGAGCTGGTTTTTGAAGAAAATAATAAAATTGCTAGACCACTAGCTAGACTAACAAAGGAAAAAGAGAAGATTCAAATAAACGCAATCAGAAACAACAAGAAGGGTATTACCACTGACCCCACAGAAATATGAACAACCATGAGAGAACATTATGAAAACCTCCATGCACATAAACTAGAAAATAAAAAAAGGATAAATTTCTGGACGCATAAACCCTCCCAAGACTGAACCAGGATGAAACAGAATTCCTGAACAGACCAATAATCAGCTCTGAAATTGAGGCAGTAATAGCCTACCAACCAAAGAAACCCAGGACATGATGAGTTCACAGATGAATTCTACCAGATATACTCTCCTCAATAAAAAATTGAGGAAAAGGGACTCCTCCCTAACTCAATCTATGAGGCCAGCCTCATCTTGATACTAAAACCTGGCAGAGACACAACAAAAAAAGAAAATTACAGGTGGATATCCTGGATGAACATTGATGCAAAAATCCTCAACAAAACACTGGCAAACAATTCAGCAGCATATCAAAAAGCTTATCCACCATGATCAAGTAGGCTTTATCCCTGGGATGCAAGGTTGGTTCAACATAAGCAAATCAGCAAATGTGATTCATAATATAAACAGAACTAAACACAAAAAGCACATGATTATCTCAATAGATGCAGAAAGGGGTTTCTATAAAATTCAACATCCACTCATGTTAAAAACTCTCAGCAAATTAGGTACTGAAGGAACATACTTCAAAATATTAAGAGCCATCTATAACAAACCCACAGCCAACATCATACTGAATGCACAAAAGCTGGAAGCATTCCCCTTGAAAACCAGCACAAGACAAGGACGCCCTCTCTCACCACTTCCATTCAACATAGTATCTGAAGTTCTCACCAGGGCAGTCAGGCAAAAGAAATAAACAAAGGCATCTAAATAAAAAGAAGGGAAGTCAAACTATCCCTGCTTGCAGACAACATGATCCTACATCTAGAAAACCCCATAGTCTCGGCCCAAAAGCTTCTTCAGCTGATAAACAACTTCAGCAAAGTATCAGGATACAATGTGCAAAAATCAATAGCATTCCTATACACTAATAACAGTCAAGCTGAGAGCCAAATCAGGAAAGAACTTCCATTCATAACTGCCACACAATTATGTGTGCCTAGGAAAACACCCAGGCAAGAGAAAGATCTCTACAAGGAAAACTAAAAACCACTGCACAAAAAAATCAGAGATGACACAAATGGAAATTCATTTTTAAGTTACAATTTTTGACGATCAGCTGTGTTTTGGGCCAAAAAAAGACTGAAAACTGTCATTACTACAGCAAAATGAATCATTTGGTGCTCATCTAAATGAATATTTTGACTGTACTACTGATGCCCTGCCCACTGCGGCTGCCAATCCCTTCCACAAGGTACAATACAAGGAATGCTCTCTTAAAATGTTCATTTTTTTTACCTGAGCAACTGGTGGAAGGGAATGGCAGCCACAGTAGGTGGCTTGAAAACTCTACAAAGAGTATGCTCTCCATACTCTACCAATTTCTGTGGCTCCCAGGAGCTTCACACTATTGACAGTGTATACCTAATCCCCGCCAAATATCAACTACCCTAGCTGATCTCTTCTTATCAGTTTCCAGATGATTTTGCTCCAGGTAAGCCAATGTTCATGTCTCATCTCTCTGCAGTCTCTTGTCTCTCTTTAGATTTGTGGTCATTTGATTACCCTGTTTTCTCAGTTCTCCAATGGTTTCAAGAAAACTCATGAATTTACAGTTTATCCAGCTTTTTCCCCTTTCATTGTAAGGGTAGAAGCAATATTTTTCCAGCTCTCAACATTCTTGAGCAAAGACCGGAAATGCTATGATCATGTTCATTTCTACTTCTTTGCTTTTATTGATGCATTTCCCCTTGTTTCCTATTTTCTTTTCCCAGAAAGTTGATTTTATTACTCCTTCAGGTTCTAGTTCAAACATCCTCTACTTAAATTTTTCTTATCCAACCAAAATAAATTAATACTTCCCTTTTCAGTGCTCCATCAATACTTTCTTCATTCCATTCTATTAAACAAATTTATTGAACACTTACATTGTGGTATTGTTGCAATGGTCCCCCCAAAAGTTCACTCTAGTAAAGGACACAGACAAGTACACAAATAATGCAAGAAAAGAAATTAACAGATATGAAGAGAACCGATTTCAGTTTAGGATGGTTATTAAGAATATATAAGATATGATATCTGACTAAATACTTAAAACCAAACAGAAATTATCCTAAGAAGTGGAAGGGGTTCATAAGCATATTAAATCACTAATGTAAGAAATTGGTATACTGTATTTTGGTCAGTGTCTTCACTGCTAGTCTGAGATACTTTCAACAAAAACCATATGTTATTCATCTTCATTAGTAGTATCAAGTACTCACTTAATAATTGTTTACTGATTTGAAGGAGTAGCTCTCCTTCCTAACAAACCATTTTTTTCAGGTATAAGCAGATTATAGCAATTAATTGCTCTAAAAATAATGAGCCTATTCTTTATTGCTCCATACTCAAAAGCTAAATAAACAAAAAAGTAAATGAATGGAATTCTGTGTACAAATACCACCTACAAAATACTCTTTACAAATTAGTATTCCATTATTATCCTCTTCATAAAAAGCCATAAATGAGAACGGGGAAAATGTACTTTTATCATTAAGAACTATATGATTGATTTTCTAATATTTTGCACATATGCCAAATCTTATAACTCTATTTTAGCTAAGCTTACAAGCTCACTATTTCAATGAATTAAAATTCTGCTTTCTTTTGTCTGTAAACAAAAATATGTTACTGCAATACTGTATCAAAGAACTATTTATTATGGATAGTTATATGGCTATACTATTTAAGTAAAACTATACTAAGAAGATTGACAGTGTTTACTATCATGGTAGAATCTCATATATTATTTTTATCTGTAATACTGCCACTATGGTCTACAGAAAATATTTTCATTGCTGCACACTGCTATCCAACCAACATATTTAATAGAAGTTAATCAAGAGAAACATTACTTATAACCAGAACATGCTATTATACATAATTGCAGGGAATAGGAGAACATTGTGCAAAAGAAGAATGTAGAGTTCTTATTTAAAAGTTATTAAGAATTTCAAGATGATGATAGCAGAGCACTAAACCAAGTGTGCTGCCCTTGTAAGTGTGGGAACCTGTATAAATTCACAGGCCACGTGCCCATGAAGTTGGCCTTACTTATAATCAAGCTTTAGTGTTGCAAAGTATTAGAGGCATCCTTGATCTTAGAACAGAAGACAATGATTTAATTCCGTTGGTTTTAAGACCAAAATGGCCTTCCTTAATAGGAATTCCCCCAAGATCTTTTGCTGTGAACTTGTATTTAACTTCAGACTATAGAGAAGGAATAAAAACTGATTGTGCTTACCTTGTCTGAATTTGAAAATCTGTAATACTTAGGTGGCTAAGCAAAGACATAATCACCTAACTTGAAACATTTAGGATAACTCTGCAACAAGTAATATATTTATTTTAAATAAAAATAAAAGGATCATTTTCCATGCTTAATAGACTTTAGGTATAAATTTTTATATATTTATAGTTTTGAAGAATTCTTTATTAAACTTTCCCTATGTTTCTGTAATTATTATGGTTGGAATTTATTATTTGTGTCAAATACAGTACATATATACCTAATATAAACATGTATTTGTACATATATAATTCAAAACCATAAAAATTTGATTTTAATAATATAGATAAACAAGAAAAAGAATAAAAAACAATTTAAATAGCCTAAAATGCTGCCTTTTAAAGTTAATTTTTGAAGGAAAATAAAATTTTAGAATAAAAACTAAATGCTAAGACAAAAATCATTCATGAAAGTACAGAGAGGAGAGTAGCAGTAGAGGGTTCCTGCATACTGAAAGAACAGAGAAAAGAGAAGAAGATGAATATAAGGAACCAGCTGAAAGGGTTAAAGGACAAGAATTGGAATTAATTATCAGAATTAATAATAAATGACTGAAAAAAGAACGGCATAGAGACATTATATTAGGTATAATATGAAAGAAAAGTGTAAAGATAATGTAGATTTGATACATAAGATTAAGAATGCATCTTTTTCTAGAAATGCAAAAGATAACATGTTCTATGGGGTTGTTTTAAAGCCTCTACAAAATTGTTCTTTAAAAGGTTTAATTTTTAAAGAGAATTCATTAGGTGCAAGTAAATTCTCAAAGAAAAATAAATCATTCTACCAAAAAGACACATGCACCTATATGTTCACTGCAGCAGTATTCAGAATAGCAAGGACATGGAATCAACCTAAATGCCCATCAACACTGGACTGGATAAAGAAAATGTGGTCCACATACACCATGGAATACTACACAGCCATAAAAAATGAAATCATATCCTCTGCCACATGGATACATTATCCTAAGCAAATTAACATAGGAACAGAAATCCAAATGCCACATGTTTTTGCTTATAAATGGGAGCTAAATATTGGTACACAGGGACACAAAGATGGGAACAACAGACACTGGGAACTGCTAGAGAGAGAGAGGCAGGAAGGGGAAAAAGTACTTTAAAATTATCTATTGGGTACTATGCACAGTATCTGGATAATGGGATCAATCATATCCCAAACCTCAGCATCATGCAATACACCCATGTTAAAAACCTGCACATGTACCCTCAAATCTAAAATAAAAGTTAAAAATTGTAATAAAGGTATGCCTAACTAGCACAACACTAAATTAAAAAGTAAAACATAAAAATTACTTCAACAACACAAATTCAATCCACGAAAGTTCTAAAAAGTCATTCTTACTTACAATTGGCATTGGTCACCTTTTATTCCTTTAGTTGTGCAGAAACATTTTCCTGTGTGCAGATGACAGATATTTGCATGGCCACTGCATGTACAAGCTGTAAGTCAAAACCAAAATGATATTGAATATTCTACATCACAAACATGCACATTTCACATTTCAAGTATTATTATTACCTTATTTTTATGTCCTGTAACTTCCTCTTGCCATCCAAAAACTAAGGTTACCAGATAGTATAAATTATTTTTAATTAAAGGGAAGTAAATTCACTTTTCTGAAAATTTTGTGAAATTCCTTAAAGTCTTTGGGGGATATCCTGAAGTCTACTGTGGATATAACTGTTATCTAATTCTTCTTTGGGCTTCTCTCCATTTTCACTTTGGTATATTTCTTTAATAAAGTGAGTTTCAAAGCGTTAGTGCCAGAGCTTTGTACTCAAACAGCTTGGGTTCAAAATTTACATCTAAAATCACTATATGACCTTGGACAATTTACTTAACCTGTTTATGCTTAATTTCTTCATTTGCAAAAGAAGAATAACAGCACTTAGCTTCCAGGATTGATGTGAAAATTAAATGAGGTAATGTAATTTAAGACACATAACACATATTGAGCACTTAATAATTGGCAGATATTACTTCCACTGTTATTACTACTGGTAAGAATAATAAAAACATAGCTGCAGATTGTGTTTTAAAAAAGAACATCTATTTATTTCCTCTAAATTCACCCTTTTAAGTTTCTGAGATCATCCTCATCCTTTTAGAGTATCCTTTTAGATCTTTTTAGATCATCCTTTTAGAGTACTAGACGAAACTTTCCATTTTGTAAAAGTTGCATGATTAATTTGGTTCATATAAACTTGTCTCCTTTTCTTACTTTGCAATCCTTTCTTAAAGAGCACTGTTCAATTATTTAGGACATAAACCTCACACTTAATTATGTCCAACATCCAGTCAATTGGTAGATTTTAATTTCTACATGTATAATCTTTCTTGTATCTGACCCCTCCTTTTCATTCTAACAGCCACCACAAAGTATTGTCATCCACTTTCTCTTACTGACAACAATATAATCACATAGCAGATATCTTTGCCTTCAGTATTTCCAGGTTACAATTAATTCTCCAATCCAATAACACATTCTAAACAGACAAGGCTGATGGTGTCACTAACTCTTTCAAAAACACCTAATGAGAACTACTGCTGTTCTTGTACACTACCAGTTAGCTAAACCATTCTATTGACAAAAATGAAATGATATGGTCTTTTCCTGAATTGTAGAGCCATATAAAATTAAGTGAATGAGTCAAAATTTCCCAATGTTCAACTTTTTCATTATTTTTCTTCCAGTATCAATAGTAACTCTAACATATATGTTAATGAATTAATAAATGCAAACAAATGTAACCAGATAATCATATTGCTAGTTCAATTGAGTCTCTGAAAGAAAATAGATACTGTATACCTAAGTGAAATATAAGACCAATATGAACATTTTCAAAAGAAGAGACTAAAACAAAAGTTCAAAACCAGTAATCTTTGAACCAGATAGAGTCAATAAAAGGGGCAAAAAGAGTGAAAGGGGGAAAGATTGGATGGGGATTATCAGAAAAGCCCATTTCAGTGTTAGTAATCCAGTCTTCTGCCTGCCAAGGGAGTGGTTGTCTGTCCTCTTACACAAGCCTAATGAGTGGGACTTCACAGAAGTTTTTGAAGAGTCTGCTGTGGGTCCCCTTAAAATCTAGGTGGCATATTAGAGGAAATTCTGAATTAGGTGTGACCAGCTATGGCTATTTAACTGAGGTGGAAGGACAAATAGAAACAGTTACTTTTAGGAAATATTTGTACTAACACTGAAGTCAAGAAAAAGAAAGTATGTTTCTTCCAGCTAGCCAGCATCTACTTAATATTCTGACCAACAGGATTGCCTGGAAGTGCTGGAGGACTTCAACTGAAAACTGAAGTAAAAGTTGCCAGAACAGGAAGAAAGTATGTGTCTCCCACAGATCACGAGAATTGCATCTAGAAAGGTCAAGACTCAGAAGAGCCCCCAAAGACATTTATGTGAGAATGGATCAGCCATTGTGCATCTCTCACACAGAGGACCTTAACTAAATATGACAACTATTCTTCACACATAAGACTATAATTTTCTCCTCTCCCCTAGAAAGATCAAAAAAATTATTGAGCCAGGAAAGGAGGAAAATACTAGGCTAAGAATGAAAGAACATATGGAATAGAGGAGAAGAGAAAATTTGGCTTCAAAATATGTTCAGAGTTCTTACTTTTATCTGATCTAGACAAGTTTAATTATTTACTTACACACGTGTTTGCAAATTAAATTCTCAGGAGTTCCTTATATTAACTAAGAGTGAGTCTGAGATTTCATACAAGATCAAGGGAAAAATGTATTGCACTGAATATATTTTAAAGGGTCAGTGACAGAGAAAACTACTGTATTTTGATTATACTCTATGTCTTGCTTGGGAATGATATAAATTACATCTATATAAGAAAAAATCTGAAAAAAAGTACTGCTTATTATTTTGTGAAGACAAAAGATTATGGTGGTGATTTTAAATAGCATGTACATTTTCTGCTTGTAAAACTGTTAGTAATTTATATAATGGGATAATTAAACTATCTAATTTAAGGACTAGATTTCTAATGCTACTACTTGTATCGATCTGTGTGTTGCTCCCTTAACCTTTCTTACTGCCTCTTCCCACCAGAAGTAACCACTACCCTAAATTTTATGTTTATCAATTCCTGTTTTTAAAAACCAGCATATATAAATCATTTATAATATTTAACTTGCCATTAGCAAATGAAGATAACTGCAACAAATTCCTAAAAATAGTATCATACAATGAGTCCTGATGACAATACAATTAAGTCAAAAATGAATAATAAACAAATAAAACTCTACTAAAACCCCCATATATCTGGATTAAAAAAAAAACTCTAGAGGAGTGATGTTAGGAAGATAGTGGAATAAGACTTTCTAGTGTTCATCTCTCATAGAAACATTCATTTGAAAAACTATCCATGCATCATAATACCTTCCCAACAGCTAAGGAATCCAGACAAGAGATTATACCACCTTACTGCAGTCCGAAAGAAAAAAAAAAATGCATTGAATAGTGTAGAAAAGCCAGTTTAATATTATCCATATTACCCCTCCCACAAGCCCAAGCAGCACAACACTGAGCAAGATACCCCTAAGTCAAGGAAGAATGAAATAAGCACTCAACTTTTCATTGGACTGCAACACCAGATCTGCCTCACTGAACCCAAGGTCAAGCATGACCCCACAGTCCCAAGCTCCATGCTGGCCACTGCAGTATCAGAATCCAGACCCATCCCACTACCAGACTAGTCCCTGCATTGTCAGGCTCCAGGCCTCAACACAATAAAGGTCATATATTCCACAATTACTTCTGCATCAACCTATGATATACCCACAGCTAACATCATACTGAAAGGTAAAAAGTTTAGCTTTTTTCTATAATCAAAAAGAAGACAAGGATGTCCACCTTTACCACTTCTGTTCAATGTAGTACTAAAAGTTCTAGCCACAGCAAACAGACAGAAAGGAAGAAGAAATAAAGGGCATCCAAATAGGAAATTAAAAAGTTAATTAAAAAGTTAAATTGTTTCTGTTTGCTGATGACATGATCTTGTCTACAGAAAACCCTAAAGATTCCCCCAAAAATATGTTAGAACTGATACAGAAGTTCAGTAAAGTTGAAGAATACAAAATCAACATACAAAAATCAATAACATCCCTTCACACTAACAATGAACTAACTGAAAAAGAAATTAAGACATCAATCCCATTCATGATAGCATAAAAAATACTTGGAAGTAAATTTAACCAAGGACTTAAAAGCTCTAAATACTGAAAACCACAAAACATTAAGGAAAGAAATAGCGAGTGACTTATATAAATGGAAAGGTAGCCCATGTTCATGGATTGGGATAATTAGTATTGTTAAAATGCCCATGCTACCAAAAGTAATATACTAAGTCAATGCAATTTCTGACAAAATGCCAATGGCATTTTTCACTGAAAGAGAAAAAGCAATTTTAAAATTCATATGGAAATTAATGAGCAAGAATAAAACTGAAGGCATCAAACTATTTGATCTCAAAATATACTACAAACCTATATTAAACAAAACAGCATAGTGCCAACATAAAGAAAAAGAAACATCAACCAAAGGAACAGAATATAGAGCCCAGCAATAAACTCAAGCACTGACAATCTACTGATTTTTGACAAAAGTGTCAAGAACACACAATGGAGAAAAGATAGTCTCTTGAATAAATTATGCAGGGAAAACTAGATATTCACATGCAAAATAATGAGATTAGAACCTTATTCAATACACAAAACTCAACTCAAAATGCACTAAAGACTTAAAGGTAAGTCCCAAAACTGTAGAAGAAAACAAGGGAAATGCTACATGACATTGATCTGGGCAAAAATTTCTTGGTTTTCCCAAAAGCACATGCAAAACAAAAGCAAAAATAAACAAATGAGACTGCATCAAACTAAAAATCTTAAGCACAATAAAGGAAATAATCAATAGAGTAAAGAGACAATCCACATACCGGGAGAAAATATTCACAACCCATACATCTGGTAAGAGGCTAATATTCAAAATACATAAGAAATTCAAGCAACTCAATAGCAAGAAAAGAAAGAACACAATTTTAAAATGGACAAAGGACCTAAATAAATTTTTTTTAAAAGCAGACATACAAATGGCCAATAGGTATATGAAAAACTGTTCACTATCACTAATCATTAGGAAAATGTAAATTAAAATGACAATGAGTTATCACCTCACACGTGTTTAAGTGGCTATTATCAAAATGATGAAATTTAACAAATGCTGGCAGGGATGAGCAGAAAAAGGAACCATGTGTACTGTTGGTGAAAATTTAAAATAATAGTCATTATGAAAAGAGTTTGGAGTGTCATCTGAAAAGTAAAATTACAATTACCATATCGTCCAGTAACTCCTGTTCTGGGTATATAGCCAAAGGAAATGAAATAAGTATGCCAAAGAGATAGTCGTACTCCTGTGTTCACTGCAGCATTATTCACAATAGCTACAATATAGATGCAACCTAGGTGTCCATCATTGGATGAAATATATATATATATATATATATATATATATATATATATATATATATATATACACATACACATTTGAATACTATTCAGCTTTTTTTTTTTTTGAGACGGAGTCTCGGGCTGAAGTGCAATGGCGCAATCTTGGCTCACTGCAACCTCCACCTCCCAGGTCCAAGCAATTCTCCTGCCTCAGCCTCCCGAGTAGCTGGGATTACAAGCACCCACCACCACTAATGCCCGCCTGGCTAATTTTTGTATATTTAGTAGAGATGGGGTTTCACTATGTTGGGCAGGCTGGTCTCGAACTTCTGACCTCATGATCCGCCATCCGCGGCCTCCCAAAGTGCTGGTATTATAGGTGTGAGCCACCGCACCCGGCCTCAGCTTTTAAAAAGACAAGATGAATTAATGCTAAATGAAATAAACCAGGCACAAAAAGACAACTACTACATGATCTCAATTATATGTGGGATCTAAAAAATATCAAATTCATAGAAGAAGAAAGTAGAATGATGATTACCACAAGCCAGGGTTAGGAGCGATGGAAGGGGAAAGAAGAAAGGTTGATCAAAGAGTACAAAATTTCGGTTAGGAGGAATAAGCTTTAGTAATCTACTGGACAGAATATATATTTCAAAATTACTAAGAGTAGATTTTAAATGTTATTAACACAAAAATAATTAGCTTAGTTTCATCCTTCCAAAATGAAAACATATATCAAAATGTAAATGCCACATTTTACCCCACAAACATATAATACATATAATTATTATTTGTCAATTAAAATTAAAAATAAAATTCAAAACATAAATAAAAACAAAGGTGAGTAATGGAACAAAATTACAAATCTCCATGAATGTAAATATTATTTTTTAATTAAAGAGCAGAGAAACACATCACAGAGAAATAAGCACAACAAATATAATATGATACACATTATAAATAATGTGTATATATAACATAAATGAGAAAAAATAACCTATCAATAATAACAATGAAGATGAATAGGCTTAACTTATCTATTTTGTCTCATAAAGCACAACCAACTACATGCGCTAAAGTAGAGCCACATTTAGAACCAAGTGACTCAGAAAAACTAAAAATAAGAGATAGAGAAGGTTTACCAGGCAAATGGAAACAATAAGAATGCAGAGATTACAAACCTGGTATCAATTAAATTAAAATAAAACTTAAACCAAAAAAGCATTAAATATGACAAAGACCTTTTTAGTACCAAAGCTAAAAGTCATCATGAATATATAACAGTTATGAATATTTCAGTGACAAATAACAAAGCAACTATGTTTACAAAGCAAAATCACAGAAGACATAAGGAGTAAGGAGACAAATAGAAAGACTTTAGCACACCACACCTAGTAGAAACCAGCACACCACTCTTAGTACAAAACAGTAGATATAAAATATGAAAAACTGTAAAAGGCCTAAAGAAAATAATCACTAAGTTAGATATTATAACAAGATAGCTGAATAGATTCCAGGCTTATGCCTTGATACTAAAGAATACGCCTTCTTCCCACTACACATAAAACATTCACAAAACATAATCATGCATTATGTCACAGGAAAACATCAGTACCTTACACAAAGTGGTAACAACACTTAATCACACAATAAAACTAAAAATTTATAATAAACACAAATTTCCTTCAAAAGTGATGATGACGATACTATATATCATAACATAAGTAGTAGATTTACAGTAGTGATACGAGTGATCAGATTCACAATAGCCATAAGTGGAAACAACCCAAAGGCCCATCAACTTATAAATGATAAAATATCCATACAATGGAATATAATTCAGCAATGAAAAGAAATAAAGTACTAATACATGCTACATAGATGAATCTTAAAAAAATATGCAGTGAAAAAAAGCCAAACACAAAAGATTACATATTACATGATTCAATTTATAGGAGCTATTTATAACAGGTAAATCCATAAAGTCTGAAAGCAGATTTGTAGCTGCCCAGGGCTGGGTTGTTTAATGGTTATGGGTTTTCTTTTGCAGTGATGGAAATGGCTGGAAATTGATACAGGTGTTGGCTGCACAACACTGTGAATGTCCTAAATGCCACTGGATTGTGGATTTCATAATAATTTTGTGTTACCTGAATTGTACCTCAATAGAAAACAATTATATTAATAGAGTAATAACATGCAACTAGAAATTGAAATTAACATTTGTAGGGGTTCAATCAGGCTGGTAGGAAAAATATCAGAGATAGTTATAGAGACACACAAATCTTGAAAGGCCGAGAAGTTTGCATAGCTTCGGTAATAGAACTGGCTAAAGGCAGCCTGGTCCCTTTACCTTTAAACAAATTAAAGCAGCAACAAAGGACGGCATAGTAGTTTACCTAGCTAGCTTGTTTACTCATCTGATCTTAAGACTAACCTTTTGTCCTTGCGATAGTTTACTGAGAATGATGATTTCCAATTTCATCCATGTCCCTACAAAGGACATGATGTCCCTACAAAGGACATCATTTTTTATGGCTTCATAGTATTCCATGGTGTATATGTGCCACATTTTCTTAATCCAGTCTATCATTGTTGGACATTTGGGTTGGTTCCAAGTCTTTGCTATTGTGAATAGTGCCGCAATAAACATACGTGTGCATGTGTCTTTATAGCAGCATGATTTATAGCAAGGACAAAAAACCAAACACCGCATGTTCTCACTCATAGGTGGGAATTGAACAATGAGAACACATGGACACAGGAAGGGGAACATCACACTCTGGGGACTGTTGTGGGGTGGGGGGAGGGGGGAGGGATAGCATTAGGAGATATACCTAATGCTAAATGACGAGTTAATGGGTACAGCACACCAGCATGGCACATGTATACATATGTAACTAACCTGCACATTGTGCACATGTATCCTAAAACTTAAAGTATAATAATAATAAAATAAAAATAAAAAAAAAAGACTAACCTTTGATGTACCTTGGGTGCTTAAGTGCTTTTTACTGGAGGAGAAGTCCACAATGTCAGTTACCTTCTACTGGTGTTGACTCAAGCCTTTGTTAATCAGTCTTACTGAATAAATGCGAGTCTCACTAGCTGATCAAGGCAGTCACAACTGTTTACAGCACTCAGTGGGGAGTCTGTAAGCAGCTTGAACACCCTCAACTGGATTGGCAAAGCAGAATATCTGTGGGTCAAGTATACATTATTCATCCGTCGCCAGGTCAAGGATCTGCAAGGGACAGACCCCCCGCAGCTGGTGCCCCCGTGAAAGGAGCGCTGCCGCAAACATTAATATCATTTATTAGCAACAGGTTGTGAAATATTTAGAGACAAATTTAACAAAATATGAGCAAGCTCTATACACCGACAACCATATCTACTGAAAGGATTTTTAAATATCTAAATAAATAGATATGCCATGCACATGAATTAGAAAATTACGTATTGGTAAAGTATCATTTCTCCCAAAATTTATACAACAAATTTTATAAAATTTCAATACAATTCCAGCCGGCTATTTTTGTAGAGACTTGCAAGCTACTTCTAAAACTTATATACATCTTAAAACATGAAGAAAAAAAAAGCATTTAAAAAAGACGAAGACAGAAGACTTAAAAGACATAATTTCAAGATGTGCTTTAAAACCATAGCAATTAAGAAAGTTTGGTAATGACATTAGGCCAAAGAGAGTGATCAATGGACCAGAATAGAGAAGACAGAAACAATCCTACACATATTCCATCAATTTAGTTTTCAACAAATGTACTAAAGTAATTCAATGAGAAAAGAATTGCCATTTCAACAAATGGTGCTAGAACAACTGGACATCTGGAAGAGAAAAAAGGAACCAGTATCACAACTTCACATTACACACAAATTTTACTCAGAATTAATCACAAATTTCCATGTAAGAGTTAACACTATACAATTTCTGGAAGAAAAAAACAGAGAAAAAATATTTGCATCCTTGGGGTAGGTAAAGATTTCACGTACGTGATACAAAAAGTATAAAATATCAAAGAAAAAAACATATAATTTATCTACTTTAAAACATCTTCGTTTTATAAGAAGATACTCTTAATAAAATGAAAAGTGAAGTCATAGGCTGAGGGAAATATTCGCAATCCATATATCTGAGGGAGATCTTCTATGTGAAATATTATAAGACTTCTTAAAATTTAACAGAAAGAAGAAAAATAGCCCAGTTTTTAAAAGTGGACAAAAGATCTGAATAGATACTTCATACGCACAAGCAGAAAAGATAGACAACTTGCTAATAAACACATGAAAAGATATTTAATGTCCTTAGCCAACAGACAAATATAATTGTAAATCAACAAGACATACCATCAAACACATACTATAATGGCTAAAATGTAAAAAGGTTGACGACACTAAATGTTGACAATAAAATGAAACACTAAAATCCTCATAAATTTCTGACAGAAATATGCAATGATACAATTACTTTGAAAAACAGTTTGACAATTTCCTATAAGGTGACACATACGTTTACAAATTTATGATAGCACAAAAAGCAATTCCACTCTAAAGTATTTACCCAAGAGAAATGCAAGACATGCACACATACACTTACACATAAATATAAACACATAAATATTAACACTAATATTGTAAGTAACAATATTAACAAATAATATTGCTCCTTACAAACTAGAAAAAAACCAGGTGTGATGGAATAAACAAAATGTGGTATATCCAGACAATAAAATACTACTCAGCAAAAAAAAAAAGAGAAATTAAAAATGCTGAGTGAAAGAAATCAGAAACGAAAGTTCTATTTAATTTTATGTATGCAAAACTTTAGAAATAACAAATACAGTCTGCAGCAAGGATCATCAAACTATAGCCCATGAGCCAAATCTAGCTTGTCTTTTACTTTTGTATGACCCATGAGCTTAGGGTAGATTTTTAAAATGTTTAATGGTTGAAGAAAAAAAAATGAAGAAAAAATGCATAACATGAAAATTTCATGAAATTCAAATTTAAGTGTATATGAAATAAGTTCTACTGGAATACAGCCACATTCATTTGTTTAGATAGTATACATGACTGCTTTCATTTTATAGAAGCAGAGTTGAGCTGCTGCACACAGACCGAATGGCCCATAAAGCATAAAATATTTTCTTAAAAGAAAAAAAAACCCTTATATTTGTGACCAAAAGAAATTAAAAAGTAGTATTTGGCTGCACCTTGGGGCAGGTGAGGAAGTGATGGGGAGGAGATACAGTGGAAACTTTTGGGGTGAAAAAAAATGTTTATCTTGATTGTGGTAGTGATTTCTTGGATATAGAGAATTTGACAACATTTATCTAAGGGCACTTTTAAAGAACATGCATTTACTACTTATAACTAATTCTATGAAGATAAAATACATATAGTTATGACAACATGATGTTCCTTGGTAGGGAATTGAGAAAAGTTAATATATTTACTTTCATTTGTTTGCATAGGTTTTGCATCTTTTAGTGCTTTAATGACACAAACTCACACTTTTTCAAATATGAAATGAAGATAATACTAATTAAATAATTTTAATTTTAAGATCTGTACTGTTAAATTGTGCCTATTTATAAACGCAAAATAATATATTTTAAATAATGTTACTTTTTGATATTTTCCTTGCTTCTCAGTTGATATCAAGTCAGCTCAAGTGCAATTACTTAAAGGGCATCAAAGAAAGTAAAACTTACATAAAATAAACAAAACTGCATTTTTTCTGAGTCTGTATTTGGAAAAGGTAACTAAATTTTACAGTATTTGAACATACATCATGCTGTCTTTACTTCATTTATTTTGTCAACAAATATTTATTATCTTAATTTGTAAAGTAGCATAATTTGTTATAAATGACATTTTGTGATAGGTGCCTCACATATCCAATTTAAAATATATTTCTGAATATTTGTATATTTTTGGAAGCAGCACCAAGTATGATATATTCGATGCTGAATTTTGCAATTTTCTTATGGGACCCTTGATTTGGAAAGGTATCAATCTTATGCCAATAGCACAACTGGAAATTTTTCATTGATATTATATTCAATTTTATAAATATAAACTTACAAACATAAACGCAGTAAGGGAAAATGTCTGCAAGTCTTATACACATATACAAATATCTAACTATACACATAGTTAATCTAGCATGCATGTTACTTTTCTGAAATTACATACAGACACAAACCATACAGACCCACAAAGATATGAAGATTTTCTCACCCGGTCATAATTATCATTTTTTAAAACATATGTTTTAATCAGGAATGAAAGGGAGACATCACTACCAACTTTACAGAAATCTTCAACAAAATATTAGCAAAGCAAATTTAGGCAAACATTAACAGATTCCCACCATGATCCAGTGGGCTTTATCCTAGGAAAATAAAGTTGGTTTCACATACAAAAATCAGTAAATGCAATGTACCACACTAAAAGGAAAAAGACCAGTAGAGAGAGAAAAAAAAAAAGAAAAACAAACAAAAATAACCGAATAAATACAGAAAAATTATTTTGAAAAATCCAATGTTCTTTCATCATTAAAAATACTCAACTAGAAATAAAAAGAACTTCCTCTCTATTTCTATTAAACCCACATGATACTGGCATAAATATACAATGCATATCAATGGAATGAAATTAAGAGTCCCAAAACAAACCATTACATTTATGGACAATTGACTCTTGACAAGGGTGCACAAATACGGGTACTTGATAAATAGTGTGGGCATTTTTTTAAAAACTCACATCTAACATGTTTAACAGTAAAAAACAGAATCTTTTCTCCCACTGCAATCAGGAATGAGACATGGATGCCTGCTCTTGCCACTTATTTTTATGCTTGTACTGGAGATTCTTATCAAACCAAGTAGCTATTAAAAAAAAAAAAAAAAAGCAAAGAACAGAATTAAAAGTATCCAGACTGGAAAGGAAGAAGTGAAGCTATTACGACTCACATATGACATGATCTTGGATAGCCTAAATAATCCACAAAAAGTCTATTAGAACTAATAGATTAATTAAGCAAGGATACCAAATCAATGTGTAAGCAGGATATAAAATCAATGTATAAAAGTCTATTGTGCTTCTATACACTAGCAATAAACAATGTGAAAATGAAATTAAAAAAATAATTTCATATAAAATAGTATTAAAATAAAATTCTCACGAAATAATTTAATAAAAGAAGTACAAGATGTACTGTAAAAAATTATAAAATGTTTAAAAATTAAAGATGGTATAAATAAATTGAAAGACAGCCCATGTTCATGGATAAGAAGAATTAATATTGGTAAGATGATATATAAATTTACTCTATAGATTTCATGTAATCCTTACCAGAATCTGAGCTGTCTTCTTTGTAGAAAATGACAAGCTGATTCTAAAATACACATATAATTACAAGGAGTCTCAAACAGCCAAAACATTTTTAAAAGAAGAATAAAGTTGGAGACTCAGCCATCCCAATTTCAAACATTACTACAAAGCAACAATATTAAAACTACATAATACTGGTATAAATATAAATTGTGTATAAATGGAAGAAAATTGAAAGTCCAAAAATAAACCATTACACTTATGGCCAATTGATTCTTGTCAAGGGTGCCAAAATAAGTAAATGGGGGAAGAACAGCCATTTCAACAAATGATGGCAGGACAACTAGATATGCATGTTTAAAAAAAATAGACTTGGACTCCTACACATCAGACCATGCCCTAAACATCACTCAAAATACATAAGACACCTAAATATAAGAGTTAAAATTATAAAGCTCTCCAGAAAAATGTATGAATAAAACGTTGTGACCTTGAGTTAGGTAATTGTTTTAGTACTAGGAGCACACAAAAAACAAAAATATAAATTGGACTGGATCAGTCTTTAAAAATATTGTGCTACAAATGATACCATCAAAAAAATAAGAGGACAATAAAGAATGGAATAAAATTTTTGCAATTTGTATTTCTTATTTGTATCCAGAATATAAAGAACTCTTCTATTAAATAATAAAAACATGGCCTGGCACGGTGACTTGCACCTGTAATCCCAGCACTTTGGAAGGCCGAGACGGGCGGATCACCTGAGGTCAGGAGTTTGAGACCAGCCTGGCCAACATGGTGAAGAAACCCCATGTCTACTAAAAAAAAAAAAAAAAATTGCCAGGTATGGTGGCATGTGCCTGTAGTCCCAGCTACCCAGGAGGCTGAGGCAGGAGAATTGCTTGAACCTGGGAGGCAGAAGTTGCAGTGAGTCGAGATTGTGCCACTGCACTCCAGCCTGGGCGACAGAGTGAGACTCTGTCTCAAAAAATAGTAATAATAAAAATAAACAAAAAACAAAGATAAATACCCAACTAAAAAAAGTCCAGAAAAATATCTGAATATTCCAAAGAAGATTATTCCAAAGAGATTTACAAATGACTGATAAGCACAGAAAAAGATATTTAAAATCATTACTCCTTAGGGAAATGCAAATCAAAACTCCAATGAGATCACTTCACACATACTGGGAGGGCTATAACAAAAAAGACAGATAATGATAAGAGTTTGTGGAATATGGAGAAATAGAAACACACATGAACTGCTGGTCAAGATGTATAATGATGCAGCTATTCTTGGAAACAATTTGGTAGTCCATGAAAATATTAAACATAAAATTTACATATAACCCAGCAAATCTACTTCTAGAAATATATACCAAAGAGGATTTTTTTAAATGTCCACAATAAAACATACACGGAATGTTCATAGCAGCATTATTCATAATAGCCAAAGAATGGAAATAGGTCAAAAGTCCATCAACTAACGAAGAAACAAAATATGATATAGCCATATTTGAATTGGATATTATAATTGAATTTTGTCTGGCAATAAAAATTAGTACAGTCCTGGTACATAATACAACATGGATGAACCTTTATTACACTACATGAAAAAAGTCAGTCATGAAAGATCACATATTTGATAATTTCACTTATATGAAATTTCCAGAAGAATAAAACCTATAGAAATAGGAAGTAGATTATTGATTGCCCAGGGCTACCAGAGGCAGGGCTGGGGGACAAGGGAGGAAGGGGAATGGCTGCTAATGACTGAGGGCTTTTTAGAGGGGGGTGATGAAAACATTTTAAAGGTAGATTATAATTATGTTTGCATGACCCGGTGAATACAGTAAAAACAACTGAATTGTATACTTTCAAATTGTAATTTTTTAAATGTATGAATTATATTTTAACAGAGATGTTTGAAAAATCATCAGTACTTGCCGTATTATGAAATACTGTAGAACACTAAGTTTCTTGCTAATTGCTTATGATTATTACCTTTGAAAAAACAGATGATTAAAATAAATACACACATCTCCATATGCATACATAAAATTACTTTTGGTACTAGAAAGGTTTCTAAGAACCTGTTTTTCTACTAGAAGACATTTTTACATAAAGGTATATATAAAGTTGGCCAGGCGCGGCGGCTCACGACTGTAATCCCAGCACTTTGGGAGGCTGAGGCGGGCGGATCACAAAGTCAGCAGATCGAGACCATCCTGGCTACCAGGGTGAAACCCCGTCTCTACTAAAAATACAAAAACAAAATTAGCTGGGCATGGTGGTGGGCACCCGTAGTCCCAGCTACTAGGGAGGCTGAGGCGAGAGAAGGGTGTGAACCCGGGAGGTGGAGCTTGCAATGAGCTGAGATCACGCCACTGCATTCCAGCCTGGGCCACAGAGCAAGACTCCGTCTCAAAAGAAAAAAAGGTATAAAGTTTACTTCATAAAGAATATTTAAATAAACCTACACAGTTTTTTCATTAAGTTTGTAGAATTAGCTGTGGGAACATAAGATGTGAGAATTACAGAGTGAAACACAAGGCAGAGAGCTGCAGGGAATAAAGGAAACTGTCATCAAGTAGTAAAGACACACCGTGATATATTAGTAATATGTAACTTCAAAAATAATGAATATATCATGATGTCTTTTAATATTAATCTGCAAAGTTTCATATTAATACTGTCATATTCAGAGTTACACTAAAACGATGTATATTAATATCTTAAAATATGGATAAACCTTTCATTTATCTGTTATGGCAAAACTGGATACTAGTTATGCTTGCCACATTTCTTAAAAGAATTACCATTGTACAGTAAATTCAATAATTTCTAAGACGCTAACTTTTTGTGAGCTCATTGTGAGAGAATTCCCTTGTGGCACTGTATTTCAGAGTAAAATAGCACAAATGCATTTTAAATTCAATTGTTTAAAATTTATACTTCATGACAGTGCTGAAATTATTCTGTTGTTGTCAGCATTTGTGGCTATCCTTTTATGCTGAACCAGCACCTATGAAGGCATTATACAGTGGCCTTTGTTTAAAATTTTATATATGATGATGATTTTATATTCTAGATATACACTAAAGGAACATAATGAGGCCAACATATTTCTGCCCCCTAGAATATAAAGTTGCAGTATCAACTTATAAGCAAAACCAAACAATAAGGATAAAAAAAGATGCAAAAAAAGTTATTGAAAGAAGTTGTTTATAAAAAAAAACACTTTAGAAACATAAAACCAAAGAGTAGCCAATGGTAGTACCTGCTTCAAAATCAGTTTATGTTCCTATGCCCATCCCTTGCTATATCATTATTTCCTTGCTTGCATCATCATCAACTGTCATATACTTGTAACAACCCCTAGAGGTTAGGATATCATGTAAATTTAATTTTCTTTGTATCCTTACAGCATAATTATACTTAAAGAAATTTAATAGATATGTTATAGATTAGATTTCAAATATAGTAAGAATTCTAACAAAGACAAAAGTTCAAATACCCTATAATTTAA
Organism: Homo sapiens; assembly: GCF_000001405.40. Lineage (NCBI taxonomy): Eukaryota > Metazoa > Chordata > Mammalia > Primates > Hominidae > Homo > Homo sapiens. The sequence continues at coordinate 115,378,741 of NC_000010.11, read as the reverse complement.
AATTCTATGCTTCAAAAACACTGGGAGACTTGCTGATCTGTGCCACTGTGACAGGCTTGTTGGTCTTATCCCAAAGCAGATCCTGAACAGGTCCCCAATCTCAGCTCCAGCCCCTCTCTGCTGTGGCCTAGAAACAATCACACACACACAGGGAACTGCTGGGAGACTAACTCCTCTGCCACTGTGAGAAGCTTGTCAGACTCAGTCCAACAGCACATCCTGGTACAGCCTTGGATCTTGGTCCCAGTATCTCTTATTTACAGTTGTAAAACAGTTCTGCCTAGTCAGGGCACCACTGGGAAACAAGCCCATCTGAGTCCCCAGGACAGGCTTATCAACTTTAGTTCCACAGTAGAACCTGAAATGGCCCTGGATCTTGGGCCTGGCTCATCTTGACTGCAGCCTGAAATCAGTTCTGCCTTCCCAGGGACCTACAGATGGGCGTGTCTGTTACTGCCCCTACAGGCTAACCTGCTGACATTAGTCCCACTGTGGATCTTGAAACAGCCCTATAAATCAGTTGTATCCCCTGTCAACTACAATCTGAGAGCAGGTGTACCCACCAAAGAACGTGCTAGTAAACACACACGTATGATATCCCAGAGACAGATATGAAGACCTTGGCCTCAGGTGTAGACCCTGAAGCAGCTCTGTGACTCAGTCCCAGTCCATCTCGGATACAGACCAGGGAAGTGCTGTCTGTCTGCTAAAGGACCCACCCAGAAATCCAGTGGCAGCCCTTACAAGAATGCAGAAGAAGCCACAGTAGTCCATATATGTGGCCACAGACCAAATGTCTGTTAACTCTGAACCCTCATCTCAGTGTAAGCCCTACCAACCAAGGTCCTGGAGAGAGTGCAGTCCACCTAGGAAATGGAGAGAATTCATACTTGCTAGAGCCCCAGTAGCAGTGTCATCATCTTCAGACCCTACCACAGAAACAGCATCAGCCACATGAGCCAACTCCAATTCCATTCAACCATAATTTCAGAGGCAATTCCATCAGCCCAAGGACCCAACAGGAGAAGGACTTATAAAGACATATACAGACTGTCAAATTTTGTAAGGACTGGAAGAGGTGTTTGCTCCTCAGCTGCACAGATACTGGTGCAAGGCTATATAGTTAAGAAAAAGTCAGAAAAATATGATACCACAAAAGCTCCAGTAACTAACGCCCAAAAGTGGAGAAATACAAATTGCCTGAAAAAGAATTCAAAATAATGATGCTAAAGATGCTTTATGAGATGCAAGGAAACATAGATAGACAACCGTATTAGTCCATTTTCACACTGCTGATAAAGACATACCCAAGACTGCGAAGAAGAATAGGTTTAATGGACTTACAGTTCCACATGGCGGGGGAGGCCTCATTATCATGGTGGAAGGTGAATGGCACTTTTTACAAGGTGTCAGCAAGACAGAAGGAGAGCCAAGTGAATGGGGTACCATCAGACCTCGTGAGACTTATTCACTACCACAAGAACAGTATGGGAAAAACTGCCGTCGTGATTCAGTTATCTCCCACTGGGTCCCTCCCACAACATGAGAAATTATGGGAGCTACAATTTAAGATGAGATTTGGGTAGGGACACAGCCAAACCATACCAACAATTAAATAAAATTATAAAAATAATGCATGAACAAAATGAGAAGCTTAATAAGAAAATGTAAACAATAAAAAGAACAAAATAGAAATCCAAGAGCTACAAAATATGACAGAAATGAAAATCACAATAGAGAGTTTAAACAGCAGACTCAATCATACACAAGAAAAAAATTAGCAAACTCAGAGATAGATCATTTGAAATTAACCAGTTAGAAAAACAAAAAATGATTCTTTTTAAAATGAAGAAAGCATAAGGAATCTATGTGACACCATCAAACATAAAAACATATGAATTATGGGATCACCAGAAGATGTGACAAAGGGAGAAAAAGTTTACTTATAGAAATACTGGCTGAAAACTTCCCAAATATTGGGAAGGTTACAGACATCCAGATTTCCAAACTTAAAAAAATCTCAAGTAAGATGAATCCAAAAAATACTCTGTGACAAAATATAATAAAATTGTCAAAAGTCAAAAACAGGACTGGGTGGTTCATGCCTATAATCACAGCACTTTGAAAGGCTGAGGCAGAAGGATCACTTGAGACCAGGAGTTCAAGATCAGTCTGGGCAACATAGCGAGACCCCATATCTTCAAAAACTAAAAAAATTAACTGGATGTGGTAGCATGCATCCGTAGTCCTAGCTACCAGACCCCATATCTTCAAAAACTAAAAAAATTAACTGGATGTGGTAGCATGCATCTGTAGTCCTAGCTACTTGGGGAGGCCAAGGCAGGAGGATTGCTTGACCTAGAATTTGAAGTTACAATGAGCTATGATCACACCACTGCACTCTAGCCTGGGCAACAAAGCAAGATCCTGTCTCAAAAATAAATAAATAAATAAAGTCAAAGGCAGAGAATCTTCAGCAGTAAGAGATAACAGAATCATCACATATCAAGGAATCTCCATTAGGCTATTAATGGAAATCCCTACCCCCTTTAAAAAAAACAACAACCTTATAAAACAGGAGGAAGAAGGATGATGTATTCAAATTGCTTACAGGAAAAAAACACCACCAAGACTTTTACATCAGCAAAGGTGTCCTTCAGAAGTGAAATAGAGAGAAACACATTTCAAGACACACAAAAAGCTAAGAGAGTCCACCACCACTTGACCTGATTTACAATAAATACTAAAGGAAATTCTTCAATTTGAAATGAAAGTATGATAAGTAACAACATTAAAAATATGAAAATATAAAACTCACTAGTAAATGTAAATCTATAGTCAAATTCAGAATACAGTAATACAGTAACAGTGGTATATAAATCACTTTTAGCTGTAGTATAAAATTTAAAAGAAAAAAGTAATGAAGTATCTATAGTCATAATACATTTTCTAAAAACAATATAAAAAATAAGTTGACATCAATTACATAAAATGTAATGGAAAGGTGAAAAAGCATAGTTTTTGTAGGTGATTAAATTCAAGTTATTATTAGCTTAAATCAGAATATTATATTTTATGCTTAATGGTAATCATGAAATAAAAACCTCTAGTACATGCACAAAAGATAAAGAAAAAAGAATGAGAGCATACCACTATAAAAATACAACAAAACACAAAGTAAAAAGCAAGGTTGGAGGAAAGAAACAAAAGAACTACAAAACAATCACCAAACAATTAACAAAATAGCAAGATTAAATATTTATCAGTAATTACTTTAAACTTACATGGATTAAATTTTCAAATAAAAAGACACAGATTAGCTAACTGGACTTTTTTTAGTGATCAAACAATAGACTCCCTATAAGAGACAAACTTTAATATTAAAGGCATACATAGAAAGTGAAGGGATGGAAAATGATATTCCATGCAAAGAATAACCAAATGAGATCAGGGGTGGCTATATCAGACAAAACAGACCTTAATCTAATGTATCAGTAGACAAAAAGAAGGTCATTAGGTAATAAAAACAAGATCAAATCATTAAATGGATATAACAATTATAAATATATATGCACCAAAATCAGAGTACCTATATATATAAAGAAAATATTAATAGATCTGAAAAGACAGATAGACTACAATAAAATAATAGTAAGGGACTTGAATACCCTTGCTTTCAACATTGAACAGATCATCCAGATAAAATGTCTATTAAAAAAAAAACAACATTGGATTTGACCTACACTTTATATCAATGAACCTAAAAGACATATAAAAAACATTCCATTCAACAACAACAGCATACACATTCTTCTCAAACACACAAGGAACTTTCTTCAGGATAGATAATATGCTAGACCACAAAACAAGTCTTAAAAATTCAAGAAGACTGAAATCATATCAAGCATCTTTGCCAACCACAATGGTAGTAAATTAGAAATCAGTAACAGGAGGAAAAATTGAAAATTCACAAAGATGTGGAAATTAAACTATCTGTTCCTAAACAAAAAGAATAATTCAAATGAGAAACTTAAATATGTCTTGACAAAAATAAACATGGAATCACAACCTACCAAAAGTTATGGGTTGAACAAAACAATACTAATAGGAAAATTTATGCAATTAATGGTTACTTCAAAAAAGAAGAACGTTCTCAAATAAACAGCCTAACTTTAGATCTCAAGAAACAAAGAAGAAGAAAGAGAAAGAAAGAAAAAAAGAAAGAAGGAAGAAGGAGGAAGAAAGGAAGGAAAGAAGGAAGGAAGGAAGGAAGGAAGGAAGGAAGGAAAGGAAGGAAGGAGAAGGAGAAGGAGAATGAGAAGGAAAAGAAAGTTGAGTCCAAAGTGAGCAGAAGGGAGGCAGAAATAATAAAAATCACAGCAAAATAAATAAATAAATAAATGAAATAGGAACTAGAAAAAAATAAAAAAGATCAATGAAACTAAGAGTTTTTTCCTTTGAAAAGATAAACAAAATTGACAAACCATTAACTAAACTAAGAAAACACAAAAAAGATTCATATAAAGAAAATTAAAGAAGTGTTACAACTAATATCATAGAAGATTATGAGACTACTATGCACAATTTTATATCAACAAATAGAATCACTTATAAGAAATGAGTAAGTTTCTAGAAACATACAATCTACCAAAACTGAATCATGAAGAAATAGAAAATATAAACAGAATCAAACAATTTAGAAGATTAAATAAATATTGAAAAGTCTACCATCAAAGAAAAGCTCAGATCCTGATGGCTTCCCTGCTGAATTCTGCCAAATGTTTAAAGAAGAATAAATATTAATGCTTCTGAAACTTTTCCAAAAACATTAAAATAGGAAATGTTTCCAAACTCATTTTTATATGGCCAGCATTACCCTAACCCTAAAGCCAGAAAAGAACACTAAGATAAAAGAAATTACCAGTCAATATCTCTAATAAACATAGATGAAAAAAATCAACAAAATATTATGAAACAAACTCAATCATTTCAATAATCCTTTAATGAAAAAAAATCATTCATCAAGATCAAGTAAGATTTATCCTAGGGATGCAAGAATGGTCCAACATATGTAGATCAACAACTGTTATATACTACATTAAGAGAATGAAAAATAAAAATCACGTAATATCAGTAGATGTAGAACAACTATTTGACAGAATACAACATTCTTCCATGATTGAAAAAATGCTCAACAAATTAAGTATTGAATGTACTTCAACATAATAAAGAAGTTAGATAAAAACCCATGGCTAACATCATACTCATTAGTGAAAAGTCAAAAGCATTTCTTCTAGAACAATAAATAAGACAAGGTTTCCGACACTCACCACTTCTATTCAACATAATACTGGAAGTCCTAGCCACAAAAATTAGAAAAGAGAAAGAAATAAAAGCTATCCAAATTTTAAAGAAATAAGTAAAATTGTCCCTGTTTGCAGATGACAAGTTCTTACAGAAAACTGCAAAGACTCCACCAAAAACCCATTAGAAATAACAAACAAATTCATGAATGTTCCAGGATACAAAATGAACATACAAAAATCAGCAGCATTTCTATACACTAACAGTGAACTATCTAAAAACAAAATCAAGAAATAATCTCATTTATAATAGCTATGAAAAATAAAATACTTAGGAATAAATTTAATCAAAGAAGTGAATGACCTATATACTGAAAATTATAAAACATTGATGAAAAAAGTTGAACAGGACACAAATAAATGGAACAATATCCTGTATTCATGGACTAAAAGAATTCATTTTCTCAGGATGTCCATATTACGCAAAGTGATCTACTGGTATAATGCAATCCCTATCAAAATGCCAATGGCATTTTAGCAGAAACAGAAAACACAACCCTAAAATTATGGAACCACAAAATAGCTCATATAGCCATAGCAATAATGAGCAAAAAGAACGAAGCTGGAGGCATCACACTATCTTATCTCAAAATAAACTACAAAGCCATAGTAATCAGAACACCATGATACCAGCACAAAAGCAGACATATGATTGATGAAATAAAATAGAAAGACTGGAAATAAATCCATAACCATAGAGTCTATTGATCTTCAACAAAGGTGGCAAGAACACACAATAAGGAAAGGATAGCCTCTTCAATGACTACTGTTAGGAACACTGGATATTTACATGCATAAGAATGAAAATGAAATTTTATCTTATACCATATTCAAAAATAACCTCAAAATGGATTAACGACTTAAAGGTAATCCCTGAAAATTCTTAGAGAAAAACATAGGAAGCCTTCTTGACATTACTCTTGGCAAAAATATTTTGAACATGGTCCCAAAAGCACAGATAATTAAAGCTTAAAAATAGACAAAAAAAATATAGACAAATGGGATTGTTTCCAATTAAGAAGCTTCTGCAGAGCCAAAGAAGCAATCCACACAGTGAAGATACGCTTAGGAAATTGCAGAAAATATTTTCAAATCATATACCTGGATGAGGGGTTAATATCAAAAAATATAAAAGGAACTCAAACAACTCAATAGCAAGAAAACAAGTAACCTGATTTTTAAAATGGACAAAGAACATGTATTAGTCCGTTTCCACGCTACTGATAAAGACATACTCAAGACTGGGAGCAATTTACAAAAGAAAGAGGTTTAATGGACTCACAGTTCCACATGGCTGGGGAGGCCACACAATCACGGCAGAAGGTGAAAGGTATGTCTCACATGGCAACAGACAAAAGAAGAGAGCTTGTGCAGAGAAACTCCCCTTTTTCAAACCATCAGATCTCGTGAGACTTATTCACTATCTCAAATAGCATGGAAAGGACCTGTCCCCATGATTCCACTATCTCCCACCAGGTCCTTTCCACAACACATGGGAATTACGGGGGCTACAATTCAAGATGAGACTTGGGTGGGGACACAGCCAAACCATAACATTCTGCCCCTGGCCCCTACCAAATCAAATGTCTTCACATTCCAAAACCAATCATGTCTTCCCAACATTCCCCCAAGTCATAACTCATTTCAGCATTAACTGAAAAGTCCACAGTCTCATCCGAGACAAGGAGAGTCCCTTCTGTCTATGAGACTGTAAAATCAAAAGTAAGTTAGTTACTTCCTAGATACAATGGGGGTACAGGCATTCGGTAAATATAGTTGTTCCAAATTGGATAAATTGGCCAAAACAAAGGGGCTACAGGCCCCATGTAACTCCAAAATCCAGCAAGACAGTCAAATTTTAAAGCTCCAAAATGATCTCCTTTGACTCCATGTCTCACATCCAGGTTACGCTGATGCAAGAGGTGTGTTCCCATGGTCTTGAGCAGCTCTGCTCCTGTGGCTTTACAGGGTACAGCTTCCCTCCTGGCTGCTTTCACAGGCCAGCATTGAGTGTCTGTGGCTTTTCCAAATGCAGGGTGCCAGCTGTTGGTGAATCTACCATTCTGGGGTCTGGAGGATGGTGGCTCTTCTCACAGCTCCACTAGGCATCACACCTAGTGGGGACTCTGTGTGGGGGTACCACCCCACAATTCCCTTCTGCACTGCCCCAGCAGAGGTTCTCCATGAGTGCCCCACCCCTGAAGTGAACTTCTGCCTGGACATCCAGGCATTTCTATACATCCTCTGAAATCCAGGAAGAGGTTCCCAAACCTCAATTCTTGACTTCTGTGTACCCACAGGCTCAATACCACATGAAAGTTGCCACAGCTTGGGGCTTGCACTCTCTGAACCCATGGCCCAAGCTGTACCTTGGCCCCTTTTATTCATGGCTGGAGCGGCTAGGATGCAGGGAACCAAGTCCCTAGACTGGACACAGCAGAGGGACCCTGGGCCTGGCCTACAAAAAATGTTTTCCTCCTAGGCCTCCTGGCCTGTGGTTGGAAAGCCTGCCAGAAAGTTCCCTGACATGCCCTGGAGACATTTCCCCCCACTGTCTTGGTGATTAGCATTCAGCTCCTCATTACTTATGCAAATTTCTGCAGCTGGCTTGAATTTCTCCTCAGAAAAATGGGATGTTCTTTTCTATCATATTGTCAGGCTGCACATTTTCCAAACTTTTATGCTGTTTCCCTTTTAAAACTGAATGCCTTTAATAGCACCCAAGTCACTTCTTGAATTCTTTGCTGCTTAGAAATTTCTTCCACCAGATACCCTAAATCATCTCTCTCAAGTTCAAAGTTCCACAAATCTCTAGGGCAAGGGCAAAATGCCGCCAGTCTCTTTGCTAAAACGTAACAAGAGTCACTTCTGCTCCAGTTCCCAACAAGTTCCTCATCTCCATCTGAGACCACCTCAGCCTGGATTTCATTGTCCATATCATTATCAGCATTTTAGTCAAAGCCATTCAACAAGTCTCTAGGGAGTTCCACACTTTCCCACATTTCCCTGT